>NC_000005.10:13770274-15023698 GCF_000001405.40 Homo sapiens | reverse complement strand
TATGTTAAACTCCTACTGGTTCTTCTCTGGATGGATCCTGATGGACACAGATATAAAAGAGACCAAGCTCAGGCAAATCCAGAAGGTACAAATAAGCAATGTGAGCAGGAGTCTCAGGCTCCTTCAACACCAACTCCAGTTAAAATTGCCTCCTGTCCCTCAATCCACACCAATGACCTCCCAGGGTGTTCCTTATGACCAACTGACTAAGGAAGAAAAACTTCAGCATGATATGCTGGTACCACTAGAAAGTGGAAAGCTGCAGCACTGCCACCCCACTGAGGGATGACACAGAAAGACAAGGTGAAAAAATATTCTCCACTGGGCAGAGGAGGTCCACTCCACATTCAGCAGTACACGTCCACTATGATGGAAGTAAGTGACAGATAGCCAGAGGTATAGATCAACACTAATTCATGGGCAGTTACTAATTGTTTGGCTGGATGGTCAGGGACTTCCATGTTTAGAAGACAGGTGACAAGGACATCTGGGGAAAGGTATGTATATGAACCTCTCAGACTGTGAGATATTGTGTCTCCTGTAAATGCCTACCAAAGGGCATTCACTACAGAGGAGATCCTTAATAATCAGGTGGATAAAAAGACATGCTCTGCAGAAGCCAGTCACCTGCTTCAGATTCACAGTAATTTGTCTTTCTGTCTTCTCTTTTCTTTTTTTTTTTTTTTTGAGACAGAGTCTCACTCTGTCACCCAGGCTGGAGTGCAATGGCGCGATCTCATCTCATGGTAACCTCTGCCTCCTGGGTTCAAGCGATTCTCCTGCCTCAACCTCCCAAGTAGCTGGGATTACAGGCGTGTGCTACCATACCCAGCTACTTTTTGTATTTTTAGTGGGAACGGGGTTTCACCTTGTTGGCCAGGCTCGTCTTGAACTCCTGACCTCAAGTGATCCGCCCTCTTTGACCCTCCCAAAGTGCTGGGATGACAGGCATGAGCCACCATGCCCGGCCTGTCTTTCTGTCTTTTTTTCTACTGCTTCTTCCCCTTATAATAGTGCTTCTCAAACTGAGATGATTTTACGCCCAGGAGTGCACATTAGCTGCTCAAAGCCCCAACATAAACAGGGCTCACCTTCCTTGAGCATCAATTATTTTTTTCAATGATGAGCAGTGGAAATGTTATCTTTACATTGGGGAGTAAAATGCAATATTCATCCCAATGTTTTTAACTCACATAAGACTGGAAATAACATTTTCAACTGGTGCTATGCCTTGCCCTCACTCCCCTCACCACCCCAACTGCAGCCCAGCACTGCTCTGCACCAGCAAGGCATCTGTATACAACCAACAATGGCCTTAGCCACCAAATTATTCTTAGTTCCAGTATTTGCAATAATGAGCAACACAACAGAATTACCTTCAACCCCCTCTAGAATACTGGATAAACTGTTAGATAATATTTTATTGAGAATTTGGTCCATATGTATGTAATGATCATTAGGTTCATAAAAGAAAATTAAAATTAAATCTTCATTATTTCTGATTATAAGTTTTTAAAAACTAAGAAGAAAAGAAGAGCTATTAAGCAAATAGTATTGCATAACATTAACTTTAGGCAAACTGATAATAAATATTAAGCTCATTCCTGATGGCAAAACACAGCTGGCATCTCTCATTTCCTTATGTAGTCACTAAGTCTGCTATCAGAGAAGGTGCATAGTGAATGGAAGAAAAAGCGCCCTAATAGAGCAGGGTTTCTCAACAGCAGCCCCACTGACATTGGGGCTGCATATTTGGAGGGAGTGGAGCAATATTCTGTACATTGTAGGGCATTTAGCAGTATCCCTGACCTCTACCCACTAAATGCCAGCAATACCGCCCTGCCCAGTGGTGACAACCAAACATGTCCCCTGGGAGGCAAAACAGAGACAATAGAACACAGATAACAAGAGACACGGAAGCTAATGTCTTTCTAAAGCAGACACACATTCTGCTTTGACTCTTGTGGCTTCTAAAAGAAAATTAATTCTACTGTAGAACAACCGCCTGCGTCCTGCCAGCAAGAAAGTGCAACCCATCCTCACTGTGGCAAGGGTTGTTTTAAACTGAAACAAAGAAAAGGTGTGGGAAAATCTGCTGTTCCAGGAGCCTCTCACTTTTCTTGGATATGAATCTTAATTCCATTCCTCTGAAAGAAGTCTCTTGGAAGGGCTGCTTACATTTCTTTCCACATACCAGAGATTGTTTGTGGTAGATAAAGCCCAGCTCACACTATTCATTTCAGAATGCCGCCAATGGCAGCCTGGTCCCCAGACATTACTGAGCTGGGAGCCATTTTCTTTGCTTTCGCAGCAGTGGCCAGAAGTGCTGACATCCTGAGAGTCTTAGATGGCATCTGAAACTGCTCAATAAAGAAATCAGGGCTGACCTATGGACATGTTAACCGTGCACCTGAATGTCAAGAGCTGACCTAATTTCATAAGGAGCCGGTGACATCATATCAATAATGCATTCATTCGATTCCAGTGGAATGGATTGTGTTGAAAATATGTGTGTCCCCAAAGTCCCAAAGTAAAACTGCAATCCAATTGTAAGAACAGCTGCCAAAGAGCCTCTGCCTGCTCCCCTGAAATCACTTTCACCTACATGATCTGCAGTTTTTTCATTGCTCAAGAGTGCACCCAGCCCTGGGTTGGCGGGGGTCCCCAGGTTCCTTTACATTCTGTTTCTATTGTTAGATCTTACTTCAAACCTGAGGAACCCAGCTCTCCTCAGGGAAGGATAGGAATTTGCCTTGTGGGTATGGGAAGGAGGGACAAAGGGATGATTTATGACAGAGGAAGTCTGAGCGCCTCACTCCACTACAGACCCTCCTCTCTCTGCTTCTCCTTCACCTTTGCTTTTCCCATGAAAATGTTCTGTGCCTAGTAATCTAGAAAATGCAGCAAACAATACATGCATTTGGATATTTTTTTAAGGAGATCCTTTTTTAAGAAAGCTACCGAGCTCGTTTCATTAAATTCATCTGAAGATTACTCTTTTTTTTTTGAGATGGAGTCTCACTCTGTCACCCAGGCTGGAGTGCAATGGGGCGATCTCAGCTCACTGCAACCTCTGCCTCCTGGGTTCAAGCGATTCTCCCTCCTCAGCCTCCCAAGTAGCTGGGATTACAGGTGCATGCTACCACACCTGACTAATTGTTGTATTTTTAGCAGAAACGGGGTTTCACCATGTTGGCCAGGCTGATCTCAAACTCTGACCTCAAGTGATCCACCCGCCTCGGCCTCACAAAGTGCTAGAATTACTGGCGTGAGCCACCCCGCCTGACCGCCTTTTTTTCATAAAACTCAAACCATGTCTACCTTTTGTTTTACCTGTCCTTTCCATACACAGTCAGATGCTGGGAAGCTGGGATTGATGTTAATTTTTCTGTTTTACAAAAAGGGAAGCTATTAAATAAAAGGCCTCAATGGCATAATTCAAACTATATCTCAGTTCTTCCAACTGTTGCCCCCAGGGTTCTCATCACTGCACTTACGCAACCTCACTACTGCTCTCAATGTTGTCCAACCACTGTGAGCCATGGCATGGGTTTCCCGAATGGCTCTATTTTCAAAATAAAGAACATACATGTGAAACGAGAATTCAAGGTTTATTCTTTGACAAAGCCAACAAAAGTTCCTCAAAGCAAATCTTTACCAAAAGAAATACGTAACATTGAGTAGATAAAAACTCAAGGTACAAATTACTGCCTGCAATCCTCTAAGTTGAATAAATGCATGACTCTTCCGTTAAAATATGTGATTATATGCAGGAGAGTGGTAAAATCTAAATATAATTTTTCCATAAAAATCTTATAAAATCTATTTAAGGAAAATGGGTCTTCAGTGGAAGATTAAGACCTCAGGAAAAAAGCAGGTTGAAACTGTCCTAATTTATAGCCCATTTGAAGGGTCTGGTTTTTGTGAGGGAGTTTATTGGTACATTAGAAACGCTGCAGACTTATAAAGTATGCATGCAATCAGCAGTGAACTGAATAGTAGAAAACTAGGCAAAGCCTTCGGATCTGGGTGGGGAGGGGGGACTCCTTCTGAGCAAAAATATTAGCCACTTGGGTCATCCTGAAGCCAGGCAGATAGTTGATAGAGATTGAACTGACATTAGATCTTCAACTTCAATAGAGAACTTTGAATTGACGTTAGATCTTCAACTCAATTTACAGGTACAATTATTCCACTGATGAAAAAAATGCTCAGATTATCACACTGTCTTTCAGAAAATGGGGGGAAAGCTGCTTTTATGCTTTTATTGTTATTACTGTTTTCTTCAGAGTTTGGGAACTCACAACAGAGCCTCAAATATTCAACACACTTGGAATCTCAAAAGTTAGATAGAGTAAGACATTAAAGGCAAGTCACTGACCTCGAAAATAAAAAAGTCACTGGGTGCCAGGCATGGTGGGTCACACCTGTAATCCCAACACTTTGGGAGGCCAAGGCAGGAGGATCACTTAAGCCCAGGAGTTCAAGACCCGCCTTGGCAACATGGTGAGACCCCTTCTCTACAAAAAAATTAATTAATTAAAAATTTAAAAATAAGCAAAAAGAGAAAAGTCACTAGGTCACCACATTATTTGTCTGGAACTCAGGGTTGTCAAGGGATGAAAATGCTGGCACCAAACGGAGAAATTATTTTCCGATACGACCTTCATTCCTAAAGTCCAGACTCAAGCATGATGAGTAAGATGTTAAACTAAACACTGATAAAAATGTCTTTCCCAAAACCAAGTCAAACAAGGTTACAGGAGAGGCAAGGAAAACACCACATGACATTTTTGAAAACCTGTAGGAAATAGAAAATAGAAACTAAATGACTCAGCAATATAGTCTAGAGAACATGCGCAAAGCCCTTATGAGCAGACAAAGTGAAATGCCCATAAAAAAGAAGTGTGAGGCCGGGCGCGGTGCCTCACGATCCCAGCACTGTGATCCCAGCACTTCGGGAGGCCGAGGCGGGCAGACCACGAGGTCAGGAGATCAAGACCATCCTGGCTAACACAGTGAAACCCTATCTCTACTAAAAATACAAAAAAAATTATCCGGGCGTAGTGGTACGCGCCTGTAGTCCCAGCTACTTGGGAGGCTGAGGCAAGAGAACCAGTTGAACTCAGTAGGTAGAGGTTGCAGTGAGCTGATATCACGCCACTGCACTCCAGCGTGGTGACAGAGTGAGACTCCATCTCAAAAAAAAAAAAAAAAAAAAAAACAGAAAAAGAAAATAAGTGTGAAAATGTCATTTCCCTCTTGCCTCACGGAATGAACTAGATTCTGAGCATTTGAAGGCAAAGGGGCATATTTTAAACTCTGCTGGTAATTTCTTCTCAGCTCACTTGATCAAGACCCCAGGCAACAATTCTATCTTAATAATGTTTTCTTATGAGAGGATGGCTGGGTCTTTCTTCTGTAGCTTCTGAGGGACAACCAGCACATGGTAAGGTCAAAGTCATGGTTTTCATGAAAATGACATGAATTCCCTCAGCAAAGTCTGAGTCCAACAGAGGAAGAGATCTAGAAACAGCTCAAGCATGAGCAGAACCAGCTGCCCTGGCAGACCTGGGTCTTTGTCCTCTGGCAACGACTGAGTGTAAAGAGTCCTTTGTAGGTGTAGAACAGGAAGGCCTAGATGAAAGGAAGAAAATTTGGAAAAACACAAACCCAGGCCCTGGGCCAGCTTTAGGGGTAAAGAACTGGTACCATCACAGAGGACTCCTACACTTGGGGTTTTATGCTCTGTGGTCACCATCTTAAAATTCTTAAAAACTTTATCTCTGCATTTGCACTTTGTAAGTCCAATGGGTCAATGGAGCAAGCTTGAGGGCTTGGAGCCTCAACTCCCCTGCAGTCCCACCTCCCGGCCTGCCCTGGCCGGATCTCAGTAGGCCACTCCTGCTGATCCCGGCTTCCTGCCCCCCAGTGGACCCCCACCAGACCCCCACCTCCCAGGTCCCAACCAGTGATTGCTGCTGCTCTCTCCCCACAGTGGGAGCGTGGGCCCAGATGTGGGAGAGTACCCTGCAGCATCTCAGAGGACCATGGCTGCAGCTGTCTTCACCCTGGGTGGCAGCATGACAACACCTTAGGCAATCTCTCTTACTCTCTTTCTCTCTCTCTCTCTGTCTCTCCCACTTACCCTCATCAAGGTATGAGGCACCTGGCATTGAGGTTATTAGCCCTTAGAAGTTGCCCATTGATAGGATTTGGCTGTGTCCCCACCCAAATCTCACCTTAAATTGTAATAATCCCCACATGTCAAGGGCAGGGCCAGGTGGAGATAATTCAGTCATGGGGGTGGTTTCCCCATACTGTTCTTGTGGTAGTGGATAAGTCTCACAAGATCTGATGGTTTTATAAATGGGAGTTCCCCTGCACACACTCTCTTGCCTGCTGCCATGTAAGATGTGCCTTTGCTTCTCCTTTGCCTTCCACCGTGATTGTGAGGCTTCCCCAGGCAAGCGAGACTGTGAATCCATTAAACCTCTTTCCTTTATAAATTACCCAGTCTTGGATATGTCTTTATTAGCATCATGAGAACAGACTAATGTACCCATTCATGGTGGACTGGGGCCAAGGGCTGTGGAAAAAAAGGAGATTGACTTACCTGCTCCTCCTACCAGTGCTGGGGCATGGCATCTGGTCCAGAAGCTGGCAAATGGTTAGACAGGGAATTTGCAAGTCACAGAAATGGACACCTGGGTGCCTGTGAAGGTCTAGCCTTGCCTGGCCAGTATCCCCATGCCCAAGGGAGCATGCCATTAAATACAAAATAAAAAACACCATGAATTGTGGACAAAGAGACCACAAATTAAGAAAATGAAAGGTTTTATATATATATATGTATATATATATATATATACATATATATATTTTATGAAAGGTTATATTTTAGTATCTTTTTTTTTTTTTGAAATGGAGTTTTGCTCTTGTTGCCTAGGCTGGAGTGCAATGGCATGATCTCGGCTCACTGCAACCTCCGCCTCCCAGGTTCAAGTGATTCTCCTGCCTCAGCCCCCCAAGTAGCTGGGATTACAGGCATGATATTTTAGTATCTTTAATGGCATTCATTTTTCTTGCTTTTTGAAAGCAAGGGGTCCTGCGTTTTCATTTTGCACTGAGCCCTATGAATGATGTGGCCAGCCTTGTCTAGCACATTCAAAAGCCAAAGCTCTCCCATAGGCAGTGAGCAGCATTCAAGAAATGTCTGGGAGATGAACTCTTCATTCACAAAGCTGGAAGAGACCCAATATTAGATACATTGCTCTTCTGGAGACTGAATCTTAAAACATAACAATGAAGACAAAATTATAACTGTGTATGCCATACAATGGACACGGGAACTCCTGCCAAACCCCAGATAGAATCCTGATAGTATTGTTTGAGCACTTAGATCAAGATATCCCTAAAGTGATTTTACTGTAGACACAAGTCTCTGGAACCCAAAGATTCCCTTAGCTACTCAAGCTAATTGGAGGTGGGCTCCTGTAACATTCAACTGGAAGAGTCTTAAGTGGTGCAGAGTCACTAAGATCAGTGGTTGCTGGAAAGGATGATTTCCAATCTCATTCCTCAGCACACTAAAGTTTCCATAAGCTCCCAGAAAGAGGCTTGGTAGAAAAGATGCATGTTACATCATATCAGGCTGATAGACTGATACACCTCCCCAACCCCCAGCCCCCATTGATTCAAGACTATATTCAAAGAAAAAATTAAGTTACTTGAGAGTTTGTTCTGGCCGGGCACGCTGGCTCACGCCTGTAATCCCAGCACTTTGGGAGGTCAAGGCGGGAAGATCACTTGAGGTCAGGAGTTCGAGACCAGCCTGGGAACATGGCGAAACCCTGTCTCTACTAAAAAAAGTACAAAAATTAGCTGGGCTTGGTGATGGGAGCCTGTAATCCCAGCTACTCAGGAGGCTGAGGCAGGAGAATCACTTGAACCCGGGAGGTGGGGGTTGCAGTGAGCCGAGATCGTGCCACTGCACTCCAGCCTGGGAGACAAGAGCGAGACTTTGTCTCAAAAAAAAAAAAAAAGAGAGAAAATTTGTTCCAACATCCATGGAAAATAATAAAGATAGGCAAGACATCATGAGCCAACTTTGATGGGAAGATAATCCTAAACAATGGATCAGCTGGAAATTAAAAGGCAAAGGAGTTTCTAGAGTCAGGAAATGTAATCATATTCATGAAAAAGGGGAGATCTACTCCTATAAAAGGGTTAACTCTGGATTGCATATATGGTTCATAAGTTTTAGCAATAGTGGCAATTTTGGAAGGAACAGAAAAGAGTAAGTTGCTCAGTGCAGAGAACAAAAGTCATGGCTGTTTTGCTCACAAGAGACAGAATAAGGGGTTTACAGTTTGGGTTATAGAATTTGCTTTAGGATCTAGAATGTATATTGATATCATTGCTGACAATAATTCCAAAGGCAAAAAATGATTCTTATTTTATTCTGGAGTCCCCTTTTACTTGTTAGCAAAACTCGCTATTGCAAACAATTCATTATGTGTCATGTTCTCCTTTGTTAATGGTTAAAGGATACTGAGCTAAATGCTTTACATACTTTACATACTTCATCGTGTTTAGTCCTCACATCTCTAGAAGATAAATTCAATTACTGTTTCCATTTTCCAGAAACTGAGACTTGGAGGGTTTACACATCTTGCCCAATAGCTCAGCGAAAACTAGCAAATCCAGGGCTCATCCAGGTATGTCTGGCTGCCCATGCTGTGAGCTTTTATATGTTACACAATTACACAGTTTTTCATGAGCCAGAGAGGCCTGGGATGTTCACAGCTTCTACAGGAAAATTTCAAGAGGGGGAGGGGAGAGTACACACTGCAGACTCTGCCTTTCTGTCACCAGTTTTGTTATTGTGGTGGTTGTTACTCTAGAGATGGAAGTCCTGCAATGTTGCCCAGGCTGGCCTCAAACTTCTGGGCTCAAGTGATCCACCGGCTTCAGCCTCCCAAGTAACTGGGACTACAGGTGTGTGCCACAGCACATGACATATACTGCCAGATTTTTATTCATATAGCCCTTTTCCTCTAATGATTAACAAAGAATAGTATTACCATCTTGACTTCTACTTCTCAAAAGACAATCTCCTTATAAGTTCAAAATAAAAATTTATTTGATCATACTCATAGCAAGATGAGAAAAAAATTACAGTTAAAAATTATTTTATTTCAAAAAATTATTTTGAAAGAATGACTTTAATAAAAATCCAAATTATATATAGTCAGTATAAAGTTTTGCCACATATATGTCAGGTACCTAGCACTTGATGCTAAGGGAAACCTGAACATTTTACAAACACCCAAAAACAGTGTAAACTGTGTTTAGCTGTCACTGGACATTGGGTTGGCTCTGACCCCATGTCAAAGATCTGCTAGGTACACAAGCTTTCTGCCATTGATCAAAATGGTTTCTTTCATGGTCTCTCCCAATTATTGGAATATTTATCGTAACCAAAAGAAAGCACTAGTAATATTTTCACTTCTGTGAAAATGGAAAACCTCACTTATAAAAGTGTCACTAGGACCAGAAATAAGAAGGCAGACTTGACTTTGCCTGGACTCTTCTCTACCCTTCCCAGCATGGAATAAAAACACAGAGATGAACACTAGAGGGCAACATTGTTCCTCAAATATATACTCTAGAGCAAAACTAGGGATGTCTGAAATTCCTCAATATTTTTTCTTCCCTTTAAGAAGACTCCCTTTTGGAAGAATAGTTGTATTTTCCAGTGGCAGGAAATAATGCATCACATTCTGCATATTTCACCTTCAACCTAACAAATCCAAAACCAGGCTGGTTCTCTTCTGTCTTCTGGGCTTTCTAACTTTGGTGGTCCCAGCAGATGCCAAGACAGAAATCTGGAAGGCATTCCACCATCTCATCTCTCACTCCACTGTATTTGGGTGTTTGGTCACCGTCCATCCTCACTTGACTTCAGTCCTGTGATAACAGGAACCTGATTTATCTCACCTACCATTGTGTTCTCAAAGTCTGATGCCGTAACTGTCACAGGGTGGAAGTTCACTAAATCCTGGTTAGATAAATGTCACTGAATACTGTACATTCTAGACTCTTTTCTTTCTCTCATTCTTCACTTCCCAACAGTCATCAAGTTTCTGATTCTATTTCTTTGTTTTTTGGTTTTTTTTTTTTTTTTTTTTTTTTTTTTTTTTTTTTTTTGAGATGGAGTTGTTTCGCTCTGTCTCCCGGCTGGAGTGCAGTGGCTCAATCTCGGCTCACTGCAACCTCTGCCTGCCTCCTGGATTCAAGCGACTCTCATGCCTCAGCCTCCTGAGTAGCTGGGACTACAGGCACACAACACTACACCCAGCTAATTTTTTTTTTGTATTTTTAGCAGAAATGGGGTTTCACCATGTTAGCCAGGGTGGTCTCCATCTCCTGACCTCATGATCTGCCCGCCTTGGCCTTCCCAAAGTGCTGGGATTACAGGCATGAGCCACCGTACCCGGCCCTGATTCTATTTCTAAATGTCTCTAATATTTACCCCCTCTCTCAGTGGACAGTGATTCTTTGCTGGACCAAACTTTAGTCAGACTCCTGAACCTTCTCCTGAGCCCATCTGTACATTTCCTTTTAAAATCCAGTTTTAACAAGAACCCTACTAAGTCACTTTAGCAAGAATCCCCCACCTTCAATATATGATCAGGTTCCTCATCCCCTACCATTCCCCAAGTGGTGTCTGATCATCCTGGCCTGTCTTCAGCAAGAATCCTATATGGTCAGTTTCACCAGAATTCCTCTCTTACTCCTGATGTTACCTCTCAGTACTTTTCCATCCACTGACCTGGACCCCAATCCTTTGCTCTAAATTGCCACTTGCCTGTGCCATATTTGGAATTGAGTCCTATCTCTCTCTGCCACTGCAAAATCCCATTGCCATGGTCCCTATACCTATGGTGACCGTCCAGACTGAAGTCTTCCATATTGTGCTTTAACAAGTATCAGCGAATAGCTTTTTCTTTAACACCATCTGCAATAATTTGTCCAAGCCTTCCTCATGATTCTCCTTAACTCTTGCAAGAACCTATTAGATAGACTCTGTGTTCTCACTTACCAGCTCCTGTCCCCCTCCTGCACACCAGTACCTCTTTCTGAGCACCTGCTTTCAATCTTTAAAGGATTCATCCCATCTGCAGCACAGTCTAACATCCTTTGCAAGGTCTGAGGCCCACCTCTCCCCTCCATCCTCCACTTCCCCAACTAGGCCAAAGTATTCCCAGTTTCCAAACTTCAGCAGGCCCTGTTCTGCCTCTGCCTATCCCATGGCCTCCACCTGGAACACTCCTGTCCACCTGTCCATGCCTGTCAGGAGGTACCTCTAGGACAGCCCTCATCCCACAGCCCTGGAACTCTGTTCATCTTCCTTCTCCACCTGTGCCTTGAGGGCAAGGATTCTGTCTGATTCCTCTTTGCATCCCAAGAGCCTCATCTGCTGCCTTCATGCTGGCAGGCCCTTGAAAAATATCTGTGGAACCATAGTTTGTGAGTACATCTTCCTTCAACTCTGCAACCTCCACCCCATTTTTGTTTATTACACTGCTTTTAGTGCTTTTTGAAGGAGTTGAATTTTTGTTTTCACAATGACTTTCAAGAAGTCTTTCTTTTCAAGAGTACATATCAAAAAGTTATTGTAACTGGGTTAAGAAATCTGAAATCCAAGAATTAACTGAATTTTCAGACAGTTAACCAAGACATGGAGTCTTCCAATTTCCTTGACTGGGGTGGGAGGTGGACCCAGTGAGTCCTCCTTGCCCAGAACGCACTGCCCTGCAGACAGCACTGCCTGCTTGCCCCAGCAAAGCGAGGGCTGGCACCCTGGCTCCGCATCCAGATGCTTGCTGTGGACTGATGATACCTCCAGATATTCATATCTTGAAGACCTAACCCCTAGTTCCTCAGAATGCAATCCTATTTGGAGATATTACAGAGGTATTTCATGAAAATGAGATAATTAGGGAGAACCCAAATCAGATATGACTGATGTCCTTACAAGAAGAAGACATTTTTGGTCTGGAACAGTGGCTCATGCCTGTAATTCCAGCACTTTGGGAGGCCAAGGCAAGCAGATCACTTGAGGTCAGGAGTTCAAAACCAGCCTGGCCAAAATGGTGAAACCCCATCTCTACTAAAGATACAAAAAATTAGCTGAGCCTGATGGCATGCACCTGTAGTCCCAGCTACTTGGGAGGCTAAGGCGGGATAATCCCTGGAACCCAGGGGGTGGAGGTTGCAGTGAGCCGAGATCGCACCACTGCACTTCAGCCTGGGTGACAGAGCAAGACTCTGTCTCAAAAAAAAGAAGAAGAAGAAATTTTTGGACACAGACCTGTATAAAGGGAAGACCATATGAAGGCAAAGGGAAGAGGTGTCCATCTCTTACGGGCCTCAGAAAAAAGCAACCCTGCTGACACCTTGATCTCAAACTTCTAACCTCTAGGATTATTATCTAAGTCACCCAGGCTGTGGTGCTTTGTCGTGGCAGCCCTAGCAAACCACTACAATAACATTCATGTGTCTGTCCCGCCCTCTGGATGCGTTTCCCAATAGTGGGATCTTACTGTTTCATGATGGGCTGTTTCATCTACCAATAAGTGAATATCTTTCCAAGCCAAGTGCTTTTAATGGCCAGTAGCCATTATGAATGTAAAAAAAACACTATATAGTTTTTCTTTAAGGAGCCATGCTTTCTTTTCAGGACATTTTAACACCCATGAGAATGCAGCAGAATCATTTTGAAAGGTGCTCAGTGGGTGCCTCATGCCCATCAAACTATTTCTTCTCCACTTTCACTTTTGGGGTTAGGAAAGAAGGGAGGAAAAAAGGACCAGACCCTCAACCTTCAAACTCCTCCTGCGTAATCCTCCTCTGCCCATTATCTTTCACCCCTCCCCAATCTGTGTCAATTATGGAGCATTAACAATTTCCCATCCTCATAAGAAACACGAAAATCTGAATCTTTCAAATGTCATAGGCCTTTTGAGAAGCGATTCTATTTTTAAATATTCTAGAAAGAAATGACACCATCCAAAAAGTAGCTTCAAATTCACTTTGCATTGGCTTGCAAATAAAGATGTGTAAGCTAAGATATGAGATACAGCATGGCTTCCCATGTTATTATTATTACACCTGAGATAGATACAGCACGGCTTCCTGTATCATTATCATTATTATTATTATTATATACAGCACAGCTTATTATGTTGATGCTGCTTTCCTGTGTATTCATTGTTTTGTTTGGGTTTGTTTCCTAAATTACAGTGCAAATGTCTTATAAACATCTTTTGTGCCTCATGTAGGGCTTTGTTTATGAGAAACACTCTATTGAAGTGGGTAAGAACTCAAGCTGAGGTGGACGCTAGATCTCCATTCAAATCTCAGCTCCGCTACCAACAAACCATGGCACCTGGGGCAGGTCTCTCACCCTCTTTGGATCTGTTTTCACATGTAGACATCTGTTGCATGTCCAACTAGCAATACCTCTTTGTTGGGCTGTTGGGAAGAATAAATGAAATATAAAGTATTTAGTGTGGCACCTGACACATAGTGGATTTTATACATATATATAATATATATCATATAGAGAGAGAGTATATATATATATATATATAGAGAGAGAGAGAGAAGATTATATATATATAGCCACCGCCCCTATAACTCTTCTATAAGGGAACCTCCCATTCAGTATAAAAGCCTCATATCTTAGGTGTATAAAATATGCTGGCGCTGGCTTGGGTAATATTTTGTCCTACTATTCATGGGTTGATTGGTAAGAACATGACCTAAAAACCAAAGTTTATATAAAATAAGCTACAGTATAAATTTAAGAAAAAGAAAACAAGCTACAGTATGAGCACAGAAATTATTAACTTATTCTTTATTGTTGCAGCAACAACATGTCAATTAATACGTTTTAAAATTCCTTTTCTACTCAAAACAATGTCTTTTTATGGACAAGCAGTTTAGCTGCTGCTATTGAGTTTCATTTACCCCCTTGGCAAATGTCACAGTTTTAGAAAGTAAATACAAAGGGGCAGAGAGTTACAAAGGTTGATGTTTCTTGGGTCTGAGCCAAAGGAACTGAATCATCACAGATAAAGCTGGGCAGAAGTCAGCCTTCCATGAATACTGACAGGTCTATTCTTTTATGTGAAATGAACATGTCTACCACGGTTATAGAAAGTCATCGATGTAATTTGCAACAGTTTTAAATAAAGGCACTCTCCTCACATAAAAGTTTATCTTAATATTTTAAGAATTGAAGTAATTTAAATACACCATAGTTATGTAAATCATGCATATTTTCCAGTGAATTTGAGCTTTCCTTGGGAAAACAATTATACCCCACACTTCTTTAGTTTAAGAAACCAAGACATCTGTGTTGATTCTTTTATTTTAATTTTCATCCCCTTTCCCAAGTCCACTATCATGGCTTTGAAGGATTCCATCTTTTTCCTCTGCCCTCCATCAAACCACCTTTGATGACGATGCCAAAAGCCTCACTGTGACGCAGCATCCTTAGCCCACCAGCTGATATGCCTTGGCCTAAACATTCCACCCTTAACTCTGAGACCTCTACCGTGCATCTTCCACAGAAAACCAAAGACCTCCTGGGCTTTGGACCAAGACAGCTTTCCCCTGGAATCACACTGAAACAGAATAACTCTCGACCATCTTTTTTAAGTGATTGTCGATGTTTCTTTCCTCTTAGAAAAGAATTTAAAGAATGATGTGTTAAGGCAGTATTTTCTTTTAAAGGTAAGAAAAAAGAAGCCCTTAAAGAGGACAGGCTGTGATTATTTGGAAGTGGCTCTGGGCTTCACTGTGTGCCTCCTCCCACCTTCCCACATCACTGCAGCAGGCCACTACAAGAATCCAGCAGGGCCAGAACACACCGCCTGCAGGGAACCACAGCGCTTCCCGGCATGCCAGACACTCAGCCTCTGGATGACGCAACCGAGCGGGACACATTAGTCATGCACAAACAAGAGCAGCCCTTGCCTGACTTTATTTGCTTGGATTCCAAATATCCCCACCTACACTCTGCCAAGTGCAGAATGGCCACGGCAGTCCTCTTTCCTCTCTTCACTTATATAGCAATCACTTACTAAACAACACTTTGCTGGGCACAGCAGGAGCATGAATGAAGTTGTATGCACGACTGTTAGTGACACAATCTAATGGAGAAGAGGACAATTTTAAAACAATATGGAAACCCAGTGATAGGTATGCAGTATAAAAGAACTTCTAACCCAGAGGGCACAGGAGAGGAGTTATTAACAAAGACTTTCTGAAAAAGGCAAAGCCTGAGCCGACCCTATACTTAAGATCTCAGAAATCTAGAGAGATCAAAATATGTTTGCATGCTTAGGACAATCCCTGTGTTTTAAGGAGATTACTTCCCAAGACGATGTGTTCAACAAATAACCCTCAATTCCCATTGGAAAATGGGCAGGAGAGCTGTGATTTCTTTATGGAATTAATTTTTGTCCATTTGCTCTCACTTCTTCTTCTTGTAGGGATGAAATCCTAAATCCTGTTCACAAAATAGGTATTTCTTGACTTTTAAAACTCTAGTACGGAAAACATCCATTTCCTGCTCAGTTAAATAAGGTTTTTGCAGATGCTGGTTCTCACCCTTCTGCCAAAGCCATTATAGATGTGGGCTGTAGTGTTTGGACAGACTTTAAATAGGAGCATTGAATCCCAGTGGGTGTGTCCTGATGTGATAATTGCTTTTGGGACAGGTTATTGTGCATGTCGCCCGGTCCGAGACATTTGGCTTAAAATACATTTTGCATATCGTGCAAATCACTTGGAAAAAAATCTTTGGTGAGCTGCCTATAAAACTCTTAGCACAGACTAAGTCATATCCTCAAGTATTTCATTTTTCCATTGGACCTAACTTCCCTGGAGCCTTAAAAAAAATAATAGAGACTTTAATTAAAGGCCAATTTTATTACTCTTGTTCTAGGGGTGGAGAAACTGAGACACCAGCATAAAATGAATCATCCACAGTTGCAGAAAGGGTCTGAAACAGTATCTACTGGCAAATGATGTTCCGACGTCTATTCATTAGATATTATGACTTTTTAGATTCCCTTTCAATAAGATATTTTCCATGTTTGTAATATCATGCAACAAATCTGTAGAAGGGGATGCAAAAAAGAAAATACACACAATTGAAATGGACTTCAGGATTGTCTTGTCGTGCACCTAATGTGCTTTAATTGTACAGTGTACTATACATAAAAACCATGTCTTTAATTTTTTTATCCTTCTGAGCACATATCTATGCTATCCTTCAAGATGGCACGTTGAAGGCATAAACTAAACCTATTTCTGCTCTCTGTAAAGCACATTCTAAGGTTATATTGATGTTACAAGACTACTCTCCAGCAAATGCATTGGCCTATTAACTTACTCTTAATTCATTGTCTTCAGCAGGGAATATACACCAAGAAATACACTGTCAATATTCAGCAGTCAAATGGGAATATTCTTTGGCTGTTGAGTGTTGAAAATATATTTCTTGGTAAATATTCTCTGCTAAAGACAAATTAAAAATAAGGTAATAGACCAATACAGTTGTGGGAGGGCAGCCCAGTGGTCACATGTAACCCTTGATATTTCTAGTCCTTGCCATGATCTAGAATAGATGCATTCCCAGAGGCAGGAAAATGTTCTTCCCATGGAATTGTGGTCATCTCCCCAATGGGGAGGTCCCCCTCTTCATATTGACCTGTCATAGACTCACCATGTGGATGCACAAGCCTGAGCCAGATAACCAAACTACAGCTCCCCATCCTCTGGAGAGAACCATCAGCAATCCACATTAGAGCTTTCATTCTTTTCACAGTTATTTCTTGAGCACCTCCTAAGTGCTGGGCTCTGTGCTACAAACTAGGAATAAAGAAGTGAACACAGTAGATACAGCCTCGTGGAGCTTACAGTCTAGTGGGAGAGACACTGAACAAATACAGAGTGTTTGTTGAAAACATACAGAGTACTACTATGGGAACATTTAATGAGGGAATCCAAGCTAGACAGGGAAATGAGGACAAGAGCTATCCGTAAGAAGAAAACAGTTAAGCTAAGAACTGGTTCTCAAAGTTGCCTACACATTGAAATTGCCTGCAAAGCCTTTAAAAAATGCTTTTGCCTGGCTGTTTACTCCAGAGATTCTGATTGAACTGGCATGGGGTGAAGCCTGGGTATCGGGATACTTTTAAGCTCCCTAGGCAATGCTAATATGCAACAAGGTTTGGGAAGTCACGTGTCCAAGGATAAGTACCAGAGAATCTAGTGAAGACTGTCCAAGTGGTGGAAACAGCATATACAAAGGCCCTGCAGTGAGAAGGAGCTTGGGGCATTCTGGGAACACGGTATCTGGAGTATGAGGAGGAAGCTGAGAGGGCCAGATGAAGCTGAAGATGAGTGTGGAGAAGTAGGCAGGAGTTACATCACACATGGCCCTGCTAAGTCAAGTTACAGATTTTTCACATTTTAGTAAGATCTAGTAAGATTTAGATTAGGTGTAGTAAAATCACATTTTAGTAAGCAATGGGAAATCACCATATGGGTCCAGGCAAGAAAGTGACTTTATCAGACTCCTGTTTGCAGCAGGCATCTCTGACTACTGGGTAGAGAGTGCATTACAGGTGATATGACATCATGATATTCACCTGAGGCACACTCTGTATTCAAAGAGCTTGGGCTACAGAAGCAGCAGGATCAGGCCAGTCGTGGTGGCTCACACCTGTAATCCCAGCACTTTGGGAGGCTGAGGCAGGCAGATCACTTGAGGCCAGGAGTTCATGACCTGCCTGACCAACATGGAGAAACCCTGTCTCTTCTAAAAATACAAAAATTAGCCTGGCATGGTGACATGTGCCTGTAGTCCCAGCTACTTGGGAGGCTGAGGCAGGAGAATCCTGTGAACCTGAAAGGTGGAGATTGCAGTGAACCAAGATCACACCACTGCACTCCAGCCTGGGTGACAGAGAGACTCCATCTCGGAAAAAAAAAAAAAAGATGAAGAAGATAAAGAAGGAGAAGAAGGAGAAGGAGAAGGAGAAGGAAGGAAGGAAGGAAGGAAGGAAGGAAGGAAGGAAGGAAGGAAGGCAGGCAGGCAGGCAGGCAGGCAGGCAGGCAGGAAGGAAAGAAGGAAGGAAGGAAGGAGAAAGAAATGAAGGAAGGAAGGAAGGAAGGGGGGAGGGGGGAAGGGAGGGAGGGGAAGAAAGAAGGAAGGAAGGAAAGAAAGAAGGAAGGAGAAAGAGAAAGAAAGAAAGAGAAAGAAGAAAACAAGAAAGAAAGAAAGAAGAAAGAAAGAAAGGAAGGAAGGAAGAAAGAAAGGAAGGAAGAAAGAAAGAAAGAAAGAGAAAGAAAGAAAGAAAGAAAAAGAAAGAAAGAAAGAAAGAAAGAAAGAAAGAAAGAAAGAAAGAAAGAAAGAAAGAAAGAAAGAAAGAAAGGGAAAGAAAGAAAGGATAGAGCAGGAATGGAGCTATGGTCACGCCAAGCGAAACAGAAAGGGGTCTGGCTCTCCTGGCTTTCCTGAGCAGTGGTAAGGCTCTGATTTTCTTTTAGATAAGCCACACTGAGACCAGCTCCCCCCACACATGTTACACTCACATCCTGACTTTCACCTCCAGATCTAAATTCCCCCTGAACTCACCCCATGCTCTCAGCCCCTCCAGCAGCAAACCCAGTCTTTGCTGAATGAGCACAGACAAGAGCACAAAGAAAGAAGGAAGAATTCCAAGGAAAGAGATTTCTCTGCTGAACCATGGTGGTCACTACCTGCAGTGCTCTGAGAGTGGAAAATATAAGCCAAGTGCCTCCTGCAAGGGTGTAGCCTCAAGAGGAAACAGGGATCATTCCCACATCTCCACCTCTGCACAGTCCAGAAGAGCCACTTGACCACTGTGTGAACCTTCTCTGGACTCTGCATGTGAGCAAGACTTGCCAATGGCAGCAACACTGTCTATTGATGAACAAGTTACTCCTTCATTCCATAAAAAGCTACAGATTAAGGTATGCAGTTACATTACTTTCCTCTCCACATCAATTTGCTATTGTACACTAAAACAAATCCTTCTTGTTCCATTTCTTTCCATACACAGAATGAGTGTTTTGAGACCTTAGGAGAGAGATAGACGACTCTGATCACTGTTTGATTTTTGCATTCAAATAAATTAAAAGAGAAATATACAAAATCTAAAAAAATTAAAATAGAAATATAATAATAGCCCCTCAATGGCTCCTATGAACCACACCCTATGCATGCATATCTCAACTAATACTCCCAACTCCTCCCCCATGAATAATGTATTATTATCTCCATTTTACAGAAGAAGAAACTGAGGTTCTAAGAAGATATTGTAATTTTACCGAGGACACAGAATTAATAACTGGTTAAGTCATGACTCGAACCCCGTTCTAGTTGGACCCTGGAGTGCGTATCCTTAATTAGTGTGCTCCATTGCTTCCCTTTCTGCAGGTGCTTTCTCAGTTTGTGGAAGCTCCCGAGCTCCTCCTACTCCATAGCATCCTAGTGATGGTGCGTCTCACGGTACCAACCTGAAGAGTCAGTGAGCCAAGGAAGGTTTTTGTCTTCTAAATACTGAATGTGTAACCTAGGTAAGTAAAACTCTCTGGACCTCAGTTTCCTAACCTGTAAAATAGGCATAATTATGATAACAGATGCCAAACAGATTCTCGTGCCGATGGAGTAAGATGATTATGAAAAGCATTGTGTACGACATTGATCATGTATGTAGTGCTCAATAAACACAAGCGATCATTATAATGCAAGTAGTATTATCATTACACTTAGGTTCACACTTCTCCATCTTTTTAATCCAGTTGTGCAGCACCTTTAATTTTCAGAGTGAACAGTGGCAATAAATTTAGGTCAAAGGCTATAAATAGAGCACAATCAGCTCTGCTTTGGCTGTGACTTGTTTGAGAGGTAGGGCGGGGCTGGTGAAGAGAGACAGCTTTGCCCATCACCACTAGATGGTGCTAATATATTATGACCCACCCACAAGGGTTTTCATACAAATTATACCCTTAAAACATGTGCATGAGGGCTGGCAGGCGCCAGGGCATTGTTTTCTAAATGTTGCCCATTATTCTACTTTTGGCACGAGAGCTCTGCAATTCTTCTTACATTGGGCCATGCACTATCCCAAGAAAAAGACAGGGATTGTATTCTAATTCCTTTATTTTAGATAGAAGATAACTTAGTCTTTTGATATCATTATAAAGGTGGCAAAGTCAATGTAAAAAAATCTGTTTTTTGTTAAATATAAAGTGTAATGAACTACTACTATACAAAAAGTGACAATGTAAGCAGAGATTAGTCAAAGGATCTTAAAAGTTTTAATGTTAGTTGTTTTCTCCAGTAAGAAAAATCTTAATGATCTTCTAAAATTAAAATGTCCTGGCAGTTTATAAATTAAGGATAACTGTGGTAAGTTGTCCCTGTCTAATTGCAAAAGTAAAATTGTTTAAGTTAATTTTAAAAGTAACTTTAAAAGTTTTAAAGTAAATTCCTGCCTTTTCTCAAGTTTCCCATATCAACAATACCCATCTTTATCCACAGATGGAAGCCCAGAACATAGCTTCAAGCTTGTTTCCATGAAAAGGTCATTCCAGGATTCTTGTTGCTTGCCACATAGCCTCTGTGATGAAGTACTGTTGTCGTTGCTTCCTGGGAACCACAGGTGGGAGGGCTTTTTGGCATTCTCTGTCACAGTCTAAGGACTCAGTTTCCCCAAATTGCATGCCTTGCTCTTCCAAATGGAAAAGTCCTCTCTTCACACTCATTATCAGAAGATTTCACACGAGGTGTTCAGATACCTCTCACTCACACATATTCCAAGTGATGAGACAAGGAACTATTTGCCAAAGGGAAAATATCGTGTGGTTTTCTGTTCTCATCGCCAAAAATAATTTCCAGAGGAGACTGTTTTTAATTTCTTGTTTTAATTTCCATTTGGGCATGACGAACAGTCTTCAAAAGCTATGTCATTGGAGATTCTAAACCCAAAGGGAGAAGGCTTGCCTGGGCAACCTTAATATGATTCGGATACCACCCGTATTTCATCTTCCAGCTCACTGCCCTTTTTACATGCATTTTCTCATGCTGGCTTCCACACCAACGCTGTGGGCAGACAAAGCCAGCAATTGCTATCGCTGTCTGTTGATGCATAGGATCTGAGATCTGATTCAGCTACGATGAAGAGTTAGCTGGTGGTACAGTTGGGACATAAACCGAAATCTTTGTACATGTCGCTTTGGTGTTCACCATTGCACGTCACAGGCTGCTTCCTTATCACCCTCCTTAGTTGCTATTCATCGTCAGCTGTCTTCAGCTCTTCATGGGTATGTGTATTCTCTGTCCAACTATTAGGTTGGTGCGAAAGTAATTGCCATTTTGCCATTGAAATAAAAATAGACTAAAATAAAATTTGAGTCTAAAGACAATAACTATGTCTAATATACCTGCTGTTCCCACAAAGCCTTAAATACTCAATAAATATTTGTTGGTTAGGCTTTTATTGTGCAAAGAATGAGAGTCATAAAGGTATTTTATTTGTATACCGTGAAATCTATATCAAACTGAATATTTAGATCCTTCTTTCATATAAAGGAAAAACATATCAGGACTGAAATTTTTTCAAATTTATTTTAAATGGAAAAATGTCAATTCAGGGCAGACTCATTTCCTATTCTATATCCATTGTGGGTTTAGATTATAATTTTGGATGACATCGAAAAGACTGGGGTGTTTTGCTGTTTTCCTTTGCTAAATGACATGATTTGGGTACAAGTAAAATTGTGTTTCTGTGGGTTTGCCTCCATATTTACTCGCTGCCTGAGTCCCATTTTCCAGTGTTTCATAGTCTGGAGAGGAAGTGTGGTCTAGTGGTCAGAAAAACAGTTTAGAAGGCTAGCATCATGGTTTCTATTCCTGTCTCACTCCCTGACTCATTGTAAGATCTTCAGGGAGTTAGTTAAGCATTTTGAGCCTCAGTTTATCCATTTTTTTCCTACCTAGAGATGTTGCTCAGAAATAATCAGATAATCAAACAGTGTAAAATAAAAAATGAGGTTGGCTATAAAAAGAAATAATGCTACATACATACAAAGCTTCATGTAATGAGTAGTAGGGGCTACAGAAGGAAAACAGGATCCTCTAATTAGTTTGCCAGCTGAAAGGAGTCGTCAAAGGCCCTTCTAGTAAGCACTGATTCCACTGGTTATGGGCACTAACTGGGATAGTACCTGGAAAACAATGTGTAATGGGAAGAAAATCAAGGAACTGGGAATCTAGGGAAGAGGAGTGTTGGGAATTGGGGGTCTTTCTCCTGACCTCCAAGGGAAAATGTAAGTGAGCAGAAACACTCAAATTTCGCTTGGAGTTCACACTCTTAGGCATAGCAATAGACCTTCATAGAAGATTCCATTTGATCAGGCTACAAATTCAAGATCAACTTGAAATCTTGGCTTCTCTTCACCCATCACTCTTTCCATGTTATCCATCCTCTAGAAGAAAAGCTACAGTGGATGTTATTTCTTGTTGAGTTAAAAAGGGAAGCATATGCAAAACAAAAATTAAAGCCGCTCCAGGGGCTGGGCACGAATTACAGGTGGCTCACACCTGTAATCCCAGCACTTTGGGAGGCCAAGGCGGGTGGATCACTTGAGGTCAGGAGTTCCAGACCAGCCTGGCCAACATGGCAAAACCCCATCTCTACTAAAAATACAAAAATTAGCTGGGTGTGGTGGTGCATGCCTGTAATCCCAGCTACTAGGGAGGCTGAGGCAGGAGAATCACTTGAACCCAGAAGATGAAGGATGGGCAACAGAGTGAGACTCCATCTCAAAAAAAAATAAAAAAGCCACTCCAATTACTCACACATAGAGAATCATTTTTATCATCATTATTTTTAATTGATACATAATTATACATATTTATGGGGTGCAGTGTGATATTTCAATACATGTATACAATGTGTAATGATCAAATCAGGGTAATTAGCATAACCATCACCTTAAACATTTATTATTTCTTTCTGTTGAGAACATTCAAAATCTGTTCTTCTTGCTATTTGAAAATGTACAATAAATAGCTATTTGAAAATGTACAATAAATTGTTGTTTATTATAGTCATCCCGTAATACTATAGGATACTAGAACTTATTCCTCCTGGAGGATCATTTTTATTTCATCACTTGGTCTATCAGCTGGTTGATTGACTGGCATTCTCAGCCACTGATAGCCACCCAGGAGAACAGAACAAAGGTGCTCTTCAAACCTCACTGTTGGCCATGTGATTCGTGTCATTGTGTTAGAGGTTGCTGTCACCTTCATGAGATAGAATCTGATGAATCAATAGTTCATTATAGTTCTGACACTAAAACTAATAATAGTAATTATAAGAATAACAAATATTTACTAAGTATACATTAATTGCCAGGTACGATACTCAGCATATTCTAGGTATGATCTCATTTAACTCTTTCTCAAATCCGATCATGTAAGAATTGTTATCCCCATTTTGCAAGCAAGGAGGCTTCAGCTCAGAAATCAAGTAACTATGTGAGGCCAACAGTGAGGAATGAAACCCAAAGTTTTCTGACTTTGAGGCTATGGTCTTGACCACTGACCTGTGCTGCCTCCCTCCCCCTGGAAGAGGTCAAAGAGGAACTTGCTCCAGGAGTTGTCAGGGGAGAAGCCATGAACTTGACATTCAATAAACCTTATATTTCAAGAAGTAGAGAAGCAGAGAGGACTGTTTCTATGGACTGTGGCATTGAGTTTCTTTTCCTGCTTAGAGGCAGCCAGTCAGCCAAGCTGGTCTCACTGCTTGAAGAGCAAATGAAAAGGTGGAGACAATTCTTATGTGCATGCCTGCTTGTTACATGCAACAAAGCACTCCAGGACAAAACAAAGAAAATAATTCAGAATATCCAAGATTCTAAGAAAACAGACTGATGAAAAAGAGAGAAAGACAAGAAGACATTCAGAGCTAGTTCACCTGTACAACAGATGTAGCCCATCCTGCTACTGTGAATTGAGACCTGTAAAAATCAGCCGTGAGCACACACCCCACATGAAACAACCAGGGAATCAGCATGTTGAAACAGAGATCAAAGAACCCAAGAGGAAAAGGACACATCAGGACAGATGGCACCCTCCAGCTCTACAAGGACTTCACGTAGCCAGGAGCATGCAGCTATTAAATATCAAAAAAACACAAAAAACAAAACAAAACAAAAACCTGAGAGCTGGAAGTGCTGGTCAGGAAATTAAAGAGCCAGGGGACGCAGGCATTTTTTTTTTCTCTATTTCCAATTTAGGATTCAGACTCTGAGACAGGACACAGAATGTAGAATGGAAGTTTTGATAGGATGATTGTTTAATTTATCACCCAAACCAGCACACTTTTGATAACAAAAGAGAAATGTATTAATTGTTAATTACTCCCAGAACAACAAGTAAAGTAAGACCATCCCAGGCAAACTAGAACATATGGTTATTCCAACCTTTGGGAAAACCTGTTAATACAAGAATAAAATTATAGAAGAAAAATCTAGATAAGGGTAAAAATATATATGTGTGTTCATGTATGCATAAACATAAATATGGATGTATAACACATATATGTGTGTGTGATATAGAGAGAGGAATAAAGGAAGTACTGTAGTGGGGGTATGCTGGAGAATTTGGTTAAAGCACTGGACATTGATTATAAAATTGGCACATTAGCAAGTTATGGAAAATAAGGAGAGGCTCCAATTACACCCAAATTCTGGAAATTTCCATCTGAAAATCAGGTCATCTGATAAGTGTCTAGATTTACTTGTTTGGCTTACAATTTCACTTCTCAGAAAATAAAGGAAGTGGCAAAGGAACTGCTACTTTGGGTGTATTTCTCCTTAATAATGAGGAACTTCCAGGAGATGTGAGATTTGACACATGCTCAGACTGACGCCAAGTTTCCAAGGAAAGAGAGATAGGATCACTCAGACTGAGATGGCTCAAGACAGAAGAGAAGCCCATGAGAATGAAAATCGGACAGCAAAGTCACAATCTATGCAAAGGCGAGGACATAACACTAAACACACCTATAGAAATAGAGCCAGAGATGCTAAAACCAAGATAATGTAAGGCTGAAGCGAAGGTCTAAACTTTCGAGATTTTCTTTGGAGCAAGATGGAAGACCTTCTGGGACATGTCCCCACCCCCCTCTTACAGAATCCCTGTTATGTTGAATGAGCACTGTAAGTGGAAGAATTGAGGATGGCAGAGGATAATAGAGCACAATTTCTGCTTTGCTTCCATGTTCTCTCCAAATAGAGGCTTTGCGTTGGTAACTGGGAAAAGTGATAATCCTGAAATGCTTTAAGCTAAACCAAACTATCAAGTTTAAACTGAGAAAAGAAAACGACAGACTGAATGTTGTCTGGAGGAAAGCAGAAGGGATGATAAAGGATTCCTCAACTGAGGCTATTTAAGCTGGAGAAGAAAAGCCTCTTCTCTTTGAGGGAGAAGATCCCTGCTTTCCAAAGTTGGGTGAGCCATTCTAAGGGAACAGAATTACTTTGTAGGCATCAGAGCACATAATTAAAAGGTCTGATTTTTCAGTTTATAAACATTCATGCATTCTGAGGGTTAGCATTGCCCCAAAGAGACATCAGGGCAGGGTCTAGTCCCCTTCCTGGCATGGTGCAAACAGGCTGAAAAAACCATTTAGTGGAGATGATGGTTGCTTCAAATCCTCTTCTAGAAGAAGATAGACTGTGGGCATGGACTAAGGAAAAGTGAAGAGACTTTTGAAGACATCAAAGCATTTATTAAGTGGCTTAAAATTGTCCTTTCAGCCCTCAACTTCTATACTCTTGACTTTAAATGGTCAGTCCACCTCAGTGGCTCACTCTGCCTGGCACAGGCCCTATCTTTCTTGCTTTATGGGAAGTAGAAAAGGATAGTGGTGACAGAGTGGACACTAGAGTCCATCTGCCTGATGGTGAGTCTCAGCCTTATACTCTCACTAGCTTTGTGACCTTGGAAAAGTTTCTTACCCTCTCCAAACTTCAGTATTCTCATCTCTATAAAGCACAGGAGATAATAGTAGTACCCACCTCCTAATGTTGCTATGAGAATTAAATGAGATAGTGTGTGTAAAACATGTCAATGCTTATTATGTAATAAGTACTCAATCAATTTTAACTATTAGTATTGGTTAAATCCAAAACCATATTTGGAGAGGGTCTATAACTGATCAATTTTACTTTTTATGCTTTGTCTGTAAGTTGAAAATCATTCTAAAGTGCAATCAGTTTACATTCCAAGATGTGCATTTATGCTATTATTGGTTTTGATTGTAAGTTTCTAGAGAACTGAAACCTCAAGCAACTTCTAAGTTTCTTGTTGGCATGGCAACAATAAGTCCATGATGACAGAGAAACGTTCCGCTCTCAGGGTTGATTGCTAAGCTCCTGGACTAGCTATTACAGTCAATTTTTGTGTGATTGTGCTAAGGGGATACTAAAGAATGGAACAGTAACCATCAATTTCTCAACTTGTTAACATCACACAGATTTAGTGAATTACTTCAACTACATCTTATTAAACGGACTATATATAGAAAAAGCTAAAGAAAATTATTAACCTAGATCCTAGACATTTTGACCCTTTTCAAACCTCAGGTTCCTTTTAAAAGCGTCTCTGATACATTGAATGAATACAGTAAATAGAATTATATAATGTTGGCTGGGTGTAGTGGCTCACTCCTGTAATCCCAGCACTTTGGGGGTCTGAGGCAGAAGGATTACTTGAGACCAGGAGTTTGAGGCCAGCCTGGACAACACAGTGAGACTCTATCTCTATTAAAAAATGAAATAATTAGCTGGATGTGGTGACATGCACCTGTAGCCTCAGCTACTTGGAAGACTGAAGCTGGAGGATGGCTTGAGCCCAGGAGTTGAAGGCTGCAGTGAGCCATGATCATGCCACTGCACTCCAGCCTGGGCGACAGACAGAGACCCTGTCTCTAAAACAAAAACAAAAATAAATAAATTAATTAATTAAATTAAAAAATAAAGAATTGCATAATGCTATACGGTAAGGAAAATGAAAGATAACCTTAAAAGCCATTTTAAGGGTATCAAATTGAGGAATGATGTCTCCTTGTTAAGATGTTTATGTGGAGACTTCCCAGAACTTTCCACATGCGTATATATCTGGCATTGCTGTGGTTATTCAAAGCTCATCTTTGCACATCTTATTATCTACAGGGGGACAAAAGGGAATGTGATGTTCCTATCAGATGGCTCACTACAGCGCCTGATTTTGGATAAAATGGGAATAGTTCAAAGAAAGAAGAGACCTGAAGGGAGATGCATCCATAATGGAGGCCACACAAGTTTAGTCCCATCTCAAGTATAAACAGAAAGACCTGGGGTAAAGAGATTTAAATTCCAGGTATTGTTTACTAATGCAACAATAACTAAGAGTGCAAATATTCATGCAGCAAAAATATTTGAAATGTGTTGTAAAGGTGTTTGACCTGTCATAACTTCATCATTCTATGGGTCATTGACTCCCTTCTGATTTAGCTGCCGTGCTGGATTTGATATTTGTGTTTATTTCTATATCCCCTGCTGCTATTTTCATATACAATATTTCTTTTATTTATGTATTTTTTTATGATGGAGTCTCGCTCTGTCGCCCAGGCTGGAGTGCAGTGGCACAATCTTGGCTCACTGCAACCTCTGCCTCCCAGGTTCAGGTGATTCTCCTGCCTCAGCCTGCTGAGTAGCTGGATTACAGGCATGTGCCACCATGCCTGGCTAATTTTTTATTTTTAGTAGAGAGTTTCACCATGTTGGCCAGGCTGGTCTCGAACTCATGACCTTAGGTGATCTGCCCACCTCGGTCTCCCAAAGTGCTGGGATTACAAACATGAGCCACCACATCCAGACCCAATTTTTCTTTGATAGACGTATTATTCTTCATCAATATCATTCCAATGAGAGAATTATTTAGTGGTGTTATGGAGTTGACTCTCACCGGCTTGCATCAGCTAAGGAAGGGCAATTGTATACATCTCTGGCACCAACACATTCACTGACATCATGTTGATAGCTTGATGACAGCCATAAAGGGAGTGTTTATAACAAGAAACCAGCAAAGGCTACAAATCAGTGGTTAAATATTTACAAGCACACCAATGATTTTATTTCCTGTCCGAGTGGTCTCAGGCATGGTCACATGACTAATTTGGGCCAATGATACGAGAACAAGTGGCATATGTCATTTCTGGTTAGTTTTAAAAGCTAGTGTGTGTTTCACCGTGATATTCCTCCTGTCATTGCTACTGGCAATCCTCCAGTTAGTACCTGTCCCATCAGGATGGGTCCTATAGTAATAACGGGATGGTGGTAGAACTTGAGACCCTAGGTCAATCCATGTAAACATATAACATGAGTGGAAGCATGAGTAGTTTTGTTGTTTCAAACCACTGAGGTGGCCAGGTGTGGTGGCTCATGCCTGTAATCCCAGCACTTTGGGAGGCCAAGGCAGGTGGATCACCTGAGGCCAGGAATTCAAGACCAGCCTGGCCAACGTGGTGAAACCCCGTCTCTACTAAAAATATAAAAAAAATTGCCGGGCGTGGTGGCACATGCCTGTAATCCCAGCTATTCGGGAGGCTGAGGCAAGAAAATCGCTTCAACCTGGGAGGTAGAGGTTGCAGTGAGCCGAGATCATGCTGCTGCACTCCAGCCTGGGCAACAGAGCAAGACTCTGCCTCAAAAAATAAAATAAAATAAAATAAAATAATAAAACCACTGAGGTTTTAGTGTTGTTTGTTACATAGCATCATTTTGCCTGTCCTTACTAATTATATCTACTCTATTTTCTTAAATAAGTTTTACTTCACCTTTCCAGATCTCATTTTTCTCATCTGCAAAATAACATTGTTGAGTGCTAATGCCCTGCCAACTTTAAAGTCTGTGAAAACTTTATTTGAATTAACACTGGGAATATGGAGAGACAATTCTAACAGGAAAAAAATATCCATAGCAGTAATGAGTCCCCATATCTAAGCCCAGCATGACAATGGGGAAGTCATTTAATCTTGAATTCCAGTTTTGTTTCCTCTATGAAATGAGAAAATCAGACCAGATAACTTCTAAGCCTCCTCCAAGCTGTAAAATTATTTTATTTTATTTTGTTAAAAGACTTCAAGTGAAACAAACACAGTGAGAGGTGACAGCGTGCTGGCAGTCCTCACAGCCCTCGCTCGCTCTCGGCCCCTCCTCTGCCTGGGCTCCCACTTTGGCGGCGCTTGAGGAGCCCTTCAGCCCACCGCTGCACTGTGGGAGCCCCTTTCTGGGCTGGCCAAGGCCAGAGCCAGCTCCCTCAGCTTGCAGGGAGGTGTGGAGGGAGAGGCGCGAGCGGGAACCGGGGCTGCGCGCGGCGCTTGCAGGCCAGCTGGAGTTCCGGGTGGGCGTGGGCTTGGAGGGCCCCGCACTCGGAGCAGCCGGCCGGCCCTGCCGGCCCCGGGCAATGAGGGGATTAGCACCCGGGCCAGCAGCTGCGGAGGGTGTACTGGGTCCCCCAGCAGTGCCAGCCCGCCGGCGCTGTGCTCGATTTCTCGCCGGGCCTTAGCTGCCTTCCCGCGGGGCAGGGCTCGGGACCTGCAACCCGCCATGCCTAAGCCTCCCACCCGCTCCGTGTGCTGCTGTGCGCCCGAGCCTCCCCGATGAGCGCCGCCCCCTGCTCCACGGCGCACCCAGTCCCATCGACCACCCAAGGTCTGAGGAGTGCAGGCGCACAGCGCGGGACTGGCAGGCAGCTCCACCTGCAGCCCCGGTGTGGGATCCACTGGGTGAAGCCAGCTGGGCTCCTGAGCCTGGTGGGGACGTGGAGAACCTTTATGTCTAGCTCAAGGTTTGTAAACACACCAATCAGCACCCTGTGTCTACCTCAGGGTGTGTGAATGCACCAATCGACACTCTGTATCTAGCTACTCTGGTGGGGCCTTGGAGAACCTTTGTGTCGACACTCTGTATCTAGCTAATCTGGTGGGGACGTGGAGAACCTTTGTGTCTAGCTCAGGGATTGTAAACGCACCAATCAGCGCCCTGTCAAAACAGACCACTGGGCTCTAGCAATCAGCAGGATGTGAGTGGGGCCAGATACGAGAATGAAAGCAGGCTGCCCGAGCCAGCAGTGGCAGCCCGCTCGGGTCCCCTTCCACACTGTGGAAGCTTAGTTCTTTCGCTGTTTGCAATAAATCTTGCTGCTGCTCACTCTTTGGGTCCACACTGCCTTTATGAGCTGTAACACTCACCGCAAGGGTCTGCAGCTTCGCTCCTGAAGCCAACGAGACCACAAACCCACGGGAGGAACAAACAACTCCAGACGCGCCGCCTTAAGAGCTGTAACACTCACCGCGAAGGTCCGCAGCTTCACTCCCGAGCCAGCGAGACCACGAACCCCACCAGAAGGAAGAAACTCCGAACACATCCAAACATCAGAAGGAACAAACTCCAGACACGCCGCCTTTAAGAACTCTAACACTCACCGCCAGGGTCCGCGGCTTCATTTTTGAAGTCAGTGAGACCAAGAACCCACCAATTCCGGACACAACAGGACACGTGGATCCTTTAAATCAATGCTTCTGAAACTTTATTGTGGGGATTAATCACCTGGGGAGCTTCTTAAAATGCAGACTCGGATTTAGTAGGTCTGAGGTGAGGCTTGAAAAGTCCCAGGTGATGCTAATGCTGCCTGATGACGTCAAGCCTTCACTGAAGTGAATGTAGCTTCCTGTATTCAAGAAATACAACTCATGTATTGCCAGTGAGATGATGTTGCTAAATTTAAAGCAATCCTGCAGAACAAATAAGATGAAAATGGCCTTTATGAGGAGCTTAAAACTTAAATGTTTAATTTCTAATTTCTCAAAAAAGCAATTAACCTATAATAACTTAGAAAATAGTTGCTCAGCTGGGCATGATGACTCACACCTGTCATCCCAGCATTTTGGAAGGCCAAAGCGGGCAGATAACTTGAGGCCAGGAGTTCAAGACCAGTCTGACCAACATGGTAAAACCCCATCTCTACTAAAAATACAAAAATTAGCTGGGCATGGTGGTGGGTGACTGTAAACCCACCTAGTCGGGAGGCTGAGGCAGGAGAGTCACTTGAACCCGGGAGGTGGAGGTTGCAGTGAGCCAAGCTCATGCCTGACATTTAGGACATTCAGGCCCCAAAAAGGACTGGCCTGCCTCTATACCCATCACTCAACTGCTGCCCCAAACCACTTAGGTGGACCTGAGACAAAAGTCAGAATGTCACCTAAAAAGTAAAAATGTACTAGTGGAAAAATAGACAAATGAAAATATTTACTTAACTTTAATTCATAATAACCCATGCAGATTGTATTTTATACTCACTATGAGTATCAAATTATTTCTATAACAAAAAGGATTTGAACAGAAAATACAATTGATCTCAATAAATGAGTCTCTGTCTTAGGCTTCTCCAGAGAAACAGAACCAATAAAATAGATGATTCTATCTATGTAGAAAGATTTACCATAAGGAATTGGCTCACACAATTATAGAGACAAACAAGTCTGAAGACCCACAGTCTGCAAGTTGGATTCCCAGGAGGGCCCATGGGGTAGTTAGTTCCATTTTAAGAGCCAGCAAGCTCAAGACCCAGGAATAGCCAGTGCTTCCATTCAAGTCCAAAGGCAGGAAAAAGCCAGCGTCCTAGTTCAGAGGCAGTCAGGTAGGAGGAATTTTCTCTTCCTCAGGGGAGAATTGGTCTTTTTGTTTTATTCAGGCCTTCTACTGTTTGGATGAGGCTCCCCCACATTAGGGAGGGCAACCTGCTTTACTAAGTCTACCAATTTAAAGGTCAGTCTCTTCTAAAAACATTCAGAATAACACTTAACCAAATATCTGGGCACCCCATGAGCCAAGCAAGTTGACACATAAAATTCACCATCATAGTCCCTTTTAAATTTACTATCTATGAAGTACTGGTATTTCTCATTAAAAAAAAATGTTAGTACAACTCAATAACAACAATAAAATTTTTAAATGGACAAAGGAATTTAATAGATATTTCTCCAAACAAGATACACAAATAGTCAATAGGCACATGCAACAATTTTCACCGTCATCAGTTACAGGGAAACGCAAATCAAAACCACAATAAGATATCTTCACACCCATTAGAATGACTATTATCAAAAAAATGGAAAATAAGAATTGGCAAAGGTGTGAAAACATTGGAACCCTTGTGCATTTTTGGTGGGGAAGTAAAATTATACAGCCACTGTGGAAAAGGATATATCAGTTCCTCAAAAAGTTAAACATAGAATCACATGTGATCTAGCATTTCTACTCATAGGTATACACCCAAAAGAATTGAAAGCATTTACTTGAGCAGATTCTTGTACACCATTGTTCATAGCAGCATTATTCACAATAGCTGAAAGGTAGAAACAGCCCCATCCGTGTCCATCAACAGATGAATGGATACACAAAATGTGGTGTATACATACAGTGAACTACTATTCAGCCTTAGAAAAGCATGAGATTCTGATACATGCAGCAACATGGATGAACCCTAAAGATATCCTGCTAAGTGAAAAAGACACAAAAGGACAAACACTATATGATTCCACATATATGAATGCAACAGTCTGAATGTTTGTGTTCCCCAAAATTTATATGTTGAAAACTAATCACCAATGGGATGATCAAAAGAGGCAGGACCTTTGGGAAGTGATTAGGTCATGAGAGTGAAGTGCTCTTCAATGGCACTGCTGCCCTTATGAAAAAGACCAAGGGCGCTTGTGTGCCCCTTCTACCATGTGAGGTTACAGCAAGAAGACACCATCTACGAACCAGGAAACAAGATCTCGCCAGACGCTGGATCTTGATTTTGAAACTCCAGCCTCCAGAACTGTGAGAATTACATTTCTGTTGTTTATAAGCTACCGGGTCTATGGTATTTTGTTGCAGCAGCCAGCATGGACTAGGACAATAAGGTGCCTAGAATAGGCAAATTCATAGAAACAGAAGGTAGAAGAGAAGTTACCAAAGGCTGGAGATATTATAGAAAACCAGAGGCTGACCATAGTTTTAAAAGGATTTGATTCAGGAATTATTGCAAGAGGGAAAAAGAAACCTCAGTATAGAACTGAGCTCAATTCTGACGACACCAAGGATACATAGGGGCCTGTGGATAGAAAATTAGTAGAAAATTAGTAAAATGAGTCAAGAGTAGGGAGGGATTCTTGCTAAACTGATCTAACAGAATTCTTGCTGAAGGCAGGCCAGATTGATCCAATATTATCTGGAGGATAATGGGGAATGAAGAATTTGATCAGCTATGAAGAGGGATCAGATATCAAGAGTGGAGAGTTCCTGATAAGCTGACTTAGCAGGATTCTTTTTAAAACTGGGCAAGGCCATCCTGACAAGGATGGAGGCCAAGGTCAAGGCCTAGTTGAGAAGATGGCTTAGAGGAGCCCAACTAAAGTTTAGTCAAAGAGAGAGTCATTGTCAGGGGCAGCTAGATGGGAGTTAGTGTTTAATGGGTACAGAGCTTCTGGCAGTTGGGATAATGAAAAAGCTCTGGAAATAGATAGCAGTGATGGCTGTAAAACATTGTGAATGTACTTAATTCCACTCAACTATACACTTAAAAATGGTCAAAATGGAAAATTTTGTGTATATTTTATCACAATGAAAAACCTTCAAAGAAAGTATTGAGGTTAATCCACACCATTCCTTCAATTTCCATTAATTTCCCATGCACAAAGTGGTAGTCAATAAATACTTGCTAAATAAATGAAGTGAAGAATCATACTCCAGAATCAACAAACATCAATTTAGTACATCAATATCTGTGGTACAATCCCCAAAAACTGTACTTCATTAGCAACCCAAGGAAGACACAAAACGAGAATGAGAACATACAGCTCCCATCAAGCAAACAATATTTTTAAAAGACTCAAGTTACCTGCCTATAAATTGGAAATCCAAGTGTACCATGTAAACATAAAATAATTAATATGAAATAGGCAAAACACACAGAATATCTGAAAATAAATTTGTTATCTCACTTGGAACAAAACCCATGTCCTAAAAATGGCCCCATGAGATGAGACCCGGGTCTCTCTCAAATCTCTGTCTGCATCTCCTTTTTCTCCTCCTCTCCCTCCACTCCAGCCACACTGATGAAAGGGTCTTTGCCTGTGCCATTTTCCCCCCTGCCTAGAAGGCTTTCCCTCCAGTTATCTGCATGACTACTACTATCTCCCTTTCTTGAAACTTTGATCAAGTGCACCTTCTCAGTGATCCCTCGTATTTATTTTTAAGTTTATTTTATTTATTTATTTTGAGATGGAGTCTCGCTCTGTCACCCAGGCTGGAGTGCAGTGGCATGATCTCGGCTGATTGCAGTCTCTGCCTTTCAGCATCAAGTGATTCTCCTGCCTCAGCCTCCCAAATAGGTGGGATTACAGGCACGCACCACCCCGCCTGGCTAATTTTTTTTTTTTTTTTTTTTTTTTTTTTTTTTTTTGCATTTTTAGTAGAGACAGGGTTTCACCAATGTTAGCCAGACTGGTCTCGAACTCCTGACCTCAAAAGATCCTCCTTGACCCGGCTTCCCAAAGTGCTGGGATTGCAGGCATGAGCCATCACGCCTGGCCTGATCCCTCATATTTATATGTGCAACATCATCCCAACCACTGCATTCCCCATCTTGGTCTAGTGTCCACCACAGCAGAGCCTGGGTGAAGGCTTGCATGCAGGGGTTGATTTGAAAAGGAGATCACAGGGAGTAGGGGCAGGCCTGGACCAGTGAAAGAGGAAAGACGGGAAGGGCCATCACAGATGTGCAATCCAGCTGGCTGTCTGCACACAATGATCGATCCTTCCAGGCACCTTCTGAGGGACCCTATGAAATGTATCTCAGAGCTGTCCCTCCAGGAGAAGAAAGCAAGAAGCATTTACCAACCCCTTCCTGCCCTCCATTGTTCAAGGGGGCTCCTAGGTGACTGCCTGCACTTTGGGGTTGTGCGTATCTGAGTACAGAGCCAGTTCCCGTGAATGTGCCAGGCTCAGCACAGATAAGTCCCAGAGCGGGAAGCAAGAAGGACAAGGCCTAGGGCAAGGCACTGTCCAGATTGCCCTGGTGGATAGCTGGTCAAAGTCTACAAGGAACTGGTCTCAGTAGCAGTGCCTCGAGTCAAAGGGAGGACATCCCCGTCAAAGGGAGACTTCTGAAGGGGTAGGAAAAAGATGTCCCATCTCCCTTCCCTGCTCTATGTTTTCTATTGCTCTTACCAGCAACTGATATACCATGTTTTATATATATTTGTTCATTATCTGTCTCTTCCTGCTACTGCATAAGCTCAATGAGGGCAGGGATTATTACAGGTTTAGTTCACTTCTGTATCCTCAGTACCCAGCAGCTGTTTGGCACAAAGTGGGTGCTCAGTATATGATTGATGGATGGATGAAATGAATGAATGAATGCAAGTATTGATTTTGAAATACTACGGAAGATTGTATCTTAGTGAGATTTTATGAAAAGAAACTCATGGGTGATGTTTATTGTCACTTATTATCATCATAGAATAATTGTTATTATATTACCCTCAAAATTTATCCAGAAATAAATCTTCAGTTTTCCTATATGTAACCAAGCACCAGCTAAAATTATACGAAGAAAGACATCAGACAAAAGCAATGAAAATCCTTCACAAGAAAATGGAAACGAAATGTTTTTAACACTTTATCTAATTTCCTTTTTTGTTTGTTTTTTTGTTTGTTTGTTTGTTTGTTTGTTTTTGAGACGGGGTCTCACTCCACCGCCCAGGCTGGAGTGAGTGAGTACAGTGGCGCAATCTTGGCTCACTGCAACCTCTGCCTCCTGGGTTCAAGTGATTCTCATGCTTTAGCCTGCCGAGTAGCTGGGACTACAGGCACGCACAACCATGCCTGGCTAATTTTTCTATTTTTAGTAGAGACAGGCTTTCTCCATGTTGGCTGGTCTCGAACTGCTGACCTCAGTTGATCCACCCACCTTGGCCTCCTAAAGTGCTGGGATTATAGGCGTGAGCCACCACACTTGGCCCATTTCTCTAACTTTCTAACCAACTTTACCTGACCACATACCATTTAGAGATGGCCAAGGTCAGTCACAAAAGCTATTCCCTTTACCCAAAACTTCCCATTGCTTCCACCAAACATAGCATTCAGCCTTAATTGGCTTAGCTTACATTTTAAAGAAAAAAAAATTTTTTTTTTTTGAGGCCCAGTTTCACTCTTGTCTCCCAGGCTGGAGCACAGTGGCACAATCTCAGCTCACTGCAACCTCCACCTCCCGGGTTCAAGTGATTCTCCTGCCTCAGCCTCCCGAGTAGCTGGGATTACAAGCGCCTGCCACCACACCTGGCTAATTTTTGTATTTTTAGTAGAGACGGCATTTCCCCATGTTGGCCAGGCTTGTCTCGAACTCCTGACCTCAGGTGCTCCACCTGCACATTTAGAATGTACATGTTTCTATAACCATTTTTATTTTTACCTGTAAAGATAGTGATACACAGGAAATATATCTTATTTTCTCTCTTACTTATACAAATTAACATCTCTTGTTTCAGCTTTTTATCCCCAAACCAGGTCATATTTCTAATGTCCTTTCTCCATGTACAACACATTTAAAAAGTAACTAAAAATATGTTTAGTTCAACAATCCTATGAATATTCATCTAATTCAGTAGCTGACCTCTATATGTCTATGTAAATAAAGAAAATCCAAATTTTCCAGAGCCAAATTATTCTGATTCAAAAGATTTCTTTGTTAAGTAGCATAACCTACAGGTGTTTTAAATGACTGTTTATGGACTGATGACTCTTGGACAGACTTCTGGCTGATTGCACAGGCTGCCTTAATCACCTCTTTAGCCTCATGGTAACGCAAGGCCATATTTCACAGGCCCAAGTTTTCTAGGCTCCACCTAGCACTGTGGTAGCTTTTACCATATTTGTCATAAGGTGAAATAAAGCTGCCTGGGCGCAGTGGCTCCTGCCTGTAATCCCAGCACTTTGGGAGACCAAGGTGGGTGGATCACCTGAGGTCAGGAGTTTGAGACCAGCCTGGCCAACATGGTGAAACCCCGTCTCTACTAATAATACAAAAATTAGCCAGGCATGGTGGTGCATGCCTGTAATCCCAGCTACTCAAGAGGCTGAGGCAGGAGAATCGCTGAACCTGGGAGGTGGAGGTTGCAGTGAGCTGAGATCGCGCCACTGCACTCCAGCCTAGGCGACAAGAGCAAAATTCTGTCTCAAAAAAAAAAAAAAAAATTCAGTTGAGCTTCATTATTCACAGATTTCATATTTTTCTAATTAGGGAACTTCTCCCTAAAATGTATTTGCAACTCCAAAACCAGTCCTTGAGGCACCTTCATGGTCATTTGCAGACATACACAGACCAGCAAAATATTTGAGCAGCTCAATGCACATGTCCAGCTAAGGTCCAACCAGGTGCCACTGTGCCTTCTGGTTTCAGCTCTCCTACTGTACACAAGTCTCCTTTTCATGGTCGCCTTAGTGTCACATTTTTCATATTTCTGAGCATTTTGTTGGTGATTTTGTTGTGTGAAATGCCACACAGGCACAGTGTTCACGTGCTGTCTAGTATTCCTAAGCACAAAAAGTCTGCAATGTGCCTTGAGAAAATGCATGTGTTAGATGAGATTCGTTCAGACATGAGTTGTAGAGCAGTTGGCGCGAGGCCAATGTTAATGAATTAATACTGCATACTAAATAAACTGTCTTTCAACAGAAACCTATAAAATAATGTGATCTATTGATCAGTTAACTAAATGTGACCACAAGCTCGCCAATACCTAACCCTGTACATCTTCTGGAAGCAATGGTTCAGTATTTGCTAATTTGGTGTTCATAGTGACTTTATAGAAAGCTAACTATTGCAAATAACAAGAATCAACTGTACAGGGTGCTCTATAAGCACTAAACAGGGATCTTTCTCGCCATAACGTATCTATCAATCCTTGGTCATATTCTCATAGCCCTCAGCCCTGTGTGTGAAAGGCTGCTGAGTGCAAATATCAGCAATGCCACCTGAAGTCTTTTATCTGACTTTCAACATGCAGGCAAGCTGGACATCCAAGAGCACCCTGACCCATGGAACTCTCCCCAACCAGGACAGTCTGGGGATGTGTCAGATGACGCCCAGCCTCCTGGAGCCTCAAATGGGATAATTCGGAGGCATGTTCCCCACTGCTTCCCAGAGCTCCCCCAGAGAAATTGACCTCCTGTTGTTTGTGGTGGTAACTGGTTTGATAACACATCCTTTGGTGGCTTCGATCACTTCCTGTCTCGCTTCTTCACTCACTTAACATGGGAATATATCCTAGATACACTACTGGCACTCAAATCCTTGTCTCAAGGTCTGCTATATAGGAACCCAAACCAAGACACATGCTAATCCCAAAGCTGTCACACATACCTCAATTGAGGTGATGCCATTGCAAAGTCACAACCAACATGATGATACCCACCCCCAACCAAGTATAATAATACATGACTTAGAGGCACACTGACTGCCCATAACACAAGGTGGTCCCAGTCACAGAGTTTAGAACCCCACACTAGGGACCCATCTGTGGTTCAACCCTTTGGTGACTCCCTGGAGCTGCTAGAACATCTATGACAAGACAGCTCCTAACAGCCCAGAGTATGTGACATGTGCTCAAAATTCGCAACGAATGAAACTGTAGTAGACTTGTAACCCCATTTTGCAAGTAACACAAAACCATTGTGGTAGAAATGTACACCGTGGGTTTTTTAATTTTTAAAATTAAAACATCATGGTTGTACATGTTTGGGGGTACGTGTGATATTTTGAGGCATGTATACAATGTGTAATGATCAGATCAAGGTAATTGGGATTTTTAAGCAAGGAAATGGCAATACAAATTGTATTGACAAAGTGGATGGGTAGGAAGGAAGATAAACTCCTGTTCTCTAGTTAAATGAGAGAATAAAACATTTATTGAGCTATTTTAATTTAAATATATTCAAAATCAAAAACCAAATTCTAAATGGAGGCGGCAGGGAGACAGAAAGGGAGAGAATGACAGGGACAGAGAGAAGAAAGTCCTACATGAACAGAACAAAGGCATTCACCCCCACCAAGAACCTGTCACCCTGAGACCCAAGCCCTGTGGATAACACTATGGAGTAAAGGTCTGGTCAGAGCAGGGCTGGTGGGAACTGCGAGCTCAGCCTTCCCCAGGCTGTTGATGGCATACACGGTAGCAGGCAGATCCTGTGCAAGGGGGAAACCACAGGCAGGAAGCAGCCTCTGTCTTTATGCCTTTCTAAGATATTTATACACTCCACTGTGGCCAGCAAACATAACTGGTATAACTTGGATGAAATTTTAATTATATGGGATTTTAATGATTTAAGTTGCTGTGGGCGGAGAGGGGAGGATAATAAGGAGGAAGTGAAGGTTCACCCAAGTCCAGCTGTCTGTTTCCCCTCAGCCCCCTAGAAAAACCAGCATTCCAGAGGAAGGTCTCAAGGTTCACTGTTGAAGGTAGGAGACAGCCACATAATTCTAGCTACTGGCTATGGGCACTGGCTGTGTCAATATCCAGTCTCGCCACAACATGTCAACAAGTTTACAGATCTGGAGTTGATAATCTTGCTATAAAAAGGGTTATGGGGAACATTGGCATCTCCATACTGCGCACTTCCACCTGTCATTTCTCCTATTCTTCCTTGTCTCTCTTTCTGCTTTACTCCTCTGGACTGGCACTTGCACTGTCGACAAAAAAAAAAAAAAGCAAAACTCTCCAAAATATTTGAAGAGGTTTATTTTGAGCCAAATATAAGGGCCATGGCCTGTGACACAGCCTGAAAAGGTTCTGAGAACATGTGCCCAAGATGGTTTGGTTATAGGTTGATTTTATACATTTTATGGAGACAGAAGGCAAAGACATAAATCAATACATGGAAGGTGTAGATTGGTTGGGCCCAAAACAGAGGTACATCTCCAAGAGTAGAGGGGCTTCCTGCTCATAGAAAGATTCGAAGATGTCCTGATTGGTAATTGGTTGAAAGGCGTAAGCTTTTCCTGAAGAGGTAAAGTCAGCATAAAGAAATGTTTGAGTTAAGATAAAGGGGATGTGGAAGCCAAGGTTCTTGTTAGGTGCATGAAGCCTCTAAGTCATAGGATTCAGAGAGAATAGATGATAAATGTCTCTTTTGGACCTTAAACAGTGTCAGACTCTCTGAAAAAGGCCTAGTAAGGGAAGGAAATTCTCTATAGAATGCAAATTTCCCCCAGAAATTTCCTGGCTTTGCAGGGCCATTCCAAAACCTGTCAAAGAAATATATTTCAGGATGAAATAGTTTGATTTCCTTCTTGGCAACTATCTGTCTCGTGATGCTGTACCAGAGCCAGGTTGGAGTTGGGTATCTTATTGCTACAAATAGTCTGTTTAGTCAGTCTTAAGATCTGTTTTAATGTGAATCCTGGTCAGTTTTGCCTAAACTCCAAAGGGAGGCATTTTCAACACCCCCTGCTTCCTGTCATGGCCCAAACTAGTTTTTCGGGTTTCTTTGGGACCCCTTGGCCAAGAGAGGGGGTCCATTCAGTCAGTTGGGGAGGTTAGAATTTTATTTTTGGTTTACACCATCTCCTGTCATTGTCAAGAGCTGTGTCAGAGGGAGACCAAAGTGTTCTATTCAGAATACGCCATCATTATCTTGCAAACACTAAGGAGAAGGCCACCCTTGATTGGTCTCAATGTGGAGCAGTGTGGAACCATAGAAGGGACCTCCATAACACTTTCACCCAACACCGACTTTGCTGACACACACCTTGCAAAGGCAGGAATGGGGTCATACTTGGGCCAGTGGGGTCATACTTGGGCCATGGAGCTCATGTAAACCAAAAGTAAAATTCTAAGCCCTCTAACGGACTGAATGGACACCCTCTTGGCCAAGGGGATCCCAAAGAAACCTGAAAAACTAGTTGAGGCCATGACAGGAAGCAGGGGGTGTTGGACATGCCTCCCGTTGGAGTTTAGGCACAACTGACCACCATTCACATTGAAAGGGATCGTAAGACTGATCAAACAGATTCTTTGTAGCAATAAGACATCCAATTCCAACCTGACTCCGGTATAGCATCACATGACAGATAGTCGGCCCTAAAGGAAATCAAACTATTTTATCCCAAAATATATTTAACAAGAACCTTGGCTTCCACATTCCCCTTATCTTTTTTTTTTTTTTTTTTTTTTTTTTTTTTGAGATGAAGTCTCACTCTTTTGCCCAAGCTGGAGTACAGTGGTGTGATCTCCACTCACTGCAGCCTCCCCTCCTGGGCTCAAATGTTTCTTCTGCTCAGCTTCCCCAGTAGCTGGGATTACAGGCGCCTGCCACCATGCCCAGCAATTTTTTTGTATTTTCCATACAGACGGGGTTTCACCATTTTGGCCAGGCTGGTCTCGAACTCCTGACCTCAAGGGATCCGCCCCCTTATCTTAATCCAAGCATTTCTTTATGCTGATTTTACTTCTTCAGGCAAAGCTTACCTCTTTCAACCAACTGCCAGTCAGGAAATATTTGAATCATCCCGTGAGCAGGAAGCCTCCCTACCCTTGGAGATGTCCCACCTTTCTGTGCCAAACAAATGTACACCTTCCATGTATTGATTTATGTCTTTGCCTGTAACTTCTGTCCCCCTAAAATGTATAAAAGCAACCTATAATAAAACCATTTTGAGCACATGTTCTCAGAGCCTCTTGAGGCTGTGTCACAGGCCATGGCCTTTAACTTTGGCAAAATAAACCTTTAAATTGAGACCTGTCTCAGATACTTTGGTTTACACTCAAAAGGCCCTTTTTAAACTATCACATAATTCTATTCAGCAGAACTACAACATCTGATTTTGCAGTCACATGCTTTGGGAGGATCTGCAGGATGGCTGAGTGGACCAGCAAGAAAGTTTGTGTTTTCATTCACTCAGTCATTTACTGAGAACTAGCTACTCGGCTAGATGCCTTGAGGGCTGCCTCAATGAATATGATGGAAGTTTGATCCTCAAGCCCTTGACAATATGGCAGGAGGCAGCACACATGCACAAACAATGAAACAAAGCAAAGTGCCCTGACCAAGAACATGGGTAAGAGGCTCTCAGCTGAGAGTTCAAGAAAGCCTCACAGATGGCATTTGAACTTGGCCTTCAAGGACAGATAGGCTTTCCGTAGGAAAAGACAAATGATTCCAGGTAAAATGAACAGAAGTAGGAAGGTACAAGGTGAGGGCATTCAGGCACGAGAAGTATTTCATTTTAGGTGAGTTATATGTATGCTAAAGGAGGTAAGGCTAAAAGAGTTAGGTTAGGGCTAGAATTTTATGTTAGAGGCAATGGGGAGGCAATGAATGTCAGAGCTTGGTTCAACCCTTCCCTTCAAAGATTAGATTCCCACACCTAGAGAGGATCAGAATCTTTTCCAAGATCCCATAGCCTGTCAGAGCTGGTGCTGGGTTCCCCATCCAGGGACTCCACTGTGTGTGGCTATTTCACAATCAGAACTGAGCCTTAGGACAAATAATCTGGCAGCAGAATAAAGAATGGATGACAGAGGTGGAGGGACAACAGGCACGGGAGATGCAAAGAGGCCAGGTTCCAGGAAAGGAACACTAGGCACCTGGAGCCAGCTCATGGCGTGGAAATGTGAAGGAAGGTAGGAGTCCAACAGCAATTGTGGAGGGAGAATTTGTAGGCCAAGATGACTGTTTGGTTGTGTGGGCTGTGGCAGAGTGAGGAGGAAGAGTTGATTCCAAGGTTTCAAGTTTGAGTGACTACGAGGCCCTTTTATGGGCAAAGGAAACTGCCCACTCTTTCCTTAGCTTCTGGCAGGGCACCTTCCTTTCTTCCACCCTGCTGCCAAGAGCACTCCCTCATAGGTGTCCTGGCCCCCAAGTCAAGACTCTCTGTGGAGCCCTTGCTCCCTGACATGTGACAATGTCAACACTGTTATTCCTTTTTGTTAAGTCTCCATCTTCTTGGATTTCTTAGTTCCATGAGCTTTTATTACTTACTCTAACTTTCCTTCAGCCCCACAAAATGCAATTTTCTTCTAAGTTTATATTCTTTTCTCTTTTCTTGTTAGCAACATATGACAGAAACCCAATTCAAACCAGTTCAAGTGAAAAAGAAAATGTATTGGTTCCTAAAATTGAAAAGTTTGTAAGGAGATATGTCTTTAGGTATAACTGGATTCAGGGATCTAAACTGCATCTGTCTCTCCCTCTCCCTCTCTCTCTCTCTCTCCCTCTCTCTCTCTGCTATACTTTTGTTTCTGTTGGCTTCCCTCCTAGGCAGACTCTACTGCTCTACTGATAATACGACCTCCAGCAGTTCTATGGCCCTCCAGCTTAGTTGCTCTTGTAGAAGGAAAAGAAAGTTCCAATGTATTCAACAAAAGTGCCAGGATTTCATTTTATTAGAACCAAGTTGGTCCAATGCCATTCCTAAACCAATCCCAATGACCAGAGGGCTGGAATGTGCTGATTGGCCAGGCCTGAATGGCAGATGGCCAGGGTTGGGCTCATTCGAATCACATGAACTAACAGTTGGAAAGAGTGTGTCCGCTAAGAGGAGACTCAAAGGTAAACCACGTAATTCTCTAACCACATGTTGGCTAGGAAAACAACATGTAGTTGTTGTTGTTTACATCTATTTACATCTGTTCACATCCTAAATATCTTATGTGTAGGCCTGGTTTCTCTGTGGATTTCTGGACCCCTTACTGGATACTTTCTGTTAAACATGTCATTTCTGTTTTAAACTCTATACATTCAAAGGTAAATGCTTCTCCTGCTATATTTCCTATTTGCACGGGAGGTGCAAATAGGAAATCCTAAGTCACCGGAAATCATGACTCTGGAGTCATTTGTATTCTTTCCTCATCCACAAAAGGCATGTACTTGTACATATAGATGAATACACAAATGCACATCCCAGTCCTCTAATTCCTTCTCCACTTCATCTCTCGCAGCAGCCACTGATGTGGCAGAGTGTAAAGATGGCCAGATCCTTCACTCTTTTCTATCCACTCATTTTCCACCATGATTTTGCAATAGGTAGAGTTTATTTCCCCACCCAGTGAATCTGGGTTGGACTTGGAGTTTTCTTTGGCCAATCTAAGCCTGTCTTTGTGACTTGCTCTCCTGGCTTCACCATGACATCATGCTCAAGCTAACCTGTGAAGCAAAGACAAGCCATCCCCCTGAGCCCATCCTAGACTAGTCAGACACCAGGTGACCTGGCCACTGACCAAAGATGTTTATGCTTATACTGACCAGAGATGTTTATGTTAAGCAAAGCCAAAAGCACAAAAACTGCCAACCTGAGCCCAGTCCAACTTGATGATCCACAGACCCATGAGCTAAATACATGGTCGCTATTTTTAAACCATTGCATTTAATATTTCCGTGTTAGACAGCTAATGTTAACTGATACACTTTCTTTCCTAAGCCATGCTTCCATTTCCATCTCACCTGGCTGATGAGTTAAGGCTGGAGTTGGCCTTGGAATAACTAGTAACAATTATTTCTAACACTTACATAATACTTACTCTGTGCCAGACAGCATTCTAAGCACCTACATATAATAACTCATTAGAAGTTTCACAGCAATAAAATGTATCACTGTCTAGGGTATGGGAACACTGGAGTGCACATGATAGAGAATCACTGGAAGACATTATAGATATAGTTTGGATGTTAGTCCCCTCCAAATCTCATGTTGGAACGTGATCCCCAACGTTGGAGGTGAGGCCTAGCGAGAGGTGTTTGGGTCATAGAGGAGGATCCTCCTGAATGACTTGGTGCTCTCCCGGCAGTAATGAGTTCACATGAGATCTGCTTGTTAAAAAGTCAGGGAACTCCCCGCTCTCTCTCTTGCTCCCTCTCACCATATGACATGCCTGCTCCCCTTTCATCTTCCACCATGATGAAAAGCTTCTTGAGGCCTCACCAGGAGCTGAGCAGATACGGTTGCCATGCTTGTACAGCCTGCAGAAATGTGAGCCGAATAAACCTCTTTTCTTTATAAATTACCCAGTAGCAGGTATTTTTTATAGCAACGCAAAACAGATTAATACAGTTATTCAGCCTCAAAACAGAAGCCAAGCATTCAGTGATATTTGGTCCCCTAAATATCATGAAGCATCAGGGACTTCCATGAGACCAGTTTCATCCATTATATACCATCTCTCTCCAGCATGGAGTCTCCAGCCCAAGAATAAAATTTTATTTTTAAACAGCCACACTAAACCATCCATCACTCTAAAAAGAATCCAAGGATTTCATACAAATCAATGGGAATTGCCCATGCATCTCTGAGAACTAAATTGCTCTTTATTGATTAAAAACCCATTCAAATAAAATATTTTGTATTAAAAGGGGATTGCATTACTTTATCCTCTTGCAATGTTTATCAAAGCTACTGTGTTTAACAGACAAATTTAATCAGAGCAATTATCTACTAAGTATTTAAAGATAGCAGTACCAAATAGTAAAGATTACCCCAACCACCCATCAATTAATCTGTCATTGTTCCAAAAAATAACCCATATCAAAAGTGAATCCTACGAACATTCTACCAGGGAAAGTTATCTATTGCAAAAGACCCGCAGGGTGGTGGTAGAGGGGATGTGAAAGAGAGAGAAGTGGTTTAAGAAAACACAGCATTTTAAAAATTAAATTAAGGATTATATTTAAGGACTATTTGAGAATCTTACACATTGTAAGACTAACCTCAATACCTTTTTTTTTTCAGTTAGTCTAAAATTTCCAGTAACTATTTTGTTTATTGTTTTTACTCTATTTTTCCCAAGCATACAGGAGAAGGAAGAGCTGGTTCCCTTTATTAACAGGTGAAGTTGAAAGGGAGGTTTTATAGTCAGTCATAAAAATGAGCCCAGTTAAGAATTTTATTTTTGTTGAAAAAGCACCACAAGATAGGTAAAGGTCAACTTTAGCAAGATTGTAAAACGGGGAAGTAGTAGAATAAGCCTGGGCCTGTTTCCCAGAACAAAAGAGCTCATTGTGCTGGAGACCTTATCACCTAGGCACAGGTAGGCATTCTGTGCCCTGGAAAACATCGGTTTTATTCTTGAAGCCTGAAAAATAATGCTTCCCTAAACCTCAGACTATTTTCATCCCTGTCACTGCTAAATACACACAAATGTTCAATAAACATATATGAGCACAAAGAGCAATAAAGAAATAGGGCAAAGATGACCTTACTTTGATGGTATAAGATTAAACACTAGACATTAGATCATTTCAGGTCACAAAACCACCAAATATATGCCACACAATATACCATGTATTTAATCATTTGCTATCCTGTTAAGATGTTCCTTTTACATGGCTTGCAAACAAATTGGCATTGCATTTCCTAATATTAGTAACTGCAAAATGTAAGAGGTGGAAAAACTTTTGTAACGGGTGAAGTATTAAAAAATGACAAAAAGAAAAATCTCTTAGATCAGGTGAGAGAAAATGATGTTGGTAATGTTATGTTTCATTGACTGCCCAGAAAAATTGAAAAATGTCATAAATAGACAAGTTCCATTCTGTTTTACTACAGAAGATCTTCAAAGAAAAAACCCACACAATCCTGCTTGCCACTAGTTACGTCCGTCATATTGCTGGGTACTCTTGCTGTCTCAAAATGGAAGCCTGGGCTAGCCTTTTAGCCTTTTCTCAATCTCTCTTCAGCACAAACCTGAAATGAGTTTAGCTTTAAAGTGGTCGTAGAAATGTTTTTCTTATAGTGCAGTGAATCCGCACAGCTGGAGGAGTTCAATATGGCAGATCAAAGGCTTGCTCCAGTAGCTCCGCTGGAATTTCCTCTTCACAACAGTGTCACTCCAGAACCGTTTCATAGTAGTTAAATGGATTGTTGTAATCTACAAAAATAACAGACGATGAACAGGTTAGTCTTGTGCAGCTGTTGAGAGGATAGTCAGAATTTCAAAATCCTAATATTCCCTACATCACCAACATTTTTCTACGGATCAAAAAGCTTGGCTGGGTGCGGTGGCTCATGCCTATAATCCCAGCAGTTTGGGAGGTCAAGATGGGTGGATCATTTGATGTCATGAGTTCGAGACCAGCCTGACTAACATGGTGAAACCCCATCTCTACTAAAAAATACAAAATTAGCCTGGCACGGTGATGCATACCTGTAATCCCAGCTACCTGGGAGGCTGAGGCAGGAGAATCACTTGAACCAGGGTGGCAAATGTTGCAGTGAACCAAGTTTGCGCCATTGCACTCCAGCCTGGACAAGAGGAAAACTCTGTCTCAAAAAAAAAAAAAAGTTTATAGCTCACTTTGAGTTTCCACCTACACATCTACAAAGATGTTGCTATCATTTTGCTCATGGAATGGTGGAGCTAGACTTGGACAAAGCCCCGAAGGCCATCATTCCTCATTTCATAAATGTGGAAATGAGAAAATGGGAGAAAAAAAACAAAGGACTTGCCCAAGATCACACAGCCAGCCAATGGCAGAGCAGGGATGAGAAACTGAGTCTCTGGACATTCAGCTAAGTAATCTTTCCATTCATGATAAATAAGTAACCTTGAAGCTTTTAAAATAAATACAAGTTTGCTTGTAGCAAAGCTGCTAATGATAGAGCTTAAAAAACACATATGCAGAAGGAGAATTTTGCTTTCTAAGGGTATCAGAACATTTTGCGGCACAGTTTTATTGATCTAGTTAAAAAGACCATATTTAGACCGGGCACAGTGGCTCACACCTGTAATCCCAGCACTCTAGGAGGCCAAGGTGGGTGGATCACTTGAGGTCAGGAGTTCAAGACCAGCCTGGCCAACATGGTGAAACCCCATCTCTACTAAAAATACAAAAATTAGCCAGGCGCAGTGGCATGTGCCTGTAATCCCAGTTACTCAGGAGGCTGAGGCAGGAGATCGCTTGAACCCAGGAGGCAGAGGTTGCAGTGAGCCGAGATCGCGCCACTGCACTCCAGCCTGAGCAAAAGAGCAAGGCTCCATCTCAAAAAAAAAAAAAAAAGCATCATTTAAAGCCATGAGAACTTATAAAAATGTTAAGACCTCTTTCTACAAACTACAAAGGATATTCTGATAAAGGTAATCAGGGCTATGTAACGTTTAGCTTCTCTGGAAGCAATGATCAAGTTTTACAGCTGCTTTACAGAACACCAGGAATGACAGGTAAATGCTGCTTAATGAGTGCTAGACATTCATGAAGAATGACATTCTTTCAAGTCTTTCAATTGGCTTTCCCATCTACTCTCATTACAAACTCTGGGACGGTCATCACCATCCTTGAGCTTCCTGTGACTTACCCGTGTTCCAGATGCCATTTCACAAGAGAAGTTAATACAGAGTGGAAATTTCTATCTGTGGCATAACAGCTCTGACAAAGAAAGGCAAAATAAACTCGTGTCCTTTAATCAACATTTGCTCAGTACCTGCGCTATAGCAGGTACTGAGTTAAATGCTACAGGTGATACAAAAAAGAATAGGCTTTGATGTTTGCCCTCGAAGACTTCACAGACTTCTAAGTCCTAGCAAAATAAATAAAATGCTAAGGGACCACAGAGAAAATCTTTTAGTCCTGAGGAAGCAGGCAAGCCAAGAGGTCATAAGGATGGCTTCACAGAGGAGGTGTTCTGCTATTTATCGCTGTTTCATAGACCACCCCCAAATTTAGTAGCTTAGGACTATGATGACATTTAGTTTTCTCCTGAACCTACAATTTGGTTTTTTTAACTTTTCCAAATTTGTTTTTTTTTTTAACTTTTCCAAATATTTATTATTTCTAGTTGACATTTTTAGATTTTTTTGTTGATGCATAATGCACATGTAGAAAAGTGTGGAAGTTCCAAGTGTACAGCTCCCGGAATGATCACAAAGCAAGCTCACCTGAGCAACCACAACCCAGGTCAAAACTAGAACACTGAAGGGTCTCAAGAGACCTGCTATGCCTCCTACCAATCATTCTGTCCTCCCTCCTCTCTGAAGGTAATCACATTATTGACTTCTAAGACAATAATTGTTTTGCCTGTTTTTAAACTTTATAAACTTTTTTATAAAACTAGTTTATTAAGTTTATTAAACTGTATCAATAACTTCAAATTCACATATTGAAGTTTATTAGACTATATTAATAACTTCAAATTTATACATTTATATTTTATATTAACATTATATTAATACAATAGGACCCTTTCATGTCTGGCATTGTTCACTTAATACCATTTTTGAGATTTATTTATATTGTTGCAATAGTTGTAGGTTTTTTTTGCTGTACAGCATTTCAGTGTGGAACTATACTATGAGTTTTTAATCCATTCTGCTATTGATGGACATTTGGATACATTCTAGTTTGAGGATATTTATGTCTTTGGTGTGCAGATATACACAATTCTGTTGAATATGTACTAGGAAAGGAAATGCTGGGCTAGAAAATATGTGTATGTTAATCTTTAGCAGATACTGCCAAACAGTCTTCAAAAGTGGTTGTATGAATTCAGACTCCCAACTCTACAGTCTAAAAACTGTGGCACGGGTGAGAGTTCCAGTTGTTTCACATCCTTATCAGCATTTAGTATTGTTGGCCCTGAAATTTTAGCCATTCTGGTGGACCTGTAGTAGTATCTCATTGTAAATTTCATTTGTATTTCCCTGACAGTCAATGAGATTGAGCATTGTGAATCTGCGATTTGGTCAGAGCCCACTGGGGCTGGTTTGTCTCTGCTCCACTCAGCATCAGCTGGGGCTGCTCAAAGTCTTGGTCACTAGAATCATCTGAAGGCTCCTTCACCCATATTTCTGGAGATTGACGCTCATAACTTGGGACTGTTAGCTAGAACACCTATACACAGCATCTTCCTGTTACCTGGGCTCCCTCAGAACATGGCTGGATGTTAATTAAGTTTCGTGTAGGGGGAGAAAGCAGAAAAGAGAGGGGATGTCTAGGAGCAGTGGCTTATATTTGTAATTCCAGCACTTTGGGAGGCCAAGGCAGTAGGATCTATTGAGCCCAGGAGTTTGAGGCTGCAGAAAGCTATGACTGCACCACTGCATGTTGGCCTGGGTGACAGAGCCAGACTCTGTCTCTAAATAAAAAAATTAAATTAGACCAGGCACAATGTTCATGCCTATAATCCCAGCACTTTGGAAGGCTGAGGCTGGAGGATTGCTTGAGCTCAGGAATTCAAGACCAGCCTGGGCAATACAGTGAGACTCCAGCTCTATAAAAAATAAAAATAGAAATTAGTCAGGAATGGTGGCATGTGCCTATAGTTCTAGCTACTCTGGAGACTTAGGCAAGAGGATTGCTTGAGCCCAGAATTCAAGGTTGCAGTAAGTTACGATCGTACCATGGCACCCCAGCCTGGGCAACAGAGTGAGATCTTGTCTCTACAACCAGTTAATTAATTAATTTAAAAAGGAGGAAGAGAGAATATTAGTGGCAGCCACATTGCCTTTTGTGACCTAGCCTCAGAAGTCACACAACATCAATTCTGCCACATGAGATTCACATGGTCACAAAGTCCTGTCAGCCACTGAATGGAGAAATTATAAGGCTCTAGAAGAGATGGGAAATATCACTGTTGTATTTTGGGAAACTAAAATCTACCACAGGTGATAATTTTTTAGAACCTGAAGGATGAATTTTTTTCCAAGTGAAGAGTTGAATGTTTAGGCAAAGAAGAAGAAAATAATCAAGTAGATGGAAATGTATAGCACATTACCTGACAATAAAAAAAACTGAAATCATAGGGAAAATAATTAAAATACACTAATTCAGAATCATTTTTATTAATGTGAGAAGGATAAAAATAAAATAAAATTTCTATCCCATCACTGTTCATTTATTATGTGCTAGGCACTGTGAAAAATATTCCTATTTAATTCTCACAACAATCCTAACTAGAAGATTTTTCTATCCCCATTTTATGGATGAAGGAACTGAGTTTCTGAAAATTTAAAAGATTTATGTAACTAGTAAGAGGATCCCATGCAAACTCTGTCTAGTTCCAAAGCTCATGGTCTTAACGACGGTGCTAGTCTGGAAACGGAAAATAAGAACTAAATCTAAGCAAAAAACCTAGAACTGTTGTATTAACTACGAGATTACCAGTGATGAGTGGATAAACCCCCAAATCTCAGTAGAGTAATATAACCAAGGTTTATTTTTGTTCATGTAAATTCTGAATGTTTCTGATCAACAAGACTCTCTTTCAAGCAATAATTTAGGGGCCTATGCCTCTTCTTTCTTGTGGCCCCACTGTCTTCCGTATTTTCTCTCTGAGGTTGCCCTTGAAGGAGAAACACCTGGGAGATTTTTATGGCTTAGGCCTGGAAGTGACATCACTCACTTCCACTCACATTCTATTGGCTGAACTCAGTCACATGGCCATACCTAACAGCAAAGGAGATTGGGAAATGTGTCTCCACCACAGCACTTAGTGATCGAAGTCCCTCTTTCATAGAACTGTGGCATTTGCTTAAAGCATTGAGAAATACTATAGAAATAAATTAGCACTTCACTTGCATTATTTAAATCGATAGATTTTTACTTATTTCTCCTCATATCAAGATGTGGAATTCTACAAATCATTAGCACATAACCTAAAGGCAAACTCATCAGTAATAATTTCCTTTGGGGTTTGTTTTAGTTTGTGTTGTGTCTTGTTCTGTTTTTTTGTTTTTTGTTTTTTTTGGGTTTTTTTTGAGACAGGGTCTTCCTCTGTCCCCTAGACTAGAGTGCAGTGGTGTATCATAGCTCACTGCAGCCTCAAACTGCTGGGTTCAGATGATCCTCCCATCTCAGCCTCCTGAGGAGCTGAGACTACAGGTGCATGCCACCACACCTGGCTATTTTCTTGTTTTTAGTACATATGGGGTCTCCCTATGTTGCTCCGGCTGGTCTCAAACTCCTGGCCTCAAGCAATCCTCCTGCCTCAGCCTCCCAAAATGGTGAGATTACAAGCATGAGCCACTGTGTCTGGCCTCCTGTGTTTGTTTATAAATGAGGCAATAAAAATTATATTATGAATACCAGACTAAAGGGGAGAGTTATAGGTTGAGTTAGCCATTGCCAAACATATAAGTTAATAAAGATTTTGGAGTTTTCAGTAAATAAGATAACCTGTAATTAAGAATTAGTAAGGAGAGAAGACATTACAATACACATGTAAATGATATTAAATGTGCCCGCATTTTGGATTTTGATGACTTAAACTTGTATACTATCTACAACTGCCCCTTGTTGTTCTTTGAAAGCCGGGCATGCTCCTGTGTCCAGGTCTTTACTCTGGGGAAAGAGCTTTACAGGCAGAGGAAACAGCTAGCAAAGAAAAGATAATCTGCCCACAATAGCGTGTACAGTTGGAAAGCAGCTGTTCACGCTATGGAGCTGATTTCCAAACCTGATCTGGAAAGCAGAGATCCAAAGCACTGCACAAGGCCAAACAGTAGGCCCCACAGGGGAGGTGCAGACCCAGAGGTGGCTCTGAAACTGAAATCCTGTTGATGGGTGGACCAAGCTTGAGTTTAGTTACCTTGGAGACAACAGAATCCCTTCAAAGTAATTATCTTTGCCAGGCGTAATGGCTCACACCTATAATCCCAGCACTTTAAGAGACTGAAGTCAGGAGTTCGACACCAGCCTGGCCAACATGGTGAAACCCCATCTCTACTTAAAATACAAAAATTAGCCGGGCATGGTGGCACATCCCAGCTACTCCAGAAGCTAAGGCACGAGAACCCAGGAGGCAGAGGTTGCAATGAGCTGAGATTGTGCCACTGCACTGCAACCTGAGCAACAGAGCAAGACTTTGTCTCAAAAAATAATAATTATTATTATTATCTTCATATAAGGAAAGAGTATATTAAGGGAACTTTTAAAGCTGAAAATCATTCATCTTCATCCTCAACCCGTCCCACTCTAACAAGGACATGAAGCGAAAGCACTAAATTACAATATAACAGATTTTTGTTAAGCATGAAAAACTTTGAGGGATTATTCATGAATAAGAATAGGAAACAATGAGAAAGGCTTCACTCTGCTTAATAAGAAACCTCTGGGCAGATATAGAACATGCTTTTGGTTAGTCCTTGAAACTCCAATTGTAAATATAACATGCTTTGGGGATAGGAGCTGAAATCAGATGGTGTAGTCCTAACACTGAATCGTCTCAGGAGGCAACATTTCCAGAGATCTTTCAGAAAATTCCCTATCTCTGGAGAGTGATGGCGGGGTGAGGGTTGAAAAATTACCTATTCAGCACAATGCTCACTGTTGGGGTGATGGTTACGCTAAAAGCCCAGACCTCACCGCTACGTGATATAGCCATGTAACAAAGCTGCTCTTGTACACCCAAACATATAAAAATAATAATTTTTTTAAAACCTACCTACCTCCCTCTCTTGAAGGAGACTATGGACTGAATGTTTATTTCCCCTAACAAGAAATTCATCAAGCCCTAATACTCAATGTGATGTTATTTGGAGGAGAGGTTTTGGGGAGGTTTGCTGTGTAACTTATGATGGGGTTACATCCTGATCAACCCATCATGAGTTTAAAATATTGTTAAGTCTCCTGTAATCCCAGCACTTTGGGGTGCCTGTAATCCCAGCACTTTGGGAGGCCAAGGTAGATGGGTCACTTGAGGCCAGGAGTTTGAGACCAGCCTGGCCAATATGGCAAAACTTCGTCTCTACTAAAAATACAAAAAAATTAGACAGGTGTGGTGGTATGTGCCGGTAATCCCAGCTACTTGGGAGGCTGAGGCATGGGAAGCGCTTGAACCCAGGAGGCGGAGGTTACAGCTAGCTGAGATTGCACCACTGCACTCCAGCCTGGGTGATAGAGCAAGATTTTATCGCAAAAAAAATATATATATATATATGCACAATTAATCCTCCTAACCTACTCAATATGATAGCTTAGCTGACCCTAGCTTCTATGCTCAGAACACTTACATTAGCCTACAGTTGGGCAAAATCATCTAACACAAAACCTACTTTATTATTGAATATCTCATGTAATTTATTGAATACAGTACCAAAAAGTAAAAAACATATGGTTGTATGGATACTCAAAGTACTGTATAATTTTCACACCACCGTAAAGTCAGAAAGTCATCAGTCAAACCATCATAAGCTGGGAACCATCTGTAATTAGGTCTTGAGTGTGGAGCCCTCATGAATGGGATTAGTGCCCTTATAAAAAGAAACAGAGTGATAATTTTTCTGTCTACCATGTGAGAATACATCAAGAAGGCATTAGTCTACAAACCAGGATGAAGGTCCTCATGAGGAACTGAATCAGCCAGCACCTTGATTTTGGACTTCCCAACTTCCATGACCCTGAGAAATAAATGTTGGTTAAGCCTCCCCATCTATGGTATTTGTTATAGCAGCCTGAAATGAGTAAGAGGCTAAAACCAGTATCACTTTAATAATGAAAGTAGAGTCCCAACTCCTCAAATGAGCTTTCCCTTAGCACAGAGGAAATTTGTGCCTTTCACTTAATTTGTGTTTACAAACCCAGCTATTTGGGGTAGAGATAGGTATAGAAGAAACAAGGTCAGGGAGTTCTTCAAAACCTCAAGTATACTCATCTGAGAGCAGAAAAATCCAAATACAGAAACTGAATTATAATGCATTCACACTACCCATTGCTCAAGTACAAATTCACTTGTCATGTGCTTCCTTTGGGATTTTTCTCTTCCAGTAGCTAGGCGGGAGAGAAAAATTTAATTAATCTTAAAAGCTCCAATGTGCTTTGCAGCGTGGAAGAGGTCACAAAGAATACCAAAATTTTTCAGCAACCACTTCAAACATAGATAGAAAATTAAGTTGATTTTGTCAACTTCAGATACAAAGGCATAGAAGTAATCCCAATTCTAGTCATCTCTGGTGTTTTGATTTTTACATTTTCTACCAGGGTTAGCTATGATAGGAAAAAAAAAATAGAAGCAATGCAAATATTCCACAGTGGGAGAATAGTTGGTAAATTACAGCAAAGTAAGTCATCATCATAACTAACAACTATTAAGAGCTTATTTTGTGACAGGCACTGTGCTATGCAATTTCGATGTATTACCTCATTCAGTCATCACAATAATCTCCATTTCACATGTAACTAAATTTGAGACACAAAGACGTTCCATAAATTCCCTGAGACCATAGAACTAATAAGCAGGAGTCTGAATATAAACTCAGGACTCCGGTGTCCTTGTTTTTAAGCACTACACGATGCTACTCTGTGGTCAGACATGTCCCCTCTATGAAGGGAATTAATAGTCTCCAGGAGAGTTAGATGTGTAAATAAACATAACTATAATACCTTGTCTAAGTGCAATGTCAGAAGTACAGTACCTAGGAAATCTTCCCAAATAAAGTAACATATGCTTACATTTTGAGGATCAGATTGGAAAAAAAAAAGGAAAGAGTAAGTGATGGCATTCACAACAGAAGAAAAACTGTGTGCAAAGGTCCAGGGGAAGGCTTTGGAGATGTGATTGATAGCTGGCCACCAGTGACACTGTGCAGGAATATTCTAGAAGGTTGTGGCTGAGGGTGAGGCTAGAGATGGAGGCCTAATCACAAGTTCTCTGCCCCCTGGCTAAAAGGTCTTGGGGAGACCCAGAGCCAGACTTGAAGGGTCGAAAAAGTTCATGTTAGAAAGATGCATTTCAGAACCATGGGTGAGTGGCTCAGAGGGGACAAAGCGGATGCAAACAGATGTGTTAAGAAGTTATGGCAACAGTGCAGGTGAGAGATGATAATGGCTCAAATAAAGCAAGGGAATATAGACAGGACATGGTTAGCTCAAAAGGCGCTCAGGAAGTAACGTCGGTTAGACGTGGGGAATAATCGCCTGTGTGAGGAAGGGTCTATCTAAATGGCCTTCCAAGGTGCAGCCTCAGATGACAGCACTGATAGTTAGGATCTCTGGTTGTAATAGTGGAAACAGAGGAAGGAACCTGAGGCTGATCTGTCAGCTTAAGTGCCTGTAAGACATGCAGGAATAGACGCTTGGGAAGGCCTGGGGCCTTTAGAAGCAGTACGTACACTTTAGCACCCACAGACCATCAGTATGCAGCTTTTCCGGAACATTCCTAGGAAAGCACGACTGCCTTTTATCTAAACAAATGAAGTTAAAGTACACCTGAAAACCCCAGATGTTATGCATAAAACAAACATAACAAGCCTCTGAAAGGTGACGAAATGAAGGCAAACTGACAAGGGCCTGGAACCCCGAGGACCACACTGTGACAAGTTCCCTGGGTTTTCTTTTTGCCTCACTCATCCCAGACATGGTGCCAGAAAAGCCAGCAACTGAAAAACAGTAACAGGGGCAGACTAAAAAAGCCCCCAGGAGAAGCTACTGCTTCTAGCCGAAGAACAAAGAAAGGTATGGCCGGGCACGGTGGCTCATGCCTGTAATCCCAGCACTTTGGGAGGCTGAGGTGCATGGATCACTTCGGGTCAGGAGTTCGAGACCAGCCTGGCCAACATGGTGAAACCCCATCTCTACTAAAAATACAAAAATTAGCTGGGCGCGTGGTGGCACACGCCTGTAATCCCAGCAACTCAAGAGGCTGAGGCAGGAGAGCCACTTGAACCTGGGAGGTGGAGGTTGCAGTGAGGCGAGACTGTGCCACTGCACTCCAGCCTGGGCAACAGAGCAAAACTCCATCTCAAAAAAAAAGAAAAGAAAAGAAAAAAGAACAAGGAAAGTTACGACATAGCAAGACAGAAAACTTTTGGACAATAGCCACTCTACCCCAGCCATACACCACAGAAAAATAGAGCCCCACCTCCTCCTCCATCAGCAAAGGCCAAGAGGGGATCCTGGAATTCCACCCTCTCCCAGCGGTAACAATAACACCTCACTCTATCTCCTCCATCCCATTATTATGAAAGACGATTGAGTGAGGAGCCAGGATTGTCACCCACGCCAGCAACGTGAAACCCCCTTCATGGTGTCAATGGAGGCCATATGGGGATCTTGGGCTTCCACTTCCACCCAGAGGTAATAAGGCATTCCTCCTCCTCCCTAGCTTATCGAAAGGGTTTGGGAGGCCAGAAATCTCACCACCATCTGGTGGTAAGCACCCCTCAAACAGTGTCAGTGGAGGCCACATGGGGAGCAATAGTGAGACGTTCCTCTCCTTCCCAGCCAGAGTGGTTGTCAGCTGAGGTCTACAAGGAGCCTGCAATCCACCTCCACCCAGCAGTAATGGGGGTCCTGCCCCTGGAGGCATAAAGGAAACTAAGTGGGGAAACTAGATTTTCACCCCCACCTGGCAGTAACAACGGGGAGCACTTCTTTCCCTGCAGCACATGTCAGAGGAAGCTGCTAAACAGATTTAAGTAAGAACTAGAGTCTCATGATGTAATACCCAAAATATCCAGGGTAAAATACAAAATCACTAATCACACCAAGAACCAGGAAAATCTCATATTAAATAAGAAAAGACAGTCCACAGATGCCATCACCAAGATAATAATGTTGGAATTGTCTGATAAAGATTTTAAAGCAGCCATCATAAAAAGCCTTCAATGAACAATTACAAAAACTTTCTTGAAACAAATGAAAAAAGAGAAAATCTGAGCAAATAGAAGATGTAAATAAGAACCAAATAAAAATTTTAGAACTAAAATATACAAAAAAAAAAAAAACTCAATAGATGAGCTTCACAGCAGAAGGGAAAGGACAGAGAAAAGAATCAGTGAACTTGAGACTAGAACACTAGAAATTGGCCAGGCACTGTGGCTCACACCTGTAATCCCAACACTTTGGAAGGCCAAGGCAGGCCAATCACTTGAGGTCAGGAGTTCAAGACCAGCCTGGCCAACATGGCAAAAACCTGTCTCTACTAAAAATACAAAAATTAGCCAGGCATGGTGGTGCACACCTGTAGTCCCAGCTACTCAGGAGGCTGAGGCAGCAGAATAGAAATTACTCAATCTGAACAACAGAAAAAAAAAAAAAACTAACTGAAAAAAAAATGAACAAACTCAGGAACCTATACGAGTATAACAAAGAAATCAAACACTCATGTCATTTGAGTCCCAGAAGGAGAGGAGAAAGAAGGTGGGCTAAAAAGGTATTAAAAAATACAATAACTAAAATTTTCCCAAGTTTGGTAAAAGACACAACTTAAAGAAAGAAGAAGCTATGTGAATTCTGAACAGAATAAACCTAAAGAAATCCATGTCAAGACACATATTAGTTAATCTTGTAAAAACTAAAGGTGGCCGGGCGTGGTGGCTCATGCTTGTAATCCCAGCACTCTGGGAGGCCAAGGCGGGTGGATCATTGGAGGTCAGGAGCTCAAGACCAGCCTGGGCAACATGGTGAAACTCCGTCTCCAGCAAAAAATACAAAAATTAGCCAGGCGTGGTGGCACATGCCTATAGTCCCCAGCTACTCGGGAGGCTGAGGCAGGAGAATAGCTTGAACCTGGGAGCCAGAGATTGCAGTGAGCCGAGATCATGCCACTGCACTCCAGCCTAGGCAACACAGCGAGACTCTGTCTCAAATAAAATACGTACGTACATACATACATACATACTAAAAGTAAATAAATAAATCTTGAAATCAGTGAGAGGGAGACAACTAAAAGACAGATATTGGCAAAGAGGATTTTAAAAACATTACCCAACTATACGCAAGGACATTATGGAGTGGAAAAAAAGTCAGTCCCAAGAGGTCACATACCATATAATTCCATTTATACAACATTCTTAAAATGACAAATTATAGAGATGGAGAACAGATTAGTAGTAGCTGGGGATTAGGAATGGTGAAGGGAAGAGGAAATGATTATAAAGAGGTAGCATGAGGAAGATCTTTGTGGTGATAGAGTAGTGCTATATCTTGATTATGGTGGTGGTCACATAAATCTATGGCTGTGACAAAATGGCATGGAACTATACATAACTTATATAGTACCAATGTCAATTTGCTGGCTTTAATATTGTACTATAGTTATATAAGATGTAACCACTGGATAAAGAGGACCCAGGGCCTCTCTGTACTATCTTTGCAAGTTCCTGAAAATCTACAATTATTTCCAAATAAAAGTTTTAAAATTTTCATAAAACTACATATACACACCCATGCATATACACACATACAGAGAGAGAGAGAGAGAAAACAAAATTGCATATAGAAATGGGTCACCAGATCATATTTGGCTTTAGTACATTTTTCACTTTACTATATGAATGTGCTTTATTACAGAAATATATGTATTTATTAAAACTTACTGCACTTCAACAAAAGAATGGAACTATACTCTGCAATTCTACATGGAAGGAGCTAGACATTTTTCATTTTACAAAACTTGCTTTTTGCAGACCTTGTTTGTATCTTTGGCTCCACTTTTTTCTAACTCTATTACCTTCTCAGAGGCTCAGTTTCCTCATCTTAAATGGAGCTAAGAATGCATGCCTCCCGCATTACTTTTATTAGTAGTAAAATTCTTCTTGGCCAGGTGTGGTGGCTCACACTTGTAATCACACCACTTTGGGAGGCTGAGGTGGGAAGATTGCCTGAGCCCAGGAGTTCTAACCTGCCTGGGCAACAGAGAGAGATCCCTATCTCTGCAAAACAATTTTTCAAAAAAAATTAGCTGGGTGTGGTGGTGTGTGCCTACAGTCCCAGCTACTCTGGAGGCTGAGGCAGAAGGATCACTTGAGCCCCAGAGATTCAGGCTGCAGTGAGCTGTGATGACACCACTGCACTCTAGCCTGGGTGACACAGTGAGACTTTGTCTCAAAAAAATAATAAAATAAAATGTCTTATTGTATAAAATGATATAGCATCAAATGGCAAAACCAGAATTTATGGAATAGCAAAATGTTACCTGATTTGAGGGACTCCTATATGTTGCCAGTATTTAAAAAGTGCCAGCCAGGCGCAGTGGCTCATGCCTGTAATCCCAGCACTTTGGGAGGCCGAGGTGAGCAGATCACAAGGTCAGGAGATCGAGACCATCCTGGCTAACATGGTGAAACCCCGTCTCTACTGAAAAAAAAAAGCAAAAAAATTAGCCAGGCAAGGTGGCAGGCGCCTGTAGTCCCAGCTACGTGGGAGGCTGAGGCAGGAGAAGGGCGTGAACCCAGGGGGCGGAGCCTGCAGTGAGCCAAGATTGCACCACTGCGCTCCAGCCTGGGCGACAGCAAGACTCCATCTCAAAAAAAAAAAAAAAAGAAGTGCCTGGAAACACTGGAAAGCTAATACCCAGGAAGTACCCCATCCTGCCCCAGCCTGCAGAATTAAGTTTGGGAGATTATCTCAGTAACATCAGCAAACAGTAGGAAACTGAGGCATTAGCAATGAAAAATGAAAGGAGGGCAATATGAGAGAGATCTTGATGATGAATTGAATGTCAGGAATAAAAGTGAGGGAGAAAAAGTAAGAATGACAGACAGACTTCTGGCTCAGGGTAAAATAGTTGCCCTTCCTGAAGATAAGTCAAACAAGTAGGCTGTTTGAGGGCAAATATAATAAGCCCACCTGGGGACATGTCTAACTTTATGAGTCTGGATGTGCAGATAAAGAGCTAGAAGAGAGCCTTGCAGTGGAGAAGTTGATCTGAGGGTTACTGGCATGCCAGTCAAAGCTGTACCATGGGTGAGGCAACCAGGAAGAAAACAGAGTGAAAAATGCAGAGGACAAGAGCAGCACCTGGAAGAAGACTGAAACACACCATGGGCAGGAGAAGACGTTCCTGAAAAGGCAACTCAAAAAGAGCAGCCAGAAAGGAAGGAGACAATTGGGAAGGAGTGATGTCAGGGAAGCCAAAGGAAGAAAGAGAGCCATGTGGCCAGGGAACCAACGTCACAGAGGGCTCAAGTAAGATGGGATACAAAGCTCCACTGGATTTGACCTTTGGAGGTCAGTGGTGTGGGGCAGCAGACAGGTGACAGCAGGTTGGGTAGTGAATGGAAAAAGAGCAAGCAAAGCCAGTGAATGCAGAGGGTGCTCTTTAGAGTGGTGTTTCCCAAAGTGGGTCCCCAACCGTCAGCATCACCTGGGAACTTGTTAGAAATGCACATTCTTGGACCCGACCCCAAACCTACCAGATCAGAAACTCTGAGGATGAGGCTCAGGAATGTGTGCTTTAACAAGTTCTGTAGCTGATTCTGATGTACACCAAAGGTTGAGACATACAGATCTAGAAAAAGAAAGAGAAGCCACTGTTGGGAGGAAAGGGAGAATAGTCAAAGGAGGGTTTTGTGTTATAAAATGGAATAAATTTTGGTTTTTCAGCTAGAAATTACTCTTTATTGATTAAATCACCAGAAATTTTCAGCACAAGATTTAACATCTTAATGACCACCAAGGCCTGGGCTCTAGGGCTCTTTCTGCCTCTTCCGGTCCTTAATGGGGTTTAGAGGGAGAGACATCATTAACAAGTCAGATGATTGCAGGTCCTCCTTTCCCAGTCTTTAAACAAGCTGCTCAATTCTTGTCCAGAGCAGGAAAGAGCCAGTACTTCAGAAAAATCTAATAAAGAATCTGACATTGCACTATAAGATCTCTCATAACAATTTAGATTTATCAATAGTATTGGTCCAAACTCATTTGCTTCAGATCTAAATTTTTTTCATTGTGCAATTTACTTTTTGTGTGTGTATGCAGTTTTAATAAATAATCTCACTCCCTGTGCAGAAATTAATCAACCCAATGCAAAAAACATCCCTCAAACTGGAATAGCCTCATCTTACTTTGGAGAGAGGAAACAAGTTTTTCTGCTCCTCTTCTACCCGGGAGATGAACAAATGTCCCCACAAAGTTCAAAATGTTACTTCTGGCCTTGGGATGCACACACAGGCAGCTTTGATGGGCTAATTCAGATCACCTAGAAAGGGCAGCTGCAACCACTATGCAGGTAGTCTTCTTTGGGAATTTCTTAAATCAACTCTTGAGAATTCTCCATGATTGTTTACAAAGGCCCTAAGCTCTAAACAACTTGTGCCACTTCATTTCATGAGCTAGGCTCTGAGGACACATTGGAATGTGCAGGAGCAAGAGCAGGGGCAGTGGGCAGTGGCCCCACGAGGAAGGACCTCAATAACTCGAGGCTTGTCAATGATCCAGGCTGTCCGATTTCCCTTTTCCACAATGCCAACAATCCATGCTTGGTGACCCTCTCTGTACTTGGAAGATCTGATTTCAGAAAAAAAGTGAGCCACCTGTTCTCTTGGAAGACAAATCAGTAATCTCCTGAGGTTTCAGCTGAGGTTCCTTGAAGAAGCCCAAACTGCCCCCTGGCCTTGCTGATGGCAGCCATCTTGGCAATGACTGGCAGATTGCAAATGACAAAGGACACATCATTTCTTTGTTGCTTCACGAGGTTCTGAGAGTGTCCTAGAATGCCAAAGCCTGTGATATCTGTGGCCACATGGGCATTAAATTTGTGCATTAATCCAGCAGCAGTTCTGTTGATGGTAGCCATATTGAGCATGGCTTCCTGATAGGCCAGATCTACTTCTTCTCCAAAGACCACCATCTTCACCTGATTCCATCTTTCAGTATCCTCCAGCCATTGGTGGGCATTGACAGCAACTTGGGTTCCTAAGGGTTTGGTTAATACCAGCACATCCCCAATAGCGGCATTATCAGGCATTATTAATGCACTTGGCCGACACACCACAGTGGCAACTCCACCCATGATAAGCCAAGAGTTGACCACGTTTGTCCACCTGTCACTGCAGTTCCTCCCTCCTCAGTAGCGTCCCGAAAGCCTTTGATCATGAGTGGCATTATATTTTCCCATTCCTCCTCACTCATACTCTGGCTAAGGCTGAGTAACGTCAACACGTTTTCACACTCAGTAATGCCTATGTCCTAGAGGTCACTCAGCACGTTGGCACAAGCTATGCACCCCTTCATGTAGGGATCTTCCACCAAGGGGTAAAAGAAGTCCGTGGTCTGCACCAGTGACAGGCCTCCATGCCTCAGTGAGATGATGCAAGAGTCTATCCCAATGCCCAGGGCTGGAAGGGCATTGGCAGGGGTGCTTCCTGGCAGGGGTGCTTCCTGGGCAGCCTCGTCCCAGCTGGGTGTGGGCCGTGTCAGTCTGGCCAGGAGTTTGGGCAGTGCCTCCTGCGGGAGCTTGCAGCCTCAGCCCTTCCTGCCGGAGAAGCCGGTCAGTCGCCAGCTCAGGCTGAGACCCCACAACTGGGGCTAGCAGGGCCAGTAGCTCGAGAAGGCCCAGCCCAGAGACAAGGCCGCCGGGCTTGATGAGACTTCCGCCGCCGCCATGGCCACCGTCACGGGGCTTCCGCCATCGCGCCTGCTGGAAAGGCCTGAGGAGAGGGGAGAAGAGGAGACGGCCTTTTTAGTTTCCACTCAAGTTAATATGAAGTAACAGTCAAATATCTCCCACAGAGATTCTCCCGGGCACCATTCTGGACACCCTTCTCGCCCAAGCCACCCCTCCTTGGCCTTCCTCCAAAATGGGAGAGGTTTATCACATGCTTGCACGGTACGAAGAGCCAGTATTTGAAGAGACTGGATCTATAGAAAAGGGGAGATAAGTGTTGGAGCCAACTTTTGGGAAACCCAGAAATCGATGTTGAGTATTTTGAGATATAAAGTCATAGGAGCAGCTTAGGAATTATGTCCCAGCCTCTGTACCCGCCTGTTTATGAGGCAAAGCAAGGATGACAGGATACTTCTGTTCTGACATGTCTGCTTCTAATACTTCAACCACTACCTCCTCCAAGAATCTCTGTATTTTTGTTTACTATGTGACTAATATCTTCAAACACCTAGGAGCATTTCATGTCATCTGACCTTTGAAGGCTAGGCAGGCCCGCTGCAGGTTAACAGTTCACCTTTCCCAGGTCCCCGGGCGCGCTATTTGGAGCATGTGCTGAACTCCTATCTATTCAGGTGCCGGAGAATAGGGATTGAATTTCATGCTGGTGACTATGTGGGCTCCAAAGCCTGAGCTAGGGAAGCCAGGAAGGGCAGTGCCTCCAGGCCAAGGGCACATGAGAAGGGGATATCTGGGGCTTTTTCCAGACAAGGTAGGTAGGAGACACTTACCCAGTAGCTGCAACAAAAACAGTATTCCACATTCTAGGGTGATTCAAATGTCAAACACAGACAAAATTGTAATGGAGGAAAAAAAAAGAGGTTTGTCTGGTAGGAAAAAAAAAAAAAGAGGTTGCCGGTTATGACAGCCACCATTGGTAATGTTTATTTTGTTTTTCCTCTGGTCGAGCTGGTCCGCAAAGACCTGGCGCACCCAGGCAAGAGACAGTTGCAAAACAAGTGTCTGTACAAGAGACCTACAAGGAGTCTCAAAGATTTTTAATTTTCGTTAACCCCAATTTTGATTTTCTTTTTCTTAAAAACATGGTGCTAAATCTTTGTGGTCAAAGCCTTAGGTTGACAGCCTTTAATAAAGAAGTCCAAACTCTGGAAAAACAAAAATAAACAGAACTATGCAACAAATCACATTCTCCTTTGAAAGTTGCTTTTGAAGGCCCAAGGGAGTACTATTAACATCACAGGAAAAGCTAGGCAATTAATTTCCATTCTAAGGGCTTTTAGAATGTCTCCCAGAATTGACAGGGAAAGAAAATTAATGCCATATCAAGACATTAATTCAAATCACCAATTAGTTTACTCAAGGTCTTCTCTGATAGTAACTTCTGTTTACTACTAGCTTTGATGAAATGTGAGAATTGAAAAAAGAGTTTCTATCCCCAGCACCAATCCATGCACTATGCAGATTCAACTGATACTGATTTCCTCTTTCCTATCCCACTTCAGGGAAAGGAAAGTCAAGTTTGGGGACTATTTATGGTAAGTATACACACACACACACACACACACACACACACACACACACCTGTGTATATATGTATCATACAGAAGGAGTGTGCTTTACCTCTTCTCTTTATCCTTCTCACTTGGGAGGAAAAGGGCTGGGCACATTGTCAGAAATCAGTATATCTGTGGGCGGCAGATTGTTTCATACAGAAGAGTGCCTTTTTCTGCCAGTGCTCATGAAGTTGCACCATTGCTGGTTTTATTTGCTGGAAGTAGATCCATCAGATATTAAAGTGTCGTAATATAAATGTAGTGAGTCATGACTAGCACTTGGGATACAGATAGAATAGGATAGGGTGGGATGGGATGGGATGACATAAGATGGGATAGGTTAGAATAAGGAGGGGAGGGGAGGAGAGGGAAGGGGAGAAGAGGAGAGGAGAGAAGGAGAAGATGGATTGGATAGGAGAAGATGCATAGGATAGGGTAGGATGGGATGGATTGAATAGGATAGGATAAGAAATACCAGAGCAAATCACAGGTAAGCAGGAGAGAGCTGGTCTGTGAAACTTTAAGTTTGATGTGCAAGCATGTGTGCACACACACAACTGCGGTTGTGTTCTAAATCACAATGTGAAATGAATCTTTCATAACCAAAAATGTTGATTCTAATTTGATAATAGAAATGAGGGCTGGGCACAGTGGTTTATGCCTATAATCCCAGCACTTTGGGAGGCCGAGGTGGGAGGATCACGAGGTCAGGAGTTCGAGACCAGCCTGGGCAACATGGTGAAATTCTGTCTCTACTAAAATACAAAAATTAGCCAGGTGTGGTGGTATATGACTGTAACCCCAGCTACTCGGGAGGTTGAGGCAAGAGAATTGCTTTAACTCGGGAGGCGGAGTTTGCAGTGAGCCGAGATCGTGCCACTGCACTCCAGCCCGGGCGACAGAGTCAGACTCTGTCTCAAAAAAAAAAAAGAAGAAGAAGAAATGAGGTTGACAATAGAAATGAGACTTCTCCACCTAGTGGAGAAGTGATTGGCAGTTTTTCACCCATAAATAAAGAGCTGCTCACATTTGCTGGCCGTGTCAGCAAAATGCTAATTGTATAGTGTTCAGAGGTGAGAGTGAGCCCATCCTTGCTGAATAGGGGCTTCTCTAGCTTGTGAATCTGTGCAGTGTGGCCTCACTGGGACACTGTGTAGCTAATAGGGTTTGGATGTTTGTCCCTTCCAAATCTCATATTGAAATGTGAATCCCAAAGTTGCAGATGGAGCCTGGTGGGAGGTGTTTGGGTCAGGGGGGTGGATCTCTCATAAATGGCTTGGTGCCCTCTCCATGGTAATAAGTGATTTCTCACTCTGTTAGTTCATGCAAGAGCTGGTTGTTTAAAAGAGCCTGGCATCTCTCTTGCTTTCTCATCATGTGACACGCCTGCTTCCCCTTCACCTTCTACCATGATTGTAAGCTTCCTAAGGCCCTCACCAGAAGTAGCTGCCAGCATTAGGTTTCTTATAAAGCCTCTGAACCGTGAACCAAAATAAAACTCTTTTCTTTATAAATTACCAAGCCTCAGATATTCCTGTATAACAATGCAAAACAGACTAACACCAGAGCCAAATGTTCTAGGGTTGAACGGAGGTGAAAGCAGACAAATCATGGGACTTACTTATTTTTAAGTTTCCCCAAAAACAATGTGTCTAGGCCTTCCCATACCTCAGTCAGCTCACACAGAACAACACCCAAACATCCAGCCTTGGTCCAGCCTCTGAAGACCACCCATGGACAAACTAATGAGCCCTACGGTTTGCATTTTCAATTGCAAATGATGTTTTAAGAAAACACTTAACTATTACTTTCCAAGAAACTGGTTTCAAGAGGTTCAAGCACAAACACTCCCGTTTATGTTTCCACCCTCAATCAAGATGAAAGAGGCTAGTTTAAAATTTTTCCTTTCCATGCAGCAGATCCCAAACCCTGAGTTTTACCACCACAGGTTTAAAGGTTGCTGTGGTCGGCCAGCATGACGCCCTCGCTGCTCCCAGGCAAATTCCTTATGGGTCCTGCTCTGGTCAGCTCACTGGATATGCACTGTGAATACCTGGACTCACTTCCCATTTGCACAAAATGTGGACAATGTTGCTTTTTATTCAGGCAGTAATATTGCAAAGTTGCTTTGTGCTTCTTAGAACCCAAGATAATTTTATTGTGAAAATAAAGATCAAAATATTTCAACTTTCCTTTTCCCTTTCCTCTTCATGTACAATGATAGAGTTTGGAGACATAAAAACAAGCCAAGTGTTTTACAAGGAATATCTGTCATAGGGAATATCAAAGCATCTTAATGGGTGCTGAATGTATTCATAACAACAGAACTTGTATTTTAAAGTTACATTTGATAAAATGGAGCTTACATACCAGAAGAGAAGTTCAAAGTGGCTTTTGGTGGAAGAAGAAGAAGAATTTCTCTAATACCAACTATATTTAACAAACAAATTAAATAAAAATGTTTTTCCTTCATATTTCACTTTTGCTGAGTCAAAAGTGACCAAGGAATAGTATCTAAGCTTAAATTCAAATCTATTTTCTTCCTTATTGACTGTGTATTACACTTATTCTCATGCATTCATTTTGTACATTCTAATGTATACTTATAAAATAACTAAACAAACTAAAGAAGTTACATTGAGTCATATTTAAAATTGTTCCAGCTATAAAAAATGGAACTTTCTATAAAATAAATATCAGGGCCAGACACGGTGGCTCATACCTGTGATTCCGGCACTTTGGGAAGCCAGGGTGGGAGGATAGTTTGAGGCCAAGAGTTCAAGACCAGCCTAGGAAACATAGTAAGACCCCCATCTCTACAAAACAACAACAACAAATTAGCTGGGAGTGGTGGCACACACCTGCAGTACTAGCTACTTGGGAGGCTAAGGCAAGAGGATCACTTTAGCCCAGGAGTTTGAGGTTGCAGTGAGTTATCATCATGCCACTGCACTCCAGCCTGGGTGACAGTGTGAGACCCCCCTCTCTAAAATAATTAATAATAAATAAATTAAATATTGGTTGGCCAAATGCACATTTTACAGTTTTATGACCATATTCTTTTTTCACATTCTCTTTGTTCTATAAGGAAACATACTTGTAAGTAAAGAATCCATACTTACAGAAATTGTATTCATTTTGATATATTTTTAAAATAAGCATTCTTTAGAACTGAACACAGACTGCAAATTCTTAAAGGCCATTCCCCACATGACATTCTCCAGAGCAGAGACAAAGAATGAAGTGGTTGATTGATGCAGATATTCATTCTGTGCAGCCTTCATGAAAAATAGGAAAGTTGTGCCCTAGAGTCTAGCACCCTGAGCTCATGCCCCTGTCAAAGTATTAGGAACGAAGAGAACAAGGACAGCCTGACCTGGGCTTCTCTCACTCCACAAGAAGGACTCCATTTAGGAGTTGGAGGCCAGACCATGCAGTCCAGGCCTTCAGGACTGATGCCATTTGTAGTGGATACACCGAGCAACACTTTCAGATAATTCTGTTCAAACCGAGGAGGAGTTTTCACCACCAGCGGTAATGGTTAGTCTTATAGGTCAACATGGCAAGGCTACAGTATCCAGTACTTGATCAAACACTAGCCTAGGTGTTGCTGCCAAGGTATTTTGTGGATGTGGTTAGCATCTACAGTCAGTTGATGTTAAAGAAAGGAGATTATCCTCAATAATCTGGTTGAGCCTCATCCAATCTGATGAAGGCCTTCAGAGCAAAACTGAGGTTTCCCAGAGGAAGGAAAATTCCGCCTGTAGACAGCAGCATCAGCTCTGGCCTGACAGACTCCAGATGGCTCTTCCCGACGGCCTGCTCTAGGGACGTCAGACTTGCCAGACCCCACAATCACTGATTCTGTTTCTCTGGCAGAATCTTGACTGATACGCCAGTCTACTGGGCTTGGATGAAATCAACCTAAATTTATCTAGAAATAAAGGGCCTCATTATACCCTAAATTTTAGTCAATTGCCAAATCTCAAAACATTGGTTTTATAAACTTTAGAACACAGAGTAGCAGACATTTAAGATTATTTGCTACTATATCCTTAAATGCCATCTAGATGGGAGTTAGTAAAAATATACTCTATTGTACGACTAGTTTGTTCCAATTTCTATCTAGTGTAAAAGACATTTGAAATGAACATTTGTACCAGTTGGGTTTCCATTGTTGTGAATTGGCTGCAGCCTTTCAAGGCAGAAAGGAACATATAAGGAATATGGTTTCTGAAACTCCTCCAAAACCAAAGTCATCTAAAATAAGTATGACTTGATGAATGCTAAAATGAAGTTGAAATTGGTTTCAGCCCATTTCCTAAATTGCAGCTGTTCTGACAATTCCACCTTACCTTCCTTATTTCAGTAGTTTCCTGGAGGATTTTCCCCCCACATCTAAGAAGGAAATTTTACTCTAAATTTTTTACACAAACTATCACTGATGAGTCTTTCCCCACCATAACTACAACTTTTCTTCCTGTTACATTCCACTTTAGCCAAAATAGGCCCCTGTAACTGGGTGGTTTTATTTTGTTCCATCATAAGAGAGTTTAATATACGCTTGTCAAGAAAAGAGACAGCACTGACAGTTAAATTAAAAGTGGTACCAATTAATGTATTTATAGAACACCATACACACGCAACAGACGAGGGAAGAATTTACAGTACACGAAAAGCACACCACGCTTCAGCAACAGTCGATTTGTCAAAAGGGCTGTGCTCCTGACAAATGATTAGTAAGAGAAAACCCCAAAGATCAGAGGAGGATGAAAGGGGGTTCACTCCTGCAGCTTGCAGGGGCAGTGGCAGAGGAATAAAGATAATCAGAGAATGCATTGGCAACACGTTCTCAGTTTCCTATTGACTGTGGGACTGTGGAGCCACATAGGAGATACAGGGCGTCAAAGCCACCTGGTCCCCCTGGTTATTGTGACAATGGAAAGATCACCTGCCTCTGCCCCCAGGACACTGCTGAGGCATGATCATAATGTTGGCAGACTGTTTTTCTCTTTTCTGCCTCTTTTCCTCTGTCATAACGCGCCTCCCCGCTTCCCATTCCTGCTCTTACAGAAGAATCTCCTATCTGTCATTCAGCAAAGCCTGTGTGTTGCCCTGGGCTCTCAGAGTTCTGGAAAGTTTAAAGCTCTGCTAAGGAAGTAATGTGGAGGTTGCCTTGTTCCGGTGAACTCATTGCCAACCCCAGGCCCTCTTTCTCCTGAGTCCCCTCATAGTGCAGAGACTGTTCTTTCTCAAAGGGATTGCTGGCATCTGTGGCCAGCTGGGGTGGGGAGGATATGAAGATATTTTAAGGCTAGAGGGCCCTCGCAGGTTCAGAAACAGCACACTCAGGCAGTCACCCTGCATGATTCGTGAAACTCTGGAGCCACAGCAGACGTGAGAGATGAGGGAAATGCTCTCTCCATACTATAAGGGTACTCGGGAGAAAGAGGGCCTGGAGTTGGCAGTGGGTTAACTGGGAAAAGGCAATCTCCCTGTTACTTCTCTCCATAGACTCCTTAAGCAACACATGCTAATTTGTTTCTTAAACAGTCAAAGGCTTCTCACATGCCAGAGAATATATGTACAAAAAATATAATTACAGGACTTTTTGTTCTGGCTATGACAGAGTAGTTTAAAGAAAACTAAAGAAAAACCTAAAGAACAGATGAATTATATTTTTAAAAATCATTTAGGCCAGGCATGGTGGCTCATGCCTGTAATCCCAGCACTTTGGGAGGCCAAGGTGGGTGGATCACCTGAGGTCAGGGGTTCGAGACCAGCCTGGCCAACATAGTGAAATGCCATCTTACTGAAAATATAAAAATTAGCTGGGCGTGGTGGCACATGCCTATAATCCCAGCTACTTGGGAGGCTGAGGCAGGAGAATAGCTTCAACCTGGGAGGCAGAGGTTGCAGTGAACTAAGGTTGCACCACTACACTCCAGCTTGGGTGACAGAGTGAGACTGTGTCTCAAAAAAAAAAAAAAAAAAACTGTTTAAAGGCATAGAGGAACCACCAAGACAACCAGACACAATTTGGGCACCAGATCCACAAAAGACAGGAAGCCTCCAGAGGTGAGCCCAGCTCTCCACATTCCAGTTTCACCTGTGGGGCAATTCTTGGTCTGATTGCACCTTCGGGGCAATTCTTGGTCAATTCTTGATACTGGGCTAGGGACTAAGAAACGGGGCGGGGGCAGATGCTAAGAGGCAGAGAAGCCAGCAGAGCTTCAAACAATTTTACAGGACTGGGAGGACAAATTGGGATCTGAAGCTGCAGAAGTGTCCTTGAAAGGCCAAGATACCAAAGAGAAGGAGGACACCAACAATGGATCCAACACGCAGCAATGGTTTCCTCCAATGGGTCAGACAGAAGACTGCAACACAGAATACATATAGAAATAATGAGCAAGGTAAATGTATTTAAATCTAAATGAATATTAATTGTACAAAACAGTAATAATATGGAGATTTAAATATGTATAGGATTAAACAGCATGACAAAAAATAACAAAAAAGAAGGAGATACATGGAGTTAAAGTCCTTTGAGAAATGTAAAGAACTCATTTATATTAAACTGGAATAAATCAAAAGTGATTGTTTTAATCTCTAGGATAACTTACAAAAGAATAGCAGAGGGATATCTTTATTTTTAAAAAAATATTTAATAGAGGGGAAAATGAAATAATAATCTTAAAAATAATTAGTCCAAAAGAGGCAAAAAAAAGACATAAGAAGAACAGAAGTGAGCACTATGAAAGGTCAGCATATGGAGAATTCCTTAGGGAGACATCAGGGGTGGAGGGCAGGGGTTCTTGCTACACGAACGTGGCAGGATTCTGGTTGAAGGCAGGCCAGGATGATTAGATATTGAGGGTAGGAGCTGAGCAATTTAATCTGATATTAAGGGGGATCAGATATCAAGCGTGGGGGATTCTCTCTGAACAGAATTAGCATGATTCTTGCTGTGACTGGACTATGCAGACCAAACAAGAACAGGGACCAAGGTCAAGCCCTAGTCAAAAGGGATTCTACAGAAAAAGCACACCAAGATTTTCAGGATTCAGAGGAGCTTAACTAGAGTCCAATCAAGGAGAGAGTCTTTGTCAAGGCTAAAACAACTTCACCAGGAGGATTTTCTCCCACTGAAAGCAGTGGTGCCCAACCTTTTTGGCACCAGGGACTGGTTCTATGGAAGACAATTTTTCCACTGACATGTGTGTGAGATGGTTTCAGGATAAAACTGTTCCATGTCAGATCATCAGGCATTAGATTCTGATAAGGAGCTCCCAACCTAGATCCCTCACATACCCAGTTCACAATAGCAGTTTAGGCTCCTATGAGAATTTAATGCCACTGCTGATCTGACAGGAGGCCGAGCTCAGGCAGTAATGCTCACTCGCCTTCCATTTACCTCCTGCTCTGTGGCCCCATTCCTAACAGGCCTCGGACCAGTACCGGTGGGTCCATGGCCTGGCTCCCACAGGTAGGTCTTGGTGTCCTCCTGTTCAACATAAACCATTTCATAGAACACCAACAGCAGGTAAGGGTACTCCGTAACCATGAAGGATCAAGACAAACTAAGACCATTCATAATCATGTCTTAACACAGACAAAATCAAGACCATTGTTCAAACCATAAAAATGCCCGGACATCCTCTCATCCTGGCTACTATAAGGGACTATTGCCTCTTTACTGATCACATCTTTAGCCTCGATGCATTCTTCCAGCCTCAGAGATAAGATTTATTAAGACACTCAACTATAGAATTGTCCCTGTTTCCTGACAGCATGATTGGAGCAAAGCTCTACTTCCTTAAACCCTCCCTGAAAACACCAAATCCTATACTAAATCCTTCCTAATTCTCTCTGACTGAGATACCCCCGTGGTTCCTGTTGTGTGCAGTCTCATTCTTTGCAATGAGCAATAAACCCACTTGTTCAACTTCAAATGTATTTCTTTGGCTGTAGGCTATTGACAGATGCTTAAGTCTCATCAAACATTCACATATCAAATCCAACAGTATGTAAAAATAACAATATATCACAACCAAGTTGGCTTGATTCCAGAAATGAAATTCAAGATTAGTTTAATATTTTAAAATCTGTCAACATACTCTTATGAAAGAGGCCCTAGACAGGGCCCATCCCCCTGCAACCATGTGAAGACACAGGGAAAAGACAGGCATCTACAAAAACCACATCTACAAACCAGGAGGCAAAGCCCTCACCAGACACCAAATCTGCCAGCACCTTGATCTTGAACTTCTCAGACTCCAGAACTGTGGGAAATAAGTTTCTGTTGTTTATAAGCCAAAAATAATAATAATAGTAATGTAATTCATCACATAAGGAAAAAGAGATGTCATATGATCATATTAACAAATGCACAAATGCGCTTGATAAAATGCTGCAGTTACTCATGTTAACAAAAATTTAAACTTTTAGCAAAATTAGAGTAGAGGAAAACTTCCTTTGTCCTAATATAGAGTACATAGAAAAACCATATAGCAAAGATCATACTTAATGGTGAAGGACGAAAAGATCTTCTCCTGAGATAGAAAATATGCCTCTATGATCACTTTTATTCAAACAACTGGAGGTTGTAGCCTACATAATAAAGCAAGAAAATAGCCAGTAATAAACCTGACAAAGATTCACAAGAACTTTACACTGAAAGTTATACATATTGAGAAAAATCTTTAAAATCTAATTTAGCGGAAAGCTTATTGAGAGAAATCTTTAAAATCTATTCAGTGGAAAGCTATGCAATGATCATGAATTGAAAAACTCAATATTATAAAGGTCTAAGTAAGTTATTCCCAAACAAATCTATATTCCAGCAGGACTGAGAAAATCTAGAAGAAAAAACTTTAGGATTTACATGAGCAGATACCAAGATACATTATAAAGCTACAGCAATTAAGAGGGTCATAGTATAAGTTCCTGATACACCAATAGGCCTATGGAATAGAAAAGAGAGTGCAGAAACTGTCACTTGATTTTTGACAAAGATGACACATCAGTCCAATGAGGGGGGAAATTGCCTTTTCAATAAAATGCACATGCGTAATTAGAATCTATATGAAAAGAAAACTCTTAAATCTCTGTTTCACATCATGCATAATAAACTACAGGAATTGTAGCTGTAAAAGTAGGCATAACTACAACAAAGATTCTAGGGGGGAAAAGGAGACTTATCTTCATGACCTTATGGCAGGCAAAAAAAAAAGAAGTTTAAGAAGACACAAGAGCAATAACCATAAATTAAATGATGGATAAATTCTACTGCATTAAAAGTAAGAATTTCAGTTCATCAAAAAGACACCATTAAGAAAGTGAAGGCTGGGCATGGTGGCTCACATCTACAATCCCAGCACTTTGGGAGGCCAAGGCAGGTGGATCACTGGAGCTCACGAGTTCAAGACCAGCCTGAGCAACATGGCAAAACCCTGTCTCTACTAAAAATACAAAAATTAGCTAGGCATGGTGGCACACCTGTAGTCCCAGGTACTTGGGAGGCTGAGGAAATAAGATGGCTTGAGCCTGAGAGATGGAGGCTGCGGTGAGCTGAGATGATGCCACTGCACTCCAGCCTAGGCTACAAAGCCAGACTCTGTCTGAAAGAAAGAAAAGAAAGGAAGAAGGAAGGAAAGAAAAAAGAGAAAAGAGAGAGAGAAGGGGAGGAGAGGGGAGGAGAGGGGAGGGGAGGGGAGGGAAGGGAAGGGAGAAAAGGCAAACAATGGATTGGGAGAAAATATTTGTTATGCACATATTCAACAAAGGACTTATATCTAGAATATATAAAAACCACTAAAAGTTAATAAAAACAAGACAGGCCATCCAATAGAAAAACAGGCATAGAACTTGAACAAGCTCTTCACACAAAAAAAATCCCAATGTTTAGCCGCTAAACATACGAAAAGATGTTCAACAACATTAGTCATCAGGAAAATGCAAATTAAAACCACAATAAAATGCCATTATAGCCTCACCAGAACACCAACTTCAAGTGAGGCTATCTAGCAAATGGATTTTCCATAGACTGCTGTTGGTAATGTAAATTAGCACAACCAATTGAAAACAGCTTGGCTGTATCCACTAAAGCTGAACCTGTGCTTCCCCTATGACTGGCAATTCTACTCCTAAGTATATGCCCAAAGCAAATGAGTGCATATACGTACCAAAATGCGTGTACCCAGACACTCATAGAAGCACTCTTCATAGTAACCAAAAACTACAAACGACTCAAAAGGCCATCAAAAGTAAATGGATAAATTGTGTTTTATCCATGTACTAAAATGCTGTATAAAAATGAAAATAAACAAGGCTGCTACATGTAACAGCATAAATGAATCTCACAGACAAAATGTTGAATGAAAGAAACTGAACACCAAATAGTACCTACTATATGATTTCATTTATATAAAATTCAGAAACTTACAAAACTAAATTGGTGACTGAAGGCAGGATATTGGTACCTTTGTGAGCAGGGGGGTAGGACTGTGGGGAGTAAATGGAAGGGGTCTTGGGGAAGGCTTCTGCCTGGACAGCAATGTTCTATATCTTGGCCTGGATGACATTTATCATTTGTGTTCACCTTGTGAAAATTTATTACACGCTTTTCTCTATTTTTGTTATATTTTAATAAAAAGTTTATTTTTAACGTACCAAAAATGTACGCTTACTGTTGTATAAGAATAACAATAGACATGTAGGGAGAACAGTTATTTCTTCAAAAATATGTAGATGTAGGACTATGGAAGGTGTTGATTTTGCCTGAGATTTGAATTGGGAGCTTTGGAAGACTAGAGGACTTTACAGAAAATTACTTCCAATGACTTTATTCAAATGTTCCAAAGACTTTGAGCATTCATAGTGACCTTTTGTTGTTTTATTTTTCATTCCGTTGTTTCCACTCCATTTCCAAATGCCCTAATGAAATCTAAATAGTACAATAAACAAAAGGTGCTGTTTGTTCCTGGCCCATTGACACTTCATCAAGTCTTGAGCAAAACTAATTAAAATCTTAAGCCCAAATCTTCTCCCAACTATCTCAGTGCCACCCGAGGCACCACAATGGCCCAGAAATGGAAATGAGTGTCTTGGCCATTTCCCTGAGGAATGCCACAAAGGCTCATTGTGGTATTTCAAAGGGCAAGGCTTCCAGAGCAAAATCCCTCAACAGGAAGAATGTTGCCTCACCCTGGCTGTTCCAATGTAGCCTGTGTAGATCCCACTGCAGAAACCAGTCCTTCCTAGTTAGGGTCTGGGTCAATCATGTTCAGAGGAGAAGCAAGAAAGGAACAGGTAGTAGTATGGTGAGGAAATGCTCCTGACTGAGAGTTCTGGCTCTGTTCCTAACTAATTATTTGGTGCTGACCAGCTCAAGGACCTCTCAGCACTTACTGTCTTTGTCCATAAAATGGACATCTGGCTGGATGGTCACTAAGCCCCTTGAGAGTGCAAATGTTCTTTGATACTCTGGTGACTCCCTTAAGGTAATTTTTTTGGTCTTGTTTTAAACTCGACCTTGACACAGGCATGGGCTGTAAAACCAAACTAAGTACTGGTGCCCTCCACTGGATGACATATGCCAATGCTTTGTCACATATGCTGGAATGTTGCCTAGACATGTTGAAAAGCCATCATTCTTCATTCGTTCTCTGCAGGTAAGTTGCGTTTCAAGAAACTAAGACTCTGTCCCTTCTTCTAGAGCCCCAGCTAGGCAACTGTGCTGTTTAATCCCATGACTTTTGGTTATTTGGTTTCCACACATCACTGAATGTGCATAGCAACAAACAGAATGCTTAAATGGAGTAAAAAATCAGCACAACTCTTAATCCAATTGGTCAGATAGTCGTTAAACAAGAGGGAAATTTTTACTTCTGTTTTCCCAAATGTGTGGACAGGATATGACTTCCAATCAGAGGTATTTTAAAGTGTTCTGGGCAAAATTAAAAATCTGTATCCAATCAACATGTGATAGAAATGGAATTCTCCCTGTACAAATACATTAGACAGCTTCCAACCTTAATCACTCCGAGCAAGCTATGCCCAACATGATTATAAGTTCCCCATTATTGAGGACAAGATATGGAATGCCCACTCTCTCATATTCTTGTTCACAAACAGGCACTGTCAATAGTAGCTTTAAACTTCTCAGAGCAGCCCAAGGGCAGACTACACAGTCCTTGAGAGCTTACTAGGTACCAAACACTGCTCTAAGCATGAGATCCACAATGGTGAGCACAAACAGACACAACAACTGTTGACTTCATGGAAATAACACTCCAGGACCATCTTTAAAAAGTATAGAATAACTGTAAGTTTCTTTTGAGCAAGTAAAAGCCCTGCATACACTTTCAGTTTTTAAAAGATCTCATTAATTTTATATACAAAGGAACAGGACTTGGGAGGTAGGGAAAGAAAGGTAATTCCAAGGCTTCCAAATATTAGTGTTATCATTTAAGGTTGCTTCTATGTTAATGGTACCCACCATACAGTATTTGAAGGATGTCAATGCAAAAGCATTATATGCAGCAGAAAAGCAGTCAGATAAAAATAATGAGTACTCTCAGTGTGGCTGTTAACTAAGTAATAACTATTGACATCTGGGGACTCTAATATTTTTCCTGGAGTAGACATGAAGAGATGCAAATTGAAGTACAAGACTACATCACCTCCTTGGGTGGGTAAAGCATGGGAGGTGGGGATGCAGGGAAGAACCCTGTGACATTTAAGACATCTAAGATATTCAGGAAAACGGAGGTCAGAAGATGTTCTGATTAACGGAGGAGAAAAATCGTTCTCTTGGATGTTTGGTTTAGGCTGAGTTGTAGGAAAAGATTGACTTAGTTCCCAGGAAGCTTTTTTTGTGGTTGTAGATTCCAGAGTTCACAGAAAGGATCAGCTTGCTCACAGACTCAACAACAGTCAACTCAAGTGCCAAGAAAGTGGGGCAAGGCTGGATGAAGCCCAGGTGAGTGACATGGGAGGGGGTGAGACAACCAGAAACCAGAACCTTCAATAGGAAATGATGAGCCATCATACCCTTGAGTGGGCAATAAGCCCTCTGAGGAGAATTCCAAAAATGTTCCATTATTTGAACAAGTACAATGCCTACTTTGAGGATGGGTGCATATATTGCTATGCTTGTTTAAAATAAATCCAATGACTTATGTCATCTATTTCTCTAATAATAAACAACAAAAGGAAAAACAGCTGAAAACAGCCCAGAAAAAAATACCAGGTTTTGAGTTGGGCAGAAAGCCTTGCTTTGGAAATGCAACATCGCCTGCAGGGCTGTGCACCTTAAAGCCGGCCATCACTTATGTCCAGTAGGAGTTTTGACTTTTGGAAGAAACAACTTCCTTGTGAGAGATGAAAAGATAAACAATTCTGTGTAAATAATAGATATGCTTTGTATAACGTCAGAGGAAAGCTCCCAGGAGTGGCAGCTTGGGTAATCAGATACCTAAGAAATTTGCTTCAAGAAAACCCTTCTTCATTCTGTAATCTGGACATATCTGTTTATTCATTTGATGCATTGTTATAGTAAAACTAGGCAGAACTGGGGAAGATGACAATTTTGAACAATGCATGATACTATATAATTCTAAATGCAACTTTACATGATTGGTTATACAGCCACAGCATTTACTTACTACATGTGTTTTTAAGGCTATAATATTTCTCTTCAGTTACATTTTTTATGGTTAACAAAATAGGGGGTCTTGTCATTTCTATGAAAAATTCAGCATCGACACAATTCCCCCATACACCAATATTTTAAAGTACAGATCACTACAGGTAATACCCCTTTGCTGAATTACAAACCCCCCAATTGATATGCATATGTTGCCGAACACTCATTTGAGCCCTAAATGAAAAAAAAAAATCTAAAGTTAAACTTCATTATTTTTAATAGATTTTAGGAGTCTATTAAATAATGTGATCTTGTCATTCTTTCCAACCTACGCCTTTGTGTGAGGATTTGATAAATGCCACATCAGTGAGTAAGGTGAAGAAACAGAACTATATTTAATGTGACAGATGTAAGGAGATGTCAGGTTGGGGATTTGAAGTCAGGTAATCCTTTAGCACCTGCCTATATGAATACCAATCGAGCAGGCAATTCTCTTGAGACCGCAAAATTGGGAAGCTAGAACTCTGAATATTGGGGTTTTGATTTGTACTGTCAAGTAGACTTTAGGCTTTCAGCTCATCTTAACTACTGTTTATTTCTATTTCTATTTGGTTCTTAATAGAAGTAATACATAAAATTAAAAAAAAATTAAATGACCTTTTTCTCAAATTCTACTTGTCAAACAGAAACAAAATAATGAACTCAGAAGGTTATTTTTGAACCAAGATGATGTCATAGTTTCTAACCTGCTGAGCCATCATTTATGCTGAGAAGTAAAAAAGATAACCCAGAAATAGCCAGGCACAGTGGCTCATGCTTGTAATCCCAGCACTTTGTGAGGCCGAGGCGGGCGGATCATTTGAGGCCAGGAGTTCCAGACCAGCCTGGCCAACATGGAAACCCCGTCTCTACTAAAAATACAAAAAATTAGCCCGGCATAGTGGCACACACCTGTAATCCCAGCTACTCAGGAGGCTGAGGCAGGAGAATTGCTTGAACCTGGGAGGCAGAGGCTGCAGTGAGCTGAGATCGCGCTACTACACTCCAGCCTGGGCGGCGGGATGAGACTCTGTCTCAAAAAAAAAAAAAAAAAAATCTACAATTAGATAACCCAGAAATAAAGATAAAAAGTACATTTGATTGGATATGTTAGGTTAGTTTTCCACAGAAAATGAAGAAAATGCTCTCTATAGCTCTGGGTGCCCTGGGTCTGCAAGCACAGGAATGAGTTTTTCAGACACATATCCATTTATCCACAGAGGTGCTGAGCAGAAGCGGAGGATCCAGGCACCTGTTTCAGGATATTATGCCCAGTACTTCACTTCCTTGTACCTTCAAGGCAAAATGTACTCTGTGAGGAATTAATTTTCCTTTGACTCTAAATATAAAGCTCAAAAGGTGACTTCAGTGAAAGAAGTATCTACCACTCTCATCTTTTTTAATTCCAAAGCACAGTGGAAGAATAGTGTCTATCAGAGATCTCTGCCTTCCCTAACTATATTAAAAACAAAATTAAAAGGCAAGAAACATGCTCTGAACTTGAACAGTTAGAAAATATTTTTACAAATGCATATGAAGCAACTGCTGTTCCCAACAGACGGGGGAACAGTTAATGCCATTAATGACTTGAGTTAGGAGTATTTAAAAATCATCTCAGCCGGGCGCAGTGGCTCATGCCTGTAATCCCAGCACTTTGGGAGGCCGAGGCAGGTGGATCATGAGATCAGGAGATCGAGACCATCCTGGCTAACACAATGAAACCCCGTCTCTACTAAAAATACAAAAAATTAGCCTGGCATGGTGGTGCGTGCCTGTAGTTCCAGCTACTTGGGAGGCTGAGGCAGGAGAATGGCATGAACCCGGAAGGCGGAGCTTGCAGTGAGCCGAGATCGCGCCACTGCACTCCAGCCTGGGCAACAGAGAGAGACTCCATCTCAAAAAAAAAAAAAAAAAAAAAAAAAAAAAAAAAAAATCATCTCAAGTCGGAAAATTACAAAGATTACCACAACATGAGCTCCTCTCGTGCAGGATGGAGAATCTGTGACAGTGGAGAACTCTGTTCTGTTTCCCGTTATCTGGATGTGTGAGTTTAATGGTAAATCCTATAGGTGGGGACTTGGCAGCTCCCAGATGTGCTCAAGTAGGATTAAGTTTTTATGAAATGATTTGTTATCATGGAAATAATAATTAAGTGACATGTTTATTGTCGAAAATTTTTTTAATTAAAAAAATAAAAATCTCTTTTTACTAATTTGGTCAACCTCAAGTTTTATTATTCTGATTTCTCTATATCATGTTTCTGAGGACGGTATTATCAAGCTTTTTAGAAGGACATACTCCATGGAATATAAAACAACTCTTACTAGGCATTTGGAGCTTAAGGGGTAAAAGTTTCCATAAAAGAAGGAGGAAAAAACTACTCAATTGTTACTGCTAGGAAATGGCACTTTTTTCCTATGAACCTCTTGGAGTCATTACCCTTAATTCCATTTAGATAACTGTTAGTCATGGTTCATGGTTAAATGATCAGTAGATATTTTCCTAGACAGTTTTTGTGCTTTTTCATGAGCATAATGAGTTGTTCCTGCTGCAACATCAAATGTTCATTCATTTGCAGGAAAAGGGCCAGAAGTCAGTAAAAGAGAAAGGCAGAGGCTGAGCACTTACCTCTCAGCTGAGTTGCACATGGCATTTTAAACAGATTGCAATCATTCAGAAAAACAAATTACTAAACAGTTTAGGTAGGCTGTTCAGACCAAGAAGTTTTTTTTTATTATTTTTTTTGGACAGAGTCTTACTCTGTCACCCAGGCTGGAGTGCAGTGGCACAATCTCAGCTCACTGCAACCTCTGCCTCCCAGGTTCAAGTAATTCTCGTGCCTCAGCCTCCTGAGTAGCTGGGATTACAGGTGCGTGCCACCACACCTGGCTAATTTTTGTATTTTTAGTAGAGACAGGGTTTCGCCATGTTGGCCAGGCTGGTCTCAAACTCCTGACCTCGAGTAATCTGCTGGGATTACAGGCATGAGCCACCTTGCCCGGCCCAGACCAGGAATTTACCAGAAGATTATCCCAATTAATAGTGGCAGCTATGAGTTCTCACATATTTCCTTCAGGAAACGGAACGATAGAAATGTTTCTTCTTTCTGGTGTGGCTCTGATTATAAGCACCTAAGCAGCTGATGTCATGGATTTGTAGATGAAGACACAAAATAAACGGGTTTGTCTTAATTCAACAAACTTTCATCAGGAAGAACACTTTTCATTGCCTCAAAACATACATAACATCTTGCTGATTATTTCTTGTCTTATCAGATGAGAATTATTTCCTTAATCAAGGAACAGATTGGGATGCCCCCTAATTAGTTATTTGTCCTTTTAACACTGGTATTTGTATTCTAGTCTGAATTAACTACAGGCTGATACAAGGGTGGCAGCTAAAACAAAGTCAACAAATTGCCCAGGAAAGAGATTCATCAGAGGCACCATTTTTTTAAAACCAAGATCTGGAGGCTCATTGTTTTCTGCAATAGTCATTATAAGATACAACCTGTAGCTTTCTGCGAATCAAAATGAGTAGAGATTTTCTTTCATCTCAATGTCTTCCATTGCAACTGTAGACTCAGTCTCTTCAAAATAACGAAAAGAAAGGAAAAGAGAGAAAAGCTACATAGGAATCTCAAGCCAATTATAGTGGCCACAGAACAGGAACTATAAAATGGTCATGATCCGCCTTGTAACAAGAAGTACAAAATGGCAGATGTGCTGCTATCTCCATCAACCAAGCAGCCTTACAAAGAGTCCACTCTGCAGAGTTTGAATGGAGGTTACATAGTGTCAGGTGGCTCCATCCTTCCTTCCAATCTGCCTTATTGCAGTGGTCTCGGTGGTTGACTCCCAAAAATACACCCTACTCCAAATGGTCAGCCACGATGATCTTTTCCCCTTGCTTGTAATTGGCTTAGATGTGACATGCCATCCAATCCTGGCCAAAAAAGGTGGGGAAAATTTTTCTTTCTTCCCTGAGATGATGCCCTGTATGCTTCAATACCTAGAACTACAACCATGATGTCAACATGTAGTGAAGGTCAAAGTAGATAGAATTGCCAGAAAACAAATTACGACCCTGAGATGCCACAGCAAGAGCTGCCATGCCTATGAAATTCTGGTTCAGTGAGATGAAATGGTTCCTGATGTCTCCTAATGTTTAAATCATTTTGAGTCAGAAATTTCTGTTAATTAAAACCAAAGTGATCCTCATGCTTCACTTAATATTTAAAGTCTCAGGGATCTTTAATAATCACTAAGGACAGTAGGATGCATTCAGAATCCCACTGATCCACCTAGCAATTAGTACCTGCAAACAATGGATAAAGTAGTCAGCCATGGCCAGGCATGGTGGCTCACGTCTGTAATCCCAGTACTTTAGGAAGCAGAGGCGGGTGGATCACCTGAGGTCAGGAGTTCGAGACCAGCCTGGCCAACATGGTGAAACCCTGTCTCTATTTAAAATACAAAATTATCTGGGCATGGTGGCATGCACCTATAATCCCAGCTACTCGGGAGGCTGAAGCAGGAGAATCACTTGAACCCGGGAGGCGGAGGTTGCAGTGAGCCGAGATCGCGCCATCGCACTCCAACCTGGGCAACAAGAGCGAAAATCCCTCTCAAAAAAAAAAAAAAGGAGTTAGCCATAGAAACCACTTGGAAAAGTGTTTATGAAGACTGACTGGGATGAGTGAGGGGGAAAGATCTCTTTTTTCCCCGTCTTTTGCACATCTAAAAATAGAGAAGAGAATTTTTAAAGGCTGAATGATTTCTTTTTCCTACAGGTCATAATACAAGTGTGATTGAGACAGAATCTTCCGAATAACTTTTCACAGTGCTTTATGCCATGAAAAGTATTTTCAAAATACTGTCATATATATCACATTTGATTTTTACTACCATTCTGAGATTCAGTTAGGACCTATATAACCTTCCTTTAACAAATGAAGAAACTGATTCAAAAAGATCGTAGGACTTGCCATTATGGAAGACACATCCATGGCTAGGACCTAGGTCCCTGCTTTGCATCTCAATGTATTTTCCATTATCTACAATATCTGTGAATCGAGGGTCACTGAAACAGAGTGGGAAGGGCATGAACTGTTAATTCCAGCTCCGCTCCAAACTGCTACTAACTAACCACGTTACTTTAAACCAACTACTTTTGCCTGGTAGACAATAGATGCTCCTAGGTGGTTTTCATTACTTTTATCGTTGCTCCAATAGCCATCGTTGTCCACTATGTCTTCATTATAGGGATCCACAAACTCATAATCCTATATTGAAGACTAATTATTAAATGTAAGGTCCCGCTGATGCCAGACAAGTAAGCTTTAGAACACTTGCCTAAACTAAATTGTTTCTGATTTTTAACCATCATTACCTTTAGCCTTTGGAATCATAAATCACATTCACATGATTAAGTATGTTCATGGAATAGCTTTTATTATTTTGGTTATTGCTTTGCTGTGAAATTTACTTATCGACAAAGTGTGAGGAAGTAAATGTATTCCTAATGAAAAGAATTATCCCGCTCAGTTCCTAATTCCTGGAAACAAGCCCAGTTACAGCCGAATCTTAGGACTTTCCCACGCTTGGTGGGCCCTGGTAAAAGTGAGAGGGTCCCAGGCTGCCTCATTGGTAGGAAGTCTGGAGTGGAGACGGTGCACAAGAATGGCCCAAAAGCTCTGGACTGAAACCAGCTCCTCTTCACCCTGGTCTTTGTGTGAACCTAAACCCACTAGGCAGCTCTGTCTTGGCCACACTCAGTATCAAATTGATTTGGATTGACTTCAGTCCAGTCTCACATCACCCAAATAGGCCACTCTAAAAAACTATAGAAGAACTGGAAAGGGCAACTATTACAATAGTGGATTGTTACCTCATTTTCCTTTCCACTGAAAATCTGGTTTATCACTTTAAAGAATAAAAGTTTCTCTTGCTACTAATTTTTTTTCCATAATGAAGCAGTGGTAACAATGAGAATAAAAACTTAACCAGGCACAGTGGCTCATGCCTGTAATCCCAGCAGTTTGGGAGGCCGAGGCAGGCAGATCAGTTGAGGTCAGGAGTTCGAAACCAGCCTGGCCAACATGTGAAAATCCATCTTTACTAAAAATACAAAAATTAGTCGGGAGTGGTGGCGGGTGCCTGTAATCCCAGCTACTCAGGAGGCTGAGGCACGAGAATCGCTAGAACCCAGGAGGCGGAGTTTGCAGTGAGCCAAGATCACACCACTGCACTCCAGCCTGGCCAAGAAAGCGAAACTCCATCTCAAAAAAAAAAAAAACTCAAATGATCCTAATGGTTTTAGTTAGAATGACCATCCATCTCAGTTTGCCCAAGACAGTACTGGTTTATGCCTGTCACCCTGGCATAATAAGTAGTGCACTACTCCTTTCTCAAAAGTTTCCTGGTTTGGACAACAAATTATGTGATCCCCAACGTTGAGTTGCTTAGGAAATGAACTTTTATTCACTGGTCTAAATTTCTACTGGTGAAACTTACTCAGATCACCCCCCATGAAGGCTGTCGTAGAAGAAAATCATCAATCCATCTTTACAGAGACAAGTTACTGAGAAGTTTCACATTCTTTCTCTAACCTTTTCATCAGAAATGAGTTAGAAGAACTTTCTTTGTTTTTGTTTTTGAGGCAGGGTCTTACTCTGTCACCTAGACTGGAGTGCAGTGGTGCGATCTCAGCTCACTGCAACCTCTGCTTCCCAGGTTCAAGTGATTCTCCTACCTCAGCCTCCTGAGTAGCTGGGACTACAGGCATGTGCCACCACGCCCGGCTAATTTTTGTATTTTTAGTAGAGATGGGGTTTTACCATGTTGGCCACGCTGGTCTTGGACTCCTGACCTCAAGTGATTCTCCCGCCTCAGCCTCCCAAAGTGCTGGAATTACAGGCGTGAGCCACCACACCTGGCCAGAAGAACTCTATTTTAAAAGATTGTTTCATCATTTCATATAATAATTAATTTCCCTGGCACTGGTAAGAAATGGAATATATGCTATAAATATAAAATCCATGAAATTGAACACTTCCCTTCCGAGAACTTTTAAATTTTATGTTTATGGGACTTTTTGTTAAATGTATTAAATGATTTATACTAAATATAATTTAGTCTTTCATCTAACTCAAGGTCATATAAAAGTTATTGACTGTGCTCTCCTGGCCCCCAGCAGCACCCCGTGTCCCAGTCCCCATTGCCCTCCTCTGCACTGGCCAGGGGACTGCAGAGAGGATACTCAAGAGTGTCCAGAAACGGGGCTAGAAAATGAACTCAGAAAAAAAAAAAAAAGTGATTCATTGCATTGTGGAGCGACATGGTGACACCACAAAGACCACTGCAGTCATTAGCATTTAGCTTGCCCTTTCCCTGAACTCCTTCTCACTCGACTTTTCTTCCACATTGTCCCTTGTTGCCAATGGTCATTTCTCCCACTGTCAGCTGCTGGCAGTTCTGTATTCTCAATCCTCCCTTTGAATGCATTATACATTATAAGACAGAACCGGAAGTGTCTAAGGAAAACGCCCTGAGTAAATCAATAGCCCTAATTTAAGGAACAACTCTGAGTCAACAGGCTTTTTTCAGAAAGTAGAGCTAGTCTTCTTTTAGAGTGAGACATATAGCTTTGAGATAGTCATTGTCTTCCTCCTAAGAGGACTATTCCAATATTTCTATGTTCCAAATATGTATATTCTGTACCATAAATTTGCCAAAAAAAATCTAATCTCAGAAAAGGTGGGGCATTACTGAACAACTGGCTTTATTTCGTGAACTGTAATACATGGAAGATGTCCTGCAAAATCCATTACTTTTAGTGGGATATTGATAGCCGTGGTGAAAGCAAGCATCCTTGTCTCATTCCCATCTTCACCATTGCTATTCAATATTGTACCAGAAGTCCTAGCCAGGGCAATTTGGCAAGAATAAATAAATAAAAGGCATCCAGATTGAAAAGGAATAATTAGAACAATATATATTTCCAGATGACATGATTTTATATATTACAAGAAAATCCCAAAGAATCCACCAAAAAATGACAAGAACTAATGAACAAATTCAGCAAAGTTACAGGGTACAAGATCACATGCAAAAATAAGCTGGGATTTTATACATCAGCAACAACAATTCAAAGAGGAAATTAAGAAAACGTTTCCTTCCTGTCAACCCCTGCTAATATTAGAAAAAAAAAAAAAACGAAAGAAAACAATTCCATTTACAATTGCATCCAAAAGAATAAAAACCTTGCAATAAAATTAACCAGGGAGGTAAAAGACTTGTACACTGAAAACTACAAAATATTACTGGAGGAAATTTTAAAAGACCTAAATAAATGAAAAGACATCAGTGATAATGAATAGGAAGACTTAATATTGTGATGAAGATGTCAATAGTCCCCAAAGCAATCCATAGATTAAATGTAATCCCTACCGAATTCCAATTTTGCATTTTTTTGCAAAAATGGAAAAGTCAATCCTCAAATCCATATGGAATTACAAATAGCCAAAATAATGTTGAAAGAAGAAAAAATAAAGTTGGAAGACTCACACTGATTGATTTCAAACTTACGACAAAGCTACAGTAATCCAAACAGTGTCGTGCTGTCATCAACATAGATACAGAACAATGGAATGGAATTAACGGTCCAGAAATAAACCAAACATCTATGGCCAATTGCTTTTTGTCAAGGGTGCCAAGATCATTAAATGAGGAAAAAACAGCCTCTTCAACAAATGGTTCTGGGAAAACTGTGTGAAAACATGTAAAAAATTAAAGTTGATCTCCCACCTCACTCCATAATCAAAAATTAACTGAAAGAAAATCAATGACCTAAACAAAACAAAACAAAAAAAAAGCTTAAGGAGTAAAACACAGGAGTAAATCTTCATGAAGTCAGATTTGGCAATGGATTCTTATATTTAACACCAAAAGCATGAGCAACAAAAGAAAAAAAATAAATACACTGGACTTCATAAACTTTAGAACATTTTGTACATCAAAAGATATCAAGAAAGTAAATAGTCAACTTACAGAATGAGAAAATATTTTTGAATCATATATATAAACCACTGTTATTACTCAAGAACAAAAAGACAAAAAATCCAATTTAAAAATGGACAAAGAATTTGGATAGACACGCCTCTAAAGAAAGTACATGTATAGCCAACGATCACACAAAAAGACTTTTAATATACTACTTTGCACCTACTAGGATGGCTATAATCAAAAAAAAAAAAAAAAGAATCAGTACAATGTGAAGAAATAGGAACCCTCGTACATTGCTGGTGGAAATTTAAAATTTTGCAGCCACTGTGGAAAACAGTTTGGTAGTTCCTCAAAATGTTACACATAGAACATTGTTTGACCCAGCAATTCCATTCCTAGGTATTACCCAAGACAATCAAAAAGAGATGTTCAAACAAAAACTTGCACAGTAATGTTTATAGCAACACTATTTACAATAGCCGAAAGGTGAAAACCTCTCAAATCATCCTTCAGGAAATTAATGGATGACAAATTGTGGCATATTCATACAATGAAATATTATTCAGCCATAAAAAGGAATAATATGACTGACACTAGCTACAACATAGATGAACCTTGAAAATATGCTAAGTGAGAGAAGAAGTCAGACACAAAAAGTCACACATTGTATGATTCCTTTCATATGAAATATCAAAAGCAGGTAAACCCATAGAGGCAGAAAGCAGATTAATGGTTCCCAGGGGATGCGGGAGGAGGGAAGGAGAGAGTGATTAGTTAATGGGTGCAGGCTGTTCTGGAGTGATGAAAAAGTCTCCCAATAACAGAGAGGTGGTGGTTGCCCCATGTTGTGAATGCACAAAATGCTACTGAATTGTGTGCTCTGAAATGGCTATTTGTGTGTCTTGTGAGTTTCACTTCAATAAAAAAATCCTTTACTTGGTAAATCATAGTATATTTTTAAAATTCTAATCCAATAGTCCCAGTTCTCATATTCTCTCACGTGAAATATCAGTCACATTATCAGTCACATTGGCCTTTTAAAAATCACTTTCAGGGAAAACTTTAAAAAGCAATAAACATCATGTTATCTTTTCTTTTCTTTTTTTTTTTTTTTTTTTTTTTTTTTTTTGAGACAGGGTCTCATTGTGTCAGCCAGGCTGGAGTGCAGTGGCATCATCATAGCTCACTGTAGCCTCAACCTCTCGGGATTCTGAGTAGCTGGGACTACAGGTACGTGCCACCACATGCAGCTGTATTTTTTGTAGAGACGGGGTTTCGTCATGTGGCCCAGGCTGGTTTTGAATTTCTGGCCTCAAGCGATCCACTTGCCTCAGCCTCCCAAACTGTGGGATTACGGGCGTGAGCCACCATGCCCTGCTAACATGTTTCTTTTAATGCTACCTGACAGTAAATTGTGAAAAGAATTGACCAGAAATAGAGACATTTCCCTGCTATTGTTTTAAAAAGAAAGTTGTGTTCATAATACACATATTGACATGAATCCGAACACAGAAAATTCTTTATCAGAGCCCAATTTGTCTACTGAGTGTTTTTAAGGACTGGATTGTCTCAATCTAAGAGGCAAGAATACCATCCACTCCAAATTCTTGGTGCCACCAAAGCAATGTTCTTGCATATTCCTGGACAGCCTTAAATATAAGCAACAACTGAGGGGAAAATGCAAAGAGGGAGAGGGAAAAGAAAAGATTAAAAGAAGGAATAAAAAGAGGAGTATAAACAAGAGGTGTCTATTGGGAAATGCATTTCTATGACAACACCTCATCTAAACTATAGATTTCTTATTTTGATCAAAATCCCTTTCAGTTAACTCCAGTTCAGGAGATTGGGGCAAAAATGCCTAACACCATTCCCTGAAGAAGGGACCCTCAGAGTTTAGCAGGAAATAATTCAGACAAAAGCAATCTGAGTGAGACGGCCACTGGATCACGAGAACAAATTACTTGAAAATACAACTCCAGCTGAATTCAGGTTTTTCACATATTGGTATTTTGGGGGTACCATGAAGCCACTTTCTGGTTTTTTTATGGTGGTAAATACACATAAAAATATACCATTTTAACCATTCTAAAGTGTACAACTCAGTATTATTTTGTACATTTACAATGGGGTACAACCATGACCACTATCAAGTTCCCAAACATTTGTATCACTGCAAAAGGAAACCTGTGTTCATCAAGGAGCTACTCTCCTCTGCTTCCCTTCAGTCCACACAACCACTAATCTGTTTTCTGCCTCCATGGATTTACCTGTTTGGGATATTTCTTATAAAAGGAAGCCAACAACGTGTGACCTTTTGTGCCTGGCTTCTTTAACTGAGCACGTTTACATTGTAACAAGCGTCAGTACTTCATTCCTTTTTATGGATGAATAATATTTCATTGTATGAATAACATTTCATTGTATGAATATATGACAATTTGTTATCCATTAATTTCTTGATGGATAATTTGAGGGTTTTCCACCTTTTGGCTATTATAAATGGGGCTGCTCTAAACGTTCCTGTACAAGTTTTTGTTTGAACAACTGCTTTTGATTGTCTTGGGTATACGCCTAGGAATGGAACTGCTGATTCAAACGATATTCTATGTTTAACATTTTGAGGAGTCACCAAACTGTTTTCCACAGTGGTTGCACTATTTCATATTCCCACTAGCAACAAATGAGTCATATGTCTTTAAGCTTTGGGGCCCATTTTACAATCATTCGAAAAGAGTTTTCAACTGATACGATTTTTTATTTCATTTTCTATCAACTATGCATGTTCTGCACTATTCATGGTGACAAAAAATGACAAACAACTTGCATGTTCATCTATAGGAGATTGTTTAAATCAAATATGGTATATGAGGGCATAGAAAAGTCATTTCAGTCTTCTTCTTACTGTGTTTAGTATTTCTTTCTCTTGATATAGATAAATAAAAGCGTATCTCAGGGCTGGGTGCAGTGGCTCATGCCTGTAATCCTAGCACTTTGGGAGGCCGAGGTGGGTGGATCATGAGGTCAGGAGATCAAGACCAGCCTGGCCAAGATGGTGAAACCCCATCTCTACTAAACATACAAAAATTAGCTGGGCGTGGTGGTGGGTGCCTGTAATCCCAGTTACTCAGGAGGCTGAGGCAGAGAATTGCTTGAACCCTGGAGGTAGAGGTTGCAGTGAGCCGAGATCGCTTCACTACACTCCAGCCTGGGCAACAGAGTAAGACTCCTCCTCAAAAGAAAAAAAAAGAAAAAAGCTTATCTCATTACTTCCCAAGCTCATTTGACCAAGAAATACTCTTGGCTTTTTAAAAATTTTCTTTCAGAAATAGGGTCTCAGCCTCTCAACCAGGCTAGAGTACAGTGGAGTGGTCATAGCACACTGCAGCCTGGAATGCCTGGGCTCAAGTGATCCTTCTGCCTCAGCCTCCCAAGTAGTTAGTTAAGACTACAGGCACAAACCACCATGCTCAGCTAATTTTTTTTTTTTTTTTTCCAGAGATGGAGGTCTCACTTTTGTTGCCCAGGCTAGTCTCAAACTCCAGGCCTCAAGCAATCCTCCCACCTTGACCTCCCAAAGCACTGGGATTAGAGCCACTGCACCCAAACCAAGAAAAACACTTAAAAGCTAACAGGTGTTTAGATAAAATACTAACCTGTGTTGCTTCAAGAAATGACCGCCAATTGGCTGGGCACGGTGGCTCACGCCTATAATCCCAGCACTTTGGGAGGCTGAGGCGGGCAGATTGCCTGAGGTCAGGAGTTCGAGACCAGCCTGGCCAACATGGTGAAACCTCATCTCTACTAAAAATACAAAAATTAGCCAGGCGTGGTGGCGGGCACCTGTAATCCCAGCTACCCAAGAGGCTAAGGCAGGAGAATCGCTTGAACCCAGGAGGCGGAGGTTGCAGTGAGCCAAGATCGCGTCATTGCACTCCAGTCTGAGTGACAAGAGCGAGAATTCGTCTCAAAAATAAAAATAAAAATAAAGAAATGACCCCCAATTTAATTAATATTTGTAACCTTTTTATTTATTTATTTATTTTGAGACGGAGTCTCTCTCTGTCGCCCAGGCTGGAGTGCAGTGGCCGGATCTCGGATCTCGGCTCACTGCAAGCTCCGCCTCCCGGGTTCACGCCATTCTCCTGCCTCAGCCTCCCGAGTACCTAGGACTACAGTGGCCCGCCACCACGCCCGGCTAATTTTTTTGTATTTTTAATAGAGACAGGGTTTCACCGTGTTAGCCAGGATGGTCTCGATCTCCTGACCTCGTGATCTGCTCGCCTCGGCCTCCCAAAGTGCTGGGATTACAGGCATGAGCCACCGCGCCTGGCCTGTAAACTTTTTAATAGAGCAAAAAATAAAGTGGGAATTTAAAATTTTGTATCTTTTAATATGCTTCTAGAAGGAAACATGAACCAATCTTCATATATGAAGCAGCATAAATAATAACTAATAAAAATAGCTAATCCGCATTGACTATTTATTACATACCAGACACTGCACTAAACGGTTTACATCTCACCTTCAAAATAATCCTTTGGGGTATCTCTTGCTGATTTTTTTTAACTTTATAAATAAAAACATGCACCAGGCATGGTGGCTCACGCCTGTAATCCTAGCACTTTGGGAGGCTGAGGTGGGCAGATCACCTGAGGTCTGGAGTTCAGGACCAGCCTGGCCAACATGGCGAAACCCTGTCTCTACTAAAAATACAAAAATTAGCCCGGCGGGGTGGCACATGCCTGTAATCCCAGCTAGCAACTCCAGAGGCTGAGGCAAGAGAATCCCTTGAACCCAAGAGGCAGAGGTTGCAGTGAGCCAAGATCGTGCTGCTGCACTTCAGTCTGCGCAACAGAGCAAGACTCCATCTCACAAAAAAAAAAAAAAAAAAGAAAGAAAAAAGCTCTATAAATAAAGTTTAGTAAGATTGGATAACTTGTTCAAAGTGAGAGTAAGTAGCTATGTTACCGGTGGAGGGTGTCTAGGTTCTTGGCATCTTGAACAAAGAATTGGACAAAATGCACAAACAAAACAAGGAAAGAATGAAGCAACAAAAGCAGAAACTTACTGAAAGTACACTCCAGAGTGTGGGAGCAGGCCAAGCATAGGGGCCCCAGGAGCTGGTTACAGAATTGTGAGGGGTTCAAATACTCTCTAGAGGTTCTCATTGGTGACTTGGTGTATGCCTTATGTAAATGGAGAGGATATTTCTTATCATAGCTGAAGTGTGAATCAGCCTTATGTTCCCTGACTCCAGACCCTATTTTCCTGCCTCAGCTACCGTCTGACTATAAACTCATTTCGTTATACTAAACCCAAGGATCTCAACAACACTAAAGAACATTATGAAAAATCCTGTTTCCTACACATACACGGTAGCAAAGGGAGAGATGTGACCTTCTGGTGTTATAATAATTGGGTAATCATGAATTAGGCTGCTTTTAAATGTATTGTTTATGTTGAGTAATTTCTATAGAAATCAAAGAGCATGACTATTAATATTCTCTTTAAAATATTCCTATTTTGGCCGGGCCCGGTAGCTCACGCCTATAATCCCAGCATTTTGGGAGGCCAAGGCAAGTGGATCACTTGAGGTCAGGAGTTCGAGACCAGCCTGGACAACATGGTGAAACCCCATCTCTACTAAAAATACAAAAATTAGCCAGGTGTGGTGGCACACGCCTGTAATCCCAGCTACTCAGGAGGCTGAGGCAGGACAATCACTTGAACCCAGGAGGCAGAGGGTTGCAGTGAGCCAAGATCGTGCCAGTGCACTCCAGCCTGGGCAACAGAGTGAGACTCTGTCTCAAAAAACAAACAGCGACAACAAAAATTCAAATACCTATTGTGGCTCATTTATATCTGATATAGTGAGTTTCACAATACCTTACTTTTCATTTAATCTTCCTCTGTCAGCTATAGATCTTGGGAAGGAGGTTTGCATATGTGTATGAAAAACTCACACCCAAAGTATTTTTTCTCTATTCTCACTGAACAACAACACAGACTTCTGTGACCAAATGTGGGGGAGGTCTCTTCACACACCAAGCAACCAACCAATTCTGCAGCAGGCGCCAGCTGGGTGTCCTCCAAGTCAATTCAATTCTGATGCTATCTGCCTGGAGATAGCCTTGGAACCCACAGATTAAGGGCTCAGTCCCACAAGGCCACCCCCTCTTTCCCACCAATCCAAAGTCCAGGCCTCTGGAACTTAGGACTTCAAGTTGGGGTTCCCCTTTTTGGGGTTTAATTTGTTAGAGTGGCTCACAACTCAGGGAAACACTTACTTAAGTTTACCAGTTTATTACAAAGTGTATCTTAAAGGATAAAATAAACAGCCAGATGGAGACAAACATGATGAGGTCTGGACCGGTCCCAAGCACAGGAGCTTCTGTCCCCGTGGAGCTGAGAGGCATCACCCTCCTGGCACACAGATCAGTTCTTGGTCGGCATCCATGTGTTCAGCAGTCCTCTTGGGCCTTCTATGGAGACTTCACTGGATAAGCATGGCTGACCATTGTGCAGAAATAGCATTGGACAAAAAGGGTAAGGTCTAATATGAATAGGCAGAGTAGGAAAAGCCCGCAAGTCCTGTCTGTTCACATTCTTCCTGGACTCTCTGTGCAGCAGTTCATCCTCCAGGGTATGGGGTAGAACCCTCTTTAGAAGGAGGGTCTTAGGACCTACAATCAAATAAGGTAGGTCAGGGAATTTCTTTATGGCCAGCTCCAAGACAAAAAGGTGGGAGAAGATTTCTGCCTTGGGAAGAAAAATAAAGCAGGTGAAAGGAGGACAGGAGAAGGTCAGAGAGAGAAAGATTCTGTTTTCTGGGGTCTACTGAGTCCTAAAGTGCCCCAACATTATAACAAAAACTATGGGAGTAGCAAGCCAGGAACTGTTGATTAAAAACATATATATATATATATATATATAAAATAACACAGTGTAATATAATTGTTTAGTATCCTAAGTGCATGAAATAACATGACTAATATATATTGAAGTTGAGGAATGCAATACACAGCATAGATCATTGGTCTTCTGAGACAGTACTCATGTCCATTTGATAGTATGCCAAAAGGCTGTCTCAGTGTCATTGATGGATGGAACATTCTATGTGTTAAGTAGGTTTCTTACATCTTTTTTTTTTTTTTTTGGAGACAGGGTCTCATTCTGTCGCCCCAAGCTGGAGTGCAGTGGCATGAACATGACTCACTGCAGTCTCAATCCCTGGGGTTCTCTCTGGCAATCCTCCTGCCTCAGCCTCCCAAGTAGCTGGGACCACAGGCACACAGCACTATACCCAGGTCACTTTTTTACATGTTTCGCAGAGATGAGGTCCTGCCATATTGCCCAGGCTGATCTTGAACTCCTGGGGCTCAAGTGATCCTCCCACCTCAGTCTCCCAAAGTGCTGGGATTATGGGTATGAGCCACCACACCCGGCCTCATCTACTTTTAAAATACAATTTATATTGTTTTGTTTTTCTTTCTTTTTGAGATGGAGTCCCACTGTGTTGCCAGGCTGGAGTGCAGTGATGCGCTCTCGGCTCACTGCAACCTCTGCCTCCCGGGTTCAAGCGATTCTCCTGCCTCAGCCTCCCGAGTAGCTGGGACTACAGGCGCGCCACCACTATGCCCAGCTGATTTTTGTATTTTTAGTAGAGACAGGGTTTCACCATGTTGGCTCAATCTCTTGACCTCATGATCCGCCTGCCTTGGCCTTCCAAAGTGCTGGAATTACAGGCGTGAGCCACTGCGCCTGGCCTAAAACACAATTTAAAGGGCAAAAAAAATCATGACTAGTATTTTTTTTTTTTTTTTTTTTTTACAAAATAACCTGTGGTATCTCATAAAACCCATTTGGGAAAATGTTTAAGTAACTTGAATTAAGATTCACTTAGGTGGGGCATGGTGGCTTATGCCTGTAATTCCAGCACTTTGGGAGGCCAAGGCGGGCAGATCACCTGAAATCAGGAGTTCCAGACCAGCCTGGCCAACGTGGCAAAAACACATCTCTACTAAAAATACAAGAAAATTAGCCAGGCATGTTGGGGTGCACCTGTAGTCCCAGCTACTTGAGAGGCTGAGGCGGGAGAATCACTTGAGCCTGGGAGGCAGAGGTTGCAGTGAGCCGAGATCACGCCACTGCACTCCAGCCTGAGCAACAGAGACAGACTTCGTTTAAAAGGAAAAAAAGACTCACTTGGAATCCTGGTCATGAGTCTCTCCAGCCTGAGGGACAATCAGTGAAAGACATTGCAGAAAGGAGAGCTCAGATGCTGTCTACATCTAAGGTGTGCTTACATCTTTTACTTAACATAGTCATTAGTTCTATTGTAAAGGTTCTGTGTTTCCAAAAGTTCCTTTATTTCATTCACCACCTGTACCTGGCAGTCCACACTAGTAGAGTTTTCTTTGGAAAGTTCGAAGAGAACAAGGTAAAATGTCGCTTGCTTTCTGATGTTTTGAAGTAAAGAAAAAAATATAAGGAAGTTATTTAGGTCCATTATTTAGGTTCATTTAAACTAGGTATGCTATTTATAAGGAAATGTAATCCTACCTAAACCCTGATGGAGTTGTCACAAATGACATCATCCAGAATTAGAAACAATTTTCCTTCATTTTAGGTAACAAAAATATTTTGGGACAATAGAGGCTACAAGGAGTTGAGCAGCAAATGCAGCTGGAAGTCTTCATGATCCAAAGGCTTCTCCATGGAGGAACTCTCAGCCAAGAAGCTCAAAGATGGACATAGAGACACAACAGTCCCCTACACATCCTTGAGATGCACAGATTAGCACTCCACGTTGTGAAAGCTGCTGGTAAGTGCTGGTAGTAGGGCAGCCTTGGATGGAAGAAAGCCACAGAGGAAGCCATGATGTAGACAAAAGGACAGTTTCCATTTTGCCCCTTCTCTCTTCTCAGCCAGTCACCTGCAGCAGCAGCAGTCCAGGTCAGAGCCTCCTGCCCCAGAGGAAATCTTGTCATTTCGCTCGACAAAGGTTCCATACCCTCAGCACCCTGACTTATCGCCATCTTCTCTAATAAGATAAGTGTCTGACAATTTCACACTCAGGTTGGCCTCTCTCCCAAAGGATATTGGACTCAGGACTCTAGTAATTCCAAAGGGATGAGTCTGTATTAGGAAGAATTGTAAACAAGCATAATGAGCCTAGTGGAGTAGAAGTGACATATCTGGTAGGCCAGGCGCGGTGGCTCACATCTGTAATCCCAGAACTTTGGGAGGCCAAGACAGGTGGATCACTTGAGATCAGGAGTTCGAGACCAGCCTGGCCAACATGGTGAAACCCTGTCTGTCTCTACTAAAAATGCAAAAATTAGCCAGGCATGGTGGTGCAAAGCATGTGGTTCCAGCTACTCGAGAGGCTGAGGCAGGAGAATCTCTTGAACCCAGGAGGCAGAGGTTGCAGTGATCCAAGGTTGTGCCACTGCACTCCAGCCTGGGCGACAGAGTGAGACTCAGAAAAATGACATATTTGGAGGTAGGAAATCTGAACCTTAGACTTGACCACAAAACCTTCTCTCTGGGCCTCAACTCCATCATCAGCAAAGCCAGGGGGCTGAGGGGATGTGCGAAGATCTCTTCCAGTTCTAGCACTAGAAGACCCTAAGAAGGCTATGATGCCTTCCCGGTACTGGTAAGCCAGGGGGCCAGCCCTGCCTGTGGGACAAATAAGGCAGAGACAGAGGCTATGACGAGGTTACAAGCACAGAGTGAGTCAGTCTGGAGGTTAGGAAAAGCAGCCAGCCGGAAATCAGCCCACACTGGGTAAGGATGTGTGGGTGGTGGAGAACGCTCCCTCACACCAGATCTTTCACCACAGCTGCCTGCATTTCACCTTCTCTGTCATCCTCAGAGACGAGATGCAATGAGAAGCAAAACATTCAGAAGGCAAAGGTGGTGATTAGGCCTTGTAATCAAAAGGGACCCTACTGCTCTCGACAAGCCATTAGCTTTCCCAGCAATTCAGTGCCCCCCATTTAAGTCTCTTGACTGTCTGTTAAAGATGCTGTGACTTCTGTCCGCTGTCGAATGACTGATATAGTCAAGAGACCATGGGACAGATTCTCGGGTAATTCTGATTTTATTTCCTGAAAAGAAAAAAGTAGAATCTTTTAAAAAATATATCAACCTCATCCATCACACACTACAAATTTTCCCTGTGATTGAAGACCTGTGTTCAACATAGCAAACCTCTTTGCCCTCACACCTGGTTTTAAAATTAAGCTTGAAAGTAAAAGGTTTTATTATGTACTTGTTTTTAATAGTCAAAAGTTCATGACAGTGGATGAGTGTGTTTCATAATTTTTGTTTGTAATGGAAGCCACAGTTAGACATTTAAAGCAAGTATAGCAGGCTAACAACCTCTCCTTCCTGTGGTTAAAATGATAGGAAGTGATTTATAAACTGCCATTAGAGTTAGCTCAGCTAAGCAATATTGGCTTTTGTTAGCATGATCTAAAACTCTTGGCAAACTAAAATGAAAAGCGTAATCTTCATCTGTTGTCAAACGATGAGATTCATTACCCAAAAAAGTCGTAAGACTTAAATAAGGATATAGATGTATAAGATCTTTTTAAAATTTAGACTTACATGCATAACCAGGAGTTATCTTAATTCAGTATTGGTGGTCTATAACTCAGATCTTTAGAAAATAAGCTAATCACTAGAGAGATTAAAGAGAGATTAACAATAGGAAGCTGTTCTTTTACTAACCTCTAAAAACCAGATATGGGCTACACCTGAATGCAAAACACTATCTGTAATAATTGCAATGAAAATTTTAGCAAAATCATAAAAACCTTATTGCCTTCTGAAGATCAAGCCCATTTTCCAATAATTGGTTAATTCAAATGAAAGTCTCCACCTTCTTAATTTGGGCCCATTGTTAATCTCTCCACAGAAAACCGCACAAGTCCTATCAAAGACTTTTGTGAAAAACCACTAATTAAAGAGAAGTTTGTATCTGACATAATAGAGATTCTCAAATATTTGTTGATTAATTGTCCTGCATTGTTACTCTCTAGTGCTTGTATTAACCAAAGAGTATTGTCTTGGCCCTGGAATAGAAAAACATATTTGAGGCTGGATGCAGTGGCTCTCAACTGTGATCCCTGCAGAGCTTTGGGAGGCCAAAGTGGGAGGATTGCTGGAGACCAGGAGTTCAAGATTAGCCTGGGCAACAAAGCGAGATCCTGTCTCTACAAATGTTTTTTTAAAAATTAGCCAGGTGTGTGTCTCATACCTGTAGCCCTAGCTACTCAGGAGGCTGGAGTGGGAGGATCAACTTGAGCCCAGGAGGTCAAGGCTGCAGTGAGCTCTGATTGCGCCACTGCACCCCAGCTTGGGATAGAGAGCAAGAACTTGTCTCAAAAAGAAGAAAGAAAGAAAGAAAGAAAGAAAGAAAGAAAGAAAGAAAGAAAGAAAGAAAGAAAGAAAGAAAGAAAGAAAGAAAGAAAGAGGAAGAAAGAAAGAAAGAAAAAGGAAGAAAGAAAGGAAGGAAGAAAAGCATATTTGAATGTCTCTAGAAATAAGCGGATAAAAATCTAGGTGTATCGAGAAGACTAATAAACTAAAAACTTTCAAAAAGTAAAAAAAAGAAAGCCTGGCTGTCATCCACAGTATATTTACATTTTGTTCAATCCTAGCATACACATAAAGTAATTTCACATTTGCAAACTCATACCCTTGTGAAAACACATTTGTAAACTATAGTAAAGTATTTGTGCATAGTTCTTTTTGTCTTTAGACTTAAAGATACAGTCAAAAACTCTTGCTTTTTTAAAATTAATTTGTTTAGCTCTTTCGTGCCCCAATTCTGTGTGGTTCTAATTATAATTTGTAAAAGAGTTGAGTTCATTTGTTACTGTTTGTATTCCATTCCCCCACATCTGGTAAATTTAAATTATTTGTTTGTTTGAAAAAAAAATATCTAGGTGTATTAACATCATCAAATTAATAAAACAATGTTATTTAAAATATAGAACATATCATAAGCTTTCAAATCATAGTGGCCAAACAGCCACCATCTTCAAGAATCAATAATAAAAGAAGTGCTAGTAACTCTTACAGATGGATGAATGACAACATCATAGAGTATTACAGAGCCATTCAAAAAAAAATGAATAGGACTTATGCCAGTTGACTTGGAGAATTTCTAGGAGGTGATAGTGAGTACAAAAGATAAGATGCAGAGATAAGTTCATAGTATGATCCCATCTTTGTAATGTAACAAAATACCCACTTATAAATGTGTTTACATATGTGTGAATCTCAATGTTTTTATACAAGTATATGATGTATGCAAGTCTGTATGCATAGTCATATATGGTCATAAGGCAGATGGTTAGATAGAAAAAAAGTACTAAAGAGTACACCAGGTGGCTAATACTTTTCCTGGGGAACTGGAGGGTGGGGACAATACAGGACAAAGGCAAAGGAAAAAGGAGACTGAACCAAAAAATATGATTGTACTTGTGTAAAAGTATATGTATGCTTTTTAGAAAAAGAAAAGTCCAGAAACATTGGCTCATACCTGTAATCCCAGCACTTTGGGAGGCCAAGACAGGCAGATCACTTGAAGTCAGGAGCTCGAGACCAGCCTGGCCAACATAGCAAAACCCCGTCTCTACTAAAAACACAAAAATTAGCCGGGCATAGTGGCACATGCCTGTAACCCCAGCTACTCAAGAGGCTGAGATATGAGAATTGCTTGAGCCCGGGAGGCGGAGGTTGCAGTGAGCTGAGATTGCGCCACTGCACTCCAGCCTGAATGACAGAGTTAGACTCTGTTTCCAAAAAAATGAAAATGAAAAAAGAGAGATGTCTACAAACTTATAGGGATGGCTTTGGAATATTAAAAAGTTACAGAGTAATGTGTCTAGTCTGATTCTCTTTTTTTTTTAAGATAGCTTTACTTTTTCTTTTTACAAAATTAACACTTTGTCATTACAATATATATCAGAAAAATAGAAAAGCAGAAGGAAGAAAGTCAAGATTATCTATAATCCTAAGAACCACTGCAACCACCACCGAGTTCTCGAAGCCTGTCCTTCTGGGTTCTACTGTTGAGGAAAACGCGATCACACAGGTACTATGCTACAATCCTCCTTTATCGGGTAAAAATAAATGATTACTGTCACCTGGCCAGGTGCTCCTTTCTCACACAGCTGGCCTCCCTGTCTCTGGGAGGCACAGGAGACCCCGCCCATCCTCTGTTAGCTCTTAGCCTGAGTGTTCCCCTTGGCCTCTGGCTCCTCTCCATAGTGCGCCCCGGGCCAAGACCTGCTGTCCGGAAACAGTCACCTTCTGGGTCTCCCTCCCCACCTCCAATCCCATGAGAGGGAGAGAAATTCTAGGTCACTTCCATGACCCTCTGGAAGCAAGAACAACTCAGGCAAATTAGATCCTGGCCCACTCTCTGTTCCCTAGTCTACTTCAAAGTGGCTTTCCCCCAGGTTCACAAGGGAGCAACTCTTGAGGTGATCTCCTCCCAGGGCTACAAACATTAAAATGGACCAAAAGCCCCAAGCTCTCAGCATTCCCCTCAGCTCCAGTAGCACCCCTCCTTTCTCTGGATTCTGTTCTGGAAATATGTGATCAAGACAATGTGTCTTCTTCCTTACCTTTTCTGTTGTTCTGTCCTATGTGCTAATTTGGGGAATCTTCTCTAGGCAAACCTGGTTTCAAATCTATTGTTTGGCAGCAAAAACCTATTTTGAACGTCAGGGGCTATTAACCTTTGTTTCCCTTGGTATTTCTGTTGTAATGTCAACAAATCCCCATTAACTTACCCCAGAACTGTACCTTACCTTGGGCTGACCAGGGATAAAGTTACATACCCAAAGTACAAACAGAAAGCACATTAAAGTGTTTTCTAATAGTACCTCTGTTTCACAAAGAAACAACTTTCTTTTTTTTTGTTTTTTTTTTTTGTTTGTTTGTTTGTTTTTGAGACAGAGTCTTGCTCTGTCGCCCAGGCTGGAGTGCAGTGCATGATCTCGGCTCACTGCAACCTCTGCCCCCCGGGTTCAAGCGATTCTCCTGCCACAGCCTCCCGAGTATCTGGGATTATAGGCACATGCCACCATGCCTGGCTAATTTTTGATTTTTAGTAGAGACAGGGTTTCTCCATGTTGGGCAGGCTGGTCTCGAACTCCTGACCTCAGGTGATCCTCCCACCTTGGCTTCCCAAAGTGCTGGGATTACAAGCATGAGCCACTTTTCAGTAATCATCAATAGCATTAATTTTCTCCAAATGTATTCTTGGTTGCATTAGACCATACTTGAGTGCATTGATTATGATGGGGATAAGAGAAAAAGTCCCCTTTGCCCTCTGATGATTCACTGAAAACCAAAACTGACAAAATGCAGAAAATGGGGAAAATAAGGCATACAAATATGTTTGATCATAGTTTTCCATGACACAAGAACCTTCAGAATGAAGACCTAAAGATACAGGGGCAATTAATTGCTTTTTTTTAATGCTTAGGTTCAACAATGTGGGAACAGCCACGCAGAAATATAAGTGAACAAAAAGGTTATGATCCAAGGCCAATAGAGTAAAGGGAAGTCCAGCAAGTCCTGTCTGCTTAGATTTTTTTTTTTTGCCTGTCTGTGTAACATTCCTTTTTCTTTTTCTTTTTTTTTTTCATTTGAGACAGAGTCTTGTTCTGTCACCCAGAATGGAGTGCAGTGGCCCGATCTCAGCCCATTGCAGCTTCCACCTCCTGGGTTCAAGTGATTATCCTGCCTCAGCCTCCTAAGTAACTGGGACTACAGGCATGTGCCACCATGCCCAGCTAATTTTTATATTTTTAGTGGAGACAGGGTTTTGCCATTTTGGCCAGGCGGCCTTGAACTCCTGCCTCATGTGATCTGCCCGCCTCGGTCTCCCAAAGTGCTGGGATTACAGATGTGAGCCCTGCGCCTGGCCAGCATTCCTTTTTTCTGAGTACAGGGCAGGACCCTCTCTGGAATGGGGGTCTTATGACCTACAATCAACCAAGGCAGGTCAGATAATTTCTTTGTGGCCAATTTTTACACAGGGATGTGGGGGATCCTACAGTAATATTTTCAGGCTTTATGGCTGACTTTGGGGAAGGGGATTCTGGTTTTGATAACCCGCCTTGGGGAAAAGGGATTCTAGTTTCTATGGCTGGTCTTGTGGGAGAATGGGACTGAGAGACAGGAAAAAGGAGGTCAGAGAAAAACTTTTGCTTCTGAAGCTGCTTCTGGGGCTTTCATTTCAGGGCATCATTTTCTGAGGCCCAACAGTTACACTATAAAGTAATTCAAGCAGAAAAGTAATTCCTGCCCTACAAAGGAAAATGGCAGGTACCTACAGGGAGCATCTTTCTTTCCCATCACTAGGTTCATGGCTGAGCCCCCCATAACTAAAGGCAGATTATCAAGAGAAAAGCATACAGATTTATTTAATATAACTTTTACATGGCAGGAGAGCCTTCAGAAATGCAGACCCAAGACACGAGTGCTTCTCTGAGAAATTGATAGGAGGCCATTGGTTTAGACTGAGCTCCCGCACTAGGCCCAACAAACCAAACCACAATGGGGTTACTCATGCTAAAGTTTCATGCCACCTAGTTAAGTTGTTTATCTGACCTTTCAGGAAATCCGAAGACAGAGAGAAAAGAGCCAAATCCCCAAACAGGCCAGTTTTAGCTGGCATAATAAGGAAGCCCTCTTCCCTTTAACTTTACAAGAAAAGTTACTTTAAAATGACCAATTTACTTTTTGTTCTATTTTTGCTTTCCTCAGCCCTTTTTTGTCTGTAAAGCCAATCTCCCCCGCTCATCTCTATCTTATAGAATGAGATGTTGCCTGATTCTGGGATTGCAAATAAAAGCCAGTTAAGGTTTTTAAACTAAATTTGTTATAATTTTGTCTTTCAATGCAGGTAATTATGTGTACCTTTTTACCCTAGGTTTGATGAAGAATTGGGTAGTCGTGGAGAAGTGTAATTGGACAAAGTGGTATAATCCAGTAGTAATAAACTGGGGGGAACTTAGCAAGGCCTGTTTGTTCAGATTCTTCTCTGTGTCACTGTGTTTTCAGATATAAGAATGTTCCTTTCCTCCCAAAATAATGAGGGCCCCTCCCAAACCAGAGTCTTTTCATCCACTTTGGAGGAGAAAGGTAGGGGAAGGTCAGAGTGGCCTTCTTGCTTCTACTGTTTTCTCTAATGCCAAGGTGCCATATTTTGGGGTAGCATATCCTAAGCCCCATCAAACCCAAGTAACAGGTATACTCCTTAAACACAAACTAGTGAGCACAGCTCAAATCTAAAAGGTGTAATCAAAGTAGTTAGGCTCATCAAATAAAATTTCCAGATAAATTGTTGAGGGCCAGGCATGGTATGACACTCTTGTGTTCCTGGCTACTTGGGAGGCTGAGGTGGGAGAATTGCCTGAGCCCAGGAAGCCAAGTCTGCAGTGAGCTACGATTGCACCACCGCACTCCAGCCTGAGTGACAGAGCAAGATCCTGTCTCTGAAAGATAGATAGATAGATGATAGATAGATAGATAGATAGATAGATAGATAGATAGATAGATAGATGATAGATAGATAGATAGATAGATGAAAGTAGATAAATAGATGGATAGTAGATAGATGACAAGTCATAGATAGATAGAAGATAGATAATAGGTAGGTAGATAGATAGATAGATAGATAGATAGATAGATAGATAGATAGTTGGGTTTCAAAATTTGATGAATGATAAAAGAGGTTGAACTTAGAAATCTCAGGTCCAAATGTGAAATGACTGAATGGTGCTCAGAGGAGATGTCCTACATAATGATTCAGGGAATGAGAGCGTATCTTCTCTTTTAGCCAAACAGGTTTATTTGGTGACAGTCAGGCCAAATGGCTTCCATTGTCATGCAGGGGCATGAAGCACCACTGGAAAGGACCATGGAAAAGGCAGTGGCAAAGTCAGAGCCCAGTTTCCCAAACCTAACCAGAGGGCACAGAGAAGTTTCTAAGTCCCGGTGGATAAATTAGAATATGGCACTCATAGGTCCGGACTGGGCAGGGAGGTGCAGGTTGGAAATCGGGCAGAGCTGAGACCAGCTGGGCTTTGGAAGACAGCACCAAAGCCCAGGTAAAGCAGAAAGGCCCAGATCAGACAGCCTGAGGCCTGAACTGAGCACAGAAAACTGGTAATAGCAAGAAGGCAAGTCCCTAGGGGAAAGCGTGAAGCAAAATCTCGGAGTGGACTGATCATGGCCTGCTCTCTGCCTTGTTTTAAGCAACCTTCCTGGTGTGGGTAAATGGTGGCTGGCAATCAGGTGTTACTACCAGAACAAGGACAGGTCCGGAAGCTGTCAGCAATTGCAGCAAATCTCTGGGGAAGCTTCCTGGTTCTAGACAAGAACTAGAGACTTCAAAGGAGGAGCATAGGATGAGGGATAACCTGCTTTTAGAATGATAGGGGTCCCTGACACCAGACATACCTGTCTTTACCAGAGCCAAAGTCTCCTTCTACCCTATGAATGAAGATCAAGGGAATCATGAATGAATTTTAAGATGCTTCTGAGCTACAAAGGTTTTCCATTCCTTGCATCGGAATCAAAGTTATAGGGCAAGGTGCTCCTGAAATGTATGGAGCCATTCATAACTAAAGGAGATGGGGTGGGATGTGGAGAGAGAGAGGGACAGAGAGAGAGAAGTTTGGGGGAGGGGAAGAGATCCAATATTAAGTTAATAGGGAAAGGTACAGTGACTTCATAGGTGCAAAAATCCTGAGTTAAATGCCATTTCAATAGATCTCTATTAAGTATGGAAAGAAACACACTGTAGAACCAAACAAATGGTACTCAGAAATTCAAAAACAATGACTATAGTGGCCATTCTAAAAAAGCCAGTTCCTAGCAATAGCTGGTAGCTGGCCAAAATTCTCAGCTGGAAACTATAAACTCACTTTATTTGGGGACATCTAAGGCTTCAGGGCAGGATGTGATGAATCCAATCAGTGCTGACAATCCACCCTACAAAGATTTCCAGAACACATCCCCTCCAGGCCATTCTCACCACCTGTGTTTGAATGCAAGCCCTCTTCAGTTCTCACCTGAATTCCTGAAACAGCCTTCCAACCGATATATCTGGGCCAAACTCTCTCTGCCACCCCCATCTCCGGATGGAGGCCACAATGCGTTTTTTAGTTATGTCCCAGGAGCCACTCTGACCCATGGAAGTGAAAAATGGATCTACCAGGGATTCTCTTTGCATGTCCTGAAAGCCCTTCTGTGGGTCCCATGTAGGTGGGTCCACTGTCCACACACTGAGCACCCACCCCAGGAGTGGAGAAGAAGGGGAGTATGCAGTCTTTGAGGAGAACATGCCATTCACACACCCTGCTTTTGTCGTCTCTCAGCCAGCTCCCCTGGGGCCATATTTGGACCCAGCCTAGGGAACACTGAGTGGTGATCATTAAGCTCCTGTCTGCTCTCCCCTGGTACACAAAACTTTGATTCAAAAAGTCATCTCTCCCTCCCTTCATCCATTCTTTCACTCATTTAATAAGTATTCATTTAATAAACATCAGTGAATACTAATACACTGTTCTAGGAGCTGGAGGTTCCACACTGAACAGACACTGGAAAGACTGTGAATACCTTTATTCTTGATGGCTTAATGCCATCACCCACAACCTTTCTCAGCAGAGAAAATTCTCTCAGCAGAAGAATCATGGAAGCAGAAAGGAAGAATATTTCAAAATTGGCATACACAAAACCACAGGTCTGCAGAATTCTCTTCACGGGGAATCTCACATGGAACTGGTTTTCAATATTGACTCTTGCCTTTGGCACCACGAACTTGTCTCTGGTTTCCCCTGGTCTAACTTCAGGGTCCCCTAGACAGTCTCAGGATGGGGGACATTTACACCCTCCACCTATTCTGGGCAGCACAAGTCCCAATGCACGCACTTACAAGCTGTAGGACCTTAGACAGGTTGTATTAATCCATTCTCCTGCTGCTGATAAAGACATACCCAAGACTGGGTAATTTATAAAGAAAAAGTGGCTTAATGACATCACAGTTCCACATGGCTGGGGAGGCCTCACAGTCATAGCAGAAGGCAAAAGGCACATCTTACATGGTGGCAGACAAGAGAGAATAAGAGCCAAGAGAAAAGAGTTTTCCCTTACAAAAGCATCAGATCTCATAAGACTTATTCACTACCAGGAGAACAGTATGGGGGAAACCACCATCATTATTCAATTATCTCACATGGGGTCCCTCCCACAACACATGGGAATTATGGGAGTTACAATTCAAGATGAGACTTGGGTGGGGACATGGCCAAACCATACCACAGGTTGATTCACATTTCTGAGCCTCTGAAAAAATGAAAATCACAAGAATTGTCACTAACACATAGATGGCTTACCCTGTGCAAAGCCCCATTCTCCATGCTTCACATGTGTTACCTGAGCAAGGCTCAGGACAACCCCTTGAGGTGCATGTGCTTGTTATTGCCATTTTACAGGGGAGGAAACTGAGGCTCAGAGAGGTGAGTGGCGGCGTCAGGATAGGAACCCAGGCAGTCTCTCTCCAGAGCGCATGCTCTCAACTGCTTCTCTGGTCTTGCTGTCTGGTCAGCTGCAAGCTCCACGCAAAGCACACATGGAAATCCAGCAACTCACCTCCTTCTCGTGTGCTGTCCTGCTTGATCACTGCTCACCACAGCCCCCAGACCAGCTGGGATTAATTCTCCAGGTCTGGGCCACCCTTCAGGATTTAAGACATACTCAGATGTACATCTGAGGAACATAAAACCCTGAAAAACTAAGCCTTTATTTTACCTCCTCACACAAGAGTTTGTTGCCTTGTTTATGGGACATGAAAAACCAAGATTACCTTTTTGCCTGCCAAGCGTAGTCTACTATTTTGAGACAGGTCTTTGCGAGTAAGTAAAAATTATTGCTTTCATTATAGGCATTCCCCTCCGGCTCTAAAACTCCATGATCCAAGGCACAGCACTGTAAGTGACTGCCCGACAGGACAGCTTCCTGCATTTCTTTGGGTGAAAAGTTCAGTCCGAGGATCTCACAGTGTGGCGCCTGCCAGCCATCACAGTGAAGGATTGTCTTGCAAGCTAATCTCAGTGCGTTATGCTATTACAGTGGGTAATGACACATAGCAATGCCTAAATCATAAGACTCGGCTTCTGTAGAAGAAAAGAACAGAAAGAGAAGCACTCGCTTCCACAGCCTGCTGGGATTCACCTATTCAGGATCACTCAAAACCATGAAAGCTCAGAAAAGCCAAAAAGTTCTGAGTTCTAGAATTCCCTTTTGACAATCCTCGAAATGGCAGTTGGTCTCATGAAAGGGAATGAACTTTGGAACCAAACAGGCCCGGCCTCTAATCCAGGCTTTGCCCCTTACTGGGTGTGTGACCTTGAACCTGTGACTTCTCTGAGCCCGTTCCTTCATCTACAAAAGACAGATGATAAAACCCACTTTGTTGGGTTGTCCTGAAGATGAAAGGAAATATGGTAAGCAAACTATAATAGTGTCTGGAATGTAGGAGACATTTGATAATATTTCTGATTTTATTTTAAAAGTACAGAACTTTTTATGGGGTCATTTTGCTGGGTCCCGGTTTTATTATAATTTAACAGTGTTCATAAGGGATTTTTACAGTAGACATGCAGGATTCGCACACCCAAAATATAGAAAATTCTGCTCTCTATATCCCATGAACCAGACTTTCCACAGATCTTTAGTACAATTAGTCATCACCATGACTCCTGAGACACTGCGGGCTACTATCATATCTTCTGAATCATCGAAAAACAGATTGACTTATGTTTTAAGTGGCACTTTTTCAAATGCATTTTATAATGTTATTTTATGGATACACATTTGCCAAGGAAGAGATACTCTTTACTGTTCTTTGAAGACAGAGTGAAATATCTCCCATTTCCCCAGTTATTAATTTCTAACTACAAGCTTCCTGTACAGTGAATGAATGTGACAAGGGTTATTGAAGTTGCCTCACTCATTCATCTGCTGAAGGTTAGGAAATACACAAACCTTCAGAGAAAGGTGTTTAGTAGTCAGGGTCCTAGCGTTACCAGTGGAGGGTGTCCAGGTTCTCAGCAACTTGAACAAAGAATTGGACAAAACGCACAAACAAAGCAAGGAAAGCATGAAGCAACAAAAGCAGAGATTTATTGAAAATAATAGTACACTCTTCAGTGTGGGGGCGGCCCGAGCATAGGGATTCAAGGGACCCTTTACAGAATTTTCTGGTGTTTAAATACCCTCTAAAAGTTTCCCATTCGTTACTTGGTGTACACCCTGTATAGATGAAGTAATGGCCCCAATCATCTGACTGGTTGCAGAAAGCAACTAATCAGAGGCTGAAGTGAGGTTACAAAGATTACACCCTATGCAAGCATCTGATTGGTTGTGGAAAGCAACCAATCAGAGGCTAAAGTGAAGTTACAAAGTTACACTTCTAGGCAAAGAAGACTTGGCCGGCAGTCAGTCTGATTGGTTGCAGAAACCAGCCAATCAGAGATACTTTCAATTTTCCGTCTGCCACCCAAAAAATGGGCGGGCAGCAGTTGGCGGTGAGTAGCAAGGTGTTTTTTTGTTACTTAGGTGTGGAAAGTTGGGGTCTTCCTTTTGATTTAGTTCTAGGAAGTCAGCGTGAATCGGCCTTAGGTTTCCTGCCTGCAGACCCTATTCTCCTGCCTCACCAGCAGGAAATAGGTGACACAGACAGACCAGGAGTTTTAACAAAGGAGTGGGCAGGCCGGGCACGGTGGCTCACGCCTGTAATCCCAGCACTTTGGGTGGCCAAGGTGGGCCGATCACCTGAGGTCGGGAGTTCAAGACCAGCCTGACCAACATGGAGAAACCCCGTCTCTAAGAAAAAGACAGAATTAGCCGGGCGTGGTGGCGCATGCCTGTAATCCCAGCTACTTGGGACGTTGAGGCATGAGAATTGCTTGAACCTGGGAGGCGGAGGTTGCGGTGAGCCGAAATTGCGCCGTTGCACTCCAGCCTGGGCAACAAGAGCAAAACTCTGTCTCAAAAAAAACAAACAACAACAACAAAAAAAAAAAAAAAAAAAAAAGCAGTGGGCCCACCTCGCTCTTCTCCCACCTTCGTATTCCCTGCTTTGTCTGGCATTGGCTGGACCGAACAGAAGCCCTACAGCAAGAGAGTCGTCCCTGATGTAGTCAGCCTTCCAGTTCCAGCCTTCCAGGGTACAGAACACACTGAAAAAGGGAGAAGAGTGGATTCAGAGGGGCTACAGAAAGATGTTCATCATAGTATTCTTATCTCCTCCAGTGGTACGCCGCTGCAATGGGGAAATGTTTGTTTTTTAAAAATAGCTACAATGAAAGGGCTTAAAATCCTCTCTAAACAAAAAGTTTTAAAAATATTCATACTATCATGTGAATGTCACTTTCCATATCCCTAGGAATAATTTTTAAAGCATTTTATTCATTCCACAAGTCTTTTTTTATCTGCTCGAGAAACCAACATTTCTGCTAGATTGCAACATAGGCATACCTGAATATACCTCAACATTCTCAAAAATCACACACTTATTACTGCCTTTCCGAGAAAAATAGGATTAGACAGACCACTTCAAACCTATGCAGCTTTGTAACCAGAGTACTCACAAAAACGGTAATTGGTTCCTGGGGAGACAACTGGAAACCACCATGCAGGCAGCTCAGCCTGGCTGGAGGCTGCCACTGGGCGGTTAAAAATGCACAGAAACATTGGCTGGGTGCGGTGGCTCATGCCTGTAATCCCAGAACTTTGGGAGGCTGAGGCAGGCTGATCCCTTGAGGCCAGGAGTTCGAGAACAGCCTAGTCAACATGGTGAAACCCTGTCTCCACTAAAAATACAAAAATTAGCCGGGCATGGTGGCAGGTGCCTATAATCCCAGCTACTTGGGAGGCTGAGGCTGAGAATTGCTTGAACCTGGGAGGCTGAGGTCAGTGAGCCAAGATTGTGCCGCTGCACTCCAGCCTGGGCGACAAAGCAAGACTCCATCTCCAAAAAAAGCACAGAAACAACACAGTAAACATGTTAGCCACACTTCAGTTAGAGCAGAGCTGGGAGTGCTGAGGAACGCAAGTGTGGGGGTGGCTCGTAGCCGGTAGGGCTGTGGCAAATCTGGGCCCAGAGGCAGCCCCATCTAACCTAGCCGAGAGTTGTGTCTCTCAAGGCGGGGCTCCAGAAACAGGCCCTCGTTTTAATTTTCTCAAAATTCAGCCAAAAGGCCTTTGCTGCTTGGGCAGCCACTGAGTTGGAGGCTTACCCCCTTCCTGATGAAGGTTATAATTCCACTCCCATGATCTATTCTGGCTTCCCTTGTGTAAGAAAAATCATGTATGAACCGAAATGACTTCCACGTTCTTACACTGACATCGTCTTCACCTGCTTCTCTGGAAAACAGCCCTGAGGCAAAACTTTCAGGTTATTAGGGGTGGGTGTTTGGAGGAGTGACGGGGGAAGAGGAATGAATCAGGGAAGAGGGAAGGAATTTAAAGTTCTGTTACCAAGATGGCCACAGTTTTATGAAAACAGCCCCAGCTCCCTGGGTCGTGTGGGCCATCTCCAGAAAGGTCACAGGGAATTACTACATCTCAGGAAATATGGCGGAAGGGAGGCCGGCAATTGACCTGCCAGTTTCTTCTTGCCTCCTGTCCCACATTGCTAAGGTTTACCTCACAGTGCAAGTAATTATGCTAACGTCCAGGTGGCATCCCACCCCAGATAGCCGCCAGGGAAACTGGAGCCCCTGAGGGTCCAGCTGCACAGAATGCCATTGCTGTCATAGCCTCTAGAACCTGACCATGGCCTCACACCCAGGGGAGGATGAGAGGATGAGACAAGCGGCTCTACTGGAAGACCAGGTAGCTGCATGAGCTGTCTGGAAGCCTCTCTGGCCAGGAAGAGGGGGGTGCAGGTGCTGAGAACATTTGGAAGGGCACAAAACTGAGTTCAGTACTGACATTATTCCCTTATTTACAAATTGCACGTGAGCAAAATTTTGCCCTAAAAGCTCACATTGTAGCAAAACAGACTGCACAGTGTTTAATCAAGTTTAGCCTAAAGCTTCCTCCTTACGTATTTTAAGCTCAACCTGAAATATTTGAAGTTCTGGACATCGTGAACTATAGCCAATGGAGGTGTAAACAGACTGTAGCCTACACTTGTGCCAATTCACCAAGTTTTGGTCAATCAAATGTAGTCAACTGTTTGAACCATATTTAAATAAGGCACATGCCAACTGGTAACCGGCTGTTTTGTACCTCACTTCCATTTTCTGGACATCACTTTCCTTTTTCTGTCCATAAATCTTCTACCACGTGGCTGTGCTGGAGTCTCTGAGCCTACTCTGGCTTAGGAGGCTGCCCGATTCATGTGTTCATTGCTCAATTCAACTCCTTTAAATTTATTTATTTATTTATTTTGACAGGGTCTTACTCTGTTGCCCAGGCTGGAGTGCAGTGGCGTGATCTCGGCTCACTGCAGCCTATACCTCCCAGGCTCAAGAGATTCTCCAGCCTCAGCCTCTCAAGTAGCTGGGACTATAGGCACATGCCACCACTCCTGGCTAATTTTTGTATTTTTCTGTAGAGACAGGGCTTCACCATGTTGCCCAGGCTGGTCTTGAACCCGTGAGCTCAGCGATGCTCCTGCCTCAGCCTCCCAAAGTGCTGGGATTACAGGTTTGAGCCACTGTGCCCAGCCCAACTCCTTTAAATTTAATTCAGCTGAAGTTTTTCTTTTATCAGCCATAAATAAACACATGTACCTGCCCTCGAGAAGCCATGTTCTTATTAAATATGTAAGATAGGTAAGATAGGTACCCCAAAAAGCATACTAAGACTTACTCTCTCCCAAATTCCCATAACCCCCACTCACTAACCTATGTTTCAGTGGATATCAGAATGATTCTAATGCCTGTCTATTCGCATCTCTCCTGGCTGAAAAGCCCTCAGTGCTTCTACAGGTGTTCGTGGTGGGTAAAATCTATGTTTCATTATTTAGCACACAGGTCACCTTTTCAGTGAGTGTCCCTTCCACGGGCATCTTTTCCAAATCAAGACCTGGCTGCCCTTGATCGTCCACTCCCCACCTTTCTCTGCTCCACTGGACTCTTTCCAATGCCCTCTTCTGCTGCTACATGCCAGAGTTAATGACTGGGGATGGATAAAGGAGAAAGGGACAAAAAGGAGTTATTAGGCTGATGCAAAAGTAATTGTGGTTTTTGCCATTACTTTCAAATGGCAAAAAACACAATTACTTTTGCACCAACCTAGTAACATTCATGGTGAGATGATTACTATCTCAACGTGATAGTCATCTAAGAATTAACTGTACAAATTTACCATTTGTTTTCATATAAAATTATACAGCTTGAGAGTTTCAGTGATTCACCTAGGATTGTCACATACTTGAATGTAGGCTTCAGAAAATTTTATCAAAGGCGGGCGGATCACGAGGTCAGGAGATCGAGACCATCCTGGCTAACATGGTGAAACCCTGTCTCTACTAAAAATACAAAAAATTAGCTGGGCGTGCTGGCAGGCACCTGTAATCCCAGCTACTCAGGAGGCTGAGGCAGGAGAATGGCGTGAATCCGGGAGGTGGAGTTTGCAGTGAGCCAAGATCATGCCACTGCACTCTAGCCTGGGCAACAGAGCGAGACTCCATCTCGAAAAAAAAATAAAAAAAGATATTTTCATGCCTTTCTGCATTGAGATACTCAAGTTTTCCAGGACGATAGGATTAAAGATGCTTTGTTTTTCCCTGAGTTAAAAAATATATACATCATAAGCCTATGAATATGCAAGTGGCGATGTTGTTTTTCTTTACTTATGATTCTTTATTTTGGCATCTTTCTCAGATGCTTATTTTGTGTTAGTGGTGATGATACTTGTAAGTGCACTAGTGTTTCACACGTTACCCATCGTGTATGGAATCTCATGCAGGAGACCCTCTATATACACTTGAGTATATAGCCAATACATTAAATGGATAAATGCCCATCTAGGCTACTAGGTTCAGTTAATGAAGCTGATATTATCAATTTATCTCCAAATGATCCAGTTGCCAGAACAGATAGTGTCCCATAGACCAGTTTTTTTTAAACTGTGTTCCCCTGAACATTAGTAATCTAGCACAATGGTAATACATTTTCACAGAAAAAACATTGGGGGCAGGGGGAGTTTCCATGAGCAAATAAATTTGGGAAAGATGGGGTCATACAAATATAAAAAGACATCTTCACTGCAGGACTTCTCAGGGCCTTTATGTTCATGTGTATTGTGATTCTCCCTCCAGGAGGAGACTGTAACATGCATAACATGCCGTGTTTCTCTCCCTCCCACTCCCACCACCCCTTGTTTTTTGCCAGTGTGATGGTTAATTTTATGTGCCAATTTGAAGAGTGTTTTTGGAGGAGATTAACATTTAAGTCAGTGAACTTTGAGTAAGCGCTGGCTCTCCATAATGTGGTGGGTCTCATTCAAGCAGCCTGAACAGAACAAAAAGACTGGCCTCCCAAAGCAAGAGGGAATTCTTCAATAAATTGCCTCCAAACTTCATCTGCACCATTGGCTCTCCTGAGTCTTGAACCTGCCAGCTCATATCACAAATTTGGGACTTGCTAGCCTCCATAATCACACAAGCCAATTCCTTATAATAAGTCTTTTTGTGAGACACTTATACACACACACACACACACACGCACATATACATATATATACACACACACACACATATACATATATATACACAGAGAGAGAGAGAGAGAGATGCTCTTGAAGTGATGATAGGGTTATGTCCTATTAAGCCAATCATAAATTAAGCCAATCATAAATTGAAAATAACATTGAGTCAAAAATGCATTTAATACCTTCATAAACCCACTGTAAAGTACAAAAATTAAGTCAAACCATCAAAAGTCAGAGATCGTCTGCATGCATGCATATCTCCTTTTTTCGTGAAATAACTATTAACATATCATTTCATGAGACACTAGAGTTCTGAGAAGAATAATCCACTGGGGAAGTGCAACCATAGACCACAGCCTTATAGAAGATCTGGTGTCTCACAGACAGAGCATATTGGTAGGAAGGGAATCTAAGAAAAAAAAAAACTGAAGAAGCCTAGAGCAATTATTTATCACCACTCGTTGTCAAGTTACATGTCATATTACCGGGTTCATTCACAGGATAATTTTTATATTACTATATAATTGTTAATTCCTTCACGCACATTTCAAAAAAAGAAATAGTAACAAAAGTATAAATATGATCTCCAGAATCCTTAAATCTTTGTTTTCATTTGGCCCACCTACATTCCATTATATACATGCCACAGTTTTTCTTCGAGCATTAATGTATGGGTGTGGCAAGGGCATTGTCTATGACACAATCAAATGCTGACAGATGTTTCATTTCAGTGCCAGACATCTGGCTTATCTCCTACGGTAAGTATGGGCTGCACTCCCACCTCTCCATGTGCTGAAAGACAACTTGCAAAGGAATTTTAAGTTGTTTTCCTTACCCACTAGCAACTAATAATCTAGTCCTTGGGTAAAAATATACCAGGCCGGGCACGGTGGCTCACGCCTCTAATACCAGCACTTTGGGAGGCCAAGGCGGGCAGATCACAAAGTCAGGAGTTCAAGACCAACCTGACCAACATGGTGAAACCTCATCTATACTAAAAATACAAAAATTAGCCAGGCGTGGTGGCGCACGCCTGTAGTCCCCGCTACTCAGGAGACTGAGGCAAGAGAATCACTTGAACCTGGGAGGCAGAGGTTGCAGTGAGCCAAGATCACACCACTGTACTGCAGCCTGGGCAACAAGTGAGACTCTTCTCTAAATAAAGAAATAAATAATAACTAACTAAACATATATATATATATATATATATGCACCAGTTGGACAATACTAAGACCAATATAAATCCTTTGTTAAAATGCATGATAAAAAACATAAAAGACGCTAGGTATTTCAGCCACACAATTATCATCAACTTGATTTCAATCTTAAGTAAAAATCACAATTTTCTGCTAAAGTTGAAGCGAAACATTCTTTCTCTATTGGAATGAATTATTTCAGGCACTGACATCCTAAGAATAAAATAACTATGTAATTACAAAATATTCCTAATGCCCAGGAAGTCCTTCCATGGGGGGAAGGGTGGGTGGAATTAAACATTGACTTATCAACTATTTTTAAGTAAAAAAATTGGTTCTAGAAAAGCCCATTTTGCTAGAGCAAGTTCTTGTGGAGTTTCCTTTTCTCGTGATATAGTGTAGTAGTATACACTCACATAGAGCAAATAGTTACCTGTATTTACATGTAATACTAAAAAATGACTTGCTATAACACAATTTTTTTTTTCTGGAGACGGAGTTTCACTCTTGTTGCCCAGGCTGGAGTGCAATGGTGCAATCTCAACTTGCTGCAACCTCCATCTCCTGGGTTCAAGCGATTCTCCTGCCTCAGCCTCCCAAGTAGCTGGGATTACAGGCACCCACCACCATGCCCAGCTAATTTTTTGTATTTTTAGTAGAGACAGGGTTTCACCATATTGGCCAGGATGGTCTTGAACTCCTGACCTCAGGTGATCCACCCACCTCAGCCTCCCAAAGTGCTGGGATTACAGGTGTCACAATTTTCAATATATTAAAGAAAAGTTGCTTGTATCAGTCCATTCCTGCATCGCTGTAAAGAAATACCTGAGACTGGGTAATTTATAATAAAAAAGAAGTTTAAGTGGCTCTTAATTCTGCAGGCTGTACAGGAAGGATGATGTTGGCATCTGCTTAGCTTCTGGGGAGGCCTCAGAAAACTTACAATCATGGCAGAAGGTGAAGTGGGACCAGGCACATCACATGGCCAGAGCAGGAGTAAGACAGCGGGTGAGGAGGTGCTACACAATTTTAAATGAGCTGATCTCATGAGAACTCAGTCACTATCCTGAGGGCAGTACCAAGAGGATGCTACTAAACCATTCATGAGAAATCTGCCCCCATGATCCAATCACCTCCCACCAAGCCCCACCACCAACACTGGGGATTATGACTCAACATGAGGTTTGGGTGGGGACACGTATCAAAACCATACCGGTGCTGAAATTTTACAAAGTATTATTTTAAAGGATGGTAGCATTTTTGGAGAGGCTAGAGTGATAAAGCATTGGGCTAGGTTAGCCCTCATATCACACCCCCTGCAAGGTTGGCAGCTCCAATGGATTAAGCAGACCTATGGGTTCATAAGGTTGGAACCCTTCAAAGATGGGCTTTGCAGTGTAGGAGGAAAGGATTGAGAAGCAATACTTCACCAGTGATTATATGAAATCTACCCTAAAGCTGGCATCCCTTATGTAAGTGTAAGAAAAAGGCAAATGAGAAAATGTGGCATTCAGCAGAATTGTCCCCACAAACCCGATCAGAAGGAAGGGTGTTTTTCCAATTAGATAGAAAGCTTGGTCATACTTTCTCTAGGTCATTAGGCATCATATAATGCTCTTCAAATAGTGCCTTTGCTGCTCCAATTCCAGCCAGAGTGATTATTCAGCATTTCTAAGTGAGCACTGCACTATTATTGAGATATAGAATCCTTTTTGTCTTATTATATCTAGATTTTATTAATATGGCTGTAAGCTATTAAAACAGTTGCTATATATCACCATATGTAAATTTTACAGTGGTAAAAATAGTCCTTGAAGAGGAGTTTAAAAGATTTTTCAAGTATTTTTGAGTCTCCAGCAATGAAAGTAACTACGTAACGAGAAGTGTATTATTTCAATTGAGGATATTTTATAGGAAAGTAATGGGTTTGGAAAAGTCCTTAAGGCAAATAACTTTGCTGTGATAAAAATCGCAAGACTCAGAAAGAACTACAGAATGACATTTCTCATCAAATAGCTTCTATCTAGGAAACCAGGTAGGCATTTCCCAAAGGTGGATAAGAGGTTACTCACCTGTTGGTTTCTATTAGTATCCAGTTGAAATAATGCAAGAAAAATTAGACGAGAGAGTGTCTTGCCCTAAAACCTCTTTGCCTTGGAGAAATTCCAGGGCTTACCATGACCCGGGAGGCCAGCACTGAGAAGAGAAAACCACGTCTCCAGCAGTGGGGACCCACTCACGGCTACCAGCAGGTAGGGGTGACATGGAACACACACAGACAGGATGACCACTCTGCTAACACCTGCCATTGAAAATGAGGCCACTTTTGCAGTGCCTGAAAAATAAAGACAATAATGCAGAGAAGGATGGAAAGGTAAATGATTTTTACAGAACAGTTTTTGACAGGTGAGCTCTTGTCATCTGTCACTGAGAAAGGAATTTTTTATAAGGGATCTATGCAGAAAGAACATTACCTAAGACAACCTAGGATCATGACTTAATTCAAACCTAGACGTGATCGTTGGTCTAAGGATATGTTTCCACGCATTATTGTATTTACTTCACATCCTTTCAGTGTGTAGAGGCTGTCTGTCATCTCTGTTTCTGTCTTATATCTGCAGAGGCAGATACTGAGAGGAGGAAAGACACTCAAGACCATGAAGTTCAATCCACTCCACACTGAGGTTGACACCCACATTCATTAGCCCCTGAGCCTATTCAAATATTTACAAAGGCTTTTCCGCATTTTTTAAAATTTTAAATTGCTATTTTGACTTTTTGATAATTTTCAAAAATCTGAAAATCATCTATCAGGCAGTAAAACCATATTGTTTTTTGTTAGGTGACCATTTGCACTTGGAAACACATGTCTGCCACAAGATAAAGATGGCAATCTAATTTGGTCTACTGAAAAAAAGAAGAGATTGGATTTAGAAATTACATCCATACATACATAAGTTTTAAATGTGCCAAAAATTATTATTTTCAAAAAATCACCTAAAATTTGAGGACTCCATAAAATGTAATAGGGAAACCCCAATAGGCTATGTTGCTTACCGAGTTATTTTGTTAGCGCACCTGAAACACTGTGAATTTCTGCTTCCAAATGCCGCAAGGTCATTGGCTTAGAGCCATTCTCTGCGCTACCCATTTCCTTGAAAGCTGGTAGTTCTTAAGGGTGAAGCTGTTTAGCATTCTCATTCTGTGCCCCAGGAACCACCGCTGAGAAGAAGGCAGCAAGGCTTGGCCTCACCCATCTGGGACCTAAGTCCAGGTCACCAAGCTAGAGCTGATCCTGCCTTTGGCTCCTTGCGCCTACATCTGAATTCAACCCACCCTTCATAAAGCACCAGTGTTGGTTTTAAAATATATACTGGCTGCATTCTGAGCACTGGATACATGCATGAATGGACACATTGCTAAAATAGCATAATCTGACAGTATATACATCCCTCCTCTGCCCATCAGAGAAAAGAAGGCCCCTTTGCACCATTAAATTAATTCAAAGGAAGAACACACACACAAAAAAATGATTGTTGCAAAAGAAAGATCCCTTCACTGTGTAGGGATAGTTTTTTCCCCTAGATTTAATTTATGGGACACATAAGAAATACCTTGTTACAGCTGGGCGCGGTGGCTCACGGCTGTAATCCTAGCACTTTGGGAGGCAGAGGCAGATGGATCACCTGAAGTCGGGAGTTTGAGACCAGCCTGACCAACATGAAGAAACCCCATCTCTACTAAAAAGACAAAATTAGCCAGGCATGGTAGTGCATGTCTGTAATCCCAGCTACTCAGGAGGCTGAGGCAGGAGAATTGCTTGAACCCGGGAGGCGGAGGTTGCAGTGAGCCAAGATCACGCCATTGCACTCCAGCCTGGGCAACAAGAGGGAAACTCCATCTCAAAAAAAAAAAAAAAAAAAAAATCAAGAAAAAGAAGAAAAAGAAATACCTGTTACTGCTTTTTAGCACCTGAGTCGAAACCCTATAATAAATTCCTTTTGATGTTTCAGTCACCATTAAGCAACTTACTCATTTTATGCATGCTACCTGTAAAAACTACAATATAAAGATAAATGAGATGGAGCTCCTGCTCTCAAGGAGTTTATAGTCTAGAAATCAGCTTTGTGCCTGTCTGAGTATATTCCAAAATAGGAAAATGTAATCATGTGCTGTGTGACAAGCCTAGACAGTGTGCTGAGTGAGGTAAAAGCAAAGGAGATTTTTCCAGAAATCAGAGGCAACTGAGGCTTGACCAAATCAAGACCCTGAGGCTGGACAGGAAGTCAGGAACAAATCAAGGCTGAGAAGAGAAGGAACGCAAGGATGTTGGAATGAGACTCAACTTCAGAAAGCAAAGCTTTGCTCACCAGACCATACTTTATTCTCTACGTGTTCATGAGAATAATGCTTTCTGTGGCTACTAGCCTTTGCAGCTTAACCAGTCTCTGCAGGAGACCAGGGGAGTGAGATGAGCATCTTCACAACTTAGACGATGAGCCCAGCAACACTACCTTGCTCATTTGTATGGAATTGAATTAAATTGGGTCAGTCTACCGCCGTATCACCCCGAACATGCCCGATCTCGTCTGAATTAAATCGGGCCAGCTGCAGAGAGGAATGTCTACCAGCGGGAAATTCTTTGGGAGGTAACTGCATGGGACAAGCAAGAAGTCATGAAGGCCTGGGCCAGGCGGTGGCAGTGGGACTGGAAACAGCCAACAAAGATCTCTGAGAATAAACATGCTGTAATGTTATTCCGTGAAAACACAGAAAAGACAACAATAACATCCTGACCACAACAGAGAATGCAGTCCCACCAAACAGGGGGCTTTTCTTCCCTTGATTGTTTAGCAAAGGAGCCAGATCCTGAGCACAGATGGTCTGAGAAAGGCCAGTTCCCCACTTTTTGGCTTCATTCCCTTCACTCCTCCCAAGCAGGAAGCAGGGTCCAAAACAGCCTTGCTCTTCATGGCACGGATGCCTCCATCAGTCTCCACTACTGATATCTACGGTGTGTTCATCATAGCTTACCAAATACTGGGCGGGGGGCAGGGGAGATGGAATTTATAAAGAAATAGAAGACATGAGCCCTTTAATGTCCTTAGGAATATACAACCCACAGACCGAAAACAAGTGAACCCTTTCAAAGGAAAAGATAGTATTCACAGTAATAAATGCTTCAGGTATACCAGGCACGTGGCAAAACAATGAACATGCATCATCTCTTTGAACAGTCATCCTTTTTGGTAGGCATCGCCACATTTTGTCTAAATTCTAAACATGTTCATTTTTTTTAACATGTTAGCATGCCTGGAAATTGGGTATGTTTTACAATCAATATGTGTTTTAAAACCAACATGCAGGAGCTATAGTGAGGTGTTTTATCTTATTTATTTGTTTATTTGGTCTAGTTTGGATTTTTTCACTGAAAAGTTGTTATTAAATGATGATCATCTTAAAGTCGGTGGTGTCTTAGGATGAAGAAAATGTAAGATATTATCCTCATTTTAAAATCAGACTGAAGCCAAGGTAGTAAGAAAGTCTCATCACTAGTAAGTTAAGAAAATCCACCCAGAATCTGGCCAGGCACAGTGGTTCACGCCTGTAATCCCAGCACTTTGGGAGGCCAAGGTGGGTGGATCACGAGGTCAGGAGTTCAAAACCAGCCTGGCCAAGATGGTGAAACCCCATCTCTACTAAAATACAAAAATTAGCTGGGCGTGGTGGCATGCTCCTGTAATCCCAGCTACTCAGGAGGCTGAGGCAGAGAATTGCTTGAACCCGGGAGGCAGAGGTTGCAGTGAGCCGAGATTGCACCACTGCATTCCAGCCTGGGCGACAGAACAAGACTCCGTCTCAAAAAAAAAAAAACCTCCACCCTGAGAGGCACTTTTATATGGCATGAGAAATAATGTATCCCCCTGCAAAAAATAAAAATAAAATAAAATAAACACTGCGTGCCAGGACACTCAGTCACTGCACTAACCCCACCCCAGCCATCAGCTGCAGCATATCAGTATCCATTTACTCATTTGCAAGCATGAATTCAGCACCTATCTGGCCGGCATTGTGCTGGTGGCCACGTGCTTTTGGTGATAAGAAAAAGCTGTCCCTTCCCGCCTAGACCTCACACACTAATGAGAGAGACAGATATTCAACGCTGATGACACAGATAAACATAGAATTACAAACTGCAAAGCATCACAAGCAAAACCACCAGATGCTGTGATAATATAAACCAGAGTCCAGACCTCGTCTGGGGCATCAGGGCAGCCTTGCCTGCAGATGGGGTTTTGGAGTTCCTCTAAAGGATTCTAATAGGACTGGGCAAAGGAGGGTGCTGGAGTGGAATCTGCTGAGTCAGGAGCAATTTCTAGGAGGAAGGAGACCATTCTAGGCAAAGGAAGTAGCACATGCAAAGGCCCCGAGGCTGGGGGAATGTGCTGTGTTTGAGAGCCAGAAAGAAAGTCAAGGAGGCTCGAGAGTTCTCATGAGAGGAAACCAGACAGGCTTGTTGGTCTTGGTGAGGTTGTAGCTACGTATCCTCAGAACAGTGGGAGGCAGCTACTTTTTTACTTTAAATGTTGAATGGATGGAAATCTTACCATCGAATGTGAAATAATTCCTGCCTTATATAGACACAAGTTTAAAAGCAGTACAGTATCCCAAGGTGGAATGCTCTTTCAAAATAGTTGGGGCTTATGTCAACAAATTCCCTGGAATGTGGGTGATAACAAATATCTGTAAATGTTAACAGGCCAGGACTAAGCCATTCGTTCTCCTACTGAGCCAGATGATACTCATCAGTGGCCCCTTAACTAGAATCAGTTTCAGATAGGGAGCAGAGTTCCCATTTGGAAAGGATTTTTGGCAGTGACGGTGAACATCAGGGCTGGATTATGACAGTTAGAAAGGCACAGCCACTTAGGGTGAATCTGTGTTTTTGCTGAGTATTGTCCCTAGCTTCCTATAAGACAGCAAACTACCAAATAACGGGTTGTCCTTCCTCTCTGAAGGGCTCCAGTACATGTGTCAGCCGCAGCGTAGGAGGTGGTGAGCAGTAACAAGACAGGCCTTCAACCTAATGACTGGAAGTGACTGAAATCATCGGAGGGAGGGGGTTGGCTCTGAGGTTCCCACAGGAGCAAATATTAGGGAAATCGCCCACCAAGCCTGTTCTCCAGCCAGAAGCCACTCCCTTCCTGAGGTCTGAACCACTGCTAGAGGAAATCCAAAAGAAAATAAGCCCAGAGGCCCAGGAAAAACAAATTTGCTATAGAGGTGGGGTGAGTTCAGGCGACTTGATACCCAATTAAAGAGGCTTAAATTGATTCAACCTTTTGGGAAACCAGTTTGATAATGCGTATCAATTGCCTTAAAAATGCCCATACACTTTGAACCTGTCTGGCCGGCATTTCTTCCTAGAAATATATCTTAAGGATATATTTCTTAAGAAATATAGAAATATATAGAGAAATATATATATTAAATATAAATATAATATTAAATATAAATATATCTATATATAGAGAGAGAGAAATGTATCTTAAGGAAATATATCTTAAGGAAATAATCAGACATGTACAATGTTCACAGCCCATTATTTACAGTGACAAAAAGGTTGGAAACAGTTTGTATATCTACCTGTAGAAAAATGATAGAATAAATTTTGGTGTGTACAGAAGATGAAATATTTTGTAGCTGCTGATAAGCATGTGTTAACAGAACATTTAACATAGGAAAATATAAAACATTACATTTTAAAAGCATTTTACAAAACTATATATACACTACAATTTCAAATGCACATCTACACACATCACAGCAGAAAAAAGTGTTGATGGTGATTACATCTGAATGCTAGTTACTTATTTTTTATGCTTTTTTCTTTTCTTTTCTTTTCTTTTTTTCTTTTTTTTTGAGACAGAGCCTTGCTCTTGTTGCCCAGGCTGGAGTGCAATGGTGCGATCTTGGCTCACTGCTACCTCTGCCTCCTGAGTTCAAGCGATTCTCTTGCCCCAGCCTCCTGAGTAGCTGGGATAACAGGTTCCTGCCACCATGCCCAGATAAATTTTTTTTGTTGTTGTATTTTTAGTAGAGACGGGGTTTCACCATGTTGGCCAGGCTGGTCTCAAACTCCTGACCTCAGGTGATCCACCCACCTCAGCCTCCCAAAGTGTGGGGATTACAGGCATGAGCCACTTCACCCAGCCCCTTTTTTTTTATTGCAGCACTGTTCACGATAGCAAAGACTTGGAACCAACCTAAATGCCCATCAATGATAGACTGGATAAGGGAAATGTGGCATATATACACCATGGAACACTATGCAGCCATAAAAAAGGATCAGTTCATGTCCTTTGCAGGGACTTGGATGAAGCTGGAAACTATCATTCTCAGCAAACTAACACAGGAAGAGAAAACCAAAAAACACCGCATGTTCTCACTCATAAGTGAGAGATGAACAATGAGAACACATGGATACAGGGAGGGGAACATCGCACACCAGGGCCTGTTGGGATGTGGGGGGCTAGGGGAGGGATAGCATTAAGAGAAATACCGAATGTAGATGACGGATTGATGGGTGCAGCAAACCACCATGGCACGTGTATACCCATGTAACAAACCTGTACTTTCTGCACATGTATTCTAGAACTTAAAGTATAATAAAAAATAAAAATAGGCAGGGCGGTGGCTCACACCTGTAATCCCAGCACTTTGAGAGGCCGAGGCAGGTGGATCACAAAGTCAGGAGATCAAGACCATCCTGGCTAACACGGTAAAACCCCGTCTCTACTAAAAAAAAAATACAAAAATTAGCTGGGCATGGTGGTGTGCACCTGTAGTCCCAGCTACTCAGGAGGCTGAGACAGGAGAATGGCATGAACCCAGGGGCGGAGCTTGCAGTGGGCCAACATCGCACCACTGCACTCCAGCCTAGGCGACAGAGCGAAACTCCGTCTCAAAACATAAATAAATAAATAAAATAAATGTATTTTCTAAATTTTCTAATGTGGGCATGAACAAATTTTTAATAGGGGAAAGTTTTAAACAGAAAAATAATGACTCTCCTACCCAGAATTAACTTTTGTTTTCACTTCAGATATCTAATAAAGGAATGGAATATCATCGATGGAGTTTCAGTCTTCTTTGCTCCCCATCCCAGACCCCTCTCTCTCTTCCTGAGCATGCAGCCTTCTAGTCTGTGTTTGCACACTTTTCTTTTTTTGAGACAGAGTCTCGCTGTGGCGCCCAGGCTGTGCAGTGGCATGATTTTGGCTCACTGCAACCTCTACCTTCCAGGTGCAAGCAATTCTCCTGCCTCAGCCTCTCAAGTAGCTGGGACTACAGGCACGCGCCAGCATGCCCGGCTAATTTTTGTATTTTTGTACAGATGGAGTTTCACCATGCTGGCCAGGCTGGTCTCAAACTCCTGACCTCAAGTGATCTGTCCGCCGCAGCCTCCCAAAGTGCTGGGATTACAGGCATGAGCCACAGTACCCGGACTGTTTGCACACTTTCCTAGAAGTTTCTGCCTTCATAAACATCCCATAGTGTTCCTCTTGGTGTTCTTCAAAATTTACACAAATTTTATCACACTGTGACTTACTTTTTTCACTAAACATTAGATTTTTGAGAGCCACTCAGGATGCTCTGTATTGAAGCAATTCATTTATTTTAACTGCTGTGGAGTATTTCTCAAACAAATATCCCATCATTAGCTTGTTCATTCCCTTATGGGGAATGAACATTTATGGGAATGATTCATTTAGGTTGCATCCAATTTTTAGCTATTACAAATAATGCTGCAGTTACTCCGGACCTTCATAATCAGGAAAAAGGTCTTTACATTTAAAACACCAACAATACAAACCGTAGAGAAAATGAGGGAGGATACTGCTAAGTCTGGTGAAGAGGACGCTTCCCCTCCCCAGACTTGGGTTTCTTGCTCATTGTCGGGAGGGCCCTCCAGAGGCCACCTGCCTCGGGCCCTCTATGATGCTGTGAAGGTGGTGCAAGGACCCAGAGATCCCTGACCAGGTGATACAGGAGCTAGAAAGAAATTATTTAAGCAGATAGTAAGGGCAACAGAGTCCTCGGCGGAATTCCTTTTTTTTTCGAGACAGAGTCTCACTCTCTCTCCCAGGGTGGAGTGCAGTGGCGCGATCTCGGCTCACTGCAACCTCCGCCTCCCGAGTTCAAGTTCTCCTGTCTCAGCCTCCCCAGCAACTGGGATTACAGGCGCCCGCCACCACGCCTGGCTATTTTTTTTTTTCCTTTTTAGTAGAAACCAGGTTTCGCCATGTTGCCCAGGCTGGTTTCAAACTCCTGAGCTCAGGCAATCCGCCGGCCTCGGCCTCCCAAAGTGCTGGGATTACAGGCGTGAGCCACCTCGCCCGGCCGGAATTTCCCTTTTAACAAAAACAGCCCCAAAATTATTTCTTTTCTAACAAAGGGTAACCTGAAAAATCGAGCTGTTAACATAGATAAGCAAGCTGGAAGCTTGCACCGGTGAACACCGGCTGCTGTGCCAATAGAAAAGGGCTACCTGGGGTCCAGGTATGTTCAACATGGAGGCTCCATCTTCCTTTTGTCACCAGGTGTACAGTAAAGAAACAGGCAGCCGGGCGCGGTGGCAAAGGCCTGTAATCCCAGCACTTTGGGAGGCCGAGGCAGGTGGATCACCTGAGGTCAGGAATTCAAGACCAGCCTGGCCAACAAGGCGAAACCCCATCTCTACTAAAAAATACAACATTAGCCGGGCGCGATGGTGGCCGCGTGTGATCCCAGCTACTCAGGAGGCTGAGGTAGGTGAATAGCTTGAACCCGGGAGGTGGAGCTTGCAGTGAGCCGAGATCACACCACTGAACTCCAGCCTGGGCGACAGAGCGAGACTCCGTCTCAAAAAATAAAAAAACATGGCTCCAACAAGGTGGAGAATCCATCTGCATAATAAAATATTAGGGTGAGGGTGGCCAGGTTTTCATGCCCTATGCAAATGACATACTTAGCCCTAACCAGTTTTTCACACCTATGCAAGTGGAACACCTGGTCCAACCAATCTTTTGTGCCCTATGTAAATCAGACACCACCTCCTCAAGCTCATCTATAAAATCCTCTGTATTTCACTGCAGAAGCAGCAACCCATTTCTCCGGGACCTCTTCTGCCCCAAAGAGCTCTTCTCTTTCACCTATTAGACTTCTGCTCTGAACCTCACTCTTTGTGTGTCTGCATCCTAGTTTTCTATGGCCATGAGACAACAAATCTCGGGTATTTAGTCCAGACAAGACATCACTTCCCAGGCACCTTCCAATCTGCCCTCCACCTTTGCACCAATAGCTTCAACTGCTGGCTGCTACATCCATCTAGAGCAGTTTTCCTGCTATGCCTCCTTCAGAAGTAGCAAACATTCATTTGCGTAGTATGCTGAACACAACCACCTTATAAACTTGTTTAATTCTCACAACAACCTTATGACTTAGTACCATGGTTATTCCCATTTTTCACTTGGGGGAATGAGGCGTGGAGAGGTTAGGTAACTTGCTCAAGGTCACACAGCTGGTAAGAGGCCGAGCTGGACCCAAACCCAGACAGTGCAACTCTAAAGTCCACACCCTGAACTCCTCTGCTGCCTCCTATTCTTATCTCATTGCCCTCTTTATGGCCTCGCCTCTCCCCTGCCTCAATGGAGAAAAGCGAGACTGTCCTGGGTCAGGACTGTGACTCTGTCTCAAAAAAAAAAAAAAAAAAAAAGGCTGGGAGCGGTGGCTCATGCCTGTAATCCCGGCACTTTGGGAGGCCCAGGTGGGTGGATCATGAGGTCAGGAGTTCGAGACCATCCTGACCAATATGTTGAAACACCGTCTCTACTAAAAATACAAAAATTAGCCAGACGTGGTGGCGCGCACCTCTAGTCACAACTACTCGGGAAGCTGAGACAGAAGAATTGCTTGAACCCAGGAGGCGGAGGTTGCAGTGAGCCAAGATCGCACCAGCCTGGGCAACAGAACAAGTCTCAGTTAAAAAAAAAAAAAATATATATATATATATATGTGTGTATATATATATATATATATATATATGTATTCCTGGGCCATTCTTTCCTTTGACAGCCAGAGTCCTTGTCTCCTTTTAATTACTGAAACATTTACAGTTGTGAAATGCCAGCAGATTTGATACTTGACCATTGCTAATTTCAACTTTATATGGCTCAGAAAAAAAGCCACTATACAACAGATATCATAAGCCCATTACACGGCAAGGTCATTTCAGTTGCTATAATCACACACAATCTGCTGTTGCTCTAAAGCTTGTTACCTCATAAAGGCGGCTGTTTCTTTTTTAATTTTTGCACTACTTGGCAGTGAATGGTAGTTATACTATAGTGATGGTGAATACTACTTGCTAGAAAGTGTGTCAGAGTTTCTTGGGTGCAATGATTCATGACTCACCCAGGGGGCAATAAAGATGAGATCAGCCACACACCAATCCCTTTCTGGGGTCACGGTACATGGATAACTACATTATATTCTGTGATCTACTGCATTATACAAGGAATTTTTTTTTTTGAGGTGGCGTTTCATTCTTGTGATCCAGGCTGGAGTGCAATGGCTCGATCTTGGCTCACTGCAACCTCCGCTTCCTGGGTTCAAGCAATTCTGCCTCAGCCACTCAAGTAGCTGGGATTACAGGTGCCCACCACCATGCCCAGCTAGTTTTTGTATTTTTAGTAGGGACATTGCTTCACCATGTTCGCCAGGCTGGTCTCAAACTCCTGACCTCAGGCGATCCATCCACCTCAGCCTCCCAAAGTGCTGGGATTACAGGTGTGAGGCACCGCACCCAGCCATACAAGGATTTTTTTTTTGCAGTCTTGAGTACAAGATCAATTCTGTTGTGTAGGGCTGAATGTTGTGAAATGTGCGTAAGAAAAAGATTGTAATTACCTGCATTTATCATGTCAGTCATTCTACTCATCAGACAATGATATGAACACAGTGAGAAAGACATCCCTCATTACTCTATTCTTCCTGAAGTAGAGAAACTAAGAATTCCATCAGCTCATCTGCCACTCCATGTGGAAATGCCCCATTTCTGATGATATCGTGGAAGTTTTGCTTTTTGGTTTCTGTGTTTATTTTGGTTTGGGTTTTTGCTTCAAGGTAGATCAGCAGGTAAAATCTGGTTTCCCCATCCTTTTATTGTCTCTCTTTGCATTTGTTCAATATCCCTCTGGGCATCCCCTTCGTAAGACTTTCTCTCACTACCCCTGTTCTCTCAGCTAAATACCCTTGGCCTTCCTAGGCAGCGCTCTAGTCTCCCCACACCCAACCCCCTCCTCACTTCCTATCCATCCCCCTACCCAGAAATTTTGGCTGCCTTGCTCAAATCCTTTAGAAATGTACACTCCCCAAGCAAGAGTTCCTATCATTTCCAAGAAAATTAAGTCACCTGTGTGCTGTGGTCTGAATGTTTATGTCCCCACAGAATTCATATGTTGAAACCAAATCCCCAAGGTGATGGCATTAGGAGGTGAGGTCTTTGGGAGATGATGATGTCATGAGGGCTCCACCCTCAGAAATAAGATTGAGGCCCTTATAAAAAAAGGTCTTGACCAGGCACGGTGGTTCACACCTGTAATCCCAGCACTTTGGGAGGCCAAGGCAGGTGGATCACCTGAGATCAGAAGTTCCAGACAAGCCTGACCAACATGGTGAAACCCTATCTCTACTAAAAATACAAAATTAGCCAGGCATGGCGGCACATGCCTGTAATCCCAGCTACTTGGGAGGCTGAGGCAGGACAATCACTTGAACCCGGGAGGCAGAGGTTGTAATGAGCTGAGATCGCGCCACTGCACTCCAGCCTGGGCAACAAGAGCGAAACACCATCTCAGAAAAAAAAAGAAAAAAGCCTGAGGGAAGCTGTTCACCCCTCCTGCCATGTGGACACCGCAAGAAGGCACCACCTTTGAGGAAGAAATCCAGCCCTCACCAAACACCCAAACTATGGGCACTTTGATCTTGAACTTCCTCGCCTCCAGAACTATGGGAAATAAATTTCTGTTGTGTCAAAGCACTCAGTCTATGTATCTTGTTAGAGCAGCCCAAAAGGACTGAGACAATGTGCTAGTGGGAAAAAGGCGCATAACACCCACATCCTCTTCCCATCCAAGTCACCCTAGCAGGGTGCCCATTTGAACAGAATTTTTTCAAAGACAAAGCCCCCAGTCATTTTGTTCAAATAAAAGGGGAGGTCCTTTCATGAATTTTAGGTCCTATTTTCAAGGGCTACTCAAAGTAAGCTGGGCACAGTGGAAAAGGTGATATTTATGAACAGGAATTTTTATTGCAGTCTCCACTAAAATCATCCATTAAAGGCACCTCCCTATTTGCTCTCAGAGGCCCAGGACTTTATTACTTCCTCCTTTCTCCATAGCAATCATTCTCAGGCATTGGGATTCCACAGCAATCTAAAAAAAGTGGGATTTCAACTCAGTATGATAAGTTTATTTTGCCAAGTAAGAGCACTTAAAAACAAAAATAACAACAACAACAAAACTACGAATTCCTATCACCATTATTTCATTTATTTATTTATTTATTTATTTTTGAGATGGAGTTTCGCTCTGTTGCCTAGGCTGGAGTGCAGTGGTGTGATCTTGGCTCACTGCAACAGCCCCTCTCCCAGGTTCAAGAGATTCTCCTGCCTCAGCCTCCCGAGTAGCTGCGATTACAGGCACCTGCCACCACATACGGCTAATTTCTGTATTTTTAGTAGAGACAGGGTTTCACCATGTTGGCCAGGCTGGTCTTGAACTCCTGACCTCAGGGTATCACCATTATTTCATGAAAGGAAGGGTCACTTGACTCTCAAAAATGAATGAACATGATCTCATAGTTAAGGCAGTTCTTTAATTTAATACATTTAATTTTATGGGTTTTTTGTTTGTTGTTTGTTTGTTTGTTTGTTTTGAGATGGAGTCTCGCTCTGTCACCCAGGCTGGAGTGCAGTGGTGTGATCTCAGCTCACTGCAACCTCCATCTCCCGGGTTCAAGTGAGTCTCCTGCCTCAGCCTCCTGAGTAGCTGGGATTACAGGCATGCGCGACCATGCGCAGCTAGTTTTTGTATTTTTAGTAGAGATGGGGTTTCACCATGTTGGTCAGGCTGGTCTTGAATTCCCAACCTCAGGTGATCTGCCCGCCTGGGCCTCCCAAATTGTTGGGATTACAGCCGTGAGCCACCACGCCTGGCCAATTTTATGTTCTTATTTTCCTCACATCAAAGACTGTGAATCCTTGGTCCTAAGCTGGCACTGGACCGTGGACCAAAATTTAGGAACCATTGCTCTGGATATCAGGACAGTCAGCCAAAGCTGGCATTAGCCACTGACATTTTGCAGGTAATGGTGAACGCAAAATTCACGTTGGGTGCATTTCCTCATTCTGTCATTCCAAAGCAGTTAGGAAGAGTTGAGACAGTAGAAACGGATACTCCTGCATCCAAGGTTCAGCTCCTCCACCTGACACGGGTGTGACTCAAGTAGCTTAACCTCTCTAAGCTGCCATTGCCGTGTCTGCAAAATGGAGAGACAGCAAAAATTCATCACGATGTTAGGATTAAATGAGGATTAGTGAAGGGTCTTTGCTTCAACAAATTTATAACTATTGATATAACTGTTACTAGACCTGGAGTGTCTATGAATATGCCAGACATTCTCTAAGACCCCTGACTACAGGGTCTAGAGTCTCCTTTCTGCCTTCAAGGAGATTATGCTCTGAAGGAGACCCACAAAAGGGTGGCCAGATACAGGGAAGCCAGAGTTAGGATACAGGCAGATACTGGAGGCCAAGGAGATTATAGAGCAGCGGTCCCCAACCTTTTTGGCACCAGGGACCGGTTTCATGGAAGACAATTTTTCCGCAGATGGAGTAGGGGAGGTTGGTTTCAGGATAAAACTGTTCCACCTTGGATCATCAGGCATTAGTTAGATTCTCATAAGAAGCATGCAACCTGCGTCTCTTGCATCTGCAGTTCACAATAGGGTTTTCACTCCTATGAGAATCTAGTGCCACCACTATGTGAAGGAGGTAGAGCTCAGGCGGTCATGCTCACTTGCCTGCCACTCACCTCCTGCTAACAGGCCACAGACCAGTACAGGTCCACAACCCTGGGCACTGGGGGTCCCTGTTATAGAGGATTGAGAGTTAGGAAGAAAAAATAGAAAAGGAGAGGCCTCTCAGAGGAGGTGGAATCTAAGGAAAATCTTATAGGACATAAGACTAAAACAAAACAAAATTATCAATTAGGCTTTCAGATGAGAATCAGACGAAGTCATACTGCTATACCTAAAACATGTGGATGAAAGTCTGGCAGACTAAACTTCCTTCTGTAATCCTGGGTCACTGTGTTAACTGCTTGAAGAAATGGCTTTCCTCAAAGCAGTAATTTTCCTTTGCCTCCCTGGCTCCCTTCTATATGAGTTGCCCTAAGAAAATTCTTCTCTGTCAATTCTGACCTGAAGAAGATGAGGCCAGGAGAGGTGGCTCATGCCTATAATCCCAGCACGTTGGGAGGCTGAGGTAGATGGATCACTTGAGGTCAGGAGTTTGAGACCAGCCTGGCCAACATGGTGAAACCCCATCTTTACTAAAAATACAAAAGTTAACTGTGGTGGCGCATGTCTGTAGTCCTAGCTACTCAGGAGGCTGAGGTAGGAGAATCACTTGAACTTGGGAGGCAGAGGTTGCAGTGAGCCGAGATTGTGTCACTGCACTCCGGCCTGGGTGACACAGCGAGACTCTGTCTCAAGACAAAAAAAAAAAAAAAAAAAAAAAGAAGAAGAAGATGAGCTTTCAGTGAAAAAGGAGAGAGAAGTTGCAGCTGATAGCTTTCAAGAAATCCTGGGGGCGTAGAGTATTTGAATGACTGAATCCCGGGTGCTACCTCACTCCTGCCACTCACAGTGTGGTCCTCTGAGCTGCAATGTTGGCATCACCTGGGAATTTGCTAGAAATGCAGAATTTTGGGCCCTGGCCAACAATGGCTGAATTCAAGTCTGAATTTTAACAAGATCCCCAGGGGATTGGGAAATCCATTAGGGTTTGGGAAGCGCTGCCCCAGCCCAATTCTTGTGAAAAAAGTCAACAACTGGACGGGATATGATGGGCATCAGAGCCTTGGTACTGATTTGAAATTACTTTACCTTCATTTGATCGCATTCATTGCTCCTCTAGATGTCTTAAAGGATAATGATGGTGGAACGAGAGAAGGGCTCTCTGCCCTAGAGGTGTCTAACTTAAAATTGCCCTATATTATGTTACAAAAGAACAATGGAATTTAATAACATTTACTTGGACCTATGCCCATGATCTTAGTTATATTTCCAAACAACCTATAGTTTCTGGGGCTTTGTGTTTGTTTGTTTGCTTGTTTTATTTATTTATTTATTTATTATTTTACAGAGGAGCTCAGAGACATTAGGGGACCTGCTGGGCTCACACACAGTAGTCCAGGGCTCCTTCCTCAAGCCGAATAGCCCGCCATTCACCACAGCTGAGAAGATGGTACCACCTGCACCACTCGGATGGCCCATGGCCCAGCACCAATCAACCACATAACCTGTGGCTCCTATCTCCAGACCCTTCTTTTTCATTCCCGTTACCAGCAGCCTCGTTCAGTCCACAGTTCCTAAACTGCCAGACAGGCCTACTCCTTGCTGCTTCCAATTCTTTGCCCCTTAAATCCACTTCACACACAGCCTCCCGAAGCCCAGCTTGGGATTCCCCTCATGAACTAGCTCAGAGACATCAGAAGCCATCAACAGGGTCCCATCCCTCAGGCAAGGACTATGGGACTTATCCTTGTATTCCTCACAAGACTACTGGATGCCTTACGGAGGAGATAGGCTGAATACCAGGGGGTCTCAACGAACAGATGAGAAAAGCTACTACAGTCTCTGGGCAAGAGACAGAGGCAGCCAAAGAGGAAGGACTGCATACGTGGACTGGAAGCATCCTGGTGGAACAGAGGGCTCGAGCAGACTCACTGGCCAAAGATATGAGGAGCCAGACCACGGCTCCTGCTTCTTCCTGTAGCTGGGGAGCTCCAAGGATGAAAAACTAAATGCTGAAATGGCACCAGGAGGGAAGACAGGCATCCTGGCTCAGCACGGAAAGAAGGGAGACACTGACATTTGTGGAATCGTGTAGGCATTGTGCAAGGGGTTCCACATTTGGCACCTCTAATTTCCCAGGGACAGGACATTCTGAGGTCAGGATTAGGACTCAGTTACCACAGGTTGAGACTGAGGCTAGGTTAAGGATAATCGCCAAGGTCTTGCAGCCAGCCAGTCGTTGGTAAAGTCAGTTTCCACCCAGGTATGTCTGATCCACACATTCTCTTTCCACTCTGCTGTTGCACCACACACCTGCAAGGAGGGATGACAAAGTGAACCACCTCATTCTCTATCTCTCATTTGTTTTGCTAGACTACTTACACATGTGTATGATATTATCTTGAATGTGGTATTGTGTGCAAACCTTTAAGAAGTGGACATCAGAGGAAGACCACACCCAAACCTCTAATTCCTTCCCACGGCCTTCAGGGGTAACATGGTACAGCGGGTGGAATGGTGATCCACTATGGGTCACCCCAATAGTGATCCATAAATATATGTCCCCAAAATACGGTGACCCCAAAACATATATTCAAATCCTAAGCATCAAAACTTGTGAATATGATCTTATTTGGAAAATGGTGTTTGCAGACATAACTAATGATCTCAAAATGAGACCATCTGGTATTTAGAGTGGGCCCTAAATCCAATCACAGTGTCCTCATCAAAGAAAGGCAGAGACAGATTTAACACACAGAGAAGAAACCATATAAAGACAGAAGCAGAAAAGGGATTTACTTTGCCACAATCCAGGGAATGCCTGCAGCCACCAGATGCTGGAAGAAGCAAAGAAAGGTTCTCTCCTGGAGCCTTCGGAGTGAGCAGAGCCGTGCTGATTCCTTGACTCCAGACTTCAGACCTCCAGATGACGAGAACCTGAAATCCTGTTGTTTTAAGCCACCCAGGGTTTGGTAACTTGTTGTGGAAGCCCTAGGAAACGAATTTACACTGAAATTAAGAATCTTGGCAGGTGCAGTTGCTCACGCCTGTAATCCCAGCATTTTAGGAGGCAGAGGTGGGTGGTTCATTTGAGCTTAGGTGAGACCAGCCTGGGCAACAGGGCAAAACCCCATCTCTACCAAAAATACAAAAATTAGCATGTGCCTGTGGTCCCAGCTACTTGGGAGGGTGAGGTGGGAGGGCCACTTAAGCCCAGTAGGCAGAGGTTTCAGTGAGCCAAGATCACACCACTGCACTCCAGCCCAGGCAACAGAGGGAGACTCTGCTTCAAAAAAATTTAAAAAAAATATTTTGTTTTATAACCATCATCTAGAAATATGTATTGGCACCAATGGCCTATAAAACCTATTCTCAATCCATTTGGCTTTGGATTAGGAAACCCAGATTTGAAAATCTATGTTCGGATTATTGAGACATTTTAAGAACATACAGTCAGAAACTAAAATATAAAGTAGGGCAGTTCATTCGCTACCTTTATTTCCCTCAAAATAAGAAAATACCTTTTCATGCAAATATTTTGCAGTGAATAGATAGCATTGTTTAGGAATGAGGATTATTTGTGCTTTTCCTATCATAGCCTAATTAGCTTTTCTTTAATGTGCACTAAGCATACAAGAGACGAAATGAGAAAGAACAAACACGAAGAGCTTAGGTTTTACCCACAAATCTGTCTTGTAGCCTGCAGTCTGGCAGAAAAGCCTACAAATCTCCCACTACATTTTTTGGTGTAAAAAATGTTTATTTTCAGTCTTCTTTTCCTCTCTCTCTCTCTCTCATGCTAATAAGAAATTTTTTAAGCAATCATGAGCTAAAACCAAAGATAAGTAGTAAGGCAGGCTTCTAAATGCTCTCCATTATCCTCTCTCTGGCCTCATTTCGAATCATTCTCTGAAAATTCGGCAGGAATCTATCATCCTGCAAACAGAGGTGAAGTGGGCTAGGCTTCTTCCCTGGGGCACTGCTGCTGTTTACCTGGTAGAGGTGAGGTAAAAAGCCCAGGACTCTACAACTGGTAGTAAGAAGGGAAATGTGTGTCTCCAGAGTAGCCCTGGGCATGGACCTGGCAGCCTCTGACGTTAGAGAGCCTGGGTGTAAATCCTGGCTGTGTCACTTGACGATGTGAGCTCAGGCAACTTGCTGCATATTTTTTTTTCTTAATTGACTAGTAAAAATTGTATATATTTGGCCGGGCGCCATGGCTCATGCCTGTAATCCCAGCACTTTGGGAGGCTGAGGCCGGCGGATCACGAGGTCAGGAGATCGAGACCATCCTGGCTAACACAGTGAAACCCTGTCTCTACTAAAAATACAAAAAAATTAGCCAGGTGTGGTGGTAGGTGCCTGTAGTCCCAGCTACTCTGGAGGCTGAGGCAGGAGAATGGCTTGAACCCGGGAGGTGGAGCTTGCCGTGAGCCGAGATCACACCACTGCACTCCAGCCTGGGCGACAGAGCAAGACTTCATCTCAAAAAAAAAAGCAAATTGTATATATTTATGATGTACATTGATAAATGCATACGTTGTGGAATGCTAAATCACACTGTTTAACAATATGCATTACCAGGCCGGGCACAGTGGCTTGCGCCTGTAATCTCAGCACTTTGGGAGGCCAAGGCGGGCAGATCACTTGAGGCCAGGAGTTCAAGACCAGCCTGGACAACAAAATAAAACCCGGTTTCTACTAAAAATACAAAAATTAGCCAGGCATGGTGGTGCAAGCCTTTGGTCCCAGCTACTTGGGAGGCTGAGGCAGGAGAAGTGCTTGAACCCAGGAGGTCAAGGTTGCAGTGAGCCAAGATCATGCCACTGTACTCCAGCCTGGGCAACAGAGTGAGACTCTATCTCAAGTAAAAATATATATAGGCATTACCTCACATACTTACCTTTTCTGTGGAAAGAACATTTAAAATCTCTCTCTCTTTTTTTTTTTTTTGAGACAGAGTCTCACTGTCGCCCAGGCTGGAGTGCAGTGGTGCGATTTCGGCTCACTGCAACTTCTGCCTCCTGAGTTCAAGCAATTCTCCTGCCTCAGCCTCCTGAGTAGCTGGGACTACAGGCACACACCACCATGCCCAGCTGATTTTTTTGTATTTTTAGTAGAGATGGGTGTTTCACCATGCTAGCCAGGATGGTGTCGATCTCCTGACCTCATGATCCACCCACCTTGGCCTCCCAAAGTGCTGGGATTACAGACGTGAGCCACTGTGCCTGGCCCTAAAATCTACTCTCTTACATACTATATATGTTACTAACTGTAGTTACCGTGATGTACAATGGATTTGTTGAACTTACTCTTCCCATCCAAGTGAAGCTTTATGTCCTTTGACCAACATCTCCCTAGTCTTCCCCAAAATAGTAACCACCATTCTACTCTCTAGTTCTATGACTTTGACTTGTTTACATTTCACATATAAGTGAGATCATGTGGTATTTGTCTTTCTATGCTGGACTTATTTTACTTAACATAATATTCTCCATGTTCATCTATGTTGTAGCAAATGACAAGATTTTCTTCTTTTTTAAGGCTGAATGGTATTCCACGGTGTTTGTATACCATACCTCCCTTATTCATTCATCCATTGATGGACACTTTGGTTGATTTCATATCTCAGCTATTGTAAACAGTGCTGCAATGAACATGGGAGTGCAGACATCTCTTTGATATACTGATTATATTTCCTCTGGATAGATACCCGGTAGTGGGGATGCTGGATCATATGGTAGTTCTATTTTTAATTTTTTGAGGCGCCTCCATACTGTTTTCCATCCAGGCAAGTTACTTAAGTCTCTCTGAGTCTTGGCTTTCTACTCTGAAAAATGAGGAAAATGGCCGGGTGCGGTGGCTCATGCCTGTAATCCTAGCACTTTGGGAGGGCGAGGCGGGCAGATCACTTGAGGTCAGGAGTTCGAAACCAGCCTAGCCAACACGGTGAAACCCCGTCTCTACTAAAAATACAAAAAAAAAAAAATAGCCAGGCGTGCTGGTAGGCACTTGTAATCCCAGCTACTTGGGAGCCTGAGGCAGGAGAATTTGAACCCAGGAGGTGGAGGTTGCAGGGAGCTGAGATCACGCCACTATACTCCAGCCTGGGCAACAGAGAGAGACTCCATCTCAAAAAAAAAAAAAAAAAAGAGAAAGAAAAAGAAAGAAAGAAAAATGAGGAAAATAACAATGTCTACCACATAAGGTTTTGAGACTAATGAAATCCACATTGCTAAACCCTGTGGTCAATTCTCAGTACTCATGATACTGAGTTTATTAGTGCACTTGCTCCATTTGCTGTCAAAATAAGCACTCTCTTCTGGTTTCCTTCCCTCCTTCAACTCCCCTCAGCATCTGTCCCTTTCCTATGTGTGAAGCTTGGAGTACTGAGAAGTTGGTTCTTGGACCTCACATCTTCTCCCTCCTTTGTTGGTCATCCAGGCCTCTGACCTCAGGGACCACATTTCTGCTGATGGCTCCTAAATCTCAATCTCGAGCCTCCCCTCTGAGCTCCAGACTAGTTTAGGCACTCAGCTCTGTCTATGACATCTCTACCTGATGTCTACAGAGCAGCACAAAGGCAGTACATCCACTCCAAATGCTTGATTTCCATTTCCAGACCAGCTCCTCCCTCGGGCACTCATGTTAGGAAATGGTACCCCTAGTTTGAGCTCCAGCCAAAAACTTAGATGACTTCCCTGACTCTTCTCTTGCTCTCACACCACATTCAAGTCCATGAGCTATTTTGCCACCACTGTAACTTCAGAGAAGATCCCAAACCCACCATTTCTCACCTCCCCCAGTTTTAGCTCAAGCTTCATGCCATCACCATCTCTTCCCCAACTATTGGAGTAGCCTGTGAAGCAGTCTCCCTGCCTCCTCCCATCCCTTCCCCAGCCTCTTCTCCACCAAGCAGGCAGAGTGATTCCTTCAAAGACAATCTCAAAATATGTCCCTGCTCAACAATCTCCAGTGGCTTCTCCATTTCACTGGGATCCCTAGCTACCCCATGGCCTTCATCCCCTACCATGCATTGTGAAGCCCTTCCCAGGCTCAGGGCCTGTTGTTGACTGCCTGCAAAGCAGACAGATACCTACTCAACAGAGTGACCTCCCCTGGGACCCTCCAACCCCCTCTTTCCCATGCTCAGATTTATTTTCTCTCTTAGCACTCATCTCCTTGGCATTATGTATGTATTTGTTTGTTGTCTATCTCCCTACTAGAGTGCAAACTCCACAAGAGCAAGGACTTTGTTTTACTCATTGCTGTGCCCTTGGTACCTGGAATGTTGCTTGACACATTAGTAACTGCTGAACAATTGGATGAATGAATGAGGTAACCCACGTCAAGCACCCAGCATAGTATGGCACATAGCATATAAGTGATAAGTACTACCTGTTGCTGTGCTTGTTCTTATTTTTATTACTAATTATTATTTGTCCAGGAACTTTACACATCCTGCCTTTCGTCCTGGCCCTTCACCTGTTTTAGCTCTTTCACTGCCAAGCCCAATCTTCTCCACTGGGACTCTAAGAACAATAAGAAGAAAGAAATAGAGATTACTATGGCAAGAAAGAATGTCACTGGCTAGGCCTCCTACATTGTTACTGAGTCTGCTTCTGCCAGATACACATAAAACGTGGGGTGAATGTTGGACTCAATGGACGCCAGGATCTCCATCAAATGACCTGAATGTACTTTTGGGGCAGCCACAATTCAAATAATGTGTTCTGTGATCTTTTAATAGACCAGCCCAAACTTAAATATTTCTGCCTCCAATTACACCTCCCAGACTGACTCTAAAAAGTAGCAAAAATTGTACTTTTTGTTCAGAAAACACAATCAACCTTCTCTGTAATGACTATTATGCTGTTTTGGAGACTGAACACATTTAAATATATGAAATTTTGTGGGAAAAAGGTAAGCCCTGGGGAAATCAAGCCAAATAAACTTGCGCTGTTATTTGAATTGGAAACTGGGATACCAATAACTTGTTCTTGATCTACACAATTGTTGAGATTTGTGCTAAATATTCTTCATGGATTCACCAAAGAGAGGTGGGCACACACTGAAAACATCATTGCAAACATGTTTGAAAGGCACTGTATTAGTCTGTTCTCACACTGCTGATAAAGATATACCTGAGACTGGGCAGTTTACAAAAGAAAGAGGTTCAATGGACTTACAGTTCCGCAGGGCTGGGGAGGCCTCACAATCATGGTGGAAGGCAAGGAGGAGCACGTCATCTCTTATATAAATAGGAGCAAGCAAAGAGAGAGAACTTGTGCAGGGGAACTCCTCTTTATAAAACCATAAGATCTCGTGAGACTTATTCACTATCACAAGAACAGCACGGGAAAGACTTGTCCCCATGATTCAACTACCTCCCACTGGGTCCCTCCCACAACATGTGGGAATTCAAGATGAGATTTGAGTGGGGACACAGCCAAACCATATCAGGCACTTACTAGAGTCCTTGGAAAACACTAGAGCAAGGACACGATGCTTTTCTTTGCTTCTGAGATGAGGCCTCCAGCAGTCAGCTCCCCTGGCCTGGTTGACAGCCAAGCCACCCCAAGATAAGAGCTGTTGGTTGGCAACATGCATGGATACCTGTTATGTGCAGACAGCTCTGGTGACTGGAGCCAATGGGGTTAGTTTCAGGTTTAAGCCAAACGCCCACCTGTGGCCCCAGTGCTGTGGGAGGGAATTGGAAAGTTACTGAATCAAAGCCTAAGAGGACTGAGTCTCAGTCCAGAGCCGGCTGAGCCCCCATCCGCCCCAAGGGCAAACACTCTTTTGGAGACAAACTGGCAGGATTCTTAGACAGAAGGCGACAAAATCACTGACTCAGGGAAACCAGACCCTCTCTGGAGGGGCTAAGCCTTTTAAGACATGACTGGAACATTCTTGGGTGGGGCAGTTCACTGAAAAACAAACAACTTAACAGTTCATCTCCATCCAAAACAGGTCTCCCTGTGAGCAGCCTGGCCATGGCTTCCAGCTCAGGTCTGGCCACACCCGAAGGCTCTTCCTGAAGCTCCTGTCTTTACCTTGGCCATGTGGACCACATCCTGGTTTGTCCCGATTCCTGACCTGCCCCTGATCCTGCCCCTGCCTGCCTGCTGTCCTACCTCAGTCCAAGTGGGGGCTGCCTTCCAAAGCAATCCCTGTCTCAGTGCACCATAGGTGGTGATAGGGTCACCACCTATCAAGCCAGTAGTCATGATGGCAATATGACCCCATCCCCTGAATCATCTGATTGCCTCAGGGTGGGCACCTGACCCAAGCTAGACTACTGAGGCTCTCTTTTGCTGACATATAGACCTGGGAGGAAAGGACCTAATATCCAAGCTCAGACGCTATGGGATGGGCATTTTCTACCCCCTGTCTGGACCAGACTAGCAAAGGCACCCTGCACTAGATGCTGGATGTTCAGAGGTAAGGTGCCCGCCCCGGCTCAATCAGTTGGGAAAGGCCCTCTGTCTGGCACCCGGAGATGCTGGCTGTGCCTTTTCCCATGGGAAGGAGCAGAAGAATATGTAGCTGAGAGAACTGGCTTTGGAATTAGACCTAACATCCTATTTCTACAATTTTCAGCTGTGCAGAAGTCCAGGCCTGCCCAATGGGCGACTATGAGTACTTTTCCGTGTTTCCATTTCCTGGCAACAGGAAGTGAGGTGCAAGGACTCAGCCGTGCCAGGCCACCCTCTCCACACACACAACTGCCAGAGAAAAGGGTTGCGCCTGGATTCAACTTCCCATGGGAAAAGGCACGGCCAGGGTCCCCAGGTGCCAGACAGAGGGCCTTTGCCAACTGATTGAGCCAGGGCAGGCACGTGGCCTCTGAATATCTGGCACCTAGTCGTAGGGTGCCAGGCAACCGAACCCAAGGTGCTTATTCTCCTGGGCAAAGCCACCCTTCCCTATGAAAGCAGAGATCCTGGGTGAGTCCCTCTAGCAGAACACGACCCCATGGTGTGTGCAGCTGTGCCCCAGTCCAAGAACAACTCACCACAAGATGCAGACAGAAGAGAAAGCCTGTGCAGACACACAGGGTTTTGAAGACCTAGTCGGAAAAAAGAATGTAAGATATCGCACTGATATTTTTATATTGATTACGTGTTGTAATAATAATAATGCCTTGGATACATTAGGTTAAACAAAATATATTAAAAATCAATTTCACCTGTTTTGTTTTACTTTTTTTTTTTTTTTTTTGAGATGGAGTCTCGCTCTGTCACCCAGGGTGGAGTGCAGTGGTGCAATCTTGGCTCACTGCAAACTCTGCCTCACAGGTTCAAGTGATTCTCCTGCCTCAGCCTCCCGATTAGCTGGGACTACAGGTGCTCACTACCAAGCCCAGCTAATTTTTGTATTTTTAGTAGAGACGGGGTTTCACCATGTTGGCCAGGCTGGTCTTGAACTCCTGACCTCGTCATCCGCCTTCCTCGGCCTCCCAAAGTGCTAGGATTACAGGCATGAACCACCGTGCCCGGCCTGCTTTACCTTTTTAATGAAGCTACTTGTGATAGGTTAAATAATGGTATCCAAATAGATCCACTTCCTAAGCCCTGGACCCTGAGACCATCATGTTATATGTCAAAGGGGTCAATATTCCCTTATATGGAAAAAGATGGCACTGTCTATGAACCCTGGTGCCAGGACCCCAGTATTGCCTACAGTGGCTGGATATGAGTTATTGGGTTGAATTTTCTTCTGTTGGGGAAAGAGAGTACATTTGGGATTGTCACTGGAATAGTTGAGCCTTGTTAGGCAGAGGCATCTTTGAAAATTTGTACATATGGGATAATGTATACTTGTGTCACACAGCAGGCTGCCATGGGTAAGACATCTGTTGAGTTGTCTGCTCGGCCACTTCTCCCTGGGGCACCCAGTAGTCATGATGGACAACATGACCCCATCCCCTGACTCATCTTGATTGCATCAGGATGGGAACCTGATCCAAGCTGGACCACTCAGAGTCTCTTTTGTTGACATATAGACCTGAGGGAAAAAGGGACCTAATATCTAAGCTCAGAAGCTATGGGTTGGGCATTTTCTACCCCCATCTGGACCAGACAAGCAAAAGGTAACAGGCAGGAGGTCAGGGGGAATAGTAATTAGAGAGGCAGGGCAAGTTCTAACAATAGCTGAGTCTCTAGTACCGGTTCCTTCCTGAGGCCACTTTGCCTTTGAATTGGGTTCTGTGGAACATACTATATCTTCATAATAAATCCCTCTTTTCAGCTTAGGCTAGTTTAAGCTGATTTTCCTTAGATTCTACCAAAAGAATTCAACTGAAAGACCTTCTCACAGATGAGTTGTGAGGAGCTACTATACTTGATATGAAAAGTAGGTTGGAAATAATGCAGCGCCCTAGAGAGGCTAGTTGCGCAATTATGATCAAGGCAGCCCCCATCACTGCTCTAGCGGTGACTTTGCTCCAGCTTTGAGAAGCCCTGACCCCACTGTCTCTTCTCCAAAGCCTGTGGCACAGACCCCTGCCCCAAACTATCCCGTTTCCTCATTTTTGAGAAACCACCCACATAGCTGCTGTCCTTCCAGGAAAGTTTTGCCTTTTCTTCTCTCTCTCTCCTTTTTTTTTTTTTTTTTTTGTTTAGACAGAGTCTCATTCTTTTGCTCAGGCTACAGTACAGTGATGCAATCATAGCTCACTGTAACCACGAACTCCTGGGCTCAAGGGATCCCCCTGTTTAGGCCTCCTGAAGTGCTGGGATTACAGGTGTGAGCCATGGCACCCAGCCCTTTCTGTCTCTTTTTAAACTAAAGCACAGGATAGACCCTTGGACTAAATCATCTCTAAAATTCCTTGCAGATTTGCTATTTTGTGATCCTGAGTCTCTTTCATGGTCCGCTCAACTCCTCTGCTCAGATTCATTACCGGGTGATAATGAACAGTCCCTCCCTCAGGGAGTTGCTCTGAAGATTGCACGTCACAGCGCATGTGAGGTGCCTAACAACATTCCTGGCACATGGAAAATGCTCAATCCAGGAATAGCTAATAATTATGATGAAAAAATAAAATAAAATGGGCAATGCACACTCCAATCCCTCCCTCATCTTTTTGTTTAATACCTTTTTTTATTTTTAAAGATAGAGATAGGGTTTCACTATATTGCCCAGGCTGATCTCAAACTCCTGAGCTCAAGCGATCCTCCCAGCTTGGCCTCCCAAACTGCTGAGATTATAGCCATGAGTCACTGCACCCGGCCCCTCCCTCATCCTGATGGATCCTTCACTAGCTGTCTGAGCTCTAAATGTACAGTTCCATAGTCTTGTCCCCCAGTACCCTTGCTTTACCCCTGAACTTACTCTTCAGGTTTCCCTTTCTCTCTAGACCACCAGTGTTTTGGCTTCTGCTGGGATGCCCCTCCACTGCAGTGGGCTGTGAAATTCTCTGCAAGGTTCTCTGCATAGAACTTGCACTCAATTAGCAGGGCATGGTGGTGGCTGCCTGTAATCCTAGCTACTTGGGAGGCTAAGGCCAGAGCATTGTTTGAACCCGGGAGGCGGAGGTTGCAGTGAGCAGAGATGGTGCCACTGCATTCCAGCCTGGGTGACGGAGCGAGAACAAAACAAACAAACAAACAAAAAAACACAGACACACACAACACATAAAACACTCAACTCAAAACATATTATTTAGTGTCTATTACTGCCTTAGGGATACAGGAGAAGGAGGGTGAAAGGAGATGTAACAGTACTCTAAATCAGCTGTCCCCAATCTTTTTGGCACCAGGGACCAGTTTCATGGGAGACAATTTTTCCACAGACTGGGGGCAGGGTGGTTTCAAGATGATCCCAGCTCATTACATTTATTGTGCACTTTATTTCTATTATTATTACAATACACAATGAAATAATTATATAACTCACCATAATGTAGAGTCAGTGGGAGCCCTGAGCTTGTTTTCCTGCAACTAGACGGTCCCATCTAGGAGTGATGGGAGATAGCGACAGATCATCGGGCATTAGATTCTCAAAAGGAGCCCACAACCCAGATTCCTCACATGCACAGTTCACAGTAGGGTTCATACTCCTATGAAAATCTAATACCAGCTGGGCGCAGTGGCTCACGCCTGTAATCCCAGCACTTTGGGAGGCTGAGGTGGGCGGATCATGAGGTCAAGAGATTGAGACCATGCTGGCCAACATGGTGAAACCCTGTCTCTACTACAAATACAAAAATTAGCTGGACATGGTGGCACGTGCCTATAGTCCCTGCTACTCGGGAGGCTGAGGCAGGAGAATCACTTGAATCCGGGAGGCAGAGGTTGCAGTGAGCGGAGATCATGCCACTGCACTCCAGCCTGGTGACAGAGCGAGAATCCGTCTCAAAAAAAAAAAAAAAAAAAAATCTAATGCCACCACTGATCTGACAGGAGGCAGGGCCCAGGTGGTAATGTGAGTGATGGGGAGTGGCTGTAAATACAGGTGAAATTTTGCTTGCTTACCCGCCATTCACCTCCCACTGTGCGGCCCAGTTCCTAACATGCCACAAACCTGTACCTATCCATGGCCCAGGGGTTGGGAATCCCTTCTCTAAATAGTTTCAACCTCAGGAAATGTAATATTCTGTGGTAGATATCAGACTTATACACTCGAAATAGAAACGAATACAGCCCTGACTCTGACTGCCAAAATATTAAATGGAAGAGAAGTGACCAAAGTGAGCTAGAATTACCCAGGAAATCTTTATGGAAGAAATGATATTCCAAAAGAGCTTTAACAAATTTCAAAAGAGCTTTAATAAATTTAAAAAGAGAGTCAGAGTCTTTTTTTTTTTTTTTTTTTTTTTTACAGCTTGCTTTCCAATAAGCCAAATGTACCAGCTTCTTTGTTTTTCAACGGATTGGTGTGTCCATTTGATACAAGAAAATGGAAACTGAACAGCCAGAGGAAACCTTCCCTAACATCGAAATCAACAGTGACTCTGGTAAACATCCTGCAGAAGACATGAAAGAGGAAAAAGCATTTAAAGATCTAGAAACACTGATGAGATGGTTGAATTAGGCATTCTGCTTCAGAGCAGAATGCTGGGGCAGTGACTGGAAAAGGAAGCAAGAATATGAAGTTTCTCCGTACAGACCACAATGCCAATGCTTTAGTCCCAGACAGCAGGGGCCCCGAGCAGCATGTCCCAACAGTTTATGCCTCACTGCCTGATTAGAAAAAGAGAAATGTATTTTATTACCTACCTTTTATATAATTAAGTAGTATCTCCTTTAGATGGTGGAAAAAATTTTTAGAAGATTTTGAATAGGTGGCAAGGATAATAACGTAAGCTTTATTAAATATTTTTAATTACAGGCATTCTATCTTATTCTGGTCATTTAAACAAAACAATCAGAAGTTGAAGAAAGAGGGAAAAAGGAGAACAAAAAGTAGTTTTAGTTTAGTCTTAGTTGCAGCTCTTCATTCCACTCTCCTTATTAAGCCTTGCCAGACCTGCGGTTTGCAGAGCCAGGATGAATTACATATATGCTCACCTTTTATGTTGCATCATTATGAGCCAAATATAAGCAGCAAATCATCAAATGCTTACCTGTATAAACTACATTACTTCAAGAATCCTGAAAGTCAGCTCGTGGTGGTGTCATTTCTGAGGGGCAGAAGCAGAATCTATCCCAAAACTTACTCTTGTTTTTTAGGTCACTTTTCAGAGGAAGGAGTGAGTTAGTAGTTACCAATACACAGTGCCACCAGATTACACAGTTGCCCTGGCAAGAGTCTCTCCAAATGGTTTTATTCTCTAGCAGTTATAGAAAAATCAAAATTTATCAAAGTGCATACAGTATATATCTGTGCTCTGATTTAAGCTGCCTCAAATTCTTTCCTCAGAATAAAAGGGTACTAAGTAAGAAAAACACTTGTGTGAAATGTATCTGCTGTCAATTTTTCTTTTGATTTAATTTTATTTTTTCAACATGTAAAACATGAATGTTTCCAAAGCCAAAATTAGATTCTAAGGTACATTCAGAGAAATCATTCTTCCATCCCAACTCCAACCTGTTCTCTTCCTTCTCTCATAAACGTTTAATTAATTTTTGGCTTATCCTACTAGTGTGTCTTTTCACAAATATAACCAAATTCACACACACACACACACACACACACACACACACACCCCCATATTCATATTTCTCTCCCTTTTTGCCCCCAAAATAGCATAATACCATTTTATGATTTGGCACCTTGCTTTTCTCACTTAACAAAATATTCTACAGATTATTCCATATCAGTATATAGAATTCTTCCCCATTCCTTTTTACAGCACACATTTTGAAGCATCTGTGTGGTCCCTTTAAAAATATTATTAAGGAAGTCATTAAAAGCGATAACTATAACTCTTGGCAGAATTTAGCTAGCTAATTCTAGCTTATCTACAGCAAATGACAGTTTCAGGATCATTTACCCATTCCCCTCACCTCCTAACTCCACTTCTGGCATGTGCTGAGAGTACAGAAACTGACTAATAATTAGCCCAGGCAAATTACACCTAGGCTTTGGGCTGGAATAGCAAAAGTAAAACTTAACAACCGGGACGAAGCAAGTAACTTCTCTTTTTGCTCTCTTGGAATCTGGCAACTGGGCAGAAATCATGACTTTATCAATAGGATGATGTTTACATGAACACAAATAAATAGGCTGAAATCGTAGACTTCCCCTTATCACATTCCCAACGAGCCATGGAGCATAATTACTCGTGGCCCAAATATAGAACTGTGAGGCTTAAATTTACACCTCGTCTACCCTATATTGGAGATTTGTGACTCAAAACTAGACACCAATCTCTAGGACTAAGCCTTCCATCAAAGTTGTTAAATAAGTTGGCTATACTAAATACATGATATAGGATAATTGCATGGAATCAATGAAGATAACCCTGTTGGGTCAAGCTTACACAAATCAATATGGCATCTGCTCCCAAACCATGTTCACTGCTACAATCCCAACTTGACATCATTGGGTTCCTCAAGTCAAGGAGGTCTGAGTTGCAGAGTTCTAGAACTGGATAACCTTAAACGTGATCTTTCATTTTGCCCTTTGCTGCAGATGTTCCTTGGTGAGGGGTCGGTGGGGGGTGGGGGGTTACTTGAATCCATTCATTTAAGATCAATTTCAGAAAAAAAGGTAAATTAGACATGTATGTAACTTTTAGTCTTTCTTTCTGCATTAGCTCCTTTAAAAAATTAGAGTTAATAATTTTAGGCACCAAAATGATATTGCTGGTCATTTACGAAATTGTTTTGCAATTTCGTAACTTTTTCCATGCTCTGAACTCAGTGCTACCTTGCACTTCCAATAAAGTTTTATAATTTTTTTAAACTTTTAAAAAATAAACTTATATATGCCCATTGCATTAAACACAGAAAAGTATACACAGGAAGGAATAATCAGCCATATTCATACCACTCAGCAATAACTATCCACTGTGAATAGTTGAGCATATTTTCTTCCAGCATGTTTTTTCTACATGTATTTTTTTCTTACACTATTGAGTGTAGTTTGTAAATCTTATAATGATTTTTGACCAAAAGTCATCAAGTCTAAGACTTTATAAATAGAAGATAAAGCTGTACCTTCCAAAAGAAAACACCCAATGACTTGGGGATATCTTTTTGGCTTCTGGGTAATTAAAAAGAAATTCCCTACTCATTCTCATCACTTACATTCTGAAGTTATCTTTTCAAACAACAAAGTTTAAAAAGAGAGCCTGGGTGCAGTGGCTCACACCTGTAATCCCAGAATTTTGGGAGGCCAAGGTGAGTGGATCACCTAAGGTCAGGAGTTCAAGACCAGCCTGGCCAACATGGTGAAACCCTGTCTGTACTAAAAATACAAAAAACTAGCCAGGTGTGGTAGTGCACACCTGTAATCCCAGCTACCTGGGAGGCTGAGGCAGGAGAATCGCTTGAATCTGGGAGGTGGAGGTTGCAGCGAGCTCAGATCGCGCCATTGCACTCCAACCTGGGTCCAGTGACAAGAGCGAAACTCCACCTCAAAAATAAAATAAAATAAATTAGATAAATAAATAAATAAAAAGAGAGAGGGAGAAGGCAACATTTCACGTTTGGGTCAAGATGGCTGGCAGGCTGGCTACCGCAGCATCAGACAGGTAGCTGGATGGTATTTGAAAATGGTATGACAATGCTGCAGGATTCGAGAAACTAAAGTAAATGTGAGATGAGACAATATATGAAGATGAAGATGTAAAGGAAGCCATAAGACGGCTTTCTAACGGCAGGATGTTTCGCATTAGAACACTGGACCTATGAGACAGCAGATCTTGCCTTAACAGCAGCGGACCAAACATGAAGAGGATAAATTCTACCATGAGCCATATCTGAAAGCGCTTATTTGGGAAAGAAAAGAATGAGAATGGTCAAAGAAGTCATCACATATTTGAAGTCCGTGGATGTAGCTGTCCTCCAAGTATTTTTATGAAAATGGTTAAACCTGAAACATATAATTTAAGAATTATTTGGTCTGCCAATGTTTCACTTTAAATAAAAGTCTATTGTAATATTAAAAAAACAAAAAAATAAAAAATAAAGAGGAGCCCAAAAATCTCTTTGAAATCTGTTTCAGATTTTGACTGTGACAGAAAAAATAATGAAATGTCTCATTAGTTTCCATGTTGCCACAGTGTTACTGAAATTCATAGGCCTTTAAAATCTAAAAAGGGCTCTTTGCCATAATCAGAGATGACACTTCCAAATCACTCATTTAAAAAATGCACTTTTAGAACACTCAAACAAGGATGATGACCTTTCATTGATCCACTGGAATTTTCTCATCATTCCCCTAAAGACCAAAGGTGTGCATTCACATCAGGCAGCGGGGGCTGTGGCGGTCCTTGTCCAGAGACCAATGAAAGCAAACTGGACTTGATGGAGATCGATCTAGGACCTCATCAATCCCACATTCTAGACAAAGGTCAGTGTAATTAGATTGCTCTAAGTAAAATGAGCCCATGAAACCTAGAATAACAGAATGATAAACCATGAGGTGATATTTGTTTTAGGAAAAAAAAAACCTCTTTCCCAGAGAATTCCTTTAAATAACAAGCTCCCTTTTTGTATATTTAAGTTAGATTCAAATATATTAAAACACACCTTTCAGGAACTTGCTCCTGAAGACAGTCCTGTCCACATGAACCTCCTGTTTTGCTGGGAAATCTTTTAAATACAGTATTGCTATTTGACACATTTAACAATAAATACTTACCAAGTTTAATTTTAATCATAGGGAATGTAATTTGAGGTTACATCAGAGCTACAAGGTAAATTAGCTTCCTATTTTTCAAAGCCTGCTCAAATTGTGTGGAATTTCAAAAAAGTATTTTAAAAAGGATGCAAAATATGGAAATATTTATTTATTTATTTATTATTTTTTGAGAGGGAGTCTCACTCTGTCACCCAGGCTGGAGTGCCATGGGTGACGCTGCAACCTCCGTCTTCCGGGTTCAAACCATTCTCCTGCCTTAGCCTCTTGAGTAGCTGGGGCTACCGGCGCCCACCGCTCACGCCCGGCCTATGGAAACATTTAACACTTTCAAAGTAGTTGGGAAATACCTGAACCCAGGATATTGAGGTCTCAAGCTCACTATTTACAAAAGCTTTACAAAGCTAAATTGTGAGTTAATCGGTTCATTCTAGGTACAAGATAGTTTCTTACTTTTAATAATAAATTACTTTACTTCGTTATATTTATTAAATGCAGAGATGTGTGTGAGAGTTGGTATAAAATAGTAAGACCACGATAGGCTACATACTATGCCAGGCCCACTACAAAATGAAAATGCAGAGACCCTTGTTCAAATTCAAGAGTGCAACAGCAGCGCGTTAGTCCTTTTAAGTGCGGGCCCTCTGTGACTTCACAGATCGCACGCCCGTGAAGCCAGCCCTGCCCAGAGTCCCTTTTCATTCACTGGGTCCTCCTCCCTCGCGTCACAGTCCTGGGGTGCGGGGATGCTGGCGTTGCTGTCACACTGCCGAGCTTTAGGTCAAACTCTCAGCACCGCGACTAGTTACCCTGAAATCACTGGGGCCCGGTATTACAAAACAGAACACACTTTCCTCTTTCTTCCCCTTTATTTAAAAGAGATGATAGGCTTTACGAGTTATTTTTAATAGAAATTTTTTACAATGAAAAGAATTCGGGCGTACTGTTTGCAAACTGCAGCAGACAGGTCTGAGCGCCCCAGAAGGCGGCCGGCCCCAGCCTGGGAGCCTGCGGGGACCACTCCCTGCTGCCCTGGCGCATGTCCTCCAGGGACACGGGCCACCGTTGCCCCTGGAAACCCTGGGGGACAGGCTCCCTCCTGGGCGACCTTTCCACGTTTCTTTCGCCCCCCCCGGAGCGGCACCTCCATACCTCCCGGGCCGCTAGTCCCCCGAAGCAGGCCCCAGCCCCGGCGCAAGCTGCCTCCTCCGCAGTCCCCGCCCGCCGCCAGCCCGGCCACCGCCGGACGGCGCCCTTCCCAGCCCCGCGCCCCGCTCCCCAGCCCTCCTCGCGCGTCCGAGCCCACGTCGCTTGCCCCGGCTGCCAAGTCTTCCAGACGGCCGGGCCCTCCCGGCACAGCGCGGGAACCCCGGCCCCCGGCCCCACGGGACGAGGGCTACAGGGCCCGGCCGGCGAGCCAGGGCACCCCGGGGTCTCCAGGCGGCCCACCGCCCTCACCCCCCACCGGCGTCCCCAAGCCCCCAGACCGTCCCCGCCGCGCCCTCAGCGCCGCCGCCCCCGGGCCGGCCGAGGCTCCGCGGCGAGTCCCGCCCAGCGCCCCGGAGGCGCCAGCCCCACGGCCCGAGCGTGCGCAGCGCCCCCCGCGGCCGCGCCAAGCGCAGGCGACGGCACAGGAAAGGAGGCCGCGGCGCGCCCGGCCCGGCCCCCTCCCCAGCCCGCCCCCGGGGCCGCTGGCGGTGTCCGCGCCTCCGCGCCCGCCCCTGATTTCCTCCGGGCGGCGGCGGCGGCGGCGGCGCCTCGTGCGCGCGGTTATTTATTTCCGGGCCCCAGAGCGCTTATAATGGAGCCGCTGTCAGCAGAACCTTCTGCCGCCGCCGCCGCCGCCGCCGTCCCTCCTCTTTTTTTTCCCGGCAGATCTTTGTTGTGTGGGAGGGCAGCAGGGATGGACTTGAGCTTGCGGATCCCCTGCTAGAGCAGCCGCGCTCGGAGAAGGCGCCGCAGCCGCGAGGAGGAGCCGCCGCCGCCGCGCCCGAGGCCCCGCCGCCCGCGGCCTCTGTCGGCCCGCGCCCCGCTCGCCCCGTCGCCCCGTCGCCCCTCGCCTCCCCGCAGAGTCCCCTCGCGGCAGCAGATGTGTGTGGGGTCAGCCCACGGCGGGGACTATGGTGAAATTCCCGGCGCTCACGCACTACTGGCCCCTGATCCGGTTCTTGGTGCCCCTGGGCATCACCAACATAGCCATCGACTTCGGGGAGCAGGTAAGCCCCGGCCCCGCGCCCCACGCCCGCTCGCCCTGCCTTGGCCTTACACGCCCGGACACGGGGGCGGAGGGGAGTCACCTGCTCCGAGTCCCTCTTTATCCTGAAACATTTGGTCGGGTGTGCAGCTTGTCAAGGGTGACTTTTCCAGCACCCCATTCCCTCCCTCCCTCCCCTCAATTATTCAGCAGACTTTTCCAGCCCTCTCTGGAAAATGTTAAAAAGACTGGATGGTGTGAAGCTTCACCTATGGAAGGGTTTTTAGTGCACGGCAGTATTATGTAATTTGCGATTATGTAAACCTCAGCTCTAATTAAAATGTAGTTTCTAGTAGCTTAAGTGCTGGGTTTTTATTTACCCATGGCTGGTGGTAATGGTGACGGTGGGGAGATTCTGTTTTATAATGCGTCCAAGTTGATTTCCCAGGTACTTCCATTTTTAAACATTTGTTTCGTAGTCCAGGTAAGGATTAGGGGTATCCCGAATGTGTCCTGATAAGCCGGTCTTGACCATTTATTTCTAGTTTGGGATTTCTTTTTTTTCCTTTTCCTTTTCTTTTTTTTTCTTTCTTTCTTTCTTTCTTTTTTTTTTTTCATGGACCACTAAAGAAGGGGAGCACATTTTTGTTTGGGGTCGCCTTCTCGTCCTTGTTTCTTTTCACGTTTTCTCCATGTGGCGTCATTGAAAATCTAGCGCTGCAAGCTCTCCAGCGATGGGGCATTGGCACCCTGCACTTTGCATGTGGGGACCGTTTTGGCAGGGCCACCAGCGGGATGCAGCTGCGTTCTAAGGCCGGGGAGAGGATTTGGTGATGGGGAGGCAGTGACATGCCACCCTGATGGGCAGGTGTCCCAAGTGGCCAGAGCGTGTGACGAGCGGCACTCCTGTATTGTGGTACTGTCTTTCTTCTTTCCTTTTAAGTCAAGAGACTTAAACGGATATTTATCTAGAATATGCACCTATTTTGATGCAGTACTCATTGTAAAAGTAAAACAGCTTTCAGGAGGCAGTTACAAATCGGAGATTTGTGTGACTCCTTCGTTTGACGAATATCTGTTTGGATTTGTCTTTCTGTGCTCAAAACTTTTGAATAATTGCAACTCTGTAAGCTCTCTAATATGTAGCCCACATTGTAAGCTACTTTTTACTTTGAATTTTGTTGGTGATAGGTGTTCACAATATGGCATATTCTCTAGAGACCTTTGTTTACCGCGCCAGCCAATGTCCTTTGATAAAATCTTGTCTCTTCCGTTGCCACTGTGCCCTGCCAGTGCCTCACAAGGGTACCCCAAGGGCTTCTTCCCTGCTCCACCCTGTACCCGCCCACCTTCCCTTCTTTCTATAGTAACTGGTGACTTTGAACACTTCCTACAATCCGTAGAAAAGCTTTTAGACACGAATTTACTACATTGCCCATTTTAGATGAGTCAAATGCTGTATATTCACTCGAGCCTTTCCTATTTTAAGGCTTACCTTCTTGGAGCTGCCCCAAAGGTTGTCAGAAAGCCCAGGCTGCTCATCTGAACTGGTGTGTGTTTGTGTGCATGTAAGAATCATATCGAGATAACTAGTGGAAATAAGAGTAGTCTGTGTCATCATTAAACCACCTGACGCATACCACAATATTGCCTCCCTTTTGCCTTGATTTAATGAAAGGCTGACATAACTAGGTTTGATTTTAGTATAAGAAAAAGAATCTCCTGAAGTCACAAAAGGGAGGTTAAACATAAGAGACAACTATCCAGATGGTTTATCCTCGCAGGTCTAATAATTCTAACTCATCCTTAAAACATTGCTAACCTGATTATCATGGCTGATGTAAGCAAAGTACTTAATGGAGTTGTGTTTTTGCAGAGAAGCAAAATGTTATCAACAAGTGTCATTTGAGGTCCTTTTCCCAAAAACACCAGAGTATGAGGTTATAGGCTGCCTGGAGGGCGGAGATATTTTATCACAGAGTTAAGGGTGGAGAAATGGGGAGAAGAAATTGATAGGTTTTCCAAACCTTGCTTTGCCTTCTGGTGTCAGATGATAATTGTTTTTGCAAAATGCTGCAGGGTGAGAGAGAGTGAGACTGACTTACTCTTTTCAGCATTAAACTGGAGGGAAAGAATTACAGTGGGAGCTGAAGAGTGACCTGGTATGTGTGGGTGATGAATAGAAGAACACTTTACCCCAATTCTTCTGAAGCACAGTAAAGAGGAGGAGAAATGAACCAGTTTGCAAAAGTGGGTCTACGTTAGCTGAAAATATGCAGCCCTTGAGTTTATATGGAGTTCTAGACAGATGGACACATGTAGGTACTGCCGCTGAGTGGGCAGGTGTATTACACCTTGCTGGGAGTGAATGATGGCTTATTTGTCAGCGATTTACAAATCCTAAGATGGAGAGGTAGCACGGGAGTACAAAGGCCAATGCAGCCTCAGGTTCACGTGCTTTTGAGATGATTAAGAAATGCAAAGTTAGGCTGGGCAAGGTGGCTCATGCCTATGATCGTAGCACTTGGGGAGATCAATCCTAGCACTTTGGGAGGCTTAGGCTAGAGGATTGCTTAGGCTAAGGTGGGAGGATCGCTTGAGCTCAGGAGTTCAAAACCAGCCTGGGCAACATAGTGAAACCTCGTCTCTATTAAAAAAAAAAAAAGGCCAGGTGCTATAGCTCACACCTGTAATCCCGGCACTTTGGGAGGTGAGGTGGATGGATCACTTGAGGTCAGGAGTTCGAGACCAGCCTGGCCAACATGATGAAATTCTATCTCTACTAAAAAATACAAACAAACAAAAAATTAGCCAGGCATGGTATTGCATGCCTGTAATCCTAGCTACTCAGGAGGCTGAGGTGGGAGAATTGCATTGAACCCCAGGAGGCAGGGGTTGCAGTAAGCCAAGACTGTACCACTGCACCCTCCAGCCTGGGCGACAGAGCAAGACTCCGTCTAAAAAAAAAAAAAAAAAGAAATGCAAAATTAAAAAATAAAACCTCTCATGAGCTTTTAAGTTCCTGGCTTGTCAAGAACAAAACAATAGCAAAATTATGTTAAATGTTTCTTAGATGAGGTGTTTTATGATGATAAATATCACAGTTTATGGTTTCTTTTAAAAACATGTACAGATCTTTTGAAATGGAAATCCAGCTATGTATAAGATTCCACTGAAAGTTAAATAAGCTGCACATACGTGACCATGTAAAGGAATTACCTGTTAATGACCCCAGAGCCAGTGTGTGTGGAGGGGCTAGGAAAGAGCCTGTAACAGTCTCTCCAGAAACTTCTGATATTCTCCATGAACATTACCTGTTGTATATAGATTTCTTAGTCATTTTATAGCTCAGTCAGGGAGGAAACCAAATCTTATGGACTATTTCCTCTAACAAAACTAGCAAAACCTATTATCACATTTTTTCAATTTTGGTAGTGGCAGTAATTTGAGGTGGTGGGGGGAGCGTTTGAATTTTGTACTAAAAAAAGCTCTATGGAATAAAATGATCTGCTTTTAATATTAAACATAGGCACCATAGAAAATGGGAACACCTTTGGGAGGCCGAGGCGGGTGGATCATGAGGTCAGGAGATCGAGACCATCCTGGCTAACAAGGTGAAACCCCGTCTCTACTAAAAATACAAAAAATTAGCCAGGCGCGGTGGCGGGTGCCTGTAGTCCCAGCTACTCGGGAGGCTGAGGCAGGAGAATGGCGTGAACCCGGGAAGCGGAGCTTGCAGTGAGCCGAGATTGCGCCACTGCAGTCCGCAGTCCGGCCTGGGCGACAGAGCGAGACTCCGTCTCAAAAAAAAAAAGAAAATGGGAACACATCTCCTTTTGCAGAAACTGAAGAAACGTTTATATTATAGAGCCCTATAGGTATATAAAATACTTTACAATCATTGTATATCTAGAATTATTTTATCTCAATTTTTACAGATTGAGAATCAAAAGTATTAATCACGTACATTGATTGAGCACCTAGTATGTGCCTGTATCTCAGCATATGATATATATGAGGAAACAATGAGAGGCCTACGCTTGTTAAGGTACTTGTTCAAGATGACACGGGTAGTAAATGGCAGAGCTAAGGTTCAAGCCCATACCCACCTGGTCTTTATAAATTTAGGAATAAGTTCTAGCTTTTCTGATTCCCAGACTAGGTCTAAATTTAATCTTAGCTGTCGTATATTGAATTTTTTTTTTTTTTTTTTTTTTTGAGACTGAGTCTCACTTGTTGCCCAGGCTAGAGTACAGTGGTGTGATCTTGGCTCAATGCAGCCACCATTTCCCAGGCTCAAGCGATTCTCCTGCCTCAGTCCCCCGAGTAGCGGGGACTACAGGCGTGCACCACCACCCCCGGCTAATTTTTGTATATTTTGTAGAGACGGGGTTTCACCATGTTGCCCAGGCTGGTCTTCAACTCCTGAGCTCACGTGATCCACCTACCTTGGCCTTCCAAAACGTGAGCCACCACATCTGGCCTGTATATTGAATTTTAAAAACTCAACAGATGTAGGATGATTAAAAGGAGGGCTTCCAGGAAAGGGATATTATGACCAAGAAGTTCATTTTAAGAAAAGCTTAATTACCCAGATAATTAAGTCAACACTGTATCTTATTTTAACAAGGTTGGCATAGCTTTTGGTCAAGGGGGGATGAAAGAAACAACTGATACCTCACAATAAAGTTATTTAGAAGTCACTTGGTCTTTGTCATTAAAACAATACAGATTGCTAAGGAAAGGAGCATGTTGAGATAGTTTTTAAAAAATATATTTCTTTTAAAGTATCTGCAAATGTCCATTTGATCTCACCATGTCCAAAGAATTGTTATTCTGTTTAAATTTGGTTCAGAGTCCCCAATTTCCTTAAAAGCCAAATTCACCAAATGACATAGAACAAATTAGTGAGCTTTTTAAAAAGGTACTCAGTATTACTTAAAATATTAAGGGCAACGTTGCTGTGAAGACCTTGAAGGAGAAAAGAAAGTTGAAATTGTTCTCACTTAAGAAATGTGTTCTGCCTAGGGCCAGGTGATCTACTCTTTCATGCTCAAAGGAGAAATGGTGCCAGGCGCGGTGGCTCACGCCTGTAATCCCAGCACTTTGGGAGGCCAAGGCAGGTGGATCACCTGAGGTCAGGAGTTCAAGAGCAGCCTGGCCAACATGAAGAAACCCCGTCTCTACTAAAAATACAAAATTAGCGGGGCATGATGGCAGGCACCTGTAATCCCAGCTACTTGGGAGGCTGAGGCAGGAGAATCTTTTGAACCTGGGAGGCGGAGGTTGCAGTGAGCTGAGACCGCACTGAATACCTCAATACCTTTCAGATACTTTAGATATTTCAAATTGCCTTGTATGATTCACTGAATTTGGTTGGGTCTAATATGATAATTCAAAGACCAGAGCTGTTTATCTGTGAATGGAGAGTTTTGCACATGAATTGTGACAATTCCTGGAATAAGATGTGTAATAGGAGTGTTCATATATCTTCAGCCCTTTCTATTTAGGAAACCTAGAGTTAGGCTTCCACAGTATAAGAGGGTTCCAAATTATTAATATCACAAGATGGACAAAAAGAGAAGCCCAGGAAAAATAGCTTGGAGAAGTGCACCCTCTCCACACCTCCTCCCAAAGTATAACAAAAGTATTTCATTCGATTAGGAGGAATAGGAATAAAAAGGACAGATGCAGTATATGGCACTGGCTTCAACAGGGAAGAGACTCTTCATCAAAAGTCACTGAGCAATGGAGAGGACCTCCTTTGACAGTGCTTAAGAGCTTGCCTTAAGGAACATGACAGGGATCTGTTGTAAGATCCACTTCCTAAAGTGCTTAAAGAAAGAAATGGAAATCTCAAGCTAAGGCTCCGAGTCACTGTGAGGGAGACTTTCCCCCTCCAGTCTATTCTGTAGTAACAGAATAAATTTCAAAATAATTATTTTTCCTAATTATAAATAGAAGTAATATCAGCTAATTGTTTAAAGTTTGGTAAATATTTTTTAAATGTGAAAAAATGCCTCTAATTTCACTCCTAAAACTCATTTAACAATTTGGGTATCTCCTGCCAATTTATTATTTTATTTAATTTATTATCATTATTATTATTTTTTGAGACGGAGTTTTGTTCTTGTTGCCCAGGCTGGAGTGCAATGGTGTGATCTCAGCTCACCACAACCTCCGCCTCCCGGGTTCAAGTGATTCTCCTGCCTCAGCCTCCCAAGTAGCTGGGATTACAGGCATGCGTCACCATGCCTGGCTAATTTTATATTTTTAGTAGTGACAGGGTTTCTCCATGTTGGTCAGGCTGGTGTCGAATTCCTGACCTCAGGTCGTCCCCCTGCCTCGGCCTCCCAAAGTGCTGGGATTACAGGCGTGAGCCACCACGCCTGGCCGCCGATTTATTTTTATAACATAATTGAGGAAATATATGTGTATGTGGGGTATGTGTGTGTGTGGGGTAAGTGTGTGTGTGTATACATTATATATACACACATATAAAAAATGGTGTGTATGTGTGTATGTTTCACAAAACACAGAAGCATTTTCCCTAAACTATTTAAAAGTATTTAAGTATGATTTTAAATTGCAGCATAATATGTGGTTATGAGAGCATGCTGTAATTCCTTTTGCATGTATTACCTTATTGTTAAACACAGGTTTGTTTGTTTTTGCAATATAAAGTTTCAATGAACATCTTTGTGTATTAAGTAGGTAATGTGTTTTCTCTGACTGCCTTGGGCTTTATGCCTGGCATAATTTGGTGCCTATTTCAGTGTCCAATTCATACATAGAAAATGAGGTCATGCCTTTCTTACAGTCCATATTTAGTCAAGGACACTGTGACCTCCTTAGTCCACTTGGTACTTACTTCCCTGCTGTGTTTCCCAGTTTTCTTTAGATGTCCATCTGCATTTAAAATACCTCTCTTAGGATGACTTAGGTAAGCGGGTTGTTTCTAGAGCCACAGAGGTATAATCCTGAGGTTGGTTTGTTTACTCGTTTACTCATTCATTTATTTATTGAGGTGGTTTGATGACCAGCCTAGATACTAATCTATCTACATACTTCCAAGCATATCCATCATACAGAAACAATATTTAAATCTCTTCCTAGTAATAGATCAAATTCTTTAAAAGCAGTTTTTATTTTGTTTTGTTTTGAGACAAGTCTCACTGTGTGGCCCAGGCTGGAGAACAATGGTGCAAACACAGCTTACTGCAGCCTCAAATTCCGGGGCTAAAGCCATCCTCCAGCCTCAGCCTCTGAGTAGCTGGGATTCCAGGCATATGGAACCATGCCTGCCTAATTTTTTTATTTTTGTAGAGATTGGGTCTTGTGATGTTGCCCAAGCTGGTCTCGAACTCCTGGGCTTAAGCAATCCTCCCATCTCAGCCTCCCAAACTGTTGGGATTACAGGCACGAGCCACCACATCCAGCCTAAAAACAGTTTTTAAAGGGTACAGTGTGATACCGTTTATGGGAACCACTTTTTAGATGAGACAAGCCCAGTTGTAAATTAATGGTGAATAATTTGGTTTTCATATTTGGTTTGGGACAATGGAGCAGGTTATGTTGGGTGGGAGGAGGAGAGAGCATGGGTGGAGAACCATTCCTTTACTGTCTTGTGTGAGTAAATAAACCTCTTTAAGCTCCTGATATAGCATACCAGAGTGACTTGGGTGGTGTCTACATTAAAAAAAGAAAAAATCAGGTATTTTTTGAACACCTGTGACTCTATTAGTTTCTGCAGAGATGCAATAGAGAAAAATCTAGTTTTCTACAGCCTTACCTGGGTCTGAGCAATCCACATGAGTGAATTTGCTTCATAACTGAAGCTAATACTTCAAAGTGGAAGTCACTGGGTTTTTCCTTTTTTTAGTATGAGAACTAGGGTTGTTGGAAGTCTAGCCTATACTGCACATTTATCTACCTTATTAAATGAGTATCATATGGCAAATCATAACATAGCATCTTTGGAGGCTGTGAATGTCCATTGTGCCAGGCAGTCACGTGAGATTCAAAGTACTTAACCGAGGGATTGGCACCAACCAGTGGGAGCTGACCTTGGCCCAGTCCTGAGCCCTGCATGACCAGTAGTGTTGTGGCCTTCTTGAGACTCTTAGGTGTGTGGTAGGGTTTAAAAAAAATTTTTTTATAGGCTATGTGCCTGCTTTTATCATTTTAATACTAACCAGTTGCCAGTCAACTGGTTAGTGGTAATCAGTTGCTACTGGTTTCAGTAACTGGTTACTAAGGACTCAGTTTCCTCTTCTTGCTGTGCAGTATGCCCGTGTAACCACTTAATGATAACACAAACACCATAAACATAGCTAATATTTATTGAGTTCTTGCTTTTTGATGTTCTGCTGTGGACTTGCTCTGGGCCCAGGCAACTAAAATTCACTAGAATGCCAGGAAAAATGAAGGAGTAACTTTGGTGGCTTCCTTTGGGAAAAGCATTTGTACTTCATGACACTCGTTTTCCTGCTGTCATTTTGTGTCTGTTCTAGAGAGATTCTAGGGCCAATGGCAGTGAAGTGATTTTTGAAAAGTCAAGGAAGCATGGCTGTATTCGAGCCAGCCCCTGCCCTCAAATTGTTTAGATCCTGGTTAAGAAAACATACGTGAAACACCTTTGCAAACAGAGCAGCACAGAGCAAAATGTCTAATTATACAGCAGAGTTTATTATGACACACAACGAGGTGCTCACTAATTGCAGCAGAGCAGTAAGTCTGTGGACATGAAACAGCAAGATGTTTGGACATAGTTCTCATCTGGATGTTCTCACCTCCTGCCTTACCTCTCTAAATGCTCTGCTGGGGAACGTGGAGAGCTCTGGTCTGCAGAAGATGAAGATGGAATTGCAAGATAGGTCATTCATATCAAGCCGTATCAGCCCAGGTGTTGTTTTTCTTTGTTGGTTAATTAGTTTTCCCTGGCTTTGGTATCATTCAGTTCCTGTTCCAACAACCAAATACCAGTCATGATGCTATGAGAACAAATGAGCTTAAAATTACAATGAAAACATTTAGGAGGGATTTCAGTCAACTAGAAGGTTTATTCATCAGAATTTACTGTTTCTCCTATGTAGTTGCTTCTTCATAGCAAAAATGCTCTTTTTTTGTTTGTTTGTTTGAGACAGTTTCGCTCTTGTTGCCCAGGCTAGAGTGCAGTGGCGTGGTCTTAGCTCACTGCAACGTCCACCTCCTGGGTTCAAGCGATTCCCCTGCCTCAGCCTCCTGAGTAGCTGGGATTAGAGGCATGTGCCACCATGCCCAGCTGATTTCCATATTTTTGGTAGAGACGGGGTTTCACCATGTTGGCCAGGCTGGTCTCAAACTCCTGACCTCAAGTGATCCACCTGCCTTGGCCTCCCAAAGTGCTGGGATTACAGGTGTGAGCTACCATGCTCAGCCCCAAAAGTACTCTTAAAGTCCATCCAGGGAAGGAAAGTAACTTGGTTATTTGTCAGGGCAAAGGTTGGGGACAATATTTATTCCTCTAGATAAAATGTTATCAAAAGACAGTCTACATCTGGTTCAGGGTCCCTAGGGACAGACTGACCAGCTTTGTCCCTAGTTCGGGGGAGGATGTTTTGGTTTAAGTTAGTTTGCAGGTCCTAGCTGGTTTTTAGATCAGTAATGACATTTTTCAGAGGCACTGAAAGGTGGGCTGTCGATAAGAATCTACAGTCTCCTCAATAAGATGGGCTGACATCACTGTCCCCAGCCTGGGGGACAGAGGAGGGGCTGTACGTGTGTGGCTGTGTACTCTGGAGCATGAGGAGGTGACAGGCACTGCCACACACCACACCCACTAGGCTATCTCACCCAGGCAGAAATATGCCAGTGAGGACCTCTGGCTCCAGGCTGGGGAGAAATCCAAAAACAGAGCAGAGTCCTCAGATAGGGAGTTTCAAAGATGGCTTCAAAAGTGAGGTTGAGGCTTCTTAGGACATTTTGTCATCCTGATTAAATGGCTGGAAAGCAGAATGTCTGCTGACAGGTTAATGAGGATTTTCCTAGTGAGCCAGATGAACCAGGAACCAGGAGGGGCAGAGGTCAGCTTTGTGGTTATCAGCTTCTGAGGACGTGAGAAGGAAAGGTGGCTTATTCTGTGCATGTCCCAAAGAGGAATATTATGTGCTTGGAGTCTTGGAGGTTCAGTCATCCTGTGCGAGCATTTATGTTGTGAGAACTAGTTACTTCAGGTTACTGCCTTTCATTCAAATTATAGTGAGTCCACATTAGTAAGCTTTTCAGAACCCTTGCTTCACTTAAAAAATATATGTAGGCCGGGCACGGTGGCTCATGCCTGCCAGCACTTTGGGAGGCCTAGGTGGGCAGATCACTTGAGCTCAGGAGTTCAAGGCCAGCCTGACCAACATGGTGAAACTCCATCTCCACTAAAAATACAAAAATTAGCCGGGTGTGGTGGTGGGCGCCTGTAGTCCTAGCTACTTGGGAGGCTGAGGCAGGAGAATCACTTGAACCCAGGAGGTGGAGGTTGCAGTGAGCCGAGATCATGCCAGTGCACTCCAGCCTGGGCATCGCAGCACTCCAGCCTGGGCGTCACAGCAAGACTCCATCTCAAAATAAATTAATAATAAAATAAAAATATATATAACGTTTAAGTGGAGGAGAGTATTTGAGTTTCTGCCTGCCGTTTTCTAATTTGCCGTTTGACTTAGCTGGGGCTGCTTTGTGTTTCCAAAACTGTTTTTAAGGTGATAAGAAGTTTGTATGCTTTTTTATCCGTGAACCACCTGGAGATCGACTGGCCACTGGGTCTTGCATTTTAATAGAGGGGAATAGTAGTGTGGAGAATATAAAATAGTAAATAACAACAACACAAAATTCTCTGACTTCTTAGTGCTTTAAATGGTTTAGAGGAAATTCACTGTGGCTGGGACGCTGAGGCCTCCCACCATGTGTGGCCTAAACTTGACATTTTATAAAGGCAAACTGCACAGAGGAGAGTAACAAATAACCACACTTAATAAGGAGGCAGTAACTTTCAGCTCTTCGTGATTCTAGCCAAGTCCAAGGCCACAGTGACTGGAAAGACAGCTTGCAGCCAGCCTGACAAGGGAGTCAAGACAACACCCTCCTCCTCTGCAGGTTTCTGTGTTCGAATGTCCCTCCCTCACCGCCTTCTGGAGAGAGACCTTGTTTCTTTGGGATGGTTTTGGATGCAGCCTTGCATCACCTGAGAAGACACCTGGCCTGGAGCCTGGCGTGCAGCTGGTTGTACCTCATTTGTACCCCCACGCAGAGGCATTCCACCACCTGCGGCTCATGCCTATTGGGCTGTCTCCTAAACGTGGGCAGATTTCCTGGCATTGTAGGTAGTTAGTCCACCACATGTTTCCCAGCCTCTCCTAGACAAACCAGTGTTTCAGCACCAAATAGCAAGGAGCTTGGGCTTAATTCCAGGTATAGTAGAGACCTGCCAAAGGGCCCTAAAGTGGTGGATGGCAGTAAGTCTCACTAGCTGAACTGTAGAATCTCCTTTGTTTTTGTAAAATTCATATTTTACTCTGATTTCCTTTAGGCTCTAAGTGAAGTGTACAGATCTTAACTGTATAGGTCTGTGAGTTTTGTCAAATGACGGATGCGTACCTGTGTGTAATCCACACCATGAGGATATGGGACATTTCCATCAGCCCAGATATATCCACAGTGCCCCTTTGCAGTCTTCCTAGTCAACCACTGTTCTGATTCCTGAGCCAGCCTTTGTAACTGCTCATGAAAATGACACATGTGCATTGTTATTACAGTGTCTAGCACCTTATTCTTTCTTATTGCAAAATATAGCCTAATATTGAGTATTTTAGTGGCTTTTCAGCAGGTGGAGAGTTTGTAAAATAATTGTTTCCAATGGTACACATCTTAAATTATGTGTACTGTTGATCATTTTGATGTTCAGACATGGTTTTAAAAGCCTGCATTAAAAAACTAATGTCCTACAGCAAAATGGGGCATATACAGGCAATGGACTATTATACAGCCTTAAAAAGGAATTACGATGTATGCTACAATATAGGCAAACCTTGAAGACATTATGCTAAGTAAAATAAGACAGACACAAAAAGACAACTGTCTTATGGTTGATTGCATTTATATAAGGTATGCAGAACAGTCAAGTTTGTAGAGATAGAAGGTAGAATAGTAGTTACCAGAGGCCAGGGGAGAGGAGAATAGGGAGCTGTTGTTTGATGGGCATAGTTTCAATTTGGGGTGATGAAAAAGCTCTAGAGATGGATGGCAATGATGTGCAGATACTTAATGCCACTGAATTGTACACTTAAAAATTATTAAAATGATACATTTTTATGTATATTTTATCAAAATGAAAAACTTTCAATTAACACCATAAGCCACTGGAAAAGCCTGTGGTATTTGAAGAGGATCTCCCTTTTAAAAAAAAAAGACTAAATTTATTAATTGTATTGTAGTTACAGATACCATTCATTTTCATTTTTAAAAGAAGGAAAAGTATCAAAAAGAAAATAAGAATATCTTATGCAAGCCCACCACCTAGAAATCTGTATCTTATTTTAGTGCATAATCTTCTTATCTCTTTTCTGTGCATATATTTTATTTTATTTTATTTATTTATTTATTTATTTATTTATTTATTTATTTATTTATTGAGATGGATTCTCACTCTGTTGCCCAGGCTGGAGTGCAGTGGCCCGATCTCGGCTCACTGCAACCCCCGCCTCCTGTGTTTAAGCGATTTTCCTGCCTCAGCCTCCCGAGTAGCTGGGACTACAGGCATTACCCACCATGCCTGGCTAATTTTTGTATTTTTAGTAGAGACGGGGTTTCGCCATGCTGGCCAGGCTTATCTCAAACTCCTGACCTTGTGATCCGCACCCCCTTGGCCTCCCAAAGTGTTAGGATTACAGGCGAGAGCCACCACATCTGGCACTATGCGTATATTTTAAAACAATATTGTAACCTTTCCCTACTTTTTATCGTAGGCAATTTTTCTTGATTTTAAATATTCATCTAAAATTTGATGAATTGGGAGCTACGCTGTAAGGATATAAAGACATAAGAATGATACAAAGGACTTTGGGGGCTCTGGGGGAAGGGTGGGAGGCGGGTGAGGGATAAAAGACTACACATTGGGTACAGTGTACACTGCTTAGGTGACAGGTGCACCAAACCATGTAAGCAAAAACCACCTGTACTCCAAAAATTATTGAAATAAAAATTAAAATTAGAAAAAAGTGAAATAAAATGTGATGATTAATGCTCCTAGCTTCCATCACATGGCTATTCCATCATTTATTTAACCAATTATCTGTAGTTAATGTTCAAACTATTTTATTCCTATTGTAAATAATGCTATGCAACATATTGTACAGAAATCTTTGTACACATCTGATTATTTCTTTGGATTAATATTACCGGTCACAATGTGCCCCTTTTCCAGGCTTCTGCAGAGCGGCCCCACACCCCTGTATAGACAGTTGTTCCAGCTTTCCTTAGAGATGCTGGGTCTGGATATGCCTGTGTTCCTGATCCTGGCACATGGTGGGTGTTCCCTCCCTTGAAGCTATTTTATTGCCCTGTGACTTTGAGAATCTGCATTTTAGTTCTCTCCAGCCACACCATGTTGAACTCCTTCACATTATTTGTTTTATTAAAAGTATTGTTTAATGCTGAGAGATCTATTAAGTTTTTTTTTCTTTTTCTTTTTTTTGAGATGGAGTCTCTGTTGCCCAGGCTGGAGTGCAGTGGCGCGATCTCCACTCACTGCAACCTCCGCCTCCCAGGTTCAAGCGATTCTCCTGCCTTAGCCTCCCAAGTAGCTGGAATCACAGGCACCCACCACCACTCCTGGCTAATTTTTGTATTTTTTTAAGTAGAGATGGGGTTTCACTATACTGGCCAGGTTGGTCTTGAACTCCTGACCTCAAGTGATCCACCTGTCTTGGCCTCCCAGAGTGCTGGGATTACAGGCATAAGCCACTGCACCCAGCAGTTTTTCTTAATGTAATACTTTTAAACTGCCTCTGGACTTTCATTTTTTAAAATAAATACCTTTTGGACCAAATATATACTGCATGTGTGGCTAGGCATACTTGTGGGGAGGGCAGGGGCTGTATTGGTTTTACTTCCCTGTATATCTGGGAAGATCTCACCTCCTGCAGGGAACTGCTTTGTCTCTAGTTAGTGGGAGGATGTTTGGAGGTACCAGGCAAAATGCCTGGTACCTTTTGGACCCGATATGTACTGCAAATGTGTTTAGACATAGGCGTAGGGTGGGCAGGGACTGTATTGGTTTTACTCCCCCGTATATTTGGGAAGATCTCAGTTCCTGCAGGGTTCCAGACAGAGAAAAGCGCTTTCTTTCAATGAGTTCACTGGTGCTCAGGAAGTTTTGCTTCCCTGTGAACATATGGGTGGGAAAGGAGAAAAAAACATCCACACCTTCCTACATGCCAGACCCTAGGTATGGGGCATGCACTGTGGAGAGTCACCTTCCCCACTTCGAAGATGAATAGGTGAATAGCTTCTGGCATGTGGAGCCAGGCTTGTCTGACTCGTGGCTCATGCTTAGAGTCTCATAGGTGAATTTTGGTATTGACAGCCTGCGAGAGAAAAGCAGAGCTGGTGATATTTAGGGAAAATCAAAGAGAAAACGTTCTTTTTCCTTTTCTACCAGGCTGACCATGATTTTATCCATTTCACCTGGTTTTGTTATTTCGAGTCTGTATCGGAGAAAAGGAGAGGGGAAATGGTTCATCTTCATCCAGAAGTGAACTGAGTCTCTGGGGCCTGTCCTCTGCTCTCCCAGTATCAATGGGGCAAGCTGATCACGGCATGGTGGATCGAAAAATCATGGGCATCTGATGGTCAGGACCTCTGCACCCACTGGCTCTGTGACCTTGAGCAGAGAACTCTGTAGGCTTCAACTTTTTCAACTGTAAATAGGGATAAAGATTGATATGCCTTCTTTTGGAGATCTGGACCAAACAGACTGGATGCAAACGTGCTTTGAAAAGTATGAAATGGTGCATGTATGTATGATAGTATTGCAAAGACTTTGAGCATGGTGTGTAGCTGCTATACCTGTTTTATTTTTATGTTTTCTCTCTTTTTTGTTGTTTTTGAGACAGGGTCAGACTCTGTCTCCCAGGCTGGAGTGCAGTGACATGATCACGGCTCACTGCAGCCTCCGCCTCCTCTATTTTTTGTAGAGATCGGGCTCTGCCATGTTACCCAGGCTGGTCTCAAACTCCTGGGCTCAAGCGATTCGCCTGCCCACTTTGGCTTCCGAAAGTGCTGGGATTACAGGCTTGAGCCACCACACCCTGCCTGTTTTTATGCTTTCTTGACTAACTGACTTTTCTTGCTTTGTATTTTTTCAATGAATTGCATTAAGGGGATATCTTTAAGCCAGAGCCAGCTGGTTAGGGGCAAGCAGAAGCAAGCAAATGACAGATGATTGGGGCACTTAGATTTTACAGCATGTGTATCAGCATGCCGCCTTTTTTTTTTTTTCTTTTTCTTTTTTTTTTCCACCTTAGGGAAAAGGCCTTTAAGGCTGGATTTTCTCAGTAGTGTGCCTTTTTAAAACTGAGTTACTAATATTTAAGTAACGTATGCTTTTTGAAATAATAGATTAAATTTAATCTTCATTTAATTATAGGCTGCTATTTGACACAGGCTTAGGGAGAGGGTGACTACCATGTACCATGGACCCCTTCTGTAATCAGGTCATTCAAGTGGGACCAAGTCTTTCTCAATTTTGTTGACAGTTATGATAATAACACACCATGGTGTTTTGACACAATGTATGCTGGTTACTCAATGAGATAAAAGTTGTAACTCACTTCCCCAAGTGCTTAGTATACTGTTTTGGAGTGTTTTCATTATTAAATAATGGGGAGTATGGAACACAGAGGGCAAGAGTATATTCATGAATTTGTTCATTCAACAAATGTTTCTTGGGCATTTATGATGTGCTAGTCACTGAATGGAGTCAGCAAAAGGACGAATGCAGTGCTTGCCTTCAGGTGAGTCTATCTATTAATAGGAGGGCAAATAAACAAGGAGGCACTTAGCAAGAAATAGGACCAAGGCTGGGAGGAAGAGACCAGGGGCTTTGCTCTGGGATCCTATAGAAGGAATCCTTAGCCCATCCCCAGAATCAGGGAAGGTTTTAGTGCCAGCTGAGGCCTAAAGAGAATACTATGTCCCCATTCTGGAAAGCAAGACGGATCCAGTAGAGGAATGAAAGATGCTTAGTATGAGTGGAGCAGGTAATAAGACCAGGGGAACGGCAGGAGGAGAGGATAGTTGGGTAAGTGAACCCGGACTGGGAAGGGCCCAGTCATTCAGGGTAAGGAGCGTGGACTTGGTCCTGCTCACATTGGAGAGCTTTCTTAGTAGGGTGTGGTGTGCTCAGATTTGAAAGATAATTTGGTTTCAAAATAGCTACTGAATTAGAGGGAGGTGAGACCAAAGGCACAGAGACCAGTTAAGAGGCTATTCTGGCAACTACCAGAGAGACAGCTGTGGCCTGGTTCAGGGTTGGGGTGGGAAGGCAGGGCTGGAAGAGAAAATAACCTACAGTCAAATGGACCTGGCTCTGATCAGATGGGGTGGGAGAGGCTGGGGCAGGTGATGATGCCACCAAGTTTTATTTTTTGTTTATTTATTTTAGAAACAGGGTCTTACTGTGTCACTCAGGCTGGAGTGCAGTGGCACCATCATGGCTCACTCCTGGGCTCAAGTGATCCACCTCAGCCTCCAGAGTAGCTGGGACCACAGGTGCATGCCACCATGCCTGGCTAATTTTTAAAGTTGTTTGTTTGTTTTTGTTTTTGTTTTGTAGAGACTGGGTCCTGGTATGTTGTCCAGGCTAGTCTCAAACTCTTAGGCCCAAGAGATCCTTCTGCCTCGACCACCCAAAGTGCTGGGATTACAGGCGTGAGCCACCATGCCCGGCTACCACCAAGCTTTAAAAGAGCTAGGTTGTGGCAAAGAGAATGAGTTCTGTTTCAGTCGTGTTAATTTGTTAGTAGATTTAGTGAAATGTTTTAAATTGCTTGCCTGAGAGAATACAAGTTATGAATAAACAGTGGGAACGGCAGTGAATACTTAGTGTTGGATCTCTCTCTTCAGGACATTCTCTGTCAGTGGGAGCCGTACTACAGTTCATTTTTCCTACCTGCAAATGCTATGATATTCATTTATCCCTTTAAAATATAAAAATGTTCTATTATAATACAGTTAGTTCTCAGCCATTTGCCTTAATGAAATAGTGATATAGAAAATTCAAAACTATTTATGAATATTTGGCACTGGAATACATTAGGATTTTGGAGGATGCAAATTTCTCTGCATCATCGTTGTGTTCTGCTAAGGATAACATTACAGAGGGACCAGGTGCCTGGTGACAGTGGAGAGAACCATCTGGAATTGAATTTGATGAGGCTCCTGGGTTTGCTCTATCTTTGTGTATAGTAAATGTTTACCATGTAAACAGTAGGGAGTAGACTCACCTTAGAGGGCTTCCTTGTATGGGTTTATGTTTGCTTGCATGTTTGTTTGTTTTTAGTATATAGTTTACCATCTAGTTGTGATTCATAAAATTCACTTAAAATACACCTTTCTATCGCGCCACTGCACTCCAGCCTGGGCGAAGAGAGCAAAACTCCATCTCAAAAAAACAAACAAACAAAAAAAACCCACACATCTTTCTACAGAAATAATATATAAATCATGTTTAGGTTTCCAGGCCCCTCCACCTAAATTATTTTATTTTATTGAGACAGAGTCTTGTTCTGTCACCCAGGCTGGAGTGCAGTGGCACAATCTCAGCTCACTGCGACCTCAACCTCCTGGGCTCAAGCGATCCTCTCACCTCAGCCACCCGAGTAGCTGTGACCATAGGTGCATGCTGCCACACCCGGCTAATTTTTTTATTTTTCTGTGGAGACAGGGTCTCACTATGTTACCCAGGTTGGTCTCAAGCCCCAGGGCTCAAGTGATTCTCCTGCCTTGGCCTCTCAAAATGTTGGGATTACAGGCGTGAGCCACCACACCTGACCACCTAAGTTATATAACTCCTAATGTTATTTAGATATTCTGTATATGCAAGGAGGAGTAGACAACTATACTCTTAAAATAGTAGTAATTGGGAAAAGCGTATGATTGAAATTTATTATTTGTCTTGATTAATTGCACCTTAAGAACTGTTGGTTTAATTGCATTGTAAGGCATGTGGTGGTAGTTTGGGGGGAGGTTGGTGCCAAGGGCTTAGTTTTAAACTAAAACATCCTCTGGATGCACGTGGCTCATCAGCATGATTGTGATTATCTGAAAACTCACCGATGAGAGATGAGTGATGCACACTCCCGGGGGTACCTTGACACGGTTTGGCGGACAGGAGGGTGGGTGTGAAACAGATCTGCTTGGGTGGAATTAATGGGTGTGATGGGAATGAATTCTCCTGGGTGAGGCTAGATCTTCTGCAGGATCCCACAGGATACCTATTCTCTGCTGGCATCATGAACCCAGGACAGCTTGAGTGGGCCGGGATGGTAAGGTAAAAGGAAGATACTGTGCATTCTTCCAGTTGCACGTGAAAGACATTTTTGGGGGACGGGCAATAGAAAGTTGTGCCTGTAACTTGATATAATTTAAAGTATAGTAGTGGCCAGTTGTCTGCTGCTAGGGACACACGTAAGGCAGTTTAAAATGTTTTTGAACTAATTTACACTCCAGGTGACAAAATAATCTGTACCACAAACCCCCACAACACAAGCTTACCTATATAACAAACCAGCACATGTACCCCTGAACTTAAAAGTTAAATTTTTAAAAATTAATGTTTTTGCATCAAAAATAACTCATTTCTGTATGGTTAGAGAAAGGCTTGTTCTGATTGTCACTATCAGTAGCTGCTTGGACTTTAAAATTTCTGTTCTCTGCCCTGTAATTTGTTGTGACCTAATCATGTGCTATGCACCAGGCTAATTTCCAGGGGCCTTGCTGCTTCCATATCATGTTTCCTTTTCCTTAATTAGCCCTTAAGGAGCATTCCATTTCTTTCTTTTTTTTGAGAGACAAGATCTCACTGTCACCCAGGCTGGAGTGCAGTGGCACAATCACTGCTCACTGCAGCCTTGAACTCCTGGGCTCAAGTGATCCTCCTGCCTTGGCCTCCCAGGTAGCTGGGACTACAGGCATGTGTCACCACTCATGGATAATTTTTAAAGTTTTTGTAGAGACAGGGTCCTGCTATGTTGTCCAGGCTAGTTTCAAACTCCTGGGCTCAAGCAGTCCTCCCACCTTAGCCTCTGAAAGTGCTGGAATTATAGGTGTGTGCCACTGCACCCAGCCCCAAATTCTATTTTTAAGTGTGTTATAGCTATGTTTTCTAGTGAGGATAAAATTTTAAAACACCTAACTGTATCCATTGATTTAGGCCTACCTGTACCTTCATTCAATTGAAATAATCTTAGAAAATAATGTAAAAAGCAATGTTTGCATTTACATTACTAAGAGACCCATAAGCTGCTAGGAAGCTCAGCATTTAAATGAGAATTTGGGGAAGTGAAAATACTTTTCATGATTGGACCATATCAATTTTGTATGTTACATCCAATGCTTACTTACATTCCTTTTTTGGTTTTTGTTTTTGAGAATTGTTCAAGTCATCTCCAATGTAAGACAAATGCTTTAGATTGAGGGAGTGGAAAGTAGTGCTTAATCTACTTTTTCTTCTTTTTAGTTCAGCAGAAATGGACAATCTTATTTCAGGATGCAACAAAATGAACATTGCCTTTCCCTTGCCTGGTGCACAATTCACATTTGTAGAGCACTTCACAGTTTGTAAAATATATTTTCATTAAATGCAATAGTTCCACAATCCACAGGCACTGGGGATGACCCCAGCCATAAAAAGAGTGGGGCTGTCCCCAGGGGATATGAGATCCCACTGACCACTTTTCTTTTCCTCCTCTGAGGTGAACCCATCTTCCTTCTGAGCCCCGAATGGCACTTCTGTGCAGAGCTTCTCTTGGAGCACAGAGGAAGGCGGAGTCCAGTCTTGGTGTTACAGAGAACTGCACACACAGGCAGTGAGAGGCAGAGCCGCAGATAGCCTGGGATCAAAGGCCCCAGCCTGCAGCCAGCCTTCCTTTTCTCTGGGTGTTGGTGTCCTAAACCTCCTGCTTGTCCCCTTTGAGAATCATGCACTGTTGGAACAGAGAGTGAGGCTTCCTGGCAGCATTGTGTGGGTCGTAGCACAGCCTCAGTAGGATTCCATGTCATAGGCAGGTTCCGCAGTCCTCCTGGAATTCTCTTCTTATATACACTGCTCTTTTCCTCCTTAAACCTTCATAACATCACCACGCCTTTGCCTGCCCCCACTGCCCTCTCCTAAACTAATGGGAGCACCTCACAGTTCCTTATCTGTACTGCAGAGCAAGACTTTCTTCTAATCTAATCATCAGGAGAAAAAAAAAAACTCGATGAGGGCTCTCTGGGCTTTAATCGTTTGTGCCTTCTGGCAGACGTCGCAGTTTCTCTGCCTTTCAGCACCTTTTCACAAATCAGGTCTGTTTCAAAGATTTTTCCTGCTTCCAAGCATTCATTAGTTTCAGATTAGATTGCTCAGCTTGCCTTTGTAAAGGGTTCCTTTCCTCTCCACAGCAGCCAGCTCCAGGAGAGGGAGAGAGTGCATCACGGCATTCACCCTGCCTTTCCAGGAGGTGCCATAGTAGGACTGTTGGCACTGCCACACTCTGTCCCCATCTTACCGTGAACCCCGGAGGGGGGCTGAGGTGTGATTCCAGCCTACTGTCCTGGCTTCTGGCTTCCAGACTCAGCACACAGTAGGGACTTCAGAGGGCTTGAAGGAAATCAGCGGCTGAATGCCTGAAAATATAAGCTTTCAAATGCAGTTTGCTTAAGGTTAGTACAGATGTCCCCATCTTCTATCATCCAGAGTGCATTTTTCCCTCTAAATGGAAGGACAACAAGCTGAATTTATTAGATTACTTCCTAGACACAATACCTTGGTACACACATTTAGCTCAGGGCCAGCAGCAGGGAAGACCACAATGCGTGAATGTGCAGCCTTGGCCCACCTTCCCCACCCAGGCAGTGGGGCAGCTCCTCTCAGGCCACATCTGGAAGCCGGTGGGAGTGGTGGGGGGCAGGGTTAGCCTTGGCTTGGACTTGATATGCGGGTTCCTCGTCAAGCCAGTGAGACCAGCTACTTTGAAAGACAATTATTCTTGGGTTTGTTGAGAAATCCTTTTGTGGTGAAAGGAAATGTGCAAAAACATACCTTTTATGTGAGGCGATTTTGCCTGAAGGAACGAGGTCAGGGTGATTTGAGTACTGAAGCGGTGCTGGTTAGGAGCAGGTTTAACCTGGAGGGTGCATCCTAGGGAGGTGAGATGTAAGGCAGGAAAGGGTGCAGAGGAAGGCTCCTGACCACCCTAGTTCACACCCCCAGCCCTGAAAGTCCACATGGAAGACCACCTTCTTTTGAGGATGCACATCCGAGTGACCGTGACAAGCAGCGTCTGCCTGGATGACAATGTGACTTAACAAGTGTGTATTCTCATCCAGGGCAGAGGGATCGTCCGGCACAGCTATGGTTAGAATGAGCTGAATAGACCCAGATGTGAAGAGCAACATTCGTGAGAAGACTTTGTGATTTTATAGCTAGTAAAGAGCATTCTGGACTGACTGCACTTCTGATCATCAGAGTGGGCTGTGGCCAAACCCAAAACCTTTTTATGTGTCTATTGTATATCATGACAATGAGACCCGAACAGAGAATAACATGGAAGTGATAATGATCTAAGAGCTAGCAAACAGTATTGTCTGTTGAGCTCACCTTCCCGCCCTCCCTGCATCTATCTAATAAATAGTTTAAGAACCCGTAATAATTTTCTCTGCAAATAATGTGAACAGCCACAGTTTATGGAATACATGTATACAGCTAACATTAGGAGGAGAAAACCCCTTTGCTTTAAGGGATCCTGAGTTTGTTACATTACTTACCATTACCCAAAGGGAAAGAATGTGGTCAAAAAATAGGCTGCTTTTCCTCTCCCAAATAGATGAGAAGATGGAAGAGAAAAGACTTTTGGGACTTACCTGCCATACAAATCTGACAAAGAAGAAATCTGATCTCTAGTATGTACTAGTTCCTTAGCGACTGAGGTTGAGGCAAGTCCAAAGGGAAAAGGATGGAAGTAAGCATAGCACTGGGAGACAGGACTAGCTGGATTTCCTAGGCTGACTAAGAATTCCTAAGCCTAGCTGGGGAAGGTGACCACACCCACCTTTAAACACGGGGCTTGTAACTCAGCTCACACCCGACCAATCAGGTAGTAAAGAGAGTTCACTAAAATACCAATTAGGCTAAAAGCTGGAGGGAGAAGGGGGACAGGGTTTTAGTTTATAAAACAATGTTGTTTTAAAAACATTGCTGTTACCGGTGGGTCTTTGTTCTTAGAGCTCCCAAGATGGTGGCAAGCCTTTTGTTCTCTGACCTGGGGTTCTTGGCCTCACGGATTACAAGGAACGGAACCTTGGGCCATGCGGTGAGTGTTATAGCTCTGTTAGCTCTATTAGAAGCCGTGGGTCACGGAAGAGAACCGTGGAACCCAGCAACTAGTGTTCAGCTTGATTAAGATGAACCAGGCACTTAGCTGCACAGGAACAATGGCGAGCCCCAGCCCGATCGGGAGCGGCAGTGGGCGCCTAGCTGGATCAGAGGCGCAGTGGACACCCTGCCGAATCTGGAGGGGTGGAAGTCAGCGGCGGGTCTGCGATGGCGGTGATCAGTGCCGGACGGCGAGCAAAAGCTCAGCTCGAGCCGGAACAAACATGGAGCAGAAGAGTGTGCAGTTGCAAGATTTAATAGAGTGAAAACAGAGCTCCCATACAACGGGAGGGGACCCAGAGGATTGCCACTGCCAGCTCCAACACCTGGGTTTATATCCCTATCATTGTCCCTGTCTGTGTGCTCTCAGGCGATAGATGATTGACAATTTCTTTACCTCCTGCTTTTAGCCTAATTGGTATTTTAGTGAGCTCTCTTCACTACTCTCTTCACTACCTGATTGGTTGGGTGTGAGCTGAGTTACAAGCCCCACGTTTAAAGGTGGGTGCAGTCACCTTCCTCAGTTAGGCTTAGGAATTCTTAGTCGGCCTAGGAAATCCAGCTAGTCCTGTCTCTCAACAGAATCTCGGTCCATCGCCAGGCTGGAGTGTAGTGGCACAGTCTCAGCTCACTGCAACCTCTGCCTCCTGGGTTCAGGTGATTCTCCTGCCTCAGCCTCCCGAGTAGCTGGAATTACAGGTGCAAGCCACCACACCCGGCTAATTTTATTTTTAGTAGAGCTGGGGTTTCACCACGTTGGCCAGGCTGGTCTCAAACTCCTGACCTCAAGTTATCCGCCCACCTCAGCTTCCCAAAGTGTTGGGATTACAGGCGTGAGCCACTGCACCTGGCCCAGAGTATAAAACTTTGAAAACAAATTTAAAATTCTAATCTTTTCCTGTCATTTTCCTAGTGTCTCGTAAGAAGCCATGGTTATTTGAAAGCATATGGTCTTCCCATATTGAGTAGGAGAAAATCTCTTTATCCTAAGATTGTCAGAGAGACTGGGTCCATATCTATAGGCACAAAATAAATAGATCTTTACTGTGCCAATCCATATGCTTTGTGCTTTGGCAGCCTGAGCAGTAGATTGTCATTCAGCTGACGTGGCCCCATGCAGTTTTTACTAATCCAGAGGACAGCTAGAAGGACCAGGCCTGCCCAGACCAGGCTCACAGGAATCCTGATGGAAGCCTGAATGTGCCCTCCTTCTCGACGGCGACACTTTGTCTGCTGGGCAGCCCTGGGACCTTGCTCCTTGTCTTTGCTGCAACATGCAGGTTCCGGCGATTTCCGAGTGGAACCTTTCTCCCACAGTCAGGACTCAATATAGTCAGGATGCACTAGCACAGCTGTTTCTCAGAGCCACATCCTCAGCCTCCACAGCAAAGGAGACTTTATTTCCAAACCAGTAACAGCCCCTTTTTCCCCCTTAGTAATCTCTGTGTTTTTACTGGCTACATAAGCATTCACTTTGAGGTGCCAACTTTTCTCTCTTTCTTTTCCCCAATATGGATGAAAATAATAAATGAAAAATTTTGCTCTCATTAACCAGCCACTGTGTCTTTAGTAGTTTACTGGCTCCCTTCCTGGCCTAAGAGCAACGCTTTTTGCCTTTGATGCAGCACCCTTCATCCCATAAGGCAACCTGTAAGATGGTCATTTTAAAATCAAAAGCTCGAGTTTCATTGTTTTTTTTTTTTTTTTTGAGGCAGTCTTACACTGTTTCCCAGGCTGGACCGCAGTGGCATGATCTTGGCTCACTGCAACATCCGTCTCCTGAGTTCAAGCAATTCTCCTGCCTCAGCCTCCCGAGTAGCTGGGACTACAGGTGCATAACACCATGCCTGGCTAGTTTTTTTTTGTGTGCGTGTGTGTGTTTTTAGTAGAGACGCAGTTTTACCATGTTGGCCAGGCTGGGCTTGAACTCCTGATCCCAAGTAATCCATCCGCCTCAGCCTCCCAAAATATTGGGATTACAGGCGTGAGCCACCACCCTTGGCCCTTGAGGTTCATTCTTAACCATGCTCTTCCCTGGGTGTCAAATGTATGTGCACTCTACTAAATTAATTTTGTTGGGTGATGTAAAATAGATCTCTAGTAGAAACAGCCCAAGAGACAGTACTCAGTTGCTTCTCTGGGACTTTGTCACTTGCTCTTGAACCATTCCATTGCTTATATATGAAACAATTCAGAAAAACATCCTTTGAAAAGCTGAGGGACTAAAAATCACGATATTAATTACTAAATAAGTCTTGTCATCCATTTCTTATCCTAGTCCAAACTCTACTAGCTGTTAAGGTGGATACAAGTAAATGTCATTGTAAATATGGCTGTTTTCCCACTGCTCTATAATGAGGAATAGCACGGCATTGCCTGTACGGAAAATTAAAGGAAAGCAGTGGGAATCCTTGTATCATGGAAATAGTAGACACTTAGGTAACAGTCTTTAATCTTTTAAGATTATGACCTCCTCGCAGTTTGACACACTGCCTTATGCATATTTACCAAAAGATGCTCAGAGATTAGAATTTGGCTGCATCAAAATAAGTTTTACGGCCGGGCGCGGTGGCTCATGCTTGTAATCCCAGCACTTTGGGAGGCCGAGGCAGGCGGATCACTTGAGGCCAGGAGTTCGAGACCAGCCTGGCCAACACGGTGAAACCCTGTCTCTACTAAAAATACAAAAAATTTGCCGGGCGTGGTGGCAGGTGCCTGTAATCCCAGCTATTTGGGAGGCTAAGGCAGGAGAATCACTTGAACCTGGGAGATGGAGGTTGTGGTGAGCTGAGATTGCGCCATTGTACTCTCCAGCCTGGGCAACAAGAGTGAAATTCCATCACCAAAAAAAAAAAAAAAAAAAAAAAAAAGTGTGCATAGGGATTTTCTCTGACCAGTTTGCAGTACTGACGTAGTGATCTGTTACCTTTGGCTCATAGCTAATTAGACATGTCCTTGGTTGCCCAGCACCTGTGGTAATTGACCAGGGTTGTAGGACATTAAAGGCACCCCACAGAGCCCAAGGTGGAGAGAGTCAAATTAGGCACCGCCTAGCACCCTGGGTGGATTGAAACCCAAGAGAAACACCAGCACTCTCTATGTTTCTTCTGCAAGAACTGGACCCAGAACAACTTCCTCTCAAGTCCCTGTCAACCCAAGTCCTCTTGCAGGGGACTCAGAAGTCCCTGTCAGAGAATGACACTATATGGTAAGGTCACAAAGATCTTATAAGAAGATCCCAAGATAGCTCCTCCGGGACATGTACTTCTAAACACACTTACCATTTTCTTTAATTTATTTTATACTGTCTTTTTTTCTTAATAAAACCAGAAAGGTAAAAAAAAAAATATATATATATATATATACACATGAAACTAGCAGGGTTTCTTCTGCCAACAGTGATGTCTTCAAATCTCAGCATGGTGGTTTCAGGCACAGGACAGATGGAAGAAAGACGGTTCTGGACTCGTTATTCATCCAAGCTAGACTCTTAACATATATACTCGTTAAATAAAGAGATCAAACAATATCCATTTTTGTTTTTTGCCAGAATAACAAAATAGAGGCATTATTGGAAAGCGTGTTTCTGTCAACACCATTAATCTGGATGTGGAAGGGTCAGATACCTTATTAAAGTCCTCTTTGAAAGTTCAGTTGTAGGAAAAGGGCCTTTTTTTTTTTTTTCTTGCACGCTTAGGTAAACAGGAATAAAAGAGCAGGAAGAAGTTGATAATATGATAGCTTGGTAAGTAATTTCTCCCCTGAGGGAAACATTTTTAAGTAGAAAGTTGATACCAACCCTATGGCTCCAATCCTCCCGAAAGATGCTCCCAGAAACTTGGGAGTTCTCTGAGACCAAGACAATGAGCTTGTTATGCACAAAGAAAAGAGGAGTGGGGAGAAACAGGAAAGGCAGAAATAACTCTCAAACTCAAAACAAACGTGAAAAATTCTTCAAGTCTGAGGAGTGTGCTGCCAAGCAAATCCCGAATCTACAGCTCCGCATGTACCACTGCAGAGCAGATAGTCACAGACAGTGAAAGGGGCTCGTCTTTAAATAGCCACCTGTGACCACCTTCCAGTTGCAATTACAGATCAAGAAAATAGAAGGTTCTCCCTGACCGCTGTTGTTTCTCCAGATCTCTGACTTGTAGCTAAAACACCCTAATAAAAATCTGAATAGCCACCATCAGTACTTAGCAAAGTGAGAGCAAGGCTGAAGCCTCAGAAGGCTGCAGTTTAGATAGAAACAGCATTCATGTCTTTCTTTAGGTGAAGGACCTCTTCTAAGTGACAGTTTGCTTCTTTTGAGCCAGTAGCCAAGAAATTTGGCAAAAGCACTAAAACACTGCATTTTGCTAGAAACACCTTAGGCCAAAAGTAGGGTCAGAGAAACTTGGCAAGTGAAACAATTGTGCTTTTAGAAAATAAGCATGCCTATTCACTTATTGTGCAGAGAAAGATAGGTCTATAGGAGAGGTACATAAGACATCAGAACTGTCCCAAGACTTGCAACCTTGGGGATATATCTATTTTAAAGGCTTTATGTTACACCACACTTGGGGAGTACTAAGCATGAGGCAGAGTGAAACAAATCACTGCCACTCAGAGAATGAAGTTTTTTCTCTCTGCAACCAAGTGTCTTATTTGCTCTACGGTGAATGGGAACTTGACTCCAGGTCAAATCTTGTGGATGATGCAGGAACACGGTTTTTCCCTTTTATCCCTCTCTCCTTCGAGGAAGAGAAAAATGTGGTGTCCACTAAAAAAATATGATATCCTGGTTTCTACAGTAGTTCATGCTTATATTTACATACCTTATATGCAAAATGTGTGCCCACTGTGTATGAATGGTACTGTCTGGGCTCTGTCGTTAAAGTGAGTCGAGATTTCTTTATTGTAACCCTTAAGTTATCCTTACTGCTTCTTTTCCATCCTCCCTCACCCAGAGAATAACTCAAGAGCGAGCACACACTGAGGAGGTAAGTGGAAGGTTGTTAGGGCGAGGTAATAGGAGAGAAACGCATGTTAAGCTTGAGTCTTCTCCCTTCTTGCTCAGGTTCTATATTCTGACCAGGGTCTGTTAGTCTGCCCTGGTTTTGGCATTGCCTAGTTCACTTTTTCTGCTACTTTCAGATAGGCTCTTTTTTTTTTTTTTTTTTTTCGCTAATCCCCTGATAGTTGTTTGGGAGAAGGGCTCATTAGTTGGGGTCTGGTGCATTATAAAAAATGAGAGCTGGCCAGGCGTGGTGGCTCACACCTGTAATCCCAGCGCTTTGGGAGGCCGAGGCAGGCAGATTGCCTGAGGTCAAGAGTTCAAGATCAGCCTGACCAACATGGCGAAGTGCCATCTCTACTAAAAATGCAAAAATTAGCCAGGTGTGGTGGCATACGCCTGTAGTCCCAGCTACTCAGGAGGCTGACACAGGAGACCCACTTGAATCCATGAGGCGGAGGTTGCAGTGAGCCAAAATTGTGCCATTGCACTCTGGCCTGGGCAACAGAACGAGTCTCTTCTCAAAAAAAAAAAAAAAAAAAGAGAACCCTGGTGGCTCTGCAAAGGTCTCGTTTGTTAGGGAGCTGAGTGGCCCAGGAGATGGGCTGCTGCTGCTGAGTTGTAGGCAATTAGCAATGTCTGAATGTTCTAATTGCTTAATCACTCCTGGGCATCTAGCCACAATTTGAGACCCTCTTACCTTGAAGCTCTCAAAACAGACTTTGCTATCCAACAGCAGAACCACAGTGGGAACACAGCATGCTGAATGGAGGAGAGGGGTGGATAGAACAGATCTTCTCTCTAGGAATTTTCATGTGTTCTGCCTTACAATGTTCAGAACATTGTGTTCTCAGTGCCATTACTGAGAGAAGAAAGGGAAGAAAATCACCACCCATGGGTGATATGATTGCTCCTGCATGGCTCGTGAGCACCCAGTAAATGGAAGAGACACTTCAGTGTGTCGTTCATACTTGGGCTTGATAGAAGAAAACCCCCACTCCCTGTCTCTGCAGCCTTCATCTGTTCCAAGTCCAGCCCAAGAAACTTGGGTGAGTGTTTTCTCAGGACACTGTAAACTAAGGGCTTTGATACTCTGTGGTCTGGAATGATCAGTCCATTTTAGTTTTCCCAGGTCTTATGCAGTTTGAGACACAGCTGGTCCCTAAGGAAGGCTATAGAAGAGAGTCTGTGTCCTATAGGCCAAACCCAGATCGGTGTGTCCCATAGGCCAAACCATGCTCTCCAAAACTGAGTAACCAGGACTATCCTAGGACTCCATAAGACATTGCCGAACTGGCTTGGATCCTCCAGGCCAGTCTCATTGGGGTATTCCTTGGTCAGAGCAGGTCTCTGTCCTTGACCGTCAGGTATGCCAGTGAGCTGAGCCTTTGATGTGGTTTGCTTATGCCTGAAGCACATCAGCAATCTCCAGGCCCCGCAGGTGCAGAAATGATTGGCAAGGCACTCAGCCAAGTAAGAAACCACACCCCCCATCATCAGTCAATATTATAGAGAGGACCCTAATTAGCTGTCTACCATCTCCACCTTACAGCAGGCTGAAATGGTGGTATAAATTTCCTCCCAGGAAATAGCCTCCTATATATCTCTTTCCTAGGAATTGTCTAATTTTAGTGAAAGCATTTATCTGTTTAGCTTTTTTTATCTTTTTGTGGTACAAATTGCTCAAGGTTTATTATCCCTTTGTAAAGAACGAATCCTTTTTATTTTTCTTAAGACTAACTCCCTAGAACTTTGGAATTGACACCTAATTCTGGAATTCTAGGATTTTGGTGAACTAAATGATCACATATTGACACATGCCACAATATAGACCACCCTTCAAGACTACCATAGGTGAAATAAGCCGGTCACAAATAGACAAATACTGTCTAATTTTATTCATATGTGGTACTTAGAGTAGTCAAATCCATAAAGACAGAAAGTAGAATGGGGGTTGCTGGGGGCTTGGCGGAAAGATAATTGGGAGTTAGTGTTTAATGGGGACACAGTTTCAGTTTTGCAAGGCAGAAAGGGTTCCGGAGATGGATGGTGTGGATGGTTGCCCAACAATGTGAATGGATTTGGTGCCTCTGAACTTCACACTTAAAAATGGTAAATTTTTGCCTGATGCAGTGGCTCACACTTGTAATCCTAGCACTTTGGGAGGCTAAAGTGCATGGATCACCTGAGGTCAGGAGTTTGAGACCAGCCTGGCCAACATGGCAAAATCCCATCTCTACCAAAAATGCAAAAATTAGCCAGGCGTTGGGGCACATGCCTGTAATCCCAGCTACTTGGGAGGCTGAGGCAGGAGAGTCACTTGAACCCGGGAGGCGGAGGTTGCAGTGAGCCGAGGTCGCACCATTGCACTTTAGCCTGGGTGACAGAGCGAGACTTCATCTAAAAAAAAAAACAAAATAAATGTTATATTTTATGTTATGTCTATTTTATCATGATTTAAAAAATAAGTATAAAATATTATCACATATTTTATGCATTAATTATTTTTCCTTGGAGCTCTTAAGAGGCCTAAGTTTTTTCTTTTGTTTTTTAAATAAAACTTTGTCAGCTCTTCATTCCTCTACCCATTTTTTTGCTCAGTTCTACCTAATGATTGTAAAATCTGTCCTCTCAGTAGTGACAATTAGTATCCTCATACATATTAGTCATATATATCCCCGCTCAAAACTTTCAGACATGTGTTGTAGGCTGAAGGAGAAAAGACCATGATTAAGGTGTTAGCCTGTCAAGTTATAAAAAACCAAATGGCATAGTATAGTAAAGCAGCTGTGATTTTTTTGTCTGAGGCGCCACTCAGAAATATCCTGTTTTCCCGTTCATTTTCCCTTTCCATAGATGCCCTTGCAGTCACCTTCCAGGATGCCCCTTGGCTGTCTTTAGGTGTCAGAACCTTCCACTTTCCTACTGACTGTGAAGGGCATGTAAATGCCTGGGCATCATTAGAAAGCCAGGGAGAGCTCATTTAACCTGATGTGTCAGTAGAATTTTGAAGCAGATAATTTGAAAATGTGTAATAATACTCGCTAAATCAGATCATTTGTCATTTCTAGAAACCACCTTATGAAGCAAATTCATAAGCATCCACTTTTGCTTGAAACAGGCAGCTAAGTAAACCATTAGAACAACTGTCACAAATCAAGAAAATGCACAACTCAATATACTTTGGATCCCAAATCTCATATGGTAAAATCCAGATTCTAAACATCAGAATTTGGTAGAGCTCTGAATCCAGAAAAGAATAATGTGTGTTTTTTTATTTTTCCATGTTCAACAGTCACCTTCCTCCTAGAAAAATGCAGCACAAACAACTTAATTTGGTTTTGTCCTAGGGCAAAATGGAAAATGGTGGACACTTCTACCCTGCTGGAATACTATAGCTTTCCTTCTTAAAAATCTTTAAACTATATCTTGAATACAGAAAGAGGAAAAAATAAACTGTTCTTAAAAAGTGCTATGGAAATTCCTTGCCCTGGCCAGACACTTCACTTGTTGAGGATAGAAGAGCATTGGATCTCTTCATGAGCAAACCCAGCATGTTCAGAGAGGCGTGGTAAGGATGAGAGCAAATGTTATCTTCCATCCTTTATAAGGCAAGAGCTCCCTTTTTAAAGGACTTCTTGTATATTTAAGAACTTCTTGTATATTCCTTTGCTTATTATCGGATGATTTCTGTGATGTTCACAGTGGGGTCTTGGATAAGTGTCTTGGACAAGGTCAGCCTGAACATTTATTGGGTTTGATCACAAAAATCAGACATTGGTAATTTTCTATGATTTGAGCTGCTGTTGGTGAGATGGTACTTGCCAGTCAGGGTCATGTTTCTACCTCTGATGGGGTACGTGCTTGCATCTTTACATCTCTTCCCACATCACAATAAATACTGTGTCCCACAGACACCCTCAAATGCACAAAGTATCTTATTTACAGTGCAAAATTAGAATATTGAAGATGAAAGGCTAAAAATGAGTGCCATTAGGACTTTCATTCTGTTTTCCAGTGTCTTGAAGTTTCTTCTAGGAAAGACAAAGTTGACGGCTTGAGCTTTGGTAGTCTTGATTTCAGTCTGAAGGTAACATGAGTTTGGAGACTGATCAAAATCTAGCCAGCCATGAAAACAAAATCAAACAAAAACCCTTTCTTATACTGAAGACGAAAGAAAGGAATCTCTGTGGGTTTTTTTTTTTTTTTAACTGATAAGACTTTGAGTTGAGGCTAGAAGCATCTAGCCTCAGCTTGGCAGAATATATTATGATACCATTTCTTTGAAGAGATCAAGTAAGACATTGAGCCAAAACTCTGTCTGTGCGTGTGTGTCTGTATGTATTCAAGTTATGAAGTTTTAACTTATCGATGTTAGCATTTTTACTTGTCTTCGCTACTCTTGATATTAAAGATTATAATGAAAGAACATAATCTTTCCAGAAATAAAAAATTAGTTTACATATTCTGAATTTGGCACTTAGGTTTAAATCCAAGGATTCAAGTCAGGATGTGAAGATTGTGAGTGCTGTGGTCGCTATGGCTGCATACATACATCACTACCTCGTATGTCCCATGTTTTACTTTGAAGACTCTCCCCGCCATTAAGCTAACATGGCACAAGGCTCAGCTTGCTAAAAGTGAGGTAAGGGTCTATTGGATAACTGGGTCAAAATCACTTTAAGGATCTTTGCTGAGATTTTTACGAATAGTTTTTCACTTGGGTTGTTGTTCGAAGGGAGTGTAATGTCATTTAACATTAACAAATAATCAAGTCTTCAGGTCTTTGCCTTCACGTGGATAGCGAGTCGGTTCCTTGGCCAACATACGCACACCTTAGGGGCTGGGAGGGACTTGGCTGGGTTTTTTCCTGGGCACACCTGCAGTTTGTATACACTGGCAGAAAAATTCACACCACGGAGTGTTTTGTTATGCTCATTAAGTGATTTATTGAAAAAAATAAACCATTTCTAAACCCTCCTTTATCAGAAAGTGTGCAGAGTCGTCTGCCAAACAAAATAATCCAGCTGGAATTAAGCAAAGCTCCCCTCAGGACTGGGTATTTGTGTTACAGCTTGTCCCATCCTCTGCCTCCTCTCTGGCGCCCCCAAGCAGGCGTGGGGTCCCCCAGGGGCTGCCACTCACGTGTGCCCCAGCAGGGTTTTGCCGCTTCAGGCCCACACTGAGAAGGACATACATACCCCTTGAGTCCAAGAGACTTGTGGTTTTCTGGAGTTGGAGAGCACTGCTCCAGGCTGTGATTTTTTTTTCTTTTTCTTGTTTATTTATTTAATTATACTTTTTTAATATATATAATTTTATTATTATTTTTATTATACTTTAAGTTTTAGGGTACATGTGCACAATGTGCAGGTTTATTACATATGTATACATGTGCCATGTTGGTGTGCTGCACCCATTAACTCGTCGTTTAGCGTTAGGTAATTTTTTTATTATTATACTTTAAGTTCTAGGGTACATGTGCACAACGTGCAGGTTTGTGACATATGTATACATGTGCCATGTTGGTGTGCTGCACCCATTAACTCATCACTTACATTAGGTATTTCTCCTAATGCTATCCCTCCGCCCTTCCCCCACCCCACGTCAGGCCCTGGTGCGTGATGTTTCCCACCCTGTGTCCAAGTGTTCTCATTGTTCAGTTCCCACCTATGAGTGATAACATGCAGTGTTTGGTTTTCTATCATTATGATAGTTTGCTCAGAATGATGGTTTCCAGCCTTATCCATGTCCCTACAAAGGACATGAACTCATCATTTTTTATGGCTGCATAGTATTCCATGGTATATATGTGCCACATTTTCTTAATCCAGTCTATCATTGGGTTGGTTCCAAGTCTTTGCTATTGTGAATAGTGCCGCAGTAAACATACGTGTCCATGTGTCTTTATAGCAGCATGATTTATAATCCTTTGGGTATGTACCCAGTAATGGGATGGCTGGGTCAAATGGTATTTCTAGTTCTAGATCCCTGAGGAATCGCCACACTGTCTTCCACAATGGTTGAACTAGTTTACAGTCCCACCAACAGTGTAAAAGTGTTCCTGTTTCTCCACATCTTCTCCAGCACCTGTTGTTTCCTGACTTTTTAATGATCGCCATTCTAACTGGTGTGAGATGGTATCTCATTGTGGTTTTGATTTGCATTTCTCTGATGGCCAGTGATGATGAGCATTTTTTCATGTGTCTGTTGGCTGTATAAATGTCTTCTTTTGAGAAGTGTTTGTTCATATCCTTCGTCCACTTTTTGATGGGGTTGTTTGATTTTTTCTTGTAAATTTGTTTAAGTTCTTTGTAGATTCTGGATATTAGCCCTTTATCAGATGGGTAGATTATAAAAATTTTCTCCCATTCTATAGGTTGCCTGTTCACTCTGATGGTAGTTTCTTTTGCTGTGCAGAAGCTCTTTAGTTTAATTAGATCCCATTTGTCTATTTTGGGTTTTGTTGCCATTGCTTTTGTTTTGTTTTTTAGTCATGAAGTCCTTGCCCATGCCTATGTCCTGAATGGTATTGCCTAGGTTTTCTTCCAGAGTTTTTATGGTTTTAGGTCTAAGATTTAAGTCTTTAATCCATCTTGAATTAATTTTTGTATAAGGTGTAAGGAAGGGATCCAGTTTCAGCTTTCTACATATGGCTAGCCAGTTTTCCCAGCACCATTTATTAAATAGGGAATCCTTTTCCCATTTCTTGTTTTTGTCAGGTTTGTCAAAGATCAGATGGTTGTAGATGTGTGGTATTATTTCTGAGGGCTCTGTTCTGTTCCATTGGTCTATATCTCTGTTTTGGTACCAGTATCATGCTGTTTTGGTTACTGTAGCCTTGTAGTATAGTTCGAAGTCAGGTAGCATGATGCCTCCAGCTTTGTTCTTTTGGCTTAGGATTGTCTTGGCAATGTGGGCTCTTTTTTGGTTCCATATGAACTTTAAAGTAGTTTTTTCCAATTCTGTGAAGAAAGTCATTGGTAGCTTGATGGGGATGGCATTGAATCTATAAATTACCTTGGGCAGTATGGCCATTTTCACAATATTGATTCTTCCTATCCATGAGCATGGAATGTTCTTCCATTTGTTTGTGTCCTCTTTTATTTTGTTGAGCAGTGGTTTGTAGTCCTCCTTGAAGAGGTCCTTCACATCCCTTGTAAGTTGGATTCCTAGGTATTTGATTCTCTTTGAAGCAATTGTGAATGGGAGTTCACTCATGATTTGGCTCTCTGTTTGTCTGTTATTGGTGTATAAGAATGCTTGTGATTTTTGCACATTGATTTTGTATCCTGAGGCTTTGCTGAAGTTGCTTATCAGCTTAAGCAGATTTGGGGCTGAGATGATGGGGTTTTCTAAATATACAATCATGTCATCTGCAAACAGGGACAATTTCACTTCCTCTTTTCCTAATTGAATACCCTTTATTTCTTTCTCCTGCCTGATTGCTCTGGCCAGAACTTCCAACACTATGTTGAATAGGAGTGGTGAGAGAGGGCATCCCTGTCTTGTGCCAGTTTTCAAAGGGAATGCTTCCAGTTTTTGCCCATTCAGTATGATATTGGCTGTGGGTTTGTCATAAATAGCTCTTATTATTTTGAGATACGTCCCATCAATACCTAGTTTATTGAGAGTTTTTAGCATGAAGGGCTGTTGAATTTTGTCAAAGGCCTTTTCTGCAGCTATGGAGATAATCATGTGGTTTTTGTCTTTGGTTCTGTTTATGTGATGGATTACGTTTATTGATTTGCATATGTTGAACCAGCCTTGCATCCCAGGGATGAAGCCAACTTGATCGTGGTGAATAAGCTTTTTGATGTGCTGCTGGATTCGATTTGCCAGTATTTTATTGAGGATTTTTGCATTGATGTTCATCAGGGATATTGGTCTAAAATTCTCTTTTTTTTGTTGTGTCTCTGCCAGGCTTTGGTATCAGGATGATGCTGGCCTCATAAAATGAGTTAGGGAGGATTCCATCTTTTTCTATTGATTGGAATAGTTTCAGAAGGAATGGTACCAGTTCCTCTTTGTACTTCTGGGCTGTGATTTTGTCAGAAGACAAAGAGCATGACTAGTTAAGCAGAAAGACAAACAGGAAAAGTGATTAGTAGCCAGCAGGAGCATCTGCCAGAATCTCACCAGCCAGAAACGCATAGTAACCCAGCATCAGAGTTTCTGGGTGGGAAACAGGACCCTCAGTCTCTTAGGGAAGAGTGTAGGATTCATGTGGCTTTTCACCACTGAACGCACTGAGATGTCTGGAAAGATGAAGGGCCTGATTACAAAAATGGTTTCAAGTCAGTAGTGCTGAACTCGGGAAGCATTTCAACCTGTCTGTGGGCACGGACTGCGGGTTTTTCAAAGGGCTCCTTTTACAATGGAACAGACTCTTCCAAGAGGCAGGTTATTCCTGTGACTAACCAGAGGGACAGCAGTCATCTCGCTGAGCAACACTCATCTCTTTCAGTCTCAACAGAATTAAAAATATATGTGGTTTCCAGTTAAGCCTGGTCATAAAATATACATATGTGAAGCACTTTAAAATTTAACGAGCTCTGCACTAATCCAGAATTATTTTTTAAAAAACTTGTAAAGATTACATCACCATAAAAATGTAAATGAGTTGTACTAGTATCAGAAGTAATGGTTAATCTTGCTTGATTAAAGTAATGTTACTGAAGTAAATAACCTTTTCTTTCCTACTTTGGCTGTTTTACTTGAGAACCGTGCTTTTGTCTTAATGATGGTACTAAAACAAGCAGTTATGTAGCCCTGACAGTGTTCCTGGTGACTGCTCAGAGTGCTTTATAAGTCTATTAATTCACGAATCTTCTAAATAATCCTATGAAGCAGCCACTGTTATTATCTTCTTTCTCCAGATGAGGAAACTAAGGCACATGTCCAAGATGACACAATAGATATTTATTTATTTATTTTGAGACACAGTCTCATTCTGTCACCCAGGCTGGAGTGTAGTGGCGCGATCTCTGCTCACTGCAACCTCAGCCTCCTGGGTTCAAGTGATTCTCCTGCCTCAGCCTCCTGAGTAGCTGGGATTACAGGTGTGTACCACCACACCTGGCTAATTTTTACGTATTTTTTAGAGACAGAGTTTCACCATGTTGGCCAGGCTGGTCTTGAACTCCTGGCTTCATGTGATCTGCCCACCTCAGCCTCCCAAAGTGCTAGGATTACAGGCATGAGCCACTGCGCCCGGCCAGATCTTTATATTTTTAAAATAATCTTAAGAAATTCCCTAGTAAATCCCCAGTATTTATGGGTTTTTCCTCTAACGTTACAGTGTCCTTTCTCCTGTAGTCTTTGGGGCATGCTTACCTTGAATGTAATTAGCAATAGTAATCATAACAGGCATTGTCTTCTGTGGAGGCCTCATCACTCCAGACCATTCAGAGACTGAGCATTTACCAATGCTTTCCCCTGTGACGCAGGTCCTGTCATTGTCTCCATTTTACAGATGGGAAACTGAGGTCAAAGATGTGAGATCACTTGTCTAGGGTCAGACAGCAGAGCTCTTGTCTGTGCCCAGACAGTCTAAGGGTAGAGCTCTTGTTCTTTACCACTTCATTAGTCCTCCTTTCCTTGTACCTTTCAATTTTATATAAAATAACTGAAGTCTGCCCCTGTACTTTAAAGATGCCAGTGGATTTTGTGGAAGGTGAGCCGTGCTCTGCATTTAGGTCAGGTTTGTATGTGGGTGAATGCAGGTCAGCACGAGCCCCACGTAAGCCCCGTGCAATTCTCTTTGGTTTCCTGATTCTTTCGTGCTGCCAACTCTGAGGCAGTTGCATTACTGAAAAGGGTTTTAATATGAGAGGGAAGGTAGATTGCTGTTGGAGGACTGCAGGGCCCCAACAGTTCCTTTGCACGTAGGTAGGTAAGCTTCTTGAGTAAAGAAATGGTCCATAAGGGGATGTAACTATGCATGAGGTACTTTTCTGCTTTGCATTATACTATAAGCAAGGCAGGGCCTACAGGTCAGTTTGGCTCACTTCCCTCAGGCCCAGCATTGGCCAGTCCACAGAGTGACATCTTGGCTATTTTGAAAGGTCTCTGGCAGATATCACTACTTGTCTTTGAGGTGGTGCAGCAGCCTTTTTCACCCTGAATACTTAAGGTAGTCCTCATCCTTTTCTCTTGTAGCTTTGGGAGCCCACCCTGGACCATATACCCAGACTGGGGGAGGAGCAGGCGAGAATCTCGTTTTGGCCTCCTGTGCTCTAAATGCCATAAAGATTGATATGTCTGAGAGCCTAACAAGCTCTGCAGGGTAGGAGACTAAACCTTTTACTAGTCTATTACCCATTCCCATGAATAGCGAACACCCTTGTGTGTGAATGAATGAAACCTCCTCAAGACCTGAGCTTTAGCAAGCAGGCGTGTTGGAATATCAAGACAGACAGCTCATTTTTAATGAGCATACCAAGCTAGTTCTTTTAGTCTTAATTCCTCTGATAGAACTTCCAAAATATATGGCAATGCTATAACTTAAGAATGGAATGAATATTTACCTGCCTCTGAACATCTGAAGACATAATCCATTGCAAGCCTTAATGTGAGTAGAAGGGAAGCCATCATGCCTAGAGTGGTTCTGTTTGTTGCCAACTGATCCATCTGAGACAATAGGAATAATAGTGCAGGTTGTGGGGCCAAGCTTGGGGCCCATCAAAGCAGCACTGTGATTTCATCAAGAAATTGAAAACATTCAGCACCAGAAATTGTTAGGCATTCAGTTGTGACTAGCTACTTTTTAGTTGTCCACGGGAAGGTCGGCTAGTAATAATTTTTGCAGACAAATTTCTCCTTTTCAGAAAGCTTAGGTGTTGGTATGTTTTTCAGTATCTCGATAGCCATATTCTTTCCAGATGTTTCATTGCTCTCACAGTGGAACAGATATTTTCTCCCCATTGTGAATCTTGTTTCTGCTTTCCTTGCTTCAAATGTTACAAAGATCGTTATTTGTAACAGCCCAACAAACTCTACAGGCAAATAAATGGTAACTTGAAAACTAGAAAATAAAAGCATGAATGGTAATTAAAATTTAATTTATCCGTTCTTGGAAACTTACTTCCTCCAACTCCTTCTTCAGCACTTTTAAATAAATCTATTAGAATTTGTTTTAAATTCTCATACTGTGTTTTCTAGGTGACTTGAATGGTTCTATAACTCCGTTACTTACTGAATGTAATCTGTTTATTTTGACTTCCCCTCTACCCTTAGGACCATGAACTAGCAATTTAATAATTGACTTCGGTTATTGAGTTTTTTGAAAAGGATGCTGCTTGTTTATAATCCAGAAATGTTTTTTAACCCTCACTGCAGCTATTTTGGGAGCTTATAAAAAATCGCAGTGGTGGAAAGCATATTTATTTGCACATGGAGAACTGTCAGAATTCCCAGAGACAATAAAATTTTTGTCTGTGGCAGCAACTTTTTAATAGCTTTTAAGTATTTTTGTTATGTTTTTAGTTTTTAAATTATGTCCTACTTTGTAAAGATAACTGCTTAAGGAATGATTTCTTAGTATGACTTTTCAGACCAGAAAATATATATATATAAACCACCTGTATTTGGAGGTTATTGATTAAAAATTGCTTTTCTTAGAAGGGGGCTGCCAGGAAATTTCACTGTAATTTTGAGTAGAGCTGTGTGCACTGCTGGTATTATGAGCTGTTGAGAAATACCATCAAGAATTGAATATTTTGCTGGGCCAGAACATTTTCCCAAAAAATTTTAGGGTAAAAGCAAAGTATGTCTTGTAATTTATTAGTCTTTGTTCCTGAAAGTTCATTCATCTTCCTTATCTTTCTTAATAATTTAATTTGGTGATGAAAAAGATTCATATATGGGAAATACTCCATGGTTTGGTAACTGCTTTTCCTTAATTAGCACGGTGAATATGTAGGTTGAGGAAAACACTGTTTTCAATTCTGTGCCTTAGTTGAGCAAGTGTTTCAAAATTTGCTGCAGGATAATAAGTTTTGGGTGAAAATTGGACCCTGTGATCAAGTAAATCTGAACAGTGCTAAGCTGACTACATTGAAGATGGTTTCCTGTCCCACAGGATTTCTCTGGTGTGGATGGTGTGCAGGGCCCCCCTTGAGCATTTGACCATGGATCCCTTTGGCACCATGGCAATCACAGCTATAAATACAGTAAAGGCCCCCCGTCGTCCCCCAGGGGGATCATGGAACTGTGGATGATATCAGTTTCAGCAAATGTCATTCTAGTGCCTTGAGTCACCAGTGAACTCAACTACAGCAAGGTGCGGAGATATGAGAAACACAGAAAAGTTGCTTTGTATTAGGCATTTAATGACTTAGCTAAGAGAGGCAAAATAATAATAAAAATGCCAAATAGGGGCATCTTTAGGCAGTTTTTCACCTAAGTAGCTCCTCATACAAACATTCATGATGGGATATATATAGAATTCCTCCAATAGGAATGCAGAGGGTTGGCTGGCTGTCCGATTCCGGTTCTGTGAAGTTTTCACACCCTTCATTTTAGGGCTCCCTGTCACTCTCCAAGGTCTCCTGAGTTGGACACCACAGTCCCACTCAGTAGAAAACTGCATTTGTGGCCCAGCCAGGAGCTGTTCAGCAGGAACTATCCTTGTCCTCATTCTGATCAACTCCAGAGGAAGTACCTGGTGCTGAAATTCAAAAAATTCTTTTTTTGCCCTTAAAAAAGTGAATGATTTAACTTTCTATGAAGGCATACTGAGGAAGGGATTCCACATGGGGCACCTTGTAGAGTGACCAACTGACCCAGTTTGTCCGGGACCAAGGGTTTCCTGGGCTGTGACCCTCAGTCCTGAAGCCAGGCGAGTCCCAGGCAAAGCAGGACCGTTGGTGCCCTTTGGATGCCAAAAACCAGACTAGATGTTGGGGGTAAAGTGGTGAATCAGATTTAGTGTTTCACCAGTAGGGCCAGTGACATTCCTTTCTGGGCAGTGCTTGGGAAAATGGTCAGTGGAGAGGCAGTTTGGGAAAATAGACATACAAAATAGAGCTGCAGCCTGGAGCTCTCAAGCAGCTCCGTGCTATCTTAGTCGGACTTGCTGTTATTCTCTTTCAGTTATGACCAAATTATTTTTCTAACTTTCTAAGTTAGCAGTGTTGTTTTTTATTCCTAAGTCTGCACACACTCACACACACACAGACACACACACACACACACACACACACACTCCCCCTACCTCACAATATTTAAATATCCAAGCCATCAGGGAATAACTTTCCAGCCACTTCCTTCCCCCACTGCAGCCTAGGACTGTGTTTGGTTTGGACTCTTCCCAGCACTGGACACGTTTTCATTACCTCCTACTCATGCTGTCGCCACCTTCGGTCATTCCAGCCTGTGTGGGTGCGTGTACTGGGCAGGAGGTAAGTTCAACACGGGGCAAGCCGCAGCAGTGTCTTCTCGATCTGATATGGCTGCCCAGTGAGCCCAGGAATAAAAGAGGATGATTTTGAAAGGCAGCCTCAAATACACAGAAGGACGTCTATGTAACAATTTTGCTTACTACCTTCACATAAAAATTCTTGCTTCGTAGTCGTCCATAGGTATGTGTTCAGTCTGTTGTGCTGATTTTAGTATATCCTCTAGTGAGGTGCTTTCCAAGGTAAAACACTGGACTTTCTTCACATCAATTCATGCCTCCATCTCTCATACAGACAAAAGATAAGTGACTCTTCCTCTTGCCCAATCCAGAAATTGCAAAACCAGAATCAGAAATAGAATATTGATAATTCCCTGGGTTTATATGAAATGGTTAATTTGCTAATATTGAGAATGGTCATTTTAGAGGCTAGGTGGATGTTTTGCTTGCTGAAATTATTATTCAGTTATGAGATTATAAACTGATGAAAACACAGAAGGTATTCATGTTTTATGTCTTCTATTTATCCTGAGGATGGGGAGGACAGATTATATTGGTCTCAGGTACCTGTCTAAATAAAACGCAGGAAATGTGCAACAAATCTTTTTATGTAATGATTTTGTGAGGAGGTTTTCTCAAAGACTGATTCTTAAGACACTCAAGATGTGTTGTGGTTGGGCAGCCCTAGCCTGGCAGAAGTGAATTCTAGATCATATGTCAGGCATTTCTGTTGGTTTGCTGCACGAGAACAGGCAACTCGCCCAAATGCATTCTTCCTAAGCATTTGGTAGTTTATTTATAAAGTAAAGATTTGACACTTTTTTCTTTCATATCTCAGAACCTGTATTATTTGTAGAACTTTGACATTTTTCAGTAGAAGCTGAATCTTAACTGTGTAGCACATTCAGCTTTTGATTGTTTGATGAATTATTCTAGAAATTTGACCATCAAGCTTGAAGAAGGAGAACAGGGGGACTTCAGGCATCTGTACAGCAAAATAAGTATTTCTGGGTAAGCCTTTCTGGATTCTCTTGTACTCTTCATTACAATGGACAGTAAGAGTCATAGATTAACAAAAACTGCAGTAGAGGTCCATGCTTTGAAATTGCTTTTTTTTTTTTTTTTTTTTTTTTTGAGACAGAGTCTCTCTCTGTCGCCCAGGCTGGAGTGCAAAGGCGCAGTCTTGGGCTCACTGCAAGCTCTACCTCCCAGGTTCAAGCGATTCTACTGCCTCAGCCTCCCGAGTAGCTGGGATTACAGGTGCCCACCACCACGCCTGGCTAATTTTTGTATTTTTAATAGAGACGAGTTTCACCATGTTGGCCAGGCTGTTCTTGATCTGCTGACCTCGTGATCTGCCTGCCTTGGCCTCCCAAAGTGTTGGGATTACAGGCGTGAGCCACTGCAGCCAGCCAGAAATTGCTTCTTCTGAATGTTACCATGTAAGAAATTCTCTTGAGTAATTCAGACCTTAAAGATATGTACCTATGACTTGGGCAAAGTTGTTTTCTAGCTTGTTCTTCTCCCTCTGATTTGGATATAGTGCAAGGGGATGAGCTTTATTTTAATAAGCTGATATTTTCCAATTGTATGTCTAGAGTCCAGGCCATTAAATATATTTTCACAAGTAAATTTTCCATGTGGTGAGATTCTTATTAGAAGACATATTGCTGATGGTTTCATTCCATGGTATAGGCGTAAAGAACTGCATTATGGTATTAAAAAAAAGAAGAAGAAAGAAAAGAAAAGAAGAGGAAACTTTTTGTTGTTGTTTGTTTGTTTTTTTGTTTGTTTTTGAGACGGAGTCTCTGTTGCCCAGGTGGGAGTGCAGTGGTGCAATCTCAGCTCACTGCAACCTCCACCTCCTGAGTTCAAGTAATTCTCCTGCCTCAGCCTCCTGAGTAGCTGGGATTACAGGCGCCAGGCACCCACCACCATGCCTGGCTGATTTTTATAGTTGTTTTTGTTGTTTGTTTGTTTTTGTTTTTAAGTAGAGATGTGGTTTCACCATGTTGGCCAGGCTGGTCTCAAACTCCTGACTTTAAGTGATATGCCCGCCTCGGCCTCCCAAAGTGCTGGGATTACAGGCATGAGCCACCACTCCCAGCCAGAAGCTTGTTTATAATGTTAGGAAATACCCTTGCCTGGCATCCAAGCTGACCTGTCACACACTCCTCATCATGTGGTGAGATTACCATGATTTCTTTTTCTGAATGGCATAAAGCAGATGGTAGTGCTTAACATAAGAGTGTTGTAGCCGCAGCCTAGAAACAAAGCAACATGTTTTAGTTTGTCTGTAATTGATGTGATTTATCTTATGCCGGAACAGGTGCCCACGTGGTATGATCTGAGATATGCAAATACTCTTCTTTATCCAAACAGATATGGCTCCTACACCTACCTGGGAATGTTGCAAACTGTTGGCAATCAAGTTACCATTTCAGATTATGGCATTGTCCCTGAAGGCCTCTGAAATAAAAGATAATCTGAGAGAAAGAGAACATTGATACAATGTATCAGATCACTGAGTTATCAGCACTCAGTGAGTAGAATCTCCCAAAAAAAATAGGTCTTAGGACAACAGTTTTGATATAAGGAGAAATACAACAAAGGTCCAAAAACCTTAGTGATGCCCAGAGAGGATCCTTTAAGTTGGAAGCACTAGGAAGCCAAAGGAGATGATGAGACACCCAGTTATCTGCTACCTGATGAGATACCTGGTTAACAAAGGAAATGGGATGTGCCCGCAGCAGGGGCTTTGGGGATCCCTTATTGACAGCCACAGCCTTCTTCTCAACTATGCCTGGACTGACCCTGCGTAACACTCAGGTGAATAATGCCACAGCGGCATGTCTCATATGTGTGCATTTATCTTTAAAAGGCCTAGACTAGCAGCTGAGAATATGGACTCTAGGGCTGGCTGGACTGCTATTTGCATCCAGCCCCAGTTCATCAGCTTACCTTGGCTGTGCACCTGAGGCAGATCACTTAAAATGTTTGTTTTACCTTCCTCAGCTGTAAGAAATACCTGGCTCAGAGGATTGTTGAGAAAATTAAAAGAGCTAAGATGTATATGCAGTACTTAGAGCAGTGGCCCTTGGTAAAAGTCTTAGGTGTTACTGTTAACAGGAGTATGTCAGAGTCACGCGGAAAGAAGAAGCCATGGACTGGAGTGTGCGAACTGCCAGAGCGCACAGTGGTGACCGCTCAGCTGCTTAGCCCAGGTCGGTGAGGTTCCTTGGAGACAGTGGTTCTGCTGTATTCTAGGCCCTCTGAGTTCTTCACTGACTTTCAGCCTGTAGCTGGCAGGTGAGGGAAGAGGTTTGGTCAGGAGTTTTTGGAGACCAGACTTCCCACATTCTCACACTCTCAAAAGTCCCACATTCCATTGGCCAGAAATGGTCACATGGCCCCACCTAACTGCAGAGGGACGTGGGAAACGCAGGTTAGCTGGGGGCCCAGGAAGCAGAAAAGAACATGGATGTTAGTCAGAACATATGGAGAGCAAATCGATGGTTTTGACTTTGGTTTATGGTTTCACTCTAAAGCAGAAACATTTTTCAGTTTAATTTTAAGAATTAATATGAAAATCTGCTCTCTTACTTGGCATGCAACAGTCAAATTCCAGTGTTCATGCCGAAATTCAGCTGTGTTATTGTTTCTGAATAAAATAATGAAAGCTAACATGTAGGGAGCATTTGCTGTGTACTAAAATACCAAGAACTTGACATACTTATTTGATCTTATTTAATAAGATGGAATTAATTTATTAATTCCCACCATAGCCTTTATGAAGTAGGTACCAGAATTATCCCCATTTGATAGATGAAGAAATGGAATTACCAAAAAGGCATGAATCCAAATGACAAATATGAGTTGATGAAGAAGCACAAACAGGAAGAACAAAGCTGCTAGTTGGTCTTTTTCGCTGTCCCTTTAATCTGTAATCTGACAAGATTTGGTAGAGAGATAACTTAGTCACCAACTCTGTTTTCTTTTTTGGGAGACCAAATCCAGATATACAGCTTGAGACTTAATCCCATATGAGGTGTTCATTCTACCTAATACAGCACCCATTAATTTGTCATGAGCTGGGTGGTTTGTCAAGAAAACCTAATACACATGTGCATGGAAAAACACACATCAATGTGTACTTTATCCTTTGGTTTACTTTAACTTATTTGCTTAGAGAAACATGCTATGGTTATTAGGTTAACCATGCATACATTGCGTTAGTCTGGAAAAGAGGTTTTAATGTCTTAACCAGTGATATCTGTTTAGTTCGTCCTGGAAAAATTAGTTAGGACCCTTACTTGGATCTGCAATTAGTATTTTAATCATAGATTGTATTTAGTTAGTTTTTAATACTAACTGCAGATTCAAGTGAGGGTTCTAACCCTAACCTCTAGATTTTAATTATGGAGGTTACATAACATGATGTCACTGGTACTTGTGTTTTAATTTTTTGCGTATAGCACTGTAGAAAGAAAAGATGAAGGCACAATTCTGTGAGCCCCTGTACACGGACAACGTTAAGATTAGGCACTTATTTTCTTAAGAGATTCTGCACGATCAGTTCAGATGAGTCAGCTCATTGCCATCTTTATCAATTCGATAGATTTCAGGTTCCTCTAAGGCACTAAGATATGTTTATTAAAAGGCTTGAGGCTGGGCATGATGGCTCACATCTTAAATCCCAGCACTTTGAGAGGCTGATGCAGGAGGATCACTTGAGCCCAGGAGTTTGAGACCAACCTGGGCAACATAGTGAGATCCTGTCTCTACAAAAAAATACAAAAATTAATCAGGCATGGTGGTGCACACCTGTAGTCTCAGCTACTCGGGAGGCTGAGATGGGAGGATTGCTTGAGCCCAAGAGGTCAAGGCTGCAGTGAGCCAAGATTGTGCCATTGCACTCCAGCCTGGGCAACAGAGGGAGATCCTGTCTCAAAAAAATAAAAAAGAAAGAAAATCACCAAGAAGTAGATATTTAAACAGATGTCAGATAGAAGCTGTAGATGTATAGTAGTAGAAAGAGTTTTGATAGGCCATGGAATAGCTGAGTAGTTAGAATTTCTGTGTACCAGCGTACCTTAAAGACTTTTGGCCAAGCCACAAGGCAGTTGGGTATTTGCCCAGTCGTTTTTGTGAGTCCTCATGTGTCTTTTAAAAATCTTGGTAATGGTAGCTGAATGAGGAAAGCACCTATTCCTCAATATTTGTTCTAAGCCAAATGAGGAAAGTACCTATTTTTCAATATTTGTTTTTTCTTTCCACACTGTTTTGTTTCAGTTTTATAAAAACATAGGGAACAATTAGACCATCCGTCTGTCTGTTGCTAACAGGTGATAATCTCTTGCCTTTTACCTCTAGATCTCAAAGCATTTTCCACTGTGCAAAGTTAGAATATTCTTTATCACATTTGTTCTTCAAAGTTATTTTCACTGAGTTGAGAAAGTGATATTGCTCACCTTTTGGGGCGTGTAACCAGAGCTGTTGGAGGTGGGAGGCTACTGATATGCCCCCTGACAGGCCAAGCAGAAGTCAGGGGCCAGGCAGAAAATAGAAGTATCAGGGCTAACTCCTTGGGCTGTTACAGTGGTAATTTAATAGGGACTTTGGGCTTGGGACCTCAGCACCACCTTGGGAACCAGGAGTGTTGGCAGTCGCTCCTGTCAGCTGATGAAATGATCTCACAAACTGCAGAACTGTTCATTTTATTTATTACTGGTACTGTTTGGAAATTACTTCTTATTTTGTATTATGATTAACATACAGCTATTCGCATTCTATGAACCAATATTGAGGGTACCCTTTGATTCTATGGGACATTGAGCTGTTGTGTTTTAGAATTCGTGACCATGAACATTCCTTCCTAATTTAAATGCAACTTAATTTTAACATTAAAAAAGAAACCGCTTTTTTATATCTCTATTATTGGAAAAAATCACCCAGCCGTTGTTGCCCTTTATGCTTCTAGTCCAGTTTTGGTTTTTATTTTCAAACGAGAATACATCGTATGCAGCAGACATGTCATTTCTAGGCTAGATCTGCTTGATTAACTTGACTAATTTTTTTTCCAAAAAAATCTGAAAAATAAATCACTTTTAATTTTTTCCTATTTACATTTCATCAGAGACTATTTTTTTTCCTTCTTTCAAGGAAGGATGGCCCTGCTGGGAACAGATTGTTTCAGCCTCTATGGCTGTGGAGATAAAATGTCATGGAGATGGGTTTTTGTCTGCAGTCACAGCTATCTGAGGGCTCTGCAGACTCTTGGTTGGGGTAAGGTATTCTTACATACCACAGTGGGTTTCTGTCTGCTGCCTGTTTATCTGGGCAGCAGAACCACAGGGAGAAAGAAAGATTTGTTTGTTTGTTTGTTTTTTGAGATGGAGTCTCTCTTTGTCACCCAGGCTGGAGTGCAGTGGCGTGATCTCCACTCACTGCAACCTCCACCTCCTAGGTTCAAGCCTCAATCCTCCTGCCTCAGCCTTCCAAGCAGCTGAGATTACAGGCATGTGCCGCTATGCCTGGCTAATTTTTATATTTTTAGTGGAGACAGGATTTCACCATGTTGGCCAGGCTGGTCTCGAACTCCTGACCTCAGGTGATCCACCCGCCTTGGCCTCCCAAAATGCTGGGATTACAGGCATCAGCAACCGCGCCCTGCCAAAGAAAGATTTAAATGTGGAAATGACTTCTCATGCGTAAGAGGCTGTGAACTTGAAAGTCATTTGTGAGTTTTGATCTCCAGTTTGCTTGAAAATACTCACTTTTTCTCTCTCAGTCTCTCAATTCCTGAATTATTTCTAGAAGGATCACCCACTCACACACCATGCTATGATTGCCTTCTTGCTATACAATGTTGTAAATTGTTCATTTCCACTGCAAATTGTTCATTTTATAAACAGGATCTCTCCTTTTTAAAAGTTCTTTTTATTTTAAAATTGTTGTTGTTATTCCTGATATTCTGAGAGATAGAGACACTGATATTTAAGTGAATCACAGTTCAAAGCAGTTATGACTAATAAAATAAATGAACTAAACTTATTTTCTTGTAATATAGGTATAAAATAGTATATATTAGGCTTTCTGACTACTCATGGAACTGTTACAAGTAAACACTGAAGTTCACACTTTTCCCATTGCAACAAATATAGTAAATGTCAGAAGTGTAGTTGAATGTTTGGTTTTATTTAGTGTTATAAAATTACATAATAGTGTATTTTATATTACCAAGTCCAGATAACCTTAAATTAATTACAGTATTTTTTTTTTTTTTGAGACGGAGTCTGGCTCTGTCGCCCAGGCTGAAGTGCAGTGGCGTGATCTCGGCTCACTGCAAGCTCCGCCTTCCGGGTTCACGCCATTCTCCTGCCTCAGCCTCCCGAGTAGCTGGGACTACAGGCGTGCACCACTGCGCCCAGCTAATTTTTTCTATTTTTAGTAGAGACAGGGTTTCACCGTGGTCTCGATCTCCTGACCTCGTGGTCCACCCGCCTCGGCCTCCCAAAGTGCTGGGATTACAGGCGTGAGCCACCACGCTCAGCCAATTACGGTATTAGTAATGTTTAATGGCAGGTTCTTAGAGCATAAGAAAAGGACAAATGTGGTTTTCGTGTATTTCTGGGATTTGAATATCTGTGGTCGTGAAATTTCTGTTGTTTATTGGCAGAGTTTTTACTATTGTGGTTAACATTGCTTCTGAATGTGTGCTCTATGTCATGAAAAATGAAGGCCACTACCATTTTATATACAATAAAATGATTACATAACAGAATTGAATCCTTATTTGAGCAGATGGGCCCGATGTAGGGTCATTATGTGATTCTGCTGGTAGTGCTATTTCTGAAGTGTGAAATATTCATTCTGTTCAGATGGCTAGGAAAAACAGCCTCCTCCAAAGAAGTGTCTCATGCAGCTGTCCAACAGAAGTAATGTGAGCCACATATATAACTTAAAATTTTCTAGTAGCCTTATTTAAAAATTAAAAATAAATAGTTGAAATTTTTAGTGCTATATTTAACTCAGTATATCCAAATACTATTATTCCTGTATGTCATCAAAATAAAATTATTATTGAGATATTCCTTCTTTTTCTGTACTAAGTCATGGAAATCCAGTGTGTATTTACACATACAGCACATCACAGTTCAGACTAGCACTTTTCAAATGCTCCTAGCTACATGTTATCCAGGTTGCTGTATTGGACAGCAGGGTCCATCAATGGCTTGACTGCAGCTTCAGATAGGAGAAAGAAAGGGATCATGTGAAATGTCTGTTCCTTTGCAGAAAACTAAATGTCAGATCTTGAAAAGGAAAATGTTGACAGAACTGTCTGGAAAATATAACCTTCTGATGTTTATTTGCACAGATCAAATGCTGTTCCATAGCAGGGTTTAACTTTATTTTTATGGAAAAAAAAAGGAAAAACCCAAACACTGATCTAATGTTAGTCATTTCCTGAAGGAAATTAAAAATCCACATCAGAGGGCCTTAATGTAAAGGATTCCTTTTTTTCGCTCATTTATCTGGTTCTACTGTTGCCATAGCCACATGGATGGGATGCGGCAGAAATTAAAGACTCCAGTTATAGTCACAGTGCTTTCTTTAGTTAGCAGGCTACTTTTCAGCCAAAGGCTGTTTTTACTGTATCAAGCTTTTTCCCCTGAAAATGTGGAAGTTGTGCTTAGTGAATGTTTATGTTTTGGTTTAGTATGGGCAGTGAAGATGGTACATTAATGCCATTTCAAATGCTTCAAAGCCCTTACAGCAAGTATAAACCATAATTACCAAAAACGGTCAGTGTTAATTCATAACCGGAACATGTCACAGAGTCTTTGTCTGATCGGATTTTCCTCCCTCCGATCTGGAATACGAACTATTTTATGTCATTCCATTTTCAGAGTAAAAGAGCTGTTACTGTAATTCTAAGTGAGATGATAACATACTATGTCTTCCTGGCCAATTTAAACGGTTGTTGTCAACCAGATGGCCCTCATTTTGAAGAAGCTATGACCTTTGGGTTTATTAGTGTTGATTGGAGAGGGAAGTTTTGCTAGATTATTACCCTCAAGGGATTGGTAATAGAGGCATGTTCTCAGAATTAACTTGGAATGTATCTACAAACTCACACATGTATCATTTATATGATGTCGGGCTTTAATAAGGTCTTGGCATGTTTTGAAGTTTAATAACTGAAATTTTTTTTTTTTTTTAAGACAGGGTCTCATTCTGTCACCCAGGCTGGAGTACAGTGGTATGATCAGGTCTCACTGCAACCTCCATCTCCCAAGCTCAAGCAATCCTCCCACCTGAGCCCCTGTGAGGTGCTGGGACTACAGTGTCACCACCACCCCCAGCTAATTTGTTTGTATTTCTGGTAGAGACAGGTTTTATCATGTCGCCCAGGCTGGTCTCGAATTCCTGGGCTTAAGAGATCCGCCTGCCTTGGCCTCCCAGAGTGCTGGGATTACAGGCATAAGCCACTGCACCTGGCTGTAATAACTTAAATTTTTCTTATGGTAGAAACTGACAAAAATTCTCTCCTTTACCAAACTTTAGTTAAGCTCCCCTGAGCCTTCTTCTTAACCTTCTGTGCCTCTCCCTCCTGGTCTGCCTTTAGCAAGAATTCTTCCAAGTCAGTTTAGTGGGAATCCTCCTACCCTTGGTATCTGATCACCCTTAATATTGATCAAGTTCCTCATTTCCCCACCCTTGATGTTGGGCCGTTGGCCTGCCCTCAGCAAGAATCCTGTTAGGTGAGTTTTGTAAGAATCTCCCTAATTGTGGTGTCTCCTCTTAGTAGTTTTCCATCCAGCAGTCCTCTCACTCTGCTTGTTGGCTGTCATTCTCCCTTGTTCTTATATTCAGAGTTGAGCTCCATCTCTTTCCCCTATTGCAATAGTCCCAAATAAAGTCTTCCTTACCATTTTAACAAGTGTCAGAGTAACTTTTTTTCTATGGCAAAATAATAAGTTGCATAGAAAGCCCCTGTATTAGCACTTTAGGACAATTTTATTGTAAAATGGTACAGAGTAAGTTCTTATTTCATCTCATTCATGAAACTAAAAAACACTATATTAGGCAAGCTAAAGTAAACTCTATGGTTAGAACTGAAGTTTATATTTACTTAGAAAATTCATTGTTTATTACTGTTATGTGGACATTTTATTATGCTTACAACCAAAGTACAAAATCTGGCCTAAAATTTTATAAAATACTTTCTTATAAAATACTGGTTTCTCTAGTCTGAATTATTTCTACAGGAGTGAGATCTTAATTTACACCATAGTATTTGGTCCAAAATATATGGGCATGTGTCTCCCATTGGCGTTATATAATGAGTTGCAAAGGTTGTTAGAGATTAGGCTTAATGTGTGTGTGTGTGTGTGTGTGTGTGTGTGTGTGTGTGTATATTTTTGTTGTTGTTGTTGTTGTTGTTATTGTTGAGACGAGCTTTCACTCTGTCATTCAGACTGTAGTGCAGTGGTGCCATCTCCTCTCACTATAGCCTCGACCTTCCAGGTTCTAGGGATCCTCCCACCTCAGCCTCCCAAGTAGTTGGGACTATAGACGCACACTACCATGCCTGGCTAATTTTTGAATTTTTGGTAGAGACGGGGTTTTGCCTTGTTGCCCAGGCTGGTCTTGAATTCCTGGGCTCAAGAGATCTGCCGTTCTTGGCCTCCCAAAGTGCTGGGATTACAGGCATGAGTCACCGTGCCCAGCCAAGGCTTCACGTATTTTAATCCACTTGTAAGAAGTCAGTGGGAGCTTGCACCAAAAGTAGCTCTCTCTGTGGCAGACTGAAATAAAGGTGATACAGAATTACATTGTAACATTATCGAACCACTTTTACTGCAGAGAGGACCTCCTTGTAGAAATGTTAGCCCCTACCCAGAGGGCTTATTGAGTTCAGAAAGTCCAGGCCCTCGCCGCAGATTTTCATGACTGCATTACAGCAATATAGTCCCACATAGATATGGGTGCCTGGACTTGTGTATCGGCCTATTTCCTGCCCATATGTCTTTCCTGAATGCTTAGTTATTTTATGAGTTATGCAAAAGAAATAGGTTGAGACAGCAGAATAAACGGTAGTTTCAGTGTTTCATTTTTTCTGAAGACAATTATGGAAACTCCCCAGAGAGTTACTTTCCAGGAAGACATCAGCTCTTTCTGGACAGTGGACCACAGTGCCATTCATGCCAGACGAGGGGTAGCTCATGCTGGCAACCCGGTCATTAACTCCGTATTCAGAGTTGAGCCTTTGGTGCTTTATGGTGAAGCCACTTTCGGTCTCTGTGTCAAAACCTCAGTAGATTTCTGTTTAATTGTTTTTAGGATACAGTATTGTATGATTTAAGAAAATTAGCTTTTTTCAAAAGTAGCTCTTCAGCAGCGATTCAGTATAAATTCTAGGTTAAGGCATTTGCTGAAGGTATCCTCTACTAAGTGTCCATTGTGTGCACATTTCAAAGAGTCGGCGACCAGAACGATGAGGTTTCAGTGAGGCTTTTTATTTCTTTGTAAAAGAATCAAGGGCAGAATTGCTGTTTCCATTGGAAGTGGCAACCTTGAGACTAGGGGTGGTGTGGAAGCCCAGTGTGCACACAGGGGTCTAATTCTTTTTTCTGCTTCTGCCTCTTTTTTTTTTTTTTTTTTTTTTTTTGAGATGGAGTTTTGCTCTTGTCACCCAGGCTGGAGTGCAATGGTGCAATCTCGGCTCACTTGCAACCTCCACCTCCCAGGGTTCAAGCGATTCTCCTGCCTTAGCCTCCCGAGTAGCTAAGACTACAGGTGCCCGCCACCATGCCTGGATAATTTTTGTATTTTTAGTAGAGATAGGGGTTCACCATGTTGGCCAGGCTGGTCTCGAACTCCTGACCTCAGGTGATCCATACCTGCCTCAGCCCCCCAAAGTGTTGGGATTACAGGCGTGAGCCACTGTGCCCAGCCGCTTCTGCCTTATTAAAAAAAGAAAAAAAGATGGAATAGCACCAAGAGGGAGAGGAGGAGAAGGGAGGGTAGGACTTTCTCCTCCTACTGATCCTGCTGGAGAGTTTAAAACTTAAATATGGAGTATGAGCAAATCCTGGGCTTCCACATGGAATAAGGCAGGTGAGAGAAAAGAGCTAAAGGTTTCATCAGGATGCGTGGTGAATTATAACCGGTATGGGTAGACTAATGAGATAAGTGACAAATACTCCTAGCCATTGGGTTTTTTTTTTTCCTTTTTTTTTTTTTTTTTTTGAGACAAAGTCTTGCACTGTCACCCAGGCTGGAGTGCAGTGGTGAGATCTCAGCTCACTGCAATCTCCACCTCCCCGGTTCAAGCAGTTCTCATGCCTCAGCCTCCTGAGTAGCTAGGACTACAGGCCCACACTATCATGCCTGGATAATTTTTGTATTTTTAGTAGAGATGGGGTTTTACCGTGTTGACCAAGGCCATTGGTTACTTTAAATCTTGCTTTTTCCTTTTTGCATTAGCTTTTACATTAAAATTGTTAACCCTCTCTTATAGTGAACCCTTTATTCTTTACAGTGAAAGAGGGGGTTGACACACCTCTCTCCAGGTGAAGCCTATATCTGTAGGTTATGTAGCCATGTCAGAGGGAACATTCTCTAGACAGAATACCCTGGGGAAATTCACAGCCTTTTACTTCTTCACACTTGTGAACCTAAACATCAGAAGTGATGGCAGATGTCACTCTGTATCAGGTCAAGTCTGTCTTCTTGACTAGTTCTGTATACAGTAGGAGGATTGAGGAGTAAGGAGAAAGCTGGTCTCTGGGGAGCACAGAGTATATGACTGGGAGAAGATTCATTTAACATGACAATTGTACTCCATCTCATCCATCTCATGGTAGTTCAGAAATGCCTATATTCCTTCTTAAATTCACCAGGATTTTTGTTTTTTCTTTCACCCCCTTTTTGCCTTTCTTATTTTCATCCTTCCATTTCACTCATTTCCACTCATGTTTAGCAGTTTCTATCCTTTTCTTTCCTGGCGTTTTAGCGTCACACATAGAAACCTATCACCATCAACGAGCCTCACGCGTGGTCAGACAGCCTCTGACACATCCACACAGGGCTGCCAAAATGCACCACAGAAAGCCAAACAGAATCAGTAAGCTTTGATTCATCATTTCTACCCTGTGGTGCCCAATCCTAGACTCTTGCACAATACATCCTTTCCATCTGTCTATTTGGCAAAAACAACAGAAAAATGGGAGCTTATGTCTAAAAGAATTGAAGCACTTTATTCAGTGAAATATTTGAACTTAGAAAACACCATGGTATGGGATCATCGAAGCAGATTATGTTATTTTTTAATTTAAAAATTGTATCCAACAGCAACTCACGGCAATCCATCTAAAAAGGCTGAGATCTGTGCAACGAGGTAAAAGCTCGAGCTCTCAGTCCCTGGTCCTTCCTTTGGTCACATCCCAAATGAGTGTTTTTCTTTTCCCCGTGGGAGAGTTTGTTTGCCATCGTGTTCATCCTGGCCAAAGCTCGTGGCTTGCAGTGTTGACTGTCCTGCCTCTTGGTTGGGTGAATTTTTGAGAAGCTTTTCTTGGTGCCAGACCAACCTGTTACAGAGACTCTACTGAAGAACAGTCAGATGTACTTGACATGAACATTCCAAGAAAGTCGACTGAAACCCTTGGGCCTCCTGAAAATATTGATGCCCAAATAAAACCTTTTGTGAGAGAATAGAGCCAGAAACAAGAGTCATCTCCGAGGCTTTTACGTCGCTTTTATAAGATGATCATGATTTATTTTCCCTTCTGAGTTTGACAAGTTCGAATGAATCATCCCCTTCCTCTCATGCTGGGTCCTGTTCCTCTCTGACACCCCAAGTCACTCTCTGATGCTACATCAGGTTGTTCAAATAAAAGGATTGTGAGGAAAAAAAAATCATCCACACAACAATTTGAAGTTTAGAAGAAATTACAATTAGACCCATTCGAAGTGGCTTCTCTCTCTTTTCTTAAAGCTTCTAAACCAATCTTCTTTGATTTTGCATGTGAGGATACTGAGTCCTGCAGAGGTCACTCGCTGAAGGTGATGCTCAGGTGTCCTGTCCTAAGACAATGACTTCTGTCCTCTGCCCTTCAACCTCTTTAGATCAACAAATTAAAGAAAAATGTTTTTGGGTTTGGAAAAGAAAGGAATTTAGCATAATGTCCTCTCCCCATTAGAATGGCAACTGGGATGTTTTGTGGGTCAGGAATACTTATTTTTCAGCTTATCCCCAGTGCTTAGTCAAACTGATATGCCAAAAAATGTCTTTAGCTGGAAACCAGGATCGGACAATCTAGTAAACAAGGATGAGCAAACAGAAAAATAGGGGCTGGAATTCAGAATTGGTCATTCACAACAATAACCTGCCCACCTTGGCCTGGTCTAGCTTACTAGCCAGCGCCCTCGATCTGTGCCTCAAGAGTCACTAGACTCTGCCATGCAAAATTCCCGATCGTGTTTGACTTGTGTTTGGCAGTATTAAGTCTCTACATTGGCCAATGCCTCTGTGCTCCTGGACACTTGTGGTCGTGTCTGTGTGGCTCATGGCCCCTGTCTTTGTATGTATACATTGTCATTCCTTTTTCTATTTGTCTGGGGTGCCCTGGGAGTGGTTATTATTGCATAAAGAATACTCCTTAGTAGGGGCGAACGAGTACTTTGTCATCCATGAGAACTGACTTAGGCACAAGAAGCAAATAACTAGCACAGCACTGGGGAAGTGTAGAAACCATGGGGTTCCCTGGAAACCCTGGTGGACCTCCACATCATCCATATTTTTAGAATGATTGATGGGAGAAAGTAAGTGGTAAAATAGCAAAAATTGCAGGTGACAAGAATGACTATGAATGAACAATTTCAAGGCAGTGGCAGTGTTCTTGTTATTCAAACACAAGTATATATCCATACACACTCACATGCATACAGACAGATGAGCTGCAGCCCAGACACCTGTTAATTAGTGGGGTTTTGGGGGGAAATCTCTCTCATTGCCACACAGTGGGCATTAATTTTTAAATCCTCATATGCAGAAAAATCGGGAGACTTGCCTGTGGTCTCTTGAAGACATCAGCCCAGAGGTTCTGCTACAGCCCAGTAGGTATTATTAGGTGGAGGATATGGAAAGTGAACCAAAATGTTCACTTACTTTTCTAGAAAGCCACAGACCTAGAATATTCTACACAGTTTACAGAATTACAGAATTTTCAGAGAGGGACAGGTGACATGTTCAAAAGCGCAGAGACACAATGCTGGTGGGTGAGAACCAACTTCAAGGCTCAGGATTCCTCAGACTGGAAGGGCAAACGCTCTGTTAAACATTCCAACTCTGTTTTGAAGTACGGATAAAGTAAAAGGGCCTTGTTTAGTAAAATATTGGCTTTCTGAAACTAGCAGCCCTGCTCCCAAACTCGTGAAATTTGAAAGAAGTAAACTTTTATTTAGAGAGAGGAGGAAGGGAGATAAAGCCAGATTGACTCCAAGAGGTGCTATAGGTTGAAAGTGTGCCCTCCTCAGATAGAAGATGGACTGATCCAAGGTATGTCCTTGAGTCTGAGTCGAGGAATGCCATAAGACACACCTTAGTGCTGGAAACAGACTATTGAATTGCAGAAATAAAATAAAAAGCATCTGACTTAATTTATCCACTCCGGGTCCATTTAGTTACATTTTAATTTTAATTTTTTGAGACAAGGTCTCACTGCATTGCCCAGGCTGGAGTGCAGTGGCACAATCATGGCTCACTGCAGCCTCAACCTCCCAGGCTCAAGCCATCCTACCACCTCAGCCTCCTGAGTAGCTGGGACCACAGATGTGCACCACCATGCATCGCTAATTAAAAAAACATTTTTTCTGTAGAGACAAGGTCTTGGTATGTTGCCCAGGCTGGTCTCAAGCTCCTGGGCTCAAACAGTCCTCCTGCCTCAGCCTCCCAAAGTGCTGGGATTACAGGCGTGTGTCACCACACCCAGCCTATTTACATTTTTAAATACCTGCTATTCGCTAGAAGCTGAACTGATACATTGATGACACACACCAGTCTCCTGCCCTCACGTTGTTTATGTGGAGGAGACAAAGATAAATAACTAACGACAAAGCTATGTGGGAATGAAATAAATGTCAAAATGTCATGCAGAGAATAGCAATTGTCTATGAAAACATTGGGAAAGGGATCATTGATTCTGGTGTGTGAGATGGAACGCTGTCTCGAGGATGTTAGCATCTGAACTTGACCTTGAAGAATAAGAAGAACTGGGATAAGGTGGAAATTAGGAGGGAGGAGTGTCTGGCCTGAGGAATCTGTCTGAGCCGGGAGAGGGGAAGTGGCAGCTGTGATGCTTGGGGGCTGGCAAGTTGTCAGGGGAAGCCAGAACATGGGATGTGGGAGCATTGGTGGGAGAGGAAGCTGGAAGAATATGGCACAGATCATCTGTGGCATGAGTTTAGCCTCATGTTGTAGGGGTAAGAGTCCTTAATGGGTTCTGAAGATGGAGGTGGCTTGGTCTTGTCCATGTTTTAAGAAGATGATGCTGGAGCAATGGCAAGAAGCAACGGAGAGCTGAGAGGTAGAGCTGGAGCTGGATTGATGGCTGTGGCAGACACAGATTAGGTGCCAGGTCCCAGTGAAGCTCAGCCTCTGATAGACGCCGTGGGCAGGGGCTACAGTAAGGATCCAGGCATTGAAGGTCACTGTGGCACACGTCAGTACAGATCATCTTCACATTGGGGGTTTCCAGGATCACCTTCACACTACAAAGCTGAGGACACTGTTGCATATTTTAATTTGTTTTTCTCCTCCTTTTTTTTTTGTGACTCTTCTGTATTTATGCTTTGGTCAAAATAACTCTTTAAGAGCCATTGGAACTTAACATTTCTCTGTGGCATTCAGATGACAATTCACATTAATAATCTGCAAGTACTTTTGCTGATACCCTGTGAGTATCTATGGGCCTGTCTTTAACACCATCCTGTATCATTCCAAAACCTTTACTGCATTGAGAAATAGGTTCTGCTAATAATGGTTGCCCATTCAACCATGCTTTTTTTTTTTTAAATAGCCATTTCTCTCTATTGCCCAGGCTGAGGTGCAGTGGCCTGATCATAGCTCACTGTAACCTTGAACTCTTGGACCCAAGTGATCCTCCTGCTTTAGCCTCCTGAGTAGCTAGGACTACAGGTATGTGCCACCATGCCCAGTTTATTTTTTAATTTTTTGTAGAGATAGGGTTTCACTATGTTGCCCAGGCTGGTCTCAAATGTCTGGCTTCAAGTGATCCTCCCACCTTAACCTCCCAAAGTGCTTCAACCATATGTTAATATGACCAGGATGATTACATTGAATACAAAGAAAATGTAGTACTCTGCTTATTTTATTACTGTAGGTAGCACTCATTTGAGGCTGCTTTGTATTTATGTTGGTTTACTGAATGTCTGTTTCTAGATAGACAGTCAGTTACTTGAGTACAAAGATTGTCTTTCGATCGTTTCCTGTGTTAAAGAAAAAAATTATTCTGACACTTACTAAAACTGTAAGGAAGACTTTATTAACAGGATTCTTGCTGAAGGCAGGCCAAGGACATAGACATCAAGGGTGGAAGGTAAGGAACTTGATCAGTTATCAAGGGTGATCAGATATCAGGGGTGCAGGGATTCTGGCTAAACTGACTTAGTAGGATTATTGCTACAAATAAACAGGCTGAAGACAGGGCTCAAGGGCAAGGAAGAGGGCTCAGAGGGGCCCATTAAGATTTGCTCAAGGAAGAGAGTCTTTGTCACCCCCAAACCCTAGAACTGTTTGTTACAGGTATTAAAACTGGAAAATATGTAGTTACGGGATGAAGTGTTCTGTAATGCCCATGCAAAACCTGCTTCCAGATCAGGAAGCCTCACGAGAGACTGTTTCGTCACAGGGGGAACGCTCAGTGAAGGAGGCAGCCAGTGCGTTAACAGGTGGCAGAAGAAAGGGGGTTTTGAGAGCATGGTCCCCATCAGACACATCTGCTCCAAACTTGACTACTCAATTTACTTATATTTTGGTAAAAAAAAAAATAATAAGTTTGGGGTTTTGGTTTTAATTTGAGAAAGCATTAACCCTTAAAGGGAAATCTGTTTTCCCTTGGTAGTTTTTCAAACTTATTAGGATCCTTTTATTCTTTTTTTTTTTTTTTTTTTTTTAAGATAAATACAGAAACAACTACCTTCAGGATCCAGTGATTGAAAGTAGCTCAGCAAGAATTTTATAAAGGAAAATAAATAGAGAGAGAAGAATGGACTATGATAGTACCATGAATTGAAGTAGGACGATAGATTATTTTCTACATTCAGACTTCTAAAAGGTGCTTCTAATGAGCCACAGTGGTGTTATTTATTTGTCCTGTGGTCTTCAGACCTTGAAGGCTTAAGAGTAGAAGAACTGAATAAAGGTGGATAATATCAAGCATGGAATCTTTATGAAAAGGTAAATGAGACATCCTTGCCCCCATGGCTAATTTCATTGTTTTACTTGGAAAAGGATTAACTGCTCAGAAATTTTTTTAGTAGAAAACAGAAACTTAAGAGAAAGCAGTAAAGTTCCTCTTTGAGTTAGACCCTAGAGACTACAAGGAAAGTATGTTTTGAGGTTTCATCTGAAATTGAAATATGTTAAAATGTTAGGAAACTAAAAATCAAGTGGATTGAACATCAGAATTTCAATATTCTTTTTGTTATTTTCATATCACACAAGGTTGTTTGTACTTGGGGACAGGGTATACCATTATCAGAATACTCTTCAGTGGTTAGTTCCAATAGTACGCACCCACCAGGCAATTCAAAAGGACCTACAGTATACTGGGATTTTTATTAGCTGATACCAGCAATCCTGCCTCCCACTGACGTCGTACAGTTGCACATGGAGGCTTCGTGTGGAAAGTGTGTGTCTGAGTGGCCAGTGGAGAGGTCAGAGAACAGTCCTGGTGCCTATTAAGACCGCACAGGTTTCTCTTCTTTTCCCCCTTCCCTGTCGCTGTGCTGTGGTTATTGGTCAGCACTGTCTTTTTATCGTGTATGAATAAGGAATATGAAGGAATATGAAGCGGCTGAGCTTGTTTCACTGGCAGAGCCGAGACTCTTGAAAGCCGAGTGACTGTTTTGTTACCAGCCAAAGTAACGTGTTCAGAATGCATTATGCTGCTTGGGGCAATGAGGTTAACTTAGTGAGGAGGCTGTGCAGTCTACTGGAGGGATCATGATCTGCACTTGCAGGACCATGATTTATCTTTTGCTTTTTATGGTCCATTTATTCCCCCCCTTCCTTCTTCACCCCACAGCACCCTGTAGAAATCATAATTCTTCATAAAGTAGCATTTTGTCACGATGGAAATGAGAGCATTGAATCTGGAATTTTATGAATGCACTATCCCACCCAGTAGTCTAGGTATAGAAGAGGTAAAAAATGACCTTGACAATGATTCGTAAGGTTTGATCTCATACTGAGTCTGCTTTTTTTGTTTGTTTTTTAAATTTATTTTGCAGACTTTTAAACATAGAAACAGAAAGTTCATCCTGAGGGAAGCAAGATGAGTAGTGGCTTCTCAGGGGACAGAAGGTAGAAGTTAAACATATAGTTGTCTCTCTGGTTTCTTAATGCTGCAAGAGATTCCTGAGACTTGAAATTGCTAGGATAAATGGCCAGGCACTGAATTCATGGTTACTGTAATTAGTCATGTCACTTGGGTACTTTAAACTCCAAATCAATGAAAGTTAATTGTGAACTGACTGAAAGTTAATTGTGATCAGTGCAGGCATGTACAAACATGCTCACTGTTATTCTACTTTAAAAGTCAATCAATTTTTGGCCAGGTGCGGTGGCTCACTCCTGTAATCCCAGCACTTTGGGAGGCTGAGGCAGGCGGATCACCTGAGGTTAGGAGTTTGAGACCATCCTGCCCAACATGGTGAAACCGCGCCTCTACTAAAAATACAGAAAAATTAGCTGGCCTGGTGGCGGGCGCCTGTAATCCCAGCTATTTGGTAGGCTGAGGCAGGAGAATCTCTTGAGCCCAAGAGGAGGAGGTTGCAGTGAGCCAAGATTATGCCACTGCACTCCAGCCTGGGTGACAAGAGTGAAACTCTGTCTCAAAAAAAAAAAAAAGTCAATCGTTTTTATGCTTTCATAGTAGTTATTCTCCTCCCTCATGAAGCTCAGAATTGGAAATTGCTTCTTCCCTCCTGTAGAGAAACGCAGAAGCTATCTGTGGTGCCGAGACCCAGGAAGTCAGAGTCAGGAAAACAGGCACTAGTGCCACCAGGGAACACAAACAGAGTCCGTGTCTGTGGCTTGAATTCAGCTGGCGCCCAGAAACTAACTTCCTGTGTAGGCTCCTTTGTGAGCAAAATCTGGGTTTCAGATCTTCATTCTGTTGTGGCTTTGAGAGCCCAGTGCACGCTCTAGGGTCACACCGAGACGGGGCTGACTCAGAGGAAGGATCCCTCCTATTGAGTCATCACCCCACTTCCTGTGGGTCCAGAGTTTTCTTTGGAGGCTTCTCATTCAAGTGGTCCCTGGCCTTAGCCTGAAAGGTCTGGGAAATGCAGAAAGGTGAGAATTGAACATTTTCAGGTCATATTTGCTTCTACATTTCATACCTGCAGAAAGGCATCATTTCATCCCATGAACAGTTTATGTCAAGAAGAAATAGAAAGCTGTGGTGGAAAAAACTCAGAGCTTTCTGTTATGACACTTATTGATTGACTGATTGAGACAGAGTCTCACTATGTCTCCCACGTTGGAGTGCAGTGGCACGATCACGGCTCACTGCAGCACCTTCCTGGGCTCAAGTCATCCTCCCTTCTGAGACTTTCAAGTAGCTGGGATTACAGCACACATGAGCACACCCAGCTAATTTTTGTATTTTATTTTATTTTTTTTTCCTTATTTCCATTTCTTTTTTTTTCTTTTTTTTTTTTTTTTTTTTTTATTATACTCTAAGTTTTAGGGTACATGTGCACATTGTGCAGGTTAGTTACATATGCATACATGTGCCATGCTGGTGCGCTGCACCCACTAACGTGTCATCTAGCATTAGGTATATCTCCCAATGCTATCCCTCCCCCCTCCCCCGACCCCACCACAGTCCCCAGAGTGTGATATTCCCCTTCCTGTGTCCATGTGATCTCATTGTTCAATTCCCACCTATGAGTGAGAATATGCGGTGTTTGGTTTTTTTGTTCTTGCGATAGTTTACTGAGAATGATGGTTTCCAATTTCATCCATGTCCCTACAAAGGACATGAACTCATCATTTTTTATGGCTGCATAGTATTCCATGGTGTATATGTGCCACATTTTCTTAATCCAGTCTATCATTGTTGGACATTTGGGTTGGTTCCAAGTCTTTGCTATTGTGAATAATGCCGCAATAAACATACGTGTGCATGTGTCTTTATAGCAGCATGATTTATAGTCCTTTGGGTATATACCCAGTAATGGGATGGCTGGGTCAAATGGTATTTCTAGTTCTAGATCCCTGAGGAATCGCCACACTGACTTCCACAATGGTTGAACTAGTTTACAGTCCCACCAACAGTGTAAAAGTGTTCCTATTTCTCCACATCCTCTCCAGCACCTGTTGTTTCCTAACTTTTTAATGATTGCCATTCTAACTGGTGTGAGATGATATCTCATAGTGGTTTTGATTTGCATTTCTCTGATGGCGTGGCAGGGTTTCACCATGTTGGCCAGGCTGGTCTTGAACTCCTGGGCTCAAGTGATCCACCTGCCTCAGCCTCCCAAAGTGCTGGGATTACAGGTGTGAGCCACTGCACCTGGCCTTTCTTTTTAAACTTTGTTGTTTGAATAGATAACTTCAGAATGTAAGTGATGAGAATGAGTAGGAAATTTTTTAATTACCCAGAAGCCAAAAGACATCCCCAAATCATTGGGTGTTTTCTTTTGGAAGGTACAGCTTTATCTTCTGTTTATAAAGTCTTAGACTTGATGGCTTTTGGTCAAAGATCACTATAAGATTTACAAACTCTACATTCAATAGTGTAAAAAAAAATGTACATGTAGAAAAAAATGCTGGAAGAAAATATGCTCAACTATTCACAGTGGATAGTTATTGCTGAGTGGTATGAATATGGCTGATTTTTCCTTCCTTTGTATACTTTTCTGTGTTTAACACACTGGGCATGTATAAGTTTATTAAAAAAACAGTTTTCAAAAAAAATTAATAAAACTTTATTGGAAGTGCAAGGTAGCACTGATTTCAGAGCATGGAAAAAGTTACTCTTTGCAAAACAATTTCATAAATGACCAGCAATAACATTTTGGTGCCTAAAATTATTAACTCCAATTTTTTAAAGGAGCTAATGAAGAAAGAAAGACTTAAAGTTATATACATGTCTAATTTACCTTTTTTCCTGAAATTGATCTTAAATGAATGGATTCAAGTAACCCCCCCGACCTCTCACCAAGGAACATCTGCTGCAAAGGGCAAAATAAAAGATCATGTTTAAGGTTATCTAGTTCTAGAACTCTGTGACTCAGACCTCCTTGACTTGAACCCAGTGATGTCAGGTTGGGATTGTAGCCCTGTGATATTTACACATCTCCTCAAATCACTCCCCTTGTATTTGCCACTTTGCTGACATATAGACTTACTATAGGGGGACACAGTGTCTGCCTCTCAGAGATTTATAATCTAAGACAGGTGTCAGTAGTGCAGGTGCTTGTAAAATGATGCATACAAACATTGCATTTTAATAGGTTTACCGTTCTCACAGCAGTTCAGGTTAAGGATCGGTACCTAGGAAGACATGCTCAAGAAGTATCAGAATTCTTAAGCCCTTACAAACTCACTGTGCTGACTCCACAACACTGTAAGGAATATCATGGCAGCCTGGGTGCCGTGGCTCATGCCTATAATCCCAGCACTTTGGGAGGCCAAGGCGGGTGGATCATCTGAGCTCAGGAGTTCAAGACCAGCCTGGCCAACGTGGTGAAACCCCCTCTCTACCAAAAATGCAAAAATTAGCCAGGCATGGTGGTGTGTGCCTATAGTCCCAGCTACTCGGGAGGCGGAGGTAGGAGGATCACTTGAGCCCGGGAGGTGGAGGTTTCAATGAGCTGAGATCATGCTACTGCACTCCAGCCTGGGAGACAGAGCGAGGCCCTACCTCAAAAAAAAAAAAAAAAAAAGAAATATCATGGCAGACCACACAGGACAATCTGTAACTATAACTGATTAGCTAGGACTCTTTGTGGCAGTTAGTTTAATGCTTGGTCAGGAAGAAAGAGACAAAAGAAACATTTGATCATGTGAGATTAAAACTTTAAAAATGAGTTTAAAAATTAGAACTATATTTTCTGAACTTTTGACAACTACTATTGTTCAGAATGTGGATAATTCATTTTATACCTAAAATGAAGTGGGCTTTCTGAAGCAGAGATTCTCCAGGGCAGACACTGCATGCCGTGTTTCTCCTTTGTGACTGCATAGGCATCAGTTCAGAGATTCATTGTGTCTTTCCCAGCCATCTCCTTTTTATATTTACAAGAGGTCACAAGAGGACAGTTAAAACTGATGACGCCTAAGGACAGATCACACGTAATAGAAGAGCTGCCGCAGCCGGTTCCCATTAGAAGGGCCTCCAAGAACAACACACACAGGAACTCGCCTGCTCTTCTCCTGATGGTCCACAGTCACCCCTGCCCTTTGAGCAGGAGGAGCGTGACCTCCTGCCACAGCTACAGCCACAGCCACAGCCACTCCCCTGACCACCTAGAAAAAGGGTTTGTAGTGTGAATGGGGATAAAATAGCAAACACTCATCAGAGACTGCCATGCAGGGAGGGTTCTGTTGGACTCCAAGATAATTATTAAGTGGCAATTATTGAAATTGTGGTCAACATTCCATTTAAAGCATTAAAGTCTGTTGTTTTAGTCCTGACTAAGCAGTAGGCTTCTATGGATTGGGTATTTTTTTTTTTTACCCACCCAAATGTGTTTTATGTTGAGATGTTTCGAGTTTTTTTGGGGGGTTGAGGGTGGTGCAGGTCGTGAGGGGCAAGAGCTGCTGCATAGGAGATAATTCTCTTTAACTGATTAATGTTTTTGCTTTATTCAACAGCTATTGAATTAGGCAGTCTGTACCTTTAGTGTTTTCCAGAACAAATGTGTTGAAGTGGCAGAAGGGTGGAAGAATTGAAAATTATTCTTGCACAGTTGCACCTGAGTTGTATTATTGCTCCATGTCTCCTTATGTGCACAAGTTTTACACAGTTATCTTGTCTTCCTATCTCAATTGTGAATAAATCAGAAGTTCCCTGTTAATGTTATATGTATCGCCTCAAAACACCTCCTTCGTTGCTAAGCAGAGGAGTTAGAAGCACAGACTTCGAAGCACAGTCGAAATGGCCCTTTGAGTGACACCTGGTGAGGCCAGGAGTCCGGCTTTATCGAGGCAGCAGCAGTGCATGCTCTCCAGTGTGAGACTGGTCATACCCTCGAGTGGCAAGGGAAGGTGAATGTCTCTGCAGTGGGTTGGAACCATCTGCAGGGCCGTTAGGCATCCAACTTTAATAACATTGTGTCAGGTAATCAGTGTGAGCTACTGTCTAACAGGGAAAGAAATGTATGGATTGGGTCTGTGGACAACAACAAGGTAACTAAGAAAAATAAGGCAAGTTTCATATAAAAAAGATACCTTAGAATAAACACCTAAAGCAAGTGTATTAGTCAGGTTTCTCTTAGAGGGACAGAACTGATAGGAGAGATATATATATGTGTGTATGTGTATATATACGTGTGTGTGTGTGTGTGTGTGTATCCTATAAACATATATGTGTGTGTACATATATATATACACACACACATATATATGTTTATAGGATACACACACACACACACACACACGTATATATACACATACACACATATATATAGGGGAGTTTATTAAGTATTAACTTACACGATCACAAAGTTCTGCAATAGGCCATCTGCCAGCTGAGGAGCAAGGAGAGCCAGTCCGAGTCCCAAAACTGAAGAACTTGGAGTCTGATGTTCGAGGGCAGGAAGCATCCAGCATGGGAGAAAGATGTAGGCTGGGAGGCTAGGCCAGTCTCTCCTTTTCATATTTTTCTGCCTGCTTTATATTCGCTGGCAGCTGATTAGATTGTGCCCACCAGATTAAGGGTGGGTCTGCCTTCCCCAGCCCACTGACTCAAATGTTCATCTCTTTCAGCAACACCCTCGCAGACACATCAAAAATCAGTACTTTGTATCCTTCAATCCAATTAAGTTGACACTCAGTATTAACCGTCACAGCAAGAAAAGGTAGAGTCAAACCTTGGTCATCTCTAGCTACCTCAAGCTGCCATACAAATACATTGAGAATCACGTCGTTGGAGGACCTTAGAGGCCATCAGACTCACACAAGACGTCCCAGTGATTACTCTAATATCCCAAAGCCAGATGTGCCAGAGAAAGAACCAAATCCTATGCCTGGGGATTCCCCATCCAGTCTCACCCTGTTTGAAATGCCAGTGAGCGCTGATAGAGTCTTTATTTCTCTGTTCAAAAAACATAGAAAGTATCCATTTCCTCAACTCTAGGTGTAAACCTAGCAAGAGTATACCTTAATTAGAGAAGTCAGCAGGGGTTTCACAACATTTTATTCTATTTTCAGCCCCTGTGAGACTCCAACAACAGTTTTCAGTCCATCACTGACAATCACATTATTTTTACAGAAGAAACAAAGTAAGCGTAAAGTAGACACAGACTCTCCCAGCCTATTACCTGCCAATCAGTCATGGACTTTGACACAGTCATTCATTCATTCTGCCGTTCAACACTACTTATTTGGGGCCTAGAATTGTTCTGGGTGCAGGGAGCACAAAGGAAAGAGGATGCCTGCATACCTGGAACTTTCAGTTGTCAACTGAGGGACACAAGTGACCCATTATGGTGTGGTGGGAGGGCTGCTCCGAAGACGGAGGCGCAGAGCTGGGGACATACATTGCAGACCAGGTTTCAGATGGGCACTCACTGTGTGACCTGGGGTGAGTAATGAAATTCTCTCTGCCTCCGTTCCTTCGTCTCTGTAGAAAAGGAGAACTAGCTGGGCATGGTGGCTCACATCTATAATCCCAGCACTTTGGGAGGCTGAAGCGGGTGGATCACCTGAGGTCAGAAGTTCGAGACCAGCCTGGCCAACATGGTGAAACCCCGTCTCTACTAACAATACAAAAATTAGCCAGGCATGGTGGCACGCACCTGTAATCCCAGCTACTAGGGAGGCTGAGGCAGGAGAATCACTTGAACCCAGGAGGCGGAGGTTGCAGTGAGCAGATACCGCGCCGTTGCACTCCAGCCTGGGCAACAAGAGTGAAACTCTGTCTAAAAAAACAAAGTTGGGGGTAGAGAACTAATAGAATTTGCTATGTAAGGTGATCACAGGACCAAATGATAAAGCTGTTCCCACATTCCTTGCCAGTAACACATGATAGTTATGGTTGCTGTTGTTGGTTTTAGACATGTAGAATGAGAGATGTCATGTGAGGAGCTCAGGAAAGAGCACTTGGCTGGAGAGGGGCTAGATCTGCATATCGCCAAGATCACGGAGTGAACTGAGACCTTGATTTTACTAAGATCAAGGGAGTATAGAAGAAGAAGAAGTGTAAAATGTAAAAATGTAAGGCAAAAGAGGAAAATAAAAATTAAAAAAGAGATAGCAGCTGGGCATGGTGGCTTATGCCTGTAATCCCAGTACTTTGGGAGGCTGAGGCAGGTGGATCACTTGAGATCAGGAGTTTGAGACCAGCCTGGCCAAGATGGCGAAACCCCATGTCTACCAAAAACACAAAAATTAGTTGGGAGTGGTGGTGCGTGCCTGTAGTCCCAGCTACTCAGGAGGCTGAGGCAAAAGAATTGCTTGAACCCAGGAGGTGGAGGTTGTGGTGAGCTGAGATCGCACCACTGCACTCCAGCCCGGGCAACAGAGCAACACTTTTTCTCAAAAAATAAATAAACAAATTAAAATAAAAAAGAGATAGAGACTAAAAGACCTTTAGAGAAGTCCATGGCCTTCAGCCCATATCTAAGGAAACAGATTTGCAGGAGGGGCTTTCAAACTTTTCCACCACCTGACACAGTAATAGTTCTTTCATTGCAGCCCAGTATGCACACACCAACATTTAAACAACTAAAATATACTTACATGCTGGATGTGACCTATCAAACTGATTTCATGACCCACTGTGGATAGCAATTCACGGTATGGAAGATGCCAAGCTAGAGGATTACAGTATTTATCAGACATCACTCTGCAAGTTGGTTCCAGAGCCAACAAGTTGGTTAATTTAACATCCCTGCTTGAAGATGGGTGAGAGTCATGCTCCCATTCAACAAGTCTTTATTGAGCACCTACTCTGTGCCAAGTAATTCAGTAAGCCATGATTGGATCATGATGGGCAGCTTACATGCTATGGGAGAAGGAACGGGGGTGGGGAGCTAACCCAGCCCAGGGATCAGAGAAAGGCTTCAGAGGAGCTGACATTGAGACGAGGGATGTGTAGGAGCAGCCAGGGGGAGGCAGGTGGGAGGGAGAATGGGATGGCTGAGGGGGAGGGAAGAATCTGTAGCTCTCAAGGAGACGCCTTGTGTCTGGAATCTAGAATGGAGAAGAGGAGGTGAGGGACCAGACCATGGAGGGCCTTAGAAGAAAAACTAAGGAGACAGAGATTTGGCCAAGGGGTGATGGGAAGCTGTGGAGGAGAGACAGGGTCAGAGCCGCATCTTCAGAGGTCCCTCCATCTGTGAAGCAAAATGGACTCGAGGGGACAACGATAAGGTCAAGAGAGATCAAGTAGTAATAGGGATTCAGCAAACTCCATGAGAAGTAATACTGGTCTGCACTAGGCGGTGGGTCTGGGAAGTGATAGATGGATATAATTGATACATAGGAGACAGAATCAACTGGACAAGGTGATTGATTGAAAATGGAGGAATAGGGGAGAGAGAAGCATCAGAGATAATGCCAAGTCTCGGTGAGAAGAGCCATTAAGAAATGGAGCATTGAAGGAACAGCCTTGTGGAGTGTCAGGGACTAAATGATGAATTCATTTCTGAACGCACTGAGATTGAAGCACCTGCCAGCCACCCAACAAGCACTAGCTGGTGGGCAGTTGACTTTGCCTATTTCAGGCCAAGGAGAGAAGTCTCAGGTAGGAACATTGACCCGGTGTTGGCACTGTCGACAGGAAGAAAGGAATTGAAACTGCAGGAGTAGATGAGAGATCTCCAGAGGAAACAGCTGCCAGCAATGCACAGTAGGAAATGCATCCTGTCCTGCAGCCTAGTCTACAGACATGTTAGTGCACACACACTCCTACAACAGATGTATCCCCACTGCATGCATGATGGCATTTTTCTATTCTGTTTATAAAAATTGTTGGTTGTAATGTTCTAAATTGTTTTCATGACACACTGATGTCTTAGGGAATATGTAGAATGAGAAGACAGGTGAAAGTCAAGAGCTGAGCTTTCAAGGACTACACAGACATTCTGTTTTCTTGTTTTCCTGTTGGATCCACTTACCCACACCCCGCTTCATGTCACAGTAGAGGTGATGTCATGGCAGCATTTCTCAAAATGTCCTATGGAGGACTTTGTAACATGAACCTCAAAAGCAAGGTTCTGTAGGCAAAAACATTTGTTAAGTTCTGTAATGCCACTGTCCCTTTGGAGATTTTTAGCATACATTGACAAAGTCTTTGAGAAATTCTATAGCTAAAAAAGAGAAAGAGTTTAATTTTGTTTTCTAGAGTCATTTCAATATAAAGAGTTTTTTATACACAGCACCTATTAACATCTGGAAGAAATAGTGTTCCTTAGAGTATACTTTCAGTAACATAGCATTAGCTTGTCCATTTCCAAACCTACACTGTTTTAGAATGAGTGTTGGTAATCATCAGGATAGGCACTGGGAAAGGATTGGAAGCAGTGGGATTTGTTTTTAGGGAGGTCATAGGGAATTTAAGGACTTAAAGATCAAGAAGGCATCTAATAGGGTTCTATGTAAAGATAAGAGACAACTAAAACAATCAGGTAAGAAACCTTTTGATCCAATAATTCTGTTAAATCTTCCAAGATATGTACATCAAATTATATAGGCATCCCTTGGAGCTATTGCGGCTTCGGTTCCAGACCACCACAATGAAGCAAATTCCACATGAAAGCAAGTGACACACACTTTTTGGTTTTCCAATGCATATAAAAGTTACGTTTGGGCTGGGTGTGGTAGCTCACACCTATAAGCCTACCCCTTTGGGAGGCTGAGGCAGGAGGATTGCTTGAGCCCAGGAGTTTGAGATCAGCCTGGGCATCATGCCAAGACCTCATCTTTACAAAAAATAAAATAACTAGCCAGGTATGGTGGTAGCATGTCTGTGGTCCCAGCTACCCGAGGCTGAGGTGGGAGGATTGCTTGAGCCCAGGAGGTCAAGGCTGCAGTGAGCCATGTTCACATCACTGTACTCCAACCTGGGCAAAGGAGCAAGACCCTGTCTCAAAAAAAAAAAAAAAAAGAAAAAAAATGTTATATTTGCTCTATACTATAGTCAATTAAGTGTGCAATGTATTAGGACTTAAAAAACAGTGTATATACCTTAAATAAAAGATACTCCATTGCTAAAAAATGCTAACGATCATCTGAGCTTTCAAAGAGTTGTAATCATTTTGTGGATACAGGATCTTGCTTCTGTATTGATGGCTGCTGGCTGATCAGGGTGGTGGTTCCTGAAGGTTGGGCAGGTTGTAGCAATTTCTTAAAATAAGACAGGAATGAAGTTTGCCACATCAGTTGACTCTTCCTTTCATGAAAGATTTGTCTGTAGCATGAAATGCTGTTTGATAGCATTTTACTCACAGTAGAACTTCTTTCAAAACTGAAATCAATCCTCTCAAACTCTGCTTTTGCTTTATCCACTAAGCTTATGTAATATTCTAAGTCATTTGTTGTCACTTCAACAATGTTCACAGCATCTTCACCAGGTATAGATTTCATCTCAAACACTTTATTTGCTTATCCGTAAGAAGCAGCTCCTCATCTATTGAAGTTTGATCATGAGATTACAGCAATTCAGTCCTGTCTTCATGCTCTACTTCTAACTCTAGTTCTCTTGCTATTTCTACCACATCTGCAGTTACCTTCCCCACTAAGGTCTTGAACCCCTCAAAGTCATCCATGAGGGTTGAAATCAACTTCTTCCAAACGACTGTTAATGTGGATAGTTTTACCTCCTCCCATGAGTCAGGAATGTTCTCTTAATGGCATCTAGAATGGTGACTTCTTTCCAGAAGGTTTTCACTATCCTTTGCCCAGATCCATCAGTGGAATCACTGTCTATGGCAGCTATAGCCTTATGAAATGTATTTCTTAAATAGTAAGACTTGAAAGTAGAAATTACTCCTTGATCCGTGGACCGCAGAATGGATGTTGTGTTAGCAGTCATGAAAACAACATAAATCTCCTCGTACCTCTCCATCAGAGCTCTTCGGTGACCAGGTGCATTGTCAATGAGCAGTAATATTTGAAAGAAATCTTTTTTCTGAGCAGTAGGTCTCAGCAGTGGGCTTAAAATATTTTCAGTAAGCCATGCTGTATACAGATGTGCTGTCATCCGGGCTTTGCTGTAACACAGGCAGAGTAAACTCAGCATAATTCTTAAGGACCTGAGGACTTTCTGAATGGTAAATGAGCATTGGCGTCAGCTTAAGTTCGCCACCTGCATTAGCCCCTAACAAGAGAATCAGCCTGTCCTTTGCAACTTTGAAGCCAGACATTTACCTCTCTTTTCTAGCTGTGAAAGTCCTAGATGACACCTTCTTCCAATAAAAGACTGTTTTGTCTACCTTGAAAATCTGTTGTATAATGTAGCCACCTTCATTAGTGATCTTAGCTAGATCTTCTGGATAAGTTGCTGCAGCTCCTACATAAGCACTTGCTGCTTTACCTTGTACTTTTGTATTTTGGAGACAGATTCTTTCCTGAAACCCCATGAACCAACCTCTGTTAGCTTCCAGCTTTTCTTCTGCAACTTCCTTACCTCTCCCAGCATTCATGGAATTCAAGAGTGAGAGCCTTGCCCTGGATTAGGCTTTTGCTTAAGGGAATGTTGTGGGTGGTTTGATCTTCTTTCCAGACCACTCAAACTTTCTCCGTATCAGCAATAAGGCTGTTGCACTTTCTTATTATTCTTGTATCCACTCAAGTAACATTTTTTAATTTCCTTTAAGAACTTTCCCTCTACATGCACAACTTGGCTAACTGATAGAGGAAGCCTAGCTTTCTTGGCCTGAGCTGGTAGCAAGCCTTCCTCACTAAGCAATGCTGTTGATTTACCAAGAGAGAGGTGTGACTGTTCCTTTCACTTGAATAGTTAGAGGCCATTGTAGGGTTATTAATTGGCCCAATTTCAGTATTGTTTTGTTTCAGGTAACAGGGAGGCCTGGAGGCAAGGGAGAAGGGAAAGACCAGTGGATAGAGCAGTCAGGACACACACATTTATTAAGTTTGCCATCTAATATGGGTGCAGTTTGTGGTGTCCCAAAACAATTAAAATAGTCACATTAAAGATCACCTATCACACATCACCATATCAGATATAATAATAATGAAAAAGTTTGAAATATTGCGAGAGTTACCAAAATGTGACACAAAGAGACAGAGAGTGAGCATGTGCTTTTGGAAAAAATGGTGCCAATAGACTTGCTTGACACAGGGTTGCCACAAACCTTCAATTTGTTAATTAAAAAAAAAAATAGAGACCGCGTGCGCAGAGCGAACGCCTGCAGCCTCCCTGCCCCTCCCACAACGCTCGACCCCAGGATTCCCCCGGCTCGCCTGCCCGCCATGGCCGACAAGGAAGCAGCCTTTGACAACACAGTGGAAGAATGAGTGATCAACAAGGAATACAAAATATGGAAAAAGAACACCCCTTTTCTTTATAATTTGGTGATGACCCATGCTCTGGAGTGGCCCAGCCTAACTGCCCAGTGGCTTCCAGATGTAACCAGACCAGAAGGGAAAGATTTCAGCCTTCATCGACTTGTCCTGGGGACACACACATCGGATGAACAAAACCATCTTGTTATAGCCAGTGTGCAGCTGCCTGATGATGATGCTCAGTTTGATGCATCACACTACGACAGAGAGAAAGGAGAATTTGGAGGTTTTGGTTCAGTTAGTGGAAAAATTGAAATAGAAATCAAGATCAACCATGAAGGAAAAGTAAACAGGGCCCGTTATATGCCCCAGAACCCTTGTATCATCACAACAAAGACTCCTTCCAGTGATATTCTTGTCTTTGACTATACAAAACATCCTTCTAAACCAGATCCTTCTGGAGAATGCAACCCAGACTTGCGTCTCCGTGGACATCAGAAGGAAGGCTATGGGCTTTCTTGGAACCTAAATCTCAGTGGGCACTTACTTAGTGCTTCAGATGACCACACCATCTGCCTGTGGGACATCAGTGCCGTTCCAAAGGAGGGAAAAGTGGTAGATGCGAAGACCATCTTTACAGGGCATACGGCAATAGTAGAAGATGTTTCCTGGCATCTACTCTGTGAGTCTCTGTTTGGGTCAGTTGCTGATGATCAGAAACTGATGATTTGGGATACTCGTTCAAACAATACTTCCAAACCAAGCCACTCAGTTGACACTCACACTGCTGAAGTGAACTGCCTTTCTTTCAGTCCTTATAGTGAGTTCATTCTTGCCACAGGATCAGCTGACAAGACTGTTGCCTTGTGGGATCTGAGAAATCTGAAACTTAAGTTGCATTCCTTTGAGTCACATAAGGATGAAATATTCCAGGTTCAGTGGTCACCTCACAATGAGACTATTTTAGCTTCCAGTGGTACTGATCACAGACCGAATGTCTAGGATTTAAGTAAAATTGGAGAGGAACAATCCCCAGAAGATGCAGAAGACAGGCCACCAGAGTTGTTGTTTATTCATGGTGGTCACACTGCCAAGATACCTGATTTCTCCTGGAATCCCAGTGAACCTTGAGTGATGTGTTCTGTATCGGAAGACAATATCATGCAAGTGTGGCAAATGGCAGAGAACATTTATAATGATGAAGACCCTGAAGGAAGCATGGATCCAGAAGGACAAGGGTCCTAAATATGTCTTTACTTCTTGTGATTTTAGACTCCCCTTTTTTCTTCTCAACCCCGAGAGTGATTTAACACTGGTTCTGAGACAGATTTTATTCAGCTATCCCTCTATATAATAGGTACCACCGATAATGCTATTAGCCCAAACAGTGGGTGTTTTCTAAATATTAATGGGGGGCTTGATTCAACAAAGCTACAGAGTTATGTTGAAATTTTCTTCAGGAATTTTCTAGTAACCCAGGTCTAAAGTAGCTACAGAAAGGGGAATATTATGTGTGATTATTTTTCTTCTTATGCTATATCCCCAAGTTTTTTGGACTCATTTAAGTAAAGGCTAGAGTGAGTAAGGAGAATAGAGCCAAATGAGGTAGGTGTCTGAGCCATGAAGTATAAATACTGAAAGATGTCACTTTTATTCAGGAAATAGGGGAGATTCAAGTCATATAGATTCCTACTCGAAAATCTCGACACCTGAGTTTCCAGGATGCACATTTTCATACGTAGACCAGTTTCCTCTTGGTTTCTTCAGTTAAGTCAAAACAGCACGTTCCTCTTTCCCCATATATTCATATATTTTTGCTCGTTAGTGTATTTCTTGAGCTGTTTTCATGTTGTTTATTTCCTGTCTGTGAAATGGTGTTTTTTTTTTTTTTGTTGGTGTGTGTTTTTTTTTTTTAACTTGGGACCGCCAAGTTGTAAAGATGTATGTTTTTACCTGACAGGTATACCACAGGTAGATTGTCAAGTTGAGAAGAGTGAATCGATAAATTGTATTTGTTTTAAAAATTAAATTAATCCTTGATAAGAGTTGCTTTTTTTTTAGGAGTTTGTCCTTGACCACTAGTTTGATGCCATCTCCATTTTGGGTGACCTGTTTCACCAGCAGGCCTATTACTCTCCATGACTAACTGTGTAAGTGCTTAAAATGGAATAAATTGCTTTTCTACATTAAAAAAAAAAACACATTTGCAATGCACAAGAAAATGAAGCTCAATAAAACAAGGTCTGAATATGCCTGTACCCAAAAGGCACAGATACAAATTTCTTTGTAAAAATATCACGTCGAAAAGAATTTTTTCAGCTAAGATCTAGTCTGACAATTGGGAAGGAAAATATGTTCAAAATAATTTTAACTGTTAAAGGCTCCAAACAGGACACTAATAAGGTGTCACATTGCAAAAGGAATAATTAACCAGCCTCACGGTCTCAGGGCTTATCTTAGGATATTCGCTTTTATATATGTTGGGCTATAATCTGCTTTTTTTTTTTTTTGAGACACAGTCTCACTCTGTCACCCAGGATGGAGTGCAGTGGTGTATTCTTGGCTCACTGTAACTTCCACCTCCCAGGTTCAACTGATCCTTGTGCTTCAGCCTCCCGAGTAGCTGGGATTACAGATATGTGCCACCACGCCGACTAATTTGTTTCGTATTTTTAGTAGAGACTAAAAATGGGGTTTCGCCATGTTGGCCAGGCTGGTCTTAAACTCCTGGCCTCAAGTGATCCACCTGCCTTTGCCTCCCAAAGTGCTGGGATTACAGGCGTGAGCCACCACACCCAGCTTTTAATCTGCTTTTGCAGCATCCTTTATATAGTTCTCATTTGAAAAGGGTGAAGGTTTGCTGAAGGAGTCCAGAATTTTTTCTTCTTGGTTTTTTACATCCTATCAATCAATTGCACATGATTTGGGGATTATTTTAACTTAAGATGAGTTTAAGAACCACAACGTATTATTGTAGGGATCTCTCTAGTTCAGAATAAAAGCTGCATCTATTTTTTTTCCAAATGCAGAAAATGTTCACTGTTCAAGTAATAAACACCATTGTTTAGTAGGTCACAATTGGATTTTACCACCATTGTTGAAGATAAATTTTTTCCACTCTCTTTTTGCTGACTACCTTTTCATGGCTGGTGGTAATGGCTCCAAGTCAGCAACTGGATTTTGCTTTGCCATTAGCATGCCACCAAGAAAATGGAAAATGTTTCTGTGCACACACTTGAAGGATCAGCTTCTGAAAAGAGCAGCTGCCTGCAATGATGTGTGATGAGTGAGATGCTGTGGGTGGATGCACGTTGGACCAGACTTGCATCCAGGCATTTTTCTGTCACTCAGACAAGTAGTGCCAGGCACACATTGTTTCTGTGTACCACCTCCTCCTACTTCCATTATCTCAGAACATACACAGTACAGCAAAGGAAAACACAAGACCATGCCTTCCAAAGCACCAACGGAATTCCGTTTTCATTGCCTCACCTTGTGCAGCAGCAAATGCCGTATATATTTCTTCAAAGGGCAATGCAGCACTCAGTGCAACCCTAACATCATTCAGGAAGCAAAACAACTAGTCAGTTCCACATGTTGGTTTACCAGTCTCAAGGCCCCATCTGTTCAGGAGCAAGCTTCTTATATGACTTGCAGCAAGCTCTCTCATCTGCTTCTGAAGTTTGTCACCTCTGTGGGAAAAATAATTGAACAGTACTGGAAGAAATGATCTGCCTTTGGGATTCAGCTTTTCACCACAGCACATTTCCAAATTAGAGCAGTTAGTAAACCTGGGGACATTTATCTTAAGACTGTGATCCAACAGTAAGCAAAAGGATTTTCTGTGGTAGTACAACTATTAGATAATTAGGATACGAAAGAAGATAGGAGAGGGAGAGAAGAGGCATTCAATGGAACATCCCCAGAGCCTCTTACACATGCTCCCTGTGCTCCCCGAGCTGTCTTTAGCCCACGTTCACGGCCAGGGCCCCTCTCTGCACTTCACCTGCCTCCTTTCTGTGGTCCCCACTATAGTTACATCATGGATTCACAGTCAGTGCTGGGCACACAGGAAGCTGCAGGGTATAGTTCCAGCATGAGAAATTCAGCTTTTTCCAGGTCTCCTCTGTGGCTAAAATAACTGTCCTTTGAAAATAGGCTCTGCTGCTCTAGAATAGGCTGGCTTTCCCAGTACACTTCCCAACAATGCCTTATTGCCCAAAGCTGTTAGGACTTCCTGGAGAATACAGCCATGCAGTTAGTTGCATTGACTCTGTCTACGTCCTACGAGGTTTGGTTCTCACCAGTGTAAAGAGATCTTAGTGATATTTCTGTTTATCCCAACAAAAGTTCGCCATCAGATAAGTGTTGGCTTAGCAAACACATTTGCTTTGCAGGCCAGAATGGATCAGTGGATAGCATTACTTCTTCTACTTAGAGAAAAACATTTTTCTCCCAGTGGGCGGTCGCCCCATTCATTGTTCAATAGTCAGCCACACAGAAATGCAGTGATAGCAAATGAAGAGGGAGAGGATTTACTGCCCCACGAGAGAGCAAACAAGGCAGAGAAATGCTCCTGCCAGGGCCTCACTTACTGCCCCCGCAAGGCCACACAGCTGGCTGGGCCATTAGGTGTCACTTGCAAACTTCCAGGACAAACTCACTTGGGACTGGGTTTCTCCAAGGCAAGAGGAGCTGCAGCAGTGAAGGCGAGAACAGCACCATTGAGATTTGCAGCCACCATTCCTGCAAGACTCCCGGCCTGGCTGCTTGTCCTTTGCCTGTTTATTCTGCCTCTTCACCCTGGTTCATCTCCCGTTACTCAGCCCCTTACCACTTACCTTGCTGCTCCACCAGAGAACTGGCCACCAGGTGTCCGGTGGTCTCACTGCCTCTGATCCCCTGCAGTCCTCACCACACTGCCAGTTTAACGTGGGCACAGCTCCTGGGAATTAGAGAAATACCCAAGAGCTACTGGGCAAAGCCACCATGGCTGAGGAACATTTAGGGGTTAGGTCTTTGGCTATGACTGAGTGGCAGAGGTGAGTCCTCGCTGGGTCTTCAGCAGCCCAGAGTGTCTCTGTGGGCCTCTTTCCAGCCCCAGAACCCTTAGATGTCAGGGTCAAAGCAGACCAAGTCCAAGGCAGCCTGGCTCTGCTGACGCATCCCTCCCTCCTTAAACTTTGGTAAGAGTGTCCACCTCTCTTTTATTTTAGGCTTTGTTGTAACTAAGTGTTGTTTTATTTATATATATAATATATAAATAAATAAATATTTATATATATATTTTTATATATTTATATATATTTTATATATATTTATATATATATTTTTATATATATATATTTATATATATATATTTATATATATATATATTTTTATATATATATATGATGGAGTTTCTCTCTTGTTGCCCAGGCTGGAGTGTGGTGGCATAATCTCGGCTCACTGCAACCTGCAACTCCCAGGTTCAAGCGATTCTCCTGCCTCAGCCTCCCGAGTAGCTGGGATTACAGGTGTCTGCCACCACATCTGGCTAATTTTTTTGTATTTTTAGTAGAGGCAGGGTTTTACCATGTTGGCCAGGCTGGTCTCGAACTCCTGAACTCAGGTGATCCACCTGTCTCGGCCTCCCAAAGTGCTAGGATTACAGGCGTGAGCCACCGTGCCCAGCCCTGTTTTATTTTTATTTCACGTAACTTCAAGGATGAGTAGTCAGTTCTGGGTAGTGTTTTAGCTGTGTTCACCAGCACCCAGCTGCCTCCTCAGCTAGAAACCCCCAAATCGTTCTTTCCTTTCATCAGTGTTCATCAGCCTAGATAGAGCGGTGAAGGAGGTCCATTCCCCACTGTGAGGGAGATTCACCTGGGGAGGAGGGCCACTGGCAGCAGACAAGAAACAGATCTTAGTTCTCACATCCAAATAAATGTTGGCTTTCACCCTCCTGTCCCATCATCACCAGTCTGGGTCCCAGACCAAGCACCTCTTCCCTGCCACTCTGGCAAGAGTTGGTTTCCTGACTCTGTTTTTTGCCACTCTAGTCCACTATGCACATTCTTCCCAGATTGTTCTTCATAAATCCTCCACTCACAAGCTTGCAGCCTTTCCTATCACAGTCATATCCAATCTCAATTCCCCTGCCCAGTATAATGGGACTCGACTCTAGACACCTGACCTAATTTCTCTCCACTCCATGCACGCTTCCTTGAGCCAGCCTCTGTTCCTCTCTTGAGCCCAGAGCAGGCTGAGCTCTGGCACTCCCTGTACCCCCTCAGAGCCCTCCACCCTCGTCCCAAAGGATCCAGGACCCTCACCATCTTCAGCACAGGCAGCTTGCTCTTGCTGATCGAATCAGAGCCACCATTTTTGTCCTATGCCTGTTCCATATTCTCATCATGACTTCCTTGAAGGCAGGGACCAGCTTTTAAACCTCTTGTGTGTGGTCCATGGTTCTTGCCTAGTAGAGTACCAGGCACATAACAGGTACTGAACAAATCCTTCTTAGCCAAGCAATTGCTGGATGAGCGCCTTCAAGTAGCACCTGCGTGGCAGAGGTTTGCTGGAGTAGAAGGTAAAAGTTGGGAGGGCTCCCAAGGGAGAGGCTGGGGTAGACTTTTGACTTCATGAGCTATCACTGGAAGCTGCTTTTGAAAATGCAAAACTGGCATTCTTTGCACACACTGGGTGCTTTCCTTCCAAAGCTGTCAAATTCAATGAGGATAAATATTGAGTAGTAAGTGGGCTTGATTTTGCTTAGCTTTTGACTAGGCAAAAGTCAAAAGCTGACTTTGGGGTGGCTGATTTATTCAAAACCAATTTTTATGCATTTTTTTTACAACAAGGGAACCATTTGTATAAAAAGAAAACGAAGCTAAGAAAAGGCTCATTACAGCCGTAGGAGCTTGGGTAGGCAGCAGACAGACTTGGTATAGAAGGTGCTTTTGAAACTACTTCATTGAGTCTAGATCTTTGCATTTTTTATGGAAATCACCAAGCAACTACCACAGTTCTTCATTTTGCTGTTCCTCACCTCCCTGCTGAACGAGGAGTCATGACATCTCAGGCAGTTTGGGTCAACATGGCCACCTCTTTCAGACTGAGCTCATGCGCCCACCCCAGAGTTAAGGTTCTTCACATCCCTCTCCAGGCACCCGAAGGGGCCTAAGATAACACAGCTGGTAGGGGGAAACTCAGATATCAGCCTGATGGTCCACGTGATTTCCAGCTTACGTGGCTGGGTTTAGAGGCCAAAGTCCCAATATTGCCACTAATAGCTTAATGGCCTTGGGTAAATTGGTTTTTCCCTATGAGTCTCAGTCATCTTGTCCTTCACAAGAGCTGAGACTCTCTACCTTGCTAGGTTTTTCAGGAGGATTAATGAAGTGAGAGAACTCATGAGAAAATGCCCAGCACAGGCCCTAATACACACAGGAGGGTGCGTGAAAAGAGTTGGATCTTGGCTGGGCATAGTGGCTTATACCTGTGATTCTAGTGCTTTGGGAGGCCAAGGCAGGTGGATCTCTTGAGGTAAGGAGTTCAAGACCAGCCTGGCCAACATGGCAAAACCCTGTCTCTACTAAAAATACAAAAAATTAACTGGGCATGGTGACGCTCGCCTATAGTCCCCACTACTCAGGGAGGCTGAGACAAGAGAATCGCTCGAACCCCGGAAGCGAAGGTTGCAGTGAGCCGAGATCGCACCACTGCTCCCCAGCCTGGGCGACAGAGTGAGACTCAGGGATGAATATGAAAATAATTTTAGGTTTCCACGGAGCAGTTTCTTTAAAATACATTTTACAAAAAGAAAGAAAAAGAAAAGAACCAGTGAATAAGTGATTTGAGTCTCACTCCAGATATATTTTAATGTTCTCTCCCTTTTCAAAATTTACAGCCAATGTCAACAAATACTTAGTTTGTCTAATCTTTTTGTGGTTTGCATAGAAGGTGGATTGAGTGTTTTTCAAAGTTGGGACTTCCTGTTTTTCCCTGATCTGTGTTTTTCTCTTTTAATTCTTCATTTTTGGCATCAGCCAAGAACACATTCATATGGGACTAGTCTTAAGTTCCAAGTGTGTTTGAGGGGTTTAAAAATTAGGTGATATAGTAGTTTATGTCGTGTTTTATCTGTTTAGTGTACTTTTATCTTCATATGGAAGTAAGTAATTATGGAGAAAGGTTTTTGTTCTGTACTTTTAGAATGATGTGAGGAGGGAGGCGGAGTAGAAATCTTAATGCATTTTAACTTGTGAAGAAGCATCATATTCTATATTGGGGAATTGGAAGGTATCATAAGACTTACTTTAAAGCAGACTAAACTGTATTGTCACAGCTATTAATTTTACACAAAATGAAAATGTGAGCTGGGCCTGGTGGCTCACGCCTGTAATCCCAGCACTTTGGGAGGCCGAGGCGGGTAGATCGCTTGAGCCCAGGAGTTCGAGACCAGCCTGGACAACATGGTGAAACCCAATCTCTACTAAAAATACAAAATTAGCCATGCATGGTGACACGCAACTATAATCCCAACTACTGGGGAGACTGAGGCTGGATAATCACTTGAGCCCGGGAATCGGAGGTTGCAGTGAGCTGAGATCGCACCACTGCACTCCAGCCAGGCAACAGAGTGAGATCCTGTCGAGAGAGAGAGAGAGAGAATGTGTACTGCTCAAAGTCCAAAATTATCATTGTTTTATTCTTAAAGTACAGTTTTAAAAATCTGCACTTTGCCATCTTGAAAGTTAACAAACAATTTTAGGAGATTCCCTTTTATTCTCAATAAAATAGAAAGAAATATTTACTGTGGTTTATTCCTTAGTGTTAAAGAGAGGTTACCAAGCCAAACACTGAATACTTTAGAAAATTTCTAGATAGACACAGCTTAGAAATGGAGCTTAGCTTTTTTTTTTTTTTTTATCACCACCATTCTGAGAGCACAACATGAATTTAGGATAGTTGAATGGGACCTAAATGTGATGCAAGGATATTAAATTTGCTTTTAAAAAATGCATTTAACTCATACGGAAGCTCAAAAGTCAGACTTTGTAAAACGATTCTAACATTGAGGTTGGAACCATTCTTACGTTCTTAAATAAATACTATGGTATATATGCTAACTGAGTTGTTGTTGTTGTTGTTTTTGGAGACAGGGTTTCATTCATGTCGCCCAGGCTGGAGTGCAGTGGCGCAATCTTGGCTCATTATAACCTCTGCCTCCAAGGTTCAAGCGATTCTCCTGCCTCAGCCTCCCGAGTAGCTGGGACTACAGGCACGTACCACCATGCCTGGCTAATTTTTGTATTTTTGTAGAGATGGGATTTCACTATGTTAGCCAGGCTGGTCTCAAACTCCTGGGCTCAGGTGATCCACCCGCCTCGGCCTCCCAAAGTGCTGGGATTACAGGCGTGAGCCACCGTGCCCGGCCCAAATAAGTTTAGATGTAGTTATGTCCAAAGAATCCAAGTGGCACTAAGGCATGTGAAGCACCTTTTTCTTTCCCCCTTTTTGCACAGCTGCTCAGGGAGCATTCCACATACCTTCATTCTAAAGTTCCCTTTCCACTCATTTTGATCAGTTAGTATTATTAACCTGTGTGACTTGTGTAGCTATCCCCCTGTGTTTCTGTCTTAGCCTTTGTTACAGTGACAGTCCTTCTCTGTGTATTTCTCTCTGCCTTTCTACTGCCTTCTCCACCACTTTTTCCATCTTCAACTCCTGAGTTCATCCTCCTACTTGTCATACGAAAGTGCCTAATCCTTACGGCAATTAATTAGTCACTGATGATCAGATATAAGCCCCTAATTCTAAGGCTTTGGGGGATATAAAGAAATGTTCAAATATACTTAGTGTGTGTGGTGTATTTGCCTGGCACCATGCTCTTTCATGAACAATGTACACGATGTGATGGCCATAAAAAGTTAACAGTTTGGCCACCACGTCATGCACATTCCTCAACCAAGAGATGGTGCCAGGCAGATACATCACAATCATGAAGTATATTTGCATATATGAAGTAGTTCTTTGAGTAAATACATGACAGTGATAATCCCTGGGACAGGAGCAATCCTGTGGCTTAGGCAGGTTAAGGAGGTTTCCTGAGGGAGGAAGGAATTGACCTTGTTCTCAGAGGATGGGCAGAAGACAAGAGGAAGCCGTTCTGCTGGCATTTCGTCGGGATGAAGACAACACAGCCAGGAAATCCAGAGGTTGGCCTTGATAACTTAGAGTTCTAACAAGGGCAGCACTGATAGTCCTGGTAAGCTTCTAGGGCTCCAAGAAGCCTTCTTGGACCCAGCAGACTGGACTCAATGCCTTCATGCTGTAATCAGACTGTTAGAATTGTTTCACCTATTTGTAAACCAATCATGATTTAGGTGCTGAAGTCCAAAAAAGGGAAGTAGGTCATGAAGGGCTTAAACCAGCACTAATAGGAAAGTGAGTCCAACAGGGAGAAGGTTCCTCTTTTCTCATGGCCAAAGGTGTGGGTTTGGGAGCGTCATGGCTGTCTTTTGACCAGCACATAACTCCTAGTATGTAGCCTTGTGTTTCAAACTGTTGGAATTCACAGTGTTTTTCAAGTGAGATGAGCAGGTAGGCATCTGCTTACAGATACTATCACAGGTGATTACTCAAAGCACGCCAGTGACCTGTCAGCCTTTGCTTTGCCGGGTGCTTCCTTGGCTTTGCACCCTAGAAAATTAGGCATTTCATTTATTTTGTCTGCCTTGATAAAGTTGCTTTCATTTTTTTTCATTTTAAATTAATAAAAGTAGCATCTGCTCTGCTCTTTATCATAAGTAAAATGATACAGAAATGTATCAAGTTAATAATTGTCCCATTCCTGCCCCTCTTAATCCCACTTCTCCTAAAATAACCAGGATGAACAGCTTGGTGTATGTCAGTCTCTAGCTATATCTCTGCTCATACAAATATACTCACACATTTTTTAGGGTCTTTTTTTATGTTTTTAACAGAATGAGAATATTTTATATTGCTTGACTTGCAACTTACTTCTACTTAACACTGTTTCTTGGGCCTCTTTCTTTTTTTCTTTTTTTGAGATGGAGTCTTGCTCTGTTGCCCAGGCTGGAGTGCAATGGCGCTATCTTGGCTCACTGCAACCTCCACCTCCCAGGTTCAAGCAATTCTCCTGCCTCAGCTTCCCAAGTAGCTGGGATTACAGGCGCATGCAACCAGGCCAGGCTAATCTTTGTATTTTTAGTAGAGACGGGGTTTCACCATGTTGGTTAGGCTGGTCTTGAACTCCTGACCTCAGGTGATCCACCTGCCTCAGCCTTCCAAAGTGCTGGAATTACAGGCGTGAGCCACCGCACCCGGCCTGTTTCTTGGGCCTCTTTCTACTTCAGTACATTGACTTTCACTTCATGTTTGGTGGGTGACCTTCTGCCCTCTGGATGAACCATAATTATTTAACCTTTCCTATGTTGGTGGACACATGGATTATTATCAGCTGTGTGTCATGACAAAGAACGCTTTCATGAACATCTATTTGTACATGTCATTATGTACTGGGGCTTTTGTTTAGATGGATTTCTGAAGGGGGATTACTGGGTCAAGGAGTTGTCACACTTTTAATTATAATACCTCTTGATATATTCCTTTTCCACACAATTATAGCAGCTTACACACCCACCAATACTATCTGACATTTCCCATTATTCGTCTTTGCTAGCGCTAGGTTTTACCATTTATTTTAATTTTTAAAATTTGACAACCATCTTGTTTCAGTTTTTCTTTCTCTGACTTTGGCTGAGGCAGAGCATCTTTTGATGTGTCTGTGCCCTGTGAGCATTGCTTCTTCTGGGAGCCGGCTTCTCTGTAGTTAAATATCTGCTAAGGCAAGTGCCCCTCACTAGTCTCCTCTATCACATTTCTCTTGTTTTTTCTCCTATGTGGAGTTAAAACTCATTTTGCCCAGGTCCAAATAAAAATGCAAATCACTAGATCACTAGAATTCTGACTGGAACGCCATCAGATTTACAAATGAGTTCAGAAAGAGCTCTGACATATTTATGACATTATGTCTTCTCATCAAGGAACATAGTTTGCCTCTCCATTTATTCAGGTCTCATTTTATGAACTTTAATAAAATGCTGTGGTTTTCTTTATTTAGGAACTACTTCTTTAATTTATTTCCAGGAAGTTTATAGTTTTGTCTCTTTTATACTGGGAGTGACACAGTTTATGAGTCTGATATCAGTCTAATAAGACCCAAGAATGTGCCATCAAAGACAAAGAAAATAGACGTTATTTTTTTACTTTTTCTCCCTGATACAGAATACTTTTTTTTTTTTTTTTTTTTTTTGAGACAGAGTCTCACTTTCTCACCCAGGCTAGAATACAGTGGCGTGATCTCGGCTCACTGCAACCTGTGCCTCCTGGGTTCAAGCGATTCTCCTGCCTCAGCCTCCCAAGTAGCTGGGATTACAGGCGCCTGCCAACATGCCTGGCTAATTTTTTTTTATTTTTAGTAGAGATGGGGTTTCACCATCTTGGTCTCAAACTCCTGACCTTGTAATCCACCCACCTCAGCCTCCCAAAGTGCTGGGATTACAGGCGTGAGCCACCACGCCCTGCCGATACAGATTACTTTTAAATAATAAACATATACTAAGGAGTTTTATTAGAATGAAAAGAGAGTTTTTCTCTTAACATTTATATTAAAATTTTCCTACATGATGTTTTAAAATAACAGTTTCAATTTCAGTTTAAACTGGCGTATTAGTTTTTGCATTGCTGTAAGAAAATACCTGAGACTGGATAACTTATAATGAGAAGAGGTGAGGTTTAATTGGCTTACGGTGCTGCAGGCTGTACAAGAAGCATAGTGCTGGCATCCGTTTGGCTTCTGCAGAGGCCTCAGGAAGCTTCCAATCATGGCAGAAGGTGAACGGGGAGTAGGCAAACCACATGGTGAGAGCAAGAGAGGGAGGAGTGGAAGGTCCCAGACTTTTAAACAATCAGATCTTGCATGAATTGAGCAAGAACTCACTCATCACCATGGTGCTGAACCATTCCTGAGGGATCCACCCCCAAGATCCTCTCACCTCCCTCCAGGCCTCAGCTCCCACACTGGGAATCACATTTCAGTGTGAGATTTGGAGGGGACAAACATCCAAACCATATCACCTGGTAGGATTTAGTACTTGTACCTATGGATATTCGTCTTTTTTGTTTTGAGGTCTCTGAGTAGAATTCTCACAGATCTCAAAAAGGCTTAAATAACTGTGTTTGGGCAGTGGATATTTTGGGGGAGAGCTTCACTGTCTGCTCTCAGACCTCAGCTGTCAGAAAAATGAGCAGAAATGAAGGAAAAGTCCAAGCCACCGCACGCGGCAGATTGAAGGTGGTATCCAGAGTCACTGGAAGAGCGCTGACCAGTGGAGCTTTCCACAGTCCACTGTCCTGCTATTGGTGGGCACATCTCAAATATTCCTCTGTCCAGAGTCGTTGGAGCCTTGATTGGGGGTTGTACTAACTTCAGCAAGTGCCTTTTCTAGGGCCTCACTTGCTCATTTTAGGTGAGAATTAGAAGGCAGAGAAGAGTGATCCATCACTGAGTTACCTTCCTTTCCTTTGGGGAGCTCCTTGGAAGCTTCAGTCCTGGCAGTTCTTGCACTGCTTGTCCTGTAGGATTTCTTTACCCAGACTTCCAGGTAGAGGTTGGCCAGGCCAACACTCTGTCACTAGATACCATGACCCTGCTCCTTACTCTGTTTAGAGGGAAATGCCTCCAACCACATGACTTACGTTCTTTATGAGGGCACTACAGTTCCCCAAACTAGGTAGCCATGACTTTAAAATAACCACTTCTTTTAATGATAATTATTTTTCCTACTTAATTGCCTGGGTAGGTAATAAAGCATTTCTGTGTGAGGCCGTGCACCGCCACTCACCAGCTTTGCTAGTCTGATGATGGTAGAGACGTGTTTATCCTGCCCCTGCCGCCCCACCCTCTTCAGTCCAGTGTTGAGGTGCAGAGGAAGGAGCACCAGGCAGGCTGGCAGTCTCACTGGTTCTATTTGGTAGCACCGTATATTAACCAGGAACCTAGGGCAGGGCATGGAATCTTTTTGAGCCTCAATTTCCTTATCCACATCATGGGAATTTTTAGTTGTTACCCTATTATGTTGTTAGATAAAACTTACCTTGTTACCTTGTTAGATAAAACCAATAAGGTAACATGTGAAGTCATGTTCAAGAATGTGCAGTACCGCCTATGTAAGAGGTTGTTATTCTTCATGGGTTCTGTAAATGTTTCTTGGATGAATTCATGTACTCCACCAACAAATACGCCTTCTGATGCTGCAGCCTCTACCAGGGCCCTGAGGGCAAGGTGGAGGACAAAGCTGCCTCCTTTCACTGGGTCTCCTTGGTCCCCTTACCCGAGTAGGTGAAAGGGCTGGAGCAAGACAACTCTTCAGCTGCTCTAATTTTCAGAAACAAGGTCTGAGTCATAGTGAATCTGGATTTACAGAGTGAAAGCACAGCATGGGCACTTACTACCTCCTGTATCACGTATGCATGAAATAGCAAGTGATAAAAATGAATTCATTTTCCCATCTTTAGCAATTTTCAAAGCACTTTAATTTTATTCACGTTATTCTCTAGCTTATTACATTATCATGTCACTATTTAAGGTGAAAAACCTTAGGTATAAACCATGGATATCATTGTAAAGACAAAATAAATTCAGGACATATAATTCTTAAATTGCTGTTACAACCAGTGACACTGTTGACTCTGCAAATTTTTGGGGTGCCATGATCATATCCTTTGTCCTTTCTTGTATTGTGTTCTAAACAGCTTAATTCCTTGAGACAATTTTACTTCAACTAGAATACTGTGCATCAATAGAATACTGTGCATCAATAATTTAAACCAATAACAGTAGCATGGGATGGCAAGGTAATGACATTCCTACTTGCACACAGCAAAGCAAATGCTGAAGACAGCCTTGTCACAATTAAGTAAAATAGTGCTATTTTAATTTTGCTGAGATTCCTATCTCCATGTGTGGTGTGTGTGTGTGTGTGTGTGTGTGTGTGTGTGTGTGTGTGTAGAATGGTGGCGACCCTCTTCTGTGCCACAGTGTCTTCTCTTGTCCTGATAGTTATAGGCAGTGTTACTGATTCCTAACAAATGGCTCAGTGAGACTGGTCATGGGCTGAGCAGACTAACTTGTTTAATGACTGCTTTTAACTCTCTCTCACCTCCTAAAAACAACGAGATCAAGTGCCCCAGACCCTTAGAACTCATTCACAAAACTTGATGCGTGCCAGTTACATAAATACCAATAGTGAGTTCTAACGGATCCCTCATGCAGAAGTAAATGAACCCCACAGCTGAGAAGTGAAGAAAACTTTGGAAGAGTTAAAGATCCTTGTATAATACACTCTGCCATGTACAAAAGGAGCCCCTAGAGGTTCTTGTCCTCATCTTCAGTAGGCCGCTATAGAGGTTCACTTGGCATCCCCACTGCACTGGTGACAATGAGCAGGTGCATGAGCTTTGCAAGATGGCCTGCGTGGTGCTGGATTTACAGGTTTCAAACTCTTCACCAAGCTTCACAGTCATGATTGCACAATATAATTGACCTGATTTCTTTTATTCTCATTTTCTTGGCATGGCTCAGATATATTAAATACGTCTTTAGTCACACTCAGTTCAGCCTTTACATCTGCGCCGTAATGCTTGTTGTATAGTACTGTTTAAAAAATAATCTTTAGGATCTTTGGAATTTTTTGTAAAGATAGTCTTTAGTCAAAAGTCCTCTTTGATCTGATAGCTAGTCCTCTCTGTTTAAAGTATTGCTAGTAGACAGAATTTAGCATCAACTATAATCTCTAATTCAAAGTAAAGGGTTTTACTTTACTTTGGTTTTAGTATAATAGAATGAGGGTTAGGATCGCTAGCTGTGAAGCCAAGCTCTCTGGATTTTTCTCTGAGCTTTGTGTCCACCCTGGATGAGTGATTTCGCCTCTCCATACATCAGTTTCCTCCCCAGTAAACTGGGGAATAAAAATATCTCCCTCACAGTGTTGTCAGGGGAAGGTAAGATCTTAGAATACTGTCTGCCACAGGGTGAGCACTCAGTCAGTGCTAGTTGCTGAGATCATCATCATCATTATCATGGTCACTGGATTTCTTAAGGTCCAAATGCAAATTGGCCTTCACTCTTTTTTTGCTTAGTGTAAACACACTTATAAACGTCCATGGAAGGCAGTAGACGACACAGCTTGAAGTTGCACTTAAGTCAGAAGAAGGAATGGAGATTCTGAGCTGCTTAGGGTCCACAGCCACAGTTAAGGCACTGGGGTCATCAAGAAAAAAATCTACTACCAAGCAGGGAGATAGTAGGTAGGGAGAGTTGGTTAAAAGACTCCCAGGATCCCAGACGTAAACCTGTATTCCAGATTGTTGTTTCTGGAGTTGGTGGTGCTGTTTCAAAATCTGGACAGAATCTTGAGATGTTAACTAAGCAGTATCATTTGAGAACCATCTCTCTTTGTAAGTATAAAAAATTAGGAAATGTAGTAAAGCTGTGAGATTGAGGTGGGGAATAAGCATTCTTAAATGGCACAGGAAGCTTTGGGGTTTAAATACACTACAACTTTCATGGTAGCAATCCTTTCTTGTCAGGCCTTCTACCATCTTGAATTGAGGTTAAATTTAGCTGGGTGAATAAGCTTCATGTTTCATGAGAGATCAGGAGAATTCAAAGAGGGTCTTATGACACTAAGTCTACCCTTTCATGATGGAGCATATTTTCATATTAAGAGGTCATACAGGAAAATGCTTTTTGTTTTCTCCTGACATATTGAAGACACCAACAGGAGAAAGGTGAGTTAGCCAAACATCGTTGTACCGTGCTTGGTTGTTTGTCCCTATTCTTAATGGAAGCTCCTCTCCAGGTGTGGGAGGTGACTGAAAACACCACTGTTGTATTTTGGACTTGCCCAATGTTGTCTTGGGGTTTTCAGGAAGCACTAAATATGGACAGCACCACACAGAGCAGTCACTTTGACTCCTGAAGGGACCAGGTTCCGTTTGACTGCTGCTCCCCCTGAACCACAACCTCATGTGTGGGCGTGAAGTTCTTGGCTGAAGCTCTAGCTAAACAGAGTGAGGGAGTCTCATTTAGAGCTGTATAGATCCCTGGGAAAATAAAGCATGGCTGGAAAACTACCGGGAAGACAAATGATCCAATTTAACCCAAGCCACTTTTCAAAACTCAGACCAACAGAACAATAACAGTGGAAAATTACAGGAACCCAGGCTCCTTGAGAGGACCAAAATCCGAAATTGCTGATTCTCCATGTCTTTGGAAGAAGCTCTTCCCACAGGTAACTGTGCCTGCACATGTACGTCTGACTTTTCCACGGGTCCACACATGTACATTTTCTGACGACTTAGGGTGTAAGGCACATTTTAAAACTAGATTTCGTCTACTACAATGGTCAGTTTCCTTGATGTCATCGTAAGTATAATGAGATCATTGAAGCTGTAGACGGAGGAGTTGTCTTTTATCAAAAGGATTAGATAGATGGCAGCCCAGGCTGGTTCTGAACGAGACAAAATAATTACCTGGCTCTTAGGTATCATTGTTTTTTCTAGTCTAGGATGAGGCAAGTAAAGGAAGTATTCATCTTACTGAAAGTCAAAAATGCAACTTTCAGCATTTCACATAATAATCTCTTGCTATTTTAGGGAACAGTATCAGCTTTCAACTGGACACCCTTTTTTGTGGAAGAATTTGAAAAGCTGTTTCCATATGAGAAACATGATTTTGTTTTGTTCTGTTTTTTTTGAGACAGTCTAACTCTGTTGGCTAGGCTGGAGTGCAGTGGCACAATCTCAGCTCACTGCAACCTCCGCCTCCTGGGTTCAAGTGATTCTCCCGCCTCAGCCTGCCAAGTAGCTGGGACTACAGGCATGTGCCACCACGCCCAGCTAATTTTTGTATTTTTAGTAGAGATGAGGTTTTGCCACGTTGGCCAGGCCGGTCTTGAACTCCTGACCTCAGGTAATCCACCCAGCTCGGCCTCCCAAAGTGCTGGGATTACAGACGTGAGCCACCATGTCTGGCCCATGATTTTATTTTCTAACCATGTGGTCATGAATGTGTATAACAAGGTCAGGGCCCAGCAGCCCTTGGCACGTCCTGACTTGCACAGCCACTTCTCCTGAATGCCCTGTCGCCCATCCAGGCACCGTTCATTCACAGTGAAACGTGGTTCTCTGTCAGCGGCACACTCAGCTTCTCCAGGGCCTGGTCAGAAAAAAAAAAAAAAAAAGCTGTTATCCTTTGAATGTGAACTTCTGATTTCTTCCTCATGGCAACTAACTTCTGTTACAAGATTTGACTCCATAATGGAACAGCTTGTCCTCTATCCCAATTGACATCCAAAAAGAGTTGAAAAAAATCTTTACTTTCGCTTTACACCAAGGAGGCTAATTATGTGTCCCATTGCTGCATTCTGTTCATGTCCGTGTGTCTACAGTTAAGCAGCCAACTGGGTGCTCAGTGTGGCTTGGTGGAAGTAGTCATGGAAGACCTACCCATCTATTGAGAAACGATCAGAACTACATGAATAGGTACAGTGACATTGTCAGCACTTTGCATATTTTAAGTTCATAGATTCTACCCAAAAAAGTATGGGTTTTTCATCCAGAAGTCTAAACCTACAGTTAGAAGATTTTATTTATGAATGACCAGACATAAGTTTTGTATCACAGTTAATACACATTCATTTGTGCATGTATTGGGTTTCAAGCATTGTGCTAAGTAAATGCAGAAAAACTGGTGACAAATACGCCCAGTCCCTGCCTCAAGGAGGTAACAGACTGGTGATATGGGCAGTCAGGTAAGCAGGTAACTGCTGTACACCTTGACGAGGGCGATAACAGAGTCTCGGATCTGCACAGGGGGCTGCAGAGCACAGAGGAGGGAAGACAAGAAAGAGGGTGGGAACTAGAGGACGTTGGGAGTCAAGAGAGGGTTTCTTTTTTAGGATGGAGGAGACTTTTGCCTGTGTAAACATTGATGGGAAGGCCAGTCAAGTAGCAAAGATCAGACAAAAATGAGAGGAAGATGGTGGATTTGAACAGGGCTCCTGAAATGGTCAGAGGAACATAAAGGTAGAGCCCCAGATGGATGGCCCCACACTCACCCTGGTCAGGCCCGCCTTTCCTTTGTGACAGGAGGGAGGAGGTGAGGAAGAGCTTAGGTCAGATGTGTTTTGTTGAGTTTTGTAGTTTCAGAGAGAGAAGCAATAAGAAATTTAGTTTCTACCTGATGGGTTCCACATTCCAGATGGATAAGAGGTGAGGTTATCTGCTGAGTAAGAAGGAATGCATCTCAAAGTCTTCCCAGCCTAGGAGTACTGAGAGCAGGGAATGGGAAAGACTAGAGGGGTAACTGGGCAGCTGACAGCATGCAGGGGGCGTTGGAGACCATGATTGTGCAGTGGCAGCAGACCGTGTGGCTGTGTATTCGTTTCCAGCAACTCTCAAAGCCCAAGTAGAATTCTACAAATACCGTTAAGGGTGGAATAGGTCAGTCAGGTGAATCCAAGGCTAGAGATTTGCAGGCAGTGAGTTGCAGGTTTTGGCAAGAGTGGGGTTAAGTGATGACCCTGAAGTGTAGGCTGCAGTAGTAAGGAAGGGAAGACAGGAGGAGCGATGAGAGGGAAAGTGGGGAGTCGAGAGAGTGACAAGCTTAATGAAGTTTAGAATCGAGGGAGTGGGAGAAATAGAGCTGAAAGGTTAGAAATTGCAGCCGGAGATTTTAACTGAAATTTGAGAAGGGGAGCAACTCTGGATGGTGGAGGCAAAGGTGTGGCCACAAGAGTGTGCACTTGAAGCAGAGTAGAGGTCACTGGCGCGGAGGAGGTCAAAGAACTCAGAGGGCATTGGGTGGGCTGACCAGACGGATATTGACATGCCTTCCCTGCAGAGTTGAGATGCAGAGGAGACTCTGAGCCAAGTGGCAGGGTCCCCAGTGAAAATCTAAGGGGCTAGAAGGGATCAATTCTCCATTTGGAACTCTAAGATGAGAGAGCAATATGGCTAGGCGTGTGAATCTCAAAAAAGCAGGGAGTTTACAGGAGAGCAGAGAGGCATTGGCTGGAATGGTGTGGACAGCAAGAATGCACAGCTACCTCCAGGACTGCGAGGATCAGGATGACCCCAGGCCGGGTGCTGCATGTGCCCTCACCTTCCTGTTGCCCAGCTCTGGGGTTGCCAGGAATTTCAGCTGCTGGGTGACAGCAGCAGTCAAAGGCCATGCAGTGCCATCTCAGGTGGAGGTAACACAAGTGGCAGAGGCAGGGAGGTGCTGTTCACTGGAGCGGGACTGCAGGGCTTTTGCCCAGGGCCTTATAACCATGATGGAACCTGCAGGAAGCATGGAAAGGGACATTCTCCTCCAAAGGCCCAGAGGAATCAGACTAGGGGACCACTCTGTTACTGTGGCCGGGGTGGGCTCATGGGCCCAACTTATGTACTGAACCCCAAAAGATAATCTGTCTACACATCAGTGCTTCATAGGTTTCCCAGACAGGAGATGAGCTGAGCAGCTTGTACACCAGACCTCCTCTCAGCGAGGAGGGGTTACCACCTGGACCCGTGCCCCAGGGGCACAGCACTCCTTCCCACTTGCAAGGAATGCTTGTTGCTAGCATTAGCATAAAATGACTGGCAGGATTGGGGTGAATTGGTGCCTCCTGTCCTGAGGAATCTCAGACTACAGTATAAAGATATTTCTGGTCTCTAGATCTGAAGTTTACAATGTTGGCGTCTCTTTTAGGATTTAATGATCTAGACAGCTCATACCAGGGAGATCAGTTCATGTCTGTGGGATTTGGTAAACATTTCCGTGGAGGTTATATTTTTTACTTTTTAATATCCTGTGGTTTTGTTAACTTACTGTGGAAAAAAAATCAGGCAACAGAACACAGTGAACCTGGTAGATACTGGGAGATAGAAGGGCTTGCATGACTCACTCAATACTTTCTGGACCCAGATATGTTTGGTGTTTTTGTTTGTTTGTTTTTTGTTTTTGTGATGGAGTTTTGCTCTTGTCGCCCAGACTGGAGTGCAATGGCGCAATCTCGGCTCACTGCAACCTCCACCTCCCGTGTTCAAGCAATTTTTCTGCCTCAGCCTCCAGAGTAGCTGGAATTACAGGTGCCCCCCCACCACGCCCGGCTAACTTTTTTTATATTTTTGGTAGAGACAGGGTTTTGCCATGTTTGCCGGGCTGGTCTCAAACTCCTGACTTCAGGTGATCCACCTGCCTCGGCCTCCTAAAGTGCTGGGATTACAGGCGTGAGCCACTGCACCCGACCCCAGATATGTTTTTAAGTCAGCCATTCCACATCGCTAAGTGCCCATTGTGTAGAGAAGACTGATCTGAAATGCCTTGTGCCATGCACCTGGGGCCAGACCCAGGCTGTGATTAAAGGGCGGCTTCATATTCACAGTTGTTGGAGTGCTGTTAAATCTGGCTCTAATCTAAAGTGTCTTTACTTTGAAAACCCCATGAATGTTTAGAGACTCGCCTTTAAACAGTGAACCTCTGCCCTGGTGAATGTCTTGGCCGTCTGCCTCGAGGCCTAATTCATGCTGGAGACATCCTAGACACTTTCTTTGCTGAATTTCATGACCATAGCTATTCCTCTTTACCAGACACAGCACCTTCTTCCTGGTCTTGGCTAGAGATGCAGCAGTATTTGGGACTGACATTACCTGAAGAGCACTTCCTATCTAAGTAACTGAACTACAGCACTGTCACAACGCTGGCATGACATAGAAGGCTCGCCACATCCTTCATGTGTTTAGATTTACTCCTAGTGTGCTGTGGGGCCAAATTGTGGACTCTTTTTTCCTATCTCTGTTCTTTCTAGATGATCTTGTTCAGTCCCCTAGCTTTAAATTCTATCTGTAGGCCAATGACCTCCAAATGTATATCCATAGCCCAGACCGACCCTCCAGACTCCAGACTCACAGAGCTGACTCTCTCATACAACTTCTCTATTTGGAATCCTAATGGGCATCTCAAATCCAACATGAGGCTGCCAATGGCGCTCTTGCTTTTTCCTCTCAAACCTTCCCTCTCTCATTTCCTCAACCCAGAAAATTGCTGCAGCACTTGATCAGTGACTCAAGCCAGAAAGCTCAGCAGTCATCATCAGGTTCTCCCTCTTTCTCATGCCCAGGAGGATGCGGGGGGCGGCCCCCTGCCCACACTCTGCTCCCTGGGAAGAAACGTGGGAAGCATGAGCCAGGCGTTGGGACCCAAGCCAAGTGTAGTCCCTGCCACACCCATTTGCTTTCCTTCCCACAAGCTCTCCAGTCAGGCCACTCTCCCTCTCCACTACTCACCCTCGGCCAAGCCGCACCTTGTCTGGCCTGGGTTACCACAGGGCCCTTGGCCTCTGTGGCTCGCATCCCTCTCCAGCCCACTTCTATCACAAAGGCCAGTGGCAGCCCCTGTCCTGCCTCTGCCCAGACCTTTAATGGCTTCCCACTGCTCTTGCAGCAAAACACATGTTCTTCACTGCCACCTAGAATCATCTCAGCATTGCCTGCTTGTCCAAACCCACCTTCTACACCTCTCTATTTCTCTTACTGGCCTCCCTTCTGTTCCTTAAATATACTAAGCCCTCCTGCAGGCCTGTACCTGCCTCCAGCTCTTTATGCACCTGGCTCACTCTTGGTCTTTGGGTCCCAGCTCAAACGTCACCTCTTTAGAGGGGCTGCCTTGTCTACCTAAATAAGCTCCTGCAAAAAATGTCCAGCCATTGGCACATAGTAGGCCCCCTTATCCATGGGTTCACGTCTGCAGGTTCAGCTACCTGCAGTCAATCACAGTCTGAAAATTGTGCAGTATTTTGAGAGAGAGACCACATTGACATAACTTTTATTACAGTATATTGTTATAATTGTCCTATTTTATTGTTATTGTTGTTACTCTTACTGTGCCTAATTTATAAATTAGACTTTATCATGCTTTGGGAGGCAGAGGCAGAAGGATCACTTGAGCCCGGGAGTTCAGCCAAGACCAGCCTGGGCCACACAGCAAGACCCCATCTCTACAAAAAAATTAATAAAAGTAAAAAATTAACCAAATGTGATGGTGCACACCTGTAGTCCCAGCCACTCAGGAGGCTGAGGCAGGAGGATCACTTGAGCTCAGGAGGTTGAGGCTGCAGGGTGAGCTGTGATTTTGCCACAGTTCTACAGCTTGGGTGACAGAGGAAGACCCCATCTCAAAAAAAGAAAAAAAAGGGGACTTATGTGTGTGTATGTATAGGAAAAAACATAGTATATATAGAGTTGGGTACTATCCGAGGTTTCAGGCATCCACTGGGGGTCTTGAATCATACTTTCTGTGAATAAGGGGCACCTATGTATTTTTTTTTTGTCTTCAGTACATATCACAGTAAATGTTTATTCTATTTGTATACGTTTTACTTCATTCTTCCAAATATTTATTGATCATCTATCTTGAGATGCCCTACCACCCCCCATGTTGTAGGTCTGGGGATGTAGCAGTGAAACAAAGGTCTCTGCTTCCTGGAGCTTACATTCAGGTAGGGCAGTCAGGCAAGAAAATAAATAACAAGTAAAGATGTGATACTATGTTAGGAAGTGAACATGCAATGAAGAAAAACAGGGTGAGCAAACAGAGACAGATAAAGCAAACAGTAGGTGACTGAAGGACGTATAGTAACTTAATGATTAGCCAGGCGTTGTGGTGGGTGCCTGTAATCCTAGCTACTCGGGAGGCTGAGGCAGGAGAATTGCTTGAGCCTGGGAGGCGGAGGTTGCAGTGAGCCGAGATCATGCCACTGCACTCCAGACTGGGCGACAGAGCGCGACTGTGTCTTGAGGAAAAAAATAATAATAATAATGAATGGGAAAAAAATCACAAATAAATGGGCAACAGATGGTTTATTCAATAAGTGATTTTGAAGTAATGCACTAGTTGGAGACAATTAGTTTTAATCCATAACTCACTTCATAAGTTTCAGGAAGATTAAAAAGTGTGCAAGTGAAGCCATAAATTAGAACAAATTTATCCTATCTATGGCGGGGTAAGAATGGCAAATCCAAAAGCATAGAAACAAACTCCATAAAATGATTGACAGACTGCATGATAACTGAATGTTTCTGGTATCAAAAGAAAACATGGAACTAAGCAGTGAACACACTGGGGGAAACGTTTGCTCCAGATGGGGATAACAAAGTGCTAGTAATATGAATGTAGCTCATGTCCTCAATTCTGCAGCTTTTTTCATACTTTTGAATGTTTCTTGAAATTGGGATGATTTTCAAATAATGTGTATATTTAATGTGGTCATTAAAAACATGAAATCAATGGCATTTCTTACAAGCAATAATATCTTGCAGGTAAAATGTGATTTTAAGAAGTGTTTCTTTAAAAATTAGTTCATGTAATTAGTATGGACACTTAAGTTCGTGGTAGAAAATAGCCAATTCATTCGTTCATTCAACAAATAATGGAGTGTTTACGATGTCGCCTTGGCAACAAGGGGGTAGGTGAACAGCAGTAAACAAAAGCGGCAAAAATCCTTGCTTTCAAGCGCCTGTCAGCCAGCCACTGCTTCGTGCCCTGTGCACTACCTACCTTGCTTCTCAAATCAGTTGGGTTATTTTAGGGAGAATAAGTATTTTAGCCAAGGCCACTCAGCGCTTAAGTGATAGAAGCAGATTCCAACTCAAGTCTGCATGGCTTTAAACCCTGTGTTCTTTCCTCAAATTACCATAATTGTTGGGCTAAATGAAACTTTCTCACTTTGTCTCACTGACAGAGCTATCATTACCTGGGCCCTCTCTCTTCCCACCTGCCTCAGCACTGGCTTGAGGACTCAAGTCCGGGAACTGTTGGTGGAAATAGAAGGCATTTCAGTGGATGCCTCAGCCCAGGCTGGTGTGTTTTTAGCAAAAAAAAAAAAAAAAAAAAAAAAAGAATGCTTTGCCAAGAAGACACATAAAATGTCTAGTCCTCCATTATTTAGGTGCCCTATGAGATGCTTTTAAATTTTTGCTAAATAATAGATACCATCCAAGATTAACACATTCGAGCAATAAGCACAAGTAAACAATTGACAATCCTAGATTTTGGGAAGGATGGGAAAGAGAAGGAACAAACCACATGCTATTGTTGATGTCTGAGAAATAGATGATTAGAAGCTGTCCTAAATGGAGTTCTCTAGAAACAAAACCTGTGTGGGAGGAAGCAGGATAGGTGGTGGGGAAAAGTGCATAGAGGATGTGGTCCCCACTGGAGACTGGCTTCACCCTGATCCCAGGGAGAACTCTGGAGCATGAATTGTACCACAGTGGTCCCACTTGGAGGCAGGGACACTGATCTTACACACCCCAGTGTATAAAATCAGCCAGTGGCTTCGTGCTGACTGGAACTATGGTGGATGCATCAGATGAGTTTCACCGATGCATAATGGCTGGGAGTAGGTCTCCCTGGCAAGAAGACAGCTGTGAGCCATTAGTGGCCAATTCCCAACATCCGGGGATGGGTCCACTGCCAGGTAAAGGATAGGGGATCTGGGTGAGACACCAGTAGTGTCCCCTACAGAAGGCCAAAGGGAATTAATTGGGTAAATTGTCAAGTGGTGAGTTTCGCACATAGATAGGAGGAGGCCTTAGGCTAGAGATGTTTGTTGAGCACAGGCACTTGTTATAAAGGAGCTTTTTGATTTTTATTTTGTTTTAGGGTGTTAATGTATTCCATCAGGGAAAATTTGTTTCTAAGAAAGGCATCATGGCAGGTGTGCTCTCAGAGGCTAAGAAGGTTCTTATGGAAGTTTTCACCGTTATTAGTGGAAAAAAGGAAAACAATTAGAGATAAAATTGGAAACAATTATCAGAAGCTAGCTTATATAATACCGAGTCAGAAAAATGATAATGAGTTCCTACGGCTAGCATACATTTTTATTCTAGATTTTTCTAAAAATTATATTTCACATTGATATTTTCCTGTAAATACATTTCTTCCTAACAGTGCTTTGCAGAGAATGTCAACTCTTAAGTTTTCATTCTGCCAGCCAGCTGTGTCTCCTGGTAAAGGAATGAAACAAAGGCACAGAACGTGAAGCCCTCTGGTTTTGCCGAGTAGCTCTGCCTGTGCTTCTGCCAGAGTCTGTGACACTGGATTACATGTAGGGACCACAGCCTAGATCAGCCCTTGAAACCAAGGAATAACTTGAAGTGTAACATGAAATACCTCCTTTCATAGATTCTGAGGCACACTCCTTCCACCTCCATATTTTAGTAACTCTGAAATCTGGATACATCTTACAATCAATGACATCCAATTATAATTGGGAACGGTTTTTTGTTTTGTTTTGTTTTGGTTTTTTTTTTTTTTTTTTTTTTTTTTCTTTTTTTGAGACACAGTCTCACTCTGTTGCCCAGACTGGAGTGCAGTGACATGATCTCAGCTCATCGCAACCTCCACCTCCCGGGTTCAAGTGACTCTCAGCCTCCCGAGTAGCTGGGATTATAGGTGCACACCATCATGTCCAGCTAATTTTTGTATTTTTAGTAGAGACGGGGTTTCACCATGTTGGCCAGGCTTGTCTTGAACTCCTGTCCTCAAGGGATCTGCCCATCTCAGCCTCCACAAGTGCTGGGATTACAGAAGTGAGCCACCGCACCCAGCTGGAACACTTTCTTTCTTAGTGGTATAACTAATAATGTACCTTACTGTCGTATCAGACCCATATTGACTTCAATAGGGATGGCACCATGTTCAAGAGGCCAAAGAAGCGACCCAGAGCCAGTGAATGAGACCTAAACCCTGTTTACTGAGGGGACTTACATACAGGGAAGTCCAGCGGTGGCAGGCCGGACAGGAGAGCTGCTACCATTTGTAAAAAGCATGCAGTTTATGTAGATCAGCTGTGTCAGCATTCTTGGAGTATGTTTAAGTTGTTATTCTTATCAGGTGCATCTACCATGCAGGGTCATTCTCAGGGTATGCTGAAGTTATTGCTATCAGATGTGTCTGCCATACACTTACAGTCTATAGTATCAGATTCAGTGAAACACAATGGTGGATTGAGTTTACTTTGTTTTGTCATAATGTAGTATGATTCTTATATATGTTTGAAGATTAGTTCTTGAATCTTTTGTTGTATTCAGTCTTTCCTCTTTCAAGCACCCGTTGGCTCCTTTGGTATTGTTGACATTAGCTCTACCCAGTATAGCAAGGCAGCTCTCAGACTGTGGCTATAACCATATATTTGTAGGGAAAATTATCAACAGCTATCTTGATTAATAGAAATAGGAAATAGACAGGAAAAGTGCATTTCTTTCATTTCTTCTTTCAGTTTACATAGCAGAGACTGAATATGAATTCTATGAATGTGATTGTGTCTCTATTGGATGAGTGACAAATGGCAGGGCCAAGACTTTAGCATATCTTTTTTCTTAAAAATATGTTGTGGATATATGTCATTCTGCATTTGTCAGAATCCACAGAATGTACAATATACCAAGAGTAAGCCCTAATGTAAACTACATTACACTAGTCACCCCTATCCACAGTTTTACTATCCATGGTTACAGTTACCCATGGTTGACCAAGGTTCAGAAATATTAAATGGAAAGTTCCAGAAATAAACAATTCATAAGTTTTAAATTGCATGCCATTCCGAGTAGTGTAATGAAATCTCTCACCATCTTGCTTCATCTCTTCCTCATCACAAGGAGTACAGTAAGATATTTTGAGAGAAAGACCACATTGATAAAACTTTTATTATAATATATTGTTAATAATTATTCTGTTTGATTATTATTGTTGTTAATCTCTTACTGTGCCTAATTTATAAATTAAACTTTCTCATAGGTATGTATATATAGGAAAAAACATAGTATATATAGGAAAAAACATAGGTACTTTCCATGGTTTCAGGCATTCACTGGGGGTCTTAGAATGTATCCCCTAAGGATAAGGGGGGACTACTGTCTGGTCTTTGAGTAATAATGATGTGTCCGTGTAGATTCATTGATTGTAAGGCATGTACCACTCTGGCGTGGGATGTTGATAGCAGGGGAGGCTCCGTGTTTGTGGGGGGCAAAGGATATATGGGAATGCTCTGTACTTTCTGCTCAATTTTACTGTGAACCTAAAACTGCCTTAAAAACAGTCTATTTTCTAAAAATATATAACTATACAGAAAGCTGACTCTTCTGCTTAGTTTCCTGTTCCTAATGACAGATGCAATGTTCTAGAGGCATTTTAGTCAGAAAGCTCTCTCTACCTGGACATCCATTCCCACTGGTCTGCTGTTACTGATTTGTCTTCGGGGTGGGAAATTTAGTTTGGAAGTACCATCCCACCAAGGCCTGCAGTGCCTAAGAGCGTCTCTCTTGGAGGATGGTTAAAGTAGTCAGGGTATTTTACAACCGCATCTTCCTGCACAACCATTATCCAAAAACATTTATTTTTTAGTCTAAAGGTGTTCTTTTCATATTTGTCTGTGTAGAGCTCAGGAATGTATTTCAGGTTAAAATATAGTAGGAATCAGGTAAACAACATGCATGAATGAAGAATATAATAAATTCTTTCAGTACCTTTTTTCATAGCATAGAGCTCTGCTATGAAGAATACATAACACATACACAGTATTTAAGATTACATGTGCACACATGAACACACACACACACACACACCACCCCTTCTTTAAAGAAAAAAGAACCCATCCCCTTGATATAAACTGTTAGACTCGTTTTCAGAATGTCTCTTGCCATTATGTCAATTCAGCCTGCAAACAAAATTTAACATTTTTGTTTTTTTAAAAAAATCAACTTTTAACCAAAACTTCTTAGAATTATTTTTCAATATTAGCATAAAATATTTGTTGGTGTTTTGCTATTATTTTAACTGCAGTGGTCAGGTATCTCCTTCACAAAAAGAAACTCAAACTGAAGCTGATGTAGATGAAAATGAAAACCAATCACCTTTATCCAATTACATGAGATGCACCCTATAAGCTACTTAGTGTTTCTATAGAAACGTGATCTGCTGAATTTCATCTTAGAGGTATGATTCCCCAGAGAAGAGATGACATTTCTAATGCTTGTGGGTTTTTTTCCCCCTTCCCAGGCCTTGAACCGGGGCATTGCTGCTGTCAAGGAGGATGCAGTCGAGATGCTGGCCAGCTACGGGCTGGCGTACTCCCTCATGAAGTTCTTCACGGGTCCCATGAGTGACTTCAAAAATGTGGGCCTGGTGTTTGTGAACAGCAAGAGAGACAGGACCAAAGCCGTCCTGTGTATGGTGGTGGCAGGGGCCATCGCTGCCGTCTTTCACACACTGATAGGTGAGGCCGCCGACCGCCACTGACGAATCTAGCTTTGGCAATTTCTTATTCCTTTTCATTGATTTAAATGTATTTATTGAGATAAGTGGTTTCTTCACTAATTATCAAATGTTTCTTATGAAATTTTCAGGGGATAGAAGGAAAGCGCTTGTGCTCCTAGCTTAAGACAATAATGTGTTTTTTCTGGGGAGCTGTAGTTTTGTGTCTCTGATTCCCAAAGTGAAAAGCAGTGATTTCATTAGTAGGCGATTACATCTAGGAATAACATTTGGTAAGGCCAATAAAATAGCAGGTGCTTTCGTTAGAGATATGTGTGCGTCATTGTACTGGGTCATTAAATCTTAAGAATAAAAATAGAATGACTTATTTAGAATTAATGCTTATTAGCAGTGAGAACAAATGACAGATTGTTCTATTTATTAATTTGTTCTAGGATCTTATTCTATTTTATTCAAAGACAAGACTAAATGCTCTTGTGATAGCATTCTTTCCATGAAACAACAGGAAAGCTGTATCATACATACAGTGACTGGCCTCCAGTTTAACCAAGACCCTGGAAAAGCAGCTCTCCTTCAGGGCTGGAGTTCTGCTGCTGCTTTCTTGGTGGGGATAAAGCCTTCAGGGCATGACTTCCGTCGTGGCTTTAAAACAGCTTTGCTTACCTGGCATAAAAATTGAGTGGTACCTCTACTGAAACCAGTTACATAAAACACTGTGAATGACACTTCATAAACCCATTGTGTACCTTAAAATTGTTACTGATTGTTTAAGACGCGTGACTGTCAGTGGTGAATAAAGGAACCAAAAGATTAACCCAGACCGTTTACAGTGTGTTTGCATGGCAGCTAATGCTTACTCACATAACTGCGAATCTGAAAGTAAATAAGGTAAGGCCTTTGTGGTTTTCCTTTTTAATGTGACATAAAATTTTGTGCTAAGAACATTGTGGAAGAGAGCGCATCTGCTGATGGACCAGACATTCAGCCAAAGCGTTGATATTGATCCTTTAATTTGTGCTCAGAGCTTCAGGGCATGGAGTAAAGAGGAGCTGCCTCTCATTTCCTCAGTTTATGCCCTGAAGGCTAACTGTGGACTGAGTATTTGCACATGTACTTGTATTTGAAGTAAATTTCTGCTACATTTGACCTGAGCCATTTTCAAAGAATACATGTACAGTATTTGGGAAAAAAAAAAGCCATATATTTTGTAAAATAAGGGGCTTCCTTAAATAAGCAAATGAGTTCCCTTTGTTACTAGCTCTTTTTTTACTTGGACTTATAAATAATCCAACATTCCCTATTTAGCCATGGTTGGATGAAACTTTGGGACTAAACAGCTAATTATCAGTTGTCAGTAATTCTGGAAGAGAAAAGCTAAGCATCCCGTGTTATTGCAATTGTCGGGAAGAAAATGTGGTCATTAAAATAAAAATCAATGTCATTTTAGTTTTTCAATTTTAAAATAGAATTATAAAATTTTAAATTTAAACCAAAATGGTTTTCTGTATCTCATATATATTTAATAATCATTATTAGTTTTTATACTTTTGCAATCACAGCATTTTTCCATCCACCAAACAAATGTTTTCCACAGTTGCTACGAAAGCACATATGAATTTCTTTTGAACATCTGAAAATCAGATCTTAATGATGTACCCTTTTCTAGAGTGTTGGCCTCCTTACCATTTTCTGCCTAAGTCTTTAGCTGCTCTCTTGCCTTTGCCATCTGCTACGTCGGGCATCTTTGTTCACCTTTCTGCCTCTGTTTTTAGTAATCCTGTAAGCTTTTCTATATCCAGATCCTGCCCATTTTGTTTCCCATAATCGTGGCCACAAGCTCCATGATGGGATGTTGCTCTCTCTCCACCCCCCAGCCATTCTTCCCACCACTTTCCTATGTCATTGAACGTTGCCCTTCCAATGGCAGTCTCTATGCATCACCTATATTTGACGCTTACACCCATTTTCATTTCCTAGTAATGCTGAAAACAGCTACTTACATTTCTACTTCAGCAGTCAGCTCCTGGATAACTATGTGTGTGACAGGGGAACACTGACATAGATAAAACAGAAAAGGAAATACTCCAAGTATATTTGACTCGAAAAGCCATTGTATGATTTCAAGCAGTCTTCCTGATTATATTTGCTTGGGCTGATATTGAAATGAGCATATATTCCCTACATGTACAGCTCCTGGGTGGGGCCTACAGTAAGTACAGGAAGCTTTGTATTATAAATTCAACATGCTGAATTCACAGAGTGGGAATATAAATCAGATACATCTAGGTTTAAACTAATTTCTTTCTATTCTTTTGTCCAGGCAAAAGTAGTTGAATTGCCTTCAACATTTCTTTAAGTGCTAGTTTCCCATCACCTTAATGAATTTATTTCCTTTTAGCAAGTTCTTCTAATTTTTCAAAGGCATTTATTTTCAACATGTGAGAGCATAGAGCAGGAAGAGATTCTTTCTTTTTGGGGTTGGGACAGGCCTCATGGATTGAGTCATTTCTTAACCGTCTCTGAAGGATGAATTGCATTTCAGCACTTTTCTTCAGTTTGTTTGTTTGTTTGTTTGTTTTTGAGACAGAGTCTTGCTCTGCTGCCCAGCCAGGAGTGCAGTGGTGTGATCACAACTAACCGCAACCTTGAACTCGTGGGCTCAATCAATTCTCCCACCTCAGCCTCTTGAGTAGCTGGGACTACAGATGCATGCCACCACATCTGGCTAATTTTTATATTTTTTTTTTGTAGAGATAGGGTTTTGCCATGTTGCCCAGGCTGGTCTTGAATTCCTGAGTTCAAGCGATCTGCCTACCTGAGCCTCCCAAAGTGCTGGGATTACAGGCATGAGCCACCACACCTGGCCAGCACAACACTGTCTAATTTTTCCTTATCTTTGATACAAAATGGAGTCAAGAATTTGCCCTGTGCGCTATAATGAATATTTTGCTATAGCCATCTAAAATCATCCCAACGTGATGTTCTCTATCTTAGACTTTTTTCCCCCAGTCTGGATGAACTTTGACACTTCATACTTTTCACTATTTACTAATAATTTACCAATCCCTGGAGGGTCTTCTTCACTTAGAAGGGATTTCAAATGTGGACATTGCCAGCTCTGAAAAATCAGTTGCAGATGTAGCTTCTCACTTTCACTAACGCAGTGTCCCCTCTGTGCATCAGTTAATGGGTCGCAGCAGGATGATTGAGACAGGCTCAGGTCAAAGAGCACTAAAAGCTTTTGTAGTGTCATCCCTCATTCACTGGGTTTGCCCCAATAAAGGAAAGAACCTTCTACTAGGTCCTTTTCATTAGATTTACTGTAGTTAAGGAATTCTTTTTCCTTACATTTCTTTTCTTTTTTTTTTCTTGACCCCGCTATTGAGCTAGGCATTCTCCCATCTTTGAGAACTTTGTGCTTGGTAATGGATTTCCCCAGACAAGGCTGGGTTAGATACCACTGACCACTCAGACACTTCCCTGGGAATGCTTGGTGGAGATTGTGCGGGAAAGATGGCCCCAGAGAATGTGCCCAGCAACTCTTCCCACCCAGGCAAACCTTGTGCAATGAGCCAATAGAGCAGACACTTGGAATTGTGTTGGACTGAGAGAGTTGAAGTCTAGAAGATCCACTGGACAAGAGTTACTGTCCATACTATGCACACCCATAGCCTGGCTCTAGATACCCAAATTGCACAAGCCTTGGGAGTATTTCTTGGCCCTTGTTGAACAGCTGCAAGTATCTCTTTTTTAGCTTAACCATAGCCACGACTTCTGTCATGGACCCATGTATGAGACACCATTTTTTAAAACTGCGTTGTCCTGCTAGATTAAGTTACAAAACAAAAACGAAGAGTACAGAGCCCGGGGTTTGCCATCACCACACCTTCATTTAGGCCAGTGGTTGTGCTGCATGGAGGAAAGCGTGCTGACCTTGCATTTGGTTCCATTTGGGTCCAAATTAATTTCACGTGCGTGGAAATTAGTATTGCCTAACCTCCTAATTCACGAAGATGTCGAAACCGCTGCTGTGGATTTTAACTTTCTTTACACGTTTATTCTTGACAGTAACCTGTAAGGCCCTTGCCATGTTCTGAAGCTTCCTGGGTAGTCAGCAGAATTCAGGGGAACAAAACTGCAGGTTCCTGTGCTCTTCCAGTGAGCCATTGGAATAATTTCTGGACCAGTTCTGTTTGCCAGACTTCTCTTTTCAAACTTTCCCATTATTCATGGGTTATTAACCAGCTCTATAAAGGGTGAATTAGTATAATTTGCCATAATTTAAACCAACGAGGGTGCTGGGAGCGAACAGACAGTGCCAGTATAGTCTCACAATTTATTGTCGTGTAAAAAACCACCCCGATCCTCAGTGGCTCAAAACACAAGCATTTATTTTTGTTTGCAAGACTGCAGGCTGGCTGGGCGGATCTTTGGAACTTGACTAGGCTCAGGCCTCTATGGTCAGCTGAGGGCCAGGAGGTCGCTCTGCTGACCTTGGTGGGCTCCTTGTTGGCGAACATCTGGCCAGCCTAGATGGCCTCTGTTGGGACAGCTGAACTCTCCTCCACATAGTCTCTCATCCTCCACTAGCATTGCCTGGGCTTTTTTAGATGGCTGTGGTGACACTCCAAGTGAAGGGACAGAAGCACACATGACGGCTCCCTGAGGCCAGGAATCAGAACGGGCCCACCATCACTCCCACCGCACACTACTGACCAAAACAAATCACTGGCCAGCCCAGATTCAAGGCGAGGGGAATAGACCCTAACTTTTGGTGTGAGGAACTGCCAAATCATGTGACAAAGAGTGGGGATATAAGTAGGAGGGAAGACTCAAGGGATATTTTTGCTACCAGTATATCCCAGTCACTTTTTTTATTTTTATTTATTTATTTATTTTCCGTTCTGTCACCCAGGCTAGAGTTCATTAGTGTGATCTTGGGTTATTGCAACCTCCGCCTCCCAGGCTCAGGCATTCTCCTGCCTCAGCCTCCCAAGTAGCTGGGATTACAGGCACCTGCCACCTCACCCAGCTAATTTTTGTATTTTTAGTAGAGACGAGGTTTCACTATGTTGGCCAGGCTGGTCTCGAACTCCAGACCTCAGGTGATCCACCCGCCTCGGCCTCCCAAAGTGCTGGGATTACAGGCATAAGCCACCGTGCCCAGCCTCCCAGTCACTTCTTTTGGGGGTTATGGATTTCAACATTTATTCAATCAGCACACTGGGCTAGATCCTGAGAATTCAAACATGAATAAGAAATGTTCTCTAGAAAGAAGCAGATCTCCTGCAATAAATTCTTCTGAACCCCACTCCACCAAGTCTTGATGCCAGTGAGATAGAATTCTTGTACTTGCGTTAAAATTTCACAATTACTTGACTTACATTGTGCATGGGTTTATGGTATCTCTTCAAGACCTAGGTGATATTTATGCCCCCTATCCCCCACATTGGACAAGTGTTGCCTAGTATAGATTATAGATGGGTGATATTAAATGTCTGTGTCCCAGCCCATATGCAGGAAACTGTCCTCTTCACAGCTGTGTTAGAGTGTGCAGTACCTGATGCATACAAGTCACTCAATGTGTATTTATCGAAGTGATTTAAATATGGCCTATCAGCCATGTAAACACACATACCTTGGAAATGATACCCTAGAAGCACAGGGGTGAAATTACCTGCTCCCGTGAAAAGCCTCGCAAGCTGGTCACAGTGGGTCAACAACAGTACCTGTGAGACTTTTAAACATTGAGGACTTGGGAATTTGAATTAGAATAATGGTTCTCAGATTTGCCTATTGGATGTGGAAAAATGTGTGTAGACTTATTTCGGTTCATATTAACATTTTATGGTTTGCAACAGCTCCTGGATGAACAGGTTTGAGAACCACTGATTCAGAAAGAGCCCATGGCCCTGGCTGGCTGAAGTCAGTGGACCCGTGGATCTGAAGGGCACTTTCTGTGTCCCTTGTTTAGGAGGGTCAAAGCTGTCCACCTGTAAACAGGTCAAGTCAGTGTCTTCTTGCTGTTGCAATATCATAAAATTTGTTTACATCTGTTCAAAAACCTTGTTTAATTTTTTTTGTAATGTTCTGCTCTTCATAAGGAATACAAGCTGTTTTAGAACAGTCTTGGTAAGGCGGTTTATAGAAGCTGAAGGTTGCTAAATATTGCTAAGGCAGCTAGCCTGGTAATTATGGACTCTATGCAAATCACTTTAAACAAATTACCCCCCCACCCCCCCAATAGCTCTAGCTGGAAATAGCTCAGGGGCATGGGAGGGAGGGAGTCGCCCCAACAGAGTGGGTGAAAACAGTTGTTGGGATTTTATACTCACAGCTCCCAGGGTAGAATTAACCTCTATAGCTATAATCAGACTCCTCTATCATGTAGGGGAAGAGTAGATGGAAGTTAGAAAATCTGGGAGGAAAAGCTTCTTCCCTTGGCCTCCAAATATCTCCCGGAGTAGCTGAAAGAGGAAGAGACTGAAATAAAAAGAAGTTAAAAGAAGCAAAGGCAGCCTCAAGCCTCATAGGTCCCACAGTACTCTGAAACCAAGGGAGCTAGGACAAGCCCTGGATGCTGAAGGAGGCAAGAGTTGGGGACACCTTCTCACCCAACCAGAAAGCTGGGCTGGGCTCATCCCCAGGAGAATGGATGGCGAACGCCCCAGCAGTCCTTAGACCCCATAAATATTACATGTTTACCCCAGTTACTCTGCATGAAGGCACTGTTTTTGATGTTTCTGTTAAACTATTGAAATAAGTAGCTATATTTAAGAAACTGAGGTTAAATTATATAGAGAGTTTATTTGGGCCAGGATTGAGGATTGTCACCTGGGACACACTTCCCAGTGGCCTTGGGGAGTGCTCCTTTCGGCCTTTGTTACAAGCAGGTTTTTAAAGGCAAAAGGGGCTGGGTGCGGTGACTAACGCCTATAATCCCAGCACTTTGGGAGGCTGAGGCAGGTGGATCACCTGAGGACAGGAGTTCAAGACCAGCCTGGCCAACATGGTGAAACCCCATCTCTACTAAAAATACAAAATTAGCTAGGTGTGGTGGCACACGTCTGTAGTCCCAGCTACTTGGGAGGCTGAGACAGGAGAATTGCTTGAACCCAGGAGGTGGAGGTTGCAGTGAGCTGAGATTGCGCCACTGCATTCCACCCTGGGCGAGACAGAGCGAGACTCTGTCTCAAAGGAAAAAAAAAAAAAGGCAAAAGGGGACAAGGAATGGTCTGACACGAAGTTGCTTGACGGGAATACTCATTGATTTACGGTATAGGGTATGAATTGTGGTGTCCAGCATATGGCATTTTATGGCTACTTGGCATCAGTTCATCTGGAGCGCACATAGCAAGTGGCTTCAAGGTCATTATTCACTCAAGGTGGGAGTGAGATGTGACTGCTGTCACACATTGTCACATTTCAGTGCATCCCTAGGTCTGATAATTAAAGGGGATGCCCTTACTCAGATGAGTTTCTTTTCCTTCTCAGCAGGGAGAAGCTTATGTGTATTGATCTCTATTTCTGGGCGCTACATGCAGACTGCATGCCCTGCTCTCAGCTGCTGAAACTCACATGTCCCATCTGATCTTCCTGCCACCCCAGAGTTTAACATGAAAATAAGCCTGTCTCCCTCTCTCAGAAGCCACTTGTACCTGTGTTCCAGGGCTGCCGTAACAAAGTATCACAAACCAGGTGGTTTAAGCAACAGAAATTGAGCATTTCACAGTTATGGATGCTGGAAGTCCGAGGTCAAGGTGTTGCAGGGGCGGTTCCTTCTGAGAGATATGAGGAAGACTGTCATCTAGGCCTCTCCCCTAGCTTCTGGGTGTTTGCTGGCAATCTTTGGCATTCCTGGGCTTGTAGAGGAGTCACCCCGGTTTCTGCGTTCATCTTCACACTGAGTTCTCCCTGTGTGCATCTGCCTCTGTATCTGAATATCCGTTTTATAAGAACATCAGTCATTGGATTGAGAGCCCACTCTACTCCAGTATGACCTCATCTTAACCAGTTATATCTGCAGTGACCTTATGGCTAGATAAGGTCACATCCTGAGATGCCAGGGGTTAGGATTTCAACATCTGAATTTTGAAGGGACATAGTTCAGCTTACAACACTGCCCTTTCACCAATTCCATAGTCCCCAGCTTCAACCATGGCAGTCAAGTCCCCTCAGCTGGTGTTTTATAGTGACCGTAACCTTCACCAGGGGATTTTAGCTCATGAGCTATTCCTAGCCAGCCCTGTGCTCTTGCACTTGGCATTGTGTTCGTTGCTCTACTCGCCTGGCACAGCTGCCTTTACCATTGCCAGTGGCCTCAGCTGAGAGGTGGGTGTGGGGACAGCAATGTGGGCAAGGTCAGGATGGTCTCCTTGCAGATCCCTGCGCAGTGAACATTTGTTGACTGAATGAAAACACATGTGCAAATAAACAGCAGCAGCAACAATAAACTTTGAACAAAATTTCCACAGTTCGGCACCCAAAGTAGATCATCTGTATGATTAAGTAACATCTTCATTCTGGCTTTGTGTTTCAGCCAGCTTAGCTCATGTCTAAATGCAATTCTCACCTGGCTGCAAAATCAGGCAGGAGCTCTCCCTCCCTGCCTTCCCAGGTCAAACCTCTACTAATCCCCTTTTCATCTCTGCACAGCTTCTGATCCAAACGACAGGGACATCACAGCTGCCTCCTTCCATCCATGTCCCTTGCTATAACTAATCCCATCTTCCCAGGTCTCTCTTCTTTCTGCCACGTGACATGCCCTCTCTTGGATTTCTCTTCTTGGTGCCTCAGTGGTTCTGATGGCCCAGCTACTACCACACCTGGCACCTTTGCTTACCTGGCAGCTGACCTTCTGGTTGTTCACCTCTACCCTGCCTGGAAGGACTAGGAGCTTTCCTCCTGCACTCTCCCCGACCTGCCCCACCTCACTCTCTGAAGATCGTAGTCATTCCAGCTTCCCACACCTTGAAACCACTTACTCCCACCTCTAATATCCATAGTTGTAAGAGAATGAAAATAGTAGGCACACCTACTGTTAAAACACTCGTAAGACACTGTGAAAAACCTGAAGATTATTATTTTCTTGTCTTTCTTTTCCTTTCCTTCTCTTTCCTTCCCTTTCCTTCCCTTCCCTTCCCTTTCCTTTCCTTTTTTTCCCTCCCCTTCCCTCCCCTCCCCTCCCCTCTCCTCTTCTTTTTTCTTTTCTTTCTTATAAAGACAGGGTCTCACTCTGTCACCCAGGGTGACGTACAGTGGCACGATCATAGCTCACTGTACCCTTGAACTCCTGGGCTCAAGCAATCCTCCTGCCTCCACCTCCCAAGTAGCTGGGACTACAGGCATGTACCACCATGCCGGGCTAATTTTTAAATTTTTTTTTTTTGCTAGAAACAGAGTCTCACTATGTTGCCCAGGCTAGTCTCAAACTCTTAGGCTAAGCAATCTTTCTGCCTCAGCCTCCTGAAGTACTGGGATTACAGGCATGAGCCATCATGCCTGGCCTGTTATTTTTATATATAATCTAAACTTCTATCAATGAGGTGAAAAAATAGCTCAATATTTTATTTAACCTTTGCTAATAATATCTGTCAGGATTCCTGACTAATACATTAGGAGACCTTTCTCCTTCTTCCCTATTCCTATTTGACACATATGCATTCATTCAGCCCGTACTGGCTGAGTGCCTATGTTCCAGTCACTGGTAACAAATTCTGATATTGGAAGGACTACAAAAGCACCTCCGCAATGTCATTTTCCAGCGGTGCAGGACTATACCCTAAGTTGCCACCCTCTTCCCAAAAAGTGAAATAAAAGAACTGGCAAGTGTGAAAAAGCTAGCTTTAAAGTTTTATGGAAAGGCATATTAACATCTAGAAATTTTCTCTTAGTACATAGTTAAGAATATGTGTAAACATTTAGCTTCAAACCTAGCCACCAAGCATTCTTTTCTAGTATCAAAATGATGGAAACCACCTCACTGTGTAGCAATAGGAGACTGGGCAAGCTGATACCAAGCAAACTCTCAAAAAGAAATTCAGTTCATTGAAGGGAATTCAAAGAAATAAAATGTAGAAGTATATCATGGAAAGATGTTCATGGTTTACAAAAGAGTATGTGGAATACAATCTCGTTTTTACGTTAAAACACAGAACAATAAAAGAACTTGGTGATTAGAACCCAGAGCATTCATTGGCTGTGACCCACTCTGGGTAGAGGGATGAGATTGTAGATGATTTTTTTCTATTTGCTTATCTAATTTTTCTATGACGAACAAATACTACATTTAAAATTGTTTTTAAGCTTTTGAAACAAAAAGAATATAAAGATATCCTTTTCTAAATATTTCCACATATGCCTTTCGACACTTTGCAGCTTATAGTGATTTAGGATACTACATTATCAATAAACTGCACCATGTGGACGAGTCGGTGGGGAGCAAGACGAGAAGGGCCTTCCTGTACCTCGCCGCCTTTCCTTTCATGGACGCAATGGTGAGTAGAGAAGATCGTTGGCTTTCTTTCTTTTTCTTTAACTGGTGGTAAAATATACATAATATAAAATCTACCATTTTAGCTATTTTTGTGTGTACAGCTTAATGGCAGGAAGTACATTCACATTATTGTGTAACCAATCTTCAGAACTCTTCATCTTGCAAAACTGAGATTCTATCCTAATTCAACAGTAACCCTCCTCGGCCCCCTCCCCAGCTCTGGGCAACCTCCATTCTACTTTGTAACTCTACAAATTGGACTACTTGAGATACCTCAAAAGAGTGGAATCATACAGCGTTTGTACTTTTGTAATTGGCGTATTTCACTGAGCGTGTCTTCAGAGTTTAACAATGTAGTAGCAGGTGTCAGAATTTCCTTCCTTTTTAAGGCTGAGTCACTTTCCAGTGAATGTCTAGGCCACATCTTGTGTATCCGTTCGTCAGCTGATGGACACTTGCGTTGCTTCCACCTTTGGGTTCTTGTGACTAACGCTGCTATGAACGTGAGTGTGCAAATATCTGAGTCCTTGTTTTTGGTTCTTTGGGGTATATACCCAGAAGTGGAATTGCTGGATCATACAGAAATTTGATTTTTGATTTTTTGAGGAATTAGCAGACTGATCTTCGTAGCAGCTATACCACCATCAGAGTACTCAGGTTCCAATTGTCTGTTGACTTTTAACCAGTCCATCTTGTCAATTTATTTAATTTTGCCACAAGTTCTGGTAGGTGGCAGGAAAGCCCATTTGAAAATTTTGATGCAGATAAACAGTTCTTTTCTGATATACTCAGGATCAAAGGATCAGAATCACTTTCTGATAAACTTACCACTTGTGTGGCACAGACACCCAGAGTTTTAGAGTAAGAATCTGTTGAACATACTGGTAGGGTTTCATTATTTTAATAACCAACTTCACCCCATTAGCTCAGGGCTGCCCACTTCCATAAATTCTTTGTCATGATTCTGAGGAGTGCTTAAACAGTGCTTTTCATTCTCTTCTGCTGTCTTATAAATATAAAAAAGACTTAGCAAAAAAAAAAAAAAAAAAATATATATATATATATATGTTCCAATAAGGTCCAATGCTGGAAAGTAAACCCTTTCCTTTGGCTCCATTTCGAATTATTCTTGGAAGGAGACTTAAAAATATGTTAGTCTGTATAGTTTTTTTTACCACCCCCACCTCAAGTTTATATGCAGTTAGATGCATGATGTAAGTGCATAACTGGCTTCCCTGCGGTGCCTGAGCTAGCCCATGGTGGTAGCCCAGTTAGAGAACTGAAGGAGGTGGCCTTTCTGACATCCCTAAAGAGTCAAAGCCCAGCTTCCTGGACAGGTCCGTGTCATTCCTCTGAGGTCTGTCCTCCCATCTGTGTTGAAGTGGGAATCTACACACATAGAAGAATTACAGTTATACGGTGAATTCCAGGAACTCAGGACTGTTAGTAAAAGTGAATTGCAGATTCTTAAGGACCTGGTATTCCATGTCCCTTTAGCTATATTTATTTGCCATAAGAGAGTTTCTGAAATCAAATAGAACACCAGAACATTTGTAATTGGTACTCTTTTCTTCCATGTTTCTTCTGTAAGTTCCCCCAGAGACCCTGGTATAACAGCAAGAGATGGCTTATAAAAATGAAAATAATGAACATTTATAAGGACCAGATCAACTCCTCCCTCCCCACCCCCTCACCCCTGGCAGCTTGGCGCTGATATATTGGTTGGAGAGAGAATATTTAAAGCCAGCAAGCTTATTGTATGGTGGCTTTCAGACAACAAAGCCAGCCCACAGCTGTGTTTGCAGATGGGCAGGGAATTAGCTGTTGCTGTACAAAATCTTGACATGGACCTGGGGAATAGACCCTGCTTGCCTCATTGTGCGTAGCTCAGATGAAGTGTCATTTCTGTGTCAGTCCAAATCAACCTTGAAGGTAAGAAGGATGATCCTTAAACAGAGCCCGTCATGAACTTGAAACCTTCTCCAGACCTGCTGTTCCTCGGGCTTTTCGTCTGCTCCCCTCGTAGCATCTTCCTCCTCATCTCCCAAAGTGTCAGGTCAGATCCTGCCCAAACTTGAAGGCAAGAAAACAGTAGGCCCTAATCAGTCAGTGAGCACCGGTAATGACTGTAATAACTCAGACCCAAATGAGAGCCCTCATTATGATCTGCATCACGTGGGAAGGATGCTACTTTGGGACTGAGACGCTTGAGAGACAGAGATTGTGTTTCTTCCATTCTTGGTATTCCTTCAGCTTTCCTGCCAGGCATACAAACCTAATAGCGCACTAGTCTACATACAATTGGTACTAAATAAATACCTGCGTGCAGTCCTTCACTCCACTGTAAACTCTAACATGGAGCCAGCCACCAGATCAAGTTACAGTAATTTTACCAACCAAAGATTTATCAGACCTGGGCTGCTAAGGCTTTGAGGGGGTATAAAGTGTATTTCAGGAATGCCCAGTAAATCTCAACAACCAGAAACAGCATAATCCTGAAGGTGTATCTCATGCCAAATTCTTTTCTTTCTGGCAGGCATGGACCCATGCTGGCATTCTCTTAAAACACAAATACAGTTTCCTGGTGGGATGTGCCTCAATCTCAGATGTCATAGCTCAGGTAAATATGGTCTGTGTGTCAATCAGAGCTCCTCAGAGTCCCCTTCTGGCGTGTGTAACTGATGTGTGATTTATATTCATTCACTGTGCAGTACACTCTGCATTCGACCTGGTTTTGCCAGCACCGTTACATCACATAGAGACCTCAATAAATATTTGCTAAATGAATGAGAAAAGGGAATGCCCTGTAATAACAGTATGTATAATCTTGCTAGAATATGGGTTGTAAGAATTTAAATTTAAATAAAGGGGTTTTGACCTTTATTTTTAAAGAGCATGCACATGAGATGAGCATAAAGTCATACCTAGTACCTTTCGGCATGTCTTAGGGTCACTGTTTACTTGCCTGGGTGCCCTCTGCGTGGCCTATCACTATGAAGTCTGTCACTCTGTCCTAGAGGGAAGGCTCTTAGGAATTATTCTTCAATGTTCTTATAATCCTCTGTTGTTACCATGCAGGGCTGCCATTCACAGGTCACTTCCCCACATTTAGAAGGAACCAGGAAGTGGATTCAGCTACCTTTCCACGCGGTCTGAGAAGAAGGCCTACATCCCACTTTCTGTTGGGTCCAATTCTCTGAGCCCTGGCACTCAGCCCTGGCTTTCTGTCCTTTCTTCTTCTACCAAGGATAGCGCATGAACAATTTTAGTGGAAAAATAGATTGAATTCTTATGATTTATAAATTAGACTAAGTTCCTACAGTCAGGGATTTGGGAGAATGATTTCTTCATAGAGGAAGAGGTTAGACTATATCTCTAAATGCCTTTCCAAATTCTCATGTCTTTTTTTTTTTTTTTTTGAGACAGAGTTTCGCTCTTGTCGAATGGCACAATCTCGGCTCACTGCAACCTCCACTACCCAGGTTCAAGTGATTCTCCTGCCTCAGCCTCCTGAGTAGCTGGGATTATAGGCATCTGCCACCATGCCTGGCTAATTTTTGTATTTTTAGTAGAGATGGGGCTTCTTCATATTGGCGAGGTTGGTCTCAAACTCCTGACCTCAGGTGATCTGCCCACCTCGGCCTCCCAAAGTGCTGGGATTACAGGCATGAGCCACCACGCCCAGTCTCATTTCTATTCTATGAATATTTCCATACATTTTTCCTTTCTTGTACACCCTGCTCTCTTAGCCACCTTCTTGAAATAATCGACTGTTGAACTGTTAGTACTTCCCTGAAGACCAATAATTTCCAGATTAATCGTGTTTACTCCGTGGATCACTATTATAAGTAATTTAAATGGATTTCTACTAACTGTGTGTGTGTGTGTAAATACTAGCAATACTAGCAACCACCATTCTTTGGTATGTCTTTGTTAATTTTCTTAAGAGTTAGTAGAGAATTTTGTCCCAGTCTTACTTTCTGTATCCTATGGGAGATGAACTAAACTGCCTTATTCACTCTAATCACTTCATTTGAAATTCAGTAAGCCTCTCTAATTTCAAACACTGGCATCAGCAAGTCGGTGAGCATTTGTGAGCACACATTTGTAGATGTGTGTTTTTTTAAAGGCAAAAAAAAAAAAAAAACTCTTAACTTTGCCTAAAATAAACATAGTACCCATCCAAGGACAGAAGAAGAAAAGCCTATCTCTGAAAAAGACTTTGCCAATACACCTACAGCCATTTTCCTTCTCTATTTTAAACCTGATCCTGGCCCTTGCCTGTTGAGGGAAGGCCTGCAAGTTTAGAATAAACAGATCTGGTTAGTGGGAGCGTGGAAGCCGAGTTCAGATGCCATCTGGCTTCAGGCTGTGCCTGGTGGAGTAGTTATTTTAAACCTTGTTGCTTGAGTTCCTGCCACAATTTGGCTGGGGGAATAAATTCTCTTTTTAAGTCTTTTACCCTCAGGCTTCCTCTCATTACCTGAAAACGTTTGTTAGGTATGAAAACATACCTAAGTTGGTAGTGAGCAAATGGATTCCATGCAAAGTACTTTGAAATATCACCTTGGCATAAATAGCACATAATCACCAATCACCAATGATAAAATGGAAATCATTTATAATGCCTCAAATTTCAATGGCAATTCTCGAGGGGGGTTTTTTGTTTTGTTTTGTTTTGTTTTCAGATTTTACTAAGTTAATGGGCTTCACACAATAATACAAAAACCTCTTGGTTTGTTGCAACCATGCAGTGCTTTTCTTTGCCGTCATTATTTTAACAGTGATATGTTCCAGTCAATCATTGCCAAGGGATTCGTGGAAACATATTGCTGTTTTTGTTTTGTTCCCTGGTCATCTGGACCTTCTTAGCTTGCTTGATATCAAGGTGAGAATTGTCAAGGTTGTTTGCTGTCTTTGGACTTTCCATCCTGTCACTCCTCTGCTATCATCAGCCCTCGCCTTTCAAGGTCAGCTGACATCCCAAGGCTGGTCAGATCATAATGTGTACATCCCCCGCATTCCTGTAAATTCCCTTATCTCCTGCCTTTTCATCTCAGCCTTCTGAGAAAATTCCTCTGAACCAACCTTATGTTACACATCTTCCTCCAATTGCGCGGTGCTTCTGCAAAAGGTTACACAACAGAATAAACTAATCGAACTGTAAATGCACAATCTCATCCTTCACCTCTGCTAACTCTGTAGCAACTATTTCAGAGAGTTTCTCTACCTCTCACCTTCCAACATAAGACCTCATTTCCCACCTCACAGAGTCAACTGCAGCAACCAAATTCGTCACCTTCCAGCCAACAAACCTACACACTTACTTTCCAACCCTGCATCCTCCCAATTCTCTTCTCATTGTAGGGGAGGAGGTGTCCCTCCTCCCATCCAGGGCCACTCCTCTGGGTCCTGGCCTATGCTGCTTCCTCAGGAACCTGTTCCCTGCTTTCTCGTGCATCGTTTCCCTTGTCCTGTCACACTCACATGTCTGCCATGTTAACACAGCAACGAGAAGCTTCCTGTGTATTTCACCTAACTCTTTAGCTACAGTTCTATCACTTTATAGCCAAACTTCTTGGGAGGGTGGCTTCTACTCACTGTCTTTTTCACTTCTCTTTCATTCTCTACCTACTTGAGGCTGACTTCCACCCCCATCAGTCCACCCAGATGATTCTTACTAATGACTTTCCTGCCATTAAACGCAGCAGGCAGCTTTCCTGATCTTTGCTCTGTTGACTACCCGCTCCTCAGTCACACACTCTTTCCCACCAGCCCTCTCCCCGCTGCAGTCCTGGTTTTTACATGTTTCAGCTTGTTTTTCCATTGGTATTTGGCCATTAAGGTTGATGTAGCTCAGGAATATGCATTGTCCTGCTTTTGTTCTCAGTATGCTTCTGAGGTCTTTGGAATGAGTGGATCCCAGGAGGACTCTAGACAAAGGCTGGGCTGATTCTCTGATTTCTGCAGTACAGGGAGGTTAATACAGTTAAGCTTGATTTAGAGACTGTACCATTGAATAGAGATATAAACATTATTGTAATTTCATTCTCTCACTCTGGTTATTTCAACCTATTCTAGTTTTATAGGTTAGTATTTTAAATGTTAATGTAAGTTGTTTTATAATTATTACTGTTGGTGTTTTTTGGCAGCATTTTTAGTGACTTTTTTTTGAGATAGGGTCTCACTGTCACCCAGGCTGGAGTGCAGTGGCACGATCAAAACTCACTGTAACCTCAAACTCCTGAGCTCAAGTGAACCTCCCACGTCAGCTACCAAAGTAGCTAGGACTACGGGTGTGCACCACGACACCTGGCTCATTTTTAAAAATCTTTTACAGAGATGGGGTCTCACTAAGTTGCCCAGGTTGGTCTGGAACTGCTGGTCTCCAACAGTCCTCCAGCCTCAGCCTCCCAAAGCACTGAGATCACAGGTGTGAGCCATGGCACCCAGCCCATTTTTAGTGCCTTCTATCCTATAAACATTAATGTCTATTTTCCTGTATATGTTATTTATCACTACTGTTTTTTTCTTTGTTAAATGTAGCCTAGTCCTCAGATGTGTGTTACATACACATCTGAGTGTCCAGCCTCGAGAGGGAAAGGCTACATTAAGTTGGTAATGAGTAAATAGATTCCATGCAAAGTACTTTGAAATGCCACCTTGGCATAAATAGCAAGTAATCACCAAGCACCAATGGTAAAATGGAAATTATTTATAATGCCTCCAATGTCAGTGGCAATTCTTGAGGGGTGTTTTTTTGTTTGTTTTTTTGTTGTTGTTTTGTTTTTCAAATTTTACTAAGTTAATGGGTTTCACACAATGGTACAAAAAATCTCTCGGTTTGGTGCACACATGCAGTGCTTCTCTGTGCCGTCATTATTTGAATAGTTATATGTTCCAGTAAATCATTGCCAAGGGATTCCTGAAAACATATTGCATAAATTTTTTTAAAGTAATAACCTTAAAAAAGATGCCTTGAAAGATTTTTGTAGTTGCTTAAAAGAATTTTCATGGTGGGTATAACAAAATGATCCATGTTCCTCCAGTGAATCCCAAACATCTGCACATGAATTACATGAGAGCGACATTGGGTCATCATCCAATTTTTGGTTCTGTTTGCATAAAAGTCAAGATCTTTGCTCAGAGGTCTGTCTCAGGTTCAAGAGCGTGCCCCTGTGCTTCTGTCAGTCGGTTCCCGCTTCTCCCCTCTGACCTGTTCCCGTTCTCCCTTCTCTCAGGTTGTTTTTGTAGCCATTTTGCTTCACAGTCACCTGGAATGCCGGGAGCCCCTGCTCATCCCGATCCTCTCCTTGTACATGGGCGCACTTGTGCGCTGCACCACCCTGTGCCTGGGCTACTACAAGAACATTCACGACATCATCCCTGACAGAAGTGGCCCGGAGCTGGGGGTACGTCTACCAACCCAACAGCAGTCTGTCTGAGACTCAGAGTAGAATAAAACTGTATTCCACCTCTATGTAAAATGAGAAATCAGTGACATCAAAACATGAAGTTGGCCAGGATGTCATACCCAGAGGCCAAGTGCTAGATGTCTGCAGGGAAAGACAGTTGGAGGATTAATGAACTCTAACAGATGGATGTGATCTGAGATGTCACTGTCCAGCCTCCTTATCCCATAGGAGGAGACAGAGGCACAGAGAATCTGTGGCCAAGGAATAGATACGACATTCATGGTTTTTCTTGCTCTTATAAGTTATTCTGCAGTCAGCAAAGGTTTTAGGACCCACGATACCTTTGAGTTTATATTTCATTGTGTTTGATTTTACAGCAGGGATCCAGGCTTTGTTTATGCTTTCTTCAATGGCCAATCCCAGTCCCTTATTCAGGTGCCTCCTGGGGACCAAGCACAACGTTAGGTACCATAGGGCAACACAGAATATTTTAAGATATGGTCGCTACCCTCAAGCAGCATCATATCCCATCTGGCAGATCAGAACAATACAGAAGCAACAATTAAACAGTCATCTGAGACAGCACATCACCTGCATGAGGATATAGGAGCCACGAACACTGGGAGAAGGAACATAGTGATGTAGTGTAAGATGCCTCCTTGGAGGAGGTAGATCTTGCTGTGCCCTGAAAGTTGAATAAGAAACAAGTAGGAATGAGATAGAGAACCTTATAGAGATGACCAAAGCATTCTGTTTGTTGTAAGTATAAACATTATCTGATTTCTGTGTGTGCTAATTTTCCCTACCCATAGGTATGAGACATCATTAGGTTTCTCTGCATTTAGCTGTAAGGCATCTATAGCCCTGAATTCATCCCCTCACCTCACCCTGATCCCTACTTGGGCCGCACATTACTTTGTCGTATCAAGCAGTAATTGTTTTGACCACTTACCTCCATCTGAGGTCAGACTGTCAGTAAAATCCTATCTAGTTATCCCATCACTAGGCCAACCACAAATTGGTCTTGACAGTAACAATCCATCTCTTAACATTTAGCCACCAGCAAATGGAAATAAAGTGACCAAGATGGTTCCATGATGTAACTCTCACCCTTGTGAACAATCAAAACCAAAATTGCATAATGAAAGCCAGGCTTTAAAGATATTCCACACCTTTGCCACAGAAGTCTTAGGAATCCCTTGTTCTTTACATGCCTTTATTTTGATTATGCTTTTGAACAGTTTACATGATGTCTGTGAGAGCTCCGAGAATAAGAACCTCTGTAGTCAGTTTCTACACTGCCAGAATAATTAGGCACATTTTTGTGAGCTGACTGATTCCAAATAACTTTTTTATTTCTAAGAGTTACCTCTTCCTGACGTGGCTTCCAGCCAGTCCATTTGATGAGATTAACAAAGACTTAATTTCAAACCTGTTTCTCAGGCTCGAGATGTGGGTTCTACCTTGGTTAGAGATTCCCCGAGTCTCAGTATGGAAAAGAGTGGTTGGGATCCATTAAACTTCAGTGTGTGTTTTAATTTCACAGCAGCTTGCCAGCTGTCTCGGTTAATTTCTATTAGGACTGAACATTTTATTTTAATTCAACTTGGCTTGTCTACAGACACTTTTCCTTATATTACTTTCAAGTATAGTGAATTGGCTTGTGATTAACATACGAAGGAAAAGCTTTGATTCTGAATCGTTTTTTCCATTCTGCTTCTAGAGTTCAGGTAACTTTTATCTTCGTTTCTTAACACAGGGAGATGCAACAATAAGAAAGATGCTGAGCTTCTGGTGGCCTTTGGCTCTAATTCTGGCCACACAGAGAATCAGTCGGCCTATTGTCAACCTCTTTGTTTCCCGGGACCTTGGTGGCAGTTCTGCAGCCACAGAGGTGGGCCATGCTTTGGGGATGTGGGGCTTATGATCACCTTGGTGGGGCAGGGGGGTGCTGAAACTGATTTCCAGTTCTTCTCGAGAGCTCAAGTAATTCCCCAATATTAAATTACATGACAGTCACACTAGGAAGCCATAAAGATCTCGTTCGGTGACTTATAGTCATGTAATTGTATATTTTTATGATTATGGGAGAAAACCTGTCATGCATGTCGTACATCCTTCTTGTTTATCATATGAGGAACTGAGGCACAGAAAGAAAAGGTTAAAGACACAGAACTAGCTGGAAGCTGGGCTAGTGTTAGAATCCAGGTTTTCTGACTCCCACTCAGTTTTCCATGTCCACGGAATCAGCACTGGCCTCTTCACCGTGGTGGCAGAGGATGATGGAGCATGCATGCCACATGGCAGCAGAGTGGGACACACCCAGTGGCTGCAGGGGCGCTGCCTCCGTGTTGACCCGGCCTGCCCTCACCTGCCCTTCACCATCCTGCATGTGCCACCTGACCCGTCACCACCACACCCGTGCCTGGCATGCCCACCTCAGATGGGGAGCTCCTTGATTGAACAAACTTTATCTGGAAACTGGCAGCCACTCCAAAGAAAGAGTTGACTCATTTTTCCCTCTTTCAAGTTGGGTTTGAACAAATAGAATTACTTCATTGGCTTCCTCCTCCACTGCCCTCTGGAGAATTAATTCCATCTCTGGAACTGCTGGTCCCAAGGAAGGCTCATGGCTGCCCACGAGGGCCCCCTGTCCAGGCACTGCCTTGAGGGGAGCGGCCCGGAGCCCTTACTGCGCTGTCAGCATGTCTCCAGCCAGAGTGCCTGCCAGTTTCCATGTCCTGGGAAGCTGCTCATGTTCTCCTGGAAAAAGAAGCACATAAATCAAAAGCAGAACGCTTTCTCTTGCTTCATGTGTTCCTGGATTTTGTTTTTTGAATCATAAACATCATCTTGGGTGGCTACTGTAACACACAGGTTTTGTTCTTGAATACTTCAGTTCAAGTTTCTCACAAAAAGTATGGGACCCCCACCACCTGTGTGCTAGAATTCCATCCACCCCTTTAAAAAAAAAGAAAAAGGACAAATTATACATTAGAGCCATTTGAAAATTGCTCTCGATGGCATATAGGAACAGCACGTGGGGTACAGCACTGGCATTTATTGGTCATCTGCTCATGTGCCAGGCATTTATGTACATTTCCTTGACTCCCCAGTAACCCTATGGGATGGATATTATTGTTCTTACTATTCCACCAGAGCAGCAAGAAGGGGAGCCGTGGGAGAGGTGGTGCTTCGCACAGCTGGGGAGCGATGAGGTGAAGGTTTGGATCCAGGTCCGCCCGATCCCAATGCTCCTTTTTGTTCTAGCACAGCACGCCACACCACACTTTCTTCACATTGCTGGGGATTTGCCTCATGTTCCTGGAACCTCTGGACATTGCCGTTTTGTTAATTAAAACAGATGAAGCTCGTTCTCCTCCTTCGCAGGCTAGGCAGAGGGTTGAACACTGCCAGGATGTAGGTTTAGATGCTTTGTTTTCGCTTTTCTTCCTTTTCATTCACATAGGGAAGAAACTGTCATTTTATTTTTTCTTCTTTAAGAGGTGGGGTCTTGCTTTGTCACCCAGGTAGGAGAGCAGTGGTGGCACGATCACAGCTCACTGCAGCCTCAATCTCCTGGGCTCAAGCGATCCTCCTGCCTCAGCCTCCTAAGCCACCATGCCCAACTAATATTTGAATTTCTTTTGTAGAGACGGTGTCTCGCTTTGTTGTCCAGGCTGGTCTCGAACTCCCAGGCTCAAGCAATTCTCCAACCTTGGCCTCCCAAAGTGCTGGGATTATAGGCTTAAGCTACCATGGCTGGTCAGAAACTCATGTTTTCATGGAAACACATTGATAGCTTTCTGCACAAAATATGTATTTAATTTTCTTAAATTAAAAATCTAAATTGGGCCATACTGACCAAATTATGGTCAGAAATCCCATACAGACTGGGAGTGAGTTGGGTTGTAAGGAGAGTAGCACGGAGCCATCAACAACCACGCAAAATGTCAGCATCCCTGAAGGACGGAGTGGAGGCTTAGAGGTGGGTCCCAAGGAAGAGACCCTCCAGAGAGCAGGGAGGGCTCGCAGTTGCATTTTGAGAATCCAAAATAAATAGAGCTAGACTAGAGGGTTCTGTGTGGCTCAATGGAATGAGCAAGGATTCTGGAGTCAGGTGGACCTGGGTTGAAATCTTGGCTTCTCAGAGCAATGGATGGTCTTTTCCCATCTTCATAGCCTACACTTGATTAAGGTGTAATAAAACCCAAAGGGAGGGATTGAAACCGTCTTTGCAAAAATATGACTGAGACAGTGAAAGAGATCTAACTTAACTGACTCCATCTTGCTTCCAACCTCCAAGCTGTCCTTGTTCATTCCTGGGTGTAGGCTGAACTGACTTTGGGAGAAACTTACAGTTTATAGTTTAAACAAAGATGGTAACAGCACTTTCCCAAAGCAGACCTCCTTCTTGCCTGGGGACTAGATTGCCTTTGTAGGACTAACATTAGCCACAAGATTAGAAATTATGTTTTAGGAATCATGCAGCTGGGGGCTACAACATTCTGATCCTCCCTAAACTGCTCCAAAGTTCAGTGCTTATTTTGCAGATCCTGCACTTGATGGATCAGCTGGCCCCACGCAGATCATTAAACTGGCTCACCTGATCTTGTTGTGGCCCCTACCCAGGAACTGACTGAGCACAAGAAGACAGCTCCGACTTCCTATAATTTCATCTCTGACCCCAATGCTCGGGGAGACTGATATGAGTAATAATAAACTCTGGTCTCCCTCAAAAATTAAAAGAAAGAGAGAAGGAAAAAAAAAAAAAAGGAATCTTGGCTTCCCAGCCAGTGGTCTGCACCTGTTTCTCATTGGATCTGCGTAAAATGTGACGCATCCCCCTCGTTTCACGTCCACTTTGTTGGCTGGCTCATTGCACTCCCAGGGATGAGGCAGAGTACCTGCCCCTAGGAGCCCAATTTGCTGTCAGTTCCCCCCGTCCTGGGCCGTCCTGTGCTTGCCTGATGTTTGTCACCCAGTGTAGCGGGCTCTGTCCTCAGTGGCTGCACCTGAGTCGGCGTGCTTCGTCACCTACTGTAGCTCCTGGAGGACTTCCTGCTGGTACCCTGCTAACTCTGCCACCTCTTCCTGTTGCAGGCAGTGGCGATTTTGACAGCCACATACCCTGTGGGTCACATGCCATACGGCTGGTTGACGGAAATCCGTGCTGTGTATCCTGCTTTCGACAAGGTGAGAACCCGTGCGGTGTCGTGTCTGAAACATGCTTTTGAAATGACTTCTTGATAGACAGGGCTCTCTGATGAGGGACACTTTGTTGCTTCTCAGTCCTGCTTCCCTTTGTAAGGTTAATGTGACGTTGGGGGCATTGAAGGAATATTTTCCTCAGAAAATAACAGGGGCAAGTTGAAGCTTACCTTTGACGCTGATCCCAGGATGCTTTTCCAAAGTGATCAGCCTGTGGTTACTTTCAGGTTATTCCCATTGAGAAATGATTTGTTTGCGAAAGGGAAAATAAACTTCCCCCAAAATCAATTTATGGGATTTTATTTCTGTGGTTTGTTTCTTTAAACGAATGCTTTGCTGACCCCATACCAGATGGCTAAGGTGTAGGCAGGAAGCCGTGCGTGGCTGTCTTTCTGTGGGCTGGCCTACCTACATGCTCAGGTTGGCCACAGGCAAGACCTGGGTCCAGTGTTTTGATATTGCAGACGTATTCCAGTGGAAAGCCTGTTGACAGCTGCTCTGTCTCCCCAGCCATGGGAGTCACATAACCCTTCTGCCCTGTAACTTGTGACCCAGTCAGCACTGTCCTGCTGTCATTCAATTAAAGTCTATTTTATAGCGTTATCATTTAAACCTATAGACTTTTTTTAATACTCTAAAACAAATGGCTGGTGAAACATACTCCAAAAATAGTCTACAGTGTTTTAAAATGATACACAGGAAGGAAGCAAACAGACTGCTACTTCTTACCGTGAAGGGCACCTGTTGTGCCTTGAATGTCTGCAGAACTAGCAGCCACTGCCAGCATCACACTGTCTTATCCCAGCCAGAGCCTGTGAAGTGAGGAGAGGAAGCCTCCTGGCCAGGGGTGTCCACAGCGCTCAGCTCTGGCAGAATGGGCAGCTTGGCCTTGGACCCTGGGTAATGCTGGCCCCTCCCTCTTTCCCCCACCGCCGGCCTGACCTCTCCTGGGCACGGGAAGCCCTGGGAAGCCACACAACAAGGCTAGGCCACAGGCTGCAGGCCTCTCTCCTTCCTTCACGTGGCCACCAGCTTCCAAAATGCCCCCCTGAGACCGTTTGTGGGTTCTGAGAGGGGCGAGGCCTGCGGAGCAGGGACCTGGGGACCCCCTCTCCCCCACCACACCTTACAGCCTGGCCCAAGGGCATCCCCCCAGGCATCTCTGAAAGTGTGAGGTGGAGACGGAGGATCAAGCCTGGAGTGATCACCCACATCTGCCCTCCTCCTCCTCTGCTCCTGCAGTTCCCGAGCAGTTTCTCTGTGAATGCATGCTTGTGCAAACACACACACGTCCACCTCCACACACAGCCTGCTCCCACTTCCCCATCAGGGTATTCTTCCACTGCCAGCCCCCAGGCCACTCTTCCCTGTCTCTATCACCTGTCTCCTCTATTTCCCTTACCCATGGTCACGTGGGAAAGGGTAAACCACCTGAAAACCAGTGAGGGATTCCCCTGCCTAAGCTAATGGGCGATAGACCCAGAACCCTGTACTGAGTGTGGAACTTCCTCAGTGGACCATTAGTTAGGACCCACCACCTACTGGACTGTGAGTTAGGACTCACCACCTACTGGGAATATTCAGTTGCAGCATCAGGATGCAGAGCATCTCCTAAGAAATGCTTTTGGTTCCTGCTTCACAGGCCTTTGAGAGTGGACTCAGAAGGCATGAGTCACTTGCTGGAGAGAGCAGACACTGTGTTTGAGTGGGTTTAATTCAGTCTATAGATAGAAATCATTGTTTTCATTTCAAGGCACGTGTGTATAGAAGTAAATCCTAGAAAACCAGCATGAATGTATGTCTTCTTGCTAAATTTCAGTTCTAGCTCCTGATTAATAAGGTGATCATCTGATGAAACTGATGAGAAGGGCAAGTGCTGAAGTGTTAGAACCTCCTGGCTGCTTAGGTCTCATCTGAGATTATTTTTGGCCACCTTGAAATCATAAAATTTAACAATACAACACTGTATGGTTTCAGTAAGAGCATCCAAGAAAAACATTGTTTTATTCTTGATCACAGAGGCTAGGAGCTATAAAAAAATTCCTTTAACGAGCATACCTCTCACCAGAACTTCGAGTTACTCCAAATCCTTTTAAAACCTCGCCCATTGTTTCCAAGCATTCCAGCGAGCTACACCAGCCATTTATATGAATGCCGTCTATTCACCAAAATCTTAGGCACCTCCATATGGACTTCCAGAATTTGCTGCATTGACAGTTGAAATCCTGAGCTTCTTTGTGGGCTCCAGAATCAGAGATTTAAAATTTCTCACATACCTTCCGGGAGTTCTAGCTAAGCATGAGCTGAGAAAGGTTTCCACTAGTGCAGATGCTCTCTAATGTTCAGTTACCTGCAAAAAAGGATGCTTCTGAGCCAATTGGGCAAACAAACTGAAACTCCAGTGCTAATCTAACAATACCTGCTGGTTTATTTTCACGATCTTCATGTGAATATGTGCCATTTTGCAAATCACAGTGCCCCTGAAGGAGCTGTGGTACGTTGCTGTCCCCATGGCAGTATGTGTGTTTTGCTGAGGTTCCCTAATTCTTTCCAACATAGGCCTCCTCATCGTACCCAGCAGGGCAGTGCTCTTACAGAATGCAGTCCTCTAACAGATCCAGGGTGAATGGAGACGGAGGTCTCCAACCACTGGGACTTGTACTTTGCCATAGAGCAGTCTAGAAAACAGATATGTTTTAGAGACTAGAATTAAGAAAACGTATACTCATTCAGAGGTTGGTGCTGGTGGTGGAAGGGATTTGAGAAATGACCTTAGCCTCCCAGTAAAGGAAAAGCACAAGCTCTTTTCCAGGTGGATCCTGTAGTAGCTGTGGGTGTGTGTTTCACGCGGCTGGATGCGGAGCCAGGTGTTCAGGGTTTGTTTTTGTGAGTCGACTCTGGGACTAATTGGGTCCATAATGAGGTCAGGGTTATTTTTCTCTGCCAGTTTTCGTGGTCTGGGGGCCAGGCCCTCGTTTTGCAGGGGTGAGGAGCACGCTTAGCAGTGCAGCTGGAGAGCCTCGGCAGGCGCCTTTGACTGTCAAGCTGGGTGACATCTGAGCCCCCTGCAGTCCTGCTTGAAATGCAGTGCAGCAGGTGTTCTTGGGGCATCTTTTCTACGCAGATGTTGTGCTGAGTGATTCAAGGGGAGACACGCAGGGCGTTATCTCAGCAAGCACAGCCTCACCGGGGTTGGACGCATGACAGGACATGATGCCTGCCCTCAGAGAGCTCCAGGGTCATCAGGCTTTACAGGAGGTGGGGCCCAGCTTGGAGGTCAAAGGTCAGAGAGGCTTTAGGGAACAGATGAGCAGTGAAGATGATGGGCCTTAGAAAGAGGGATGTTTTTGAAAATCAGGATTCAATGGCAGGAGGAACAAAAGCACCAGGTGTGTCAGGGGAAGAGCAGGAAGTCCCATCTGGGCTAGAAGTGGAGAAGTCATGGCTGGAAAGTGAGTCTGTGTCAGATTGCACAAGGCCTTGAATGCCCAGTGGAATTTATAGTCCATTTGGTAGAGAGGAGAGGAGCCCTGGAGGACACTGAGCAGGGCCATGGCATTTAGGGAGATGCCGATGGTGGCCAGGCACAGGGTCTGCTGGGACCAGGAGCGGGGTGCATGGGGCAGGAGCAGGCTTCAGAGCCAAAGCCCCAGGACTGGGCAAGATGGGCTGCCCAGGCAGAGGGGAGGTGACTGAGTTGGAAGAGCTGCAGGGCATTGAGTCGAGAATTCACTCAGGTTAATGATCCTGTACAGGGACCTGACAGCTGCCCGAGAGACACTCAACATGACAGCCGCCTGGCAAACTGTCACTTGAAACCTCTAATTCAGACACATCAGATAAAACAAAAGCAAGATGCTCTTCAAGATCCCCCGGTGGGTTCAGCCAAGGATAAGCCGGGCCCATTCATGACTGTGGTTTTCTTTCCCCAGAATAACCCCAGCAACAAACTGGTGAGCACGAGCAACACAGTCACGGCAGCCCACATCAAGAAGTTCACCTTCGTCTGCATGGCTCTGTCACTCACGGTAAGGACAGAGGCTCTCTCTGCCTCTTCTCTCTGTTTGGTTTTTGTAAAGGGGCAAGTTGCTATTTTAAAGGGGGAAATCTTATTTTCCACAATGTAATGTGATGCTGGATTAATTAGCAATCTCTTCAATACACTTTCTTCTTCAAATGTGAACGATTGTTATTCAAGGAGGCCCTTGAGTCTAGGAATAAAGGACCCACTTCAGGCATTTCTTGGGACTTCTCAAATGCTGCAGAAAGGAAGAGGTTGCCTTTAATTGGAATAGTACACTTGTCTTGCTGAAAAATTTCTAGCCCACTTTTTAAACATCGAAAGTCAACTTTACAACCACCCCTGTCTCTTTTCCAAATTTAATCCGCGTTACTTCAGTGTTCCCCAGTAAAATTTCCTTTCCAGTTATGTTTGTGCTGACATAGCTTACTTACGTGGCCATCACGTGCCCATAGGCATTGAGCCCCTGCGGGATCCCAGGCCCATCTGTCTGCTGAGGATACAGCTGTGAGCAAGCGTGTGTGACACTGTGTCAGCAGCAAAGCCTGTCTGTATTTCTATGCGCAACCTTAAATAAACAACACGCATCCTTCGTTATGAAGCCCATGTGTGTAATTCGGATGTGTGCGAACACTGATAATGTTCAAAAAACATGGATAAAATAGGTACATGCTTTATAGTCCAAAGGACGTGGTATATAATTTAAGGTTTTTTTAGAGCGTTTATCAACAGTGGCAAAAAACTTACCGTTTATAAACAGCCTTCCGTTGGAGACTGTGCCCTTTGGGTTATAAAGATGGAGATGAAAAAGACGATAAGAAGAAATAAGAGTCTTTTGAACTCGGTTCTGTTTTCCTTGTTTATTGTTGTCACAACACATGTCCTATTAAATCCGGTAGAAACTTACTTTCGCATATACAATAGAAATATTTGCAGAAATGTCGAGATGTGTGCAGTTGTCATTGTCAATAACTAATAAAGAGGACCGGAGGCCGTGAAGGTGTTGGAGTATGCCAATAACGGGAGCACAGGGGCTGGGTCCTTCTTACCGTCATCACAAGAACCGTGGAGCTTGATGAGCTCTGTTAGTGGGCCATTAAACTCAAGGCCTGCGTACATTTTAAACCTTTAATGGACATTTTGAAAGCCTGCAGCTTAGTATTTGATCCGTTGATCCAACACCTAATTAGATTGTCACAAGGGCAGTGCCCATCACAGAAGACCTCTGACACTGCCGAGTCATGACCTCGTGTCCTCAGCTGCCCTTGTCACCACCAACACAGCCCCTTTTGCCAGCCTGTCCCTGTGGAACACGGGGGCGTTGGGAACCTATTCCAGCACTGCCTCACTGCAGAAGAATTGCTGATAGCAATGCCTGTTTGAGCGGGGCCGGTTCCCCAGGCAGCCATGCTCCCCTGTTAGCATGATTTCTCTCTGTGGTGCCCAAGCTTTTCCATAGTTCCCTAAAACATTAGCAAAACACTGAGCAACTTTGAAACCATTTAAGAGCATTTTAGGCAGAACAGAGCAGGTTTCTTTTCCAGGAAAAGACCTCAGCATTTGGAGACTGTGTTAAATGGCTGGAAATCCAAGGTTGAATTAACTCTGCTGTGAGGCCCTGTGACTTGGACCTCATCTGCATATAAAGCTGACAACGCCTGGCTGCCGCTGGCTCTGCGGTCCAGAAACTCACCTCCTCTGTCTTCTTTCATACTGTTTAACATCTTTCCGCTGCTAGAGTTGAATCTGATGGAGAGCTTTACCGGATTGGGCTTAAGGACATTCACCTCTCTTTCAGTTCACAGGCAATAATTTATACTTCTAAAAAAAATATTCTGCAAGTTTATTTTGAAATGATAATGACTTATAATCTGGGAAAATGCTTACATTTCCCAGGTAGAGGCTTTATTTATTATTCTAATCCTCTATCTAAAAACCATCTGTGACTTGAAGTTTCTCAGGGTAAATTTTCACCTTCTAGAAATAGAGATTCAGAACCCTTTGTCAGACAGGAACTTGGAGATGAACTAGTCAAAACCCATAATTTTTCAGAAAAGGAAATGATTCACACCGGACAAGTGACTTGTCCAAGTATCCAGTAATAGAACCGGCTACAGCCCAGCCTTCAGGGCATGCTCTCCAGGGCCCTGTGCTCTGAACCACACTGTTCCCAGAGAGTAGGAACAAATATTGGCCCTTAGGCCTCCAGATTGGGGCGCTTGCCACCATGCCTGAAACAGTGATTTTTTGCCCATTAAAAACCATAGTATTTGAGTTTGTGGCTTAGGAAGGGTCTCATGTACACCATCCTTATGATGATTCAATCAATTGATCCAACATCTTGGCTAAAGGAGTTTTCACTGAAAGACACATAGAAAAAAATATAAAGGGAGATTTTTCTCTTTTTTTTCTTTTTTGAGACAAAGTCTCACTCCGTCGCCCAGGCTGGAGTGCAGGCGCATGATCTCGGCTCACTGCAACCTCTGCTTCCCAGGTTCAAATGATTCTTCTGCCTCAGCCTACCAAGTAGCTGGGATTACAAGCACCCGCCACCACACCCGGCTGATTTTTGTGTTTTTAGTAGAGATGGGGTTTCACTATATCGGCCAGGCTGGTCTCGAACTCCTGACCTCAAGTGATCTGCCCGCCTCGGCCTCCCAAAGTGCTGGGATTACAGGCATGAGCCACTGCGCCCAGCCGGAGATTTTTCTTTCTAAATTAAACATTAAACTGTCCCTGTAATGAGTACTCACCTTATTCTGTCTCTTACTGTATTCATTCTTGTACATCTTTTGCTGCTCTTGGGCCCCAAACTTCATGAGGCAGGGTCTGCAATGTCATCTTTTATCCCCAGGGCTTAGCATCCTGCTTGACACTGAGAAAGGTCACAGTAACAAGTTAACAAACACAGGAATCAACTAATCCTTAATTATGAGACACCGGTCAGTAAGGTACCGACAGCATTCACCCTTGTGAATGGCAATCTTCTCATTTATGCTCAGTCTGTATTATCGTAAAAGCTTTTAAAAGGCTCTTGATTTTCTAGTCTATTTTCTTTTTCCTTGGTTTTGGGTTTTTTTTTTTAACTGTTTGTATAGAAGGGGTCTCACTATGTTGCTCAGGCTGATGTCGAATTCCTGGCCTCCTAAAATGCTGGGATTAGAGGCATGAGCCACTGCCCCTGGCCTGTTTTTGTTTTTTTGAATTTTGAAACTTCGTAATATCAGGAAATTAATGTAGCAGAGGTCATTGAAACGCTTGAGAGCAGCACACTTGGTGTTTATTTCAGCAGATGATTCTGTGTATACAGTAGGAGCTGCGTGATGATGCCACAGCCCTCCACGCATTGGCCAACGTTAGCACGCTTTCCCACACTCCGCTGCTTTGGGAAAATCAGCTTTATCCCTGAGTCTTTTGAGAAGAGCTGACCCCCAGGATCCTGTAGACACCCAATGACTCAGTGATTCAAAGGAAAACGTATACTGTCCAGAATCAAAATGCATCCTTCCCTCAGAACAGCCCCCTTTCCAGGCCCTGACATTTGAGTTCAACACCGCCTTTGCCTGTGAAAAATACCGCGGTGTCACTGCTGACAGTTAGTAAGAGGCTCATTTCAGCATGTTACAATGACGTGTTTGTTTATTCCCTATTACACATTTTCTATTTAAATTTAGAGTATCTGTCCTACTCCAGAAGTTGGTTCTGCCCTTGTACTCTTATCCAGCAGTTTTGTTGATCACTGGGTTTTAAGAAAAGCAGCAGATGTCTTCTGCCCAGTGTGGAAGAGGGGCTGAAGTCAGAGGGGTGTAGAGTAGGAAAATGGAAATGTTCGCCATTTCCGTTAGCATCTTGCTTTCAGTCCTTCAGAGCTGCGGTTAGGCATGCTTAGCCGGAGGTTGATTGATCTCTCTAAACCATCTGATGGGCATGAGGATGAGAAAGGGGGTACCTTTAGTTGATCCAAAAGATTGGCTTCAAAACAGTAGAACTGTCAGATGAAACGGAATCCCCTTGATAGCAACGAGGGAGCAGACACAGTGCAAACCCAGGTTAGCAAGGCGCCTGCTGACTGACAAGCAGCTGTTTGGGGTGAAGGGAAGCACATTTCAAAAATATATGTGGCATAAAGCCATTTGGAAGAACAGCTTCAGAGGGTCTGCTTTCACGTGGAAGCGTGCAGGGTTGCAGCCACGCAAAGGAGACTGCGTCGCAGCCTCGCCATGCAAGGTGTCTCCACTGGTGCTGGAGTCAGAGCCAGTGGTCGCCTTGCCCTGAGCCTTCCTGGACAGCTGCGGTCTCTGTCGCTCATGTGACTGGCTGTAGAACACAGTGACAGTGAGTGTGCCCTAAAAGGCTGTGCTTCTCTAGGTAGACACTCCTGGAGCCACAGGCTGAGGCAGCAGTGAGCTCACAAGAGAGGAGCAGGCACCACAGTCCTTCCTCTTACGTGGGGAAGGCAGCTGCAGTGCTGAACTTACAGAAACCCAGCCTCCTACAAACCCCTGGGGCCTATCATGGTGCCCTCCTGGACTCTAGAAGTGGGGATAAGATAGAAACCACTCACCGGCATGGGCTGTATCTTCCAACAGTCCTTTTGGTGGGGAAGAAATGTCCCAAAAGAGTGACGGACCTCCCTATTCCTGCATGCCAGGCCAAGTGGTGAAAGCCAGCCCATCGGGCTGCTAAGTTTACCAAATTTGCCAATTTACCCAAAACATGACTTTTTAAAACTGTTTCTGAAGTCCATAGCCAATCATATTTTAATAAACAGAAGTTTTTAACACCTTTGGATGCTTTTAGTTGACTAGTTTCCATTTTGATTTCACAATGGCATTTTCAGAACATCTGCTGTTTATCTTCTCAAGCTCCCTGCTCTGCTGTACTTTGGGGAGTTAGTGCCAAGAGAGGGGGACCCTCTGCTTCAGGAGACATAGAGAAGAATCCATGCAAAGCACAGGCTTGGCCTCTGCTAAGCCTCCCCAAACCATTAGCACACAATGGAAATGGGATCTCTCCAGATGGATCTTGGCAAGCAGAGCCAGCCAGGCACTTTTGTGCAGTGCACGAACTACACGACTATACCCAGCACCCCTGGGATGCCACATTCAGAGAAAGTCAGAGAAGGGGGAGAACAAGGATCAGGGAAAGGAGAGTGACTGAATGTCAGAGAGGTGGAGTAGCGTGAAGGTCAGAAGGAGAAGGGAGAGAGACTGGTCAGAAAAAGAGGGGAGGTGACGACTCAGAGAAAACTGGAGCAGAATGGCAGAGGTGGGGTTACAGACAGGGAAAATGGAGGCCCCAGAGACCCTGGGGCCCTCCCAGCCCTTGGGACCCTGCCAATCCTTCCTGTAAAAAATGGCTATAAACTTTAGAAGAGTTTAAAAGAGACAAGATCTTAAAACTCAGAAAATTTGACAATTTGTTGGTTGGCCAAATTGGTTATCCACCGGTTGATTTTTGGCGAGCTGACCTGTTTCAAGATGGCAGGTGTGGATGGGACTCTGTCCAGGGCTGGCCCCACACACCCACATTCTGATGACGCAGAGGTCATGGGACTGTGCCAGGGCCCCCAGACTACATCCACTGGTCCCCAAATAACTGGTTTCACTGGCTTCAACACATGGAGGCTGCTTGATGTGGTGGGGGTAGGGAGGTGTTGCTGTCACTTGAGGCAGAGAGAGAAGGAAGCCTGGCCACGCTGGCACAGTGTGCCAATCAAACCACGTGGCCTCATGCAATAGAGTGCAAGGGTATCCGAGGTCAATGGCTGTTTGTATTTAAGGATCTGATTCTTTAAAAAAAAAAAAAAAAAAAAAAAAAAAAAAAAGTTAGGTTTTTACTCTGGATCTTTCTGAGCCTTGCTTTTTGTAGTCAGTGGGGGGTTAAAGGGAGACCGTGAAACTGCATTCAACCCGGAACCTTCTATTTTATTGTTATGGGTTGAATAGGATTCGCCAAACCTTCTTATGTTAAAGTCCTAACCCCCAGTACCTCAGAATGTGACCTTACTTGGAAATAGGGTTAAGATGAGGTTCTGGTAGGTGAGTAGGGTGGGCCCATAATCCCCTATGACTGGTGCCTTTTTAGAGGAAGAAATTTGGGCACAGACATGCACACAGGGGAAGCACCACATGTAGGCTGGAGTTTTGCTGCCTCAGCCCAGGAGCTACCAGAAGCCAGGAAAGGCCTGGAACAGACCCTTCCCTAGCACCTTCAGAGGGCATGTGCCTCTGCTCACACCTTGATTTCAGTCTCCAGAACTGTGGGGCAGTAATTTTCTGTTGCTCAGAGTCACCCAGTTTGTGTTATTTTGTTTTGGGTGCCTGGCAAGCTAACAACTATGATTTCTGAAAGGAAGGAATCTTCTCGTCACTTAAGGCTACATGGATTGATGAACCAGACTTCTAACTATTCAACTCACTTGTTTTTGTTTTTTGTTAGATTCTGTCTCCTTTTAGTTTCATGAGACATCTCTATTATTTTATTTCCAGATTCTCCATGTGAGTAGGGGATTTGCTTAGAAATATAGTACTTTATGCAGTGTGGCCCTGTGTCTGCATTTTTTAGTTTAATTTTTATTTTTTGTGGGTACCTAGTAGGTGTACATATTTATGGGGAACATGAGCCATTTTGATACAGGTAACCTGTGCCAGTACTTACATGCTTAATGATATTTTTGCCAAAGGTTTCTCTGGGGACAGGGGATATTGACACCGTAGCTACTGATAGAAGTACCAGGACTAGATTTAAGTTACTTTGCTTCTTGTTTTTCTTCTGCTTTTTATTCATTGAATAATGCAGTGCCCCTCAACAAGGTCTTTGCAGAGTCCAGGACTAACCTGGGCCACTACAAACATTCAAAAACTGAAATATTTTTCCAATTTTCAGGAAACAATAAGTTGCTAGAATTTTATTCATTTGTATTTCTTCACCCCCAGATTGCCTCAAAATCTTGATCTCTTCTTCTATTTACCACTTGAACCTTATAAAGGGTAATTGATTTGGCACAAAATTATAAAAATTACTCATTTTTCAGTTGAACGTATCAATACACACCCGTGTTCTGCCAAGAACCCACGTGGGGCCCACCACCTGAATGAGTTTGAAAGCAACAGGGAAGACACGTTGTTTATACCCTGGGCCTGCAGACACGCACTGCTCACCAGCCCCTCTGAGCCCTTAAGGAAGTAAAGCCTGGGCCCCACGGATCCCTGCACCTGCCGAGTGCTGCCTGACCCGAGTTCCACCTCAAAGAGGCAGGTGCCCAGCCCGGCTCTTTCGGTTTTCACTGCTGTGGAAGCAGAGCTATCATAGTGTTATAAGGTTTCAGTGCCACAAAAGACATAGTACTCGAATATAAAATTTTCTTTTTAATTCTCAGCAAGGCAATGTACTTCTATAGAAGGATGCGCCCTTACAGATGGAGCAATGGTGAGCGCACACATGGACAAGGGAGGGGAAGGGGTTCTTATCCCTGACGCACGTGGCCCCTGCTGCTGTGTTGTTTCCCTATTGGCTAGGGTTAGACTGCACGGGCTAAACTAATTCCGATTGGCTAATTTAAAGAGAGTGACGGGGGTGAGTGGTTTGGGGGGAAAAATGATTACGGCAGAGCAGGAAATCGGAATGAGTCAGGGTGGAGCAGGTAATCAGAAAAGGTTGCTTTACGAGGAAGTTAAGTTTAAAAGTAGAAGGCAAAGAATTGAACATATTGACATACTGATTCTTTGAAGAGAAATTTAGAACGCATATCTAGCAATAGGGAGAGGTCAGTCAGGAACTGCCATCCCACACAAATGGTGAAGTCACTCAGTAGGGCTTCATTGATCGACTTCCATGATTAATACCTTATGATTCCCTACAGGTTTTTTAAAAATTGGTTTTCTTAGTCTCAGCTTAAAGACAGTGTACAGAAACCAGACATCAGCCTGACGGGGCGCTTAGTCCAGACACTCCCGACACGCATGCGCCATCAACGTGGAGAAAGCAAAGATGTGGCGCCTCTGGCCTCTTGGCTTTCCGAGCCCAGCACCAGCTCGGAGGCTGTGAGGCACACGGGGCTCCGCACACGAGCACTTTCCCCGTGGCCTGAAACTCCCGATGACCGGCCATTCACTTAGGTGCAGCAGGCAGGGAGCCCAGCAAAGCCCATGTAAATGATCTCAAAATACCTCAAAAATTACCAAATAGAGGTAATTACATGAAGCAGTGTGTGAAATGAGCACGATGAGGATCTAAAACAGCTGATTGCATGCTAAATGGCCATTTTGTAAGTTTAATGAAGTAACATATCATTTGACACAGGAACAAAAGAAAACAATCAAAAAACACTCTGGGCACAGGAGAGACTTCACTGGCTTCCCTCTCCCAGGCCTGGGTGTCTCCTGCACCTACGGGCAGTGCTTGTGAAGTGCTTTTAGCTAGTCTGTGGTCTTTGCTCAAAAGGGTCTTCATTTTCTCTTAAAGGCTGACTACTGTGTCCCCAGCTCTGGGTCGGATGTCCCACTTGCTCGGGCACAGTAAGGTAAATGGGTTTTAATGGTGCCATGAAATTCTTCTGGGGTCTTTTTGTATCTTCTGAGCCCAGTACAAGGCTAAAAGAACCACAAAGCGCTGCCAAGAAACAGCACATATGGCAAACAACAGTGCCTCGAAACCTGCTCACTATGAATCCGGTGCCAGACAGTTTTCAGTGGCCTGTAGTCCTCCCTGGAGATGGCTCTTAACTGATGTGGCTTGAAGAATGAACTGATTGTTACCAAAAAAGAAGTTTCCAGAGGGCCAGGGTGCACGAACTGGAGCTGACACCACTGATCTCTTACAAGTTCCCTCCTTTGAAACTGGAGATGGGTTCAGCTGGGGGGGCTGTCTGTCACGCCTGTGGCTCTCATGACATCTAACTGCCCTGTATGTGTCTGTTGATTTAATGAGGGAAGAGGGATGGAGGCAGAGGGATTTAGGTCAAGCTGGAATTGGCTACATAGCTTGGTGCTTATAGCTGTGGGCCCTGGAGCCACAGGGCTTGGGTTCAAATCCAGGCTCCACCACTCACTAGCCAAGTGGCTTCAGGAAAGTCACTCAAAACTGCCATCTTCAGTTTCCCCAGATGCCACACAGAGGCAACAAGAATTGCTCACCTTTTAAGACTTTAAAAGGGGTAAAAGCTTAGTGAAATACCTGGCATGTGCTATATGCAAAGAATGACAGCTCTCCTCAGCCACCAGCTCCACCACCGGGACACTCAGTGGTCCCTAACATAGGGAAAGAGGGCTGCACATATACATAAGTAGCTAGGGGTATATTTTATGCCAAGGAATAATTTTATGAATTATATATATGTATCTATATCTTATAGATAAATATAAAGTTTATAGTCTTCAAATTTGTGTGGGTTTTGGTGGTGGGGGGTGTTGTTTTTTTAAAAGCCAGTCTCTTGATCGGTAGATTTACACACACCTTCAGTAGACAAACCCTGCCACAGATGTGACCCCTGTATGAACCATTTTTCTCCTCGGGGAAGCTCTTTAGTTGACCCGTCACCCCCTGCTATTTACAGCCTCCCAGTCCCAGGCACAGATGGTGCTACCAGAGCCCCATCTTCTTGCTAACACAGAGATGCCAGTTCTCCATCAAGCTGCAGTGAACACAAAAAGAGGGGAATGAATAGGTTGAGTCCTCTGACTAGACATCTGATAGAACCACAGACACAACCACATAGTAGAAAATGCCAGTAAGGACCAATTTGAAGTTGCACCTGGGCCCAGGAAGCATGTTAACATTTTGAAGTCCTCAGGTGAGAAAGAACACCCGCGTGTCCACAGAAACCTGGGTCCTGTGGGGCACACGTGATGCTTCCTAGGGACCCGTCATGACCCCTGTTCACGTGACACTCGCGCAGCTCCCTGGGCCTCCCGTGTGTCTCGTCTCTCCCCACGTTGCCCTGTCCCACACAGCTGTGGCCGTATGCATTGCTGAAATCATCAAACGCCTAGGCAGTGGAGCAGAACACGTCAGCCCATCACTTTCCCTAGTGCAGCCTAAGGCTATACCTGCTTTTTAAATTAGCCGCTTGGCACTGTTCTCAGGATAAACATGAGACCCATAAGCTCCAGTCAAGGACTGGGCCCTTCTAGGATTTCCAACCTCGAGGCTCCCAGCCTCTCCCTGATTCTCTAAGCTTTCTTTCCACCACAGATGAGTTCATGCTGGGAACCTTGCACAGTTTTATGGTTATCAACAGAATGCTTTTCTCCCTCTTGTCAGTGTTGGTCTTCAGATCCCACTTGGCTGGGTTTGCTCTTCCTGGCTAGTTTTGAGGTGACCCTCCTTGGTGGAGAAGGCAGAGAGAGAGCTGGGGTTTGGAAGGTACCCCCGGCCCCTGGCAGCTCTTTCCCTTTTCCCTTCTTTCTCGTGGCACATTTTTTACAGCTCTTTTTCTTGATCTGAGCACTTTTACTCTGAGCACTTGGGCTTTCACCTCCCGACCTTGTTCTTATGGGGGTTCTTACGTTCTTATGGACACATTGTTTGGTACCACCATAGACCCTGCCATAGACATGACACTTGTGTGCACCAGGCTGCCCCTTCAGCCCGCCTCTCCCTCCTAGCCATGGCCGATTTGGAAATGATAAAGATCCTCAGGAAATGAGCCCTCTCAGTAGCCACCCATCCGCCAACAGCCTTCCAGATAGTCCTTCACCACTGGCCGCTGCCCCCGGAGGACGACATGGCCTTTCACGCCCGTGTTGGGCCGCCTCTCCAGCTTCCCATGCAGCAGTGTCCCCTCGCTCTGTGCTTTGCCTTGGTGGCTGCTGCCTTGGCCTCGAGGGCCCCGTCGGGCTTCTTGGCAGGCAGGTGCTTCCTTATCAACCTCTCCCTGGCACAGACAGGCACCGCCCCTTTTCCCCCCGCCAGAGCCTACCCCACCATTGCAAAGTGGCAGGTCACAGACAGTTTCAGTATTTACAGTGCCCCTCATCCCAGTGGAACCCGGGCTCTGGCCACCTCTTCTTGGAAGGCGCAGCTGGCAAGATAGAGGTGGAGGCACAGGGAAAGGAAACGCCTCCTAGAAGTCAGAGGTTTGGGGTCCTTCTCCTGCACTCCTGGCGCTCGCTTCTTGCTGGCAAGTACGCTGGGCACATCCACATACACGTCGGCCCCATCCTCCAGGCTGCAAGCCCTTAAAGGTCGACTCTGCGTGGGGCGTCCCAGGACCTGGGTGAGGGAGACCTGCAAGAGACTGGCTTCCAAACCCCTGCCCTCAGGTGAAGGCATGGATGCACGTTTTGCTGTCCCCAGTACCCACTTCCACACCTGGGGACCATGAGGCCTTCAGATGCCTTCTGTTTTCCTCCTCGTGGCCTGTTTTCTGGTTGTTGGGAGAGAATTTGTCTTCTGAGAGTTTTTCAGCCTCTTTTAGAATCTCTGGTGCTATTAGATCATATTCGCCTCTTTTCCATAAGTTTTGAAATCTGTTTCCCTTAATTTCTTTAAAAAAAATAATTTTCCCTGATTCCTGTGAATGTGAAGAAACCATGGCCACTCTCTTTGTCAGCAGCCCAGGATCATCCCCTCCGGCAAGGCTGTGAGCCCCCCTGCTCCAGCTTCTGGGGAGAAACTTTGTCCGGGAGAAGGGATTAGGTTGGAGGCTGCCAGAGAGGAGAGGGGCTTAGCGGCCTGGTCAGGTCCCCTCCTTGTGTGCTGTTTCTGTAGAACCCAGCATGGTCAGGTCCCCACCTTGCGTGCTGTTTCTGTAGAACCCAGCATGGATCACAGCACAGCGGGCTGCTTCTGTTGGGCTTCACTGCCTGCCGGAGGGAAGTAGGTGCCATCCCAGAGCAGGCAACCCTGCGGAACTGAGGATAAAGGTGTTTAGTATTTAAAATGTCTTGATCCTAAAGCTTCAGAACTTCAGGCCGCAGAGAGAGCAACTCAGGAGGGAAAGAAAACAAAGAGCAGCGGCATCAGAGAAGGAAGCAGCCTGAAGAATCCACTCTGTCCGGGTCTTTCTCTTGGACACACTGAGCTAACCCCTGTCTGTGCACTTGCTGGGAAGTGCCATTCCCAAAGCTAGAAACCAGAATTCTGGCTCCACCCCTTTTCTCCCCGCCAGAGCCTACCCCACCATTGCAAGGTGGCAGGTCACAGACGGTTTCAGTATTTACAGTGCCCCTCATCCCAGTGGAACCCAGGCTCTGACCACCTCTTCTTGGAAGGCACAGCTGGCAGGTAGAGGCGGAGGTACAGGGAAAGGAAACGCCTCCTAGAAGTCAGAGGTTTGGGGTCCTGTCTGGCACTGCCTCTCGCGTCCTCAATTTCCTCAATTAGAAGACTTTTTTTTTTTTTTTGGTCAGGCGCGGTGGCACAACCTGTAATCCCAGCACTTTGGGAGGCCGAGGCGGGCAGATTACCTGAGGTCAGGAGTTCGAGACCAACCTGGCCAACATGGTGAAACCCCGTCTCTACTAAATAAAAAAAAAGTAGTGGGGCGTGGTGGCACACAGCTGTAATCCCAGCACTTTGGGAGGCCAAGGTGGGCGAATCACCTGAGGTCGGGAGTTCGAGACCAGCCTGCCCAACATGGAGAAACCCCGTCTCTACTAAAAATACAAAATTAGCCAGGCATGGTGGCACGTGCCTGTAATCCCAGCCACTCGGGAGGCTGAGGCAGGAGAATTACTTGAGCCCGGAAGGCGGAGGTTGCAGTGAGCCAAGATCATGCCACTGCACTCCAGCCTGGCTGACAGAGCAAGACTGTCTCAAAAAAAAAGAAAAAAAAGGCTTTTTTCCCATCATTTCAGGGCCAGTTTTGGACGCACCTTGCAGGTCAGGATGGGCTCCTCCACTCCCATTTCTACCTACTGTCCATGTGTAGTGGAGAGGGCCTTCCGCGCCCTGGTGAGCTTGTGCTGCTCCTGTCTTGCCGCTGCTTGGGCCGGCACCCCAAGGACTCCACCGTCTTGGTTGCACACCATTATTTGCAGCTGCGTCTCAGTAAGGCGTGTCAGTTCTGAGTCCTTCTGTCATGTGCTAGAAGGTAGCAGAATCTGAGCTTGTAGTAAAACTTGCCATCCGACAGGACTTTGCCCGGCTGGCCCTGCGTTCCATGTTAGAAATTCCGTTCATGAGAATGACCCTGTCTCACCTTCCTGTGGCAACCTTCCCCCAAGCCATAGCTGTCACTCAGCCCTCTTGGGCGGATGCTAAAGGCCATATTCCAGCGGTGGCACCATGCTGACCCTTTGTCTGGAACAAAGACGGCCTGTTTGAGGCTTTGTTAATGCTGGGCCACCCCACCCCCACGCCGTGAGGTGGAGACTGCCACCCCATTGTTCCCGGCTCCACTGGAAGAAAATGCCTCTCTTGTGTATGGGGGATGAGAAAAGAACCAAAGGTGAATTAATGGAATTCAACACTTTCTCATTTGGTGCCCCTCACAGTACCCTTGGGCCTGAACAGTTTAGCAGCTTAGGGCATCTTGGAAACAGGGAGAAAGCAGGGCTTCTGCGGCCCCAAGGCCTGGATTGAACTCTGGCCCCTGCCTCTTTACCAGCCGGTGACCTGGGGCAAGTCACACAGTCCCTGTAGGCCCTGTGTCCTCCTCAGCTAATAAGGCATCTATCTGGGGAGTGTATGAAGATGAAATGGAATCACATATGGAGCGCTGTTGGCGCATAGTGAGTGACTTCCTTCCCTCTGCCTTCCCTCCGCACTTCTCTCTGGAAGCTTCAGGAATCCAGCATTTGCTCAAATCCAGCACGTATAGCAGATTTGAGTGGTTGATTGGTTTGTTTTGGGGGAATTTAGGTAAGATGAAGACAATAAAGGCTAGTCCCTAAAACTCTACCTAAGCCCTCATAATAAGACACCAGGGCAGATGCACATGTGTCATTTAAACAACGAGCAAATGAACAGAGTGTGCTGTTATAAGCAGGTTCCAAATGTTTTTAAGATTTTTTTAATTGTAGAAAAATACACATACAGTGTACCAACCTCACCATTTTTAAAGGGACAGTGAAGTCCATTCACATTGCTGCTTGTCATCACCATCTGCCCATAACGGGATTGCAAAACTGAAACCCTATACCCACTAAACAGTCACTCCTCATGTCCCCTTCCCCCAGTCCCAAACAAGTTCCAAGTTGACTATTAATAGTCAAGGAGAAGGAAAGGCTAAACAGAAGCTGGAGTGTGGAACTTTATCAATAGTCCTCAGATCCTGTGAGAAAAACCAGGAAAGGATTAAAGCTGCAGAGAAAAGGAATAGGAGTTGGACAACCCTCTGCGGGCTTGGCGCATGGCGCCCCCTGCTGTTTGAGGTATGTCATGTCTTTCCACCAACGCGGCATTACTAGATTAGTAAGTCGTTGGGATCTGAAAGACACTTTGCTTTCATGTAGTGTGTGCATTTGGCAATTTCATTAAACCTAGATGATAGAAGGGATGATTTAGTTTTCATATTCTTCAAAAAGCTGGTTATAAAACTATATCTGAAAGTGTTGATTTTTTACCGTGAATATGCTGTAACAGTTGATGATTGCTTCAACTCCTTTATGAAAATATTCAAGATTTATAATAATTATTATGATTATCAACAAGCCAGATGGAAGGTATCAAATTCTACATAAACACTTTGTAATATGCTTTTCCAAGCTCCTTAGCTTAGAAAACCAAGCTCTGTTTCTCTCAGTAATAGATGTCATTTTTCATCTATTGTTTGCTACCCCTATGTTAGCCAACTAGAATTTTTCTAGCCTGACCTTAAGTAAAAACTCCTTCCCGTGTCCCCACTGCCTGTGATGGTCATCATCATCATCCCTCCTGTGAGGTTCCCTACTTTCTCCCACTGAGCAAGACGCGGATGTGGAAGCATCCCTCTCTCCCATCATCCCCTCACGTGCTGTATCGGGAACACGTGGCTTTGCACCCTTCTGAGGACAGGTCAGTCAATCCCAAGAGCCCATTCCTTCTGGCAGTTGCTACAGGTATGCACACCTTAAGCACCGTTCCCCAGAAATGGGAGTCATTTGCTACTTTCACATATTGCCTGCTTTCGGCAATTCACCCTGGTGAAATGGCATTGTTTTTCCTTCTAAATTGGGAATCTGAGAGTGTGTCCTGATGGAATTCCATGTCATTCCATTTGGGGTGTACTGAGTCATGCAAACATTAGGAACACTCCTAGAGAGGCCCCATCCAGCTCATGGGACAGCTCACAAGTGAGCAGGAAACCACCGTGAGGACAGGTCAGCCACGCCTCCAGCCTCCCTCCCGTCACTCTTGCCCAGCTCCTGTCTTTCATATTGTACATTGGTTCTTCTCCCTTCCCCACCAGTCCAAACCCTTGCCAGCTCTCACCTGGATGGTCACAGTAGCCGTGACGAGGATCCTTGATTCAGCCCTTCCCCTGCTTGCCCTGCCTCTCCTCCACCCACAACCTGCCATGGCTCTCACATCCCTCCGAGTGAAAGCCAGAGTCGTGACCATGACCTGTGAAACCCTTCGTGAACTGTCCTCCTTCCTTACGTGCATGCAGCTGGTGCAGTCTGGCACTAAGAAACAAAAGGCCAAACAGCATTCCTTATGGCTGCGTCAGCTCTCTCTGGAAAGTCGAGCAAGACAGCATAGTGTTATCTAATAGTGTCCTGCCCTGTGCTGGCCCCTCCACCCCTAAGTATATCAAATCAGTGTGCCTTCCTCATGAGGTGATGTGGGACATGGTTTCCCAAGACGCTGGCTGTGAAAACCAAGCTGACAGCCACTTTCTGAAAGCTGCCCCTCCCCCAAGACAAGACTTCTCACATTCCTGTCCCAATCACATTTGAAGTTTGATGATATCCGTGAAGACATCTACAGGGGTCTGTTTTATTTAAAAATGTTTTTCTGCATGGTGAAACCCCATCTCTACTAAAAATACAAAAATTAGCTGGGCGTGGTGGCACGTACCTGTAGTCCCAGCTACTCAGGAGGCTGAGGCGGGAGAATCTCTTGAACCCGGGAAGCGGAGATTGCAGTGAGCCAAGATCGTGCCACTGCACTCCAGCCTGGCAACAGAGCAAGGCTGCATCTCAAAAGAAAAAAAAATGTTTTTCTGATAAAAAGAATACATGTTCTTTGTGGAAGCCACGGAAAAATACAAAGAGGAAAATTCAATCAGTCCTAATCTCACCACCTCCAGAGGACTCCCCTGCTAGCGTTTTGTTAGAATACGGTCCCAGGAAACCTTCTGGAATACTCACAGGTGACATCCGTGGATCACATTTGGTGTGCCGGTGCTGGAAAAGCGGTTTATGCAAACTGCAGTGCTCGCAGGCTCGGGGTTTGCAGATGAGTGCCAGAGGTCTGGCCATCCGTGATGGGATAAGAAGCTAGCACCGGAATGTGAATCAACTTGGTCACCAGGTATGATGTCCAGTTCAGCTGGCGTTGTTTGGATGGCAAGACTTTCTTAAGGAAGGCAGGCATCGATTTACTTTATGGAGTCAACTGCTTATCTCAGTGTGGACCAGTCCACAGTTGGCAGACCAGCACTCTGGGCAGCCCAGTCCACACAGCATCCCTGTGAGGGAGACACCATCCCCGTTTGAAAGAAGAGAGCTGAGGCTGGAGTGCTCAGGGAACTCACCTAGAGACAACAGACAGAGACACAGCTGGGTTGGAGTGCCAGCCCGGCAGTCAGGCGCCAGTGCCAAGCCCTAACCTCCTCTTCACACTTTGTGTTGCCGAGGGCTAACCACTGGCTTGCCCGGTGGGGACTTCAACCCAATTAAAAAGGTATATTGAACCTTTTTTTCAAGCAAAAGCGCCAAATAAAAATGATGTCCAGGGCCAGCGATTTTTATTCAAAACAGCTGCATATGTTTGACTTTTTCTAACTGCAGGGATAAGAGTCTCATGTACTGCTAATTCTGGTTATTCAGGGCAATGGGGAAGCCTTTGTGAGTTCCTCAAAATGTGGTTAAGAGCTTATGGAAATTAAATAAGACCCGAGCACTTGGCAGTGCCCTCATAGGGTGGTGGTCTCCGAGGACACACACAGAAACGGCCGTCCCACCGTGGCCTGGTTGGCATGTTTCTGAGTTCACGTGCTGATGAAGACAACTGGCTGCTTCATATCCCGGTTCCAAATGCTTTGAAAAGAGACTCAGATTGTCCCCAGGGGAGCTCGGGGACCATGCATGGCCCACTCTGCAAGTGAGGAAGCAGGTCTTGGTTCAAATCCCCCTTCCGTGGTTCTTAGCTCAGAAAACCAAGCTCTGTTTCGGACTGTAGCATAGTAAGACCCAGGGGTCTTCTGTCTGTAAAGCTGGCGATTTCCTTCATCACTGCACTGATCCTTCTGATCCTATTGGGGGACCTTAATATGTGGTCAAAGTTTTTCATGACTTAGCCCATTGATACACAGATTTAGAAATAAAAGTCAAGTACTGCCCCAACACAGAATGACGACACACAGTTAAGGCCTGCTTGAAAATGTTTTGGGGTTTTTTATGTGATTTTGTTGTTGTTGTTGTTTTGAGACAGAGTTTCACTCTTGTTAACCAGGCTGGAGTACAATGGCACAATCTCAGCTCACTGCAACCTCTGCCTCCTGGGTTCAAGTGATTCTCCTGCCTCTGCCTCCCGAGTAGCCAGGATTACAGGTGCACACCACCACGCCTGGCTACTTTTGTATTTTTAGTAGAGATGGGGCTTCTCCATGTTGGTTAGGCTGGTCTCGAACTCTTGACCTCAAGTGATCCATCCACCTCGGCCTCCCAGAGTGCTGGGATTACAGGTGTGAGCCACCACTCCTGGACAAAAATGTTAAATTACTCATTGATCTGAGTCATCATCAACGTTAGGCTCAACCAAATCATCCCTGGAAACTGACTGGCTCACATGCTGACTGGAAACTGTATTTTAAGTTTGTGAATAAAAAAGCTGCAGCCCAGTGGTGGTTAGTTTCTAAAGAGGTTAATATGATTCAAGAAATGAGGAAGTCTACCCCTTGATCATGCAGAATAAGAGACTGAGAGGGGACTACACTCTACTAGAAATGAATGTGTCTTGGGCTGCATGTAAGCACCTCAGAGTTCAAAGCAGACACTTCACGGTCAATGGCTGGTCTCAGAAAATGAATCACAGTCTGTCAAATAACAGAGAAGTGAATTATGAATCGTCATCTTCTTCTTCCTTCTTTTTTTCTCCTTTAATTTTTGGAGACAGGATCTTGTCACTCAGGCTGGAGTACAGTGGCGCAATCTTGGCTCACTGCAGCCTGGACCTCCCAGGCTCAAGCAGTCCTCCCGCCTTAGCCTCCCAAGTAGCTGGGATTAAGGGTATGCTACATTTTGTTTGTAGAGATGGGGTCTTGTGTTGTCCAGGCTGGTCTCGAACTCCTGGCCTCAAGCAGTCCTCCCACCTTGACTTCCCAAAGTGCTGGAATTACAGGCATCCACCATGCCCAGCCCTTCTTTTTTTAACTTTTTTTTTTTTAAAAAAAGAATAACTTCTGATTTACAGAAACATTGTGGAGATGGTGCAGAGTTCCCATAGACTCCTCACCCTCACTCACATTACTTTACTGCAGCGCGCATGTTACAACCGAGGAGCCAGCCCTGGTGTGTGACTGTGAACTAAACTCCATGGTGCATTAGGATTTCACTGGTTTGTTTTCTCGTGAGCTCTTTCTGTTCCAGGATCTCATCCAAGACACCACATTATGTCTAGTCATCATGCTTCCGTAGCCTCCTCTGGTCTCTGAGAGTTTTAGACTTTCCTTGTTTTTAAGGCCTCAACGGTTTTGAGGAGTTCTGGTCGGGTATTTGGTAGAAGGTCCCTCAATGTGCGTTTGTCTGGGGTTTGTCTTATGATTAAGACTGGGCTTAGGGATTTTGGGGAGGAAGACCACAGAGACAAAGTGCCACTGTCATCACATCTTATCGAGGGTATGTGCGTGGATGTTGACCTTGATTGCATGGCTGGGGTCATGTCTGCCGTGTTCCTCTGCTGTCAGGACGGGTTTCCTTTCTCCCCACTGTGCTCTTCAGAAGGAAGTTCCTCAGAAGGAGCAGGAAGGTCTGCTCCACCCACCTTAGAGGGGAGCAGCTAATGAATTATTTAGAGTTCTGTGCAGGACATTTGTCCCTTCTCTGCCATTTTTAAATTTCTATCCCTAGGGACTCATGGATATTTATTTGCTATTTTGGGATATAATTCAATACTGTACTTATTTTGTTGCCCAAATTGTTTTTGCTTTGGCCATTCGGAAGCTCCTTCTGCCTGGCTTCTGTGTCCCTTTGCCGTGTTCCCATTCTTTTATTTTGGGGCACAGCCTTCCTTCTTGTACCATAGATGCTCCAAGCGAATCATCTTGCATATTCTCTGCCTTGGTCCTAGAATGAGTCATTTCTCTAAGGAATCCTGGTTCCTTTTATTGAAGAATAAATAGAAAAACCAAGATCTGGGCACTGGGTGGACTATTCGATTTTGAAGGCTGTGTCCTGACAGAATATTGACAGCAAACTCGACAGCAGAAAACCCACCTCTGCAGCTGCTCAGAGGAACGACTCTTGTTCATTGGTGGGAGATTATTAGGGGTGTGTGCTGGTTTGGAAAAGTCAATGTCATTAGGCTCTGCAAATATTTGAGGAACACAGCACATCATGGTCAACTGGGAGGCATGTTCTGAGTTGAGACTACTCTGGGTGAACTCATTAAAATGACACTGTTCCTGATACTCTTTGTCAAGGGAACTTCTAAAGCGTCCTGTTTTTTCAAATGGACTTGTTAAATGTAGTCTGATTATTATGCTAGGGCTCAGTACTTTGCCTAGGGGAAGCTAGGGAAACCTCACCTGCAGATAGGTATTGTAGCTTTTAATACATACCATACCCACTTTTTTTTTTTTTTTTTTTTTTTTTGAGACGGAGTCTCGCTCTGTCGCCCAGGCTGGAGTGCAGTGGCATGATCTCAGCTCACTGCAAGCTCCGCCTCCCCGATTCACGCCATTCTCCTGCCTCAGCCTCACGAGTAGCTGGGACTACAGGCGCCTGCCACCATGCCTGGCTAATTTTTTGTATTTTTAGTAGAGATGGGGTTTCACCGTGTTAGCCAGGATGGTCTCGATCTCCTGACCTTGTGATCCTCCCACCTTGGCCTCCCAAAGTGCTGGATTACAGGCATGAGCCACCACGCCCAGCTCACCATATCCACTTATAAGTTAAATGTATTCCTTTCTAAGTTATATGTATACCTAAGTTATATACGCAAGAAATATCCACTCGTTGAAAAACTTGCTGAAAAGTGAAGCGCCATTTTCCTACTGGAAGCATAGCAAGAGCTTCAGAGACTTCAGGGAGGAAGAAAAAGGAGACTTTGATAAATGTGGCGTTCCTTTCCTTTAGTTACCTGTGATTGTTCAAACCCCAGATCAGACTAACCGCTTCCAGTTCCGATACCCCGCGAAGACCCAGTCTGGGCTGTAGGTGTGTGTGGTTGAAAACTGAAGAAGCACCTCTGTTGGCACATGGCCATGATAAGGGGCATTTAGGGTGTGCTCAGCACAGACCAAGATAAAAAACAGAGTGACTGAGTGGTGCCAGGTTGGATCATACCGTGGAATTTTAGAAATGGACTATTGAGCCACCATCTCAGGAAGCTCCTACTGGAAATCCATCAAACCTTACTTAACTTCGTGGTTGTGTTCAAGGTACCATAACTGTGCTCACCTACACAGCTTGGCTGATACTGATGTCAATGTGTCAAGTGATGTGGGCACACTCACTATCATGTCCTCAAGCTGACCCCCCACCCACTGCTCCAAAGGTTTTCTGATCTTCTACAAGATGGGAAAACGCCTCTGGGTGAACATGACCCGATTGTGGATCCCAGAGCAGGGATTACCTGGCTCATCTGCCACAGAGGCCCATTTCCGCCATCTTTCTCTCTGACGTGCAATTACACCCTCCTTTTTCCTTGGTTCTTGTAACTGAAGAGCCACTTTACAATGATTTTGCAAAGCCTAGAGAATTGCAACATTTGTGTGAGGCATTATCTCACATTCAGATCATTGCTGGCTGCAAAATCAGTAAAGCATGCTAATGGTTCCCTGGAAGCTTAAGGTTTTTAGTAGTATGTGGCCTAGGTCTCTCTCTAACCCTTAGATAAACACAGAATGGCTTACTTCCTGTAGGTTCTAAGGCACAGAGCCAGCCCAGACTGTAAGGCAGTCATCCCTTAGCTCAATTCTTTACAGTTTTACTGCTATGGGACATATTGGGGGCCCAATATAAAGCAAAGCTGGAAGCAGGGATGATCCATGTATTTGTGGGGATGGGATATGGACAGGGAAATAGTGTTCCAACTCCATGCTGAGTGTTGTTTTGAATTGTAATGTGAAGTTGCCACCATACCAGGGCTATGACTGTGTACGATGTCTCACCCTTGTAGGCTAGTAGCTTTGCAGTGGGAAAAGATGACAGGGCCACTTGTCCAGGGCATTCAGGTAATAAAGTCCCTGAGCTCCAAGTTGCTAGATCTAAGGAAGTATTTTTTCCTTCATGTCAAAGATGGGGTGTGAGTACTGTCATCAAGCAGTAGGATTAAATGAGATAGTACCTCTGCCATTTTTGAAAACCAGTGGAATATACTTTGCCAGATGCAGAAAATACGTAGGGGAATGGCTCTATTGCACTTACAAAGCAAAACATATTTATAATAGATCTCCAGTGTATTTTTTTTTTAATATTTCAACATGACATAGTAAATAGAGCTTGGCTAATTCCATGAAACTTAGTGTACTCAGAGCCTAAAAGAATGTTATATTCTAAAATTTTAGTGTTCTGTTCTTAATTCATTTTAGAATGTATTCAGTTTTATTGTAGAGAAGAATCACTTGCATTTTAAGAAAAGGAGATAAATATTTGATGAAACTGTCAAGTTTTTAACAGGATCTTCCAAAGTTATGTTGTTGGATTTTAAAATTCAGGTTTTTAAAGTTAGCACCAAGTTTTCCAAGTCAGCTCTGTAAGGATTGTAACTCACAGTAGCCATGTCCCCAGCCCACCTCTTCAGTGCTGCTCACTTCCACCCTGTCCCTTTCCTACTCCGAGAGGCACCCCCAACTCTTGATGGATTGTGACTACGATAAACTCTGACGCTGAGCCCTGATTCCCTTCCTTTCTCAAACAACTTTAATTTTTCCTGGACTTAATAATTGTCAATTATCATCTTTCTTAGCCTTCTGTGTATTTCACACTAAGTTATTCCCACATTTTCCCTTCGTGGTGTAAATCGCTTTTCAAGTATTCAAGCACATTAGGTAGTTAGCATCTCTCGGAGCCTTTTTCTCCCTGCTCCAGGGAAGATCAGCTGACCTGTGGGCCTATCGCAGCCTTCACCTCCACCCCAGAGATTTCCCTGGCTTTTGTCTTGTGCTTCACCCATGCCTTGCTCTTTTCCACTCCATGGCTCACTTGCCTTGGCAAAGCAACCGTCACCAATAGCTTCTTGAAAAAGTGTGCATGAGAGGTAAAACTTTTGAGGCCCTGAATATTGAAAATATTTTTCTTTTAAACACACTTGAGTGATAGTTTGGTTTAGAGTTCTAGGGTAGAAATCATCCGCCTTCAAAACTTATTGCTCCTTGTCTTCTAGCTTTCAGTGCTATTGAGAAGCCTGAGGCCAGAAGCTCATAGGAAGCTGTGTCCCCAGTTGTGTTCAGTGACGTGCCCTGATGGGGCTTTTCCCATGCACTGCACCACCTCCCCCGGATGGGCCCTTTCAGTCCTGAAACTGGTATCTTTCAGTCTGAGACGTCCGCTGTCCCCTCTTTCCAGAACTCCTATTATTTGGGTGTTGGACTTTGTTTCTTTAACTCTCTTCTCCTGTGCTTCATTTGCATGCCTTCATCCTTCTGCTCTGTCTCTGTGGTAGGCTTCCCTAAACTTATCTTACTGCTAACTTGTGAATTTTCCTTTCTGCTTTTATCTTTTTCTATGTCTTTTTTTTTTGGGGGGGGGGTGGTGTTGGGAGGATGGAGTTTCGCTTTTGTTGCCCAGGCTGGAGTGCATGGAGTGCAGTGGCACCATCTCAGCTCACCACAACCTCCGTCTCCCGGGTTCAAGCGATTCTCCTGCCTCAGCCTCCCAAGTAGCTGAGATTACAGAGATGCACCACCATGCCCGGTTAATTTTGTATTTTTAGTAGAAACGGGGTTTCTCCATGTTGGCCAGGCTGGTCTCGAACTCCTGACATCAGGTCATCCGCCCGCCTCAGCCTCCCAAACTGCTGGGATTACAGCCATGAGCCAAAGCGTCTGGCGTGAATGTCTTTTTTATAACATTCTCCTTCTGTTCTTGTTTCATGGGTGCAGTGTCTTCTCCCATTTCTCTGGGGATATCAGTGGAGAAAAGTTTTTTTTTTCCCTTCTCTCTTTCTGTATTATCTTTGTTTCCTCTTAAGTTGTAGTTTTTTCCATAGTTTTGACCTCCTCACATTGGAGGCCTTTGTCAAAGTCTGGTTTCCTGGTTGCCTGCTCATTTTGGTAAGTGGGGCACTAGTTACTAGTTGTAGTAACTCTGCCCTCAACCAGGTACCCCCCACCCCACCCCATTTTACCTTATCTGGAGACTAGTAGTTGGTTGGAAGCTGTAAACACCAGGATGGGGTTTCTCACCTGCGAGGGCCTCACTGATGGCTGCTCAAGTGCGGCTGCTTCATTGGGAGACTCTAATTTTCAGGAACTTTACGTCTTTTCTCTTGGGCTGGTCAGATTCCTCAGAGACCATTTCCAGTCACCTACCTGGGAAGGACTCAACCAGTTTCCCATGTTCTGGGAGCGTAGAAGAGGAAAGAAGCCCGAACATGCAAATGTCATCCTTCTCTTAATTCCCCCGTTTTCCATGTACAGATTGAGTATGCCTCATCCAAAAATCGAAAATCCAAAATGCTCCAAAATCTGAAACTTTTGAGCGCTGACATGACTCTCAAAGTAAATGTTTATCAGAGCATTCTGGACTTTGTATTTTGGGATTAGGGATGTGTAACCTGTAAGTATAATGCAAAAATTCTAAAATCTGAAAAATTCAGAATCTAAAACACTTTTGGTCCCAAGCATTTCAGATAAGGGTTACTCAACCTGTAGTAACTCTGCCCTGGGCCATGCCAGGTACCCCTCTGTTTTACCTCATCCAGAGACTAACCTCCTGTTTCCTGTCAAATTCGGGGAGATGTAGTCACCAGCTGCGCAAGGGGAGCTGTGGATGGATTGCTTACTAACTTGACTTCCAGCCATCCTGCTCTGGACCCTGCCTTCACCCTGTCTCTGGAAGGACCTGTGCCGCACTTTCTGATCTGTGGGGAAGGGAGGTGGGGAGAGAGCTCCACTTTCCCCATCGGGTTCAAGATTCCCTTTTCCTGTGTCTGTTACATCAGTTTACCATCTGCCCATCTGCTTTCCAGAGTTCCACATTCTGTTGCTGTCTCATCTTTTATTCTCTTAACTAGACTTTGAAAGGTTCATAGGCTGATCCTTACTCTAAATACTAATATTTCCCTTTTCATTATGTGTGCTGATTCTGCGTGGTTCTGTACACATCCAAGTACTTTCAGGTCTTTTTTTATTGCTTGTTAAAGCTGTAAAAATTATATGAATAAACATGTCCACGTGGAACTGGCTGAGCTGTTTGGCACTCTCCTTAACCCTTGCCCCAAAGCACACTGGTTCTGAACGGGTCTGCTCACCCACTCAGAAATAAATGACCCACTCTTGGAGGAGCCACATCTGCTCTGCCGTGGGGGTCCCCTGGGTACAGACATGGCTAATGGACCAGGGCCTCTGTGGTCAGAAGAGAGTCAAGCAAGCAGGTGGCAGATCTGGGACCAGCATGCCCACCACCCAGTCAGGCCGGTTGTCCCTCTTTCGTAACTCTCCAAGGATTGTGCCACACCTGATCTGCTCATTTCACCTGCTTACACTTTTTCCTCACAACCCTGTTTGATGTCTTTCTCCCCAGCTCTGTTTCGTGATGTTTTGGACACCCAACGTGTCTGAGAAAATCTTGATAGACATCATCGGAGTGGACTTTGCCTTTGCAGAACTCTGTGTTGTTCCTTTGCGGATCTTCTCCTTCTTCCCAGTTCCAGGTAAAGAAAAACAGAATGAAGGAAGCATTCCTGTTTATCCTCATGCCTAATTAAATCTTTCTTTGGAAATGTTTGCAATTATGTCACCAACACAAATGTAAAATTTCACTGTGGCTTAGAAAGATGCAAAAACATTAGCCAGTAGGTTAAAAGTTCAAGAAATGAATCAAACAGTATAACTTTTTATTTTATTTATTTATTTATTTATTTATTGGAGACAGAGTTTCATTCCGTCACCCAGGCTGGAATGCAGTAGCACAATGTCGGCTCACTGCAACCTCTGCCTCCCGGGTTCAAGCACTTCTCCTGTTCAGCCTCCCAAGTAGCTGGGACTACAGGCACCCACCACCATACCCAACTAATTTTTGTATTTTTAGTAGAGACGGGGTTTCACCATGTTGTCCAGGCTGGTCTTGAACTCCTGGCCTCAAGTGCTCCTCCTCGGCAAAGTGCTGGGATTACAGGCGTGAGCCACTGCACCTGGCGTACAACTTGTTTTTAAAAGTGCAGTGATTACAAAAACAGTAAAAAGGAAGTAGACCTGAAAGGATAGCATGTGGAGCTTTGGGGACAATAAAACGGCCCTCTGTCTTGATTGTGGTGGTGGGAACACAAATGTGTTCATGTACTGAAATTCTCAAAACTGTGCACCAAAAAGCCAGTTTTACAATACTTTAATTTAAAAAGTGAAATCAAAAAAAGAAAAATAGAGTGAGCGTATTGCTAAAGCCTGGAGATATACAAAGACAGAGAAGGACTGCTGGAGAAAGGAAGACTCCAGGGGAACCTGAGGCCAGATGGATGGTCAGAAAAGAAACTGCCCATGGCTGAGACAAAAGCCAGTTGGAAAGTTATTATACCAAGCCAATATAGTGGTGTGAGGTGTACTATACACAAGAATGAGGTTGTTCTAGATTAAATCAGAAAAGCAGGTTGCAGAATGGTTGATTAGTATACAACCATTTCCATAGCAAATATGTAGCACGTGTATGTCTGTATCGTCATATGGATGTGCTAACTGCTTGCATAGCTACATTCTTTTTGTATAAGTAACTCACCAAGCTGCTAACAGTGGTTGCCTGTGGGAAGCAGGACAAGGGCCTGGGAAGTCACCACTGGGAAGAAGACCTTTGTATTCTATTCCCTTTTGTATCTTTTAAATTCTGTACCAGGTGTGTCACCTAGTCAAAAATCGGTTTCCCCAAAAGATCCACCTAAATCATTAAACTGGAAAGCCAGAATCTACAAAGCCACAATGTTAAGAAAGGAGCCATGGGCCGGGCGCAGTGGCTTATGCCTGTAATTCCAGCACTTTGGTAGTCCGAGGCAGGTGGATCATCTGAGGTCAGGAGTTCGAGACCAGCCTCACCAACATGGTGAAACCCCGTCTCTACTAAATACAAAAAATTAGCCAGGCGTGGTGGCGCATGCCTGTAATCCCAGCTACTCAGGAGGCTAAGGCAGGAGAATCGCTTGAACCCAGGAGGCAGAGATTGCAGTGAGTCGAGATTGCACCACTGCACTCCAGCCTCTGCAATAAGAGTGAAACTCCGTCTCAAAACAAAAAGAAAAAGAAAGGAGCCATGGAGCCCCAGGTAGGCCAGGGCTGATGGAACGGCCCTTGCTCTAAGGCCTTGCGGCGTCACTTTCTGGGCTGTGACAGAAATGGAGAAATGGCTGGAAGATCACAGCACCGGGATGGCATCTGTACTTGTTGGGTAGACACAGGGCGAACCAAGCTCTGGAAGGTGCCACCATCTAGAAGCAGCTGCACTCGCAGATTGAGACACATGCAGTTAATTTCTACAGTAGTGACCAGAGGAGGGGCCTGGAGTGCCCCAGCTGGGAGCAGGCTATAGCTGAGTATGTGATTCACCTTTACTGTCCATTTGACACCACTTCCTTGTCTGTAAGATGAAGGGCTTCCAGACAGCTGCCAGGCCCTGCCACTCTTTGCAATCTGTTGGATTTGGGCCAACCAGTTTAGCATATGCCTGGGATCCTGACTCTCTCCTTTGGTCAAAAACCTCAGTGGGTCTGTCTGCCTGCCTAAGAGAAGAAAATTAGCCTCGTTAGTATTAATATAAGGCTTCCACCCAGAGGAAGGCAGGACACACTGTTAGACCAAGAAGACGGCAAAGACTTCCTTCCAAACCAGCATATCCTGGAAAGGAATTTTTATCCCAGGAATGAGCACTTCCTCCTCCAAGAGCCCTTGCCTGGTGCTGTCCACAGGGAGGTTAACAGGCCCTCTCTTCAAGGCCCAGGCCCTGCCCTGCGCGTCCTCAAGCCTTTCCAGTTTCAGATGGAATCTAGATGCTCAGGGCCTTCCTACTGACAAGGGCAAGCCCCGTGCTCTCCACAGTTCCCCGCTGTCCACCCATGGCCCTCCTGCAGCTCAGAGATCCAGTGAAGAGGCAGGCATGGGCAGGCCATGCAGCCCTTGGTGAAATGGCAGCACACCAACGAGGGCCCACACCATTAGGAGGGAGAAAGGGAAGTGACCTCGGTGGAAGTGGTCAGGACCAGTCCAGGGAAAGAACAGAGGGAAGTGGGGACGAGCAGCTTCCTCCTCCTACCCCACTGCTTGGTCCCCACACCTCTGACCGCAGGCAGGGAAGATGGCTTCTGATGCCAGCTTTTCTGCTCACGCAGCATCACACTAGAGTGCCACTTTTCTCTGAGTGTTCTCTTCTAGAGGTAGATGATCAGAGGGCGAGGCTGGCCAAGTGTGGGGACAGGACTGGACAAGAGCAGCTAGGCTGCCTGGAAGATGCTGTCCCAGTGGAGAAAGGAGCCTGCCTGGTCCCAGCCATTTAGATCCAAAGGGCTGTGAGGAGGCGGGGAGCCGAGGCGGGCCTAGGCTCAGGAGCAGGGATGGGGAACCCTGGCAGGAAGATGAGGTGGCCAGCGGCTCAACAGCAAGGCCAGGGTCCTAGGCAGCCCCTGGCTCTCGGATGTGCTGCCCTGGTCCAGAGGCAGCAGGATGGGGAGTGGATGGCGGGCACGGCTGACGAGTCCTTTGCTCCTCCCAACAGTCACAGTGAGGGCGCATCTCACCGGGTGGCTGATGACACTGAAGAAAACCTTCGTCCTTGCCCCCAGCTCTGTGCTGCGGATCATCGTCCTCATCGCCAGCCTCGTGGTCCTACCCTACCTGGGGTATGTTGTCAGGGAGTTTGGGGCTGTGGGTCCTTCTGCCACTTCAATACTGTGTCCAGAGGTTTAACAGCTACATTTTCAGGGGAAATCCCCAGGCACGTCTAGAATCGGAAATTCAGAATGATGTTTTGTGTGTCTGCCCAGGCACCAGGTGGAGGCTCTTGGGATCCATTTTAGAAAAGTGCTTTTGAAATCAGGCCCAGACACGAATAATAGCCACTGAGCTCCTGTCAGGGCATGGCCGGCCCTGCACGGGCTTGAACGTATGCTGGACATGAAAACCAGAAGAGAAGGACATGGTCCCTGCGCTCAGGGAGCTCCCAGCGTCCTGGGGAGGGTGGGAAGGGCTGTGGGATCCATGTGCTGTGGGAGGGAGGTGGCCCAGCCCCGAGTTCCTGGTTCCCCTCACACATTAGGTTATTAGCTGCGGCCCTTACGAAGCCAGCAGATGGAGAACGCCGCTGGTCTCAGCCGTCTCGAGGCTACACTTACTTTCCTGGGTTTTGGCATCGACGGTTGTGCCTTGACTTGGCCTTAACAGACAAATTGCCTTTGTGTTCTCATCTGCAGGGTGCACGGTGCGACCCTGGGCGTGGGCTCCCTCCTGGCGGGCTTTGTGGGAGAATCCACCATGGTCGCCATCGCTGCGTGCTATGTCTACCGGAAGCAGGTGAGACAGCCGCGCCGGGAGCCTCCTCCCGGGTGCATCCTCCTGGGTGCAGGAGAACCTGAGCAGCCACTGACCAGGTTGGATGGTGGCGTTCGTCAGTGGGGGATCCTTGGTGACACTGCCCAGTCTCGTGGCTTAGGGTGGCTGGAAGCCTAATGGGAGTGGGGTAAGAAAAAAGGGGAAAAGCTGAAGGCAGCAAGTACAGACAGTCCCTTTGAAGAGTTTTGCGCCAAAGGGGAGAGAGGTGTGGACATGGATTTCAGAAAGCCAGCGTAGATGGGGCGAAATTCAGCCTATGGCTTGCTTTGGGGAATGACCCGCAGACATGCGATGCTGCCGATGGGAGAGGGGACAGTGATACCAATGTGGCTGTGCACACAAGGACTGGGCAGTCCAAGACAGGAGCTCGGGCAGCCTCTCTGGTCATGGGCGGAGCAGAGATGCAGTCCGAGAGCTTGCGCAAGGGCCCTTCTGATCACTTTTGTTTTTCTCAGTGAAGTAGGAAGCCACATCATTGTCTGAGAAAAGGGAGGTATATGAGGGTGGAAGAACGAGGACACATGGGTGGGGAAACAGTTGGTCAAGAGAGTAGCAGAGTGAACAGGCCGGGGCAGCAGAGTGACGGCCAGGCCACTCAGAGAGCCTGCTCACGGTGCGTGACGTGCATCTCAGGACACTGGCTGTCCCCTGCGGTTGGGCTTCCCCAGCCATGGCAGCTGAGGGGTGTGGGCTGAGATGGTAGAGATCTGAACCTCAGCACAGCTGGGGCTTTGCCTGGCAAATATAATGAAAGAAAAGCAGGGTAGGGAAATGATGGTCATTACTGAGCATGTCATGTAAGCTGAGGAAAGAGGGGAGACAGGACATCGAAAAGGTGGCCACAATGAAGGGTTGGTGGGATCCGTGGATGGGGGACCAGCGGGGTTGGCAGACAGAGGACAATGTCCTTGCCTTGGCCTGTTGGTGTGTCGATAATGGCAAGGTCTGCAGTGACCCAGCAGTGGCTGAGGTGGGGCTGGGGCTGAGAACCTGATCCCTGAGAGGCCATTTATTGTAAGAACAGGCAACATGGCAGGGAAGTGACCAGGAACTAGGACAGGCAGTAAGTGGGAGAGAATGACGGCAAGCCTGGAGCTGTCCCAGAGGTGACTGACGGATGCTGTACAAGGTGGAATATTTTGATAATGTGAGATTCCAAGCTTGAGGCTTTAGGGAGGAGGAAGGAGAAGCAGTCTACAGGTGACTGTGAGGAGTCGGGGAGAGCGCAGCCCTCATTGGAAAGGGCAGCAGGGAGCGGGTTGTCTGGGGCGGGGCAGTGGGACATGGTGTCCTCCGAAGTGCCTGCCTAGCTCAGTGCCAGGCACACAGCAGGCACACAGACAACCAAACTGCAAGGAACACACTGAGCTAAGATGCAAAAGAGGTGACGCCACCCCAACCATAAGAAGGTTTAAGCCTACAGTGAGGGGTCCCCCAAGACCCCGGTGTTGTCTCCCTGCTCGTGGTTCTGCTGTGCAGTGTCCCCATCCACAGCCCCACACTGATGAGTCTTCTTTGGTCTAGAAAAAGAAGATGGAGAATGAGTCGGCCACGGAGGGGGAAGACTCTGCCATGACAGACATGCCTCCGACAGAGGAGGTGACAGACATCGTGGAAATGAGAGAGGAGAATGAATAAGGCACGGGACGCCATGGGCACTGCAGGGACAGTCAGTCAGGATGACACTTCGGCATCATCTCTTCCCTCTCCCATCGTATTTTGTTCCCTTTTTTTTGTTTTGTTTTGGTAATGAAAGAGGCCTTGATTTAAAGGTTTCGTGTCAATTCTCTAGCATACTGGGTATGCTCACACTGACGGGGGGACCTAGTGAATGGTCTTTACTGTTGCTATGTAAAAACAAACGAAACAACTGACTTCATACCCCTGCCTCACGAAAACCCAAAAGACACAGCTGCCTCACGGTTGACGTTGTGTCCTCCTCCCCTGGACAATCTCCTCTTGGAACCAAAGGACTGCAGCTGTGCCATCGCGCCTCGGTCACCCTGCACAGCAGGCCACAGACTCTCCTGTCCCCCTTCATCGCTCTTAAGAATCAACAGGTTAAAACTCGGCTTCCTTTGATTTGCTTCCCAGTCACATGGCCGTACAAAGAGATGGAGCCCCGGTGGCCTCTTAAATTTCCCTTCCGCCACGGAGTTCGAAACCATCTACTCCACACATGCAGGAGGCGGGTGGCACGCTGCAGCCCGGAGTCCCCGTTCACACTGAGGAACGGAGACCTGTGACCACAGCAGGCTGACAGATGGACAGAATCTCCCGTAGAAAGGTTTGGTTTGAAATGCCCCGGGGGCAGCAAACTGACATGGTTGAATGATAGCATTTCACTCTGCGTTCTCCTAGATCTGAGCAAGCTGTCAGTTCTCACCCCCACCGTGTATATACATGAGCTAACTTTTTTAAATTGTCACAAAAGCGCATCTCCAGATTCCAGACCCTGCCGCATGACTTTTCCTGAAGGCTTGCTTTTCCCTCGCCTTTCCTGAAGGTCGCATTAGAGCGAGTCACATGGAGCATCCTAACTTTGCATTTTAGTTTTTACAGTGAACTGAAGCTTTAAGTCTCATCCAGCATTCTAATGCCAGGTTGCTGTAGGGTAACTTTTGAAGTAGATATATTACCTGGTTCTGCTATCCTTAGTCATAACTCTGCGGTACAGGTAATTGAGAATGTACTACGGTACTTCCCTCCCACACCATACGATAAAGCAAGACATTTTATAACGATACCAGAGTCACTATGTGGTCCTCCCTGAAATAACGCATTCGAAATCCATGCAGTGCAGTATATTTTTCTAAGTTTTGGAAAGCAGGTTTTTTCCTTTAAAAAAATTATAGACACGGTTCACTAAATTGATTTAGTCAGAATTCCTAGACTGAAAGAACCTAAAAAAAAAAATATTTTAAAGATATAAATATATGCTGTATATGTTATGTAATTTATTTTAGGCTATAATACATTTCCTATTTTCGCATTTTCAATAAAATGTCTCTAATACAATACGGTGATTGCTTGTGTGCTCAACATACCTGCAGTTGAAACGTATTGTATCAATGAACATTGTACCTTATTGGCAGCAGTTTTATAAAGTCCGTCATTTGCATTTGAATGTAAGGCTCAGTAAATGACAGAACTATTTTTCATTATGGGTAACTGGGGAATAAATGGGTCACTGGAGTAGGAATAGAAGTGCAAGCTGGAAAGGCAAAAATGAGAAAGAAAAAGGCAGGCCCTTTGTGTCTACCGTTTTCAGTGCTGTGTGATCATATTGTTCCTCACAGCAAAAAAGAATGCAAGGGCATAATGTTAGCTGTGAACATGCCAGGGTTGCATTCACATTCCTGGGTACCCAGTGCTGATGGGGTGTGCCCACGTGGGGACATGTCCTTGGCGTGCTTCCTCAGAGTGGCTTTTCCTCCATTAATACATATATGAGTACTGAAAAATTAAGTTGCATAGCTGCTTTGCAGTGGTTTCAGAGGCAGATCTGAGAAGATTAAAAAAAAATCTCAATGTATCAGCTTTTTTTAAAGGACATTACTAGAAAATTAAACAGTATTTTTTAACATGTGTGACTTTCATGCTTCTGGGGTTGGAGCTTAAAGATCCAAACTGAGAAAGCAGGCCGGGCATGGTGGCTCATGCCTGTAATCCCAACACTTTGGGAGGCCAAGGAGGGTGGATCACTTAAGGTCAGGAGTTTGAGACCAGCCTGGCCAACATGGCAAAACCCTGTCTCTACTAAAAACATAAAAATTAGCTGGGGGTGGTAGCACATACCTGTAATCCCAGCTACTCAGGAGGCTGAGGCAGGAGAATTTGCTTGATCCTGGGAGGCAGAGGTTGTAGTGAGCCGAGATCGCGCCATCGCACTCCAGCCTGGGTGACAAGAGCAAAACTCCATCTCAAAAAAAAAAAAAATCCTTTCCCTCTAAATCCAGGAAGGATCAGCAAGGGCCTCCTCATTATGAGATGAGGAAATACAACTCCAGAGATTCCTTCAGTGATCAAGATCAGTGGGCCATAATATTTGGTTAGAGTTTCTGAGAACACAGGAAGCAATGCCACACTCAGGCCACCACAATGGAGCTGATTTGGCAGGACTTGTTCAAACCTTTCACCTTAAAGCACGTGATCCTTCTTCGTACATTTTCTTCACTTGGGCTGCTTAAGTCACAGCCTAACAACTTTGAGGCAAAACTGAGAACTGGCATATTCTCCTGCGTTTCTTCTAATCGAGTCCCATCATCCAGCTAGACATGAGAGATCAAACCAGGGAGGGTGACCTTTCTCCTTCCCACTTTTCAGAGTCATTGGGGCAACTTTTTGACTTTTGTGACCAAAGAAACATTCCCCCAAAACATTTATTTTTCATTGTAGGGCATTCAGCTGACAGCTGCATTTTAGAAAGTTACCATGCCTGTGAGATTCTCATGTCAAAGACCAGGGAAAGACCAGGTGTGACTTTCTCCAAAACTGAGTGATTGCTTGTGGATGAATACAATCTAAAAATACAAGGCCATGAAGTAGTTTTTCATTTAGATGCTGAGAAATAATAGGTTTGGGCAGCTCAAAGCATAGGAAATAGTAAGGGTTTTCTAGAGCTCCTCCTTTGGTGGCCTGTTTGAGTAGCACAAGGGACGTCATCCTAAATGTGCAGTTGCCATTTGTTCTGTAGTGACTTACAGGGATCTCAGTGGCAAAGGGCGTCAGTGAGACAACAACTGAGCAAAAAGAACTAGACGAGGCTTGCGCTTGGAAAGTCACGGTAGGATTGGACCTGCCGGCCACATGGCTCAGGGAGTATTGACGGATTTGCACATTGGCAGGAAACTCTCCCGTTTGGGATTCTTTAAATGGGGCACAGAAGGCCACTTGTTTGCATTTCTGGGTAAAAAACAGTCATCCCCCATGACTGCCTGCATCGGGTTTGTCTTGTGCCAAAGTTACTCTTCCTTTGTTTTTACTTTGCCTTGATTTTTAGCATTAGCTGGTAGTTTGGCTTGGAAATGTCCTGGATAGCCGATTCCCTAAGAAACTGAAACATTTAATATTGGCTTAGGATGTATCAGATGGGGCCAAATAAAGCTTCTTTACAATAGTAAAAGCACTTTATACTTCACTCTCTGAGTCTTCCCAATAAATAACCTTGGGAGGTGCAGGGGGTGGGGGGCCCAGGATGGGGAGGCCTGGGAGCTCCCAGGGTAGTGACAGAGTTGGGCTGAGTTCTCCAGACGCCAGGATGCGTCGCAGCGGGGCCAGCTCAGGAGTGCTCACTCCCAGCCCTCTGGATCTCTCTCCTGGTTGGAATAATCATTACATATCGTAACTCTCAAAATTTATTCACTTATATTTTCAGAATAAGAAGTGTGAAATGTTAACAGCTCTCTGCTCTCTTACTTGTTCCCCATTTGGGGATCTTCTGGAGGGAAGGGGCAGGGGGAGAGTAACTTTTCTATATCCTTGGTTTCTAGGAACACATCGATTTGAAGACTCAGTAGCTGACTGGTTTTTTTTTTTCCCCCTTCAAACTGAAGTGCGAGTGTGCGTGTGTTCCACAAAATAGCAAGTATTTATAGTGTTGTAATTACATTTCCTTGAGAAATATTTTCTTGTATTTAAAAATCTTTCTACTTCAGTAACTCCCAGCAGAACAGTGCCCAGGACAGCATGTGCCGGTTAGTACCAGCTTTGCAGGTGAGCTGACTTCTAAACTTAGGACGACGTCTTCATCAATCAAACTAGTGCACAGTCCAGAAAAAGGGGTCCTTTATCTTCTAAGTTCTGCTCCTCACCTTTCTTTGGAACCAAAATTGCAGTGGAGTGTGAGGAAGAGCTTTGAAAGACGTGGAGTGTTGAGATGTCTGCATTGCACATTCAGCCGGTTCAAAGCCAGCAGCTCCTGCCTGCATTCTGTAGACATCGCCCTCACACACAGTCCTCTGATGGCTCTCATATAAAGCACTCAAACCGTAGGAAAGCATGTTTTTGAGCAACGTGTCTGGGATACTCCTCTGTGTGGTTATTTTGAATCTCTATTTCTGTCATTGAAGCAGCAAAAAACATCATGTGACTCATCAACTGATCTAATCACACTTAAAACAGGATGTAGAGAAAAATCTGATGAGAAACGTAAAAGGGCCTGTTGCCTGCCCTTTTAAAGGCAAAATGTCTAAAATCATGCAAATGTTCAAAATGAGAGAAATTGCATTGTGGAATCAAAATAACCCAAACTCCACTCAGAAAAGTCACAAATATATAGTATACTATCTGATCTCAAAAGGGAAAAACGAGATGATAAGACCTTAAGTTTAGACTTTATTTTCTTCTCAAGAGTGGACATTAAATCTATTAACTTGCAACTTTCTGCTGGGAAGAGCATCAAAGGTGGGCCTCCTAAATCATTTTTGAAAAACCTCTGTCAAGTCCAAGTGGTTCCAGGAGAATTATAGCCAGTATCTTTTAAAATATTTCATTTTAGTGATAATGTTTTTCTCTGCTTCATTTGCAATCAACCAGGATCTCTAAAAGACTGCATAAGATATATGCACTTTTATAGGTGGCTGTCAGCTACACATAGATTCAGCAAATTTTTTTTATATAGTACCTGTTTTTAAGTTAGGCTACATAACTTAAAGTGCACTTTACTAACAAGACTTGACATTAGCGTCTACAATATGTATATGTAAACAAAAGCACACAAGAACTAGGCACCCTTTCTCTCTCCAAGAGTTTAAGTGGTTTCCTTAGGTTAAAGAAGGGGACAGACCAGCTAAAAATGGTTGTACCACTCACTGTACAACCTCATGGAAATTCTCACTATAAGATTTAGAGGCAATGTTCCCTAGCTATAAGCCAGGGCAAGAAATGGCGCCTCTGGAGTTGGGGAACATTAGGGGAACATTACAACCGGGTAGATGCTGGTTCCCTGAAGTGTGGGGCCATGAACATGCAGGGACCCACGGTTTGAATGAAACAGCTACTGAAAGCTAAGTTCAAACCACCCTTGCGTAACAAAGGAGTACAGGGTACACATCAACACCAATCACCCAGCACCCCACAGCGATGGTCATGTCACCGTGCAGCAGGTCCCTTACCCCAGGGCTGCCACATCCACAAGCCTTGCAGTGGCAAATACGCTGCTCCTTGGATTTAATGAGATATTTTGGTTGCTTAATGATGTACTGATCAGGGAACTGTCTAAAGCTAGTAGGGCCAAGGAGTTAATCAAAGGGCTTCGGGAAAGTGGACAAGAGCCACACACGTGATTCTGTTCCATGCCGACACTCATTCATTTAAGAAGTGTATTCAAGCTGGAGGCTTCCATATCACTCACGCTTCTTGGCCTCACCTTGCTCATCTGTCCAATGGGAGGCTTGAGCCATTATTGCTAAGGCCCCTTCCTGATCTAACATTCTGTTTATGATCTAGGATTTAGAACGTCGTATGAGATCCTACAATGGAAGAATAAAATCACCTCATTCTTCATTTCAGATCTGAACATTAGCAGTGATCTAGATTTTTTTTTTTTTAAACAAAATTAAGTGTGCTTAGAGTCATTCCTCTACATGGGCTGTGGCTGTCAGCCCATAGGTTTGTCAGTTTCACATCAAAACTGTGGGTATAAACTGTTGAAACCAATCACATTAAAATATTTAGCTGGGCACAGTGGTGTGCATCTGTAGTCCCAGCTACTTGGGAGGCTGAGGCAGGAGGATCGCTTAAGCACAGGAGTTGGAATCCAGCCTGAGCAACAGAGCAAAACCCCGTCTCTAAAATACAAATAAAATATTTGTGTAGTTTTTGATTAAAATTGACTACAGCGGTCAGTATAAAATACATGTCGCTTTTAAGGAAGTGCTCTTTATGTATCTAACAGATGGAAGTTTTTGCATTGGTAAGAGCATTTATATATGCTTTGTTTCAGGGTTTATGGATTTGTATTCATATATTGTCAAATAGGTTTCATACTCTAATTTTACTTTAAGTAAAGCTTAAACACTTGGCATACAACTGAGATTGCTTTTAGTTTCTTGATTTTTTTTTATTCTAACCATGCATCTGTTTACTCACCGCAAAGTTACTTGGTTTCCTAATCCTGATTACAGTTTCCCTTTTAATCAAATTTACCTGAGAGATTAACATTTTGCCCTTTCCCTTGGTTGCTAAAACTTCTAACCACTGGGAAATTTCTCTAAACTCCCTGTCTTACTTAAATATAACCTATTTCTTCAGATTTTATTCTGCATTAAAATTACTTTTACTTCCCAAAACTTCAGTAATGAAAATGCTTCTCTGAACCCTCTCCAACTTCTCTATACACCTTCTCAAATGGGAATGCCAAAATGAAGCAAGTGTTTGGTGAGCCTGAGAAGGACAGAGCCCGACAATCCTCCTGCCCACATCTAAGAGATTCTTACTCTTCTTAGTCTTTATGGGAAAAGCATTACTCTTTTATCACTTTTTTTTTTTTTTTTTTTTTTTTTTGAGACGGAGTCTCCCTCTATTGCCCAGGCTGGAGTGCAGTGGCGCAATCTCGGCTCATTGCAACCTCTGCCTCCCGGGTTCGAGCGATTCTCCTCCCTCAGCCTCCCGAGTAGCTGGGACTATAGGCACACGTCACCACGCCCAGCTAATTTTTGTATGTTTAGTAGAGACGGGGTTTCACCATGTTGGCTAGGATGGTCTTGATCTCCTGACCTTGTGATCTGCCAACCTCTGCCTCCCAAAGTGCTGGGATTACAGGCGTGAGCCACCACGCCCGGCCAGCATCACTCTTTTCTTAAAGCATCATGTTTTAACCTCAAAGAAAGATGGCTCTAATTTTTTTTAGCTCCTCATAAGACATTGTAGAAAGTGTTTCATTACATACCTGTAGTCAGTAAGATTCTAGGCATCCTACAGACTCGCTTGGGATTGCCTATTTCCTTCCTTACTGCTCCTTTTGTTAAAATCCCAGATCTCAGTCCTACCTCCACTGTGCTTCTCTCTTACTACCTCTAACACCAACCATGTTTTTGAAGGCTTCAGAGCTGTGCTCCCGGCCACAGTGCATGGGCTATGCCATGTCCATGGCATAGGGTCAGGCCTAGCTATCGGGTCAAGTATGTTCAGTTCCTGGTTGCCTTAAAGACAATACAGAGCTGCGCTGGCCCCAGCATCATTCACTGTCCCTGTGGGGAGTGGTACTCTTAATACCACAAGGGGCAAATCTACGTCCCCAACCCATGCTTTCCCCTGACATCTCCATCTAGAGGAGGCACATTTACCTCCCACCTGGAAACCTCCTCCTCAACCCCCCACCGCCAGTGGAGTCCCACCAAGCCCTGCCCCCTGGTATCTCTGCCTTCCACGCCTTCCTCTTTATCCTCTGTGGTCTCACTGGCTTAGCTCAGGAGAAAAATCGTGGAGAATTTCTCAAAAACTGTGGAGAAAACTATGCCTCCTTCTAAGTTTTTTTTTTTTTTTTTTTTTTTTTTTTTTTTTTTTTTTGACACTATTAAAGGTAATGCTAAGGTGCAGGGAAGGTTGGCATTGCTTATATTTGTAATTCTGCTCCCAATAAGCTCCAGGTTTCTTACCTGGACAATATAAAACAGTAAATACCATGCTGACTGCCCAGTTCAATACACTGGGCTTTAAACAAAAGGAAAAAATAAATCAGGAGCTGTGAGTCCTCATTCTGTCTGCTGCTTTTTAGCTGTGATTCAGGCAAGTGACTAGACGCCTCTGGATCAGCCTCCTGTCCTCTACAACCAGATCTTTTCTACACAGTTCTAAACTACTGCACCACCAGGATTTGCAGAGTGGCCAATGACAGTTCACAAAGGCGGAGGTGCCGTGTCTGCTAAGCTTCTAAGCCACATGGAAGTGCTTCAGCCAACAAATCCATGAACATTACTGTGGTCCACTTTCAACACAGAAAAATGACTAGAGCTTTTATGAAACAAAAAAGCTGCTTATCTCAGGTTCAGAAACCCTTGATTCCAAAGACCAATACAGAATTAACAAGTACAATCATTATTTCCAAACTTTACATTATACTATACACCTCAAATTCTCATCGGGTCTTTCATCTGCTACACAATAAAAGCTCTCTTGGTCTAAAGGAAATGGCTGAGGAGAGCGGCCTGTATCTCCACCGCCCCTGATGGCACCATCAGGGCAGCTGCTTGCAATTCACGTGTGGTCTGAGGTAAAAAGCGTTTCCTCATGCTTTTTATCATGCCAGCAAGGCCACGTCCTAACCTCGCCCGGTTCTTCTTTCCCCCAGTGCCAACCTGCCCAATGCTATTTAATTCCATGCTCTTCAGAAAAGTATACAAATGGCTGGCAGGCCCAATTCCACCTTCGCTGGGAATCCAGTCCTCACAAGCCCAGGTTCCTAATCTGGGCCTATTTCCAGCTCCAAATACAGCGGTGATGCCCAAGTCTGTTTTTCCAGCCCTAACTTGTTCCCAAGCTTCAGACCAGTCACTGGGTGTATCCAGTCACCTCCCAACATCTCCCCAGGGGCCGAGAAGGGCTGTGGCCTTCAGCCCATCCCTGTACACTCTTTCCTTACCCCTTCCACATTTTCTCCTGTCTCCCCCATCTAGAGGAGTCACAGGAGCACCCACCCGGAAACCCACTCCATGTCCCACTCCTCTCAGTCAAGTCCCCAAGCGCCATCAGCGCTGCCTCCTAGCATCTCACTCCCACTCTCTCCTTTTCCTCTTCAGTCCCAGCAGCTCGGCTCAGGGGGCTCCTGCTCACCTTGGGCTTGGATGCTACAGAAGCCTCCCTCCAGAACCATCTCCCTCCACGAGGCTCGAGTGTTTCCCTAGACTATGATGGAAATGACATCTCCTAGAATTCTGCATCACACAACCCACACACCCATTCTCAGCAGCCTGGGATATGGTTCTAGAAACCCTGGCCTGATGAGCGCCCTGCTTTGCCCGGCAGGTCCTTCCTCACTGTAGGCACTGGGCTGCTTCAGGACCAGCCTGACACTTAACACGGGTGGGCACCAGCTTACGCCTGAGCTACATGTAGAAAATAAGAACCCAGCCAGAGAGGACGACACTCACACCAAAGAGAAGGCGGCCACACCAAACGGGGACTCCTGATGGCACCCGGCCTCCTTCTGCAGGAGTCTGAACTCCCTGACTCTGCCATCCCTCAACACGAGGAGGGCAAAAAAGTACCAAGAGTAGATATTTGAAAAGAATTTGTAGAGATGGTTTCTTTGCAGAGAGCGACACTGAGTCCCACTCCTTCTGGGGCAGGGGGTTGTAATACTCAAAGCTTGAAATGGGGTCCTGAGTCCTGGGGACTCAGTGGGCTGGTGTCTGACTCACCCATCAAATCTAATAGAAGGGCATTGGGGCTGGCTGGCAAATCCCGAGTTTGACAGGGCAGGGGGTCCAAAAGTCTTTCCCTTGGCCCAGACCCTGGCCTCATAGATCAACAAGCTTGCCTGGGGTCATCTTAAGGCCTGCCCCACAAGGCCACCTAGGGGTGTGGACAGGGCTCAGTAGAAAGAAGCTGGAGCTATCACTGGCTTCCTACGAGCTGCAAAGGAGGAAGTTGTGGTGGGAGGCGACAGCATTAGCACATCCCAGGAGCTGCCTTGGTCAAGGTACATGGGAAGGCCCTGAGCCGGGGACAAGAAGTGGGGAGACAGAGGGGGCCTCAAAGATTCCTGAAAGTACCCCATGAGAGAATGAGAACAAAGCCCTGGCTGAGCCCAGGAAGGGCGGCCGACAGGACAATTCCTATGGAGGGCTGAGATCTCTGCTCCCTCCCTGTCTTGGCTCCCTCCTCCTGTTCTAACTCTGGAGGGCCAAACAGGGCAGTGAGCAACTGTCACAGCTTTCACTCTCACACAGATGCGATATTCCAATTTCTGAGTTAGGAAAGCATTTGGCAACCTAAGAGGACTATAAAGTCTATTACCCCAGAGTGCTCAAAAAGGTGATGGGTCGCCCTGAGTTGAGTTTTCACCAGGGGTAGGAGAAGGTCTCCGATTGAATTATGTCTTAAACAGCCAAAGACAAAAATAGTTACTTTGTGATTCCATCCCTGGAGTCATGCCAGTTCTGCTCACCAGTGACAAATGCACAAGAGCTCCGTGAAAGGTGGGGAGGGCTGCAGAGGGGAGGGCTGGGGAGGGTAGGCACAGCGGGAGGTACAGATGGGGAGGGTGGGCAAAGGGGGAGGTGCAGATGCGGAGGGTGAGCACAGAGGGTATGGATGGGGAGGGTTGGGGAGGGTGGGCATGGGGTTGGGGTGAGGATGGAGAGGGCTGGGAGGACTGTGCCTTGGCCGGCTCACCCCTACATCCCCAAGTTTGGAACCATGCCTGGCCCCAGGGCTGGCACTCTTTGGTGAATGGATGCAGGCATTCCCATATTCCTACCCTGAACATGCCAACTCTAGGACACCAGCAAGACAGCCCTCCCTCCCGTAACCTTCTGGTCTTCAATGCTCTCTTCTTGTCCCTGAAGAAGGCCAAACCCTTTGTGAACTAAAATACTCTGAGTGAGTTATTGTTACTTGCAACCAAAGGGCCTGACATGGAATCTCTAACACCCCTTGGTCCGCCTTTCCTTCCTACTGCTCCCACCCTACATCTATCTCGTTTCTGTGAAATTCAGATAGAAAACTCAAAAGTGGTTACAGAAGACATGAACAGATGGCTCCCAGGAAAGGACCTGAAAATGGTTTACGCAAATGAAAACATGCTCAGCCTTTCTCAAGAAACGCAAGTCAGACTTCCAACCATCAGCTCAGCAAAGATCAAAATGTTTGATAAAGCCAGTGTTGTAAGAGCCTAAGGAAACATACTCGTGCTCTCCAATGGGACTGTACATCAATGGCACCACTTAGAGGACAACTTGTTAAGACGTCTCAAGCACACAGGCAACTAGGGAGAGTTTAATGTCAGAGGCAAAGAACATGAACAGGCAACCGAGCCCAGACAAAAGGCAAGGGTAGGGGTGAGGAGGTGAGACAGAAAATTCAGAGAAACTACAGAAAGAATGCCCAGGTTTCAGGCAAGACGGAAGCGGTCAATAGAAAAATACTGTACAAACAACTTCTCGTTCTAAACACACATAATGCAGCTGGTGTTCTTTATTTAATGGTTGTAAAGGGCTTCCACAAGACCCACAGCCTGCATCCCTGTTTTTCTCTCCACTTTCTTGAGTGGGAAAAGGCGGTGGAAAAGGAAATTCAAGAAACACTGTCCACAGAGTTGAGCAGAGCATCGTAATTCAGACAAGTAGAGGGAGAAAGTGCATTTCTGACACTGAAAAAGTGTATCAATCCAAATGAATGGGCCACTGGAGGAGGAAAGTGGTTTGTTGTTCACAGTGGGGAGGTCTTTCTGCTGCACATGACCGACTTAGCACTGCCGTCTAATGGATGCCCAGTACCTACCCACTGGGTTCTTCAGAAGCCCAGCTCCATCTTGCAAGACTCCCAGACTCTAGTTCTTTGACAAACAGGAAGGCAGAGCTCTGCTGACTCAAACTTCATTCTCTATCCCCAACATACTTCTGAAAGTCCAGTCTTCCCCCTCTTCAGAGGATTAACTTCTTCCATTGAGAGCCTGATTCATAAGCAATTTGTTGAAGTTCTTGCCATCACATTAGTGGGTACATTTCCAGCAGTGTAAATGGTTCATAAAGAAATGTCTCGCACACACCAAACCTCTTTGCGGCAAACACACAGCAGGGCTGGGTCAGAATTGGGGCTGCAGCCCTGCTTTGCAGGTCTGGAGGATCTTCCCCTAATAAGTGCTAGCACCTCACTTAATCCACACCACCACTGAGACAGACTGTGTGTGGTAAAGATGAAGAAACAGATTTAGGGAGGTTCAGGAACTGTCCAAGCCCACCCTTTTAGTGGGCAGCGGGAATGCTGTTGAATCCAGACCCAAGCTGAAAACTATGCACCTAATTTGGCTGGCAGGGTTGGGGGCACTTAGTATGGGTTAAGCACTGTGCTAACTGCTTCATCTCATCTAACTCTTCCACACTGCCCAATACTGCCTCCCTAAACCCTTGATTCCTCTGCTCACAATGGCCAGGGGTCAAGAGTCAGCCATGTGGACATCATAGGTCTGCCTTGCGGGTGCCAGAAAGTTAGAGCCCAATGTAATAGCACAATCTGCCAAAGTCCTCAAAGGCAAGCATTTGACCACAGCAACAGAGCCAGGCTTCTGAGTTGTATTTTCTAAGTTTATTTTTAGTTATTTGTTTTTACAGTCCTCTGCAGCAGGGTTTGCTAAAGTGGATCAACAGCAAAGCCCCCAAGTCAGTTCAGCTTCTGACAGTGAAGACAAGAGACTCAACAAGTAACAGAGGAAACTCTGGCCCCAGGAGCCAGGCAACTGACCGCATCTGCAGGTGGGAACCAAGGCCCCAAACTGCACAGAGCCTCGGGGGCATGTTTTTCAGAGCAGGCGAAATTTTGGACACATGCGGAACATCTTATGGTGTAAACAGAGGCACTGCTAAACAAGCCAAGATGAGCGCTGCCAGGTTCACACAGTGTGCTGCTCCACCAGCCTCCATTCACAATGGCTTACCCATGGAAGAAAAACACCATCGCCACTGGCAGAGGGTCTAAAGTTGGCTTGTTATCCTCTCCAAATTCATAATACAAAAAGTTAGAAGTGGCTAAAATGCAGGCAACAATACCAAAATATTTTTATAAAAACAATGGAAATGAGAAAGAAGCTTATTAAATACATTCATTTTGACTTTGTTCCTTTATCAAATACTCAGAAGTAACCAACATTACTGTGGATTGCTGCAGTTCTTATAAGGGGTACAATGTTTTAGCACCATTTATGTGAATACAGTCAAGGCATTTTTCAATATGTAAATGAAAACTCCTAAAATTAAGTATAAAATATTACTTTGAAGTTCAGAATTAAGCTCAAGTACTTCTGCTTACTGGGAGAACTGCCAAGTCCACTGCCAAGACTGTGGACATTTTAAGCCCTGTGTCCCTTCCTTGTACTGATCGATGTTTTGGCAGTTTCATTTCTGACCCAAACTTATACCAAACAAATCAATGAGATTAATTGAGAAAACACAGTGTCCTCCTCCATTAATGCTAATGAATGCTATTAAAAAGCATTCACAATGCTTAAACAAACTGGTGGCCATGAGGTCTGGGACCACACACACATCATAAATGATGTATTGATATAACATTTCAATACAATTAATGTATGTGTTTCTAGACTTAACCACTCTATCTATTTCCATTATACATACCAAAACCCATTCCGACATTCCTGGTAGTAGATTTCAATATAACCTGAAAAAAATACAATACATGGGGCCAGGCGCGGTAGTTCACGCCTGTAATCTCAGCACTTTGGGAGGCCAAAGCAGGTGGATCACCTGAGGCCAGGAGCTCGAGACCAGCCTGGCCAACATGGTAAAACCCCATCTCTACTAAAAATACAAAAATTAGCTGGGAGTGGTGGTACACACCTGTAATCCCAGCTATTTGGCAGGCTGAGGCAGGAGAACTGCTTGAACCAGGAGGCAAAAGTTGCAGTGAGCTGAGATCGCACCACTGCACTCCAGCCTGGGCAACAGAGCAAGACCCCATCTCAAAAAATATATAATACAATACATGGGACAGTTCACCTCCACCCTCCCAGAATACTGCTGAGTCCCAAGCTGCGAGGACACATGCACATAAAGGTATGCTGTGACTGCAGACCAACACGCATATACACACATGCACACACACACACACACCCCTCCTGGTCATGGGCAAGCCCACCTCACACCTACTGCTAGTGACTTACAGGAAATGCCAGAAGTGGCAGGCTGTCAAACCAGTTTAGTTTTGTTGCTTTTCATTGGTTCCAAGTTATAAACTGAATTACAAAAACATTAATAATCAGTTGCCCATGTCTTTCCTCACACATTCACTAAACCACTGTTCTGTTCAACGTGGCACTGGCTCCCTAGTCTTCCCATCCCCTTAGATGATGTCACAAATGAGGTTTCCCGAGACAGTTAAGCATTAAAATACATACTTCTGTTAAATAAGGGACTTAAATTTTAGAAATAGGAATTTGTAAACTGTATACACGTAAGGCCTTCCATTCATTCAGATTTTTATTCTTCTATAACTTAAGCACAGGAGGTCTGTATGGCATCTGTGGTTTTGTTCTTGAATGGCATTTTAACATTTATTCTAGAATTAGTTCCTCCTTCTTACAGTTCCTTGGACCATTTTTAAATTACTTGATATTGCGCCCTGCCTTTGCTAAACTATTTGGGAATTCTATGTATTTCACACACATTTCACATTCACTTCACACACACTGAGGGCTTTCTTTTTAAGTACTCACAGATCTTACATAAATGCATTTCTTTTACTGCATGTCTACAAGTTAAGATTCCCCAATGGTTTATGCTTCTGGCTTTCAAAGGGGAGTACCTGCAAAGTACTGCTTAAGAAAAGGAGATAAGAAAATGATCCAACTGTACTTTAGTATCTGAAGAAGACACATTCAGGAAGTCTATGTAAGTCCTATGTAGATGCTGAGATGGCAGAAGTGCTGTATCATTAAAGGTGATTCAGCACTTCACAGCCTCTCTCTAAAAGATCCTCAGAAAGCAGACTAACTCCTAGGTAAAACAGCACATCGGGAAGAGGGAGGACACAGGATGAATAACAAAAACAAAGACCAAGTACATAAAAACTCACAAAGGCTTTTCCCAACAGAGGTGTTAACAATTCATGTGGCTTGAGATTTTTACCTGATAAGCTCCAAAAGTGGAGGGAAAAAAAAAAAAAAACATACCAAGGCAATGTCCGTTCTCCTTAAGCAAAGAAAATCTTATCAGACACTAACTGAATATATAATAGAGTAACAAAAGTGTAAATCGCTAAATAAAGAAAAAAGGATTCATCCTGTTCTGTGCATTGAAAACATTTTCATCCACTCTGTATTCTACGGAAGAGGAACTGCAAACACTTTCAATCAAATCCAGGCCCGAATCATCAGTTAGAGACCATGTATTACTGGTTTCTTGTTCTCTAATGTGACTATCATTGTTCCTTGTGGATGGATAAAATCAACAGATGTATATACAGAAGGAGCTCAGGATGTAAGGAGGGGAATCTGAAAATGTTCTGGAAAAGCAGTGTTAATCCCATGAAGCATAATACAGGGAAATTATTTTAGGTTTAAATGCACCTTAAATGAGCTCACAGGTATAAAAGTCATGCCTGCTTAAGATGGAGATAACTTTTCTGCCAATACACAGGGTCCAAAACTCCTAAACTCTTGCAAGACACTCTGGGATAGAAAGTTAGGCATAGTATAGTTCCTACTACATTCCTTTCTTCTAGAACACCTTATCATTTTGAAGACTGCTCTAAGTGGAACATCCTCCTGAATCCACTTAATCTCCATTCAACTTCTAATCTGCTGATGTCACCTGACCAGCTCAAGACCAAGAATGAGAAACGGAACTAAGATTCTGGGCAACTGAAGCTGCATATTGCAATTAAAAAAAAATTATTTTTAAAGTTGGTCAATCATTTCTATTTCCTGAAGTACTATTTATTTGAAAGCTTTGCTTCTCTGACGCCATGATCACACTAAACCTAAACAAGAGTCTGACAGATTCTGACAAGGCCTTCGGACATAAGCAACATAAAAGAAACACATTCTTTTACCCAGAAATCCAATTCAAGTTCACTAAGATTAGAACAGTTTCAAAATGCAAGGATAGATGACTATTATTAACATGAGTATTCTTAAAATTCAATGACATATATAAACTGATGGTCAGATTCAATGTACCTGAAGGGCACAGATCTCTACTGCTATGTATGTATGATCGAAATGTTTCGAGTTGTGCTTTAAAAAACATCAGAAATTAATGATAAGCATTTCCTGCTGTACAATCCCATATACTGCAATGAAAAATCAAAGCCAATAAGAAGTCATTATTACTTTAATTTGGCTTCTAGGTACCTTCTTATTCAAGGCACAATTGCATTTCACAGTGAAGAACACAAAGCCTCTCCAACATATTCACACACATTTAGAGCAGAATTTGATTTCAACACTCTAATCAATAAATATTTAGCAAAATGTGGTGAATATTACTGATGAGGTAATGGGAGAAAGCTAAAGTAACAGTCTGAATAGTTTTGTGCATCCTGAGTTTTCTTAACTAAGACTTTATTTTTAATTAAAAACAAAATTTACATTTTCAAAAACGGTTTGCCTCAAAAAAAATAGCTTCTAAACTATATTAAATTGGACCAAATAAGGATTTTAATTATTATAAAACAAAGCTCAGTACTTCAGGGAAATACCACCTCCACAAACGTTGAGCCAATTCAGGGGCTGCCAGTAGAATCCTAAAGAGTGATGTCTCCGGTTCATGTGAACACCATCTGCAGTCCACACCCCTTGAGGACAATTCAGGCCATAAGGCAGACCATGCTCAGCAGAGCTGCCCCTTCACCACCCCAGTCACCACCCTTAGCCTGATTGGGCAGGCGATGGCTCATAGCCAGGAAGGCTGCCTCCCTCAGGCTTCCCAAAACCAATCAAGGGCATACGCGGCTCAGCCACACTTTTGCACTCATATTCCCGTATGCTTCCGCTTAAATGTACTCATGAAAAATTTTAAGATGGTTTGCTGTCACTCATCCCCTGACCCAGACGGGTTACACAGATCTGGCAGTGGACACACCCTCCAACACAGCATGAAAAGAGCATAGGAAAACCCAGGTCCAGCTAAGCCCTACCTCAAAGTAATTTGGCCTTTGGTTCCTCCTCTGAAAGCAGGTGGATACAAACTGTTTGGCTATAAAATTGTGAATCTATGGAACTGTAGAATAATTAAAGCTTCCAACACTAAACCACAAAGGCAAGTAGTGTCTGTCCACACTGATGGGGCACCACCTGCACCAAGCCCCAGACTCCAGTGCGCTGGGGGCATCAGACATCTGTCATAGTCACAAGGAGCAAGAAGTTCTAGGTTCCCTCACCACTCCCTCCTACGCTCCTCCAGTCTTCAAAAATGCCTTGAAATAACCCACTTTGGGACCCAATTCTTAATCTGTTGCAAAACAATCTGCTTAAAATAGCCTTAATTAAGATGTAAGTCCAAACCATTGCTCTTCCCTTCATAAAAAGGAGAAGGTAAGATTACCAGAGGTTGTCATGACTATGCCAGTAACAGATCTATCCCAGAATTATACCACTTAAAGCAGACTGTTAGAAGCCCCCTCAGTGCAGTGGGCAGCACGTCAGTCTCATAATCTCAAGGTCCTGAGTTAAAGCAGACTGTATAGGAAGATCTATAGAAACCCGTTACTACTAAAGGGGAAAAAAAAATACTGTACTTAAAAAAATTAGAAGCCAGTTTACCATTAGAGAGAGTTTTGATTTGAGACATAAAGAACATATTCCTCTCCAAAACTGAGTTTCCTCTGATACAAAAGTATTTGCCTTCTGGAGAAGATATGGTTTGCACCGTCCAACAGGTGTGCTCTGAAGGCCCCCACTGAAATATATTGCATCATAGATGAGGGGAAAGACTTGGTTAATTTCTCTTATCAAAAGCTAGTCTTCAGGACATCCTGTCCAACTTGGCTCCCAGGGGCCCAAGGGTTCTTCTCAGAGATTGTTCTTAGAGACCCCCAAACCTGCAGCCCAAGCCCAGGAGCCACCTGTGCATCTTCGCCACGTCGCCAGGCTGTCAGGAGCATGCGTCTCTCATAGACTGGTCTCCTCACACACTCTGACGGGGATGTTATAGTGCCGATCGTCCTCAGCAATGAGCGTTACCACTGGCCAGTCCTTGGGTGGGTCGGTGGGGTAGACTGTGATGAATTCTTCCGTGTTGTACTTGGAGAGCCGGTACACCTGGATGGTGTGGCGCACAGCATAGGCAAGAAGGAACATTTCAACCTGGGAAGAAGAGCAAACGGGTATTCTGAGGAAGATCACACTGAAAAACGTGGCTTAACACCATGTTCCATCCATTATCCCACAGTGCACAGCAATGGTGAAGCCACAACGTTTTTTCCTCCTGCTTTGGGCCCAGCCCCAATCCTTTTCGATTTAAATAAAAAAAAAAAAAAAGCAGATAATCAAGAATGGATCATATGTCTGATAAGGATCCTGTATCCAGAATAAAGAACTTTTACAACAATTAACAAAACAAAAAACCAAATAACCAGCTTAAAAATTAGGCAAAGGATCTGAACAGACACCTCTCTCCAAAGAAGATATACAAGTGACCAAGAAAGCACATGAAAAGATGCTCAACGTTGTGAGTCATTAGGGAAATCAAAATCCAAATCCAACTACAATGAGATAGTACTTCACACCCACTAGAATGACTATAACCAAAAAGATGATAATGGGGAATGGCTGCTTAATGAGCACAGGATTTTCTTTGGGGGTGACATGTTTTAGAACTTCATATAGGTGGTGGTCACCAGCAGTGTACTAAATGTCAATGAGATGTACACTTTAAAATGGTCAATTTTAAATTATATGAACTTCACCCCAATACAAAAAGTCAGAAGTGTTGGTGAAGATATGGTGAAACAGGACACTGATACATTGCTGGTGAGAATGTAAAATGGTGCAGCTGCTTTGCAAACAGTCTGGCAGTTCCTCAAAATGTTAAAGCAATTCCACTCCTCGGTGTATACCCAAGAGAACTACAAACATATGTTCACATAAAAAAAATTATACATGAATGTTCATAGCAGGGTTATTCACAGAACTAAAAAGTGGAAACAATCCAAATACCCATCAAACTATTGAACAGATGAATAAAATGTGATCCATCCATACAATGGGATATTACTTATCAATAAAAAGGAATGAAGTACTAATACATGGTGCAATATGGATGAAATCTTAAAAACATTATGCTAAATCAAATAAGCCATAAACAAAAGACCACATATTATATGATTCCATTCATATGAAATGTCCAGCACAGGCAAATCCATTGAGACAGAAAGTAGATTAGTGGCTGCCTAGGGTTAGAAAGAAGACAAAGTGGTTACTAATGGGCATGAGGTTTCTTTTGACAAAATGCTCTAAAATTAGACTGTAGTGATGGCTGCAAAACTTTAAAAGAGTGAACTTTATGGTATATGTATTTCAAAAAAGAAACTGAAAATTTCTTATTGAAAAAAAAAAAAAAGAATGGACTCACCATCACAGCAGACCTTATAGGGTCTCGGAAAAGACTAACTTTAGTCTAATATGCAAACCATCCTCTATAAGCCTTTTGACTGCAAGGTACTTGCTATGGTTCAGGAGACGTAAGTAACCCACATTATGAGTACAGGTAATTTTTGAAAATAACTATCATCAGCCCTGCCTGACCCAGCAGTGACCATCAGTCTACACTCCTTCCTACGCACTTGGCAATAACAGAAGAAGAGACCTCACACTCCAGGACAGCTCAGAATGGAAACTAACTCAGCTCTCTAATCCTTGCAGTATCTGTCATGGCACTTGGGCCTTTTTAGAAAAAAGCAGGCACAAGAGTCAATTATGTAAGTAGGAGGGTGGCACTTTGATGAACAGCCTTAATGCTACTTTAGCGGTTGGCTATTCCAATAAAAAAAACCTCATTAAGACTTTTTAGGAAAATGAACACATCAAAGATAGCACAAGGTGTGGTGACTCAACTATATTGGCTTAGAGATAGTACTGCACTGGGTTTGTGTGTAAAACTCCACACTTAACAAATCTGTAAAAGATCCAAGAGCAGGCTGAACTCTACTGGCTAAGGTGACTCCATTTCTCTTTTTAATGCAGCTACAGTTGCCAAGATTAAACAAGACCCTTCGAATGGCTCTTCCAAGTACTTCACTTATTTGTAGCCTCCCAGAGCCAAGAGTACTAATCCCATCCACCCCTCTGAAGAATAAAGCCCAGGCTGAGATAACGGTGGTGACTGTAAAGTATGTCCACAATTCTTTGGTACCCCTCATTCAAAAAGGTGGAGCCAAATTCCCCTCCTCTTGAGAGTGGAATGCATCAAGTAACTTGTTTCTAAAAAGTAGAAAACAATCTAACAGTGTGTGACATCCTAGATTAGGTCATAAAAGGCATTTTGGCTTCTTTCTTGCTCACTGCTTAGTTCACTCTGAGAAGCCAGCTGCCATGTTGTAAGGACACTCAAGCAGCCCTGTGGAGGCCTATGTGTGAAGAACTGAACCCTCCTACTAACTACCAGTAAGGAACTGAAGCCTCCTGCCCACAGCCACATGAGTGAACAACACTGGAAGTAGATCTTCCAGCCCCAGTCAAGCCTTCAGATGACTGCAGCCCTGAACATACAACTGCAGCCTCATGACATCCTGAGCCAGAACCATCCAACTAAGCTGTCCCTGAATTTCTGACCTACAAAAACTGTGACATCAAGTTTGATCAGTAAAGCTGCTTTATTTTGGGGTAATACATGCTCAAAAGCACAACTTACCTGTTCAAGACCACCAGTGTGTCCCACCTGGTTGAGGTGGTTCCTCAGAAGCTGTCCTGGGTCATTTGATGTGTCCCGAGCAAACAGAAGCACAGAGAAAAATGGTACTTCCTTTCCTTTCTCTTTATCATTATATAGTTCAATGGCTCTGTTTAGCATTAGAAATTTTACAGCTTCATAGAGGCTATATTCCTCCGCCTCATTTGTGAATAGTTCATCACAAGCTATCTGTCTTGCTTCAGCAGTTCTCATTTCAGCCAAGCCTGCCCACTACAATAAGAAAGTTATGTAATAATTAGAATTTTTGTTCTAAAAATCCCTGGTATAGTACCATACTATGAGCACAAAATTATTTTTTAAAAGTGACCATGGGTCACTTACCAATGCTCACAACATTCAGGTTTCCAGATTAACAAATGGTACACTTTAAAGCACACAAACTCCTTATTCAGCTTTTTCTCCCATTAATTTGAAAGAAAAATACAATGCAATAAGAAGCACCGAGGCTGTGGAAATTTTGACTCCCTTAACTTCCCAGGCAATGAGATTGAACCAGCCAATCAGAGACACTTATGGAAGAGCTAACACATGTGTGTGAAGCCTGTGTGTGAAGCTGTGAAGGGCAGCTACAATTATAAGGGGCTTACAGGAGGGTTAGCACCCAGAAACACAAAGCCAACCCTCCTAAATGGAAGAGAGGCAAGGAAGGGCGTAGGGGCTCCTGAATAATAATTTACTAAACTTATCCCTCTAACCTCAAAAATATATATGAACTTCAAATGAATAAATCCATTCAGGAAACTCTTGACTCCGGATTAAGAATAAAGTAATGTGTTAGGTATTCAGTGAATATAGACAAACTCTTTAAAAAAGAAAACCTATAAATATATGTGCTTTTAAGTTACAGTGAATGAGAATAAGAGACGCCAACATAAATACCATTCCTTATGAATCAACAATAACTAGTGCCCCTCTCAAACACCATTATGGATTTTAAATACAAGAGTGAATTCAATGGTAATGACTGCATACAATTCCCTCTAATATTTGGGCTGAAGGCTGGTACTTGCTTGTCTGTATCTCATATTTTCCAAACTAGACCAAGTTGCCAATCATGGACATGGCTCTAAAGTCAGTCGGGATGGAATCAAGGCTTCACCACAGAGCAGCTGTGGTGGTTTTTGCAGGGCATTTAACTGAGCTCCTGGCCTTAGTTTCCTCACCTAAAAAACAGTGATGACCACAGCGACACCACCTTCATAGTTGTGAGAATTAAATAACACATGAAATTTTAGTGTGGAGCCTGGCATAGAAGTGTTAGTAATGCTGGCTCAGATTATTAGTAATTTTAACCTTATTGCAAATTGGCACCACTCAAGCATTCCCAAAAATGAGGGTCTAATTATAGTAGAAAAACCTAATAAAGCAGAAATAGCAATTTCACAAGACCTTAAAAAAATGAAAACGAAATTGTGACCTGTGGTTGCGCTGAAGGGCCCTCTCGTTCACTCCCACAGGGCTACAGCCCTGCCGTCAGCCTTCCACTAACCCAAGGACTGGGGAACACAAAAATCCTGCATTCTAGTCCAACAGGTAACAAGAATGGAATTTCCCTCTTCCCTTCTTTTGCTCCCATTTCTTTATAGTAAAAGAAAGATAAAACTACTGGACTTCCTTTGACAGTATATTTTCCAGTAAACATTTCTTATCTTTCTAAGCAAAAACTAGGTTCCAAGAAGTCAGGGCCCTCAGTTCACTAATTCAATAAAGCACTAAATGAACACCTATTATGTGCCAGACCTGCTGCTGGACACAGGGTGTCAAGGAATGCACAGGACAGTCTCTCGTGGAGCTGAAAGTCTAATGGGAGCAGCAGACCATGTGTGAGTACAGAAATCACTGTTTGAAGTACGTGCTAGGAAGGACCTTGAAAAGTCCATGTTTGACCCCTCTCTACTTGACCACCCTCCACCGACACCCTGGCGCAAGTGACAGGCCCTCAATCAGGGTTCTTGGTGAGAAGGGCTCCAAGCTGCTCAATGAAAGCAAGCTAGGGGTCATGTAAGCCAGTGTGCAGGCAGGACATCCAACCCAGAGGAGACAGTGGAAAGCCACAGAAAGGTAGAATTTCAAAGACCAAATCAATAGGAATCAGAAGACCAAGTTCTCCCTACAATTCTGTTTCAGAAAAACTCTCAGGACAGTTTTCTAAAGACAAGTTACTAAATCTACTAACTGGAAAATCACGGAGAAAGAAAATAAGTCTGATAAATATGGGCAGAATCTTAAAACATGAGCATAATTGGAAAGAATTTAATAAATTACTAATGATATAAGAAATAGGAACCAAATTATATTCTTGAAACATAAATATGACTTGGAACAAAGACTATATTTGTTAAGGTTTCCTTTTAAGAAAGTCAAACACTTCATTATTTGATACCCTAGTACATGGCATCTGCTCTAAGAATATATAATGTTGGTACTTCCCATTTTACTAAAGCCCTCGTGGGAAGAGTTTGAATTCATTTAAAACCATTTTGCCTAAAAATCAGCCAAGAGCATTTGAAAATCCACTGAGTGAAGACTAAAAACTGGTCTTCTGGGGCAAGCAAGAACGAGAGCTTCACCCTTATCAGACAGGACACTACAGGTTCCAAACCTTCTTCCTCAGCAGAGTAAGGGACTCTTTAATTTTATCAACCAGGTCCTCATTCTTCCCATCAAATTTCAGTCCAAGTTTCCATTGCTTGATCCAGTTGTATTTGCTTATGAGTTTTTCTGGTAACTACAACATCGAGAAACAAAGAGATAAAGAAGTGTTAACATTCCAAGAAATCCACCACACAATCCAAGCTGTAAGAAACCACAAAGTCTATAAAACCTAACTTTGTTTCCAGAATTAATTCTGCAAATCTGTGATGTGGGCTTAGGATGGAGGACCTAAATCTAGAAGTCAGGAACTTAGAAAGTACCACCCTGAGGAGGGCTGCTGGAGTGAAATGGTGCTTTTGGTTGAGCCAAAGCACAATCTGCCTTGCAGGACTCCAACCACGGCCAGGACATTCCACAGCAGGCCATGCCCACAGCACGTCCTCACACCAACCACCTTCAGGCTATGGGACTCACTGCAGCCTCTCAACCACCACCTAACACATGGCTCGGGACAGTGCTTCTGAGCATGTGAGAAGGTCCAGGGTGAAGCCAAACCTTCTCCTTTCCCAATAAGAAAAATAAAACCTAGTTTCTGGCATTTAAAAAATCCACCAAAAAAAGGTAGAAAAAGTTTGGTTAAATAATGTTAACACATATACTCAAGTTTTAACATTCAGAGAAATGATACTATGTCTAGTTTAACTATCTAATCGATCTATTAAGATAAAACATACAATTGAAAATCAGAGGCAGGGTTAAGTGAGCTGTGCTCACTTAGTTCATGAAAGAAGTGACAGCTGAACTACATTGCTAGTTTCCATTTTTTTTATTCCTGGAGTATTTGTTACTTTGTTTCCCTCTAGTTATCAACACAATCTGCAGTTTGAAAGGCAAGCTGAGGCACAGCCTGACTGATGACAGCATGGGAAGTAAGACTCTTCCAACAGTCTTGGGTGTGTCAGGAGAAAAATCCTAGAATTAGGCTGGGCACAGGTGTGTCACTTCACTGCTATAAAATTTAGAAAGGAAAAAAAGTTCACCTCCAAGTCAACAGATCATTAAAGAATAATTAAATCCTACAATATCCTATGAGGAACCTGACCTTGTTTAGCAGTTATTAATACAGTTCTGCCAGTACAGGCAACATAGCAAGACCCCATTTCTATAAAAAAAAAAAGTTTAAAAATTCACTGGGCACAGTGGCATGTACCTGTATTCCCAGCTACTCAGGAGGCTGAGGCAGGAGGATCACTTGAGCCCGGGAGTTTGAGGTTACAGTTAGCTATAACTGCACCACTGCACTTCAGCCTGAGCAACAGAGCAAGACCTCATCCCCAAAAAATTAAAAACTTTATATAGTAAGAAAGAAATGAATAAAAATAAATACATAAAATAAAATAAATACAGTTTTAAATGAGGCCAAATCTTCCATTCAACTGGAATGTAAGACTAAAAGACCCTTTCATAAATAGTAATTCTGGTGGTACCTTCTCAACCTAGAGCAATCGTGTGAACTAAGGTGGTTTCTACAAAACACAGAACCACGATTGGGATGTAAATTACTTTTCACTGTGACCACAGTGATGGCGAACTACATCACTCACTAAGGGTGGAGAGGGACTTCTCCTCCTCATCTTATTAGAATAACAAATGACCACCCACCTAAAGGCTGCACCAGCCCACTCCGTGCCCACACTGCCCTGCGTTTCGGCAACATGTGGCAGTTCTGCAGCAAAACCTTCAATTCAGTCTCTCAGATTTATCACAAGAACCTCACATGCCCTCAAGTGGCAACAAGCTAAAATTACAATTGGGCACAAAGAACTACAAATGTGCAGAAAATACTGGCTACACAGATGTGAGCTGGGAAATGAGGTGAAGGGAAGCCCAGAAGACCGGCTGAGCATCTGGGGACATGATACAGTTATCTAAAAAGTAGGTACAGTACTCAACTGAATTACTCAGGAGACCCTGAAGACCTAACTACACAGAGAGAAACAATTGTTTCTGATTCCCTTCACACACTGGTCAAACAGTTCAGGGTTGTAGACTTCCAGGAAATGCAGAAATCCTTAAGACAATTTTAAAAAATGAAGCATGAAAAAAGCCATCAGAAAAGAATGAAGTCAAATTTATTCAGAAGAAAAAAGTGAATACAACTTCAAACGCTTTCAGAGGTCACAGCACATGGAACACACGTAAATAACCTTTGTTTTCCACTAAGCACAAACTGGACTTCTATTAGAATAAAGAAAATTTAAGCAAGAAACCAGATTTAAACAAGAAACAGTGATTGGAAATATTCAAGAATAAAGTAGGTAATTAGCTTAGGTGTCATTTTGTTTGTGACTAAACTATAAAACAGCCTGTTTTCTCTAGCATATGCCGGTAATTCTTGATACCACAACAGAAAGCAAATAATAAAAATGTGTCATCCCCAAAACTTACAAAAAAATTTTGATACACAGTCTATCTCACTCTAAGCAAACACTGTCACAGTCTAACCAGTTCAGAGACATTATAAAATGTAACGAACTTGGAAACCAAACTCTAAAGGGTACCCTCCTCAGGAACCAAAGTGTTGTCCCACATTTGAGAGCCAGGCTAGGCCATCTCCATAGCTGGGGTGAGGGTCAGATGATCTGGCTGCAGCCAAACACGGAGACTGGGATCTGGGCAGAAATGGGAACAACAAACAGGACACCTGGGCAGGATGACAGGAGGTGAGGGACAGCCGAACTGTCAGAGGGGCAAATAAGGACAAAGCTCTGCCTCACAGGCAGGGAACAGAGCAAGGCCAGCAAAGCTGAGCAGCAGCAGAAAGGAAGCCCGGGTCTTCTTCACCGAGCATAGATTAAGGGGAGGGTCACTCAGTCTAGCTTTCCCAGCTCCCTTTAATACCCTAAAACCAAATGATGTTCTAAAAGACAGAGAAGACAGCAACATGCCACAGAGAACATCTCTCAATCTGCAAACAGAAGCAGATAAAGCTAGCTAAAGGTTCCACCCCTGATTTATTTCAGTCACACTGCAAGAAACGCTCACTCAACAAAGCCCTTGTCAGAGTGGACCTTCCAAGGGAAGGGCTGTGGGGCCAGGGGGGCCAGAGTGAGAACAGGAATGGAAAGGCATCCACAGGAGGGTCTGCGGGCCACCTGGTAGATTTGCACAACCAGAGTAAGCTTATGGGTCCCTTCCTTCCTTCACTGGCCCCTCAAACACAAAGCATGTGCTGAATTTGAATTTGTCATCCAATCATGTCTCAGACGTGATACCACAAAACGAACTGGGTAAAGCAAGTTTTCAAACTATGTTAAATTGCTGAGGGCTGGAACAGCAACACAAGGACAAGTCCTCTGGCTGGATGACAGCAAGGAAAGAACAAAGACGTTCTTCAGCTAACATTCAGATCCAACGTTTAATAAACATAAATATCAAACCCACAGGCAGGTACACTGTGTTTTCCCTCTCTGACAGAGGCCTCTTGGCATTCAATTAGATGACAAAAACCAAACCAAGTGACCAACTAATTAAATTATGCTCCCAGAAAAATATAATAGCTGATACACATAGAAAAGGAAAGAAACTGGAAAGAACACTTAAGAATTTTAAAACTATTTTCACATTACTCAAATTAAGTCAGAAAAACCACCTTAAAACCCCATCACTCACACATGCAACATATTGTAACAGTGATTAGAGTTTGAATGTAATCTACCCAGACTATTTTTAATATGGCAGATAATCTTACCCAATATATCCTGCTAGCAAAAAAAAAGGGGGGGAGACATTGTACTTAACTTTTTTAAAAGCAATTTTATACTTTATTTAATTAATTAGGACACTATTTACCCCAGATTCTCAGAAAGTATAAAAATACAAATTTAGTGTCAAGTAAGTCCATAAATCCAAATAGCTCCTTAAAGGTAAAGCCTCAAAAGGAAAATTTTGCCTAAAATTGAGGAAGATATTATGTCACTATCCAGAAATACAGATTTGTAGATTAATATAATATAGCCACAGTTGCCAGCGCAGCCTCCTGAGTAGCTAAGAACATAGGTATACACCACCAAAATCTAGAAATTGTGTCATATATATCTACAGTTGTCAAGCACAGAAGTTAAAATAAGGCAAAGCAAAAACAGTGAAATCATTGTTTGCTTCTCTAGTTGGGTCTTATATCCAACCATAGGAATGCTTTCGCCAACTGGCAATTCTGAAATACTTTACTAATAAATGGCATCATTTACAAAAGAAAAAACAGCTTAGTATATCCATTTCTCTTGCCTCTATATGAAAGAAATAAGCTAATACTGAAAAATCGGCTTAAGATGGCATGCATCTTTGCTTAGAAGAAAATATCTTTCCCAGATGTTGGTTTTGGTTTTTTTTTAATAGACTCCCCAATACAAGGGGTCTCCTTATGTTGCCCAGGCTGGACTTGAACTCCTGGCTCAAGTGATCCTCCCACCCCAGCCTCCTGAGTAGCTAACACTACAGGCGCCACCACACTTGGCTCCAGATGTCATTTTGACAGTTGATATAGGTGTGCTGATTTTATGCTGGTGTATTAAACAATCATGGAACAGATGGGGAGTATCCTTCACCCATCAATCCTGGTTTTGCCCTTCTGAGCGTGTGATCTCTCATCCACCTAAAAGACCTCTAGCTTAGTCAACAAGTTCCTCTAAAAGTCTTCTTTATTCTAGGAAAACACCCCAGTTCCTTCAATGGCTCCCAGAATGTGAAGAAGCATCCTGGCCACATTTCCATCTGCTGAGGATACTTTATCAGGCACCGAGCTTGAGATGGCCTCTGACCAGCCCAGTTCAAGGTGGGGCTGTCACTGCCTAATTCTTAGAATCATTCCTTTTAAAACGCAGCCAGGTTGGTCTTTTTGCTTAATATCAAAAAAAATAAAAATAAAAATAATAAAAATAAAATGCAGCTAGGGCTTTGTGATCATTGCTAGCCATCGCATTTCATGCAGGCTCACAGTGGGCTTGCATAATTAAAATCCTAACATCTTTTTCTTTCTTTTCATAAATTGCTATAAGGCCAATCTCCCACGGCTAGCATTTCTGGGTTTTGGATTTTTTAAATTTAAGCACAAGACTTTCAATTTTCTTCCAGTTAATGTCATATTGTCATTTTTTTTTTAATTTAAAAATATTTTGTTGGTAAAAAAATGCTAATGATCATCTGGGCCTTCAGCAAGTTGTAATCTTTTTGCTGGTGGAGGGTCTTGCTTTGATGTTGATGGCTGCTAACTGAACAGGGTGGTGGCTGTTGAAGATTGGGTGGCTGTGGCCATTTCTTTTTTTGCAATTCAACTTTTATTTTAGATACAGAAGGTACATGTGCAGATTTGTTATATGGGTATATTGCTGTCTCTGACCAATCATTCCTGACCAAAAAATCTTTCAGGATAGTCTATCACCCACCTGACTATATGCCTTTATCCGTGTCAGGACATGCAGACACATGACTTTCCAGTGCATGTCTGCCATGTGGTACATTTAAAACGCTAAAGAGGGCCAGGCCTGGGACAGGCTGAGTCTCAGCTCCTCAGGAAGCCCCTCTCCATGTGACAGTAATCATGTCTCTTCTAGTGTTCCTGTTCTGCCACCTACTAAGCCAATCCTCACACTTAGCCAAAAGTACTAATTTATTGAATTATAGCTAAAAACTAAAGAAATGTGTATTCTAAAACCCTAGCAGGTTCTCAAATAGTAACATATACAGCCTACTTAAAATAAACACCAAAATTGAAATCGAACTGTTCCTAAGTGCTTTATACAAACATCTGCTCTCTAATTCAACTAAATTGTTCATATAAATTTTATCATTTTTCTCTTCTAGGAAACACCAATTATTTTTGGTCATTTAACTATGTGAAATCACCCCAGCCACACAAAACTGAATAAACGCACATGCTGACATCATACTGCAGACGATACTAGAAGGTAGCATGGACAGAAAGGGAAAGTTTTCTCACAAAAATTGTTTGAAACATTTTGGACTCAAACCTGCAGCAGCAGCGTACCAGCATGAGCTCCGGGTCCTGCAGCCAGGGCGGCAGCCCCACAGCCTGGCTCATGGCCTGGAACAGCGTGGCCCTCAGTGCACAGTAATTATCACCACGGACTCGCCGTATGGAGGTGAACTTCTGAGAAACCTCTTCATAGCCCTGGGAAAAGGTATGAAAGAATTCAAAATGGTCGTTACTGACTTGAGATAGCAGAGAAAGTTTCATTCCTGTGGAAAAAGCTTGGCCTGGGATCACTGGGAGGATGCCCAAAGTTGGAGTTTTATGTCCCTTTCTAAGCAATTGTTTTAACACTTACTCACTGGCAAACAACATTTTGAAGGGTTTACTCTGTGTTTCAAATGACCCTAAACTCTTTTAAAAAAAAAAAAGGCAAGAAAAAAGAGAGCTAAACTAAGTTTATATTTTCCTACTAAAAAAATATAGAAAAACCCCAAGTTTCCAAAACACAAAGGGGGGCGGGGGTGCTTTGTGTATGTGCATGTACACATAAAAGTCTATATGCCAGGAGATGGCTGAATAATTCTGTTAGGCTTCTTTTTTTGAGATGCAGTTTCGCTCTCGTTGCCCAGGCTGGAGTGCAGTGGCGCAATCTCGGCTCACTGCAACCTCGGCCTCCCGGGTTCAAGCAATTCTCCTGCCTCAGCCTCCTGAGTAACTGGGATTACAGGTATGTGCCACCAAGCCCAGCTAATTTTTTGTATTTTTAGTAGTGACAGGATTTCATCATGTTGGCCAGGCTGGTCTTGAACTCCTGACCTCAGATGATCCACCTGCTTCTGCCTCCCAAAGTGCAGGGATTACAGGCGTGAGCCACCGTGCCCCGCCTTCTTTTCTTAAGTGAAGTGTCACTCTTGCTCAGTCTGGAAGTGAAACAAGCAAATGAAAATATTCAGTGACATGCTTGGGCACTCAAAAACAGCCATCCAATGGACCATTCTGAAACGTACCCTGAAAAGACACCAAAAAATCCTAGTGAGTCTGGTCCCCCAGCAGGCATGATGATGCCTGGCTTCTCCAGCTAGACACATGCACAGTCCTTGAGACTGACTGAACTGCCCACCATCTCCCTGACCCTGGGTCGAGTCAGCCCCTTAACTCATCCAACTTTTCATTGACAGTCACTCAAGACCCACTTCCTACCCTGCACTCACAGAAAGAAAGAAGTGTTACCCTCATCGTGGGGTGGACGCAATGCAGACCACCTCTGTCCTGTGTGTCCAGGTACTAGAACCTCATTACTAGCTGTTTTCAAGGTTCAAGTCATAGGATGATGTTTTAAGTGAATATAAAAGTACTTTTTTCCCCCAATAACAACATTTTGAGGGTTGCATTTTTATTTAGTGGTCCAACCACTGTAACACATAAGGTTCCATCAGGCAGAATCACACCTACTAATAATTATGTACTTCTTGCCTATGGTAAACCTCAATTACCCCAGAATACTTATGCAAATCCAACTGCAGCTGTACCTTTCCAAATGCATAAATTACTCAGGCTATTTCAGAATAAAATTAAATCTGAATTTGTAGAAACTTACTTCCAAAAGAATATTCGAAACAAAAACAGACAATCACGCCAATAAGGACTAAAATAGAATGGAGGTGAAAGCTGTTTTCAGGCATCTGAGATGCTCTAATTACTGCCATGGGTCCTGATGGGCTAGAGGTTGGAAAATCTGCAAGTGACCAACAGCATATTTAGCAAAAATATAAATGTTCTTAACCTCTGGCAGGAACTAAGAATTCCAGGTTTTTCATAATTGAGTTCTCTAACCAACGCCTAAAACACAAAGCATCTACATATCAGACTTGCAGAGAACTATCATCTGCTCTCAGAGCTTTACAAGTGGCAGCTAGATTTTTCTAAGGTCAGCCCATGGGCAGCTGAGGTACATGCTGAAAGATGAGCAATCATTTTCTATAAAAATGAGCTCTGAGGAAAAAACTAAATATTCAAATATTTAAAAATTTAAAATCCTAACCAAAAAAAGTTAAAGATATTTCTATTAAATATGACAGTCAGTATCTCTAATATATAAGAAGTGCATTCAAATTCATAATGTAAATAATCCCAAGAGAAAAATGAGCAAAAGATAAACCCAGAGGTTTCAAGAGGTCATGGAAGTCTTAGGTTAAATCTGCTATTTGACTGTTTTTGAGCAATTCACATGGTTCACCCTACTGATAATACTGGATTTGGTATACATCTGAGGGTAGAGCCCACAGGGTCTGCTGCTTGATCAGCTGTGTGGTGTATGTAGGCCATGGTGTCTGAGCTGAGTAATGAACCGGACCAAACAGTCACAGCAGGACCACATCATATGAATCTCCAATGTCATCCCACAGCCTTGGAGACTATCTTGAAGGGAGCAGTTCCTGATTCCCCTGTGTAGGGAGTCCAAGAAGGTTCTAGGCCCCAGGACCAGAGGGTGTGTAAGCAAACTCAATGTGCTGTGGAAAGCAGAAGTGTGGAATCGGCCTGAGGCATCCCTGAGGCTTTTATTTTATAACACCAGACCAAAAAGGACATTCCCAAATGGCCCCAAGAGGACAACCAAGAGCTGGCCCAACTCTGAACAGCAGTCATTTACGTGTTTTTCAAAGAAATTGCGTCACTGAATAACTGATGCTGATTCTATATTAATACTGTGACTTAAAACAAAACCCTTATCTTTGGAGTCTATTTCCTTAACTCTAAAATTAGAACACCAATAACAACGTCTATAGCAGTCATTTTAACTAATGTCTAAAAATATCAAATGACATATTAAACAACTTATGATAGACTATTTGAAAGACCTGAAATATGTGCACCTCTGTGTCATACCATTTTCATACACGTTGCTTTCTGTGTATTTCCTCTCCATTCTTTTTTGCAGTAGTCCATGATATCCATTTCAGGAGCTACGCTTAATCTCGGTTCTGTTAAAGAATTTAAAAAAAAAAAAAGCAAATAATAAATCAAAGCATAATCAGAATACTGCTTCAGTTGGGGGTTACCCTTCACTCTTCATTTTCTTTCTTCACGTCAAAAAATCCAGAATTCAACCACTGCCTAACCGCTGGTCCAGACCACCATCACCTCACCCCTAGATAACCATGGGGGTCTCCCAATGGGTGTCCCTTGTCACCACACTCTCCAGACCATTATCCACATGATAGCTAGCCAGGATGATCCATCTAAACGTGAATCAGATGGTATCAATTACTCCTGCGCTCAGAGAGCTCCAGGGGCTCCTGCCTCATGGCCTTATTCCTCATATAGTCCCCCTCTCTGCCTCTCTGGTCTCTGCTCCTACCATTCCCCACTGAGTGGGCTCCAGCCCCAGCTACAGCCTCCCAATACTCTCCAAAACACCTGGCTTGCTCTTCCCCGCACCTGCAGAGCTGCTCCCTCCCTCCATGCAGGCCTCTGCTCCAGAGTCAGCTGGCACCTTGTATCATAGTATCACGTACACTTTTGCTCTCTATTCCTCTTATACCATTTGGTTTTTCTTCTTAGCACTCATCAACACCTGAAATATTTTTCTGTACCACTCACCCACCACCCCCCACACACACCCATACAAAAATACAGTAAAACACAAGCTCCTTGAGGGCAGGGACTTTGTTTTGTTTCTCAGTTGTGTTGTGTCCTCAGCATCTGGAGCTGCACTGACACACAGGTGCTCATGAATACTTTTCTAATCAAATTACAGACGCGACAGTCTGAACTATGAGAAAACACTTCTAACAATGAGTAATCAGTTTTTTATAACCATTATACAAAGAAATAACACCTACTATAACAAAAATTACATTTAATTATCTTAATGTATTTATGTCCTACCCTGATCCCAAAAACCTAAAAGTGGTCGATAATAAACCAGAAACTAACAGAACTCTCCATGTTTGTTAATCCACAGACCTCACCTGACTCTAACAACACATCCCCCAAAATTAAAAATACAACTCACCATCAGACAAATGTTATAGTGAAAAAAAAATAGCCTTTATATTTTCCCTAGTTTAATATATATGGTTTGGGGTTTGATTTTGTGGTATGTGCATATACACGCACATGCACATATTAGTGTGTGTGTTTTAGGAAGAAAAGGAGGTAAATTTTCAGGCACATCTTGACTTCCTTTTTAAATTACTGAAGACGTAGATGCTAGCAATGATTTTAGAATGCAGAAGTACCTTACAACATATTTACTCCTGAGCAAGTTGTACATAAAATAAAAATGTTTTATTCAACTAAATTCAACAAATATTTACTGAGTGTCTAAAATGTACCAAATATTGAGCTAGGAACTGGGGATAAAAGGTGATGAAGACAGGATTCTATCCTCAAGGGGCTTATGGACTGCTGGAGGAGAAAAGACAACAAGCACTTATAAACCAGGGTGTGATGGGTGCCAGGATGATTAGGAGCACAAAAGAGGCCCTAAATCCTCCTTGCAGTTTAGGTAAATTTAAAAAAAAAATTTTTTAAGTAAACTCTTAAGAACTGCTGATTTTTAATAATCTCACTGTGAATTCTTTTACAAAGAAAAGTAACTTTTTACATACAAGAGAAAATAATACATATACAGATAACATAGACATATTTATCTGTGGCACACATCAGGATTCACTTAAAAGTGAAGCAGACTCCTGAGGTATAATATACAGGGACCACAAAGACCAATGCTGCACAGCCAATCCTTAAAGAATCTTCATTTTTTTTAATTCGAGAAATATTTTTTTGCATGTCTACTTAGTGGATGGAAGCATTCTCATGTAGCTGTCTTTCCATTCCCCTGCCCAAAAGGGAAGAAATGCGAATGTCCAGAGTCAGGACACTTATTGGTCCACATTTTTCCTCCAGGTAGGGTTATGAGCCTGAACAGAAAGCACATGTCCAGCTCAGAAAGGGACTCCTGGGAAGGAAATCTACCTTCCTGCTCTCCTCCCTGCAGTCCTCATTCCTGTGCACACCAAGACAAGACCTGGACAGGGTGGGGCAAGCCCAGCACCCCATGACTGAGGGGAGGAGGCACAAGCCTCACACAGGCCAAGAGATCAAGCCACAGGCCACAGCCAAGTGCTGAATCAGAGGCCTACGTAGCGTAGTGAGGGTTGGGAAAATGGGTACTGGCACAGCTGGCAGCATCAAATACCTGAATTCCCATTCTGCTGTGGTCCTCTGAGGAGGACTCCAATGGCTACTACATGCCAGGTACCAGGCTAGGAGCTGGAGATGCAGGACAAGGCAGTACCTGACCTCGAGCAGCTTATGGAGTTCAAAAGCAACTTTCTTTAGTTGCAAACTACACAGACGCTGCTGTTTTCAAAAAAGGACATTTCTAATGGCAAAAAAATAAAAAATAGAAAAATAGGGAAGTTGAAAACCAGAGTGGTAAGCCACAAGTTGAAATAACCAAGAGGCTTCATCTTTAACCACCACATGGGTGACAAAGACAAGAATCAGACCCTCAGAAGGCGGGAAGTTAAAACTGAAACCCCTCCGGAAAGCAGGGACTCTCAAACAGGGTGGAATAGGATAGGAATCTCAATCTTTGTCTGTAACGGGCCAGACAGGAAATAAGTTAAGGCTTGGAGAGCCATAAGGTTTCTGTCACAGCTACTCAACTTTACTATGCACGAAAGCCACCACAGACAATATGTAAATTAATATGTTTCAAAAAATCTTTATCGACAAAACCAGGTGGCAAGTCAGATTTGGCCTGGAAACCATTGTTTGCTGACTCTCAGGCAAGGTGGAAAAAAATATTTTCACTAACAGAGAGGATAAGAAAACTTTTTGCCTCAGCCTGGGCTCTGAGAGGGTAACAAATGTTATTTCAAGAAAGACAATGAACCCAGAAGGTCTGAGATGATGTGAGAAGTGTAAAGGGATCCATTTCACTCTCAGACTAAAGCTAGGAGTTACAAGACCCACCATAAAGCTTGATTGCCCGTGTGGGGTACAATGCCAGACAGAAGAGAATCACAACCGAGAGCCTACAGGGTGAAATACTGTCAGCGGTAACAAACACCAGCTGAATACACACTTTCTTCTTAGGAATCTGACTAATGAGGACACTGCACCCTACATGAAATTTTGAACAACCACAGAGTAGAGACAGAGCATTCTTCAAGTTTCATGGAAGACTGGAACGGTGCGGCCCCGCCACACATCACTACAAAGAATATCTCCTGTGGCTACCACAGTGAAGAGTTCACCAATTGCTTGAGGGGGGCTCAAGAAGTATTATAAAAACCACACTGTGTATCATTTGTTCCTAATCACACATGACAATGCTTTTGTTCACCAAAAACAGAAGCCAGTTCTCAAAACAGAAGAGCACAGACAAGGGTCTTCTAAGGTTCATGGAAAATGAGTTTTATGAAAAAGCTATGGACGGATTTCAATTTTTTTTGGCACCATAATAAACTCATACTAACTTGTTATAACATGTATGAACAGGATCTAGTCTAAGGCACTAAGAAGGATAAGACATCAGCTTGAAAAGAGCCCCTATTAGAGCAACATGAGTTCTGCTAAAATTAAAGCAAGAAAAAACATCAAACAACGGCAAGAATTTCAATGAGAAATCATTAGGCATCCACCTTACAGTCCTGATCTGGCTCCTTCTGACTTCCTTTTGTTTCCTAATCTTAAGAAGCTTTAAAGGACACACATTTTTCTTCAGCTAATAATGCAAAAAAGACTGCTGCATTCACATTGTTAAATTCCCAGGCCTGTCAGTTCTTTAGGGATGAGTCCAACAAATGGCTGGTATCATCATTTAAAAGTGGCTTGAAACTGATGGAGCTTATGTTGAGAAATAAGGTTTATATTTTTATTTTTTATTTTTTTTTTGAGACAAGGTCTCACTGTTACCCAGGTTGGAGTGCAGTAATGCAATCACGGCTCACTACATCCTCAAACTCCCAGGCTCAAGCGATCCTCCCACCTCCGCCTCCTGAGTAGCTGGCACCACAAACGTACACCACCACGCCCGATTAATTTTTGTATTTTTTGTAGACACAAGGTCTCCTTGTTTGCCCAGGCCGGTCTCGAACTCCTGGACTCAAGCAATCCGCCCGCCTCGGCCTCCCCAAGTGCTGGGATTACGGGCATGATCCACCACACCCAGCCTTCTATCTTTCAATTCCATTTTTCCACAACCGTTTTGAAGTCTCCTTATACATTACACAGGTAATGAAAGAGAAAATGCCACTTGTGATTATTCACGGGATATCCCAAAATCAGAGTAACCCTATGCAGCTCCTGCATGAGGCCACTCAGGGAACTAAGGATGTACGTCACATGCAACTTTGCCAGCCAAGTCTCCACGGACCAGCGGAGGGGTCCAGGAGTAACACCTCACTCCGGCAGCAATGGGTCCTGGTTGGGGTAAGATCAGGCAAGACAAGAAAAACACAGACATGAAATCACAAAACGATGAGACTCTGTGCTACTGATCCCATCACTGTCTTTCTTATTACTTAATCACATTCATATGGCCATCTGCATGCAAAGATGTGCACAGCCAGTTTCTCAGTTAAGTCTTTCCATTTGAAATGAAAAATGCACTTCAAATCTGAACTCTCCCTCTAAGAATATAAGGAAATCAAGAACTGAGAGAGGACGGTGTCAAGAGATTAAACAAAACAATCCTCATAGGTGTGAAAAACGATATGAATGTAAAGAATGCAGAGAGAATGTTTGCATTAAAATTTAAAAGCCTCAGGAAACAGTCTCTAACATACTTCAGCAAAACAATCAATGTAGATAAGACCATATACATAAGAATATTTTATTGATATTTTATGAAAATGGTTATACGGATTTAACTGCATTTTCTGCTATAAACAATAAGAACTCTATAAATAAAACAATTCCAAACATACCTGATGCCCCTCTTTCATGTATAAGCAATTCTTTCTCCTTTTCTATTTCATCTGCAGCACGGTACATGTCCTCCTCACTGAAATTACACCAAAGCAGACATTTTCAAACACTTGTTGCACTGACATTTTCCGTCCTATTATACAGCTGCTTACAAATGCATAATATACTAAGGGTTTAACTTTTTTCACTTTACATGATGATAATCTAATAAAATATGAGTCTTCTATCTTAAGAATAAAGATGCTTATGTTTCTATCTCACCACTTTCTTCTACTTCAGAATTTCTTACTTAAATAAGACAAGTTACATCACTTCATTTGCTAGGTAGCTCTGAAGGCATTTTAATTGTAATGCCTATTAGTGCCTCAACTATATATCTAGACATCATAGCATGCATCTTATTAGTGAAGCTCCTGAACTGATTCTGTCAAGTTCCAAGAATGGAGATAGTGCTGATAAAAATATTTATATAGGAATGCAGGCCCCATTGCCGACCTTTGTAACGTGTCACAAGCAAACCTGACAATAGCTACCTTAAAAACAAGAAGAGACCATCAGTTATTACAAATCGCCAAAGCTAAAAAACCTCCTCGAAATCCTCCTGCTTCCTGACCCCACAATCAACCAGCCACCCATGCAGCTGTTACATAGATTCCCACTGTCCGCTACTACCGACTTCTTACTCAGAGCTTCCTAGTCTCTAGTACTTTAGTTAACTAGCAAGAGCCCACTAAGTACTACAAAGGGAAAAAATCCACTAGATGCTAGACAAAGATGAAGAATGGGACTTCTGGTTTGAAGATGCACCCCTTTTCCCCCAAGATTCACCCCAAAATGACAATAAAGGGAAACAGAAACCCAAATTCTATCTTTCATGAAACCAGAAGACAGGTGAAAGTCCAAAGAGCTGGAAAGCAGATGGAGTGGTAAATGACACAGGACAGGGAAGCCAAGGCTGGGAGATGGGCATCCGTGGCAGGCAAGTCAGAAAACCTGGCAGAACCCCAGAAAGGCTCAGGAACTGGAGGCATCAAGTCCTTCAGGAGGCATGAGTAACACACTGAGCAGAAAACAAGGAGACTAGCTGACCTTCACATAAGCAATGATCAGACCCCCGATTCCCCATACTCCTGCCTCATGAGCGCATACCCCATCCTCACACAAGGCTGCAGACCCAGTGGAACACAGGAAGGAGGAGGTGCCAGGCTAAAAAAAAAATATTCAGTGAATGACTGAGATATCCCTACCCCCAATTCCCTCATCACCCCAGCTCCTGGTATATGGCCTAGTACAGCTGGGGGAAAGAGGAAGAAGTCAGACAGCAAGAGACAGATGAAGAAGGGGTACTGGGAGGGCCAGACTGAGGAAGGAAGTCTCACATGTCCCCACTAAAACCTTTCAATGGTTCCCACTCAGGGAACCAATGTCAAAATTAGGACCTCACCCACCACTCCAGCCTGCATCCCATTATTTCCCTATGCATTACTCACACTTCAGTCCAAACGCCTGACCAACATTATCATGTGCCCATACATCTGTGATTTGCTCAGATGTTCCCTCTTCCTGAACGGCCCACAACTCCTGACCTGCCCCCTGCCAAACACATCACGATACACGCCATGTGGGTAAGCCCTCTGCATGCAGAGTGCAATGATTGGAGTGGGGACCCAGGAATTAGACTGCCAGGGTTTATTTAACTAGTCCTCATTCTGGTCCTTATTAGCTGTATGTATAACTATGACTAGAGTAACTACACCTCTCGGCATCTAGATTTAACCACCTGTCAAAAGGGCAGTAAGAGTATTCACCTTAAAGGGCTTTTTTAAGAAACAGATACATGGAAAATAATTAGCACTCAAAATTAAGTAAGCTATTCTTATTCTCATTTTATATCCACTGTTGCAAAGTATTAATGAACAATCTGACCAATTATCAATTTTTATTTCTTTTTTTCTCTCTAAATGTGTAACTGTGTGTATTTTAACGTTGTGAGGGTAAGGGAACAAGTATCAGAAAAAGGTACTTTCCATGTGCTTTTGCTTCCAGTGAGATTTCAAGTAAAAAGTGTGATGTCATCCTTAGAGCCCATGCCAGAGGTAAAAACAAACAGAAACCTGATTCATGGGGACCATACATCAAAGGCCTAAAATCAAAAGTGACCAAATGTGTTCGTTCTTCTCTCAATAATTTAACATCTTTCAGCCCCTTTCCTGGCTTTATAAAATAAGGGACAAATTCCAATCCTGTAAAACAGACATTTAAGCAAAGCACTTTCATAGTATCATTATCAGAGGCATATATCTTTGGGCAAGCCACTTCCCCACGGCCTCAGTTTTCTCATCTTCAAAATGAGAAGACTGGAAGAGGCCGTGTAAGCTACATGGTTCCTCTTCCAGTTCTTTAGTCTAAGTCTACGAAAACTGTACTTCGAGCAAAATCTGTGGCTATACTACATGCACATTTGGCTCCACTTTTGTTCTCTTTCTTTTTAATCTACAAAATAACCAAAATCCAACATCAATGCCCAGAGGAGGTTCTCTAAACAAGCAACTCTCCATCCCACAAGTACAAATTCCTACAAAGGCCAACAGGAAAGGAAAGGAAACAAACAGCAGAACAAACAGGAGAACTAAATGCAAAGGGAAGCTGAACGGGAAATTACTGGAAATAAAGAGCACAGATTCAGGATATATGAAAAAAGCAAAGCAGAAATGGAAGAATAAGAGAACCAGAGTATAATCAAATTGCTTTAACCACAACTGAATTTCACTCAGATCCTGTGCACAAACATCTGCTTACTTCATGGCCACCAAGGACATACAGAAAATGTAACACAGCCTTTACTAAAGGCCACCATTAAAATAAAAATAATCCTGCTTAAAGCCAGGAGTTCAATACCAGCCTGGGCATAAAGCAAGACCCCGCCTCTACAAAAAAAAAAAAAAATTAATTGGACATGCTGGCACTCACCTGTAATCCCCCCTAGAAAGGAGGCTGAGGAGAGAGGATCACTTAAGCCTAGGAGTTGGAGGCTGCAGTGAGCTATGATCACACCACTGCACTCCTGCCCAGGCAATAGAGTGAGACCCTGTCACTAAAAAAAATTAGTTAATTAATTTTTAAAAAATAATCCCGAAGAATAAGTTTTAGGTTTGAGCAATGAAGCGCAATCAATATATTCAGGAAGGAGGACATTTCGCAGGCAGAATGAAATAGTTACCCGTCTAATAGAAAGATAAGCAAACAGAAAGAGAGGAAGAAACAGAGCCAAAAAATAATAATTTTATTTTAAAAATACTTCACTCAATAAACTTTTGCTTTAATTTTTTAAGTATTAAAATAATAAAGCTGAAAACAATGACACAATGAAATGATACTAAAGGCCAGGAATCTGGAACAGGTAGAGGTTAAGTTTACGTTTTTGTTATGGGATGGGAAGATAATAAAACAATGAGGAAAAGGGATTTGGCAACCTTTTGTGTGTCAAGTTGGGGTGGTGGTGGAGAGGTATCCACTCTGACACAAAAGAAACCACTGAAGCTCAGTGACTCAGGTGATCACCAGATCACACATTCTTTGTGTGGTAAAGAAAAGTTAAGCCAAAGTCTAAATGACTTGATTTTCTGGCAGTCAACCTCAATTCCACAGTTAAAATTTGTTAAAGGATACAAATAAAGGATAAAACTACAGCTGGATAGAAGGAGTAAGTTCTAGTGTTCTATACCATTGTAGGATAACTACAGTTAATAATCTACTATATAGATTCAAACAGCTAGAAGGATATTAGGTGTTCCCAAAACAAAGAAATGATAAATGTTTGAGATGATGGACATGCTAATTACCCTGATCACTATAGTTATGTGTACCAAAACATCACTATGTGCCCCATAAATATGTACAACTTAAAAATAATTAAGCCGATTTAAAAAATTATATATACGTTTTTTGAGAAAGGGTCTCACTCTGTTGCCCAGACTAGACTACAGCCGTGCAACCACAGCTCACTGCAGCTTCGACCTCCTGGGCTCAAGCAGTCTTCCCATCTCAGGCTCAAGTAGCTGAGACCACAGGCATGCACCACCACATCTGGCTAATTTTTAAAATTTGTTATAGAGTCAGGGTCTCACTATGTTGTCCAGGATGGTCTCAAAGTCCTGGGCTCAAGAGATCCTCCCACCTTGATCTCCCAAAGAGCTGGGATTACAGGTGTGAGCCACCGTGCTCAGCCTAAATTTTAAAACCAAATGCTAACAATTCCTAGTTAGAAAATACTTAGTTTTGCACTATGGCATTATTTTAAAGTGTATATTTTCAAGTTCCTATTAAACAATATTTACCTATTTTCTTTTTTTGAGACGGAGTTTCGCTCTTATTGCATAGGCTGGAGTGCAACGGCGCAGTCTCGGCTCACTGCAACCTCTGCCTCCCAGGTTCAAGCAATTCTCCTGCCTCAGACGCCTGAGTAACTGGGATTACAGGCGTCTGCCACCACACCCGGCTAATTTTTGTATTTTTAGTGGAGACAGGGTTTCACCACATTGGCCAGGCTGGTCGTGAACTCCTGACTCTGAGGTGATCTGCCTGCCTCAGCCTCCAAAAGTGCTGGGATTACAGGTGTGAGCCACCGCGCCCGGCCTATTTACCTATTTTCTCTTAACCTGGAGATAAAATATTTTATTTTTGATATTAAGGCAACATATCCAACTGAGTAAGCTATATAACGTTGCATACTAAATTATAACTGGTACCACTTGTTCTGTTCAAAGACCTGCATACCAACCAATTTTTGAAAACTTATTTTAAACATGCTTACTGTACAGACACAAAATTATACTATTCCCAAGAGCAAAAGCTGTGAGTTAAAAGCAGAACTTAGTGAAGCCGAAGGCATTTCTGTGAAGCCAGTTTTTCAATTTTTGATTCAAGTAAATACGTACAGAAAAAAAATCAATTCTAATGTATATGCAAAGCTAACAAGACAGAATTTTAATCACTCACCATTATGAACTTTTTAAAAGTTGTTCCCCTTAGTCGTCTATAAGAACTAAGTATGGCTTTTTTTAATTCAACTCTCTGGACTTGAACCCTGCAGTTCATACTTAACTTAGCCTCTCCTATGAGACTAATGTCAACACTAAGGCAATGTTGGTGAGACAGTGTCAACCAATATTACACTAACACACCTTCCCACACAGGCACAGGAAAAGCAAAGACCACTCAACCCAGCCTTTCTTCACCACTTTGCGGTTCAGAGATGGGTGAACAACACATCAAATACAGGAAAGTACCGGCACCCAGGCCAAAATTCCACCCCTCTTCTGCAAGTGGACTTTCCACGACTGGCTCATGCTACTCCATGTGACTTCCAGAGGTATCCGGGGTCAATGCAGCCACTCTCAATAAGGTTTGATTCTTAGAGACATCCCAGCTCTGGGCCTCAAAGCAGGCTCTTCATGAGGTTGGGAGAAAGTGGACTTTATCCCTACTCCGAACTGTAGCAGCATCTGGGGGTGGGGTGGGGCAGAAAATACATCCACAAGAACAACAGTGTGCCACTTTTTTTGTTCACAGCCCCTCTGAGAATTCAGATTTCATCAGAACCTAAGCCCAGAAACATACATAAAATTGCTTTCAATTTCAGAGGGGTTCACCGACAGTATGCCTCCACAGATTCAAACCCTGTCTCACCCTCAGACAGGCAGAGAAGGGCCATGGAGTAGTCTCTTCTCAATTCCCTAAGCATTTCTGGCCTAGCCAGCAACCATGTCCCAGGACCAGATCAGCAGGAGTCAGATATTGGGGGTGGAGTGAGCAGGGGATAGAGCATAGGAGAGCAGCAGAGGGAGCTTGAAGGTAAACTAATCTGGTCTGACAAAAGAGTTCTTCAAATATGACCCTAAGTTATGTTTCAAGCCATCCTTAGGACTTGTCCAGGAGATGTGAGCCAACCACAGCTCTCAAATGAGCTGCTGGGTGTATGGAAAAAAGGAAGGAAGAGAGGGAGGGAAAGAAAAACTGCAATGAGATATACAAAGTAGTTCATCACTGGGCACTGTGGCTCACGCCTGTAATCCCAGGACTTCAGGAAGCTGCGGCAAGAGGATTGCTTGAGCCCAAGAGGTAGAGACCGGCCTGGGCCACATAGTGAGACTCTGTCTCTACAAAAAGTAAAAAAAAATTAGCTGGGTATGGTGGCGTGCACCTGTTGCCCCAGCTACTTAGGAGGCTGAGGTGGGAGGATCGCTTGAGCCCAGAAGGTTGAGGCTACAGTGAGCCATGATTGTCACTGCACTCCAAACTGGGCAACAGAGAGCGACCCTGTCTCACAAAACAAGAAAACAATGTAGCTTATCCATGTGGTTAATGTTTCTTTTCCCCCACTTCTCTCACGTGTGAAATGCGATGAGCTTAGTGGAAAGGAATCAAGAGTAACCTAGTGTGCTACCTAGGAAATAAGCCATCTCTTTCTCTACTCGTCACCACAGCCTTCAGAGTCACATCCCGAATGTCTAATTCAGCTGCAGAAGTTGGGCTATGATTTGTATTTGTAATTACTGTCCACTGAATGTATTAAAAATGACTCTATAGGATATCTCAAAACTTCTACAGTCTTACAGTGTTCACACTTCTAAGTGTAAACATTTTAAATAATTCCTCTGCATAGCAAACCCAACTATCTGGGCGGAAAGAAAGGCCTTGGCTCCAATGACAAAAAAACACAGACTAAAAATGCACATTACACTATTTAAATTGATACTCAACTATTAAGCTGTATATATCATCATGCAGGAATTGACATGAATACCTTATATTGGAAACTTTGTTTATATGACAACTGTACTAGTTTCTCTAGGCCGTGAGGAAAATACCATAGAGAAACAGCCCACTACCCAGATACTGCCGAGTCAGAAAGATGGAAAAAGGCTAGAAAGTCCAAAACTTGAGACATGATGTTTAAAAGGTGACATCTTAAACTCACCTCTCTTGTTCTGCCCCATCTTATGAGAGGTGAAAGAGAATGAGATAATCAAACGCAACAAAAATAAGGAAAAAGCAAAATTAAGCTGCTAAAAACCACACACACAAACCGGGACATCTACTGGGAAGCAAACTTGGGAAGCAAACCAAGGGGGGAAAAAAAGTGAAGTTGGCTGTCACTATAAATCATGTCTCTCTGCCTGGTTTTGCTGAGGAAGCCCAGAAGAGGTAGGGGGAGGTTCCCATTGATGCATCAGGGTCTCTCCAGCCAAGCTACACTTTAAAAATCTGTGAATGTGTAAAATGACAAACCTAGGCTAGTTTTTTTTTTACATTCCTTTCAGCTCTAAGTCTATATAGTTCTACTAGCAGCAGACAGAAGAGGCACCTGTGCCACAAAAACTCTTCAAGAAAGAGCACTCTTCCTATCATTGTCTGTTTTCACAGGTGTTCTGAATGAGAATCATGTCCACCAGAAAACTTGCCAAATAACTACATATACTTCTGAGAACATGGTCTGGCTTCAAAGTTTCTGCATTGCTCAGGAGGCATGACACAGCTGGGGCCGAGGTGCATGCAGCACGTGAGACAGGGCATTAAATTAAGCGCACTGTTCTCACCACCAGGGTAGAAGGCAGGCAAAGCAGCGATTAGGAACCAGCACGGGCCGTGGAGCAGGGCTTGGGGGCAAGAGACCCTCTATTTAACCCTCTGCAGAGTCTGAGGTTAAGTCTCTGATATGATTTGGATATTTCTCCCCTCCAATCTCATGCTAAAAGGTAATCCCGCTGACTTTCAATCTTATTTTCCAGTGGCCATTAACCCATTAAGTGTGAATAACACCATCCCAAGGGGGCTCTCAACAAATGAGAATGTCTAAGTACTATGCAAATATGTTATTATAACACAATATCTACCTAACAGGCCTCCAAAGGACCCCTTTTTAGGAATTTTTTTTTCAAAAGTTCTAGCAGTGCTTTTTGCATTTAAACACATCTTAAATTTAACTTTCCAGCCAGTTAAAATATCTGTCAAACTGGCTGTCTGTGTGCTTTCATAATTTCTTAAATTCCAAGGGCATTTATAGGTGCCTAAAACTTGAAAGTGTAGAAAAGTTTCACTCGAGTTTCTATTCTGCTTCCACGCGTACCCCCAGACCCTTGCAGAAATTAGGAACTCTTCCCAAATCGTCGTCTTCACAGTACAGTAAGAAATTGATCTAACCAGCACTGACTTTCCTTTTCAAAAGGAAAAGCGGGAAGGCATACTAGTCAGGCCGTTAAAGGGTCAGAGAGAATGGGTCAGATTCTCTTTGGGTCCAAAGTCTGTCCAACAGGTGGGACGTCGCCTCCAAGAACAAGTCGCGCAGCGCCGTTCTCCGGCGGCTGCAGCAGGGTCGACCTCACTTCCTCCCTGTGCCAGGCTGAAGGAAAGATCTAGCGGGAACCAGTAATAAAATACATCACTTCTCGGGTTTGCTTCCCAAGTTTCTGGAACTTTCTTTAACTTCAGACATGCAGATATCAAAAATGAGACGAGAGGGGAGTCACTGTGTGACCAGAATTGTGAGGGGCCCTGGGGTTAAAAATCTGCACTCGGACACTGGGAAAACTGTCTGCCAATTCCTCCTTGTCGCCAACGGCCTCACTCAGAATTGAAGACGCCCAGGACCCTCCGCTGACGACTCCCCACCCCAGCCCGGCTTCCGGAGGGGACCGAGCCCGCCGCCCACGGCCCGCGCCCCGCGCCCCCGCGGACTCACTGCTCGGCCGGGCACTGCATCTCGGGCCGCGGCTGCCCGCTGGCCGCCGCCTTCCCGCCGTCCCGCGCCGTGGCCGCCGCCTCCCGCGCCGGCGTCTCGGCGCAGCTCGCGCCTGGCCACGCTTCGGGCTGGGGCATAGTCCCCCGACTCATGCGGTCGCTCGCGGCCGAAGGGGTTCAGCCGGCTCCGAACGATCCGGAGCCCCTCCCGTCGGGGTGCCAGGCAGTGGCCGCAGCCTCTCAGCCGCCGGGGCGGTTTCCGAGGGCCCGCAGAGCGCTTCCGCGCGCGTCACCGTGGCCCGCCCCACGGCCTCTGACCCTGCGCGAGGAGGTGCGGCCGGAGGCTGAAGGGCCCGGACGCGGCGCATGCGCATACACGTGTGCGGGCTGAGTCGCCGGGGCCTGGAGGGGGAACCGCGCGCTGCGGCTGCTGCGCTTGCTCCGTCCCCGGACGCCGCTGGCTTGCTTCCCTTGTCAGCTGTGTGGGGACTGGCAGAGGGTGTGAGAGCGGGAAACGACCGGACGAGCGGCGGGGAGCGTCCTGGGTGAGGAGGAGGAAGTCTGGTCTTAGGTGTGAAGGATGCTGACGCGTTCCGGCGCGTCGCGGTGCCACTCTCGGCTTCTGAGCGTTGCCCTACGCCGCAGCGGGTTTTCCTCAGCTGTGAAGCGCGGCTGCGTCCTGCCCGGGCTTCCCCCCGCCGGGACGGTTCCAACGCCCGAGCCCAGCGGGCTTGGGCCTCCGCTGTCGGGCCAGGCTAGTTGCTCCGGGGCTGGGAGTTACGGCACCGGGGTTGGGGCGGAGAAGACGAACTAGTTCAACTCGACCCGGTTAAGCAAGCGCAGCAGTGTGTGTTCTTGGATCATAGTATTTCATGTAAACATTTTGATTTAAGAGAAACAAAAGGGAAAATATTAACCGTTTTCAAGCATCCAAAGGCGAAATGCTTCATCTCTGGGATGGAGTAGAGGAGTAGCCTCTGCGGTTGAGTTGCAGTCGTGGGTGCAAGAAGCAGCGCTGAAGCAGAGTGCAGCCCCGGAATAGGGCGGGATGGAATGGCCTGGGCAGTTCAGAAACCCGCGAGGAGTCCAGGGCGGAACAGGTAGGGAGCAGGGGATTGTATTGAAAGATGAAACTGAAAGAGGGGTAGTGGAGACCAGATCATGAAAAGCCATATTAGGCTAACTGTGGCGCTTATGCTTAATCCTCATTGACAGATCTTGAGATCATTTTGAAAAATCACTTTGTCTTCAGTTTGGTAAAAGTTTGGAGAAGGGCAGGACTTGGAAGACCAGCTTAGGGAGACTAAATAGTAGTGACCTCCAAGGGAGAAACTGGACAGAAAGAATATTTATATTTAGTGCCACAGAACTCCGGGGGTATTGTTTTCTCCTTTAATTTTACTTGAAAAAGTAATAAATGCACATACTAAAAAATTCAGAGTGTACAAAAGAATATACAAAGACTATTAAGGTGTGGGATTGAGGAGGGTTGAACAGGATCCCCCAAAATTCACGTCCACCTAGACCCTCACGATATTAACTTACTTGGAAATAGGGTTTTTGCAGATGTAATTGGTTAAGATGAGGTCATACTGGTATAGAATGAGCCCTAAATCGAATGGTTGGCGCCCTTAGAAGGGGACACATAGATAAATGTGCACAGAGGGAAGAAGGCCATTTGGAGATAGAAGCAGGGATTGGAGTGATGCAACTGGAAGCCAAGAAACGCCGCAGAATGCCAGGAGCCAGCAGAAGCTAAGAAAAGGCAAAGAAGGATTATTCCAAAGTGCCTTCCGAAGAAGGTTGGCCCTGCCAAAAACCTGATTTCAGACTTCTAGCCCCCAAAACTGCAAGAGAATAAATTTTGTTGTTTCAAGACACACAGTTTGTGGTCCTTTGTCATGACCACCCCAGGAAACTCATATAGGGATCAAGGTGGAAAGGTTATAAATTCCGTCAGGCCAAATTTATTGATATGGACCCACCAGAGATTCTGGATTCAATGTTTTATCTCAGAGGCTTAGAAAAAGCTCTAATGCTATGTTTAATCGCTGAGTATGTCTTTTCCAATTATGCATGTCAAACTAGGAAAATAACCACAGGATGGGTTTGGGGACCCACTGAGCCCACCGTGAGAAGGATCTGAGTGAAAACTCCATTGATAGTTTAACCTCCATCCACCCAGAAGGGCCTATGCTAAATGAAGTTGAAGCGACAGAACTGCCTAGGTATCTGTAGAGAAAGGTATCCACAGGCTTGGGGAGATTGGAATATTAGAGTGGATTTATCATTTAAGACCTGCTTACCCACCCCAGGAGGGTCCAGAAGACATACCTTTCACCATGACTAAGAAGTAAATTTGTGAGGAGAATCCTAGCATCCTTGAAGATATCTGCGGCTGCTCTTCTCTTTAGTCACATATATCTTACAGTGGAAACTGCTACCATCAAACTAGGATTCCTAAGTGTCCCCCCAGGGTGGCACTTAATTGCCAAAAAGTAGGTGGGCATGATTACTATAATTACCAGCAGAGCTAAAACAATATTGTCTTACTTACAGAGACGTGTGCTGTTGGCTAGTTAATCGTTGTGTCTCTAGGAAACAGATATCCTAACTTGCATCACCAAAATAGTCACAACCTCTCAATCAATTCCCAGACTTGGGCCGGTTTACACTCTCAGAACTCTGAATGAAGGAGAGGCTGGATCCTCTTGAGGAAGGAGTCTGCTACATTGCCAAAAATGTATATTGTTATTTCCCCCGAAGAGACCAATAGCCATCTACCAGGGTAACTGTGCATTGGGGGAAGAGAAATAATCAGATTTGTCAGGGATTACTACACAGTGGCTCTGACCTGATACTAATCTGGGGAAACCAAAAGCTTTACTCGGCCTACCAGTCAGAGTAGAGGCTTAATGGAGGTCGAGTGATCAATGGAGTTTCAGCTCAGGTTCATCTCTCATTAGACCCGTTGAGTCCCTGGACCCATCCTGTGCTATTTCCCCAGTTCCAGAATGCATAATTAAAAGAGATATACTTGGCCGGGCACGGTGGCTCATACCTGTATTACCAGCACTTTGGGAGGCCGAGGAGGGCAGATCACAAAGTCAGTAGTTCAAGACCAGCCTGGCCAACATGGTGAAACCCCGTTTCTACTAAAAATACAACAACAACAACAAAAAAAAATAGCTGGGCGTGGTGGCAGACACCTGTAATCCCAGCTACTCGGGAGGCTGAGGCAGGAAAATCGTTTGAACCTGGGAGGCGGAGGTTGCAGTGAGCCGAGATTGCACCATTGCACTCCAGCCTGGGCGACAGAGCAAGACTCTGTCTCAAAAACAAACAAACAGAGATAGGCTCAACAGCTGGAAGAATCCCCATGTTGGTTCCCTGACCTGTAAAGACTTGTAACGGGAAGGGCCAAGTGGAAGCCACTAGAACTGCTTATACCTATGAGAATAGCAAACTAAAAGCAATGCCACATTCTTGGAGAGATTGTAAAGATAAGTGCCACTGTCAAAGACTTGAAAGTTGCAGAGGTGGTGATAACCACTACATTTCTTTTCCCCTCGCCTATTTGGCATGTGCAAAACAGAAATAGATCTTGGAAAATGACAATAGATTCTTATAAACCTAATTACATGGTGACTCCAGTTGCACTGCCATTTAGATGCTTCATTACTTGAGCAAATCAACACATCTCCTAGTACTTGGTATGCAGCTGTTAATCAGGCACATGCTTTTTCCCTCTATACCTATTAGAAAATACCATCAGAAGGAATTTACCTTCAACTGGCAAGACCACTGTACAACTTCCTGTCCCACTACAGGGCTATATCAACCTTTTAGCCCTATGTCATAATTTAGTCTTCCCCTTCCAAAGAACTTCGTACTGGTCCATTACATTGATGATATTATGCCGATTACTCATGGTGAGCAGGAAGTAGCAATTACTCTAGACATATTGGTAAAATATTTACATGTCTGAAGACAGGAAATAAGTGTCACAAAACATCTGGGGCCCTCCACCTCATGAAATTCCTAGGGGACCAGTATAGGACATGTCAAGATACCACTTGTAAGCTGAAGAATAAGTTGTTGCATTTGGCCCCTTATACAACCAAAAAAAAACACACACACACACACCACAATACCTAGTAGGAGAAGAGAAGGCTCTACAACAGGTCCAGGCTATTGGGCAAGTTGCTCTGCCATTTGGGCCATATGATCCAGCAGATCTGATGGTACTTAAAGTGTCAATGGCCGACTTAAATGTTATTGAGAGGCCACGCACCGTGGCTCACATCTGTAATCCCAGCACTTTAGGAGGCCAAGGGGGGAGGATCACTTTAGCCCAGGAGTTTGAGACCAGCTCCACCTCCACAAAAAAAAAAAAAAAAAAAAAAATGTAATTAGCCAGGTATGGTAGTGCATACCTGTAGTTGTAGTCTGTCCTAACTGCTTGCAAGGCTGAGGCAGGATCCCTTGAGCCCAGGAATTCAAGTTAGAGTGAGCTATGATCATGCCCCTGCACGCCAGCTTAGGCAACAGAGCAAGGCCCTTTCTCCCAAAAGATAAGTAAACACTGTTTAGAATTTTGGCAAGCAACCATAGGTGAATCACAGTACAAACCCTTAGGATTTTGAAGCAAATCTCTGTCATTGTGGGTAACTACTCTACTTTTAAGGAACAACTTTTGGTTTGCTACTGGATCTTAGAAACTGAAAACTTAAAAACAGGCCACCAAGTTAATACGTGACCTGAGCTCAGTGATAAATCATGTTGATGGCATGTAACCTTCATATGATCAGATGAAAATGGCATTGTACTTCTGTGGTTTTCCTCCCCCAAACCCACAACCCCAGTCCAATTAGAAAAAAAAAAAAAATTAGACAATTCCATTAGTGGGGCATCCTACAAAATACTTTACCAGTACTCTTAAAACTGTCAAGGTCATCAAAAACAAGAAATGTATGAGAAACTCACAGCGAAGAGGAGAGATGGCAACTAAATGTAATTCTGGTGTCCTGGGTGGGATCCTGTAACAACAACAAAAAAAAGACATTAGGTTAAACAAGGAAATCTGAATAAACCATGGACTTTAGTTAATATATCAGTACTAGTTCATTAATTGTAACAAATGAAGTGGTTCACTTTGGGTGTAATCCCAGCACTTTGGGTGGCTGAGGCAGGAGGACTGCTTGAGCCCAGGAGTTCAAGATCAGCCTAGGCAACATGGTGAAACCCTATCTCTACAAAGACAAAAATTAGCCAGGTGTGGTGGCGTGCACCTGTGGTCCCAGCTACTCAGGAGGCTGAGGTGGGAAGACTTGTTGAGCCTGGGAGGTTGAGGCAACAGTGAGCCATGATCGCACCACTGCACTCCAGCCTGGGTGACAGAATGAGACCCTGTCTCACAAAAAAAAAAAAAAAAAGTAACAAACTTACCATAATAACGTAAGATGTTAGTAATACAGGAAGTTGGATGCAGAGTATACAGGAACTCTGCACTATCTTCTCAATTTTTCTGTAAATCTAAAACTGTTCTAAAAAATAAGGTCTCTATTTTTTTTTAATCAAAAATAAAACCCAGGTGGGGTGCGGTGGCTCACACCTATAATCCCAGCACTTTGGGAGGCCTAGGTGGGTGGATCACGTGAGATCAGGAGTGCGAGACCAGTCTAGCCAACATGGTAAAGACCCATCTCTACCAAAAAATAAATTAGCCCGGTGTGGTGGCATAAACCTGTAGTCCCAGCTACTCAGGAGACTGAGGTAGGAGAATCACTTGAACCTCGGAGGTAGAGGCTTCACTGAGCTGAGATCGTGCCACTGTACTCCATCCTGAGTGACAGAGTGACACCCTGTCTCCAAATAAATAAATAAACTCAAACCATCATATCATAAAATGTTAAACCAAGACCTTCCAAAATAAGAATATCCAGTCATTGTTCTAACTTTGTACTTTAATTTAAAAAATTCAGTGTTGTCCATGCGTGGTGGCTCATGCCTGTAATCCCAGCACTTTGGGAGGCCAAGGCAGGTGGATCACTTGAGGTCAGGAGTTTGAAACCAGCCTGGGCAACATGGTGAAACCCTGTCTCTACTGAAAATACAAAAATTAGCTGGGCATGGTCGTGATCACCTGTAATCCCAGCTACTCGAGAGGCTGAGGCAGGTGAATCACATGAACCTGGGAGGTGGAGGTTGCAGTGAGCCGAGATTGCTCCACTGTACTCCAACCTGAGCAACAGAGTGACACTCCGTCTCAAAAAAAAAAATTAAAAATTAAATGTTAAATCATTTTGTCTTTATCTTTTAAAATTTCTATTGTGTGTATGTTTCTGGTGTACATAATAAATACAGAGATGCAGCGTGAGTTTTTAATATATTCATATTTGGGATATGCTAATTTTTACTGATATTACAGAACAAAATGATTAGAGGGATGTATATGTGTATTAAATAAATAAGTCAAAAACTAGGGTTTCTTTTTTTTTCCTTTTTTCTTTCTTTTTTTTTTTTTTTTTGAAATAGAGTCTCGCTTTGTCTCCCAGGCCGGAGTGCGGTGGCGTGATCTCAGCTCACTGCAACCTCTGCCTCCCCGGTTCAAGCAATTCTCCTGCCTCAGCCTCCCAAGTAGCTGGGACTACAGACGCCTGACACCACGCCCAACTAATTTTTTTTTTTTTTTTGTATTTTTAGTAGAGACAGGGTTTCACCATGTTGGCCAGGCTTGTCTCCAACTCCTGACCTCAAGTGATCTGTCCGCTATGGCCTCCCAAAGTGTTGAGATTACAAGCATGAGCCGCCACGCCCGGCCAAACACTAGGGTTTCTTAGAGACAGTCATGAGAATAAAACCCATGAACTGTGATATAATTATAACAGCCTATGCTTATGTCAAGATAAATAACATAAAAACCCATAAGCTTAAGTAAAAGTCTATGTAATCACTTACAAACAATGCGTCAGTTTTCAGTTTCTTCTTAGAATCAAACATTAGATAAATACGGTATTGTAATTTGCAAATATTTGGTAACTTACATTTTCAATCAATCACCTTGAATTTATATATCTGCTTCAGTGGCCATGCCTAGAATATTTAATATGTGAAAGATTCCACATTCCTTTTCACTGAATGCTGTAGTCCTTACTTGTAATAACTGTTCCCAAAGAACAATGCTAAGCCATTACAGTGTTCTTATTTTTAAAAATTTTCTTTAAGGAGCTTAACACAAGTTGGATGCATATTCCCCCTTTTCAATACTATAAACTCATAATTTACAGTCAGGTTAAAATACCCTATATTTTTATACTCTCTGGAATTTCCCAGTGCCACAGCAATAAAAATTAGATTTGAAGTGTATTCTGTACATCAATCTCTAAAGTACTCACAGGAAAGGTACTTTTTAGTTTATTCTAGTTTTATAGGTTCATGGACTGTAACCAAGCTTTGGAAGAAACTATTGTCAGTTTCACTTAGAAATTAACTACTCTAGGAATACTCAAGTATTAATTTTAAAGACTTATTCAAAATGCCTCTTGATTATTGAATGCCCATTTCTGTATTTTTTATTTTTTTCATTTTACTTTAAGTTCTGGGATACATGTGCAGAGCATGCAGGTTTGTTACATAGGTATACATGTGCCATGGTGGTTTCCTGCACCTGTCAACCCATCATCTAGGTTTTAATTGAATGCCCATTTTTAAAAAACAGAATTAGAGGGGGAAAAAACCTACTATGCTTTTGTAGTTTTGAAGCTAAAGGAAATAACTTTATAGAGAAAAAATAGAGGAAATCGCTCAATAGAAAAAATATCTTGCTGTAAAATTAGTTTACCTGGAAACCCCCAAAACTTTCCCCAGGAGTTTTTATTGGGAGAAGTATGGGTCATAATGAAATTTATTTTATCATGAAAATGAAACCATTTTATATATAAGGAGGAGAGAGAATGATGCCATTATAATTCACAGACTTGGAGTTCTGGAAAATATTAAATCAGTCATTTGCCTCTAGCTAAACGGAATTTCACCCTTAAGAATCATCCAGGCAGATGATAATCTTAACTTTTTTGGAGAGCTTCTGAAATGGAATTCCATACTCTTGGTAGCTTAGTTTCTGCTATAGATTGAATTACTGAATTGTGTCTCCCCAAAATTCATATGTTGAAGTCCTAACCCCCAATGTGACTATATTTGGAGATAGGGCCTACAAGGATTACAGGTTAAATGAGGTCAAAATAAAGATTAAATGAGGTCAAAAGGGTTGGGCCCTAATATGAAGGGGCTGGTGTCCTTATAAGAAGAAGAGATGCCAGAGCTCACTGTGTGAGGACACAGCAAGAAGACAGCCATCTGAAAACCAGGAAGAAAGCCATTACCAGAAACTGAATCAGCTGGCACCTCAATCTTACTTTCCGGCCTCCGGTACTGTGAGAAAATATCTGTTATTTAAGCCATCTAGTCTTGGTATCTTGGTCTGCTAGGGCCAGGTAATTCCCTACAGAGTAATTCCCTACACTTACCTTTTAGGACAAGCATATGGGTTTCTTTGGAAAGGAAGCCCATCATTGATGTCACATAGTGGAACTTAAAAAGAGCTAGAGGGACAAATCATAGATGTTTCCTAAGAAAATAAAGGTAAGGAAGAGACCCTTTGTCACTTACAGGAAACCTTCACCTCCTCAAGTAGTCTGATGTTAGGTTGATGATTCTCTCACAGCCTGACCTTGTCTCCATGGTAGTCACAAGGAAAAGCATCACCCTACTGTGATGGTTAATATTTAGTGTTAACTTGATTGGATTGAAGGATGCAAAGTATTGTTCCTGGGTGTGTCTGTGAGGGTGTTTGTTGCCAAAGGAGATGAACATTTGAGTCAGTGGACTGGGAAAGGCAGAGCCACCCTCAATCTAGGTGGCTAGAATTAAAAAAAGCTAGAATAAAAGCAGGCAGAAGAACATGAAAAAAAGCTAAAATAAAAGCAGGCAGAACGTGAAAAGACTAGACTGGTTTAGTCTTCTGACCTACATCTTTCTCCTGTGCTGGATGCTTCCTGCCCTCAAACATTGGACTCCAAGTTCTTCAGCTTTGGGACTCGGACTGGCTTCCTTGCTCCTCAGCTTGCAGACAGCCTATTGTGGGACGTCACCTTGTGATCATGGGGGTCAATACTCCTTAATAAACTCCCCTTTATATATACATCAATCCTATTAGTTTTGTCTCTTTAGAGAACCATAACTAATATACCTACTATTACCAAAAACTCTACTTGTGAGAAGGTAGGTTGTCAACCTTATCTTTAAAAATCATACCAGGATATTACTGGCAAAGTCACAAGGGCTTTCTGGATCTTCTGCTAATATTTTGTCTCACACATTTTTCTTTCGTCTTGGTCCAGAATTTAGGAATAAGAATGTATAGAATTTCATCACTATTGCATCATTCCTATAGACCTTGGCAGCCAGAATCCATCTTAAAATAGTGGTCTTCAAACTGAGGCACTTGTATCTCCTGAGGTGCAGCAACACCAATTTTATACAGCTGTGCAGCAAAGGCCCTGGAGTAGAAGATACGCTTTACAGGTGCCTGAGGGCGTAAATAGGCCTGTGCTCCTTTCTAACCACTTCCTTCATGTTTACCATATCCCTGCTTAACGAAATAACAAAAGGTTCTCAGCCATGCCAAACCTTTCTACAGTGTGTGCCTCAAGAGCTACATTGTCCAATACAGTAGCCAGTAGGCAAGAGTGCCTCCTGAGCACTTGAAATGTAGCTGGTCAGAATTAAGATTTGCTGTTTGTGAAAAACACAGGATTTTAAGGACTTAGTACACCCCCTAAAAAGAATGTAAAATAATCACATAATTTTTTTTGAGACAGGGTCTCACTCTGTTGCCCAAGCTGGAGTGCAATGGAATGATCATAGCTCACTGCAGTCTCGACCTCCCAGACTTAAGTGATCCTCCCATCTCAGCCTCCCAAGTAGCTGGGACTACAGATGCACAGCACCATGCCCAGCTAATTTTTTATATTTGTAGACAGAGGGTTTCACTATGTTGTCCAGGATGGTCTCAAACTCCTGGGCTCAAGCGATCCTCCTGCCTCAGCCTCACAAAGTACTGGGATTACAGGCATGAACCACCACACCCAGCCTATAATTTTAAAATATTGATTATATGTTGGCAAAATTTTGGAAATACTGCATTATATAAGATACTAATTTCAACTGTTGCTTTTAGCTTTTTTAATATGGCTACTAGAAAATCTTAAGTTATGTATGATGCAGCTCACATTATATTTCTATTGCATGGTGGTGTTCTAGAGCTTCAAATCAGATGGACAACTTAAATACTTCTTTCAGACAAGCCTACAATAAGGCACCGGAAACTTGCATTTGGTTTCTTTCTTTCAAGTCTTTCCTTTTCTTCCCTTAAGAGTGGGTATTTTGATATTTAAGCGGAGTATTTTTGCCAGTATGTTAACTCAGATGTATCATAGAGTGGGTTAGTAAGGGTGATGTAGTGTAGCAAACAGAAAACTAGCTATGTGACCTTGGGCAAGTATTTAACTTCTCTGAGACTCAACTTTCAAGCTTTTAGTTTCCCTAAAAGATGACTTGCTCTTGAGGGAGTCTTGGAAGAACAAAGCAGAGAGTATTGGTAAAAAGTATTGGTGGCATCTTATGTCATCAAGGTGACAGACTCATGGTAAAGCTCTCTGCCTTACCTAATGTTCACCTTAGAATGAAGATTTAAAGTGGGATGGCTGCCTTACTGTACATCCCAGAAATGGAAAAGGAGATCTACTCTTAATAATTAGATAATCATTCCTTTGAAATTCAGGTGATTTCTAATTCCTTGCTTTGAACAAATTTGAGGGACAGCCTAAAGTTATTAGCTGATGATTAAAAATAATATTTCATGAGAGATTACTAAGATATTTTTGCCATGCAATTCAGAAGCTCAAGGATTTGATTTTGTGATAACAAAACTATTTCCACCTATTTATAAGGACAGTGTTTCATAGTGTTTATAAAATCCAAAAATAGGAATAGAATTGAATTAAATCCTATCTCTTTCTAACAGTAAATCATATTCATCAATAGATCTGGAGTACAGTGGTGCAGTCATAGCTCACTGCAGCCTCAAACTCCTGGGCTCAAGCAATCCTCCCGCCTCAGCCTCCTGAGTAGCTGAGGCTACAGGCACATGCTACCACACCCAGCTAATTTTTTTTATAAAGACAGAGTCTCACCATGTTGTCCAAGCTGGTCTTGAATTCCTGGTTTCAAGTAATTCCCCTGCCTTGGCTTCCCAAAGTGCTGGGATGGCAGGCATGAGCAACCATGCCCAGCTTTCATCAATAGATTTTGAAAGAGATGTTTATAATCAAATTTTACTAAGTATATGTAACAATTACCAACATTTAAATATGCTGTTTTGATCAGATTTTTATGGCTAATGTTACAATGAAACTTTCAAGTAAATTTAAGTAATAAAAGACCTTCAAACATAAAAATATATTGCATTAAGTAGAATTCTGCGAATGGGAAACAGAAAGGAAATTCAATAAGAAAAAGGAATGATGGCTTTTTCGCAACGGGTTTGCCGCCAGAACACAGGTGTCATGAAAACTACCCCTAAAAGCCAAAATGGGAAAGGAAAAGACTCATATCAACATTGTCGTCATTGGACACGTAGATTCGGGCAAGTCCACCACTACTGGCCATCTGATCTATAAATGCAGTAGCATCGACAAAAGAACCATTGAAAAATTTGAGAAGGAGACTGCTGAGATGGGAAAGGGCTCTTTCAAGTATGGCTGGGTCTTGGATAAACTGAAAGCTGAGCGTGAACGTGGTATCACCATTGATATCTCCTTGTGGAAATTTGAGACCAGCAAGTACTATGTGACTATCACTGATGCTCCAGGACACAGAGACTTCATCAAAAACATGATTACAGGGACATCTCAGGCTGACTGTGCTGTCCCGATTGTTGCTGCTGGTGTTGGTGAATTTGAAGCTGGTATCTCTAAGAATGGGCAGACCCGAGAGCATGCCCTTCTGGCTTACACACTGGGTGTGAAACAACTAATTGTTGGTGTTAACAAAATGGATTCCACTGAGCCACCCTACAGCCAGAAGAGATATGAGGAAATTGTTAAGGAAGTCAGCACTTACATTAAGAAAATTGGCTACAACCCCGACACAGTAGCATTTGTGCCAATTTCTGGTTGGAATGGTAACAACATGCTGGAGCCAAGTGCTAACATGCCTTGGTTCAAGGGATGGAAAGTCACCCGTAAGGATGGCAATGCCAGTGGAACCATGCTGCTTGAGGCTCTGGACTGCATCCTACCACCAACTCGTCCAACTGACAAGCCCTTGCGCCTGCCTCTCCAGGATGTCTACAAAATTGGTGGTATTGGTAGTGTTCCTGTTGGCCGAGTGGAGACTGGTATTCTCAAACCCGGTATGGTGGTCACCTTTGCTCCAGTCAACGTTACAACAGAAGTAAAATCTGTCGAAATGCACCATGAAGCTTTGGGTGAAGCTCTTCCTGGGGACAGTGTGGGCTTCCATGTCAAGAATGTGTCTGTCAAGGATGTTCGTCGTGGCAACGTTGCTGGTGACAGCAAAAATGACCCACCAATGGAAGCAGCTGGCTTCACTGCTCAGGTGATTATCCTGAACCATCCAGGCCAAATAAGCGCTGGCTATGCCCCTGTATTGGATTGCCACACGGCTCATATTGCATGCAAGTTTGCTGAGCTGAAGGAAAAGATTGATCGCCGTTCTGGTAAAAAGCTGGAAGATGGCCCTAAATTCTTGAAGTCCGGTGATGCTGCCATTGTTGATATGGTTCCTGGCAAGCCCATGTGTGCTGAGAGCTTCTCAGACTATCCACCTTTGGGTCGCTTTGCTGTTCGTGATATGAGACACACAGTTGCGGTGGGTGTCATCAAAGCAGTGGACAAGAAGGCTGCTGGAGCTGGCAAGGTCACCAACTCTGCCCAGAAAGCTCAGATGGCTAAATGAATATTATCCCTAATACCTGCCACCCCACTCTTAATCAGTGGTGGAAGAACGGTCTCAGAACTGTTTGTTTCAATTGGCCATTTAAGTTTAGTAGTAAAAGACTGGTTAATGATAACAATGCATCGTAAAACCTTCAGAAGGAAAGGAGAATGTTTTGTGGACCACTTTGGTTTTCTTTTTTGCATGTGGCAGTTTTAAGTTATTAGTTTTTAAAATCAGTACTTTTTAATGGAAACAACTTGACCAAAAATTTGTCACAGAATTTTGAGACCCATTAAAAAAGTTTAATGAGAAAAAAAAAGAAAAAAGGAATGATGTAAAATTATAGTTTTTTATGAATGATAATGAATTTCTAGTGTGTTAGATTCTATCGGAAATAAGTCATGATTATTTTAAAATATCTATAATACAATGGAAATTATATCCTTTAAAACTAAGTTTCTCATAGAAAATTTTATTTTATTTTATATATAATGTACATATTTTGGGGGACATGTGATAATACATTCATATAGTAAAGATCAACTTAGTGTAATTGGGATGTCCATCACCTTAAATATTTGTTTTTTTTAATGCTAGAAACATTCAAATTCTCTTTTAGCTATTTTGGACTGTACAATATAGATTATTGTAACTACTGATCTATCAAACACTATGTCTCATTTCTTCCATCAAACTATATATTTTTACCCATTAATCAACATTTCTTCATCCCTCCTCCTCCCTACTCTTCTCAACCTCTAGTAATCACCAGTCTACTCTCATGAGATCCACTTTTTTTTGTCTCCCACATATGATTGAGAACATGAAATGTGTGGCTTTCTGTGCTTGACTTATTTCAGTTAGCATAATGACCTCCAGTTTTTTTTCATGTTGCTGCAAATGACAGGATTTCATTCTTTTTTGTGGCTGAATAACATTCTATTGTGTATATATATCACTTTCTTTCTTTTTTTTTCTTTCTTTCTTTTTTTCTGTCTGTCTCTCTCTCTCTCATTCTCTCTTTCTTTCTTTCTTTTGACAGGGTCTCATTTATGTTACCCAGGCTGCTGGTCTTGAACTCCTGGCCTCAAGTGATTTTCCTCCCTCAGCCTCCAGAGTAGCTGGAAACACAGGCACGCACCACCACGCCCAGCTAATTTTTTATGTTTTGTAGAGACGAGGTCTCCTTGTGTTGCCCAGGCTGGTCTCGAACTCTTCACTTTGTTGATTGTTTCCTTTGCCGTGCAGAAGCTTTTTAGTTTTATGTAATCCCATTCTGTTTTTGCTTTGGTTGCCTGTGCTTTTGAGGTCTTACACAAAAAAATCTTTGTCCAGACCAATGTCCTGGAGCATTTCCCCATTTTTTTCTTCTAGTAGTTTTCATAGTTTCAGGTCTTAGATGTAAGTCTTTACTCTATTTTGATTTTATTTCTGTATGTGGTAAGAGGGATCTAGTTTTATTCTTCTGCATATGGTTATTCCGTTTTCCCATTACCATTTATTGAAGAGACACTCCTTTCCCAATTGTACATTCTTAGCACCTGTACCAAAAATGAGTTGACTGTAAATGTATGCATTTATATCTGGGTTCTCTCTTCTGTTTCACTGGTCTATGTGTCTGTTTTCATGCCAGTAGCATGCTGATTTTGATTACTGTCATTCTGTAGCGTATTTTGAAATCAAGCAATGTGATGCCTCCAGCTTTGTTCAGCTTTGTTCTTCCTTTTTTTTTTTTTTTCTTAAGTGTCTTGTTCTGCTACCCAGGCTGGAGTGCGGTGGCATAGTTTACTACAGCCTTAAAGTCCAGGGCTCAGACGATCCTCTTGGCTTAGCCTCCTGAGTAGTTAGGACTACAGGCACATGCTACCATGCCCAGCTAATTTTCTTTTTAATTTCTTGTAGTGACAGAGTCTCACTGTGTTGCCCAGGCTGGTCTCAGACTACTAGCCTCAAGCAAATCCTACTGTCTTGGCCTCTCAAAGAGCTAGGATTACAGGCATGAACCACTGTGCTTGGCCAGCTTTTCTTCTTATAAGGACATACAGTTGTCCCTCAGTATCCATGGGGGATTGATTCCAGGACCCCTCATGAATACCAAAATCTGAGGATGTTCAGTTCCTCATATAAAGTGGTGTAGCATTTGCATATAACCTATGCATATCCTCCCATATAGTTTAAATCATCTCCAGATTACTTATAATACCTAATGTAGTGTAAATGTTATGTAAATAGTTGTTAAACTTTTTATTTGTATTATTTTTTGTTGTATTATTTTTAATTATTTTTTTCTGAATTAAAAAAAAAATCTTCAGTTGGTTGAATCCACAGATGTAGAACCGGCAGATACAGAGAGCTGACTGTAATCCCACGGATTAGGGTCCTACCCTTATGATCTCATTTAACCTTAACTGCTTTTCCTTAGAGGCCTAATCTCCAAATACAGTCACATTGGGGGTCAGAGCTTCAACATATGAATGGTGGGGGAGGGGCACAAACATTCAGTCCATAATATTTATTGATCTGTATATACCTTATTCTTAACCCAGTGTATAGTATACACTGCTCCTTAATAAATTTTTGTTACATGATTTAATATTAATTCCTTATGTCAGTATTATAATGACCATATAGTATGGCAGAGAAAAAAATAGCTATGTAACCTTAGGCAAGTTATTTAACATTTCTGAGCCTCAGTTTCTTTGATGCAAAATCTGGATAGTACCTGCTGTCTTATAAATATGAGGATTAGAAGGGAGGTGTGTCAAAGGTCCAGAACACTGCTTGTGAAATTATCACTATATCTAACACTTGCTTAGCACTTTATAGTTTATGAAGCACTTTTCATACACCATCCCACTGAGTTAAGACCTGAACTGGTCAGAGCACCAAGCCTAGTGTTCTTTCCACTGTACAGAATGATCTAAGACCTCATGGAACATGTTAATTTTAAGTAACCTTAGACTTCACTAGGTCATAATTTCTGTTTTATCCAACAAAGTAACTTAGTGAATTGGTCTGGTCCTTGGGGTAGTCAAGAGGCCAGAATAAGAAATCTTCCTGGTAGAGAGAGAAAACTGTTAGGTGTTTTAATAGCTATTCTCCTGCAAAATTAATCAGCTACTTGCAATTTCCTTACATTATTTTTCATATAATTTAGTCAAAGCTTTGTGGATAAACCCAATCATGGACACTAGGTGGCACCACAAGACCTTGCCCTGAGCCAGTTCCTGTCAGCCCGATAGCTCTTCCCCACCATTACAGCCTAGTTTTTTAGCAGTCTGGAATGAAGAAAACGTAGAGAAATCTTCCTTTTCTGTGTAGAAAGAATCTATAAAGAAGTTTTCTTTCTAAGGGATTGATTTCCTACTGTGAATATTATGTAGAGGAATAAGGCTCTCACAACAAACTACAGCCAGGAGAGTTGAACTGAGTCCAAATGCTGCTACTTAACAGCTGGCTTTCTTGGAAAAAGTATATTTCCTGTCCTGTGTGCATCTCTCTGGATTACTGGGAGGACCAAATGAAGTTGCATGTGAGAACTGCCAAGTACTACAGTTAAAAACACTGATTCGGGCCGGGCGCGGTGGCTCACGCCTGTAATCCCAGCACTTTGGGAGGCCGAGGCAGGCGGATCACGAGGTCAGGAGATCAAGACCATCCTGGCTAACACGGTGAAAACCCATCTCTACTAAAAATACAAAAAATTAGCCGGGCGTGGTGGTGGGCGCCTGTAGTCCCAGCTGCTTGGGAGGCTGAGGCAGGAGAATGGTGTGAACCCAGGAGGTGGAGCTTGCAGTGAGCCGAGATTGCGCCACTGCACTCCAGCCTGGGCGACAGAGCAAGACTCTGTCTCAAAAAAATAAAATAAAATTCAAATTAAAAAAACAAACAAACAAAAACACTGATTCAGCTGGGTGCAGTGGCTCACGCTTGTAATCCCAGCACTTTGGGAGGCCGAGGTGGGCGGATCACGAGGTCAGGAGTTCAAGACCAGCCTGGCCAATATGGTGAAACCCCGTCTCTACTAAAATAAATATATATATATACAAAAAAAACTAGCTGGGCATGGTTCCAAACCAGCCTGGCCAATATGGTGAAACCCCATCTCTACTAAAAAAAAAATATATATATATATATATATACAAAAAAAACTAGCTGGGCATGGTTCCAGACCAGCCTGGCCAATATGATGAAACCCCGCCTCTACTAAAAAATGTATACATACACAAAAAAACTAGCTGGGCATGGGACTACTAGCGTGCGCCTGTAGTCCCAGCTACTCAGGAGGGTGAGGCAGGAAAAACTCTTGAACCCGGGAGGAGGAGGTTGCAGTAAGCCGAGATTGCACCACTGCACGGCACTCCAGCCTGGGCAATACAGGGAGACTCCGCCTCAGAAAACAACAACAACAACGAAAAACACTGATTCTTCCTGCCTCCAAAACTCTCCTCTTTGTGGGAGGCCCCACCCTTGGACCATCTGTGGGCCCCTCTGCTGCCTTGGTCCCTGCCTACTTTTCAAGATCACTCTCAAACATTTATAAAGGACTTCAGCAACAGATCTATTAATTTCAGCATTCACTCAAACAAACAACTGAAACAATCCGTAATGTCCACACCACTGGCTTTAACTTCTCTTCATCAGCTTAGTCCAGTGGCTACACTCTAGACCTTGTCATCATCCAGAAGTGGACCAATACCCTTAAAATAGTCAACTTTGGATTCCACTCTCCGTCAGGTCACCTCTCCTTTCATCTCTCCCATTTGTTCATCAATTGCACTGTGACTTGCAGCTCCTTTGCTCCTTCCCTTTCTCCCTGTTTGTCAGCCCCCCTCTCTGCACACACCCCTGTACCCTCTTGCCTTTGCTGGTTACGGTAAGCAGCTACTCTCGTGAACACCTACAACTCTCTCACCTCTTTGTCCTAAGTGCCACCATCCCTCTACCCCTCAACCCTGGACCAGTTCAGCCGTTTGTTTGAGGGAATGTGGATTATTGAACTGTAAGTGCACGGCATAGAATTGAATTGCTACTCTGCAGCAACTGGCTGTGCAATTCTGAGCAGGTTATTAATCCTCTGAGCATCAGTCTTGGGTATGTAGAAGGAAGAGAACATCTACCTATAGGAGAATTAAGAGAGGTAACAAGTAAAAAGAGATTTTTTGAAGTGTATGTTTATGCTTTTACCTTTTACATCATCCATATGTGACCTTTTCTCAGTGATCCAGAGGTCTCTGGAGAGCCAGGAGGTGAATGTGTAGGCTAGGATTATTAAAGTAAAAATATACAAAAAGTTAGTATAGTTTACTTCTAATATAGGTAAGAAACGATGCGAAAGGAAGAAAAGACTTTGAGACTCAAAACTAAAGTTCTGATCTGTAAGGCTTACAGATTATGCCAGAAAACAGTTTGGAAAGAGAATAGGGGAAAACCCACCACAATCAGAGAGGATAATGAGGACCAACGATGAGGAGACTGAGCAGGGCACACCACAAAGAAAATGGGCAGGGAGAGGAGAGGAACTGGGCTTGTCCCTTTTCAAGAGTCCATCATGCACAGAAGCCCAAGAAACCAAGGTAGATCCCTTGACCCCCCAACAGTGAGGATGTGGAAGGACAATCCACAGCAGATATTTGTGTCATCCTCAAACCAACTACTGTCCTCATTAAAACACCACAAGACTATTATTAGCCCCATTTTACTGAATAGGAAAGTAAGTGGCAGAGAGGATTTTAACCCAGGCAGCTGGCTTCAACAGCCATGTTCTTAAGCGCCATACCACGCTACCTCTTGATAAGCATCAATTCTCTATCCCCACCTCCAACTCCTCCTCTATTAAAAGCCAGGATGAAGGAGCACAGTTAGAAAAATTAGGCTACTGTGTGCTTCATGCTATTACTATTTAAAGCCTAAACTCAGCTGGGCTTTCGGTTCTGCGCCATCATCTTATGTTCTTGCCCTGCTCCCTTCCGCAAGTCCTGCAGTGGGTCTCTGAAGCCCTCATCGTTCAGTGCCCTCTTGACTTTATGCAGTGAATTTGCCTGTGAGTCATAGAGAAAATCAGTGCCATTGAGGGCGAACTCTTAGCTTTTCTCTTTCCCCCAACTAAATTATCTTCAAGGGCGCTGTCTCAACCTCCTTTCCAGCCAGTTTCTGAGGAAGAGCTGTCTTTCCTATTTCAGACCATCCCCCCTCTTTCCCTTTCACATCCTCCAGGGTTTCCACTGAGTGCCTCTTTTTCCAGTATCTTCAGCCTCTCTCTCTCTCTGCTAAATTCTCCCAGCATAAACAAAGTCTTTTCTTCCTTTCGCATCGTTTCTATCCATAATTGTCCTAGACGTCAGAAACTGCCAAGCACCAGTCCCTGAACCCGTCCTAAGTAGTGCTGAAATTTCACTAATTTATGAAGAAAAAAGAGAAAAATCATAATGGAATTTTTCATTAAGCTAAAGTAATTAAAATGATTTTCCTTTGTTCTGACATTATGGCCTTTTTTTTTTTCACTTTTAAAATATTTTTTATACTGCCTTTTGGAAGTGTGAAGACTTTGCAGAGAAAAGAAAAAAACCTCTTTGCCATGTTAAGCCATTGGGATTTGGGGCTTCTCTGTTACCGTGCATGACCTAGCCCAGAAGCTCACAAGCATTTTAGTCTCAGAACATCCCTACATTATTTATACTCTTAAAAATTATTAAGGACTTGTAGTAACTGTATGTTTTACATTTCTGTATCCTTTGTATGCTTTGGTGTCTGGGGCCTTGCTGACCAGGCAAAGGCTACCCCTCCCAGAGGTAGCTAATTATTCCTAGAGATGGAAAACAATTATCCTGTGACCAAACTTGTATATGCAAACCATCCAATCAAAAGCCCATACCCCCAGCTGTTCCCTTTCTCAGACTCTCACAGGGCTACTCAACTTCAGAGCACTATTCCCCTGTCTTAATCACCTGAGGGCAAGGTACCAGACCACTCTGAGACAACCCTGGAGCCCGCTGAAATTATTCAAATTAGCTGATTCTAAGCCTGCTTACCCTTTCTCACCCATTCCTGAATGCACACATCACAATCAAGGCTCTTGCCCATGCTTTCCCCTCATTCCTGCCTCCCAGCAGACCCTGGTGCTTCCTTGTGTGGCCCTGAATGCTGTGGTGTGTGCTCCTTCCTTTTGGGAACTGTGAGTAACAAACTATCCTTTCAATGGCAGTCATCTCCTGATCTATTGGCCTCACTATACCTGAATGATAATAAAACCTGCATTTTAAAACAGGACCTTAATGTGTTTTTGTTTATGTGGGTTCTACATATTGATATTTATTGGATTATATATTAAAATTGGGGAAATTTTTAATAGATACTAATTTTTAAAAAAATAACTCATGTCACGTTACCATAAGTAACTTTTTTATATTGAAAACCTGTATTTTCCAAAACTGAAAAGTGGTGAGAAAAGTAACATTGTTTCAACTTCTGCAAATCTCTTTAATATCTGCCTTAACAGAATGAAGCTAGATTTTTCAGGTCTGCTTCTGTATTCAAACAGCTGCAATATCATACTCTGGAAAACTCCACAATATATTCATGAGAGATTGAGAGTGAATAAGACAAATAACATTTAGTATTATTAAGAAATTGGTTTTGACCTCATAGATCCACTGAAGGATTGCCAGACCACATTTAAGATTTTCTTGGCCAGGTGTGGTAGCTCACGCCTGTAATCCTAGCACTTTGGGAGGCTGAGACGGGCAGATCACCTGAGGCCAGGAGTTCGAGACCAGCCTGGCTAACATGGTGAAACCCCATTTCTACTAAAAATACAAAAAATTAGCCAGGCGTGGTGGCGCACACCTATAATCCCAGCTACTCAGGAGGCTGAGGCAGAATGACTTGAACCCAGGAGGCGGAGGTTGCAGTGAATCAAGATTGCGCCATTGCACTCTACCTTGGGCAACAAAAGCAAAACTCCGTCTCAAAAAAAAAAAAAAATTATTTTCCAGTGGTTAAATTCCTGGAAACAAGCAACCTCCCAAGATTGAACTAGGAAGAAATTAAATCCTGGAATATTAAAATAACTTAGAGTGTAATTTGGATTGCTTGTAACTCAAAGAATAAATGCTTGAGGGGATGGATATCCCATTCCCCATGATGTATTTATTTCACATTGCATGCCTGTATCAAAACATCTCATGTATCCCATAAATATAGACACCTACTATGTACCCACACAAATTTTAAAAATAAAGAAGGAAAAAAAACCCCCAAACATACCAATAATGAGTAACAAGATTGAATCAGTAATAAAAAATCTCCCCCAACCCCAGAAAAGCCCAAAACCAGACGGATTCACCATCTGGTTTTGGGCTTTTTTTGTGGGGGTAAGATTTTTATTAACTGAGCCAAATTCTACCAAACACACAAAGATAGATACCAAGAGGAGTTAATACCAATCTTCATGAAACTATTCCATAAAAGGAGGAAAGAATTCTCCCTAACTCATTCTATGAGGCCAGTATCACTCTGATATGAAGAAACGGACAAGGACACAATAAGAAAAAGAACTATAGACCAATATCCCTGATGAAATTAGATGCAAAAAAAAAAAAAAAACCCTCAACAAAATACCAGCAAATTGAATCCAACAGCACAGCAAAAAGATAATACACCAGGATTACATAGAATTTATCCCAGGGATGCAGGGATGGTTCAAACATATGCAAATCAATAAATGTGATACATCACATATACAAATGGACAAATACCAAATGATCATCTCAATAGATACAGAAAAAGCATTTGATAAAATTCAACATCCCTTCATGATAAAAATCCTCAACAAACTAGGCATAGAAGGAGCATACCTCACCTTAATAAAGGCAGTATATAACAAACCTATAGCCAGCATCGTACTTAACAAGGAAAACTTGAAAGCGTTCCCTCCAAGAACTGGAACAAGACAGGGATATCCTCTTTCACCAAATCTTATTCAATATAGTACTGTAAGTCGTTGCCAGAGCAGTCAGGCAAGAGAAAAAAAAGGCATCCAATTTGGAAAAGAGGAAGTCAAATTATTCCTATTGGCTGATGATATGGTTTTTGTTTTGTTTTGTTTTTTCTTTTTGAGATGGAGTCTCACCTGTCACCCACGCTGGAGTGCAGTGGTGCGATCTCGACTCACTGCAACCTCCGCCTCCCAGGCTCAAGCGATTCTCCTGCCTCAGCCTCTCAAGTAGCTGGGATTACAGGCACCAGCCACAATGCCTGGCTAATTTTTGTATTTTTAGGAGAGACAGGATTTCACCATGTTGGCCAGGCTGGTCTCAAACTCCTGACCTCAGGTGATCCACTGGTCTCAGCCTCCCAAAGTGCTGGGATTACAGGTGTAAGCCACCACATCTGGCCTGATGATATGATTTTATATCTGGAAAACCCTAAAGACTTCACCAAAAAACCTCTTAGATTTGATAAATGAATTCAGTAAAGCTTCAGGGTACAAAATTAATGTACAGAAATCAGTAGTGTTTGTCTACATCAGTGATTTAGCTGAGGACCAAGTTAAGGAGGCAACTCTATTTACAATAGCTACAAACAAAATAAAATACCTAGGAATATGTTTAACAAGTGAGGTGAATAATTTCTATAAGGAGAACTACAAAATACTGATAAATGAAATTGTAGATGACACAAACAAATGGAAAAATATCCCATGCTCATGGATTAGAAGAATCAATATCATTAAAATGACTGTACCACCTAGCTAGCATGGTGAAACCCTTTCTCTACAAAAAATACAAAAAATTAGCCAGGTGTGGTGGTGGGCACCTGTAGTCCCAGCTACTTGGGAGGCTGAGGCAGGAGAATAGTGTGAACCCAGGAGGCGGAGCTTGCAGTGATCCCAGATTGCGCCACTGCACTCTGGCCTGGGCGACAGAGCGAGACTCTGTCTCAGAAAAAAAAAAAAAAAAAAAAAAAAAAAGACTGTATTGCCCAATGCAATCTATAGATTCACTGCAATCCCTATCAAAAACATACATTTTTCACAGAATTAGAAAAAACTAAAAAAAAATAAAATAAATAAAAAACTATCCTAAAATTCATATGGAATCTAAAAAGAGCCTGAACAGCCAAGGCAATCCTAAGCAAAAAGAACAAAGCTGGTCCAGGTGTGGTGGTTCACTCCTATAATCCCAGCACTTTGGAAGGCCAAGGTGGGCAGATCACCTGACGTCAGGAGTTCAAGACCAGCCTGGCCAACTAACATGGTGAAACCCCGTCTCCACTAAAAATACAAAAACTAGCTGAGTGTGGCCAAACGTGGTGGCTCACAGCTGTAATCCCAGGACTTTTTGGGAGGCCGAGGCGAGAGGATCACCTGAGGTCAGGAGTTTGAGATCAACCTGGCCAACATGGTGAAACCTCATCTCTACTAAAAATACAAAAAAAAAAAAAAAAAAAAAAATTAGCCAGCTGTGACAGCAGCCCTGGCAACGAGTGAGACTCCATCTCAAAAAAAAAGCTGGAGGCATGACATTACCTGACTTCAAATTATATAACAAGGCTGTAGTAACAAAAACAGCATGGTGTGGTATAAAAAATAAACACATAGATCAATGGAGCAGAATAGATAACCCAGAAATAAAGCCACATACTTACAAGCAACTGATCTTTGACAAAGTCAACAAAAATATACGCTGGGGAAAGGACACGCTATTCACTAACTGGTGCTGAGAAAACTGGATAGCCATATATAGAAGAATGAAACTGGAGCCATACATCTCACCATATGCAAAAATTAGTAACTCAAGTTGGATTCAAGACCCAAACACAAGAGCAGAAACTAAAAATCCTAGAAGAAAGTAACCCCATTAAAAAATAGGCAAAGGGCCACACCGGCTCTAGGCTGTCCATGCCGCATCGCTTCCTTTTCCTCTACTGCAGCAGCTATGGCAGTGGTGAAGACCCTAAACCCCAAGGCTGAGGTGGCCCGAACGGAGGTGGCGCTAGCGGTCAACATCAGCATAATGCAGGGTCTGCAGGACGTGCTGGGAACCAACCTGGGGCCCAAGGGCACAATGAATATGCTTGTTTCTGGCGCTGGAGACATCAAGCTTACTAAAAAGATGGCAATGTGCTGTTTCACGAAATGCAAATTCAACACACAACAGCTTCCTTAATAGCAAAGGTAGCAACAGCCCAGGATGATATAACTGGTGATAGTACAACTTCCAATGTCCTAATCATTGAAAAGCTACTGAAACAGGAGGATCTCTACATTTCTGAAGGCCTTCATCTCAGAATAATTACTGAAGGATTTGAAGCTGCAAAGGAAAAGGCCCTTCGGTTTTTGGAAGAAGTCAAAATAAGGAAAGAGATGGACAGGGAAACACTTATAAATGTGGCCAGAACATCTCTTCATACTAAAGTTCATGCTGAACTTGCAGATGCCTTAACAGAGGCTGTAGTGGACTCCATTTTGGCCATTAAAAGACAAGATGAACCTATTGATCTCTTCATGGTTGTGATCATGGAGATGAAACATAAATCTGAAACTGATACAAGCTTAATCAGAGGGCTTGTTTTGGACCACGGAGCATGGCATCCTGATATGAAGAAAAGGGTGGAGGATGTATACATTCTCAAGTGTAACGTGTCATTAGAATATGAAAAAACATAAGTGAATTCTGGCTTTTTTTACAAGACTGCAGAAATGAGAGAAAAACTCATAAAAGCTGAAAGAAAATTCATTGAAGATAAGAGTTAAAAAATAGAACTGAAAAGGAAAGTCTGTGGTGATTCAGATAAAGGATTTGTTGCTATTAATCAAGAGGGAATTGACCCCCTTTCCTTAGATGCTCTTGCAAAAGAACACATAGTCACTCTTCACAGAGCTAAAAGGAGAAATATCGAGGGGCTGACTCTTGCTTCTGGTGAGGTAGCCCTGAATTCTTTTGAAAACCTAAATCCTGACTGCTTGGGACATGCAGGACTTGTATATAAATATATATTGGGAGAAGAGAAGTTCACCTTTATTGAGAAATGTAACAATACTCGCTCTGTCACATTATTAAACAAAGGACCAAATAAGTACACACTCACTCAGCTCCAAAGATGCAGTAAGGGATGGCTTGAGGGCTGTCAAAAATCCTATTGATGAGGGCTGTGTGTTTCCAGGTGCTGGTGCTGTGGAAGTAGCAATGGCAGAAGCCCTGATTAAATATAAGCCCAGTGTAAAGGGCAGGGCACAGCTTGGAGTCCAAGCATTTGCTGATGTGTTGCTCATTATTCCAAAGGTTCTTGATCAGAACTCTGGTTTTGACCTTCAGGAAACATTAGTTAAAATTCAAGCAGAATGTTCAGAATCAGGTCAGCTTGTGGGTGTGGACCTGGATACAGGTGAGCCAATGGTAGCAGCAGAAGTAGGCATATGGGATAACTATTGTGTAAAGAAACAGCTTCTTCACTCCTGCACTGTGATTGCCACCAACATTCTCTTGGTTGATGAGATCATGCAAGCTGGAATGTTTTCTCTGAAAGGTTGAATTGAAGCTTCCCCTCTATCTGAATCTTGAAGACTCTGCAAAGTGATCCGGAGGAATACAGCTGTGGAATTTTTGTCCAAGCTTCAAATAATTTTCAGAGGAATTTTCCCATATGAAAAAAGGAGAGAACACTGGCATCAGTTGAAATTCAGAAGTTCTGAATTATAATTACAGTATTCTTTTAATTGTACTGAAGTGTACACACATAAAGCAGGTCTTTTACCCAGTGAACAGGATATTTTGATTTAGTGGCAGTGACATAAAATTCCTGTTAGATAAACATGTTACCTACCTTGTTATGAAATATTCCTTGAAAAAAAAAATGGGCAAAGGACAGGAACAGACATTTCTCAAAAGCAGACATGCAAGTGACCAACAAGCATATGAAAAAATGCTCAACATCACTAATCATCAGAGAAATGCAAATTAAAATCATAATGAGATACCATCTTATGCCACCCAGAATGGCTATCATTAAAATGTCAGAAAACGAAAGATGTTGGCAAAGATGTGGAGAAAAGGGAATGTTTTACGCATTGTTGGTGGGAATGTAAATTAGCACAACCTTTATGGAAAACAATATGGAGATTTCTCAAAGAACTAAAATAGAACTACCATTTCACCCAGCAATCTCACCAGTAGGTATATACCTGAAGGGACAGAAATCAACATATCAAAAAGATACTTGCACTCACATGTTTATCACAGCACTATTCACAATAGCAAAGATATATACTTAAGCTAAGTGTCCATCAGCCGAAGATTGGATCAAGAATATGTGATGTTTGTATATATATACACACACACACACACTCATCATGGAATACTACTCTGCCATAAAAAAGAATGAAGTCATATATTTTGCAGCAACATGGATAGAACTGCAGGACATTATCCTAACTGAAATAACTCAGAAAGTCAAATATTGCATGTTCTCACTTATAAGTGGGAGCTAAACAGTAGGAACATATGGACACACAGAGTAGAATAATAGACACTGAAGACTGCACAAGGTGGGAGTGTGGGAGGCGAATGAGGGTTGTTAAATCAGCTATTGAGCACAGTGTTCGCTATTCAGATGATGGGTACACTAAAAACCCAGACTTCACTACTATGCAAAATCTGTACTTTTGTCCCCTAAATATATTTAAAAAATTTTTTTAAAGATTGTCTTCTTTGGCTGGGCATGGTGGCTCACGCCTGTAATCCCAGCACTTTGGGAGGCCAAGGCAGGTGGATCACCTGAGGTCAGGAGTTCGAGACCAGCCTGACCAACATGGAGAAACCCCGTCTCTAATAAAAATACAAAGTTAGCCAGGCGTGGTGGCACATGCCTGTAATCCCAGCTACTCGGGAGGCTGAGACAGGAGAATTGCTTGAACCTGGGAGACGGAGGTTGCGGTGAGCCGAGATCGTGCCATTGCACTCCAGCCTGGGCAACAAGAGCGAAACTCTGTCTCAAAAAAAAAAAAAAAAAAAAAAAAAGATAGTCTTCTTCATTTTTTGAATGGTCATTAGGTCCTCTAGAAAACAGAGCATTATACTTTGAGAGGTGAAAACCCAGAACAAAGAGTGAGAGAAAAGAGATTTGAGGCAAGGAAAAGAGCTGGAGCAAAGTGACACAATGTGCTACTGTGTTGGCTATCACTTCACACAAAACTTCAAAAAACACACAGATATGGCAGGTCATTCAGCCACGTGCTGCCTAGCACATGAGAATTCTCCAGAAGGGCTGCAAGGAAGAACTGCATCTCAGAGTTTCCATGGGAGGGAGAATCTTGCTGCCTGCCTCCCTCTGTTTCCTAGTTCCTATTAATCAAGAATCTCCCCACAGAAAGCTAACTCATCGACATTTTTGAGTAGTTTCATCAAGCCCTTCAGCAGCCACTCAGGAGGCCAAACTCAATTCTGCATGGTGTATGCAGTGTTTCATCCAAGCCCAGAGTTGGGGCGTGATGCAGTACATAGGGCATATGAATTGGAAAAGAAGTCAGATTATCCCTTTTCAAGCCTGGGCATTCTACTCGGATTTCAGCCAGCCTGACAAAGATGGTAGAGAAGGCTCGGTCTGGGAAGTGGGTGAAACCTTCAGAAGGAAAGAGAGGCTGGGCGCAGTGGTTCATGCCTATAATCCTAGCACTTTGGGAAGCCAAGGCAGGAGGATTGCTTGAGCCCAGGAGTTTCAGATTCGCTTGGGCAACATGGCAAGACCCTAACTCTACCAAAAATTTAAAAACTTTAAAAGGCTGCAGGGCGGTCAAGGGAAACAGTCTGAAAGTGTCTAACACTGTAACTGACATTTGTATAATGCTCAGAACTACTGCTCTAAGTACAGAGGTGGCTCTCCTAAAGTGGTAACATTTCTTGAAAGGAATATAATCTACGAAGATCATTGGGAGAGTACATTTTAATAGTCATATAAATAATCACATTTTAAATGAAATATAATGAACATATGTAGTAACTGAATAACATAATTTATCCAACTTGAACCTTGACAGATGAGTCTTAGCCTATAGCAACTAGTCTTAGCCTATAACAAATATGATGCAACGGATAGTATGCTTGATATTCATTGTATCCAACTCTCAATGCTATTTAATACACTGTATTATTCAGACTCCAGTTTGCTTAAAAATCAGTTGGAGTGAATTATCCTACAGTTTGTTTTGCTAATGAAATATGTAAAAGCTTTCAAATCACTGTGAAAAGAATGAAAACTCGAGATACATTCATAATGGCGGTCAATTGAGAGATAGCTCTTCCAGATAATGTTTCACTAAAGTTAACACTGGAAAATGGCTTGAGATGGAAGCTGGCATGGGTTTTGCTTATTACAAGACCATTTTGTACTTGTTATTTTGAAGAACAAAAAGTATGAGCTCTACTAGTTAATACTCAAAAACAAGGAAAATCATTGCTTCCTGCTAACGGTCTTAAATATTGAACTACGGAACATCTTTGTTTCCATTGAATCTCTCTTGAGATTTCAAGTTACTTATTCCTGTTGTATTCATTGTGACTTTCAAGGTTTATCACATGACTTGCCATGGGTGTGTGTATGTGTGTGTTTAAAGAGTAGTTATTTCAAGTGGCTTGTGGAAGAGCAGAAATCCTCAGCAAACAATACCAAAACGGTGTCAACAATTGAGAATGTATATATAAGTTGTCACCTTTAAAGCAAACTGGAGTCTTTCAGCTGAACAAGACAAAATATATTAGGCATGGCTGCAGGAATAGCATTCCCCAAGGCCTTACCAGAGGTAAAGCATTACCTACAAATCCCATGAAGTGGAGGCAGATAATGGAGAATGTACTTCTAATGGCCAGAAGTCACACCAAACTCTTTCTCATGCAGCTCTCTAAGATCCACACAGTTTATCATGTCCCCCTGATTCAAAATTCATTCTTTTGCTGATACCTAAACACCCATGACTTTCAAATATTAATCTCCAATCCCAGCGTCTCTACAAGTTCCAGACCATATATTCACAGTGGGACCTCAAAATCATCATGACTCAAAAAGAATCTATCACCTATCCTTGCAAGTCTACCTTCCTTTCTATATTTTCTATTTTAGTTGATCATATTGCAAACCACTTACTCTCTTAAGCTAGTCATTTCATGCATCCCTTCAAAAATATTTTTTCGTATAGTAGGCCCTGAGGATACAACAGTAAACAAAGCAAAATCCCTTTCCTCATGGATCTTACATTCCAGTGAAATAGACAATAAATTGTGTGTGTGTGTGTGTATGTGTGTGTCAAGTTCAGTGGAAAAAAATGAAGGAGAATAAAGGGGTAGTGACTGACAGATATTCTGTTTGTTGTTGTTGTTTTTGAGTTCCGGGATACATGTGCAGAACTCACAGGTTTGTTACATAGGTGTGTATGTGTGCTGTGGCAGTTTGTCACATGGGGTGTGTGTGCTGTGGTGGTTTGTCACATAGGTGTGTGTGTGTGCTGTGGTGGTTTGTCACATAGGGGTGTGTGTGCGTGCTGTGGCGGTTTGTCACATAGGGGTATGTGCACTGTGGCAGTTTGTCACATAGGTGTGTGTGTGTGCTGTGGTGGTTTGTCACATAGGTGTGTGTGTGCTGTGGTGGTTTATTACATAGGGGTGGGTGCACTGTGGTGGTTTATTACATAGGTGTGTGTGTGCGCTGTGGTGGTTTATTACATAGGTGTGTGTGCTGTGGCGGTTTGTTACATAGGTGTGTGTGCTGTGGTGGTTTATTACATAGGCGTGTGTGTGTGCTGTGGTGGTTTATTACATAGGGGTGTGTGTGCTGTGGTGGTTTATTACATAGGGGTGTGTGTGTGCTGTGGTGGTTTATTACATAGGGGTGTGTGTGCTGTGGTGGTTTATTACATAGGGGTGTGTGCTGTGGCGGTTTGTTACATAGGTGTGTGTGCTGTGGTGGTTTATTACATAGGCGTGTGTGTGTGCTGTGGTGGTTTATTACATAGGGGTGTGTGTGCTGTGGCGGTTTGTTACATAGGTGTGTGTGCTGTGGTGGTTTATTACATAGGCGTGTGTGTGTGCTGTGGTGGTTTATTACATAGGGGTGTGTGTGCTGTGGTGGTTTATTACATAGGGGTGGGTGCACTGTGGTGGTTTATTACATAGGCGTGTGTGTGCGCTGTGGTGGTTTATTACATAGGTGTGTGTGCTGTGGTGGTTTATTACATAGGGGTGTGTGTGTGCTGTGGTGGTTTATTACATAGGTGTGTGTGCTGTGGCGGTTTGTTACATAGGTGTGTGTGCTGTGGTGGCTTATTACATAGGCGTGTGTGTGTGCTGTGGTGGTTTATTACATAGGGGTGTGTGTGCTGTGGTGGTTTATTACATAGGGGTGTGTGTGCTGTGGTGGTTTATTACATAGGGGTGTGTGTGCTGTGGTGGTTTATTACATAGGGGTGTGTGTGCTGTGGTGGTTTATTACATAGGGGTGTGTGTGCTGTGGTGGTTTATTACATAGGGGTGTGTGTGCTGTGGTGGTTTATTACATAGGGGTGTGTGTGCTGTGGTGGTTTATTACATAGGGGTGTGTGTGCTGTGGTGGTTTATTACATAGGGGTGTGTGTGCTGTGGTGGTTTATTACATAGGGGTGTGTGTGCTGTGGTGGTTTATTACATAGGGGTGTGTGTGCTGTGGTGGTTTATTACATAGGGGTGTGTGTGCTGTGGTGGTTTATTACATAGGGGTGTGTGTGCTGTGGTGGTTTATTACATAGGGGTGTGTGTGCTGTGGTGGTTTATTACATAGGGGTGTGTGTGCTGTGGTGGTTTATTACATAGGGGTGTGTGTGCTGTGGTGGTTTGCTGCACCTACTGACCTATCCTCTAAGTTCTCTCCCCTCCCTGCCCCCCAGATTTTCTGTTTTACATAGATTATCAGAGAAGGCCTCATACATTCCAGATTTGTATTTAATTCTTCTTTCTTCTTTGCCTCCCATGTCCAACTGATCACTCAACCCTCTCATTTTATCTCATTCTATCTCTCATAATTCCAACTGAAGTCATTCTTTTAAATTCAAATGACTATTCCCCATTCACTATCAGTAATGCTCTTCACAATTTGGTCCAGACTATCTTTTTTTATTTTTATTATTATTATTTTTTTTTTTTTTGAGACAGAGTCTTGCTCTGTCAGCCAGGCCAGGTTGGAGTAGAGTGGCACGATCTCAGTTCACTGCAACCTCCACCTCCAGTCTCAAGCAATTCTCCTGCCTCAGCCTCCCAAGTAGCTGGGACTACAGGTGTGTGCCATCATGCCTGGCTAATTTTTGTATTTTTAGTAGAGACAAGGTTTCACCATGTTGGCCAGGCTGATCTCGAACTCCTGACCTCAGGTAATCCTCCTGCCTCGGCCTCCCAAAATGCCAGGCTACATTTTAAACTCTAACTTCTACCACTCCCCAGTTGCCTATGACGATTTTTTTTTTACATCTCCATTGGTTCCCAATGCAGATTGGTGTAAAACTGCTTTATTAGTATTTGTTTTTCATTAGGCTCCTATTATAATGTGATCTCCTCTTGAGTACAGACTGTATCATTCATCTTTACATCCCCACATCTAGCCCAGTCCCTCGCATGCAGTTTAGTAACAAGTAAATGTTTGCTTGCTTCATTTGAAATTAATAAAAATTTATTGAAGTTTATTTCCTCCTTGTTCTTTGCGGTTTTGTTTTGTTTTGTTTTTGTTTTTGTTTGAGACAGAGTCTCGCTCTGTTGCCAGCCTGGAGTGCAGTGGCATAATCTCAGCTCACTGCAGTCTCCGCCTCTCAGGTTCAAGCGGTTCTCCTGCCTCAGCCTCCTGAGTAACTGGGACTACAGGCAAGCGCTACCAAGCCCAACTAATTTTTGTATTTTTAGTAGAGACGGGGTTTCACCATGTTGGCCAGGATGGTCTCCATCTCTTGACCTCGTGATCTGCCCGCCTCCGTGTCCCAAAGTGCTGATTACAGGTGTGAGCCACCATGCCTGGCCTATTTCCTCCTTTTTCTTTCAATGAAAGTTAGCTCTGTAAAAATTTCAGAGTGTCTTTATGACTATTTCCCTTGGAGACATCCCAGCAGTGTGAAGTTATGGAGACCACTCAGCTGATAGGAATTTTTTTTTTCCCCAGGTGTCATCATAATTGCTAGTGAGTTTCCCAAAAGCTTTGTGAAGTCCAGGTAAACATGGTCAGCTGTGTGCCTGCTCTAAGATCTTTGACAAATAAGAGACGAAGGCTGGCAGAGCCCATGTTTCTGAAATGCTCTCATATCTGAAATAATGTATGGCAGGGTAATGACAAAAGTAGCAACTAAAGAAACCTTTTAAACCTGCCTTTCTCTTACCCTGTTATATAAAGGTTTTTGTTGAAGATTGTCAATTCTCATAACCCAGCAGTTAATAATGGTTAAACTAACAAAACACATAAAGCAAAACAAAAGCAAAAACTGTGATTCTGGTGATACCACCAGAGAAAAGCTCAAGGCCAGCTTTATTTAATCCTTCATGTAGCATCCTCAAGAGACAGAAAATTAGACCAGGTGCAGTGGCTCACGCCTGTAATCCCAGCACTTTGGGAGGCTGAGGCGGGTGGATCATTTGAGGTCAGGAGTTCGAGACCAGCCTGGCCAACATGGTGAAGCCCCGTCTCTACTAAACTACAAAAATTAGCCAGGCATGGTGGCGGGCACCTGTAGTCCCAGCTACTCAGGAGGCTAAGGCAGGAGAATCGCTTGAACCTGGGAGGTGGAGGTTGCAGTGAGCCGAGATTGTGCTACTGCATTCCAGTCTGGGCGACAGAGCAAGACTCTGTCTCAAAAAAAAAGAGAAAAAAAAGAGAAAATTAGAGCAGCAGTTCAATTATCTTCTAGTGATATCAAAAATAGAACTCAGGTCTTCTGACTTCCACTATGTATTTATTTTAAAAAATAAACCTACCCAGGAATTATTTGGATAAAATATAAAAAGTACTTCAGATGATGCTGTTTTGACTGTAATAAACTAGGGCAAAATAATTTGAAGTTTTAAATGTTGAATGGGAATTTCAGATCTTTGTAAATGAAATGGTCCATGAACTATTATATCATCATTTCTGTCTAATAAAGTAACCATTTGAAAATCATTTCTGTCTAATAACCATTTGGAAAATATTATTTACCCTTTTGAACAAATTAAAATCTTAATTTTAAATGTTTAAGGCTGGGCACGGTGGCTTATGCCTGTAATCCCAGCACTTTGGGAGGCTGAGGAAGATGGATCACTTGAGGTCAGGAGTTCAAGACCAGCCTGGCCAACAAGGTGAAACCCCGTCTCTACTAAAAATACAAAAATTAGCCGGGTGTGGTGCTGTGTACCTGTAGTCCCAGCTACTTGGGAGGCTGAGGTAGGAGGATCACCTAAGCCTGGGACGTCGAGACTGCAGTGAGCTGTGATCATGCCACTGCACTGTATAACCTGGGCAACAGAGGGAGACTCCATCAAAAAACAAAACAAAAAAAAGAAGTTTAAATAATTCTTCAATTACATTGATACCAATTTTTGTTTTTAGCAGGAAGAACATTCCCTTAAGCCCATAGTAGAGAACAGCCAGTATAGGGGAGATATATTTTCAACTCAGCACTACGAGAATTAGAAGATATTTTTCAACTTAATGTAGGTGCTGGGTAAATACTGTATGGGAACGTTTTAAGAGAATAAATCTGATCTTGGTTAACTCACTAGTGTTTTTTTAATTCTGCTTTTCACTAAGGGGGAAAAGCTTTTGCAGAAGATAATAGTTTACATTTTAAAAATAATTTAATTTCTATCTATGTGAAAGGAATACATTTTCTTACCAAGTAACAGATTTTGAAAACAGGAGCTTAATACCTGTTAGGATAGGAAACAGTTCTGTGCTTCCATTTACTTTTTTTCTGGCTATCATTTCCAAGCAGAGTTTGTTTTATTGAGAAGAAAGTAGGCTCAAGATAATGAGACAGGTGCAGCACTGGGGGCATGGCTCTTCTGCAGGTACAGATGTCACTTATGCTGTGTCATCCAGTTTCATAAACAAGTATTTTGCCAGAGAGAAACTAAGAGTTTTATTTCATATGGTATTTCCCAATGATTATGTAGTGAAATGACTTCCCTGTTTCATAATGAGCTACTCAGAGCATAGATACTGAAATTCTCACTATGTTAATATTAACGAACCCTTGAAGAGTTGCTGAGGAAAGGATTGGGAAGAATCAGAGAAAGATCGCCTTTGAAAATAGTCCTTTACACAATGAAGAAAGTGAAAAGACGACCCACAGAATGGGAGAAAACATTTGCAAATCATATACTAATAAAGGACTTGTATCAGAATACATAAATAACTCTTTTACCTCAACAGTAAAAAGAAAAATAACCCAACTTTTAAAACATGGGCAAAGAGGCTGGGCATGGTGGCTCATGCCTGTAATCCCAGCACTTTGGGAGGCTGAGGCAGGCTGATCATCTGAGGTCAGGATTTCAAGACCAGCCTGGCTAACATGGTGAAACCCCATCTCTACTTAAAATACAAAAATTAGCTCGGTAGTGGCACATGCCTGTAATCCCAGCTACTCAAGAGGCTGAGGCAGGAAAATCACTTGAACCCAGGAGGCGGAGTGGTTGCAGTGAGCTGAGATCGTGCCACTGAACTACAACCTGGGTAACAAAGTGAGACTCCGTCTGATATGGTTTGGCTGTGTCCCCACCCAAGTGTCATCTCAAATTGTAGCTCTCGTAATTCCCACATGTTGTGGGAGGGACCTGGTGGGAGATAATTGAATCATGGGGGTGGTCTCTCTCATACTGTTCTCGTGGTAGTGAATAAATCTCACAAGATCTGATGGTTTTATAAGGGTTGCGCCTTTCACTTGGCTCTCATTTTTCCTTTTGCCTGCCACCATGTAAGATGTGCCTTTCACCTTCTGCCATAATTGTGAGGCCCACCCCAGCCAAGTGGAACTGAGTCCATTAAACCTCTTTTTCTCTATAAATCACCCAGTCTTGGGGATGTCTTTACCAGCAGCATGAAAATAGACAAATATACTGTCTCAAAAAGGGGGGGCAAATAATTCAAATAGACATTTCTCCAAAGAAGATAACAAGTGGCCAATAAATATATGAAAAAATGCTCAACATTATTAGTTATCAGGAATATGTAAGTGCAAATCAAAACCATAATGAGATACAACTTCACACCCACTAGAATGACTACAATTAAGAACACAGACAATAACAAATGTTGGAGAGGATGTAGAGAAATTAGAAGCCTTATACATGTGAGAATGTAAAATAGTGCCACTGCTTTGGAAAAGTATCTGCAGTTCCTCAAAATGTTAAACAAAGAAATGCTATAGCCCAGCAATTCCACTCCTAGATGTATACCCAAGAGACCTGAAAACATCCCCATACAGAAAACTTATACATGGATGCTCACAGCAACATTATTTGTAATAGCCAAAAAATAGAAACAACTCAATATCCATCAACTGATGAATAGATAAATAAAATGTAGTATATCAGTTGGACATGGTGGCTCATGCCTCTAATCCCATCACTTTGGGAGCCTGAGGCAGGTGGATCACTTCAGTCCAGGAGTTCAATTCCAGACTGACCCACATGGCAAAACCTCGTTGCTACAAAAAATTAGCCGGGTGTGGTGGTGCATGCCTGTAGTCCCAGCTACCTGGGAGGCTGAAGTGAGAGGATCATTTGAGCGCAAAGGTTTAGGCTGCCGTGAGCCATGATTGCACCACTGTACTCCAGCCTGGGTGGTGGAGTGAGATCCTGTCTCAAAACAAACAAAACAGGTCCAAACAATGTACTATTATTTGTCAATAAAAAGAAATGAAGTACTGATGCATATTACTACATGGATAATCCTTGGAAACATTATGCTACCTGAAAGAAGCCAGTCACGAAGGACCATATAGTGTATGATTCCCATCTATATGAAGTGTTCAGAATAGGCAAATCTATAAAGACAAAGTAAATTTGTGGTTGCTGGAGGCTGAGGGTTTGGGGAATGGGGAGTGACTGCTAGTGGATACAGAGCTTTATTTGATGGTAATAAAAATGTTCCAAATTTAGATCGTGGTGAAGGTTCCACAACTTTGTGAATATATTACAATCCACTGAATTATACATTTTAAAAGGTGAATTTAATGATATGTAAATAACTCAATAAAGCTATTTTTAAAATCAATCTTTGAATGCTTAAAAAGGAAAACTTGATAACATTACACTAATTTTTATTAATATTGTTGTCGTTGGTAACAGAGGCCCAGGAGAAAATATGAACAAAAATTGGTGAAGGCCATCACCAGACCTAGCAGTTGCATCCTGTTCAGCACCACAGACAGCTCCCTCGCAAATGCCATCCTTTCAAAAGGTACCATACAGAAGACAGCTACTGAGATTCTGCAGATTTTCTAAAAGTGACATTTCTATTACACATTTCTTCTTTTCAGCACTGTCATATGTAATGGTATGCATTATTGCGTTGTGTACATTTTGTGATACATCATCAATCTGCTACACTACCCCATTAATCCATTCATTCAATAAAATACATTGTTATGTGCCAGATACTCTTAGACAAGTCACTTACCCCATTAGCTTCATTTCCTTACCCAAAACTTGTGGATCATTATACATGTTTGATAAACTAGGAAAGTATTTGTGAAATAATCCATATCGCTTGTATTCATTTGAACACATTATCCCATTGCATTATTACGAAATTTATTTTATTCTGGGAACACAGAACATCCTGTTACATTAGAAGCCTAGATGAGTGTTCTGGATATACTCAGGCTTAGGATTCATTCATTCAAGTTTTCATAGTAAGAATGGCCTTTTAAAAAATAAATTTTATTGCGTATATTTAAGGGGTACAACATGTTCTAAGATACATATAGTAAAATAGTTACTATAGTCAAACAAATTAACATATGAATCATCTCATATAGTTACCCGCCACCCCACCCCCCCATTTTTTCTGGCAAGAGTTCCTGAAATCTACACTTTAAGCAAAAATCCTAATTACAGTATTATTAACGACGGTCCTATTGTACATCCTACATATCTGGTACTTTTTAGCCTGTGACCTACATCTCCCCATTTGTACTCCACCACACCCCTGATAACTGCCATTTTATTTGCTGTGTATTTGACTGGTTTTTTAAGATTTCACGTATGAGATCATGCAGTATTTTTCTGTGTCTGGCTTATTTCACTTAGCATAATGTCCTCCAGATTCATCCATGTTGTGGCAAATGCCAGGATTTCCTTTTTTAAGGCTGAATAATCTCTGTGTGTGTGTGTGTGTGTGTGTGTGTGTGTCTGTGTGTGTGATTTATCTGCTCACCTATCAATGGACACCTTGGTTGTTTCCTTATCTTGGCTATTGTGACTAATGCTGCAATGAACACAACAGTGCAGATATATAAACTTAACTGAACTCTTGCCAGAAAAAATGGGGGATGGGGTTGGGGTAACTATATGAGATGATTCATATGTTAATTTGCTTGACTGTAGTAACTATTTTACTGTATTTGTCTCAGAACATGTTGTACACCTTAAATATATGCAATAAAATTTATTTTTTAGAAGGCCATTCTTACCATGAAAACTTAACTAATGCTGCAATGAACACAACAGTGCAGATATATTTATGAGGTGGTGAGTTCATCTCCTTTGGGTATATATCCAGAAGAGGAATTGTTCGGTTATATGATAGTTCTATTTTTAATTTAGGAACCTCCATACTATTTTCCACAGTGGCTTCATCAATCTATATTCCCACCACCATTGTACCAGGGGTCCCTTCTCTCTGCATTTTCTCCAACATTTATCTCTTGCCTTTTTGATAACAGCCATCCTAATAAGTATGAGGTGATATTTCATAGTGATTTGATTTGCATTTCCCTGATGATTGGTGATGCTGAGCATCTTTTCGTATACCTGCCCTTCTTGAGCATGCTTCAGATGGGTGCAAATTCCCGAGATAGCTGTGGATCTGGCCTGGAAATGGGCCCATTTTTAAGGATGATGAAAGAATTGCAAGCTATGTATCTAATCCATCACCTTCCTAAATTCAGTCCAATGTTGAAGTTCAACACAAAATTGCAGATACATGTCCCTACATATATTTCTATATGATCAGTCTTGTCATAACAGGATTTGTCTGTAAGGAGGATTCCCCACATAACACTGTTGTAAAATAATTATGTATTTCTTCAAAACAAGAAATTGTATAGAAAAGTCCCAGAAGTGTTTGAACAGTGAAATTGTGTCAAATCATGTAGTCTCTTCGATCCTCACATTCTCCTCCATGTGACTGGGGTAGGCAGGTCAACAAGACAATCTACAAACATCTAACTCAATGCGTGTGGTTCAGTTTCGTTGTTTTTATTACTCTCATTCCTCCTCAGATGGCTCAGATTTAGTTGCCATTTACCTATCTTGCTCATATTTAAATATCAAAAGAACTAGCACAGGATGCCCACTTCTGCCAAATTCCATACAACCAGATGCTGCTTCTTCAAGAAGAAAAACAATAATTATTGATATTTAAAGGGCACAGGGTGAAAGGCACACACTTGACCTCTCAATGTCCATTATTTCCTTTGCTGTGGCTTAAGAAAGAACACTGCGTAAGAAGTCAGAGCACACGTCCGTGGGAGTCCTGGGATTCAGTATCACAAAAGCTGTAAACAGTAGTAAATAACACTTGTCTTTCTGAAGAAAGCAAGCACATCATTCTGAGAAGGTGCAAACAGGAGCCCTTAACATTTTGGAAGGCTGGAAGATGGATCTTGAGTCCAAATGTTTCAAAAAGCAAGGCTTTCCATTTCCACTCCATACCAATTTTTTAATCCTTACCTTTTATTTCAGTGATGAATTTATTATTTTCTTAAACTCTAAGCCTATCTGAAAGATCGCTATTCTCCTTTTGCAGTGCACAGAATCTCAGCAGTCTGCACATCTTTCCTTTAATGACTTCCCCCAACTTGCCCATTTGCTATATCTTCCTCTGAGGCTTAAACATGCCATTTCATCTCACATCACTCAGCAACATTTATTATATGTTAGTAAAATTTCCCAATTTTACTAATGTATTAATTTTTTTTTCTGGTTTTAGGCCCACATCAGAAAACAATTATTTTATACTATAGTAACACTTGAGAGATGGAAAATGAAATGAGAATTTATTTAAAAAATACCTAATACCTAAAACTATCTATATATAAGCCATCAACACAAATTACTATATCAACTTCCTTCAAGATAAAAACAAACCATAATATGTCTATTACATTGGACTTAGGACCATAAATTCAATTCCCACAGATTCATAGCATGAAAGCATTTGCAAGCCATGCCTTCTTCAATTTGGGATCCAGACTCAGGAATGCAACTGGATCGTGTGCTGCAGGTAGACACTCAGCTCTGTGCACATTTTTCTCTGTGGTTTCTCTTCTGCTTTGCAGTACTAAGAAAGGTGTATCTTGGGCACACTCAGATTTTTATTTTCGGGAAATAACTTTCCCCCTCTGCAATCTTGGTGGGACTGTACTTACAGGTAGCAGCCCTCCTGCTACTGAAACCCTAAGGGGTCCTGAGCACCTCCCAGTAGGTCCTGGCCTATCTACAGAATGAACATGTGATGAGTCCAGTGCCGTCTTCCAGAGCTTTGACATCTGAGCCATTGTAAATTTGGAAGACTGGAATTCATTCATGCCAGTGGCAGCAACCTGCCCAGAATTCTCCAGCAATAGGCCATTCCTGGAGTTGCTGCTTCCCTGCTGGAGTTGCCTGAATTCATCTTCCCAATAATTTTTTTTTTTTCAGTCAGTCAAAGTCAGTTCCTGCTGCTTACAACCAAAGAGCCCTGACCAATTCATTTCTCACTTCCAGTGGAGTATCTCGCCATGTTTAATGACCACTTATAGGAGCCAGTGTTGTGTGCCAATAGCAGCTAAAATGCTAAAGCATTTTTAACAGGCCAGAAACACTCTCTTAGGAGAATTATTACACAAAGAGTCTCTGCCTTCTCTCCAGAAAACTAAGAGATTCAAAGAACACTATAAAACACTACATAAAAGGAATTTGGGTCATAATTTTCTGTATCTTCAAACCTCATATTTTTAGTTTTAATTTTAATAAAATATTATTGAAACTATTCTGAAGTTCTAGAATATAAGACTAAAATTAGCCACAACCCCATCCTAAGTCAATTCAATGTTTTCACATGTTCATGTCAAGTTCTACTCCTGGTCTATGTTCTGAACTCATTTTTAGTATTAGCCATATTGTCACAGAGATATTATAGTTAACACTTTTGGGTAACATTTTCTCATGCATGTTTCCATTTTGCCAGTCTCCTTTATTTTTTCCTTCCCCTCCCTATCCCACCACCCATAGATAATGCTAGCAGTCCAATGTTTCTCCTTCTACACTTTCTCCATTCTCAAGCTATTGTGTATGTATATATGTACATATGTATATATATGTACACACATACATATATACAGAGATATATAGGTATGCTTAAGTTTTAGTTGTTGCTTTCTAAACATTGAATCAAAATGGAATCATACTCTATACATAACTGCATATTGCTTTTTTCACTTCATAATACATTATAAAATTCTCGCCGGTCAGCTGGATCAAATTCATTCATTTTAATTTGAGGATTTATATAATTTACACTTAACGATATGGTTGAGATTAGATCCACCATCTTGCTATTTGTTCTCTATTCACCTCATCTGTTCTTTGTTCATTTCTTCCCTTATTTCCTGCTATTCGTTAGCTATACGTCTACATTTTAGTTTTCAGTGGTTGTGCCAATGTTTATAATACATATCCCTAACTTACCAAGCCTACTTTAAATAATAATATTTAAATGTTATAATTTTATAACAGTAGACTTCCATTTTTCCCTATTCATCTTTTTTTTTTTTTTTTTTTTTAGATGAAGTCTCACTCCATTGCCAGGCTGGAGTGCAGTGGCGCGATCTCAGCTCTCGGCTCACTGCAACCTCCACCTCCCAAGTTCAACCGATTCTCCTGCTTCAGCCTCCCAAGTAGCTGGGACTACAGGCACGTACCACCATGCCCAGCTAATTTTTGTATTTTTAATACAGACAGGGTTTCACCATGTTGGCCAGGATGGTCTCTATCTCTTGATCTCATGATCCGCCCACCTCAGCCTCCCAAAGTGCTGGGATTACAGGCATGAGCTACCACGCTTGGCCTCATCTTTTGTGCTATTGTTATCCCACACTTTATTTCAGCATAAGTAATGAACCCCATTATGCATTTGTTAATTTTGCTTTATATAGTCAATTACTTTTTTATTTTTTGAGATGGAGTCTTGCTCTGTCACCCAGGCTGGAGTGCAATGGCATGATCTTGGCTCACTGCAACCTCCGCCTCCCGGGTTCAAGCCATTCTCCTGCCTCAGCCTCCCGAGCAGCTGGGATTACAGGCATGCGCCATCACACCCGGCTACTTTTTGTATTTTTGGTAGAGACAGGGTTTCAGCATGTTGGCCAGGCTGGTCTTGAACTCCTGACCTCAGGTGATCTGCCCGCCTCAGCCTCCCAAAGTGCTGGGGTTACAGGCATGAGCCACCAAACCTAGCCAGTCAATTACTTTTAAAATACATTTTTAAATAAGAATGAAATACATTTATACTTAGCATTCCTTATGCTCTCCATCCCTTTGCATAGATCTAAGTTTCCATCTGGTTTTATTTTTCTTCTGCCTAAAGAACTTTCCTTAATATTACATATAGTGCAGATCTGGTGGTAACAAAGTCTCTCAGCTTTTGTCTTTAAAAGTCTTTTTTTAAATTTATTTATTATTATTATTTTGAGACGGAGTTCCACTCTGTTGCCCAAACTGGAGTGCAGTGGTGTGATCTCGGCTTACTGCAACCTCCACCTCCTGGGTTCAAGTGATTCTCCTGCCTCAGCCTTCTGAGTAGCTGCGAGTACAGCCATGCACCACCAGGCCTGGCCAATTCTTGTATTTTTAGTAGAGATGGGGTTTGGTCATGTTGGCCGCTGGTCTCAAACTCATGACCTCCGGTGATCTGCCCACCTCGGACTCCCAAAGTGCTAGGATTACAAGCATGAGCCACCGCGCCCAGCCTAAAAGCCTTTATTTTATCTTAAGGTGAAATTTTATTTTAATAGATGGGGTCTCACTATGTTGTCCAGGCTGAAATGCAATGGCTATTCACAGGCACAATCATAGCACACTATAACCCTGAACTTCTAGACATAAGTGATCCTCCTGCTTCAGCCACCACCATGCCCAGCCTAGGGTAAAAATTTTAAAGGATGTTTTGCTAGATGTGGAATTCTACATTGACCCCAAAAAATGTTTTATTCAGTAAAGGTGTCATACCATTATCTTCTGATTTGCATCATTTCTAAAAAGAAATCTGTCTCATTCTTATCTTTGTTCTTCTGTATCTCATATGCTTTTTCTCCTCTGGCTGATTTTAAGATTTATCACTGTTTCTCAGCAATTTGGGTATGATGTGGTTCAATGTGATGTTTTTGTGTTTATCCTACTTGAGTTTTATGAAAGTTCTTGAATCTGTGTGTTCATCATAGTTTTTATCAAATTTGAATTTTTTTCAGCCATTATTTCTTCAATGTTTTTGTGTTTTGTTTTTGTTTTTGAGACAGGATCTCACCCTGTCATGTAGGCTGGAGTGCAGTGATGCAATCACAGCTCGCTGCAGCCTCAAACTCCAGGGCTCAAGTATTCCTCCTGCCTCAGCCTCCCGAGTAGCTGGGACTACAGGCATATGCCATCATGCTCAGCTATTTTTTTTTTTCAATAGAGATGAGGTCCCGGTATGTTACCCAGGCTAGTCTCAAACTCCTGAGCTCAAGGTATACTGCCACCTCAGCCTCCCAAAGTGTTCGGATTACAGGCATGAGCCATGGCACCCGGCCTCCTTCCTGCCCCCGACCCCCCAGCCAAACAAACACTTTACTGGGACTGCAATTACATGAATAATTACCCCCAAGTAACTGAGGCCCCATTTTTTTCCATTGCTTTTCTGTTTCACTTTGAATAGTTTCTATTGCTACAACTTCAAGTTCATTGATCTTTTGTTTTTCCATAAAGAAGATGCAGTTAATCCCATCCAATGTATTTTTCATTTCAGATATTGTATTTTTCACCTCTAGAATTTCCATTTGGTTTTTAAATATCTTCACTATCTCTCCTGATTATATTTTAACGATATTTAAACACATCGAGCATATATGTAATAGCCATTTCAAAGTCCTTGCCTACTAATTCCATTGTCTGCCATTGTTGGGTCTTTTCCTATTGACGGTTTTTTTGTTTTTTTTTTTTACTCTAGGTTATGGGTCACATTTTCCTGCTTCTTGGCATGTCTAGTAATTTTTTATTGGCTGGTGGACATTGAGTTAAGTATCTGAACTTTGCCATGTTCCCTTAAAGAATGGCTTCGTTAGAAGACAGTTAAGTTACTGGAAAATCAGATTTGTTTGATCCTTTCATGGCTTCTTTTTAAACGTGTTTAGGGTAGGTTTGAAGTAGCCTCTATTCTGGGATAGTTTAGCTCTACTACTAAGGCATGGGATGACCCTTCTGGTTCTCTTGAAAAGTCACTTTGGAAGCCAATTCTCTTGAAAGGATAATATGGAAGTTCCCTGGCTCGCTCTTGACAAAATACTCATAAAAGTCTACCTCCACTATAATAAAGCTCAAAACAAAGAGTTGTTGTAAAGGACTGTGGAATATAAGATTGGCTGCAGTTACATAGAATGAACGAAAGTGTGATGAGATGAATGCTGAGAAATGTTTAGGATGCTCCTGTAAAGTAGCTATCAGAGGGTCACTCATTAATCACAAAGTTTGTATTTTAGTATGATACTTAATTCTCTCTATATACAAATATTTAACAGCCTTTTAGTCTGCCACATAGATGATGATGATCTTCCTGGTCCCTGTTGGGATACAGTGATACCAAAGATCAGATTAATCTAACTATTTACCTCCGTAGGACCATCAGCCTACACAGAGGAACTGTGGGAAACAATGAACAGTTTGTTAGAATTTTTAAGAGGTTGTCCCTCATCATTATGTGTCTTTGCTTACATTCTGGGACTTTATAAACCTCTTTAAGTGCATTATGTGGAGAGGTCCCTTTCCAGTTCATATTTGAAAATGCCTACTTTGTTTCATCCATCTGAAAATGTCTGGTTACAGTTTTTCATCACTGCCCCTTGTTTAACACAATAACTGACTTTGAAAGTCCAATTATCTACAGATAGTTTAGGAGTAAGGTAAGGAAATGGCTTTGGAACCATTTGAAATTACTTCACCATATTTATTTACTTCCTTTTTCCTGAGCTAGAGTAACTATGGGTACAGCACCAACAGTATCTGTCCTATAAGGTACTTGCTCCTTCCCACAGTTATTTAATGTGGAGACTGAGGTTATTAGAATGAAACTGCAAGTCCGTCTGCTTTTGATACTGTCTTTCCATAGCATTGTTCAACATTACTCGTTCCACTAGGTATTGCTGATCATTAGCTTGTAAGAAATATTTTCTCTTTTCTGAATTTATTTTTAAAACAAAGTAAAACAAAAAAACTAGAACTCTCCCCTTGGCTTGGTTTAGTGCCATTGTTAACCTTTGGAATGTAGATAAATTTAATGTCTCCAACACACATTGATCCAGAAATATATTTTGTAGCATTATCCATTTATAATACCAAACTACCTTTTCTGATATTCACTATGAAGCCCTACTAAGATTTCTTGTTTTTATTTACTTCAATGTCTAGAAAGCCACAAATGCAACTCTGACTAGTAAGAACAGCCACCAGGTTTACCTTTTTAAGGGTCTGGGCACTCTGTTCTGTTCCCTGGCCCCAGGATGTACCTTAACAAATATAATATCCTGTAGAAGTCATAATAGGATTGGGGGGAAATATTTCATTACAGTAAACATAAAACTAGCCGTGATAGAGCTGCTGGGAATTCTGTGCATGTAGCTTCAGACCATGAGATTTGACCTTCGTGCTTATGCTTAAGAGCAGAGGAGCTAATTTCTCACTGCCGGTAAGAATTTACTACTCATGGCACAAAGAGAACAACAAATTAAGGAAGTCATCATGGAACTCAAAGGAAGCTAACAATGACAGATCCAGCATCTGCACCATTAAGTTCAGGTACTGGAGCCAGAATGCTTTGCAAACAGAGCTAACCAGCTGCCGCTAAAAGTGGGGCTGAAAATGTACCTAGTTTCAGGTTTAGAGGACAAAAGGAACTGTAAACCATTTCCATCAAAATACTGGAGTAATGCTCACAGAGCTTTTTTTTCTGAATTTTAAAAACAGCACAGGAACGAGTATGTTTTCAGCTATTTAAACAAACCAAAAACAACAAACCTGCCCATGAAGGGAATTATTCTGGGTATCTGTAACTTTTTGTTCTATCTTCTACTACTTCATACGAGCAACCTGGCATGACTGCTACCCTAAGATTTGTGTCACCAAGCAGTTGTCTTTGTTCCTCTCAAATGAACTGATTAAGATTTTTATGAATGAGGATTCTAGTTGGATAACTGCCAATTTTAGTTATGCACTGATCTGAACAGGCTTCATCTGCCATCATGAAAGGGGAAAGGTGAGAAGCCTAACATGTATTAGATATGGTTTCAGATGTGGTCCTGCTCGGGCATTTTCCAGAAACTGTGGTTCTGCTCTGGGGGCTCCCTTTCCCCACACTGTGGCTACAGACGATTGTCTAGAGATGGGCAGGTAGTGCAAGGGCCATAGTGCCATAGAATCTTAGCCAATCAGATTTTGCTTCTCAGGAATCTGAACTAGTGAACTAAGGTGCAGTTCTGCTCAGTAGTAGGAGCAACTTCACATTCCAGGGATGAGGAGTGGGGACAGAGGTAGAGAAAGACAGAGAAAGACAAAGAAACACAAAGTGAGGAGGAAGAAGAGATAAATGTACAGCATAAGGCATAGCAATCTTGAGATGTGAGACCTCATGGATCAGCAGAAATGCAGCTGGTAACCTTAACTCTTGACTTTACAGGTTTCAGGCAACTTCCAGTGAGGACTGGCTATACTTCCTGCCCTGGCGGTGTGTGGGATTCTCCCTATCCAACTCACTTAAGAAGTTTTCTACCCTCACAACCTAAAGTGCTTCAACAGAACCCAAAGAATATTAGAAGTTATTTCTTGCTTTTTTTTTAGACGGAGTCTCACTCTGTTGCCCAGGCTGGAGTGCAGTGGTGCAATCTCAGCTCACTGCAACCTCTGCCTCCTGGGTTCAAGCAATTCTCTTGCCTCAGCCTCCTGAGTAGCTGGGACTACAGGAATGCACTAGCTAAATTTCTTGCATTTCTAACAAGATAGACTTAGGCTTAGGCAATATTTCCTACTAATTATATGTGTATGTGTGTGTGTGTGTGTGTGTGTGTATATATATATATATATATATATATATATATATTTTTTTTTTTTTTTTTTTTTTTTTTTGAGATGGAGTTTTGTTCTTGTAACCCAGGCTGGAGTGCAGTGGCGCGATCTTGGCTCACTGCAACCTCTGCCTCCCAGGATCAAGTGATTCTCCTGCCTCAGCCTTCCAAGTAGCTGGGATTACAGGCACTCGCCATGCACCACGCCTGGCTAATTTTTGTATTTTTAGTAGAGACATAGTTTCACCATGTTGGCCAGGCTTGTCTCGATCTCCTGACCTCAGGTGATCCAGCCACCTCGGCCTCCCAGAGTGTTGGGATTACAGGCGTGAGCCACCATGTCCAGACTAATTACATTAATAAAACAAACTTAAGCTCATAAACATTTGTCATTCACAATAAAAATACACACAGAATTGGAATTCATGAATTTGCTCAAAGCTCTTCTTAGTGCAGACATTTAACCTGGGCCTCCTCTTCAGCCACACCATACTTGAGGCCTGCAAATGCCAAGCAAGCTGTTTGTCTTTTAGAGAGTGTCAAAACTGTTAGGAAACCAACAACCTGGATATGTCCAGGTTAATACAGAGTTTGGTGGAGAAGAGACCATCCAATGCCTCCTGCTGTTTAAGAACTCCCTCCAATCCCACTTGGCATCAAAAGAAAGTTTCCTCTCTGTTAGTGGTATGCCCCTAGGCCCTCAATTTTTTCTGGTTTCAGTTGTGCATGTTGGCCGCGTGCCTGTGTTTCCAATATGATAATTATTTGAATGGACTTGAGTGTCCCTGCCATGGCTCTGCTAATCCAGGCCACCCATGTCTCTGCTCTTGCTTCCTATTTGCCACACCAGCTCAACTGTACATTGCGCCTCCAACCTGGAATCTGCATGGAGGCTCCACTGAGCCCAGAAAGGGCAGCTGGCAGGTCAGGGTGAGGCCTCTTCCACAGGCAGTGGAACACGGTGTGTGCATTCCCAGGACATCTTTTTTTTTTTTTTTTTTTTTCTTCAATTGAGACGGAGTCTCACTCTGTTGGCAGGCTGGAGTGCAGTGGCGTAATCGCAGCTCACTGCAACCTTCGCCTCTGGGGTCAAGCAATTCTTCTGCCTCAGCCTCCCAAGTAGCTGTGATTACAAGCACCTGCCACCATGCCCGGCTAATTTTCTGTATTTTTAGTAGAGATGAGGTTTCACCATGTTGGCCAGGCTGGTTTCAAACACCTCACCTCAAGTGATCTGCCCGCCTCGGCCTCCCAGTGTGCTGGGATTACAAGTGTGAGCCACCACACCCAGGCCCCAGGACATCTCAAGGTTCTCCATTCTTAGGATCTGTGATCCCACTAAATAACATTCTTTCACAGGCATATCAGTCCAACAACCTGTTTCTAGGTGAACTTGATGGCCCTGGTTAATTTCAACCTCACTAGGGATACATTGTTAGCAAAACTTGGTTTGACTCGTGTCCATTCTATAGGCCACCCTGACTTGATGAATATGTCAGCATATGCTTCTGTCCCCTGACTACATCTAAAAATTCCTGGATCAATAAAAAGAAATTTCCAGGGAACATAATCACAGTTAGATTCTTTGCCTCTTTGAGAAATAACAGCTGAGCTTGGCTCTCATCATCAACTTGCAATTTGGAATTCCTCTGACATTTATACGAGCAATGTTCTGGTCATAATGATATGATACCCACATCCGTTCCCACAAGGAACTTGAAATCCAGTAAAGAAATAAAATGTGATGCTTTTTCTGAAGCACAAAGAAATGTGAACTCAGGTAGGTTCTTGCCGATTTTTTCTGAGGGACTGGAGTAATCCATGAATGTCTTCTCAAAACAGTATCCTCTTCCTGCAATGTGCACCTCGGCAGTGGGACTATCTGGCTGATCCAGGGACCTCCTGCCAATACAGCCCTTTATGAAAATCAGGAAAAGGCATCCCCACTGGCGCAGGGCTTGGCCAGTAGGCTGAGCCTTATTGGTAGAAAAAGACAATCCTTCCCTTGGGGCAGTTGATACCTCAAGCCCTCCATGGCTTGGAGAGAAGATCTCAGCTTCATTCACCTCTCCTCAGTCGAGGACCACTAAGCAAGATGCGTGTGCAGAAGCCCATATGGTGGCCCTAGTTCCAACAATAATAGCGAAAACCCAAAATCACTGCCCTCCTGCTCTAGGCAAAATCTCAGCCACCAAATAACAGAATCTGTTGAATCTTGCCTGAAACTCGTATTTTAGTGCTACTAAAGTGTAGAAGTCTTTATTACCACACTGCAAGATTAAGTACAGAAACTGAAAGTGTTTAGAAACTTTTATAACAATCTAATCTTGGTGCTATATTTTTATCGTATTTATAAAACTACCAACCTGCAAAGGATTAGAATTTTTAAAACTCATCCTTTACCATGGATAGTTTAAAAAGCACTGTTTTACAATGATGTTTCAAAAGGAAAAAGCTACTTTATTACCTGCTTTAAAAAGAGGATCTGTGGTGTGTCCTTCTGTATAGTACAAAGAAGAGCATGTCGTTTCAATTTGCTTGTAAAGACATACAGGAGGAATGGTCTCAACTGCAACTACTAATCTAACTGGTCTCACAAGCAGATTGGAGCACTTCATTGTTACCCTGTGAAATACACACCAAATGGAAAAATTAATTTTACTTACTTAACCATTTGCTGACAGATGAGTTAACCAATAGATCAAATATACTCTGGGGCTGAGTCTTCCTTTTAATGTTTATCTACGGCTAAAGGTAGCTTTTCATAACAGATGTAAATATTTGTTCTACTTACCCACAATGATACCAAGATGTTACAACAAACACCATTTTCACCAGGCGTCCCCTCATCTCTGGCCCTTTTTATTTAAGGGAGTCACAGATGTGCCTACTAGGAATCACATTACACTGAAACTTCCACCACACCCAAGCAGCTTTTCTGGTCCTCTCCTTCGTCATCAGTCTGTACCAGCTGCTTCTCCTCACCTTGCCCTGGGGTTCTTTCCATGAATCTTAGTCCAGCAGAAAAGCCGGCACCCAAAGGAAGTCCAGGTACATGCTGGGAGGCGGACGAAGCCATGACCTGGCATGGACTTGAAGCAGTTCCCAAGTTGTTTCCCAGAGTCTGTCTTTGGGGATGGCAGCGATGACAAGAAATGGGCCAGGAGTGTCTCAGCCATTTGTGTTTGGCCCAGTAAGTTTGCTGACAAATGATAAGGCACAATGGGGTAAAGTCACAAACCATCCTTAAAGCATTCCAGTGTCACTGATTGGTGCCTCATGCACCTTTTCAAACTTGTGAACAAGCAAAACAAAATCATGATTGCTGACACCTTGATGTTTCTGTTTTAAATTTATACTCGTGTGGAAATGGGTTTTACAGCCCATCTAGACTACGATGAAAATACTTAAAACATGTACTTCTTTATTCAAGGATATTCTCTTGACTAAACTTCCCAAGAATCATTACAAATAAGTGAGTGACTCTCACTGGTCTGGTGGCAGCAAAATGACTTAACAATCTAAGACCTGATGGTACTGACTATAAGGACCAATACGTCAATTACATACAGAAATTTGATTTTTTTAAACAGAACGAGACACCAGCTAGGATTATAACTTTAGCATTCTATAGCAGTCTGCTCACACAGCCCTCCTCCATGCTGGCTCTTGGGCCACACTGTTCCCACATGGAGCTTGAGTCTCCTCCAACACATTCCATGAGCTTCAAGTGCAGAGACATGGTGTACACTTCGGGCTGTTCTACAGAGCACTCCAGACCATACGTGGCTGAATACGTGAGTGAGTGTTTTTCTGTCCACTTATAAACCATGTTGATATTAAGCATAAATATAATCCAAATCAGCTTTCCTTTTCTTGGCCTAAAGGAATATGATGGGATTAAAACAGAAGTGAATTAAGCAAAGATCCACTATTCTGAACAAATAACATAGAAGTGATTGAACAATTTGGACCCACTAAATTTTGTGTCTAGCTGTAAAATGGACATTGTGATAAAAACAGGATTTGAAGGAAAATGAATAGCTAATTTGTCAATTAAATAATTAAAACTTTAAAAAAGTGAATGGCTATAGAGAAAAGTATACCCATATATAGTCAATAAGTTAATTAAATAATGTTCAACTATGACAAGCAACCCTATAGACAGTTAAAGTTTCAGATGCATGAAAAGACATATGATATATATATACTTTTTTCTGTTTTACACATTAACTGGTCTTATTAAGCAGTGTGAAAAACATTCTTGCAAAGAGAATCATACAGCTTTAGAAATTTGCTATTTAAGAGAAAATTATTGCTAATTCTGGAATTAGTCAACCCTTTATTCATGCTTGCATATATTTTCACATATTGGGTTAGTTATCAGTTTAAAACAGTTACGTACTTTGATGTGGAATTCCAACATTTCCAGAGCATTCAAAAAAGTCAGCTTGGACACAATTAAAATTGTCTTTCTTTGGTCTCACTAAAATAGGAGAAACTCATCTGACTGAGAACAAATATTTCCATCCAATACCCATTTGCAGAAAAGTCCTGGGAAAATTAACGTTAATGCCCCCTGATCCTGGCTGCTCTTCTCTCATGGAGGTTGAGCCCATCCTCCACCAGCTTAGTCTGGAGGTCTCCGGTCCCCTAGAGAGGGCCCTGGGGACTTTCACCTGACTCTCCCTTGGGTGGAAATGACTTTGGTTCAAGACCATGAAGACATTCAAGAAATTCAACTCACCAGGGTGGCTCTGAATTAATAGTTTCTTGGGGACTTTTCAATGATAATATTCTAAATTGAGCCCAGAAGCCACCCATAGTTATCATTTTACTTTGGAGATAAAACACGATTTTCCTGATCCATTTAACTCCCTCTTAGGTTGTACTAACTAACCTAACTCTCTCCTCCTGACTCCCTCCTAGGTTGTACCTAACTCCCTCTTAGGTTGTACTTCTCCACTGAGGCTCTTTTAAGCCCAGAGGAAATACTCAGATTAGAAGAGGTATGATGAAAAGATAGCATGAAAAGGAAAAGGAATCCAGATACCAGGTAGGGAATTAAAGTTGCCTGCTTTGAAAAAAAGTCAGTCTTGGAGATTTTAAAAAGTTCTGAGGGTGGATGGTGGTGAGGGTTGCACAACAATGTGAATATGCTTAATGTCACTGTCACTTAAAAATTGTTAGGGCCGGGCGCAGTGGCTCACACCCGTAATCCCAGCACTTTGGGATGCCGAGGTAGGCGGATCGCCCAAGGTCAGGAGTTCAGATCAGCCTGGCTAAATGGTGAAACCCCGTTTCTACTAAAAACACAAAAAATTAGTCGAGCGTAGTGGTGGGCACCTGTAATCCCGGCTACTCGGGAGGCTGAGGCAGGAGAATCGCTTGAACCTGGGAGGTAGAGGTTGCAGTGAGCCGAGATTGTGCCACTGCACTGCAGCCTGAGCAAAAAGAGTGAAACTCCGTCTCAAAAAAAAAAATTGTTAAAATATAAACTATATGTTATGTGTATTTTACCACAGTAAAAGTCAGCCTTGTACTAATATGCATACAACCCCTCAGTATGGACACGTAAGGCCAAAATTTGAGAGAGAAACTTATCCTAAAATCAAAAAACGACGAGGGCATTATGTTTCCATTTTTGCTATAGTTCTCTCACCATTTAAAACATATACGGTTAGAAAGACATTTAAATGTTGGCATCACCCAGGAAGCTCACCTCAAATTTATTGTTGACATTTAAAAGTGGTGCTAATTTACATGCAGCTCCTTCTGGCTACTTAATTTGTTATATTCATTATACAACTGAATAAAAACAAACAAAACAACACAACACCTCATACCTCCTCCCTAAAAACCTGTTTTGACATCTTCCCAAAATATAGCAACTATCTAAATGTCTTCTTACTTTTTACTTTCACTGGATTGAAATCTTTCTCGCAACTTGGTTCTCTAAAGAATTCTTGCCCCCCGCCCACAACACAACATGATGGGTTGACTGAGGTCACAGAGCTACAGGCTGCCAATCCTGGTGAAAAAATTTTTCCTTTCAGTCCTGGATTGATGTGGAAATAATTACACTAGTAAGGAGATCCAAGGTGAGTGGTAATACACAAATGTCAGGTACACTTCTGGACAGCTCAAGTGGAGCCAAAATTTTGGAGCAACAATTCTATAAGTATCAGCCACAGCAGCCCATGGCAGGCTGTCACCAGAAAGGGTAACGTTCATGCTTTCTTGGTTACAGTAACACATCAGGGGGATATCTTCTAACACTGTCAGTTAAATGACAGGGGTTATACAAAACCATAGATGTTTCCAAACAGGCAGGGACTGTAGAGGTCAATGAAGAACTCTTGTTTCTGTGGCTGAGCTCATTAATCTTCAACCAGAAAACAAAATGACAGTGGGAACAAGCTACCATCAGACATGGTTCATGTAGTACACACGACTGATCATCCCCATTGCAAAAGAATATGAATGCTAATTTCAGACATGACAGCATTTGACACACTCCCTTTTAATTTATTGCAGAAATAATATGAACATCTGGGAAAATGATAGTGCTAAATATCTCGTGAAGTAAGTCATTCTTAGAAAGGGATTTGTGACTTTGAAGTAATATATAATTAGCAAGATTTTAAAAATTATTCTTATGTACTGAAACTCAAAACAGACTAGCAAAGTACCTCCAAAAAAAAAACTATCAAATTAAACTAGAAAAGTATTTCCAAAATAAAGACGACCAAAAACTAGCCTGAGAATACTAGTTTTCTGTTGCTACAACACATTACCACAAACTTAGTGGCTTAAACACAAATCTATTATCTTACAGTTCTGCAGATTAGAGGTCCAACACAGGCTTCACTGGGCTAAAATCAAGGTGTTGGCAGGGCTGCGTTCCTTCTGGAGGCTATGGGGAAGTTTCTGTTTCCTTTCCAGTCTCAATTCTACAGGCTGCCTGCAACTCCCTGGCTTATGGCCCCTTCCTCCATCTTCAAAGCCAGCAATGGTGCATCTCTCTCTAACCGTTCTTCCATATTTCACATTCCCCTCTGACTCTGACACTCTTCCAATTCCCTCTTCCACTTTTAAGAACCATTCTGATTACACTGCGTCCACCTGGAGAATCTAGAAAAATCTCCCTATTTCAGCATCATTGGATTAGCATCTCAGTTCCACCTGCAACCTTAATTCTCCTTTCCCATTTAACCCATTTAGCCCTTTACGGCTCTGAGGATTCAGACACAGACATCTTTGGGGAGCATAGGGCATTATTCTGCCTACCATAATGAGATTCCACACATTAAATACACATTAAATGTACCACAGTTTAATAGTTTTGTGATAGTTCAATAACTGTCATTTGCTTTAATCTACAGAATTTTAAAAAATCTAAATAAAACTATTAAGCTGGCCAGATAAAATAGTAACAAAAAAAGTAAAGAGATATAAAACAAACTGTACACTATTACAAAGTAGTGGTTCTCTGTATGTCTATGTGTATATATGTATATATAAAACTATACAGATACATGTGTGTATATAAACATACATATGTATATATACACACATATACTTAATTTTAAAGTTAATCAAATGGTTATCAAAAATTAATATACAACAAAGATTCCTGGGAAGGTAATGCTTATATAAAATAAGGCCATGTTTCTAAAAATCCCTCAAATCAGTCCAAGATAAGATTTTTAATGAAGAACATAAAGGTTAAAGAAATTCTTTCTCTCCAGGTTAGCTGTTTTTCCCTACTTGTTTTCTTCTTGCTTTTTCCTGTTGTTGTCCATATTAAACTTCTTTGTGCTCTTAAAGGCCCGCCATCATGTGAAGTGGCCACGCCCCTTATGGACAAAGTCAAGCCACCAACTCCCAAATGTATCAGTGCAGCTGCTTCAGAGGAAATCACTGAAAAATAAAGAAAAACCATCCATGCATGGCTGCATCCAGTGTACCTGTAATCCTGAAGAAAAGGTCCTAATTCCTTCCATGCTGAAATGCTAGCTTTGGTTTCAGAGAGAGACTTTATTGCAACTGTGACCACCGTCACTGGTGAGCACTGCTGTTCGGCCCCCAGCGGACTTAAAAGACTGGAATGTGGTAGTGGCGGTCGTTCTCGGTCAGCAGGGAGATCTCCGGCCAGTCCCTGAGAGGCTCCTCTGGGTAGCAGACTTCAAAGTCTCTGGAGTTAAACTTGAACAGTCTGAACACTTTTATCTTTACTTCAAGGGAGTATCCAAGTATAAACATATCAATCTGTGGATGAGATGAAAGACAGGTCACAGATACACACTTGCAAATTCCTGCCTCCCGCCACGGTGGGGGGAAGTGTTCCTCTGCAGTTTATGAAATAATCTGCTTGTTGACAGACCCACCCATACACCACTGAGTGGGCACAGAGTTCAGAACAAATGCTCATTGTGTGGAAGGAAGGGGACGAGCATAGGAACAACTCTGTAGACTAGCATGTAAAAATCACGGCCAGGCGCGGTGGCTCACGCCTGTAATCCCAGCACTTTGGGAGGCCGAGGCGGGCGGATCACGAGGTCAGGAGATCGAAAACACGGTGAAACCCCGTCTCTACTAAAAATACAAAAAATTAGCCGGGCGCAGTGGCGGGCGCCTGTAGTCCCAGCTACTCGGGAGGCTGAGGCAGGAGAATGGCGTGAACCCGGAAGGCGGAGCTTGCAGTGAGCGGAGATCGCGCCACAGCACTCCCGCCTGGGCGACAGAACGAGACTCCGTCTCAAAAAAAAAAAAAAAAAAAAAAAAAAATCACAGGAAAAAGCTACTTGAAAAAAATTAGTGAAAAAATAAAAGAACACTCATGATAAAAACTACATTATTTTCCAATCAGTTTTATATCATTCAATCAGTTTTATATCATTTTATATCCATTTGTTTAAAAATGTCAGATAATTTTGTTCGCCCTCTAGGAAAGCAAAACAAAAAAGAAACTCTTTTCTAGAGGGATAAAAGCATTTTCATTTTCTGGCTTTAGAAAGTTTCAATTAATTTCTATTTATCTGCAATAGGTAACCAAACGCTTTCCCAAAATTATCTCATTTTCCACCTGGACTTTTTCCTGGTGAACGTCTATGTGAGAGAACCTGTTGGCATCTGGGAAGCAGCGTGAGAGGTCAGAAAGGCCCCGAGAATTGGTGCTCTCTGGCTAGAGGTCTGAGGAGACACAAAGCAGCCAGCACAGAATAATGCATTTATTAGTCTTCTTTTCCTCATTTGAGGGGCGATAATATCAATCAACCACCTCTGTGCAATCGCTTATGTCACCACTGAAAAGTCACCCCAGACACCTCTGTGTTCAAATAGTGCCACAGCATCCTTAATCAAATACAAGCAGTTCTTCCTCCCCGGTTACCTGCTCTAGTCCACATGTGTCGCCTACAGAATTCAGGTGATTCATCATGAAGCTCAAAGGATCAGAGGATGTCTCCCTGGAAAACAGGAGTCTAAAAAGACTGGGAATGACCTTTTTAGTCTTCATTTGTTCATAAACTTCAGTGACTTGATACAGCATGATGAACTTTAAAGCTTCATAAAGTTTATATTCCAGAATGGCATCTGAAAAAAGGGTGTTGCACATACTTCCTCTCTTGTGATAATCTCTAATGCCATTAAATTCAGTCCACTAAAAACAGATGTAAAAGTGAAATTCAGAAGGATAAAGGTGAAGACATATACCATTCCATAACTTTTAATGTATTTATAAAATAAACCAAAGATTAATAGAAAAAAGTGGAACTTTAACTCTTCACTTTCTATCTTTCGGCACTGTTTGATTTTTTTTAACCATAAAAGTATACTGCAGTGGACTGAACATGTCTCCCTCAACTTCCTATGTTGAAACCCTAATCCCAGGGTGATGGTATTAGAGGGTGTGTCCTTTGGGACGTGATTAGGTCCTGACGGTGGAGCCCTCATGAATGGACCTGCTACTCTTATAAGAAGAGGCCAAAGAGCTAGCTAGTTCTCCTTCCACTATGTGAAGACACACCAAGAAGACAGCTGTCTATAAAACAGGAAGAGGGCTCTCACCAAAAACCCCACTGTGCTGGCACCCTGATCTCTGACTTCCAATCTCCAGAACTGTGAAAAATCAATCTTTATGGGTTAAGCCACCCAATTTATGGTATTTTGTTATAGAAGCCTAAGCTGACCATAAAATGTTTACAATAAGAAATTAGTTTAGATAAAATATTTTTTTCAAAAAGTATCACCTACTAGTTAAATACAAAGCAAGTCAGTTTTCCAAAACTGCTTAGGATGGATGGGTTACACAAAGGATATTCCACAGAATAGTGCTAGTGTGCTTTAACATTCACTGTGTATTCTGCACAGTTTAAAGCTCTCTGTGTATTACGTCATTGAATCCTCACAATAATGGTACAGGATATACACTATTGATGTTTCTCTTTAATACATAAGAAAACTATGGACCAGAAAGGTTATTTCCCAAGGTAACCAAGCTAGTGGTAGGCTCAGGATTCATTTCAATCATCCAAAATCTGTGTCATTATTGAAAGACAGGAAGAAGTCTTAGTCAAATTATTACATCTGTGCCATTACCAAGTTATGAATGGGGTGCATTCCAGGAGAGCATTTCTGAGCACCTTGCCTGGACTTGCACCACATTTTTCTGGGGAAACAAAGGTACATGATTGGTAAGGTTTAAAGGCCGGCCCATAGAAGCCCCCGACCCTATAGGGCCTAATTATCGTGTAGAACAATGTTGCTCTCATTCACTTCTTGAAGGAGAAGGAAGAATAAGGAGGGAAATCATCAGTTACTAGAAGCATTTCTGCTTGCACTTCTTACTTTCCTAACATGAAGCAATGTCCCTGACATCAGAGAAAACTGGCTCTATCTGGGATATGTGCTTTTATTCCTAGTCTTTTTATTTCCCCCGCAAACACTTACCTGTGTTTTCAATAATTCCACATATTTCCGTAGTTTTCCAAACACATTCGAGCCTGTATACTTCTCAGGACCAAAACTGTACTGCTGAATCCAATTACAACCTTGTGAAAACAGCAGTTTTTCAGGAAGCTTGAAAAGGAAGTAGATGCCAACTATGATTAGCATATGAACGTTTATTACACACAATTTGCTGTATAGCACAGCACACAACCTTATCTTTTTTTTTTTCGAGATGGAATCTCACTCTGTTGCCCAGGCTGGAGTGCAGTGGCGTGATCTCGGCTTACTGCAACCTCCACCTCCCAGGTCCAAGCGTTTCTGCTGCCTCAGCCTCCTGAGTAGCTAGGACTACAGGCATGAGCCACCACGCCCAGCTAATTTTTTGTATTTTTAGTAGAGACGGGGTTGCACCATGTTGGTCAGGCTGGTCTCGAACTCCTGACCTCAAGCAATCTGCCCGCCTTGGCCTCCCAAAGTGCTGGAATTACAGGTGTGAGCCACAGCACCCGGCCCAAACTTACCTCATTTAGCAATCTTTATTTTAAAAGACTATAGCAACAGTTAAGTATATTGCCTTCTTTTAGATTTGTGCCTCAGGTTATTTTTACATCATATTCTTACAATTTCACAAGTGATGAAAACATAGAATTGTGTCCATAGAAACAATCTTTTTTGTTAAAATAGTTACCAAACTTACTATATGTAGCCCTTTAGAAATTATTTTTAACCAAATGATGTTAGGGCAGTATATTACATCAGGGAACAGGTGGATTTTAGAATGATGCACTCTGTGGCTCACACCTGGCTGTCACTCACCAGCTGAGAGATTACTTAACCGGCATGGATTACTTAACTTCTTAGCCTCATCCTCCATTGTAACATACCAATAATACTGTGCATTTTATAGGACTCTTGTTAGGATTAAATAAGATTATGGTGTATGTAAGAGTCTAATCCATCATAGGTATCCAATACATTTTCCCATCCTACTCAGTTTGCTGAGCCTGGGAATCTCTGTTGTGGTTGTTTTGTTTTGTTTTCTTTTTTAAAGACAAGGTCTCACTTAATATGGTTTGACTGTGTCCCCACCCAAATCTCATCTTGAATTCCCATGTGTTGTGGGAGGGACCTGGTGGGAGGTGACTGAATCGTGGGGGCAAGTCTTTTTCCTGTGCTGGTCTCATGATAGTCAATAAGTCTCACAAGATCTGATGGTTTTAAAAAGAAGCGTTCCCATGCACAGGCTCTCTCTTTTTGCCTGCCACCAACCACATAAAATGTGACTTGCTCCTCTGACTTCCGCCATGATTGTGAGGCTTCCCCAGCCACATGGAACTGTCTCTAAGTCCAGTTAAACCTCTTTCTTTTGTAAATTGCTCAGTCTCAGTTATGTCTTTATCAGCAGTGTGAAAACAGACTAATACAGTAAACTGGTACCAGGACTGGGGTGCTGCTGAAAAGATACCCGAAAACATGAAAGCGACTTTGGAATTGGGTAACAAGCAGAGGTTGGAACAATTTGGAGTGCTCAGAAGAGGACAGGAAAACGTGGAAAAGTTTGGAAGACCCTAGAGACTTGTTGAATGGCTTTGACCAAAATGCTGATAATGATATGGATAATGAAATCCAGGCTGAGGTAGTCTCAGGTGGAGATGAGGAACTTGGAAACTGGAGCAAAGATGACTCTTGTTATGTTTTAACGAAGAGACTGGTGGCATTTTGCCCCTGCCCTAGAGATTTACGGAACTCTGAACTTGAGAGAGATGATTTAGAGTATCTGGTGAAAGAAATTTCTAAGCAGCAAAGCATTCAGAAGTGACTTGGATGCTGTTAAAGGCATTCAGTTTTGAAAGAGAGAGCGTAAAAGTTCAGAAAATGTGCAGCCTCACAATGCTATAGGAAAGAAAATCTCATTTTCTGAGGAGAAATACAAGCTGGCTGCAGATATTTGCGTAACTAATGAGAAGCCAAATGTTAATCACCAAGACAATGAGGAAAATGTCTCCAGGACACGTCAGAAACCTTTACAGCAGCACCCGCACCACGCCCCCCCACCCGCCCCATTACAGGCCCAGACACCTAGGAGCAAAAAGCAGTTCCATGGGCCAGGTCCAGGGTCCCTCTGCTGTGTACAGTCTGGGGACTTGGTGCTCTGCATCTCGGCCACTCCAGCCATGACTAAAAGGGGCCAAGCAAGGTATAGCTAGGGCCATGCCTTCAGAGGGTGCAAGCCCCAAGCCTTAACAGCTTCCACGTGGTGTTGGGCCTGTGGGTACACAGAAGTCAAGAACTGAGGGTTGGGAACCTCCACCCAGGTTTCAGAGGATATACAGAAATGCCTTGATGTCCAGGCAGAAGTTTGCTGCAGGGGAAGGGCACTCATGGAGAACCTCTGCTAGGGCAGCGTGAAAGGGAAATGTGGGGTGGGAGCCCCCACACTGAGACCCCATCCCCACTGGGGTGCTGCCTAGTGGAGCTGTGAGAAGAGGGCCACCGTTCCCCAGACCCCAGAATGGTAGAACCACCAACACCTTGCACCATGCACCTGGGAAAGCCACAGGCACTTGACACTAGCCTGTGAAAGCAGCCAGGAGGGAGGCTGTACCCTGCAAAGCCACAGGGGCGGAGCTGCCCAAGACCATGGGAACCCACCTCTTGCATCAGTGTGACCTGGATATGAGACAGAATCGAAGGAGATCATTTTGGAGCTTTAAGATTTGACTGCCCTGCTGGATTTTGGACTTGCATGGCCTGTAGTCCCTTTGTTTAGGCCAATTTCTCCCATTTGGAATGGCTGTATTTACCCAGTATCCCCACTGCATCTAGGTAGTAACTAAACTGCTTTTGATTACAGTTGCAGTTATTGTCAACATGACATTTCCCACATTTCCAGGGGGAAGACATACCTTAAGAAGGGACTTGCCTTGTTTTGGATGAGACTTTGTACTGTGAACTTTTGAGTTAATGCTGAAATGATTTAAGACTTTGGGGGACTGCTGGGAAGGCATGATTGGTTTTGAAATGTGAAGATGTGAGATTTGGGAGGGGCCAGGGGTGGAATAATATGGTTTGGCCGTGTCCCCACCCAAATATCATCTTGATTGTCTTTATCAGCAGCATGAAAACAGACTAATACACACTCTATCACCCAGGCTGGAGTACAGTGGTGCAATCATAGCTCAGTGTAACCTTAAACTCCTAGGGTCAAGCAATCCTCCCATCATAGTCTCCCAAAAGTAACTATGACCATAGGCATGACCACCATGTCTGGCTACATTTTTTTATTTTTTGGCAAGATGGAGTCTTGCTCTGTTGCCCAGGTTGGTCTTAAACTACTGGCCTCCAGAGATACTCCCAACTTGGCCTCCCAAAGTGCTGGGATTACAGGCATAAGCCACGGCTCCTGGCCTCTGTTGTATTTTTATATCTTTGTCCTCAGCAATTAGCAACTGGGCTAGCACATTGCATATATTTGACAAGCATTTGCTAGATGAAATGGAACTAATAGAAACAAGTTTAAATAAAAGATATTAAGAAAATTGAACACACACACACGTGCGCACACACACACATATTTTATATTTCTTTGCACCTCTATCCTTAAATGTAGTTCCTATATTAGACATACTGCATTTAAAATAAAAACTCAGGTTACTTATCAAGAATGCACTGCCTTACATTGTTAAGAAAATCAGAAGCCACAGACTGGAGAAAATATATGTAAATCATATATCTGACAAAGCACTGTATTCAGAATAAAGAACTCTCAAGACTCAATAATTTAAAAAAAAACATAAAAAATGAGCAAAAGATTTGAATAGCCATTTCTCCAAGAAGATAACAGGGATGACAAATAAGCACATGAAAAATGCTCAACATCATTACTCATTGGGGAATGCACACTAAAAGCACAATGATACCAATTCACAACTATTAGAATGGCTAAAAACAAAAACCTGACAATATCAAGTGCTGGTGAGAATGTGAAACAACTGAAACATTGCTTATACATTGTTGGTGGGAATACAAAATGGCTGGGCCACTTTGGAACGCAGCTTGGCAGTTTCTTATGAAGTTAAACATGCACCTAGCATACAAGCAGGCAGTCTCACTCCTAGCTACTTATCCCCTCAATATGAAACCTATTGTTCATACAACATCCTGTATGAGACTATTTATAACCACTTTATTTATAGTTGCCCCAAACTAAAAACAATCCAGATGTCCTTCAACTGGTGAATGGATAAACAAACTGTAGTACATTCATGTAAAGGAATACCACTCAACAATAAAAAAGGATGAAATACAAATTCACAGACACATTCAATTGAACATGCATTGTGCTAAGTGAAAGAAACCAGATTCAAAAAGCTACATACTGAATGATTCCATTTATATGACATTCTGGAAAAAGCAAAACTATAGGGACAGAAAATAGATCAGTGGTTTTCAGGGGCTGGGGTAGGAGGAGGATGGACTACCAAAGTATACAAGAGAATCTTTGGGGTGGTCACAAACTATGCATTTATTAAAACTCTCATTAACTATAGAGTAAAAAAGTGAATTTTGCTTGATCACCTTACTTATAAAAGAACAGATGCCCCTCAAGAAAAGATGGTGGCATTAAAAACAAACACAGATAATGACTATCTTCTGAGATGGTTTATTTGCAACTGACATGAGAGACAGAGGACTGGATTAAATGGCCTCTTAAAATTCCTCTGGCCAGACATGATGGCTCACACCTATAATCCAAGCACTCTAGGAGGAGGAAGTGGACAGACTGCTTGAGCCCAGAAGTTCAAGACCAGCCTGGGCAACACGGAAAACCCTGTCTCTACAAAAAAATACAGAAATTACATGGGCGTGGTGGCATGCACCTGTGGTCCCAGCTACTCAGGAGGCTGAGATAGGAGAATCACTTGAGCCCAGAAGGTCAAGGCTGCATTGAGCCATGATCACCCCACTACACTCAATCCTGGGTGACAGTGAGATCTTGTCTCAAAAAAACAAAAAAATCTCTTCAATCTCATGGTCATCTGAGTACAAAGCCCCCAAAGACTAGGAGTCTGAGTTGCAGTTATTGTCAACATGACATTTCCCACATTTCCAGGGGGAAGACATACCTTAACAATGTCCTTTTCTTTCATCCATGATGGAAAAGAGATGCCCTGGCTGAATATCTGAAATAACACTGATCTGAGAGCATCATAGTTATCTCTCCTTACTTGTCGAACACATTTAATGTGATGCCGCCAAAATAGCTCCTCATAAGCCTAATAAAATAAAAAGAGAAAGTTGTTTATTAATTCCACTGGACAAGAAAATAAAGTGAATTCACTGTATTTTCAGTGAGGTGTTCCTCCCAACTAAAGTGGACAACAGAAACAATGATAAATTACGAATATGACCGCATGTAATTTTAAAGTGACTCTCATTTGTACAAGTGTATTTTAGATGATAAATCCTGGAAGCAGAGCCAGGGAAGGTCACCTTGGGCAGATAAGGGATGCGACCTAACCACAGTGAAAAACTCTGTATACTTTTAGGACCATGCTAAGTACTTTATATGTACTCCCTCCACCCTTTTTTGCTTTTGCTAGTGGCAAGATTGGGCAGCACTGCTGGGGATATTTACCAAGATTGGTCCAATAAAAATTCTAAAAATCCTCAAAATATTTTACATCAGGGTGCCTGATCTTTTCAAAGACAGTCTCCACTGCACATGCGGATGTTTAATAGGCCTGGCCAGGAGGGTGCTGAAAAGGCACAATGCCTGAGTTTCCTGGAATTACAGACCTCATCGACCTGAGCCCTTGAGGGCACGAGCTCCAGGTAAAAGCCCAAAGCCAAGGTCTAACAGCCATTTGGCTTTTGAGTTAGAGCCACAGTTGTTACTTGACTCACATTTTGGTACTGATGGATATCTGGATTTAGTAAAGCAGAAGGGAATGTTTGTTTCCTGATTTTGACAGACAAACTCTATTTCTCCCATACCCTCTAAAAACAGACACACCTTCCTCATCAGCTTGTTACGGGGTGTCTCTCCTTTCCATTCTCTTGCACAATAACTGAGTAAATCAACCTCTGCCTCCACACTGAGGTTCCCTGGACCAAATAAAAAATAAAAAGCTGTTAATTCTCCCTTTCTTCTCCCTTCTTGAACCCTCTCTGCACCTTAAAAATAAAGAAATAAATGAATGAAAATATTTACTTTTGAATTTTCTCTGCAGATATCCAATCCACCTGAAAGATAAAAGGGAACAATAATATCAGAATTCTGCTTTGAATAGTAAAGATACATTTGAAATTTAAGGATGATACAGTGACCTACCATTTCAGCTTGTGCCCTGAATATAAATGTAGCCTCCGGAAGTAGCAGATGGCAGCCACCAGAAATGAAACTGCCAACATCACAAAGCCTTTTGCCATTCTCCAGACAGTGTCTAAGGCTTGGCTTGTAGCTAGCATCCAGGAGTGAACTTGGTCACTTCCTATGAAAATTACAAAAAAAAAAAAAAAAAAAGCACATCACAATTACACAAGTTTGCTTTAAGAGAAAAAAAATGCAGAGAGAGATTGCATAATTTTACCTGCAAAGTATCTATCACTGATTTACATAAATATTTTTAAAGTATTTAAAAATTCAATCCAAAAATTAAAGAAATTTTTAATTTCTTTATGGTTCTCCCATAATCAGCACCATATACAAGACCATCTTTGTTCCACAAAATTAAGAAGAATAAAGAGTATGGGCTTCAGAATCTCTCAGACTTGAACTCAAAACCTGCCTCTACTATTTGATGTGTGACTATGGCAACCTAACTCCTCTTCTGAATTTTCTTGACTGTACAATGAGTGTGAAAACACTGACTTGGCTAGGGAAAGGTGGAACAAAATTTTTAAGCACTAGCACAATGCCTGCCACACACTTGGTTCTTGCTGAATATCTGAATTGGATCCCATACACAATTACAGGGATTCAATCCAGACCCAAATACACTGCAGGCAGTCAAACCAGGTGACGTCTAGCGATGCCTCCAGAGACGCCTCTGTGTTCGTCCATTCTCATGCTGCTAATAAAGACATACCCGAGACTGGGTAATTTATAAAGGAAAGAGGTTTAATTGACTCACAGTTCAGCATGGCTGAGGATGTCTCAGGAAACTTACAATCATGGCAGAAGGGGAAGCAAACACATCCTTCTTCATATGGCAGCAGGTAGGAGAAGTGTCAAGCAAAAGGGGGGAAAGCCCCTTATAAAACCCATCAGATCTCGTGAGAACTCACTAGCATGAGAACAACATGAGGGTAACCACCCCCATGATTCAATTACCTCCCACTGGGTCCCTCCCATGACACTTGGGGATTATATAATTCAAGATGAGATTTGTGTAGGGACAGAGCCAAACCATATCAGTCTCCAATATCCACTTCTGCCCATTTATATATTTTTGAAACATTGCATGCCATAACATATGGCATCACTTTAGCAGCACAGAGCAAGTAACTCAGACAGCAGGCACATAGATATCATTTCCAGAAAGTAGACCACTTAAAAGGAGTCATGAGATCTATTTAGTGATGCTGCATATGATATACACTGTGATTCCTGATTTGACAAAAGAGAAAACTAACAGGACTAGAGAGTTCAAACAGTGCACTTGTAATATTTTGCTATGTTCAGTAGATTCCTTATTATGTTTGAGCACATAAAATGCTGAAGTACAAATGAGAAAGAGGACTTTGAATAATGACCAAACCTCTGGGGTTCATTGCAAAATAATTTCCTCCACAGTACATAATTTAGTAAAATTCCAGTGATTAACTCCAGTAAAAGACTCATCAATGTAGAATCTAAAATTTTGACAGTTTTTATCATCTGGATATTTGATGTGATATTTACACTTATAAAGAAATAATTTGCCAGCAAATAAAGAAAAAAACACTAGCAATTTTTTTTTTTTTTGAGATGAAATCTCGTTCTTGTTGCCCAGGATGGAGTAGCAATGGTGTGATCTTGGCTCACCATAACCTCTGCCTCCCGGGTTCAAGTGCTTCTCCTGTCTCAGCCTCCCCAGTTGCTGGGATTACAGGCATGCACCACCATGCCCGACTAGTTTTTTACTTTTAGTAGAGATGGGGTTTCTCCATGCTGGTCAGGCTGGTCTCGAGCTCCCAACCGCAGGCAACCCGCCCACCTCAGCCTCCCAAAGTGCTGGGATTACAGGCGTGAGCCATGGCGCCTGGCCAACAATAGCAAATTTTAAAGATACATTTACAATTACTTAAAAGGATATTTTCAAAAACAAGTGCTTATCTGTTTAGAACAGTTAATTAGCTATTCAAATCATTATATATTTATTCTTACCTAGACATTTAGTAAAACTTTTTATGAAAGCTTAAAAATGTAATGCTATATTGCCTTTTACATCTATAATTTAGATTTTTATTAATTTAGCTTGATTTTTCAACTTTAAAAATTCTGACACAAGCAAATATTTTTAGTGAAGCTTTAAATTCATGGAAGAACTAGAATTTTACACAGGTGATACATACTTTCTTTTACTGTAGGTACAAATGTTTTTTAGAAAAATGGACTATAACATGATTTTAGTTTTTTCCTCATTATAAAAGTTGGACATCTTTTCATATCAGCACACATAAATCTACATTATTCTTTTTAATGATGCATAATATTTCAGTATAAACTGTCCTAAATGTAAGCATTGCCTTTTTTTGAGACAGGGTCTTGTGCCGTTGCCCAGGCTGGAGCATGGAGCACAGTGGCATGATCACAGCTCACTGCAACCTCAAACTCTTAGATTCAAGCCATCCTCCCGCCTCAGCCTAACACTGCCTTATTGATAAACACTTGGATCATTTCCCATTTCTCACTTTTACAAACAATGCTGTGGCAAATATGCTTTTCTAACAGTCCTTGTGGTAGATTTTTAATAGGATAATTTCAAGAAAAGAAAATTCTAGGTCACAGGGTGTGCACATTTTCAGTTTTGACAGACACTACCACAGACTCTCATCACATACACGAGAGCACCTACTTCCCTAAACCCCAGTACTGGTGTGATTTCTCACTTTAGGCTCCATTTACAAGGAAAGCTCTCCTGTACATACTGGCTGTTCACATCTCTTCTTCTCTGAAGGCCTTTTGAAAGCATCTGCCTATTTCCCACAGGGTGGTGCTCACTTGTGGGTGGATGTGAAGGGCTTGCAGTCACTGAAGTGGGGATGGCTGCTGCCCCCTCCACGGACACATGCTCTCGTCTGTCGCAGGCTCCACCCAACCTGCTGCAGTTACAACCCAGGAACCTACTAGTTGGCAGTTACCAACTAGCCCCTGTGGAATTTGAGGTGAGACCCTGAAGCTGGGCCATCTCTCTTGAGCACAGGGCCTCTCTTGTAGCTCCCAGGCCTCCATGGGGACCCGCTACAGACCATGGCTCTCCCCACTCACATATACTCTTCCTACCACATGCCCTTACCCTCAAATCTCAACCCCACCTACAATCCAAGAGATTGTGATATGATCAACCCGTCAGAAAAAAAAACCTAGAACACATGCCTGTACTCCTGGTCTCCCTCTACCCAATGTGTCCACATTGTTTTGTCAAGTAACTGCAGCCAAGAAGGGCCAGGGAGCCTATTCATGGGGGTGCTGGTGTGGGTACCAGAGAACCATCTGGAGGTGGATGGAAGGGTACTCTGTTGGACTTGTGAAGTCACATGGAAGCAGGCCATGGCCGTATAGCCATGTATAGGATCTATACGAGCTGTTCACTGATGACATTAGGAGTGAGCCTTCTCTATCAAAGGAGAAATGCGTTTTAGTAGGAAAGAGTATGACTTCACCAATAGCTACAATAGCTACAGTTTAAGCTTTTATTATGTGCCAGCCCCTATGTTAAGTGTTCTACAGGAATTAATTCATTTACTCCTATGACCATGCCATGGAGCAGGCAGTAAGAAGTCTCTAGAGTCTAACAACATGGTCCCCATGCTGGCCCTGCATACTGCAGCATGTGATATGGGGCAAGTGATTTCCCCTCCCTAAGCCTCAGTTTCTGAACCTAGGAATGAAGACAGCACATAGTAGAGCCTGGTGCACAGTGAGTGCTCAGTGCATGGTCACTCTTACTATCATCACTGCATCACAACACAGGAGGCACAGCAGGATCCACCTCTCAGGGCTGCTGTGAGACTGAAAGTAAATGTTGGGAAAGCACCTGGCACCATACCTGACACACACCATAAGTACCCAATAAACACGAATTATTGTTTTTATTGTTATTACTCTAGTAACCCTTATTTTGCAGAGAAAACTTTGAGGGGGAAAACATTAAATAATTGCCCAATGGGACTCGGCCAGTAAGTAGAAGAGCCAGAATTCAAAAACAGGAGCAATGTGATATACTATGGTATGAATGTGTCCCCAATGTGTCCTACATGTTAGTTTTATGTGTTGGAAACTTAATCACAAAATTCATATGATGATTGGAGGTGGGGCCTTTGGGAAATAATTAGGATTAGATAAGGCCATCAGCATGGGGCCCCCATGACAGGACTGGTGGCTGACCTGCATGCTAATACCCTCTCACCACGTGACGCCCTCCACCACATTACAATGCAGCAAGAAGGCCCTCACCAGATCTGGTGCCTGCTGTGCTCTTGGACTCCCCAGTCCCCAGAACTGCAGGAATAAACTTGTTTTCCTTATAAATCACCCAGTCTGTGGTATTCTGTTATAACAACAGAAAATGAACAAAAACATGATGCCAGAAGTTGCCTCCTTTACCACTTGGCTGTCCTGCTTCTGAATTAGGGAACCAAGGAAATCTTCAAATTAATATTGCTATAGCAAGTAAATTAAGACTCTTTAAAAGGAAAATTTAAAAAAAATTATCCTTCCTGGGCTAATAACTGAATTACAACTAAAAAATGATACAGAAGAAAACACCGTAATGAGACATCTTGCAAAACAGTGTCATAATGACAGTTCTGATGACCTCCAGCATCAAATCTCATTTCCCCAAATACAACTGAGATAAAATTGTGGATATCAGAAGGTTCATAGGGGTCCCCCTTCCACCAGCCTGCCAAGGAGAATTCTGCAGTCCCTGGCCCAGCTTTCCCGCCTCATCCCTGGAGAGGGATGCCTGTGGAAGGCTTGGTGATTGGGACTCAGAGAAACAGGAAGGGAGAAAAGGTTTCACCTCCACGAATTCAGTCATTCTACATAAAAAAAGAACAAAAAGGAGTGTGTTGGGAGGGGACAAGTTTTGGCAAAAAAAATCTCCAGAAAGTCCACAAGGGGACTTCCAGGACAGTAGGAGCCTCAGGTCCACAGTGAAGTTTCACAAGTCCACAAGGAAGTTGCAAGGGGAAGTGGAAAAGAGCAGTGTTGCCAGAAATTATGGATTTGATCCTCTTTAATGCCTGTGAAGATACACAAAAACATGAAATTTCTTTTCAATATTTTTGGGCTGAACCACTTGGGTGGTGGCTGAAATGAGACCATACATACAGCACAATGCATGTCTGTTATATTGCAAAGTGTATTACCTAGGTCTCATACATCCCCCTAGTCATCAGCATTAATGCATGTTGGGACCCCGACCCACACAAGCAGAAGTAATGCTTCAGCAGTGAACATGTCCTAGAGGAATTATACCAGGACCTCCTGAAATCAACAAAGTGAATATCAGAAACTAAAATCTGATCTGTGATCACTCAAACGATATATGGCAGATGAGACTGTTGGTCAGAACTACACAAAAAAAAAAAAAAAAAAAAAAAAAAAGCACCGTTTTTGGTGGTAAAATTCTACTTAGTGTTTTTTTTTTTCCATTCTCTACAATATACCAAAGCTGAAGTAATTCAAACATTAAAACAGGAAACCAAATACACACACACATACCCCAAAACCCTGAAAACAAAACTAAAAGACACTGAAGAGCCGGAAACCAAGTGATCGTGCAAACAGCAGTTCTACCCCAGGAGCCTGAGGCTCCTACTGTCCTGGACATCACAGTCTCTCTATCTCATGGAAACTCAGCAGCGTCTGGTTTGCCTCAAACTTCCAGAATCTGTACTATCTCTACTTCCTCATGGGCCAGCTGCATAGTCCTCAACCTTGTCTACTTCCTCTCCTGATCTTATTCATGGTATATACAATATCAGTACCTCCACACTTTCTCTCTACACACAGACTCTGTCACCTGCATCTAGCCCACTGACTTTCTCCTGAAGCAGAGGTGGTCTTTCAAGGGCTACTGAGCAGGCCAGGGAGCAGGGACATCAACTCTGAGCTGGGAGGACATAAAGGCAATTTAATTTAGATGTCTGAGGTCGCAGAGAAAGTGAAGAAATATACATACAGTGAAATCACCTGGCTAAAAGAACTTAAGGTAGAAGTACTACATTTAATAAACACAACAGGTATTTCTATCTGCTTCAATGTCCTATTATGGTTAGTTAGCAGACGATGGAAGAGAGAGTGGTGAAGAGAGGCTGATGGAATAGGAAGGAACTCAAGGGAGGGGTGAGAAAGGACACTCTGTGGCAAGAGAGGTAGGAAGATGGGGGTGGGTGAGCAAGCAGAGGACACAGAGACTCCTGAGGTGCTGGGGAAACTTCACACTTTTCTGAGCTGTGCCATGGAACCCTGCTCCCTTTGAAAAGGTGAATATGGCTTTTAGGTCATTTGTAATCAAGGGCAGGAAGTGCTGTACAGAGGAATAAACTGAAGCCAATGGAACAGGCAGACAGGGACGGGCTGGGAAGGGCTGCCCGCTCCCTTCCCCAGACCCCTCACCAATTCCTCACACTTCTTCCCCCCTGGGCTGGATGCCAGGCAGGGAGGCAGTGAAGTGCAAGACACGGTCCCTGCCCACAGGGACCCCCTGGCCTGGGGACACAGTGTCCTCCTGTCAGCTGGTTGGGTGAGCACCTCCATTCCCCAGTAGGTCACCTCTCTCATAGGCTTTTAGTTTCTCCTTAGGCCTCAGTGTGACTGCAGGGAAAAGCTGGGAGCCTTCAGTGTGGGAACTGATTGTTTAATTCTGAGAAACTCAGCTCCAGAATAAAGCAAAATATTGTACATTAGTCTAAACAAATAAATTAAGCACTACACAAACAGAAGGAAAAACACACAGAACAAATCCTGTTAGGCCATCAAGTTTTCTAAATAATTTGGAGCACATGGAGATTCAAGAGATTTCTAGAAGTTAGCACAGCAGTGTGAAAGAGTAAGTTTAAATTGTGTTGGTTCTTGCAAAATCATAGATTAGTTGGTTGTTTTTCTACCAGTTACGGGGGAGATATTCAGAAAAAAAACACCCTCTTAATAAATCCTTAAACTCAAAGGACCATCTGAACTTTTGTATTTCAGTTATTAATTCTGCTCAATAAGAAATGACAGTCTTCCACTTAGTAGAATACAATAACCAACAACTACAAGATCAATATCACTGAGAAAGAGAACCACCAAGTGGGAGGATTTTATCTTGAAAGTCATGACCACTAAGACATTCAACTGTAGGCTGTCATGCAACCCACTTATGCTATCAGCACCATCCCCCCAGGATGGGGCACACTGCCCCCAAGGCGCCCACTAAACTGAAAGTATCAATAAATATGACAGGAAGCTGCTCCTGGCCAAACACTGAGAGGATTGTGTGTGTGTTTTCTTTAGTAACATCACAGCTGAGAGTCGGGCACATCTCTTGACTGGGCACATCTTCTAGAGATGTTGAATGCAACCCATCATTTTAAAGGTAAGTTTCATTTTCTAATCATTGCATTTTAAAAATCCACCCAACTATAAAACCACAAAAGCTATAGATGGGATAGGCTACTACTAAAGAGGAAGTTGTAATTCCTTCCCCGTGGAGTCACAGAACTCCAGCACTGCCACTGCTTTATCCAACCACACAGGCCTCCTCAGCCTGGGAGAGACAACTCATTCGACAAAAATGAGCAAAGGACTCTTGTCTTCATTCTGTCATTTTCTAGCTAGAGGACTAATCACTTAGCCTTGATGACCCCAAGAAGGTACTCCAATGGCCAAAAAGTGGTGATAGCACAGGGTTGGAACAAAATTAAACAAAAAAGCACTATCTGAATATAAACCATTTGGCTACCATCTCCCACCATCTGTCATCCAACCACTGCTTACATACCTCTCGGCTGGCAACTCGCTCCATCCTGTGGGAGTCCATTTCCTTTTTCCCTTTTTTGGAATGTTTCTCTCTTTATTGATCAACTTTGATCATTATTCTACGAACATAGATTAAGCTCCTCCCGCAGGCCAGGCACAGTGTCAAGAGCTGATGCTACAATTATAAATGCAACCGACTGGATTCTCCTGGCAGGGACTAACAGACAGACTCCTAGTGGGAACAGAGCACCACTGAGGCAACGCTCCAGAGGAAAGGAATGCAGGTCCACAAGCACTGTAAGAAGGGAATCTGAGCTAAACGAAGTTGGAGAATGCTTCCCTAGGACATGAGACTGAGCTGAGATCCAAGGTTGGACAGGGGCTTGCAAGGCAAGGAAAGTGAGGGGAGGCTGGAGAAGCCTGAAGGTCCCGTTCAAGAGGCTGATGTTTAACTGAAGAGCAAGGGAAGGCTCTGAGAGTTTTAAGCAAGAGATTGAGGTGTTCAGATCTGTAACCACCCTGGAATCTATTGCTTGGGGTTATGAAGAACCAGTCTGATTCCTCTTCCATATGACGACCTTTTACATTTTTCATGGGATTGCAGAATGCTTTGGGCTAAAGGCAGAATTCTACTTGTTTTTTAGGCTTCCCAGAGTGCTCCCTCAGCAATATGTCCACACTGCAGGCTAGTTCAGTGTATTCATGACTGTTTCCCACTAACACCTCTAAGGCAAATGCTGAATCTTAATTCACTGTGGATCTGGTCATCTGATGAGCTCTAACAGGAATGCTTCACTTTTTGAGGTGAAGAAACTGAAGCACAGAAAAGAAGTAGAAGTCTGAACTTGAACACCCAGGTTTTGATGTAGAGCTGTGCCCTCTGAACTAACCACTGTACATTACTGCCTTCCCCTGAGTAATTCTCTTCGAAGTTCTATCATTTCCATCATTTCCACTCTGCATCTTTCTCTCTTATAGTTTAGACAGCTCCTGTTTTCTCAACCAGTCCCTACATGATATCTTTGGGGAGTCTCTTCGTGGTCCTGGTCAGTCTTCTCTAAACTCATTCCACACTTAATGTGAGACCCCAGGTCAAACACAATGTCCTGGGTGTGATCCCCAGGACAGAATTCAACAAGGTGACCACATTCTTCATTCTACATCAGGGGTAAGTCTTCTGAAAAGGGTCAGAGAGTACATATTTTAGGTCTCATCGGCCATGTGGTCTCTGTCTCAACTACTCAGCTCTGCCCTTACACAGGGAAAGCAGCCACAGACAATACACACAGGGCTCCAATCCAATAAAGCTTTATGTATGGACATTGAAATTTATATTCCATCTAATTTTCACATGTCAGGAAGTGGTATTCTTTTTATTTTTTTCCCAACCATTTAAAAATGGAAAAACCACTCTGAGGTCATAGGCCATGTAAAAACAAACAGCAGGCCAGATATGACCCATGGGCTGTGGCTTGCTGACCCTGTTTTAGATGATACATTCACAGCAATGCAGCCTGTGATTGTACTGCACAGCTACAAACAACCCAAAAGCTACTGACTCACATTCAACCTGCTGTCAGCTTAAAGCCCTTTGGACCTGTGCTGGGGTGTGTTTCCCCATCTTCTGAAGGGAAGAGAGGGCCAGGGGTTTCACTCACTCTCAAGTTTCCCGGTGGAGAGGCCTTCCTGGAGGTGGGGTTCTGGCTCCCCTACTACCGCCTTTACTCCTTCCTGAAGGTGAGAGATTGATCTGAGTGGCAGATTTTTTTAAAATGGCATGCCCAGCTCAGCCCCTTTCACCCCACAGACCTGCCCGCACAGAAGGAATCCTTGGGCCTGCCCTCTCCTTGGGAGGGAGGCCTAGAACTTTAGGATGGAGTTCAGCTTGGGCACTGCTAGCAAGCCCAACTGGCCACACAACTAAGACACGTGGATTTTATGTCACTGAGCTGACTTAGAAAAATATATTTTTAATCTCTGACATCTGTATCTACCTTTCAGTCCAGAACATGGGAAGGGAAACAAAGGATTATCCAGATCATGTGGGCCAGTTCTGGGATCTTTAGACCCAGGCAGGACCTGACATTTATCTCTGCTAGATTTCATTACTGATTTGGCTCACTGCTTTGACCTGCCAGGGCTTTGGTGGCACGTGGTCTGGTTCAACTCTCAGGCCTTTTGCCCTGGGGGTGACTTTTCCATTACTCAGAATCATTTGGGCACCATCACTAATAGTTACTAATCCTTTTGATTGGTCTCCCTTCCCCAGTTCTGTTTTCTACTCCACAGCCAGTGTGGGTTTGTTTTTTAAACATTCGATGGATGTATCATCTCCTGTGCAAAACTCTTTACAATGCAAAACTCTTTACAATGTAAAACTCTTTCCATGGCTTTTCTCATTTGTAGGAAAGACCCACATCCTGCTAGCCCCTGATGTCAGCTGGAAAGGACCCTAACAAATTGTCAGAAAGGTAAAAAATGGTCATTACCTATAGTAGCATCCTAGCCAGAGACCTCAGGAGCTGGTTCTTCTGTAACCAAGAATAGTAGTGACAGTCAGTGGCTTATAAAGCCACAACTCAACCCATAACCTCTCACCCATCCCCTGGGACCAACTGAGAAGTCAAGATTTGTCCCCCTGGGTTCAGTGTGATCTTGCTGATGGGACCACACTGCAGAAGCCTCCTTGGCCACCTCCCCGCCCTAAGTCTTTAACCCCTGTCTCCTATCATGGACTCATATACCTTTACATGGGCCTATAGATCTGCTCTCCTAAAGGGAGACCAGTGGCTTCAAAAATAACCTCATCAAACTTTATAGAACATTGCTACTCAAAGTCCACAGGACAGCAACATCAATACCATCTGGGACTTCTTAGAACTATAGATTCTCAAACCCCTTGGAAACATAATCTGCATTCCATCAAGACCCCCAGGACCCTGGCCCTGGCTCCAGTGGATTTTCAGATTTATTAGGCTGGGGCCCAGGTATCTTTTTTAAGCTCCCCAGTAATTCCAACATTGCCAGTGTTGAGAAATCCTGCTGTAGAGTAATAGCATCCCCTACCCTTAGCTGCTTCTGTTATCTCAAATACATCATCAGATGCCAATCAATTTCCAAAGTTACCATTAGGAGAAATCAGTCCAGATAAAGAAAAATCTTACTGGTCAAGTAATCCAACTAAAAGTAAGTGTTGTGTCTGTTTTGTGTGTCTGTTTTGTGCCCATTTCCCTTTGGCCAAAGTAAGCGGTTACTTTTACTAGTCACAGCTGTTGTTTTTCTATGGCTGGAAGCTATGCCTATCTAAAAAGGAACTTTTCTGAAAAAAAATTTTTTTTTTTCAGATTGATTCTCACTCTGTCGCCCAGGCTGGAGTGCAGTGGCATGATCCGCAACCTCTGCCTCCAAAGTTCAAGTGAGTCTCCTGCCTCAGCCCCCCAATAGTTGGGATTGCAGGCACCTGCCACCACACCTGGCTAATTTTTGTATTTTCAGTAGAAATAGGGGTTTTACCATGTTGGCCAGGCTGGTCTCGAACCCCTGACTTCAAGTGATCCACCCACCTCGGCCTCCCAAAGTGCTGGGATGACAGGCATGAGCCACCGTGCTTGGCCAACTTCTCTGAAATTAATAAAGAAAGGAACCTGACCATTACCCTGGCCTCCAGGGAAGGTGGCCAACTCCTCCTGGTTTGCCTGGGACTCTCCCAGTTTTAGCACTGAAAGCCCCACATACTGGCACATCTCTCAGTCCAGGCAAGCTGGGACAGTTGGTCACCCACGCCCAGTCCCCCTCATGGTCTGACCCTGACCCCTCCCTCTTCTCTCACCTCCTCCCCTTGCTCCAATAGGAGGAGTGCCTTCACTTCCTCCTAGAGCTCACGCCTGCCTCCCTACCTTGCTTTGCCTGTACTCTTCCCTCTGTCTGAAACATTCTTCCTTCTAACCATGCCCTAGTTCATTCCACTCATTCTCCAGCTCTCAGCTCAAACATCACTTCTCTGTTTCCAACCTCCAGGCTTGAGCAAATCCCTGTTTTCCTCTCTCATAGCACACGGTGTCCTTTTCACAGCACTTGTCACAGTTTACACAATTGTGTTTGTGTTTGATTAGCGTCTGTCTCCCTGCGTAGACAGTAAATGCCTTAAGGACTGGGACTGACTGTTTTCACTCTGCTTTCTGAGTGCCTAAGTACACAATAGACAGTTAATACATATTTCTTGAATGAACGAAATGTATCATGTAATCAGGATCCCGTCCATGTGTCTCCATGAGAGAGACTGCCAGCTTCCCCCAGGGTCCGTTCTCTCCTCCCATCGAGATTAAGCCCTGACTTTGGGCTGGGCACATGGCTACTCAGATAAAGGCTCATTCCATCGTCCCTGGGTGCTGGGTACTGCTGTGTGAGTGAATTCTGGCCAAGAAGTTGTTGAATGTGCAACTTTCAGAAGGGCTTGTTAAGAGGGGTGTGTTCCTTGCCCTTTTTCCTCCCTATTAGCTGGAATGTAAATGTGATGGCTGATGCTCCAGCAGCCATCTTGTACCCAAAAGAGACAGTGAGCATTGAAGCCAGGCATAGTGGAGAAACAAAGTGGAAGGAGCCTGGGGCCCTGACACCATGGAGATCATCCCAGCCCTGGGGAGCTACCTCTCTTTGATGTGAGAGAAATAAATGTATTCACCTATTTGGGGCTGTTCTGTTACTCCACCACACTTATGCTAACTAAGAGCCTCTATCCTGGTGGTCCCTTCTGACTTTTAATATGTATGTCAGAAATAATGAACCACCAGTGTGTTTTCTCTTCCCTTAATTACACCATGTAAATATAAAGCAGGAAGTGAGAATGTGAAGTGGTCATCTAGTAGGATGGTTTCAAGGTAGTGAAATGAGGAGGGAACTGAGGGAGTCAGGAACTCAGGGTCCGGTCCTAGACAGCTGAGCCATCTGGACCTCAGCTTCCTCCCCTGTGAGCAAACATAAGGAAGCCAGGCCATTAACTGCCATTTCCCTTCATTCTCCAAAGGCCTCCTTATTTTAATATGTTTCAGAGTTATGTTGGAGGAATAGTCACGTTGGGGCCAGGATTGGAAATAGTTGTGAAATAACTGACATTCAACTAAACTCAAAACATTACTCAAAGCTTGCACCACAGAAAAGATGCCCTAAGTGTGTATGGAAGATACATAAGATCTTGACAAATGCCAGCAAATACCCCGACCCTTGGAAGTTCATGCTGGGTCCTACAGATCTATTAAACCTGTCGACCCAAAGGCTAGTTCTAATAAAGAGCCTTTTCCACAAGGGCCTCCATGGTGGTAATCAGCTTCAAAAAGGCTGCTAAATGGGGAGGAAAAGGGAATATCAAGGAGACTGGGAGGGAAAGGGAGATGTAATAGGCTCCAAAATTCAAAATTCAAACAAATGAATCAATTACATATGGGAGAAGATGCAGCAAAGTGTGAAGAACAAGACAGTACAAGGTAGGTCACCAAGCACAGACTCTGCAAGTCCTCTATCATGACAGTCAACAAACCAAAATTGAGTCTAACAAATATTTAATACTTAAAAAACAAAAATAGAGGGATATACCATGGATAAAACTGATCTAATAAGCTCTCTCTTGATTCAAGGGATTTTTCTTTAGATCTCCTAGGAAGGAATCAATATGCCCAAGCCTTGCACTGCTTCAGGTACAAAACTGTGGGACCCAACATGTATATTAATCATTTCATTGGCTATGTTTCCATTTCAAGCTGAGCAGCCAACCTAACTTTAGCTACAAACCAAACTCCAAGTTCATTTTGTAAATGCCAAGTAAAATGACAAATTGCTGATCTCATCCACTGACATGAGTGCCACCAGCCCTTCCTATCTAGACAGTGACTGGTTACATTCAGCCCATGCTGGCACTGGCTTGCCATCTCTTCCACTTCCCCTTCCTATCAGCCATTCTGCTTGCTCCGCAGCATTTCGACCTGTCCACGTGGTGCATTCGGAAGACACACAGCACCCAGTCTTTCTTAACTCTAGAGAGTTCACAAGCAAGTTGAGGCCTTCTCGTCACAGGTCAAAAAATACAACCCCAAAGTATCAGGTGTTATTCTAAGACCTAGGGACCGATTCTCTCATTACCAGGCAAGAAGGAATTTAGTTCACTTCTCTTAAACTTGGAGACTAAATGCTACAGAGAACAGTCTATGCCCTGGCTTAGAGGACAGACACAGACTGTTCAAAGTACACGCTCCGATGAGCTTCCACCATCATCAGCTCCACTGCCCACCTCCATTCCTGAGCCATTTGGAACTGGTTTGTACCCACCGAGGCTGTCCCAAGCCTAGAAAGAGATGAGAGCTCATCTCCACTGTCGTGGGTACAGGACAGGGAGGTATGCTTCTTTTTTTTTTTTTGAAACAGTGAACGCTTGATGTTTAATGAGATTTTCACTTCCGATTTGAGGGAAGACTCTCTTGAGAATGACTTCCAACTACATTATCACTCCCTCTCCTAGAAGACTAACCCTAATATTCATTAACAACCAATAATATGGCAAGAGGAGAAAGAGCTGAGGTATTTATCACTCCCACTGTTAGAAGACTCACCCTAATATTCATTAATAACCAATAATATGGCAAGAGGAGAAAGAGCTGAGGTATTTTAGGTAACTTTGTGTCTATCCAATAATTCTACAGACTTGATGTCATAGTAACATGGTTAAATCAACAACAAAAGATTTACTATTAAATTCTTAATTTAGAGATTCATCAAGCATAGCATTTTATGTGCTACAGTTTCTGGGATTTTTGTTTATTACCTAGGAATCCCAGCAACAGTACTAACAGGCAACAGGCTTTTGTCTCCTAGAAATGAACATAAGCATTTTATCATCCTCTTAATTTAAACATGAGGCCACCTGTCTATTCTGGCTCCAACTAAATGGGAAAGTAGAAAAATGGACTATTACTAGCATAAAAAGTTACTAGAAAAATGAGAACATATACAAAAACTTTCTGTTGATTTATTTAGAAGCACCATTTAAATGTTCTTCCATTAAATTAATTACAAATCAGATAAATGTGTATGCAACCTCATTTTGAAAACAGATTGTCTTACCAAGTAGCTGAACATGTACCAGAGGACACACATGGACAGAAGAGAATGGAAGGATTTACTAACCAAACATATTAATCCAATAATTCCTCTAAAAATTAAGTAGAGACTTTAATAGCCATGTATGGGGAACCACTAAGCTAGGAGGTTTTAGCCCAGTAATAAAAACTTTTTCATAATCTCTCTCCTCCTGTACCCAGACCTGCAAGAGTTGTCTCAAACAATAACAACAGTATACAAATGTTAACCCAATCTTAATTCAGAACAGCTTAAATGTAATAAGGTAACCTTGGAAACTATGGCGAGCTCTCAGGTAGAAGCTAGAACTCTGTTTCACGTGACAGAAGCAGACAGATTGTTAAGAATCTGTTATGAGTGGAGTCCCATGCCAGGGCTTACCCTGGCCACCACTTACTAGCGGAAGCCTTGAGCAAATTCTGCAGCCGTTGTGAGCGTCACAGAGTGGTGATTGTAAAGATTATATAACATTATCTATGGTCAGTGTCTCCGCATCTAGCACCCTAAAGAAAATCCAAATGCCAACTGTTTTTGTGACAGGGACAAGCACTGGGTGCTACAGGCACACAGGAGAGCACACCACTCCAGGCCAGGGAGCCAGCCAAGGCCTCCCAGATGAAGCTAAGTCTACCTTGAGACCCGAGCCAGAGAAAAGGTCATTTTCAAGTTAATAATTATACCCAGTCAAGACTTTCTACTGAGATAAAATACTTGGTACCAAAAAAGTTACATTCTATTTGATATTTATTCATCTCATAGAAATGTAAGAGTAGAAGTACAATAGGACAAATGGGTGGCAAAACAACAACAACAAAATCAACTATGGACCATTTGGTTTTAAGCATTCTATTGTGGGTGCCTTTAACTGCAATGCTTTTTTTCCCCCACAGCCCTCAAACTATTTTTTAAAGAAGGGAAATATTTCTCTCGACAGTTACAACTAGCAGCTGCTAGTTGTAACTAGCAGCTCTCAGGCCTCTTTTCCTTGGCACACACTTTCTACCACCAGCGCCCCCTCTACTCCTCCTTCTCCTCCTAGAGAGTAAAGACCTTGAAGGCACTTGTTCTAGAATAAGGTCACGATTCTCAGCACACTTTTGGCAGTGCATGCGGAGGGAATGTTTGCGCCCACACTTCTCATCGCTCCTTTTGCCACCCGACCAATCACTGGGTTATTAACAGTTCCATCTGCCTACTCACCTTTTGATCACAGAAGTTCCACCAGGTAAATTCACCTGCCTGCCTAGTGATTACCTGCCACTGCCCATGGGAACACAACAAAGCCTGCTTATGGTGGCTCAGAAACATCTGCTTCATACATACAGTTGTGCCTACTTGAATGGCTTTGGATTAACAAAATCCAGGATATCGAGGAATATATCTTTCATTTAGCAGACACATCTACATAGGAGGTGGGTAACCTTGTACAAGTTTGTGTGTGACTTGGTTTCTTCAAATAAGGTTAAAAAATAACAGCTACTTCATAGTAGAAGGTAATATTAATAATAGTAGTGGCAGCTAACATTTGAGTGCTTACTCAGAACCACAACCAACCAGTTCTAAGCATTTTCCGTGTAATAAATGAACGAAGACACAAGAAGCACCAAAAAACATTAGCCATTACCATTATTTTTACATTTCTGATTTAGCATTAAACTCTTTCCTCCAAACAAAACCTCACCTAGAACAGCAAAAAACAACAAAACAAACATAAAAGTATACAGAAACAAAAAAAGCAGAGCAACTCCAAGTATAGCTGGAGTGGGTGCGCCGTTCCACACTGGGCATTCCTATTCCCCCAACACCGGCCCCTAAGAACCTCCAATGAGTCCTGTGGTTCCTGAAATCATGGCTGAAATGTGAATGTTACCACTGAACAGATGGACAGTGGTGGAGAGAACCACAGCAGAGCTGAGCCAATAAAGACAGTTAATGGCCCGAGTCTGGCCAGATGTGGGAAGAGCAAGGAAGAGTGTGGGGTGCACACATTCTCCCTGCAAACACAGTGGTTTGCCTAAGGTGTGCTGGCGACTGTGAGCTTATTCCACTCTATGACCACTTCTCCCTGCCTTCCTAATAGATGACAGCATCTTCTCTGGGCACTCCACTAAGTGATCTTCCAATGTTTCTTCGATGCATCTAACATTCTGATTCAGACAGTCTTTCCGATAATATTATGCAGAGATGCTTAGTCCATGATTTTCAATATCCTAACATACCCTAACACTTTAAAGAAGAAATAGTAAAAATCAAACAAAAAAAAACCTCTTCTGTGGGTTTTCTTCTGTTGTCTGGTTTTACTGTCAAGTGTTACTTGCTGTTATTTCGAATGCTAAAAAAGTTGTCCCTATACTAGCTTTGACAACTGATTTTAAAACTGGTTTTATTTTTGTTTTGCCAAACACCACTGGCAAAGAAGGGAAACTATGCTTGTAAGTCATCAGAAGTTATGTTTTGGAGAAAAAAGTTTTCCATAATCTGATCCTTGAATCACATTCTTCCTCTGCTGCACACCAACTGCAGATCCCACAATTGGAGCAGAGGAAAGAATCTCTCCCTGGGCTCGCAGCGCTGGCATGCATTGAATTTGGTGCAAAGAAAGGAAAAATTCCGGGTGATGATGTTAAGCCTGGAGAAGGCACCTTTCTGCCTCCTAAACCAGCCTTTCCAGCTGTGCTCCTGCCTCTATTTCCAATTTTTGTTTCTCTGCCAAACTAAGGCAGGGAGGAGAAAAGAAAATAACATAATAAAAAGTTCAAATGAATACACCCATAGGAAATATGTGGCTAATTTTATAATAACCCAAGGTGCAGAAAGGTTGAAAAAAATGAGTTCATTCTCCAAACTTTTGAGAGTGGGAGGTAGGACAGAGTTCTTCTCCACTGGGAGGGGCTGCCTGGATCAGCTAACTGGAGGCTCTCATTTTATGGATGAGGACACATCAGAATGATGTCCTCTGACTCCCAGAAAGGTGCTGTTTCCACTGCACCCAACAGTTTGCTCTGTGAATTAAAAGCTCAAGCTGGGACCAAAAACAGCAATTCATAAACAATCCCCGCACCTGCCAATTTGCCATAATCACTGCAGTTCCTGCAGCCCAAACTGTGTGTTTGGGAAACGGAATCCTCCCAAAATCCACTAGTGGGCTCCAGACAAATATAGACACAGGAATGTGTTCCTTCAAAACCAAGCAGCAGCTATGCTCATCTTTCTCGGGGCTGGTTAGGAGAGGACCCCGCTACCGAGCCAGCGGGTGGAGACGTCGAGACCCAGCACCTGACTGAACTCCCAGGCTGTGCTGCTGCCCTTGTCGGGTGATTTTTTTTTTTTTTTTTTTTTTTTTGGACAGAGCAAGGCTCTGTCTCCCTGGCTGAGAGTGCAGTGGTGCAATCTCGGCTCACTGCAACCTCCGCCCGCCGGGTTCAAGCAATTCTCCGGCCTCAGCCTTCCGAGTAGCTGGGACTACAGCTACTCGCCACTATGCCCGGATAATTTTTTGTATTTTTAGTAGAGACAAGGTTTCACTATGCTGGCCAGGGTTTCGCTATGCTGGCTAGGCTGGTCTCGAACTCCTGACCGCGTGATCCGCCAGCCTCGGCCTCCCAAAGTGTTGGGATTACAGGCGTGAACCACCGCGCCCGGCCCCGTCTGGGTGAATTTTTTTTCAGCCAGAGTATTCTGTGTTGTTAGCAAGTCTCGACTGCCGCGAAGGTGTGCGCCACATCCTCTGCCAGCAGGGCGCGAAACGCAACTCCCTCCGTCAGCGAGTCGAGCTCCCCGAGAGGACACGGGGCCCCGCGGGTCCACGCGCCCCGGGCTCGCTCCCAGGCGCAGGGCGCGACCTCCGCCGCTGCCTGGGCTCCCCGCGCGGCTCTGAGGGGACCCCGACCCCAAAGACCGGCTTTCTTCCAGGAACCTGCGTTTCCTGCCCGGGCAGGCGACCTAAGCAGCTTGGCCTCCCTTATTCAAGTGCTACCCCGTCCCCGACAGCGGCTCGACCCCGAGTGGGGGTGCAGCCCCGCCCCACTCCCGCCCGGCTCAGGGGCGCGCTCCAGCTCCCGGGCTCCAGGATTCCCAGCCCCCAACAGGCAGCGAAGGTGGCCGCCGAGGAGGGCGCGTCCCTGGCTGCCTGCGACCCCGCCCGCCTTGACGGTCCCTGCTCGCGCCCCCCGCCCCGCCCCGCCCGGCCCCAGGCTCACCTGCGGCGGGAGCGCCAGACCGCTCCCGCTCCCTTGCCCGCGTGGGGCTCCTTGTCGCCGCCATGCCGGCCGCGCTGCGGACGGGCGCTGGGCCTCGGCCCGTGGTCTGCAGTGGTCTGTCAGACGCGACGGCCGCCCGCCGGCGCCCGGGCTCGCTTCCCTGAGGCGGGCTGGGGAGGGCGGGGGAGGCGTAGGGCGGGGATGGGTACCGACTGACGCGCCGGGCAGCCAATCAGAGGCCGGGCAGGGGAGGAGCGGGCCCTAGAGGGGCGGGGCCTCCGCGCGCTGTCGGGGTCGCGGGCCCCAGAACTGCGGAGACCTCCGAGGCTCGGCAGCGGGGCGGGAAGCTACTCCTGGGGTCCAGGCGCGTTCCTGAGGCTGCTCCCCGGGAAACATCTTGGGAATTCCACTTGGGCGGATCCGGCGACCTCCTTGGCACTTTTCATCGAAGGCCCGTTGATTGGGAAGCACAATCGCGGAGGGCCGGCTGATGAGGGCGAGGAACCAGTGCTGTTTCCCCCCGCGGGCAGGTTGCTGCGCGATGCTGCTCTGTTACTGCCGGGGTGGGCGAGCCTGGAGTCCAGATGCAGCTGTCGGCCCAGGACCTGTTCACTTGACTGGGGAGATTTTCTAATTTTTCTTCCCCCGCTGGGTCAGCAGAACGGGGTTACACTTACTGAGAACTCACAGTTTACTTTGGGAGCGCAAATATGTGCATTATTGACAAAACTGTCCTCTTATAGAATGATTTATCCAAAGGAAAAAATATGGGGAGTAGTTTACAGTAGAATAAACAGCCCAAAAATGAAAAGGCGCTCACCTTGTTGTTCTCCCCCGCACTCTGCCGGTCAGATGGGCCTTTTCCAGAAGAAAAATGAAGAAAATGAAAATCCTGTTGAACACTTCCTTTTTCTCCAATATACACAGTTCCAGAGACAAACTGACTGCATGGGAAATGTTTTGGCATCTTTTGAAAGAGAAGTTCCATAACTAAAAAAAGATGTGAGAAACAGCCTGGAATCTTGTGTGGCTTCAGTAGCCTGAGGGCAATGTCCACAAGTAATTGGATCGCTTTCCTCCCTTCGCCTAGTCTCAGAACACAGGTCTTTGGCCACTCCAGTGAGATTCTTTATCCCAGCAACAACAGTTAACTTAATGCCAAGCATTTACTGACAGCTGGCATCCAGCCACATGCTTTGATATATGTCTTTTACATGCATTGCTTCATTTAATCCTCACTTGCCCATGAGGTAGGCACTGTTATTATCTCCAATTTACAGACCAGGAGACTGAGGTTCAGGAAGTGCTAGTGCATAGTTTGAACCTAAGTCTGAACCCTCAACCACCCAACCATTCTTCAATGCATGATTCACAGAAGATAATAAAAATGTTCCCAAACTCTACTGCATGTTTAGAAAATAATCCCTTTTATCTAAATCAGATCTTTGACATTGATGGGTAGTTTTCTACAACCATAAACCATCGCTTGCGTGTATAGAGCCACGTTACTCATACAAAATAAATGACTTAAAATTGTTGCGCCTAATTAACCTAAACAAGGGTATGAGCAGTGACAAGTACAAATTGTCTATTCTACAAACTAGAAATACCAGGACTAATTTCTTGCGGTATAATAAAACAAAATTTACTTAGTCCTTTAACCACAAAACAAATTAGCCAGTTCCCCTTCCCTCCTCCCACAAGACAATATTTATGAATACAGCTGTTTGTTCTTGGCCTAAAATCCTGTCAATTAATTCACATTTAGGATTTTGGTTGCCTGTAATGTTCATTGTTACTCCAAAAGCTGAATGAGAGGCCTCTTAGTGTGGTACTTAGTGACCAAACCTTGGAGCCAGACTGCCTAGTGTGCCTTCATACAAGCCACATGGTCTTACATAAGTTAGTTAACCTTTTTGTTCCTGTTTCCTTATCTGTAAAATGGAGCGCCTAAGAGTATCTACCCCATGGGATTTTTATGGGGGTTAAATTACTAAATATGTGCAAAACTCTTACAATACTTGGCACATAAGCATCATATAAAGACGTATATACATGGAGATTTCTAATTGGCTTTCTGGTGATTACATGAGTGATTACATGTCTGCACAATTACGAAGTTATTTTTTAAAAATACCTAGTTCATGAGCTCTTTGAGGGCAGGAACTCTGACCTAGAATCCCTAGAACCTAGCTCAGAGCTTAAATATGTATGAATGGGTAACTTGAGAGTGTGGTGTGATGCCAGCTGAAAGTCATGCTGAACAAAGACCCCTGCAGCAACAGTCTCAGCTGAAATGTGGACGCAAATCATCACACTTGCCAAAACATCCACCTTAGAACTACCAGAAACAGGCAGTGCCTAGCGTTGTGCCCAAAAGCCACCTGATTGCGACTCTGGAAAGCTCAGAGTGATTTAAACTACGGACAAGGGTTACTCCAGCTAGTTGCATGAGGGTTGTGGTATGACCCAAATCAGAAGAAAAACTGGCCAGTAGTTCCCAGCAAGTATTTAATTGGAGTTTTTGTTTTTATGAGGTTTTCTTGACCATTTGAACTCTGAAAATGGAACGTGAACATTCAGAGCCTTTTAAGGTTCACATTGCAAAATGCATTTTTTTTGGAGGGGTACAGAGTCTTGCTCTGTCGCCCAGGCTGGAGTACAGTAGCACTATCTCAGCTCACTGCAACCTCCGCCCCAGGTTCAAGCGGTTCTCCTGTCTCAGCCTCCAGAGCAGCCGGAATTACAGGTTTCTACCACCATGCCCAGCTAATTTTTGTATTTTTAGTAGAGGCAGGGTTTCACCATGTTGGCCAGGCTGGTCTCGAACTCCTGAACTCAGGTGATCTGCCCACCTCGGCCTCCCAAAGTGCTAGGGTTACAGGTGTAAGCCACCATGCCCAGCCCATTTTAACCATTTTTTAAAGTACAGTTTAGTGGCAGCCTGAAGGTCCCAGTGTGGGGATAGACAGAAGCCCCTGCCAGTGCCCGCTGGAAGCTTCAGGGCTCTTTGCGCTACTTCTGTGCCTGCTGTGCCAGCCCCCTTCTTCAGGGTTCTCCTGTTTCTCCCTGTTGAGGCTTCACACCTTGCCCCTAACCATTCCAGCCTTGTCCCACTTAATTTCTTAGCATTGCCTGTGAAATGTCAACTTATCTTAGCCTCACGCCACTTGCAGCATTTGTTCACCTTCACAATGGGATGCTGTAAGTGTGGCATCTCACCCATGCCCTGGACTGGCATGTAGCAGGGTGGTCCACACTTCTACAGACTCTGCTCATCCAAGAAAAAGATCATACTGTGTCCAGAATTGGCGGGTTCTTGGTTTCACTGACTTCAAGAATGAAGCCACGGACCTTCGCAGTGACTGTTACAGTTTTTAAAGATGGTGTGTCTGGAATTTGTTCCTTCTGATGTTTGAAGCATTCAGAGTTTCTTTCTTCTGGTGGGTTCGTGGTCCCCCTGGTTTCAGGAGTCAAGCTGCAGATCTTTGTAGCGATTGTTGCAGCTCTTAAGGCACTGCGTCCAGAGTTATCCATTTCTTCTGGGGGGTTCTTGATTTCACTGGCCTCAGGAGTGAGGCTACAGACCTTCCCAGTAACTGTTACAACTCATAAAAGCAGTGTGGACCTAAAGAGTGAACAACAAGATTTACTGCAAAAAGCAAAAGAACAACACTTCCACACTGCTGAACACGACCCAAGCAGCTTACCACTACAGCTTGGGCAGCCTGCTTTTATTCCCTTATCGGACTCCACCCACATCCTGCTGATTGGCCCATTTTACAGAGAGCTGATTGGTCCATTTTATAGAGCACTGATTGGTCCGTTTTACAGAGAGCTGATTGGTCTGTTTTGACAGGGTGCTAATTGGTGCATTTACAACCCCTGAGCTAGACACAGAATGCTGATTGGTGTATTTACAATTCTCTAGCTAGACCTAAAAGTTCGCCAAGTCCCCACTATATTAACTAGACACAGAGCACTGATTGGTGTGTTTAGAAACCTTGAGCTACACACAGGGTGCTGATTGGTGTGTTTACAATCCTTTAGCTAGACGCAAAAGCTCTCCAAGTCCCCACTAGGTTAGCTAGACAGAGAACACTGATTGGTGCGTTTACCAACCTTGAGCTGGACACAGAGTGCTGATTAGGGCATTTACAACCCCTGAGCTAGACACAGAGTGCTGATTGGTGCATAGACAATCCTCCAGATATAAAAGTTCTCCAAGTCTCCAGCAGACTGAGGAGCCTAGTTGGCTTCCCTAGTGAGTGAATCCTGAGCTCTGGCCGTGGGCGGAGCTGCCTGCCAGTCCCAAGTAGCGAGCCGGCAGTCCTCAGCTCTTGAGCAGTCGATGGGACCCGGCGCCACGGACAGGGGACGGCGCCCCTTGTGGGAGGCTCCAGCCGCTGGGGAGCCCATGTGTGGGGCAGGGTTGGGGCATGGTGGGCTGCAGGTCCCAAGCCCTGCCCCCGTGGGTAGGCGGCTGAGGTCCCCCCGGGAATTCAAGCGCAGCGTGGGCGGCCCGCAGTGCTGGGGGACCCCGTGCACCCTCCGCAGCTGCTGGTGCTAAGCCCCTCACTGCCAGGGCTGGCGGGGCTGGTGGCGCTGGCCGGCCGCTCCGAGTGTGGGGCCGCTGAGCCCGCATCCACCCGGAACTAGCGTGCAGCCCCAGTTCCCGCTGGTGCCTCTCCCTCCACACCTCCGGCAAGCAGAAGGAGTCAGCTCCGGCCTCTGCCAGCCCAGAGAGGGACTCCCACAGTGCAGCGGCAGGCTGAAGGCCTCCTCAAGCGCGGCCAGAGTGGGCACCAAGGCTGAGGAGGCGCCGAGAGCGAGGGAAGGCTGCTGGCACGCTGTCACCTCTCAATACGTGGCCTTTCAAAAATCGCTGGGTTCTAGCTGGGCACAGTGGTTCACGCCTATAATCCCAGCACTTTGGGAGGCCAAGGTGTGCGGATCACCTGAAGTCAGGAGTTTAAGACCAGCCTGGCCAGCATGGTGAATCCCAGCTATTCTGGAGGCAGAAGCACAAGAATTGCTTGAACCTGGGAGGCAGAGGTTGCAGTGAGCCAAGCTGTGCCACTGCACTCCAGCCTGGGCGACACAGTGAGACCCTGTCTCAGAAAAAGAAAAACAAAAAATCAGAGTTCCTGGGCGGTGATTTTTTTTAGGGGTTGGTTTCCAAGTGGCCCTGGAAGCTGGGTTCAAATCGTAGAATGTCATTTATTAGCTGGATGACCTGGAGCAAGATACTTTAAACCCTTTTTGCTTCCATGTCCTTACTTATATATTAGGAATAATAATAGTACTTACCTAAAATGGGGCTTGTAGAGTTGATTCAATGACAACATGTAGAGGCTGGCCCTTTTTAAGTGCTCAGTTAAGTGCTGTCATTGGCACCTATTGACGTCTATATACTGTCCTCTATTAGAAAAGTTGACGCTGACTGATTTTGGTATTAACGTTTTTGTAGTTATTCAGGGGCTTCGTGTGAATAAGCAGCAGTGTATGCTTAGATACAATGCAAGAAGGAAGTGGAAAGATAAGGATTTCTCAAATTCTAACTTTTATGGATATCGACAATGATGGCGTAATGTTTTAAAGACAATGGATGGTCAAATACCCTGCATAGCTGGGCAAGGTGGCTCAAACCTGTAATCCCAGCTACTCAGAAGTCTGCCACAGGAGGATCACTTGAGTCCAGGAGTTCGAGGTCACCTTGGGTGGTACAGTCAGACCCTATCTCCAAAAAAAAAAATTAAAATTATCCAGGCATGGTGGCATGCATCTGTAGTCCTAGGTACTTGGAAAGCTCAGATAGGAGGATCACTTGAAGCCAAGAGTTTGAGACCAGCTTGTGCAATACAGCCAGGTCCTATCCCTAAACAAGAATTTAAAAACTAGCCAGCAGCCTGGTCAACATAGCAAGACCCTGTCTCTATGGAAACTAAAAAACCTTAAATAGGCATGGTAGCAGGGACCTGTAGTACCAGCTACTCAGAAGGCTGAGGCAGAAGGATTACTTGAGCCCAGGAGTTTGAGGCTGCAGTGAGCTATGATCATGCCACTGCACTCTGGTCTGGGCAATAGACTAAGACCTTGTCTCTAAAAGTAAAAATAATAATAAAAAATTAAGACATTTTTCTAAAGAAATTATGTAAATTGATAAGGAGCACATAAAAAGATGTTCAACACCTCTAATCATTAAAGAAATGCAAGTTAAAACCACAATGAGATACCACTTCACACCCATTAGAATGGCTACTATAAAAACAAAAAACAACAACAATAAAGAAAATGGCAAGTGTTAGAGAGGATGTGGACAAATTGGAACCCTCACTCATAGATTGAGAATGTTTTCCACTGTGAAAAACAGTATAGTGGCTCCTCAAAAAGTTAAATGTAGAATAACCATATGATCTGGTACTCCAGCCTGGGCGACAGAGGGAGACTCTGTCTCAAACAAACAAACAAATAAATAAATATGCTTTGAATTTTATTATAATAAAATAACTGTAAAATGTGTTTTGAATGTGTACCATAATCTTAGTCAACTAAATTACAACACTGTCCTCTTAGTCATTCACACCTCAGTGCCACCCAACCTTGGCACTTTCTAAGAGCAGATGTTGACTGGAGGAGTGCCAAGAGGGCTTAGGAGCTGCCAGAGGGATTGAGGAGGTCAGCTTAGAGCCATAAAGGGAACTGAAAGATGTGGGGGTGGTGTGTGTGGAAAAGAACTTCATGATTTTGAGTAGGTCCAGACCAGAACTTAGCATTTCCTTAATTTTTCAAAAATAATTTTAGCAAATTAGATGGCTTCGCTCCTTCTCACATTCTTGACACCTATACCACCTGCAGTTTGCATAGAGCTGTGCTCACTCACCACCTCTGACTTTTGACCTTGTGTTTGCACTGCCTGGGCTGTGCTTTTCTCTCCGCTTACCTGGCTGGCTCCCATTGGTCCTTCCTCAACCTGCTCTCCTTGGGGAGGCAATTCTGGACCACCCAAGACAAGCTGGAGTTCACAAGCTGGCTTCTCTGCCCTCCCAGCTCTGCCCACTATTCTCACTGCACCTAGTGCCCTGCACCTAGTACTCTGAGACATAACTTGTTCAAATTCTTGGCCGAGCTTGGTGGCTTATGCCTGTAATCCCAGCACTTGGTGAGGCCAAGGCAGGCTGATCACTTGAGATCAGGAGTTTGAGACCAGCCTGGCCAACATAGTGAAACCCCATCTCTACTAAAAATACAAAAATTAGCTGGGATTGGTGGCGGGTGCCTGTAATCCCAGCTACTTGGGAGGCTGAGGTGGGAGAATTGCTTTAACCTGGGAGGCGGATGTTGCAGTGAGCCGAGATTGTACCACTGCACTCCAGCCTGGGTGACAGGCTGAGACTCTGTCTCAAAAAAAATTAAAATTAAAAACAAAAATACTCCATGCTTGACTGTGAGCTCCTAGAGGGCAAGGACAAAGATCTCAGCCTCCCTGGGTGTTCTGCACAATGCTTGGTAGCCATTTAATGAGTGCTTGCTGAACCAGGAATGAGGTCTCTTCAAGGTCCCACTGCCCACTTTCCTCCTCCTCACCGTGCTCTTGAGTCTGCAAATACATTCCTTGGCTTCCTTTACAAGTGGACTCGGTATACAGACATCCTTGTCAACAAATTCGCCTTCTGAAGGATGACACTTCCTCTTTCATGCTTGGTAAGCTTGTTAAGATTTCAGGGACAGCAGGACCCTTGCCAAATGAAATGTACAAATGAAAAGACAATTTTGCCAAATAATCTGACAACTAAGTAAAAATACATGGAGAGATACAATCTCTAAAATCTTTTGGTTACTTTACTGGGCTTGCAGCTCCAGTTAACCAACAAAACAAATTTCTTATGTTTTTGTCAAAGCAGAACAAGCAGCAGTCTTTCTGGCTTTGCCACCCCCACCCCACCCATTTTTAAAAATAAAGCCAAGAGTGGGAAAGAAAACCAGATTGCTCTTTTTTCTCTGAGTTGTCCATTTGTTTGTTTATTTTTTATTTTTATTTTTATTTTTTTTTTGAGATGGAGTCTCACTCTGTCCCCCAGGCTGGAGTACAGTGGTGTGATCTCAGCTCACTGCAAGCTCCGCCTCCTGGGTTCACGCCATTCTCCTGCCTCAGCCTCCCAAGTAACTGGGACTACAGGTGCCCACCACCACGCCTGGCTAATTTTTCTATTTTTAGTAGAGACAGGGTTTCACTGTGTTAGCCAGGATGGTCTCGATCTCTTGACCTCATAATCTGCCCGCCTCGGCCTCCCAAAGTTCTGGGATTACAGGCATGAGCCACTGTGCCTGGCCTGTTTGTTTATTTTTTGTAGTGACTGAGTCTCACTATGTTACCCAGACTGGTCTTGAACTTCTAGCCTCAAGAGATCCTCCTGCCTCAGCCTCCAGAATCACTGAGATTAGAGACGTGACCCTCTGCACCCAGTTAAACTCATTTATTTTTGAGGATCCCAGGGGCTGGCACTCTTCATTAGTTGACTGCTTTTCTAGTCTAAAATTTTGCTTCAGGTTTGATCTGTGAAAGACAGCTGGCTGAGGAGAGTAAATCTTGGAAACGATTAGTTCTGGCCCTCCACCATCAACTACTTGAAGGACAGTGGAAAATCACTTATCCTATGGGGGCCTCCATTTCTTTATCTGTAAAAAGAATAGAATGTCCTGGATGATTTCTCAGACTCCGTCTAATCCAACAATTACGATTCTGAGATGAACATTTTCTCAAACAGGTTGCTTTAAAAACTTGTGGTGCATTTAAATGAATAAGTACCAAGCAACAATGAAAACTCATAGTCTCAAAAATATTGAGTAACACTGTGCTATGGTCTGAACATTGGTGTCCTCGCTCCCGTAATTCATATGTTGAAACTTCATCTCCAATGCAATAGTGTTAAGGGGTGGGGTATTTGGGAAATGATTAGGTCATAAGCGCTCTGCCCTCATGAGTGGGACTCAGTCTTTAAGAGGTTGAAGAGAGTGGCCTAGTCCCTTCAGCCCTTTTTGCCATGTGAGGACACAGCAACAAGGCTCTATCTATGAAGCAGAGAGTGGGCCTTCACTGGACACCAAATCTACTAACACCTTGATCTTGGACTTCCCAGCCTCCAGAACTGTGAGAGATATTTTCCTATTATTTATAAATTGCCCCATCTGAGGTATTTTGTTATAGCAGCCTGAACAGACTGAGACACATTGGAAAGACATTTTGTTTGTTTCCTTTTAAGAAGAAATGCTATTTTCTTCCATTAGTATTGCTGCTGTGTAAACAACAGGGACTTCTGCAGCCTTTGGTCATTATGAGGAAAAGAGTCTGCCTAATGAGGAAATGTGCATGGAGGAAGTAGAAACAAGAGATGGGGAAATGGCCTTGGTACATTGTTTGAGCTCCTGGATTTAGCCATACCTGAAGCAGTATTACTCTTTCAGTTGCAACTGACATAATACTAATATAGTGTGAGCAGACAAATTTCATACAAAAATATTTCTGTACAAAAAAACTTGGAAGAATAAGCCCCTAAATATTAATTATTATCTATGGGTAATGGGGTAAAAGGCTACTTTTGCTTTCTTCTGCGTACTTTTCAGCATTTTCCAAACTTTCCCAAATTATTTACTACTGGCCTAATTTTTAAATGTTATTTTAATGCGCTGTCCCCTAAGAAACTGTGGGAACTTTGCTGTGTTGTAGAGAATCCTGCCTCCTCTGGTTTGACCCTTTTCACTGAGTAACAGTTAAGATTTGATACACTATTGTATCTTGTGAAGTGGGTCTTTGTTCAGCCCCTAAATGCTATAATGGTGTTGGCAAACTTTCTGTAAAGGGCCAGGTTGTAAATATTTGAGGCTTTGCAGGCCATATACTGTCTGTGACAAGCAGTCAACTTTGCTGTTGTTGTGGCACAAAAGTAGTTGTAGATAATTTGTAAATGAATGAACATGGCTAAGTAAAGTTTGTAAATGAATGAACATAACTAAGGAAAGTTTATTCCTAACTTTACTTAGGAATACTGAAATTAATTTTTTTTTGAGACACGGTCTTGCTTTGTTGCCTAGGCTGGAGTGCAGTGGTGTGATCATAGCTCACTGCACCCTCAAACTCCTGGGCTCAAGCAGTCTTCATGCCTCAGCCTCTGTAGTAGCTGGGATTATAGGCATAAGTCACTGTGCCCAGCTTAATTCTAATTTTATATAATGTTCACATGTCATCAGATATTCTTCTTCTTGTGATTACTTTTCAACCATTTATAAAAGTAAAAACAATTCTTAGCTCATGAGCCATACAAGGGCAGATGCCAGGCCACATTTTGTCCTCTAGCCATAGTTTGCTAAGGCCTATTCTATACTACAAGGATGTCTCATTGTATCAGCCATCACTGCATTTCAAATTTCCATGACCTTCTGGGTTGAGTCTCCAACAGGAAATCTGGCATGGTTTTTCAGCAAGCCTCATGGACTTGGGGGTTGTTTATGATGTCTGTGTCTCCTCTGGATTTGTGCTTCCTTTTACTGAGATGCTTATAGGATCTTCCTCTTTTTCAACCTTTATGTTAGAGTTAGCATCCCTATACCTTTGCTCAAGACAGCAGCCATAGTCAATTCTCAAAGTTGTCAAAGCCCTATTTTGGCATCTAAGGTTGAATATTCCTATTTTGAAGAACTTTAAAGGATGTTTTGTTAATTGCTGCCAGACTGGCTTTCTTCTCTATAATGACCCCTAGGTGAGAGAAGTTTATTGCTCTGCCAAAAATATTAAGTAAATGACAAGTCAATGACAATTTACATTTTTAGAAAATATTCAATTTCAGAATACTTTTGAAGTTTCATTTTAAGAAGGAAAAGAAGAGTGAAAGAGTTTATTTTGGTTGCTATCTTGTGTCAGTTAATAATGTTTTCAGCTCTGACTTTTTACTTTTATTTTTCGAGACAGGGTCTGGCCCTGTTGCCCAGGCTGGAGTGCAATGGTGCGATCTCCGCTCACTGCAACCTCAACCTCTTAGGCTCAAGCAATCCTCCTGCCTCAGCCTTCCAAGTAGCAGAGACTACAGGTGTGCACCACCATACCCATCTAATTTTTGTATTTTTTGTAGAGATGGGAGTCCCACTATGTTGCCTAGGCTGGTTTCAGACTCCTGAGCTCAAGTGATCCACTTGCCTGGGCCTCCCAAAATGCCGGAATTACAGGTGTGAGCCACCACACCCAGCCCATTTTCAGCTATGACTAACAACAAACTTAAATTAAGGTGGATAAACAAATATGGGTTTCAGGTCACAGAAAGTCAAGAGGCAGGCATTCTGGTGTTGCTCCTGCTTTTCAACCCTGTGACTCTTGGTCCTTCCAACATGATGGCTGTTGAAGCCAGGGAAGGAAGAAGGGGAAGAGTCAGCATTGGCTACATGCATCCTTCCATCAGATAGAGCAAATTCCTTCCCAAAAGCCCTCAGCAGACAACTGATTAAGTAACATTACACAGAATGGTATCATGTGACTATTCGGGCTGCAAGGGAAGATGAAAAAGCAGCATTTAGCTTTTTCAGGCTCCATGGTGGTAGGTGGGGGCGGAAGCTGGCAATAGAGAAGGGAGTTAGGAAGAGTTGTTGGGTTGATATAACATTTATATGATACTGAATAAAATTCCCCATGTCACGCAAAGCTTTTTTACCCTATACCATGGAATGCACAGACTTCATCTGTCTTGCTGACTGTCCAGCTCCTGGCACGTTGCAGTCACTCAATAAATATTTGCTGATTGAATGAATGAGTGAGTCAATGACAAGATCCCTGGGAAACTCATTGTTGACATTATCAGGTCATGATGTGACCTACCCTTTCTAGGACAATGCACTAACAAAGAGTCCTTTGGTTCACTCAGCTCCCTCCTGCTTTCACCTATGGTTTAATGCTGCACCATATGACAGAATGCCCTTACACACAGCCCCACCAGTGGTCTCTGCCCCATGGCTTAAACCAGGGGTGTCCAAACTTTTGGCTTCCCTGGGCCACATTGGGAGAAGAAGAATTGTCTTGGGCCACACATAAAATATACTAACACTAACGATAGCTCATGAGCTAAAAACAAAATTGCAAAAAAAAAAAAATCTCATAATGTTTAAGAAAGTTTATGAATTTGTGTTAGGCCGCATTCCAAGCCATTGTGGCCCATGGGCCATGAGTTGGACAAACTTAGTTTAAACCCTTGTGAAATGCCACCTGTTCCCTAGTGCCTTTCTGGGGGGCTAAGAGGAGATGCACTGCTTCCATCACGTTGCCCAGTTCAGAATGAAGCTTATTTAGTGGCTACCTAGAGCCAGAAATCATGAGATGTATTAAGATCATAAGATGATCATAAGATGCACTAAAATCATAAGATGTATTAAGAAGATAAAGATAAAGGTAGGGAGGTGCAGAACAAATATTCATTTAGCCTTTCCTATGTTCCAGACACCATGCTGGAGATTATATGTGATTATTCAAAATTACTGAAGAGGAAGAAAAAGCTCACACAATGAACTGTGAGTCTTTTAGAAATGTCATAAGTTAAATAAAACAAGATTAGGAAAATGTTTAATTACCAAATACTAAAAACTGGTAGAAAATGCTTAACAGTGCATTAAGAGTGCATTAATTACCTTTTCTACCCCAAACAACCAAAGCAATTAAAAAAGAAGGACATGGAAAGTCAAAGAAGAAACATCAGTAGGAAAAAAAAATTGCAACACATTTTTGGATGAGAGAAGATAGAGAAAGAGTAACTGAGCAGAGAGAGAAAGCTTCCTCACTGAAGTGGCCACTATAGAGAAAACCAACAAGAAGAATAGCTAATAATAATCATGATAATATTTATTGGATGGTTATTATATTCCTGGCACTTCTCAATGCTTAATATGCATCATCTCATTTAATCTGTGAGATATAGATAAGTTTATTGTCTCCATTTTATAGATGAGGAAACCAAGGTACAGAGTTGTAATAGAATGCTTTGAAATGGACCCATTAGAAAACAAGAAAGAGGCCAGGCATGGAGGCTCATGCCTGTAATTCCAGCACTTTGGGAGGCCAAGACAGGCAGATTACTGAGGTTAGGAGTTTGAGACCAGCCTGACCAACATGGTGAAACCCTGTCTCTACTAAAAATACAAAAATTACCAGGGCATGGTGGCATGCGCCTATAGTCCCAGCTACTCGGAAGGCTGAGATTGGAGGATCGCTTGAACTTGGGAGGTGGGGGTTGCAGTGAGCCAAGATGTCACCACTGCATTCCAGCCTGGGCAACAGAGCCAGATTCTGTCAAAAAAAAGAAAAAAGAAAAAGAGAGAGAGAGAGAAAGAGAGAGAGAGACAGAGAGAAAGAAAGAGAAAGAAAGGAAAGAAAGAAAGAAAAAGAAAGAAAAAAAGAAAGAAAGAAAGAAAGGGAAAGGAAAGGAAAGGAGAAAAGAAAAAAACAAGAATGAGTTCTTAAAAATTAAAAATGTGTTAATTCAACTGAAGCCTTTAACAATGCCTGGCCCATCCACAGTAAAAATTTAATCAATATTAACTATTGTATTGGACCATTTACTTTCTGGTTCCACTTTTATTTTCCATCATTGTTTTGTGACCTATGCCTACTGTGAGTTGGACAAGCTTCCAACAAAACAACTTCCATCATTTTTTTGTGACCTATGCCTACGTCTAAATCAGAGCAGCCCTCATATTACAGTCTCTTATTGGACAGAGTGTAGGACCTGAGAATCTTCAATTCTATTACAAACTTGAATCTAGATCCTTCCTTTGAAAGGAATTAACACTGAGGCAATGAGGCCAATTAATTTTCCTAAGGTCATGCAACAACTCAGTAGGTGCAACCAAGAGTAGAACACTGGCTGTCTGGTTCCCAAGAGAATGGCCCTCTATCTGTCTTTTCTTCGTCCAGCCCTGAAGTGGCCATGCAGGGGGAGTCTGTTCAGCCTCTTTCTTTCAGGGAATGCCCATCTCTCCCTAGTTCCATGTCTTCTTACAGGTGATGCCAGTCATGGGTTCACCAGAGCACCCCTATTTCTTCTGGTCAAGAAGGGGTCACTGACCCACACAGGGCCAATTGGATCCTTCCCTGGGGTTGGAATATGGATGTTAGAAGACAGAAGTTATGGCCGGGCATGGTGGCTCATGCTTGTAATCCCAGCACTTTGGGAGCCCAAGGTGGGTGGATCTCTTGGGGTCAGGAGTTTGAGACCAGCCTGGCCTACATGGTGAAACCTCGTCTCTTCTAAAAATACAAAAATTAGCGTGATATAGTTTGGCTCTGTGTCCCCACCCAAATCTCATCTTGAATTGTACTCCCATAATTCCCACATATTGTGGGAGGGACCAGTGGGATATAATTTGAATCATGGGGGCAGTTTCCCTCATATTGTTCTTGTGGTAGTGAATAAGTCTCACAAGATCTGATGGTTTTATTGAGGGTTTTCACTTTTGCATCTTCCTCATTTTTCTCTTGCCACCACCATGTAAGAAGTGCCTTTCAGCTCCCACCATGATTCTGAGGCCTCCCCAGCCATGTGGAACTGTAAGTCCAATTAAGCCTCTTTTTCTTCCCAGTCTCAGGTAAGTCTTTATCAGCAGCATGAAAATGGACTAATACAGTAAATCGGTACCAGTAGAGTGGGGCATTGCCAAAAAGATATCCGAAAATGTGGAATCGACTTCGGAACTGGGTAACAGACAGAAGTTGAAACAGCTTGGAGGCCTCAGAAGAAGACAGGAAGAGGTGCGAAAGTTTGGAACCTCCTAGAGACTTGTTGAATGGCTTTGACAAAAATGCTGACAGTGATATGAACAATAAGGTCCAGGCTGAGGTGATTTCAGATGGAGATGAGGAACTTGTTGGGAACTGGAGCAAAGGTGACTCTTCTTATGTTTTAGCAAAGAGACGGGCGGCATTTTGCCCCTGCCCTAGAGATCTGTGGAACTTTCAACTAGAGAGAGATGATTTAGGGTATCTGGAAGAAGAAGTTTCTAAGCAGAAAAGCATTCAGGAGGCAACTTGGGTGCTGTTAAAAGCATTCCATTTTAAAAGGGAAACAGACCATAAAAGTTCAGAAAATGTGCAGCCTGGTGATGCAGTAGAAAAGAAAAACTCATTTTTTGAGGAGAAATTCAAGCTGGCTGCAGAATTTTCATAAGTAACAAGGAGCAGAAGGTCAATCCCTAAAGCACTGGGGAAAATGTCTCCAGGGCATTTCATAGGTCTTCATGTCAGCCCCTCCCATCACAGACCCAGAAGCCCAGGAGGAAAAAATGGTTTTGTGGGCTGGGCCCAGGGTCCCCATGCTGTGTGCAGCCTAGAGACTTGGTGCCCTGTGTCCCAGCCACTCCAGCCATTGTTAAAAGGGGCCAAGGTACAGCTCGGCCCATGATTCCAGAGGGTGCAGGCCCCCAACCTTGACAGCCTCCATGTGGTGTTGAGCCTGCAGGTGCACAGAAGTCAAACATTGAAGTTTGGAAAGCTCCACCTAGATTTCAGAAGATGTATGCAAATGCCTGGATGCCCAGGCAAAAGTTTGCTGCAGGGGCAGGGCCTTCATGGAGAACCTCAGCTAGGGCAGTGCAGAAGGGAAATGTGGGGTCAGAGCCCCCACACAGAGTCCCTACTGGGGCACCACCTAATGGAGATGTGAGAAGAGGGCCACCATCCTCCAGACTCCAGAATGGTAGATCCACCAACAGCTTGCACAGTGAACCTGGAAATGCAACAGACATTCAACACCAGCCCATGAAAGCAGCCAGGAGGGGGGCTATACCCTGTGAAGCCACAGGAGCAGAGCTGCCCAAGACTATGGGAACCAATCTTTTGCATCAGCATGACCTGGATGTGAGACATGGAGTCAAAGGAGATCATATTGGAGCTTTAAAATTGACAGCCCTGCTGGATTTCGGACTTTCATAGGCCCTGTAACCCCTTTGTTTTGGTCAATTTCTCCCATTTGGAATGGCTGTATTTACCCAATACCTGTACCCCCCATTGTATCTAGGAAGTAACTAACTTGTCTTTGATTTTACAGGCTCATAGATGAAAGGGACTGGACTTGTCTCAGATAAGACTTTGGACTGTAGACTTTTGGGTTAATGCTGAAATAAGACTTTGGGGGACTGCTGGGAAGGAATGATTAGTTTTGAAATGTGAGGACATGAGATTTGAAGGGTCCAAGGTTGAAATGATATGGTTTGGCTCTGTGTCCCCACCCAAATCTCATCTTGAATTGTACTCCCATAATTCCTTTGTGTTGTGGGAGGGACCCAGTGGGAGGTAATTGAATCATGGGGGCAGTTTCCCCCTTACTGTTCTCATGGTAATGAATAAGTCTCATGATATCTGATGGTTTTATCAGGGTTTCCGCTTTTGCGTCTTCCTCATTTTCCTCATGCCACCACCATGTAAGAAGTGACTTTCACCTCCCTCCATGATTCTGAGGCCTCCCCAGCCATGTGGAACTGTAAGTTCAATTAAACCTTTTTTTCTTCCCAGTCTCAGGTATGTCTTTGTCCACAGGGTGAAAACAGAGTAATACATAGTGGGACATGGTTGAATCCAGGAGGCAGAGGTTGCAGTGAGCCAAGATCACGCCACTGCACTCTAGTCTTGGTGACAGAGCAAGACTCAGTCTTAAAAAAAAAAAAAAAAGAAGTGAGAAGTCACTTTTCACTGGGGTTGCTAGTTACGGAGAATGTTTGGCCAAAATGGCCACAGCCATCCTATTGTGTTTAGTGTGACACCAGGCAGACCCAGGTAATGAAGAGAGAGAGACAGAGAACCTTGATAATGCACAGAGGATGGACAAAGGGAGTCCACAGATGACAGTGGTGCAATTGGTACAGGAAACCAGAAGAGTCTGGAAGGGAGGGCTTCAGGGAGAAAAATAAAGTTGATTATTTATTAATACATTTGAACATTTGGAAAATAATATCCTGGGTATCTGGTAGAGCTGATGACACACCTGGGAAAAAAATTAAATATGGGTACATAGAAAACCCAACATGGGAACAAAATGAGACAATGAACTCCAGGAAGAACAAACCGTTGTACAAAAAGGGAAACATTACATTATGCTTCTTGGCTCACCAATGGACAATATTGACATAGTCATAATAAGGTTAAAAAACTTGTGACATACTACGTTGGTCAGATGAAAGGAGACAAATGTGGGAAGGGAAGAGTAACAGAGACAAATTTTCATCTATTGTAATAGGAAGTCAAAAGATACTGTTTAAAATGATACGGAATAGGGCTGGGTGCGGTGCCTCATGCCTGTAATCCCAGCACTTTGAGAGGCAAAGACAGACGATCACTGAGGTCAGGAATTCAAGACCAGCCTGACTGACATGGTGAAACCCCGTCTCTACTAAAAATACAAAAAATAGCCGGTGTGGTGGTGCACGCCTGTAATCCCAGCTACTCGGGAGCCTGAAGCAGGAGAATCGCTTGAATCTGGAAGGCAGAGGTTGCAGTGAACTTAGATCACGCCATTGCACTCCAGCCTGGGTGACACACCGAGACACCGTCTCAAAACAAAATAAATAATTAAATAAATAAAATAATTATTTTTAAATGATAAGAAATTGGGTATATTATGTAGAAATACGAAAAGAAATACCATAAGAACTAGGTAAAACAGGTGAAATTTTAGAGCAAGAAGCTCAGGGGTTTTCTTGTTATAAGCTTTTTAAAAATGCTGTGGTTTTAAAAATCATATGAACTATTATTTTACATGTATAAAATTATGTATATATAAATATATGGCATATATAAAAATTTCAAAAAGTATGTATTTTGAAAAAACATAACAGATAATTAGGAGTGGCCTCCATGACCTTAAGAATAAATCAATTATTTTATTCCTCCATTAAAATAAGTCAGCAGATAAGCATAAGAACCAAAATATGCCTCCCTCGAGCACCAGGCTCTGCAAATACAGTGAAACTTAATGATACGGAGGAAAGAAAAGGCAAGAAATAAAGCGCTTTTATTAAAAGCCACTTATTTGCAGCTTCATAGAAATGCAAGGAGAGGTCTTTATGGCGAGGGTGGCCCTGGAACTTCCAACTGATGGGGAGGCAGCCTGGGAGGTGGCCGAGGCAGGTGTCAGCCTCATACCCTATACATCATGTTCAGACCAGGGCTGAGACCTCATTACATAAAAATTTAAACATCTTTAAAATAATGACTATGAATGTGAGTGCATAAATCTACACCAGGGAAAACAGTTTCCATTTTGAAGGAACTTGATATTCTCAAGTCTTTTTTCCTTGCCACCATTTCCCATAACCCTTTATCATCCCAGCCCTCTAGAGTCCTGCTAGTAATGCAAGGGACATTTGTAATGCTATCAGCTCAGCCCTGAAGGCCAAGAGCATATTCTCGAGTTGCTTGAACCCTCAGAGAGGACCGCCACTTGCCTTTCTACTGAGGCTGAACTCCAGAATCATGCGGGCATTAGGACATGGGAACTCACTGGTCTAGGGCACCGTGTCTCACTACACCAGGAGGAGAATCCAATGAGGGCAAATGATTTGAATGAGAATTACAGAATCCACACTGTGGAGTGTTGCTTATATAGTAATGTGGAAATTAGGACCATGCAGATACTAGTGACAGAATCCCAGTTGGAACTAGTCTAGGTTAAAAAGACAATGGATTGATTCGATTAACTGGAAAGTCCAAGGGGTAGCTCTGGCTCCAAACATAATTGTTTCCCAAAGTTCAGACAATGTCATGTCATTACTCTTGCAGTCTCTGTCTCTCAACACATCCAGGTTCCTGTGATCCTTAGCACACACACTCTCAAAAAAAGAAGATTCTCTCTCCAAGCAACCATGGTAATCTCCAAGAAAGGATTCTGGTCCCCCATTAAACATCACATACACACGCACACACACACACACACACACACACACACTCACACACACACACAAAATTCTGAACTAATCATTGCATATACCATTGTATGAAGCTAGCCTGGATCGTGAACCCAGAGGAGGAGAGTGGTGGGCCCTGCATTTGACAACTCACCAATCAACAATTCCCAAGTGGACAGCCCAGTTTGTTACCAGAAGAAAGAGGGAGGTATCACAGGCAGGCAGAAACTACAGAAATCCATGTAGTCCTAAAAAATATAACTTAAGCATACTTATGAAGTCAGCATAATTACATGTTTAATAGAGTGTTATTCTTGTATTAAGTAATAATTACTCCTTACTAGACAATCAGTGAAATCCATGGCCAGGAACACACCTCTATCCTGGGTCTGTTCAGATTGTCATCTTTTGTCATTCTGACCTGGTGGCGTTTTCTGATTTCCTAGTCATTCTCACACAACCATGTTCCAGGCCATCTACAGAGCTCTCTCCTACCAATACTGTGGCCTGAGATTTCTCAGTTTCTCTGTCTGCAATTGCTTGAAGTACATATTTTAGGGCCTCATTTGCTGTATTTCTGTAACTCTTGTTCTACCTATTCTATGAGCTTTCACAAAAAACCTTACAGAGATCAGAATATAGGAAAGCTGGCTTTTTCCCAAATATTTTAATGAATGATTTTGTTTGTTTTTGGTAATGAGGCCATTGGTTTTCTTAGCAGGCAAGTAGATCCTGTGATTTCTCACTTATTTTCTTGGACCCATGGCACATTTCCAATGGTGCAACATTATCTCCCATCCCAATGCCATTCTATGATGCCACCTTGCCATCTCCCCTCCATCCCCCCAGCAAGAAGTGTAGTCTAATCCCACTTCTTTCATCTGGGTGGGCTGGTGACTATGTTGACAATACACACAGTATTGAGGAAGTGATGCCATGTGACTTCTGAGGCTGTCATAAAAGGTGATACGGTTTCACCTTGTTTTCTGGAATACTGGCACTTGGGTTGCTGAGCCATATTGTAAGAAGTCTGACCAACCTGCAGCTAGCATGCTGGGAGTAGGCTGGGTTACTTGGAGAGGCTCATGTAAGCACTCCAGTTAGTAGGCCTTAGTCTTTGGAAACTACCCCTGCCACCCCGACCATGCCATGTGCCAGACACCTTCCTATAGTCTGAATATTTGTGTCTGTCCCCAATCCATGTTGAAACCTAACCCTCAAAGCGATGGTATTAAGGGGCTGGCCCTTTGGGAGGTGACTAGGTCATGGAGTGGGGAGCCCTCATGAATGGGACTGTGCTCCTATAAAGGAAGCCAGAGGGAGCTTCTTTGCCCCTTCTACCTTCTTATTGCCTCAGTTTCTAACTCCACAAAATGGGGATAATAGCAATACCTACTTATAGGATAGTTGGGAGTTAACTTACGTAAACTTATGACTGGCACATGATCATCATTCAACTGTGTAATTGTTAGCTGTTTTTACTATAAACAAGTCCTATGTTTTACATGTTGAAGCCTTTCCTGGCTCTTGATAACTCAGATATTGCTGCTAAATCTAAAGGAATTGGTTTAAATTTAAGGCTAAATGTTAGAGTAGTGAGGGTGTGGCCCTGGTTTCCATCCTATAGGTGTGAGGTCATGAGGCTTCAGGGACACTTTATGCCCTCCCAGATGCTGCCACTGAAGTCTGCAGTCTGTAGTGTCAATGCTTGGATCCTTTTAGAGCATTGGAATGGACTCAAATCACGCACGTTTCCATTCAATAATCTCAAAAAACAGTTACACACAATCTCAATATTTAAACTGGTGCCACATACCATAAAGCAAGGCTCAAAGAAGTCCAGACTCTTGACCCTTGAGGGAGGTGAGGTTGCCCAATTGACATCCTCCCATTCCCCATGCCACACTCCTGTGCCCATCTCCCCTCTTAGCTCACAAAATCAATACCCTGGCCCTGCTTCTTTTCTTTTTTGAGATGGAGTTTCGCTCTTGTTGCCCAGGCTGGAGTGCAATGGCGTGTTCTCGGCTCACTGCAACCTCCAGTGCCTGGGTTCAAGAAATTCTCCTGCCTCAGGCTCCTGAGTAGCTGGGATTATAGGCATGCGCCACCATGCCCAGCTAATTTTGTATTTTTAGTAGAGATGGGGTTTCTCCATGTTGGTCAGGCTGGTCTCGAACTCCCGACCTCAGGTGAGCCGCCCACCTTGGCCTCCCAAAGTGCCGGGATGACAGGTGTGAACCACCAAGCCGGGCTGCCCTGCTTCTTTTCAACCTTCCTACGTTTAAATTAGATCATTGCTTCCTTATCCCATGTGTTTCTCACCAGCTCACATTTCACAGAAGTTTTAGGATGCAAGAGACATCAGTCTCAGCTACTGGGGAGACTGAGAGTGGGTGACAGCAACCTCACCCCCGACACGGGCACTCCTGAGCAGATTGTGAATGAGGAGGGTGTAGAATCTAGGCTTCATGTGGTTTCTACTCTAAGGTGGCAGCGTGAACTTCTATCTTCTGGTAAGTAAGTCTGTCCACGCCCATTCCGGATTATACTTTACAGTTCGTTCCTCTCCTCATTGCCACCTTTGCAGCACGAAGCTATTGTTCTGGCCCCGACCATCTGCTGTTTTCCAAGGGAACAGCTTGGGCAAACAAAAGAGATAGCAGGTGGGGCAGGAAAAGAGACCTAATTACCCCCCTAATAGAAAACACAGGGCAAAGATGAAGGACTTCAGGCTGGGTTTATAATAGGATAAGAGCGTTGCTGATGGGAGGGAGCAGGGGCGACAGGGGTCTCTCCCTGTAGGGCCGACAGGAAACCAGAGAGGAACTGAATTTACCACACTGGGCACGGTTGGCTCTAACTGGTTTGCTCTGAAGCAAAGTCTTATAAAACATTGCAGCAATGACAAAAAGAGAAGAAAAACAGTGTAAGTTTTGGAGTATTACTATGTCCTGTTGCCGAATATCCTAGTTATGCACAAAGGTTTTTTTTTTTTTTTCTTTCTTTGCTTCCAAAAAAAACAAAAAAAGACAACTAACTGTCAGTGACCATAGAAATTCAACTTTGTTTTGGGGGTGGATTTCGGGCTTGTTTTGGCAAACTGGGCACAATCCCAGAAGTCCCTCCTATGGCTGCCTCCTCCAGTCAGTTGGAGCCCTCTATGTACAAAGACAAAACTCACAGCATCCACTTGCACAGGAGGAAATGTATTCTAAAGGCCTCTTTTCTTTTTGAAGATCTTCCTCCAAACCTCAACAGGTGAAAAGAATGAGAACCACCGTGATTGTACTAAGTTTGAAAACTACAATCTGAGGATTTTTTTTTTTTTTGGTGGAAATCCACTCATGCAACTTGAAAGGTCAGAGGTAAATGGGCAACTTCTGTAACTTACAGACTTTCAATGTAACAGGGAGAGTCCGGGTACCACGTAATGCCTCATGTGGTTAGAATTTCCTCAGAGAAATGCACAGACCTTCCACTTCAGCTAGGGCTGCCATCTTTTTTTTTTTTTTTTTTTGAGACGGAGTCTCGCTCTGTCACCCAGGCTGGAGCGCAGTGACGTGATCTCGGCTCACTGCAACCTCCATCTCCCAGACTCAAGCAATTCTCCTGCCTCAGCCTCCTGAGTAGCTGGGATTACAGGCACATGCCACCACAACTGGCTAATTTTTTGTATTTTTAGTAGAGATGGGGTTTCCGCCATGTTGGCTAGGCTGGTCTCGAACTCCTGACCTCAAGTGATTCGCCCACCTCGGCCTCCCAAAGTGCTGAGATTACAGACATAAGCCACTGTGCCCAGCATCTAGGGCTGCCATCTTTGATCTCTGCTGGGGAAGAGAAAGAAAGAGGAGAGGCTCCAGGTCTTCAATCCCAGGCAAGGAGAGGGGCGGGGTCCCGACACGTGAGTGCCCCCTCTCCTTCCCCCAAGCCAGTGTTACACAACTGCAGTTGGTCAGAATATATTCAGCAGTTGAAGGGGAAAGGGGATCTTTAAGTGTAAACTGAGGCTGGTATACGGGAAAAGGAGTGAGGAGACCAGCCCCATCTTGGAAACGATGAGGGTTTTGTGAGCCCACTGTGTCCATAACCAGTGATGGCATTTGTGATAGCTGCCTGGCCTTCTGCTGCTCCAGCTGCTCCCTTAAATATCCAAGGTGGAAAGGAACAGATGTGAGGGAAGGAGGGTCCTAAAAGGAGTCTGCCATGTTAACTTAAAAAACGACATCTATAAATTTAGAAAGAAGAGGAGACTATATTTATCTTTCTCTCTCTCTCTCTCTCTCTCTTTTTTTTTTTTTATCTTGAGACAGAATCTCATTCTGTTGCCCAGGCTGGAGTCTGGCAGTGGTGCAATCTCGGCTCACTGCAACCTCCACCTCCTTGGTTCAAGCAATTCTCATGCCTTCACCTCCCAAGAAGCTGGGACTACAGGTGTGCACCACCACACCTGGCTAATTTTTGTGGGGTTTTTTTGGTACAGACAGGGTTTCACCATGTTGGCCAAGCTGGTCTCGAACTCCTGACCTCAAGTGATTCACCTGCGTTGGCCTCCCAAAGTGCTGGGATTACAGACATGAGCCACCACGCCTGGCCAGAGACTGTGTTTCTGTATTTCTTATAAGGGGTTACAGCCTGCAAGGTGGCCATCCCACAGGCTAGGAAGCACAGCGTTGGGCCAAGACCAGAGACAGGTACTTTCAAGGAGGAGGGGTTGGGGTAGGAGCTTTATGCTGAACAAGTTGGCTAACCATACATATTCAATGGGAGCTATGAATATTCATGACGGTGGTCCTGGCATATGTGTATTGAACAAACATGCATGTAACAGATGGCCCATGTTCACTTGGTGGTGGAGACTTAACATTTAAATGTATTACAATTAGGCTGTGTACGTCAAAAGGTCTTTTCAGGACATGAAGATGTGCAAGAACACCATATCTGTAACCCAGCTAGGACCAGTCATGTCGGTGGTCTCTTATCAGATGAAAGTTTCTGAAATCAGTCTCTTGCTCAATCAAAACTGGAGTTCTGGCTGGTGGAACAGGAGTCGGTCAGTCAGCGTCTCTGAACTGAGGAGCTGTGATTATTCTAATGTTGCTTATCTCGAGGCTGGTGCTTGTTTAGCTGCTAGAAAAAAAGAAAAACCTTGGAGCAGTTAGAACATAGTTGACTGTTTAAGTGTAGGGGTGCGTGACTTAACCCTTGCCTGGCATGGCCTTAGGTCCTGTTTATAATTTGGAATCTTATTCTTACAAAGAGTCTGTTCAGTCGTCCTTATTGTTAGCAGTGGCAAATCCATATGGCCACCTTAATTCTTGCTTCCTCAGAAGAAGGAATTCCACCGAGGAGCATAAGGCAGAGTGAGAGACAGAGGCAAGTTTTAGAGCAGGAGTGAATGTTTATTAAAATGTTTTAGAACAGTAACAAAAGGAAGTAAAGTACACTTGGAGGAGGGCCAAGCAGGCAACTTGAGAGATTCAAATGCGACTTTGACTTGGGGTTTTTTATGTTGGCATGCTTCCAGGGTCTTGAGTCCCTTCTCCTCTGATTCTTCCCTTGGGGTGGGCTGTCTGCATGCACAGTGACCTGCTAGCACTTGGGAGGGGCCGCATGTGCTGTGTGTAGTACACAGGCTCCCTTGAGGCGTTCTTCCCTTACCAGCCAAATGTCCCTAGAAAATCATATACCAGCCGGGCATTTTGGGAGGCCAAGGTGGGCAGATCACCAGGTCAAGAGATCGACACCAGCCTGGCCAACATGGTGAAACCCCTTCTCCACTAAAAAATACAAAAATTAGCTGGACATGCATCGTGTGTGCCTGTTGTCCCAGCTACTCAGGAGGCTGAGGCAGCAGAAACACTTGAACCAGGGAGGCGGAGGTTCCAGTGAGCCGAGATCACGCCACTGCACCCCAGCCCGGCGACAGAGGGAGACTCCGTCTCAAAAAAAAAAAAAAAGAAAAAAAAAAGAAAGTCGTATACCAGTTAAACTCCGCCATTGTGCCTTTACTGCATATACTTGAGCCCACTTGCCCAACTCCTGCGATCTTATCTGAAAGCTGCTGATTACCAGCTTCAGATGTTTTCCATTTATTGGGATACTGCCTTTCTCTGGCACTGGCTGTGACCAAATATTATTTTAGAGAGATAGTTTAACAACTACCTTACCATCACCTGATGGTTGCCTGACATTCCTGGTGGGAGCAGGGGCCCCTTCTGCCTTGCTTATGTCTGACTGACTACCTACTGTAACATTATGATTATTTATTTATTTATTCTTGAGACAGAGTCTCACTCCATCGCCCAGGCTGGAGTGCAATGGTGCAATCTTGGCTCACTGCAGCCTCCGCCTCCCAGGGTCAAGTGATTCTCCTGCCTCAGCCTCCCAAGTAGCTGGGATTACAAGTGCCCGCCACCACACCCAGCTAATTTTTGTATTTTTAGTAGAGATGGGGTTTCACCATGTTGGCCAGGCTGGTCTTGAACTCTTGACCTTAAGTGATCCACCTGCCTCGGCCTGCCAAAGTGCTGGGATTACAGGTGTAAGCCACCACACCCAGCCCCCAAAATATATTTCTTTGACATACTTTGAAATGGCTCTGCAAAGCTTTCTCTTGTGGGGAAAAATCTACATTCTGTAGAGGATCCCCTTCCCTTTCCAGGTCCTTTTTCTGATCCAGGAGAGAATTAACTAAGAGTGTGGCACCTTTTTAAGTCTGATAAGAAACATTTTACAATCTATTCTCTTGGAAGCCTGCTACCTTCATGTGCATAATAAAACCTTGGTGTCTACATCTTTTTATCTTAACCCAGACACTCCCTTTTATTGACTCCAGGTCTTTAGATAAAATCTTTGAACCAATTGCCAGTCAGGAAATCTTATAATCCACCTATGACATGGAAGCTCCTCCCCCACCCTCTCCCCACCCCCCCGCTTCCCCCACTTTGAGTTATCCCACCTTCCTGGACCGAGCCAGTCTTCATCTTATGTGTATTGATTGATGTCTTATGTCTCCCTAAAATGTATAAACCAAGTTGTAGCCCAACTACCTTGGGCACACTTTCTCAGGACCTCCTGAGACTGTGTCATTGACATGTCCTTAACCTTGGCAAAATAAACTTCCACATTGATTGAGACCTGTCTGGGATACTTCTTGGTTTACGACACCCATGATGGATCCGTTCCTGTGCCCTTCGGGTGTCTGGGTACATCCTCAGCACCGCCTTTCAGTGTCAAGGAAACCCCAGCTGGATAGCCTTAAAGCAGCTTTAATGCTGCAGACTTTGAAGGCACCCCACAAGGACTGGCCTCTGTTTTACAAAGTCTTCCAGTCTAAGTGCTTCCCAAACTGGAATCATTTGGAGGTTGGGCAAGCTTTGGAAAACCAAAACCAGATTCCAGCCCCAGAGATTCTAAGGTAGAGATTGGAGTGGTACCAGGGTTTCTGTGGTTTTAAGTTTCTAGGTTATTGTGATAGGCAGATTCTCTGTTTAGAAAGTGTGAACCAGACCGGGCACGGTGGCTCACACCTGTAATCCCAACACTTTGGGAGGCCAAGGTGGGTGGATCACGTGGTCAGGAGATCGAGATCACCCTGGCTAACACAGTGAAACCCCATCTCTACTAAAAATACAAAAAATTAGCCAGGCGTGGTGGCGGGCACCTATAGTCCCAGCTGCTCAGGAGGCTGAGGCAGGAGAATGACATGAACCCGGGAGCCGGAGCTTGCAGTGAGCCGAGATCGCGCCACTGCCCTCCAGCCTGGGCAACAGAGCGAGACTCCGTCTCAAAAAAAAAAAAAAAAAGAAAGAAAGTGTGAACCAAAGGTTAGTTGTAATTCATATTCTTTAGGCTTATTTTTCAGGCAGCTTCAGATTAATGGCTAGGGTGGGGTGGGGTAAATGTCAATCAGGTGACTAATCCTTTTGAGACGGCCAACACTTCTGAGAGGATCATATCAATATTAATAAAGATGTACACACAAGCTGGCCTGTGTAAGGAGGATGAACAAACCAGAAAACTCAAATTTACCACATCACACAGGCTATTTCCCTCACAACTACTATAGATCTGCCATCCCCCTGAGGATTATAATTTACTCATCAACACAACAATGAAATTCAATGAAAAACCTTCATAAATGTACATTCTTTTTCATTGACCAGAAGTTACAGACATAACATGCAACAAATAAGACAGTACAGTATCCTCAAAAAGGAGATTTTATTAAGTTGGGATATGGCATTTGGGTATAATTTCATTCTCATAAATAAGAGTATTTATGTTCAGGAGATTTAAAATCAATTTTTTAGGGGCTGATATTCCTCTTAAAAAGGTAAGATTGTTTACACAGATGCTTGTGGAGTTTGTCATACCAGCTGTATTAGTCTGTTTTCACACTGCTGATAAAGATGTACCCAAGACTAGGTAATTTATAAAGGAAAAGAGATTTGATGGACTCACAGTTCCATGTGGCTGGGGATGCCTCACAATCATGGCAGAAGGCGAAAGGCACATTTTATATGGCAGCTGTCAAAGAGAGAATGAGAACCAGGTGAAAGGGGTTTCCCCTTATAAAACCATCAGATCTCATGAGACTTATTCTCCACCACAAGAATAGTATGGGGGAAACCGTCCCCATGATTCAATTATCTCCCACAGGGTCCCTCCCGAAACATGTGGGAATTATGACAGCTACAATTCAAGATGAGATTTGGGTGGAACACAGCCAAACCATATCACCAGTCAAGATGATGAGAACACAACTGTTTTTGAAAAGCAAAATCCTCACAATAAAGAACAAAATCATGTATCCAACATTGTGCTGGATGTTACTTTTCAAAAAGTGAGAGTTCATAAAAATCAATTTAATTTTGATTAATTTTGATTATGGGGGCTAAAGAGACCCCGTTCCCTTCCCCCTTAACAGACAAGAGAGTATGGATAGCTGCACTGCCCAAATTTAAGATCACACTGAATTAGGACAAAGGAATTTTTTTAACTGAACTTGCTGTTTGTTCTTGGTTTTTTTCAGTAATATCCTCCTTAATTTTCACATTGGCTAAATGAATTTTCAAATACAGATATGTGAGTGTAAATATTCTAGGCAAATATATCGGAAAAAAAAAAGCAGGCAGGCACTGCCCATCTTGAACCCGCTTCTAACAGAATGCATCTTTTAGACTTTGTATTGGCTACGCTGCAGGAGCAGCATCATGTGAGGGCAGAATTTTAAGACCAAGTTTGGGTAATTCACCTCTTCTTTCCAGTTTCTTTGTGAACTTGGTCACCATCTCCAGCCCAGTACAGTACAAGCCCTCTCGTGAGTGACTTACTGGAATAGCCAGTACTCTCATTCCTTTTAAGACACACAGATGCTGCTCACAGTGTGCCACACACTCGCACTGGCTTGCCACCCTCCAGAACACCAGGCACTTCTGTCCCTACCAAAGGAGTTGAGTCACACACTTCCCAACGGTCAGCATCAGTTCTGATTATCGTAATTTTATAATTAATTTTTTTTGATGGAGTCTTCTTGAACTGTTGCCCAGGCTGCGGTGCAGTGGCGCCATCTTGGCTCACTGCAGCCTCCACCTCCTGGGTTCAAGCAATTCTCCTGTCTCAGCCTCATGAGTAGCTGGGACTACAGGCACCCGCCACCATGCCTGGCTAATTTTTGTATTTTTGGTAGAGATGGAGTTTCACCATGCTCGTCTCGAACTCCTGATCTCAAGTGATCCGCCCACCTCAGCCTCCCAAAGTGTTGAGATTACAGGCATGAACTACTGTGCCCAGCCTATAATTCAATATTACAGAGCCACTGAAAGGTGATTACAAAAAAAGAGTTGCTTCTATGGCAATTAAGTTGGATGCTGTTGCTACAAATGAATGAGTCAATTAACAGGGCTATTAATTTGGGATGGTAAAGGCAATGGGATGAAGGGTTGGAGGGGAGAGTCCAACAAATCTATAATGATGCTATACTTAGACTGCTTGATAAATTCAGATTCTGCTGAAAGTCTGAAAATGGAAGACAGTGCATTTCAGGTGTGGCTATTTGGGAACAGTGATTTAGAAGTCCAATTAGCAGACCCAGGTGCAAAGAAAGGCCTTTGGTCTCACGTCACAAAATGGGAGAATAAATAGATATTTACATTAGTTAATGTAAAATGTATAAGCCACGGATACATCTTTCTTTGTTTCAATTCCGTGCTTTAACTAGCTTTTACAATAGGAAATGGCTACTCTTGTAATTCTGTCTTAGTCCATTTAGGCCCCTATAATAGAATACCCAGACTGGGTGGCTCATGAACAAACATTTATTTGCCAAGTTCTGGAAGCTTGAAAGTCCAAGATCAAAGCATCAGCACGTTTGGTGCCTGTTGAGGGCCCACTTCATGGTTCATAGACAGCCATCTTCCCTGTGTCCTCACGTGGCAGAAGGGGTGAGGGAGCTCTCTGGGGCTTCTTTTATAAAGGCACTAATCCCATTCACAAGGGCTCCATCCTCATGACCTAATTACCTCCCCAAATCCCAATCTCCTAATAGCATCAAATGGGAATTGGGTTTCAACATACAGATTTTTTGGGGACCCAAACATTCATTGAAGAGCAGGTTCCAAGACTCTTCTCTAGCTCTGTTCTCACCTGATCTCCTGTTTGGTATTTCCAACACCACTAAGACCACCTCAAAGCTAACTCACTATGGGTTTGAATGGGAGGCAGATAGTATTAATAGTTGCCCTTTTACAATCAGACAGACATGGCTTCTATCCAGGTTTCATCATTCCCAGTTGCATGGCTGTGGGCCATTTACTCACTTCTCTAAATCTCAACTTCTTCATCAGGACAGTGAGAGTAATAACGGTTCCTACTTCATTGTATTCTTGTGAAAACTAAATGAAATGGTGTGGGTAGTGTTCAGAAGTGCCCAGCACCCTGTAAGTGCCTAATATATGTCAGTTATAAAAATAATGAACTACTAATTCATATTAAAAATATTATCTTCATGAGGTCAAGAGATTGAGACCATACTAGTCAATATGGTGAAACCCTGTATCTACTAAAAATACAAAAATTAGCTGGGCATGGTGGTGCACACCTGTAGTCCCAGCTACTTGGGAGGCTGAGGCAGGAGAATTGCTTGAACCTGGGAGGCGGAGGTTGCAGTGAGCCGAGATCGCGCCACTGCACTCCAGCCTGGCAATAGAGTGAGACTCCATCTCAAAAAAAAAGATCTTTAATTATTAATAATCCAATGACCTATTATAAAGTATTATTATCAATAATCCCAATAATTATTGATTATTGTTTATTAATATTATTATACATATAACCAAATGTGCATGTCAGGAACTAAGAAGGGTCTGAGATTTTATGCTACTTGCAAGCTAACAAATTAGTCTGCCATAGTTTCATAGATGCTGGCAGAAGACACAATGCTCCTGGGTCAGAGACAAAGGACTTTATTATTCACAGCACTGCAGGAACTATGAGCTTTATGTTCACGCTGGTTCTTGTCCCTCCTAGTCTCATGGGGATGATGATGGCAGGGCCAGGTGGATGTCATATACACAGTAGATCTATGTCATAGCTGAAGGACTTTGAGCTTGAAAAACCTTGATTTTTATGAGGGGACTGCTAACAAATCTGCCCAACCTTTGCTCCAGCGGAAGATGTTATCTTTATAAGCCTGGTCAGGAAAAAATTTGCCTTCTGACACAATAGGAAACACTATCTTTATTTTCCAAGGCTGTTCACTATACCAACATGCCGGAAAAGATTATTCAAGATAAAAGCTATCATGAAACATGTAGAAACACCATAGGATGCAGCCACCCAACAATGTACAGGCTGTGTTTGTCATCTTGGTCTCAAAGACATTGTCCTAAGCCTTGTGGTAACTGTGGCATGTTGTGTAGTGAAGTATGTAGGCAAATAACTGGAATGTGATCTCCTTATCACACATGCAATGCTTTCCACAACATGCCTTTCACCTGTCTCTCCAGCCCTACCCACCTGAAATGCATTCTCAGTGTTTCCAATTCTTTTATGTCCACACCCCATTTCAGCTTGATGAAACCTTATGCAGCCCTTCAAACTCACTTATATGCTACCTCCTTCATGAAGACCTCTCTGATAGCCCCACTGCAACCAGATATTCTTTTCCATCACTGCACCTCCAAATCACTTTGTATCTCTCTTAAGACCCTTACTTTGCATTCATTGTGGTTGATTATCTGTACCTTATGCCCTTTCTTCAAGAGTTTATACATTCCTTTAAGGATAGCAACATGTAGATGCTTGGGGTCCAAGTTTTGTTCAGGGGGTCTGTAATACCAAGGTTTTGTGATGGCATCTGTCATTCTTTTGGGTTCTCCTCCTTAGCTGCACAATGGCTTACAGAGCATTAGGTATCAAGTCCTCCCCTAAGAGACCTCAGGCAAGAAAGATTATGTAGAGTTAAAAATTGTTCTGCTCATAATATTTCCTTATGATAGAGACTCTCTCCCCAAAACTCAAAACAGTGAGTTTGCCTCCAGTGTCCTCTCTCACCTGCTGTTGAAGATTTTTAGAAACTATTTACCACAGAACCATTTTAATTTTCTTTGAACCCAGAAATATTTAGCAAAATACCTGGTACTATAGGTGGCCAACAATACAATTACTATACTGCATTTACTTGCAAACAAAAAGAGCATAAGAAGAGATACAAGGATACCTTATTTTATTATGCTTTGCTTTGTTACACTTCTCAGCTAGTTCTTTTTTTTTTTTTTTTTAACAAATTGAAGGTTTGTGGAAACCCTGCATCAAGTCTCTTGGCACACATTTTTCCAATAGCGTTTGCTCTCTTCATGTCTTCTCTGTGTCACATTTTAGTAATACTTGCAGTATTTTTAATTATCCCATTCTTACTTTATATGTTAAAATAAGACTGCCATGTTCTTATTTTATGGTCATGTTATGGTCATCTGTGATCAGTGATCTTTGATATTACTTACTATTGTGATTATTTTGGGGACACCATGAACCATACTTATATAGGATGGCAAACCTAATAAATGTTGTATGTGTTTAACTGCTCCACTGACCAGCCATTTCCCTGTCTCCCTCCCTCTCCTTGGGCCTCCTTATTCCCTAAGACATGACAATGTTGAAATTAGACCAATTAGTAACCCCGCAATGGCCTCTAACTGTTCAAGAAAAAGGAAGAGTCACACGTCTCTCACTTTAAATCAAAAGCTAGAGATGATTGAGCTTAGTGAAAAAGGCATGGCGAGAGCCAAGGTCAGTCAAAAGCTGAGTTAAACCAAAAGCTAGATCTCTTGCGCCAAATAGCCAAGTTGTGAATGCAAAGGAAAAATTCTTGAAGGAAATTAAAAGTGCGACTGCAGTGAACACACAAATGATGAGAAAGTGAAAGAGCCTTATTGCTGATGTGGAGGAAGTTTGAGTGGTCTGGATAGAAGATCAAACTAGCCACAACATTCCCTTGAGACAAAGCCTAGTCCAGAGCAAAGCCCTAAATGAAGAGCAAAGCCTTCTATGAAGGCTGAGAGAGGCAAGGAAGCAGCAGAAGGAAAGTTGGAAGCTAGCAGAGGTTGATTCATGAGGTTTAAGGAAAACAATCTGTCTCCATAACATAAAAGTGCAAGGAGACACAGCAAGTGCTGATGTCGAAGCTGCAGCAAGTTATTCAGAAGACCAAGCTAAGATCACTGGTGGATGTGGCTACACTAAGCAGCAGATTTTCAATACAGATGAAACAGCCTTCTATTGGAAGAAGATGCCATCTAGGACTTTCATAGCTAGACAGAAGTCAGTGCCTGGCTTCAAAGCTTCAAAGGGCAGGCTGATTTTTTCTTAGGGACTAATGCAGCTGGTGACTTGAAGTTAAAATCAATGCTCATTTACCATTCTGAAAATCCTGGAGTCCTTAAGAATTATACTAAATTAACTCTGCTATGCTCTAGAAATGGAACAACAAAGCCTAGCTGACAGCATATCGGCTTACAGCATGAATATTTTAAGCCAACTGTTTAGACCTGCTCAGAAAAAAAAATTCTCTTTCAAAATATTACTGCTCATTGACAAGGCACCTGGTCACCCAAGAATTCTGATGGAGATGCACAGGGAGGTGAGGGTTGCATCCATTCTGCAGACCATAGATCGAGGAGTAATTTCAACTTTGAAGTCTTATTATATAAGAAATACATTTTGTAACACTATAGCTGCCACAGATAGTGATTCCTCTAATGGTTTTCAGCAAAGTAAATTGAAAATCTCTGAAAGCATTCATTACTTTAGATGTCATTAAGAACATCCCTGATTCATGGGAAGAAGTCAAAATATAAATATTAACAAGAGTTTGGAGGAAATTGATTTCAACCCTCAGGGATGATTTTGAGGGTTTCAAGACTCCACTGAAGGAAAGAACTGCAGATATGGTGGGAACAGCAAGAGCACTAGAATTAGAAACAGAGCTTGAAGATGGGGCAAAACTGCTGCAATCTCATAAAATTTGAAGGATGAGGGTTATGGACTAACAAAGAAAGTGACTTTTTTTTCTTTTTCTTTTTCTTTTTCTTTTTTTTTTTTTTTTTGAGACAGAGTCTCGCTCAGTCTCCCAGGCTAGAGTGCAGTGGCCTGATCTTGGCTCACTGCAACATCCGCCGCCTGGGTTCAGTCAATTCTCCTGCCTCAGCCTCCCAAGTAGCTGGGACTACAGGCGTTCACTACCACGCCTGGCTAATTTTTGTATTTTTAGTAGAGACGGGGTTTCACCATATTGGCCAGGCTTGTCTCGAACTCCTGACCTTGTGATCCGCCCACCTCGGCCTCCCAAAGTGCTGAGATTACAGGCGTGAGCCACCGTGCCCGGCCAGAAAGTGACTTTTTTGAGATGGAATCTACTCCCTATGAAGATTCTGTGAACATTATTGAAATGACAATAAATGAGTTAGATTATTACATAGACTTAGTTGATAAAGCAGCAGCAGCAGGGTTTGAGAGGATTGACTCCAGTTTTGAAAGAAGTTCTACTGTGGGTAAAACTAGTAGCACTGCATACTACAAAGAAATCTTCCCTAAAAGGAAGAGTCCATTGATGTGACAAACTTCACTGTTGTCTTATTTTAAGAAATTGCCACAGTCACCCCAGCCTTTAGCAACCACCACCCTGATGAGTCAGCAGCTATTGGCATCAAGGCAAGACCCTTCACCAGCAAAAAGATCATGACCCACTGAAGGCTCAGATAATTGTTAGCATTTTTTAGCAATAAAGGATTTTTAATCAAGGTATGTACATCTTTTTTTTTTTTTTTTTTTTGAGATGGAGTCTCTCTGTCGCCAGGCTGTAGTACAGTGGTGCGATCTCGGCTCACTGCAACGTCCAACTCCTGGGTTTAAGCAATTCTCCTGTATCAGCCTCCCAGATAGCTGGGACTGCAGGCACATACCACCAGGTCCAGCTAATTTTTGTATTTTTAGTAGAGATGGAGTTTCACCACGTTGGCCAGGCTTGTCTTGATCTCTTGACCTCGTGATCTGTCTGCCTTGGCCTCCCAAAGTGCTGGGATTACAGGCGTGAGCCACCATGCCTGGCCGGTATGTATATCTTTTTAGACATAATGATATTGCACATTTAACAGACTGCAGTATAATATAAACATAACTTTTATATGCACTGGGAAATTTTAAAAAATTGTGACTCACTGTATTGTGATATTCACCTTACTGTGGTGTTCTGGAACCAGACCTGCAATATCTACAAGATATATCTGTATTTTTAAAAAGTCATTGAAATTCCAAAGCTGGAGAGTTTAATCTTGGCTGCAGTGGTCAGTCTAGAATAAAGTAAGTAGCATTTGAGATATGCCTTGAAGAAAGAGTTAGAATTCAGTTGTTTGCACAGGTGAGGTGAGGGTTATAGGCATTCCTCCAGGAAGAAGGGAGAAGTATTACCCCCAGTCTAATGCTGTCACCTGAACACCTCAAGCCTTTGTTTACTGGGATCTCTCCTCCAAAAGCTCCTGTGGCTTGCTGAGTTGTAATATTTAGACATCTGCTGAGACATCACCCGCTCAGAGAAATCTTGCCCCATCATCCTATCTAAAATAACCCCACCCCACTGCCATTTCTTACCCCCTTACCCTACTTACAATCACCTGAACCATATTTTCTTATTCATTTGCCCATAGTCTCATAATACAATGATTCTTTGTATCCATTTGCTAGGGCTTCCATAACAAAATACCACAGTGTGGGTGCATAAACAATGTAAACTTATTTTCTCCAGTTCTGGAGGCTGGAAGTCCAAGATCAAGGCATCTGCAGGGCTGGTTTCTCCTGGGGCCTCTCTCCTGGGCTTGCAGGTGGCAGCCTTCTGGCTGTGTCTTCACCTGGCCTTTCCTCTGTGTGAGCATACCCCTGGTGTCTCTCCATGTCCTTATCTTCTCTTCTTGTAAGGACACCAGTCATATTGGATTAGGGCCCAACTTAATAGCCTCATTTTCACACAATCACCACTTTAAAGGGCCCATCTCCACATAGTCCCATTGGAGGTACTGGGAATTAAGGCTTCAACATATAAATTTGGGGGGACACAATTCAGCCCAGAACACTCTTCTTTCATCTTTCCAAATATATTATCATCTCCCCTGCAGGGATATGGGCCACACAGGGACAGGGATTTGGTCTCTCTCATTGCTGAATCTCCAGTGCCTAGAATAGGGTCCAACACCCACCCCCCACCACACACACACACACACACACACACACGCACACACTAGGCACTCAATGCATATTTGTTGAAGGACTAAACAGTGAATTAAAGGGATCCAGGTTCTTCTCATTTGACTACAAATGGTTAATCTAGCTTAATACTGGAACTTCCCCACTCATGTCCAGATCTGCCTGATGTGTGTGGAGTGGTGCTGGCATGTGTTGCTGATGGCTCTGGTCCCTGCCTCTTGCTTTGGGTTGGACATTTCTGCATTCTGCAGCCTCCTGCCCTACTCATCTGGTGGCCCACTACTCTGTCAGCCCTCAGTGTCCTCCTGTGGTGGCATGCAAAAGAGCCTGGGCTGATGTATGTGTCCCTCAGGGTTGGTGCACTCCCCAAGAACTTTCTGTCTGAATGCTTCCTTCTGCTCTCCCTAGGCTGAACCTGGAAAGCCAGAAACAAGCTTTCTGCTCAGGGATTGCCTTCCCCACCTTTCTGGCATACTTCGGAGTTTCTGTTCATCCTGATGCCCCTGGGAATTTGACCTTAACAAGCAATGAAGTCTCTCTCCTTCCCCTTCTATCTGTTGGGACTTCCCTCACACCAGATCCTCCTTGTTCCCTGCTTCAGCCTCACAGCATGCTCTCGGTAGAGGAGAGGCTACCAGAAGAGAAGGAGGAGGAGGAGGAAGGGGAGGAGGATGTGGATTAAGAGAAACAGGAGGAGGAGAAAGAGGAGTGGAAGAAGGAGAAGGAAAAGAGGAAGCGCAAGAAGGGGAAGGAGGGAGGGGCAGAGGGGGAGGAACACCAAGAGGAAAATTCTTCAGTAGGCATTTCAAAAATTGCTTCCTTGTTTCATCACAATGATGGAAACTTTCCTAATTGGGAGAGAGAAGTTGGTAAGGAAGAAGTGCAAGAGCCCTGAGCTACTTCTGTATCTTTCTCTTGTGGACCCAGGAAGGTTTCACGGGCAGCTCAAGCAGGGAGATCAGGCACCATCAGCCATTCTGACCACCCCAGTATTAGGGAAATTATGAATGTCCCACTTCCAACACCTGGAAGCATCAGCCACTGACCAGCTATGGCCCTCAGTCACCCGAGACCCAGAATAAGGCATGGAATTCCACCATGAACCATGTGTGTTTAAATGAGAAGGGAAGTCACTGAATCCAGATCTTTCTTTCTCAGCTAATGATCAGAAGTAAGTTTTGTGTGAAGCTTCAACAACTGTAAATAGTAAAGCATCATTGCTCTGACCTCAACCTGCTCTGAACTCTTCTTCTAATTAGATGTCTCTGGTTTATTCCTGTGGCCAAAGCAAGATCTCTCTCCAGATTTTCTAGGGTATTCTCCACCTTCAGCCTCCTGGCAAGTGTCCCACCAAAAGAAAATTGAAAAGTATTATGTAATGTTATCTTTGTTGAATGTCCTCTTTGAGGGGCTGCTGCCATTGATAGGCAGTAGCAGTACAAGGAGAAGCTCATGGTGCTGTTCGTACCTTTCCAAGTGTCCCTACCTAACTTATCTAGACGGCCATTGCTATGGATAGCAATTTATTGTGCTATTATAGATAGCATTTTATTATGCTATAAAATATCTGTAAAAGGGGGAAAATAATAAAATTTCTAGCTATGAATGAGCGTCCCTAGCATCTTTAGGGATGCTCATTCATAGCTTAACAATTTGTATGTGATGGGAAAATGCATTTGTAATTTTATATAATATTATAGCCCACAGAACACTGGGTATATAGCAATGAAAGTTGACTTCTTTGCCCCTGCTGTTGAGAGGATGCTTAGAAGTGTTACCTAGAATATGACACAAAATAGCCCAATGGGAGAGCCATTTTCTGCACAAACATTAAGGAGAAAGTGGTCCTGCAAACCCGTGTGGTCTTAGGCACACAGAAGAAGGTACAAACAGGACTAGAATAGAGTCTGTCTTTTTCTGGGCACACTGGTTATCATCAGCCTTCCAGGTTGATTTCTAACAGAACCCACTAAATCACTTGTGCAAGTTATTGTTTACGCATGTGTGTGAACTACTCAGGATTCTTGCAGCTGTGAGTGAGAGAGACATAGAGACATAACTCAGACTGGCATAAACTAAAACTAAAAGGGAATTTATCAGCTCCTGTTACTACCACGTCTGGGTTACTTCTGGCTTTAGACAGAGGTGGATCTAGAATTTGAACTGTGTTATCGCCACCCTCATCCCTCCCTCTTTAGCTCTCTCCTTCTCTCTCTCTGTTTTTCTCCACTTCACATCTCACATGTCTCTTCTTGGCCTCAGTTTTCAAATAGTTGGGGACTCTCCATATGGCTGCTCTAGACTCAATTCCCCTGGTTTAGCAACTGCATAGAAAGAACTGTGCCTATTAGCTCTGGTACAGAAATCCCAGGAAGAGGCGGGCCTATTTCAGTTTCCATACGTATCCTGTGGTTGCAAAGATAGAATACCCTCATTGGCTAGGTGGAGAAGGGAGCTCTAGTCACATGCAGTAGGCTTCCCATAGTAATGAAGGGTTCTGTTTCTAGAATAAGTAGAGATGGCACACTGGGCAAACAGGGACAACATACTCACTACAAATGTCTATATAAAATTATTTGTTTACAATTCTAGGTTCTGGGTACAGATAGTCTCAGCTAATCCATTTTGTTTATTTTCTTATTTATTTATGTGCTTTATGAAGACTCCATTGAGAAACTGTTATTTTAAAATATGCATCAGGGAAATCCTCAAAGATGGCTGACTAGCAGTGCCCAGTGCTTGTCTCCTCCACAAAGAAAGAAAAAAACAAATTAGCCAGGTGTGGTGGTATGCACCTGTAATCCCAGCTACTTGGGAGGCTGAGGCAGGAGAATCTCTGGCAACTGGAAGGCAGAGGTTGCAGTCAACCAAGATCGTGCCACTGCACTGCAGCCTGGGAGACAGAGAGACTCCATCTCAAAAAAAAAAAAAAAAAAAAGAGAGAAAGACCAAAACAACAAATAAATAACTGCACTTTGAGTAGAGTGTCTAAGGGAGAATCCTGGAATTCATCAAGGAAGTGATAAAAACTGTCTGAAACACAGAAAGTTGGGATGGTAGAAGCATAGAGAGGGAAGCAAAGCACTCAGCCAGGATTGACTCAGAGTCAAGAGGGACTCCCTATTGCACAAAGGTAAGTGAGAGTTACCCAGCAGTCCTCATTACCAACATGAATGGTTAAAATACTAGCTACAGGAGAGCACCACAGTCCTCACAGTCCCTGAGCCCATTAGAATGAGCTGCCTGGAGTCCATGAGGCTGCACTGCTCTAAGAAGGAACTCATGCTACGTCCCTCCCACTCCCTGAGACCCAAGATGCCATTTTGAGAACAGATCTATGCTAGACTGCATCATGTCCTGGGGCCTAATAACCCCTGTATCTCCACATACCTGGGGTCCCACTGTTATCCCACCATGCTCACACAAAGTGTTGTGGTGCTACAACCACAGCTAGACACAGTGGTATAGCCATGTCTGCCACCTGAGACCATGCACACCACAAGGAACAGGAGGTCTAGCACAGCAGGGAGGCCACCCCTGAGGTGTGGGGAGCCAATATATGTGCTCATCAGGGCCTGAGAACCAGCTTCCTGGTGATCCCACACCCTCAACCAGCAGAGCTGCCACATGTACTCCCAGGGCAGGGACCAGCATACCTGGCACCTGCCACAACCAGCGACCCTGTCCCTTTGACTGGCAGAGCAGAACTACCCAGGGAACAGGTACTGCCCTACCCAGCACTAACTGTTGCTGGCAACATCACCCCCATGACCAGCAGAGCTGCCACACCTGGTGCATGTTCCCCTAGATTCTGAGAACTAGCTTGCCCAGCAGTCCCCATCTCCAGTAAAAACACACTACTGCCACCACAAACATCTGCAGTCTAGGCCAATGAGACCACACACCAGTGATTGATTACAGCAGTGGAAATCACATGGAGACAATGCTACTGCACTACCAGAACAAAAGCCAAAGGGAGGGATGAGAGTTGTGATAACACAGTTCAAACACTAGATCCAGGCCTATAGAAAGCTGGAAGTAACCCAGACGTGGTAGTAACAAGAGCTGATAAATTCCCTTTTTGTTTTTGTTTATTCCAGTCTGAGTCTCTATGTCTCTCTCACTCACAGCCAACGCTATAGGACACATCTATAGGAAAAAGTCTTTCCCTATGGAAGCTACTCCCTTAAACTAGAAGAGGTGACTGTTCCACCAGATGCACAGATATCAACATAAAGACCCAAGAAACACAAAGAAGCAAAAACAAAACGAAACAAAAAACACACAAACAAATGAAACGAAACACAACACTTCCAAATGAACATAATAATTCTCCTGTTACAGACCCTAAAGAAAAGAAAATCTATGAAATACTAAGAAGAACTTGAAAATAATGATCTTAAGGAAACTCAGTAAGATATAAGAGAATACAGAATAACAATTCAACAAAATCAGAAAAACAATTTCTAAACTGAAAGAGAAATTCAACAAGGATGGAGATACCATTAAAAAGAATCAAACATAAATTTTGAAGCTGATGAATTCAATGGATAAAATGAAAAATACAATCCAAAGCTTCAACAGACTAGATCAAGCAAAGGAGTTTTAGAACTCAAAGATAGTCTTTTGAAATAACCCAGTTAGAAAAAAGGAAAGAAAGAAAAAGAAAAGAAAAAAGAATAAAAAAGAATGAAGAAAGCCTATGGGGCTTAAGGGATACCATTAAGCAAATTAATATTTGGAGTACAGGAATTACAGAAGAGGAGATGGAAACAGGCATAGAAGACCTAATTAATGAAATAATAGCTGAAAACTTCTCAAGTCGTGGGAGAGATATGGACATCCAGATCCAGAAAATTCAACAGTCTCTAAATAGATTCCACCCAAAAAGGTCCTCTCTAAGGTACATTATAGTGAAACTGCCAAAAGTCAAAGCAAAACAGAATACTAAAAAGAGCAAAGGAAATATGTTAAGTCACATGTAAGGGGCTCTCTATTAGACTAACAACAGATTTGTCAGCAGAAACCTTATAGGCTAGAAGAGAATAGGATGATATATTCAAAATACTGAAAGAAAAAAAATCTGCCATGAAAGAATATTATACCCAACAAATCTATCCTTTAGATATGAAGAAATGAAGTCTTTCACAGACAAGCAAAAACTGAGGGAATTCATCACCACTAGATTGGCTTTATAAGAAATCTTTAAGGGAGGCCTACATCTGGAAGTGAAAGGACAATTACTACCATGACAAAAATATAAAACTATAAAACTCATTGTAGACCAGAGATACAAAACAACCAGAACACAATTCACAAAATGAAAAGAGTACATCTTCACCTATCAGTAATAACTCTGAGTGTAAATGGATTAAATTCCCCAATTAAAAAGATATAGACTGGATGAATGCATTAAAAAAAAAAGACCCAATTATATCCTGCCTATAAGAAACTCACTTCACCTATAAGGATACACAGAGACTGAAAGTAAAGAGATGGAAAAAGATAATCTACAGAAACGGAAACAAAAAGGGAGAAGGACTAGCTATGCTTATATCAGATAAAATGAGATAAAATGAGATAAAATGGACTTTAAGTAAAAAATTGTTATAAAGAAAAAGATGGTGTTGGTTCGGCTCCATGTCCCCACTCAAATCTCATGTTGAATGTTGAATTATAATTCCCAATGCTGGAGGTGACGTCTGGTGGGAGGTAATAGGATCATGGGGGTGGTTTCTGATAGTTTAGCACCATCCCACTGGTGCTGTTTCGTGATAGAGTTCTCGAGAAATCTGGTTGTTTAAAACTGTGTAGCACCTCCTCCTTAGCTCTTTTCCTCCTTCTCTAGCCATATAAGATGCGGATCCTTCCTCTTTGCCTTCTGCCATGATTGTAGGTTTCCTGAGGCCTCCCCAGCCATGCTTCCTGTTTAGCCTGCAGAACTGTAAGTCAATTAAACCTCTTTTCTTTATAAATTACCTCAGGTAGTTTTTTATAGCAATGTGAGAATGGACTAATACAGCTGATCATTATATAATGAAAATAGATCAATACAGCAAGAAGATATAACAATTATAAATATATATGCATCCAACACTGGAACACCCAGATATATAAACCAAATATTATTAGACCTCAAGGGAGTAATACATTCCAATATAATAATCGTTGCAGACTTCAACATCCCACTCATCATTGAACAGATCATCTAGATAGAAAACCAACAAAGAAACATCAGATTTATTCAAGACCAGCCTGGCTAACATGGTGAAACCCCATCTCTACTAAAAATACAAAAATTAGCTGGGCGTGGTGGTGTGTGCCTGTAGTCCCAGCTACTCAGGAGGCTGAGGCAGGAGAATTGCTTCATCCCAGGAGGTGGAGGTTGCAGTGAACCGAGATTGTGCCACTGCACTCCAGCCTGGGTGACAGAGCAAGACTCCATTACAAAAAAAAAAGGAAGAAAGAAACATCAGATTTAATTTGCACTATAGACTCAAATGGCCCTAACAGACATTTACAGAACTTTTCATCCAACAGCTGCAGAATAAACATTTTCTCATTAGCGCACAGAATATTCTCCAGGATAGACTTCATGTTAGAGTACAACACAAGTCTCAACAAAGTTTAAAATATTGAAATCATATCAAGTATCTTTTCTGCCCACAGTGAGATAAAACTATAAATTAAGAACAAGAGGAATTTTGCAAATGGTACAAATACATGAAATTTAAACAACATGCTTCTGAAAAACCAATTGTTCAACGAATAAATTAAGACAGAAATTTAGGCCAGGCACAGTGGCTCACACTTATAATCCCAGCACTTTGGGAGGCCTAGGCAGGTGGATCACCTGAGGTCAGCAGTTTGAGACCAGCCTGGCCAGCATGGTGAAACCCCATCTTTACTAGAAATACAAAAATTAGCTGGGCATGGTGGCACTTCCCTGTAATCCCAGCTACTCAGGAGGCTGAGGCAGGAGAGTCTCTTGAACCCAGGAGTTGGAGGTTGCAGTGAGCTGAGATGGCACTACTGCACTCTAGCCTGGGTGATAGAGCAAGACCCCATCTCAAAAAAAAAAAAAAAAAAAAAAAATCAAAAAAATTTTCTGACAAATGAAAACAGAAACACAACATACCCAAATCTATGGAATACAGCAAAAGTAGTACTAATGGAAGGTTTATAGCAATACATGTCTACATTGAAATATAAAGATTTCAAATAAACAACCTACTAATGCACCTTAAGGAACTAGAAAAGCAAAAAACAAACCGAACCCAAAATTAGTAGAAGAAAAGAAATAATAAAGATCTGAGCAGAGATAAATAAAGACTAAAAAAGTACAAAAGATCAATGAAATAAAGTTTGTTTTTGAAAAGATAAAATCAACAAACCATTAATTAGAATAACTAAATGAAAAAGAGAGAAGACCCAAATAAATAAAATCGGAAATAAAAAGGAGACATTACAACTGATACCAGAGAATACAAAGGATTATTAGAGACTTTATGAGCAACTATACACCAACAAATTGGAAAACCTAGAGGAAATGGGTAAATTCCTGGATACATACAACCTACCAAAATTCAACTGGGGATCGGGTGCAGTGGCTCACACCTGTAATCCCAACACTTTAGGAGGCCAAGGTGGGCGGATTACTTGAGGTCAGAGTTCGAGACCAGCCTGCCCAACATGGTGAAACCCTGTCTCTACTAACAAAAATTAGTCAGGTGTGGTGGCACACGCCTGTAGTCCCAGCTACCTGGGAGGCTGAGGCATGAGAATCGCTTGAACCTGGGAGGCAGAGGTTGCAGTGAGCTGAGATTGCACCACTGCACTCCAGCCTGGGTGACAGACTGAGACTCCATCTCAAAAAGAAGAAAGAGAGAAGAAGAAAGAAAGAAAGAAAGAGAGAGAAAGGAAGGAAGGAAGGAAGGAAGGAAAGAGAAAGAGAGAGAGAGAGAAAGAAAGAGAGAAAAAGAAAGAAAGAGAAAGAAAGAAAGAAGATTCAACTGGGAAGAGACAAAGCCTCAACAAGTCTATAATGAGTAAGAAGATTGAACGAGTAAGAAAAAGTCTCCCAAAAAAGACAAACCCAGGACTAGATGGTTTCAATGTTGTATTCTACCAAGTTTTTAAAGAAAAAATAACACCAATTCTTAAATTTTTCAAAAACATTGAAGGAAGGAATTCTTCCAGACTCATTGTATGAGACCAGCATCACCCTGGTACCAAAACTAGACAAAGACATAACAAAAAAGAAAACTACAGGTCAATAATACTGATGAACACAGGTGCAAAAATCTTCAACAAAATATCAGCACACTGAATCCAATAGCACATCAACAACATTATACACCAAGATCAAGTGGGATTAATCCAAGGGATGCAAGGATGGTTCAACATATACAAACCCATAAACATGACACATCACATCAGTAGAATGAAGAACCAAAATCATATGACCATCTCAACAGATACAGAAAAATCACTTGATAAAATTCAACATCCCTTCAGGATAAAACTCTCAACAAATTAGTTATAGCAAGAACATACCTCAACACAATAAGGGCCGTATGTGACTAATCTACAGCTAACATTATACTGAATGGGGAAAAATTGAATGCTTTTCCTCTAAACTGGAACAATACAACTGGATGCTCATTTTCACCACTCTTACTCCACATAGTACTAGAAGTCCTAGACAGAGCAATTAGACAAGAGAAAGAAATAAACGGCATCTGAATTGGAAAGGAGGAAATTGTCCTTCTTTGCAGATGACATAATCTTATATTCAGAGAAACCTAAAGGCTCTACCAAAAAAACTCTTACTTCTAACAAATTCAGTAAAGTTTGTCAAGTCTGAGAGTGTTTTTGGTGGAGCCTTTAGGTTTTTACGGTATGAAATCAATATTACCTAACATTAAGAAAAATTAGTAATGTTTCTATACGCCAATAATGAACTAGCTGACAAATAAATCAAGAATGCAATCCTGGCTGGACGCGGTGGCTCACGCCTGTAATCCCAGCACTTTGGGAGGCCGAGGCGGGTGGATCACAAGGTCAGGAGATCGAGACCATCCTGGCTAACACGGTGAAACCCCCATCTCTACTAAAAAAATACAAAAAATTAGCTGGGCGTGGTAGCAGGCACCTGTAGTCCCAGTTACTCGGGAGGCTGAGGCAGGAGAATGGCGTGAACCCAGGAGGTGGAGCTTGCAGTGAGCCGAGATTGTGCCACTGCACTCCAGCCTGGGCGACAGAGTGAGACTCCGTCTAAAAAAAAAAAAAAAAGACAACTTTTCATATATAGTATAATAAGCAGAATAAATCCATAAAGCTGAGAATAGGAAATATCATGTAGAGAAAAATCAAGAAACCAGCAACTAGTTTTGTTGTTGTTGTTGTTGTTTTTGAGATGGAGTCTTGCTCTGTTGCCCAGGACGGAGTGCAGTGGCACAATCTCGGCTCACTGCAACCTCCGCCTCCGGGTTCAAGCAAATTCTCCTGCCTCAGCCCCCACTAGTAGCTAGGATTACAGGTGCGCACCACTATGCCCCGCTAATTTTTGTATTTTTAGTAGAGACAAGGTTTTGCTATGTTAGCCAGGCTTGTCTGGAACTCCTGACCTCAGGTGATCCACCCGCCTTGGCCTCCCAAAGAGCTGGGATTACAGGCTTGATCCACCACACCTGGCCTAGATTCTTGTTTCTAAACACCAGTCTTCAATAATAGGAATCAGGGCTCCTTGGAGAAAAGCTAATTCTAGGGCTGGGGAGGGAAAAATATATGATGGAGCATATGTCTTTGGAGCATCTTGTAGTACCAGGAAGCAAGGAAGTGCTCAAAAACAAAAGAATGGGCACGTGCCAAAGGGAGGCAGAAGCCAGCCAGAAAGAGCTCTGCATGAACAAAGCTGGGACAATCTGAGCAGCAAATTAGGGTATGTTCAATGGCAATACAATAAGCAGTCACTATAATTATATTGACCAACATTTTATGTATTTATTTGTAGAGACAGTGTCTCACTCTGTTGTCCAGGAGTGCAGGGGCACAATCCTAGCTCACTGCAGCCTTAAACTCCTGGGCTCAAGTGATCCTCCCTCCTTAGCCTCCCAAAGTGTTGGGATTACAGGTATGAACCACCACTCCTGGCCATAAATATTAACATTTTAAAACACGTGGAAATAATTTACATTGAGTGAGAAAAAATAAACCAGGTTTCCAAACTGTACATCTATCTATATAAATATACATATGATTAATAGGGAATGGTCATAAATATTCAAAATGTCAAGTGTGGTCATGTTACTGGCAGAATTATTTCCTGGTTTCCATAATGTTGTATTCTTTTTGCATAGTTTTTATCAAGATTAACATGCAAATAATCACCCTCTAATGTCTTTTAAAACTATAGATTTTCTTGTTGGAGATTTGCTTAAGACACATTTATCTATAATTTCTTCACACTGCAAACTTCAGAGTCTAAATTTACGTCTCTCCATATGACATTCCAAGGAACCGCAACAGTCTTTAGTATCACCTCTGAAAACTGCCATCCTTATAATTGTACAGATGGGCACCACTCCACTTTATTGCTTTTATTTTTTAGAGATGGAGTCTTACTATGTTGCCCAGGCTAGCCTTAAACTCTGGGCTCAAGTGATCCTCCCATCTCAGCCTCCCAGGAAGCTGAAACTGTAGGCACATGCCAGCACACCGGGTGTTGCTCCACTTTGAGGGTGTAGTTTTTTATCATAAAGAATCTTTGGGCCGGGTGCAGTGGCTCACACCTGTAATCCCAGCACTTTGGGAGGCCGAGATGGGCGGATCACCTGAGGTCAGGAGTTCGAGACCAGCCTGGCCAACACGGCAAAATCCCATCTCTACTAAAGATACAAAAAACATTAGGCGGGCATAGTGGTGGGCGCCTGTAATCCCAGCTACTCGGGAGGCTGAGGCAGGAGAATCACTTGAACTCGGAGGCGGAGGTTGCAGTGAGCTGAGATCCTGCCACCGCACTCCAGCCTGGGTGACAAGAGCAAAATATCATCTCAAAGAAAAAAAAAAAAAAAAAAAAAAAGAAGACGACTCTTTGGAAGTGAAAACAAGCATGTGGTAGGAACCAGGACTCTTTGGAAGTGAAAACAAGCATGTGGTAGGAACCAGGTAAGCAGCTGTGCTTGAACCAGACTCCAGAGCATGGGGAGGGGAATGTGAGCCATGGTGTCGTGTTCTGGAGACAGCTGTGTTTAGAGGGTGTGCCAGGCACAGCAAGGAAACGTTCTCTTCGAACTTCCCCAGTGAGAGGATAATATAACCCTGAGATTTCCCTTCTATGTCAAATGCCAGGAAAGGAAAGCCACATGAGCTATCTTGTTGACATTAGTACGTGAGGACAAGTCCTGTCTGGGTATGTTAAGGGGAACGCGTTGTAAATAACCCAATCTGTGAACTTTGGGGCTTGGCTGGCCCAAGCTTCCCCCGTGTTATGCTTGGTGAGTTTGGCTTTTAAACCAGCAGCACACCACAGGAAATGCAAATAAGCATTTTAAAAATCCACTGGGACAAAGGAGATCTCTAACTTACAACCTTCCCAGAGCTAGATATTTAACATTCTGAGCACATTTTACCAGAAAAATAATGTTGTGGCCAGCCACTGGGACCCAAGGAGCCCACAGACGTCTACTTACCCCACCTGGAGCTGAACGCAGGCCATGGGGTGTCCTTGCCATGGAAAAGGCCAGTAAGGAAACAGGAGAGTAATAAAACAGGACAACTCATCTTTGTCTCTTTCTCTGAAATCCGCATGTTTGAAGAACGATGGGATGAATTAATGGAGAAAGTAAATGGCAGAAGTAAACGGCAAAACATGTTTTCTTTTACAATTCTGAAGGGAATTTGTGTGCCCTTGCAAGGACTTTAGTAACCAAATCACCTATTCTTTACAAAGTGTACTCTTACTTGAAGGAAGGCATGTGTGCTGTATGCATATGGATATAGTTGTATAGATAATATACAGCTGCCCACACACACTCAGCTGCAATAAATGCTGCTCTTGATTTTCTAAATCATATGACTAATTTGGTCCACCCCTGTATTAGTCTGTTCTCACGCTGCTAATAAAGACAGACCCGAGGCCGAGCGCAGTGGCTCACACCTGTAATCCCAGCACTTTGGGAGGCCGAGGCGGGTGGATCATGAGGTCAGGAGATTGAGACCATCCTGGCTAACACAGTGAAACCCCATCTCTACTAAAAATACAGAAAATTAGCCAGGAGTGGTGGTGGGCACCTGTATAGTCCCAGCTACTCAGGAGGCTGAGGCAGGGAAATGGTGTGAACCCGGGAGGCGGAGCTTGCAGTGAGCTGAGATTGCACCACTGCACTCCAGCCTGGGCGACAGAGCGAGACTCCGTCTCAAAAAAAAAAAAAAAAAAAAAAAAAAAAGAGACATACCCGAGACTGGGTAATATATATTAAAAAAAAAAAAAAAAGGGTTTAATAGACTCATAGTTCCACATGGCTGGGGAGGCCTCACAATCATGGCCGAAGGTGAATGAGGAGCAGTCACATCTTACATAGTGGCAGGCAAGAGAGCTTGTGCAGGGGAACTACCCTGCACAAACCATCAGATCTCATGAGACTTATTTACAAGAACTGTGTGGGTGAAACCGCCCGCATGATTCAGTTATCTCCACCTGGCCCCACCTTTGACACATGGGGATTATTACAATTCAAGGTGAGATTTTGGTGGGGACACAGCCAAACCATATCAACCCCTATAAGAGAAATGGCAAGAAAATCTCAGTCATGAGGAAAGACGTCTCCCTGCACTCCCAGGTTGTTATATAGAACTGCCTTGAACTGGCCGGGCGTGGTGGCTCACGCCTATAATCCCAGCACTTTGGGAGGCCGAGGCGGGCGAGCACGAGGTCAGGAGATAGAGACCATCTTGGCTAACACGGTGAAACCCCATCTCTACTAAAAAAAAAAAAAATACAAACAATTAGCCAGGCATGGTGGCAGGCGCCTGTAGTCCCAGCTACTTGGGAGGCTGAGGCAGGAGAATGGCGTGAACCCGGGAGGCGGAGCTTGCAGTGAGCCGAGATTGCGCTACCACACTCCAGCCTGGGCGACAGAGCAAGACTCCCTCTCAAAAAAAAAAAAAAAAAAAAAAGAAATGCCTTGAACTAATGCTAAGAACTATAGGCAGAGTTTCTGGCATTCCCTAAGGTAATACGAGTAGCAGTTGTTCCTTCCCAGGGTGGGATAGTGAACATGGTGTGCATATTTTATAGAGAAATCACATTGAGGCCAGCCATTGGGTTCCAGGCTGACACTACGTGCCTGACAGTTTTAAAGAGGTTAAGGATGGAGCTTAACCTTAGAGATAGAGTTGCTCCACCTCTAAGGAGATGGAGAGACCCCTGGCTAGGCCAGGATCTTCATCCCACCCTCCCCTGTCCTCTGCTGACTGGATCAGGAATCTCCTGACTCAAGGGCAACCAGTGATGTGGCCAGATGTGAACAGATGTGAGGCTTCAACCACATTCTCTTGCTCTTGGAAACTTTAACATGGGCAATGTCGGGAGACTGAGGCAGTTAGAGGTGGGGCAGCAGCTTCTCCAACAAGCTTGAAGGTCTGGGAGTGAGCCAATAGAATTTGTGCAGCTAAGATTGGGTGACCAACCTGTGGAAAAGAAAAGCCCACGGGCAGAATAGGGGGCCTCAGGAAATTGCATCAGCTGCAGAGTCCCAGAGAGGAGGTCCCAAGGTCTCACTGCTCAGGTCTTAGAGCTGCCAGGGGTTCCAGGCAGGTTCTAATTCCAGTCTCCACCTGGCCCATCTCCATAGATTACCAGGCAGTGCCGCCATGCTGGAGCCCTCCTTGCATGGGAAGACTTGACTTCCCTGCATGCAAAAGCATGTGGCTCACACAATCCCAGGTGTGGCCTTTGTTGAGACTGGGAGGGACCACAGGCCAGGTAGCCTGAGGCTGGGCTGAGCTCATTCTGTTCTTTAGTGGAAAGGTCTCAAGCTGAACTCAAGAATACAACCTACAGGGCCGGGGTGATGTCTTGGTTTTTGTTCCATTTTTAATGTGGTATGAGGATAAAAGAAAAAAAAAAAAAACTCAACTAAAACAAGTGCTATGAAAGCTCATGGAAATGTTCCAGAGATCTCCTTTATTAAAAACAGAAAGCATTTTCAAGGATTTTTCAAGAAGGCTTTGTCCAAATAAAAGCTGGGTTTCAAAAACATCACCTTCGTTGGAAAAGTTTCCATCCACCTTCGTTGGAAGAGTTTCCATAAGGACTAGCGGCTTGTGTGTGGGAAATGACACCCCGCCCCTTTTCTTCTCTAAAGTGCACACTTCAAACAGCATCCGGCCAAGCACCGTGGATTTGCAGACAGACCTGGCAATGTCTGTAGAGTGCCGCTGGGCATCAGGAACCTGGGAGCCATTCTGCACAAATGCCAGTTATTCCCAGTTTACAGGTTAGTAGGGTGACCAGTTGTTCCAGTTTGCCCTGAAATGAAAGGTTTCTGGGGCATTAAAACTGACAAAGTACCAAAGAAAGTAGGATGAATTGATCACCCTAACATGAGATGGAGACAGGAATGACTTTCTCCCTTTCCTCTTGTCTGTTCCATCCGCTCGACCCACCTGTATGACTTGATCAAGAACACTGATGCCCCTTTTGACATCCTGGTCTCTCAATTCCTTCACTGTCTTAACTCTAAGAAACTTCCTCTGCCAGATTACACCTTGCTGCTAGTGGGACTTCCTGACAAATAAGAACACAAAGCTCCAATTCTAATTGATAAATGAGATATTTCAACATTAGATGTTTTAATTTGATTATGCACTTGGCTTTCATTTTCGAACATTTAATAGCAACTTGATCACCAGTTCTAGAGAGAAGGGATAGAGAAACAGAAGGGGTAAGAAGCCTTTTGCTGTGTTTTGGGAGTGAATGCCAGCATCTTATGATTAACTTCCAAGGTCCTGGCTGTCTGTATATTCTGGTAACATCATTCTTGAGAGTCTTGTCCCTGGCTAAAGACCTCAATTTGCTCCCAAGTTGTTGCTGTCATTTATGGATTAAAAACTCCTTCCTCTTGTAAGACATTGTTCGATGTGCTATGTACAAGTCTTCAGGTTTGTTTATCATTCAAGACTAACAGAGCGTGGCGTGTTTACCTCACTTGAAGAAACATGGCTTTACAGAGACAGGACAAAGGGAGAGGGGCTCCAAGTCCATCCTGACTCACCTCTGCTCCCACAAACTCTGACTTTGTTCTATTTCTAACCCCTGTTTTAAAAAAAAATCTCAACGATTTATCCCCAGATGTGTACACTAGGGATGCTTTGTGTTATGCCCAGCTGACTAACTTTCCACCCTTAGCTTTGTCTTTTTTTTTTTTTTTTTTTTTTTTTTGGCAGAGTTTTGCTCTTTTGCCCAGGCTGGAGAGCAATGGCATGATCTCGGCTCACCGCAACCTCCACCTCCCGGATTCAAGTGATTCTCCTGCCTCAGCCTACCAAGTAGCTGGGATTACAGATATGCGCCACCAGGCCCAGCTAATTTTGTATTTTTAGTAAAGACAGGGTTTCACCATGTTGGTCAGGCTGGTCTTGAACTCCTGACGTCAAGTGATCCATCGGCCTGGGCCTCCCAGAGTGCTGGGACTACAGGCGTGAACTTCTGCACCCGGCGGTCTTTGTCATTTTTAAAACTGCATTGCCAAAAGTAAGGTTTCATCTTTGTGTTTCTTTTTGATGATAATGACCTGATCCTGAGTCTTGTGAGACAGAGCAACATAAATGCCAGTGGAGTTGCCTTTCACCCACATTGTGCCTTTCTGAGACTTTAATAAGCATACGCATCACCTGCAGATCTTGATAAAATGCAGATTCTGATTCACTAGGTCTGGGGTGAGTCTGGCATCTGTATTTTTTTTTCAGGTTGAAATACATTTTATTTCTTTATTTACTGTAGATATGTGTGGACAGAAATACAAGGTCATGAATGAAGTAATGAAAAGATCAAATGCAGATAGATCCTTTTGTGTGTGGCTCTCTTCCATCTCCATGGGTTTGATGGATGATAGGTCTCCTGCAGTCTGAAATCCTAAATTCTTTTTCACCACATTGATTTTTACATTGACCACTAAGCTTTCTGCAGGTATCCTATGGGTTAAAGACAGCACAGTGGGGCCGGGTACGGTGGCTCACACCTGCGGATCACCTGAGGTCAGGAGTTTGAGACCAGCCTGACCAACATTGAGAAACCCCATCTCTACTTAAAATACAAAATTAGCCGAGTGTGGTGGCGCATGCCTGTAATCCCAGCTACTCAGGAGGCCGAGGCAGGAGAATCGCTTGGACCTGGGAGGTGGAGGTTGCAGTGAGCCGAGATCGCGCCACTGCACTCCAGCCTGGGCAACAGAGTGAAACTCCATCTCAACAACAACAACAACAAAAAGACAGCACAGTGATCTTTACTTCAGTTGAAAGAAGAAAACAATGGCTGGAATTAATAATCTAGGTAGGAAATGATCTTCTGCATCTTTAACAAGCTCCACAGGGAGGCCGATGCTGCTGGTCCAGGGACCACATTCTGGGCAGGGGAAGGAGTAGAGGATGACAGATGTCTAGGATTGGGGGGGCAGGGTGAGGGGCAGGATGATGTTAACAGTCAAATTCTTCATAAGACTCCAATAGAATAAAACACCTATAATCACTCTTTAGGCCATAGATTCTACAACCCATGAGCTTCCATTTGTTCACCAATTCACGGGATTAATTATATGTCATTATGAAGGTTAAATAAAAAATAAACATTTGAACTCCTTCCCTACATTCAGGGTTCCATACAAACTGTCTTGTGCTCTGCCTTAAAAAAATTATTTTATTTATCTTAGTGATTTTTCCAATCCATGCAGAGAGATGACTTTACTGATTTGATAAATAAATAGTACAGTATTTCCTTGTGTGAATGTACCTTGATTTATTTAACTGATCCTATCTGAGTGATCCTTTAGTTTGTTTTTGATTTACCTTTGGAGGTTTTCATTAGCATTATCAGTGTCCAATCAGTGACAGCCTGGGCTCATCGGGCCCTCTTATCTAGGAAGCATAAGGAACACTTGAGTATTGGCCTAGTGCTGGGATCACACAAATCAATGCTAATCTAGTCAGCTGGTACAAACCATACATCATCTTCCAAGAGGAAGTTAATGAAAAAAAATAGAACAAATATTCTTAAAGTAATAGTGATATCACTTTCTGAACAAGCTTATGGCTTCAGCCCTCTCTCTCTCTCCACTGCCTACCACTCTCTCTGCCTTCTTTCTTAACAGGAAAGTTTAACCATCCCTGGCTTCAACATCCTGATGGTTCACTGACCTATGGCTGCAGCCCAGGCCTTTCTTCCAAGTGGCAGTCATTTGCAGGGTGATGTTAATTCTAGGATCTTCTTCCAAGCAATCATGACTTCTTTAAATTCTAATACAACCTGGGCTGGGCACAGTGGCTCATGCCTGTAATCCCAGCACTTTGGGAGGCTGAGGCAGGTGGATCACTTGAGGTCAAGAGTTTGAGACCAGCCTGACCAATATGGTGAAACCCTGACTCTACTAAAAATACAAAAAATTACCCAGGCGTGGCGGCGGGTGCCTATAATCCCAGCTACTCAGGAGGTTGAGGCAGGAGAATGGCTTGAACCCAGGAGGCAGAGGTGGCAGTGAGCCAAGATCATGCCACTGCACTCCAGCCTGGGCGACAGAGACCCCGTCTCTAAAAATAAATAAATAAATTTTAATACAACCCGGAAAAAAACAAAGACAAATTATGCTGTCCCATGGGGTTGTCTGTCCTTGTATCAACGCCATGTCCTGATGACTGAAAGTTTATAATAGGTCTTGATAACTGGTTATATAATTGCTTCCAGCTTCATTGTTCTTCAAGATTGCTTTGGCTTTTCATGCTCTTTGCATTTCCGTTCAATTTTAGAATCAGCTTGCCAATTTCCACAAGAAATCCTGTGAGGGTTTTGATTGCAATTGTGTTGAGTCTGTAGGTGAATTTAAGGAGATTTGACATCTTTATAACATCGAGCCATTCAATCTATGAACACAGTATTTCCCTCCATTTATTTAATACTTTAAAAATTTCTCAGCTGGGCGTAGTGGCTCACGTCTGTAATCCCAGCACTTTGGGAGGCTGAGGCGGGCAGATCACGAGGTCAGGAGTTTGAGACCAGCCTGGCCAACATAGTGAAACCCTGTCTCTACTAAAAATAGAAAAAATTAGCCAGGCATGGTGGCACGCACCTGTAATCCCAGCTACTTGGGAGGCTGAGGCAGAAGAATTGCTTGAACATGGGAGGCGGAGGTTGCAGTGAGTGGAGATCGTGCCATTGCACTCCAGCCTGGGCAACAGTGTGAGATTCTATCTCAAAAAAAAAAAAACAATTTTTGTTTTCAACAACATGTTGTAGTTTTTAGTGAAGAGCTCTTACACTTTTGTTAGATTACACTTTATGTTTTTGTTATATTTTCCTAGGTATTTTATTTCTTAAAAACATTATTAGAATTGAGCCAGTTTTCTTTTATGAAGTACCCTAGCTACTACTCCCAAAAGCGTTGCCTTCACGATTATCATTTCTATTGACTTAAAACATGTTTTGGTTAAAATGAGCAATATATTCCTTAGTTTGGGCTTACTCACCCTCCTTAAAACACGACTGCCTTGGAACACCAGGAATCACTGACAGAGAAGATATTTCATGATATTTCCTTAGCCTCAACGTCTCAGTCCTTCTTAGAAATTATTCTATAGGCCGGGCGCAGTGACTCACGCCTATAATCCCAGCACTTTGGGAGGCCGAGGCACGCAGATCACGAGGTCAAGAGATCGAGACCATCCTGGCCAACATGGTGAAACCTCGTCTCCACTAAAATAGAAAAATTAGCTGGGTGTGGTGGCGTGAGCCTGTAGTACCAGTTACTCAGGAGGCTGAGGCAGGAGAATCACTTGAACCCAGGAGGCGGAGGTTGCAGTGAGCCGAGATCATGCCACTGCACTCCAGCCTGGGCGACAGAGTGAGACTCCATCTCAAAAAAAGAAAAAAAATTATTCTATAGAAACATCTTTAGATTTGCCTGGCAAGCAAACTTGGGAGCACTTTGGGATGTGAGGAGCAAATAGGAAATCAATGCTAGGGAGTTGGAAATTCTTGCCCAGAGTTAGGACATTAATGCCACTGTCCCCAACGTCAAGCCCAGGATCTGTCCCGATCATGGAGCAGAGCTCAATCACTGTGACTATTGCTGGGTGATTATTGCTGGGTGGAGCGAGCAAAAATTTCCCCCTGGGGTGAGACGAGGCTAGAAAAGAGTAGGTGCCGGAAACTTCTAATGGATGAAAACTTATTTCCAGGTCTGTTTTAGAAACTGAAGCTATTTGCTCAAGCTTTTTTTTCTTGGAATTAATTTGCTTATATTCCAGGCATTGTCTTCACTCATGGCCTGGATAATATCAGTCATTTAACTAAGAGATGACTGCCAGCCTTCCTGGCAAAAGACCAAAAGCCAACTAAAGTTGATGCTAGGACAGATTGGTTCTCCTGAATGCCATGTCAAAGGGAAGGGCAGTGTTATGTATTAAAATGCATGTGGATCCCACTGCAAGGAGATGGTCTTTTCCATTTGGTGTTATGGATCTTAATTTTTTAAAATTAATAAACTCATGCTCTTATTTCCCAGCACCTGCAAAACAATGACTAGCTCTATAAAAAATCTTTTTTCAAACATGGCGATTTTTAAAGCAAACATTTAAGAATTTTAGATTACTCATAGAAGCAAGTAACAAACAGGCCGGGTATGGTGGCTCACGGATGTAATCCCAGCACTTTGGGAGGCCGAGGCGGTCGGATCACCTGAGGTCAGGAGGTTGAGACCAGCCTGGCCAACATGGTGAAACTCCGTCTTTACTAAAAATACAAAAATTAGCCAGGTGTGGTGGTGTGCACCTGTAATCCCAGCTACTTGGGAGGCTGAGGCAGGAGAATCTCTTGAACCCGGGTGGTGGAGGTTGCAGTGAGCCAAGATCTTGCCATTGTACTCCAGCCTGGGTGACAGAGTGAGACTCCATCTCAAAAAAAAAAAAAAAAGTAATAAAACGCAAACACAAATACAACATTCAAAGCTGGTATCCTCATTAAAAACAACCTACAGAACCACTGTGCCTGCAGGATCAACATGTGATACATGGCTGGGGCTGCTCTGACTCTTGGAAGGCAGTTTCAGGAGGTTTACTGGCAGGGTTAGGATGAGTACAAGACCCATGATTCTTCCACCTCAGCAGAGCACAGCAGATCCCAACTTCTAAGCTGGGTTGTGGTCCCAAGGGAAACTGGGAGCTGTGAACAAACTGTCCTGTTCAAGCAATGATATAGGGATGGGGGAGATTTTCCCAGAGGTCTACATCTGCTGAAGTCAAAGGACCTGGAATGCCCTTTCTAGCCAGCTAGGGGGAGGTGGGTGGAAGTCTTTGTGAACCACAGGTTTGAACTCAGCCTGCTGAAGTTTGTCTTCTTTTTCCATTGAAAAAGTTTGTCTTGGCTGGGCTTTGCTGGAGTTGGGTCTGAAATAGGCCTCCGGGTGTGAAGTGCAAGGGATCACGGAGGGGTGGGTTGCAGCCTGGGGCAGAGGCTGGTGTGCGCTGGCACAGAGAGAGCAGAGGCCCCGCAGCTCCTGGGGACAGACACCCTGTGCTGGACTCATACTGGCCTAGCCATGGGAAGAAGGATGAGGCAGGAAGGAACTGGCATTGAACAAGGAGGTGCTGTGGGCTTTAAGGTGAGCCCCAGGGGGAAGGAGAGGGAGGCTATGCCTGCTGTGCCAGTCCTGGCAGCCCTTTGTGGAGTTTTCATCAGTTTCAGGAAGCTTGGAGAGAGAGGGCCGCTCCCAGAACTAAGATGAACGTGGCCTAGAACTGTATCCGGGTAAGAATTACAGGCACAGAGGATCATTCCATTTAGTAGAATTCCCTGACTTTGCATCGTGAAGAGCTTTGGAGTGCCGTCTGTTTCTACTTTTGCTTGCTATTTCTGGGATCCAATATGCTCATGCTTGCATTATTTTTTTCTAAAAAGAGATTTTATGTATTTATTTATTTATTTATTTATTTATATTTTTTTGAGATGGTGTCTCGCTCTGTCGCCTATGCTGGAGTGCAGTGGCGCCATCTTGACTCACTGCAGCCTCCGCCTTCCGGGATCAAGCGATTCTCCTGCCTGAGCCTCTTGAGTAGCTGGGATTACAGGTGCCTGCCACCATGCCCGGCTAATTTTTGTATTTTTAGTGGAGACAAGGTTTCACCATATTGGCCAGGCTGGTCTCGAACTCCTGACCTCAAGTGATCTGCCTGCCTCAGCCTCCCAAATTGCTGAGATTACAGGTGTGAGCCACTGCGCCTGGACAAGACTATTTTTTAGAGCAGCAAAATTGAGCAGAATATACAGAGAATTTCCAAATGCTCCCTGCCCTCTCCCCGACATGCACGGCCTCCCCCATGGTCGACATGCAACACCAGAGAGGCACATTTATTAGAATCAATAAACCTACGTTAACACATCGTTATCACTCAAAGTTCATAGCTTACATTAGGGTTCACTCTTGGTGTTGTACATTCTATGGTTTTTGACAAATGTATAATGACAAATTGACAAATGTACAACGTTAAGCATAATCATCATTATAGTATCTTACAGAGTAGTTTCACCGTCCTGAAAATCCTGTCCTCTGTCCATTCACCCTTCCATCCCCCCAGCCCAGGCAATCACTGACCCCTGTACTATCCCCACAGTGTTGCTTTTCCCAGAGTGTCATATAGTTGGAATCATACAATATGTAGGCTTATCAGATTGCTTTTTTTTCTTAGTAATAGTAAGTTTCCTTCCTTGATAGCTCATCTCTTTTGTTTGTTTGTTTTTAAGACAGTGTCTCACTCTGTCGCCCAGGCTGGAGTGCAGTGGCACGATCTTAGCTCACTGCAGCCTCCACCTCCTGGGTTCAAGTGATTCTCCTGCCTCAGCCTCCTGAGTAGTTGGGACGACAGGCGCGTGCAACCACACCCAGTTAATCTTTGTATTTTTAGTAGAGACGGGGTTTCACCATTTTGGCCAGGCTCGTCTCAAACTCCTAACCTGAGGTGATCCACCCGTCTTGGCCTCCCAAAGTGTCGGGATTATAGGCGTGTGCCACTGCGCCTGGACTTGACGCTGATTTCTTTTTAGTGCCAAATAATATTTCATTGTCTGGAGTCTGGATGTACTACAGTTGATTTATTCATTTACTCACTGAAGGACATCTTGGTTGCTTCTAAGTTTTGGCAACTAGAATAAAGTCTATAAACATTCATGTGCAGGTTGTGTGGACATAAGCTTTCAGCTCCTTTGGGTAAATACTAAGGAGGGTGATTGCTGGATTGTACGGTAAGAGTATGTTTAGTTTGGTAGGAAACTGCCAAACTGTCTTCCAAAGTGACGGTACCCTTTTGCATTTCCACCAGCAATGGGTGAGAGTGCCCGTGGCTCCACATTCTCACCAGCGTCTGGTGGTATCAGGGTTCTGGATGCGGTTATTCTAATAGGTGTCATACTTGCATCTGTCTGCTCTTTCCTGTTTTCCTGGTGTCCCTCAGATGCACTCTGCGTACCTCTCCCTGCCGTAGAGGCTGAAATCTGAGGGCTTCATCAAGGGACTCTCCTGTCCTCTGGCTTTTGGTTGGAATTGGCCAATGGGAGCACCAGCAGGAGGAAGGAGGGAGGGACGGAGGGAGGGAGGAAGGGAGGATTATAAAATGTATTGCCCTCAGCACATGGGAGGAGCCAACCCTGATATCCCTGTCCATACCTTTCAATGGCCCTTTCTAAAACTCTCAACTTCCCCAAGGTGAGTGGGCCATCTGTTTCCAAAAGGACCCTGATTGACAGGTGGCAATCCCTGCACCCCTCACCCCCACCATCCAAGAAAGGATTTTGTATATTAATAACTAACTTTTGGTGTTTGGCCAGTTGGTACATTCCTCCATATGGTCATTTTAAAATTTCATTTCTAACAGTGGACTCCATTCATTCATTCACTTTAAAAATATGGAATGAAATGCATTTCCCTTTGGCAGCAGTGGGTATTCAGATGTATGTATCTGTGTGTTGGGAACTGAGCACAGAGGCAGAGCAGGAATTATTGTCTTCTATCCCTGATGGGGTCAGCCTGCCCTGTCTCTGCTGGGTCCCCCATGGCCCCTGACCACCTGAAAGAGTCCGGGGCAGACAACAGATGAAGAGCTCTGCCCCAGGTGGATGAAAGGACAGGACTGAAGGAGTCCAGGTGGACAAAAGGAGTTTCTGGGAAATCGTGGAGCTCAGGCTGAGTGCCCAGGAAGGATGTCATGGGGTCTCAAGAAGGGCAGAGGAACCCACAAGAAGAGACCTTATTGATTATGCACTAACATTTGCTGCTTGGCCATTGGTACATTCCTCTGTAGGCTCCTTTAAAACCTCCTTTCAGCCAGCTTGGTGGCTCACATCTGTAATCCCAGCACTTTGGGAGGCTGAGGCAGGTGGATCACTTGAGGTCAGGACTTCGAGACCAGCCTGGCCAACATGTTGAAACCCCATCTCTACTAAAAATACAAAAATTAGCTGGCTGTGGTGGCAGGCGCTTGTAATTCCAGCTACTTGGGAGGGTGAGGCAGGAGAATTGCTTGAACCCAGGAGGCAGAGGTTGCAGTGAGCCAAGATTGTGCCACTGCACTCCAGCCTGGGTGACAGAGCAAGACTCCCTCTCAAAAAAAAAAAAACCAACCAAACAAAAAAGTTCTCCTTTCATACTGTGGGCTTCTTGAAGCTGTGAGGGAGTCATCATCTATTGGGCAAGAGGTGCTGGGAAGAGTGATAAGTATGACAAGCAAGATTCCTTCCCTCATGGAGCTTATAGTCTAGGAGGGACACAGACAGGAAACTAGCAAGCCACAAACGCATCACTGAAAGTAGGGAATGCAACTCAGGTAAAGAGGGGGATTGTCAGAGAGACTAAAGGGGCGCTCCTTGGGGGTGAGGAGTCAGGGGGGCCTTTGTTTCAAGGACATTTGAGGATAAGGAACATCGAAGGATAAGGAGGCGGTTGGGTCAAGACTGGGGGTGCAGGGTGTCTGGGTAGACAGGGGATCACGTGGAGAGGAGACAGCAGTGTAAAGTGGATGACTGAGGAGAGAACACATGGGGCGGGGCAGGCACAGCACAGCCACATCCTCAGGGCCCCGCTGGGGTCCTCGCAGCCACGCTGGGCCCCATGAGGTTTAGGCAGAAAGGGACGTGATCTAGTTTCCCCTTTCTCATGCTGACCCTGCTGCTGAGTGGGTAACGGAGTGAAAATGTGCAGAAGTGGGAGAAGGGAGCCCAGTCAGACGCTTCTGCAGACACATGGGGCCCTGGAGTGTGGAGGTGTGGGGAAGGGGTCGTTTTGAAGGTGGACCTAGAGCTGGATGAAAGGCAGAAGGTAGGGGAGAGGCAAGACGATGGCTACTAAATTTCTGGCCCAGCATCTGGGTAAATGGCTGCCCTCTGGGAATCAGGAGAGTAGCATTTGGGACGTCCATGTAGAGCAGGTAGTGACCTGGAGCACAGGAGCGTGTGCTAGAGCCATCGAGTTAGGAATTGTTGGCACAGAGATGGCTTGGGAGGCCCCAGAAGATATCCACAGCCGAGTCCCTGGAACCCGTGAAGGTTACTTACCTTCTGTGGCAAGAAAGAGTCTGTGGATGTGTGTAAGGATCTCGAGACAGGGAGATGACACTGGACTATCCGGCTAGGCCCTAAATGTCATCACAAGTGTCCTTAGAGGAGGGAGTCAGAGGGGAATTTAACACAGAAGACAATGTGAAGAGGAACAGAGGGAGACTGAAGATGCTGGCCTTGAAGACTGACCTGATGTGGCCACATGGCAAGGAGCCACAGCAGCTACCGGGCACTGAAAGAGGAAGGGAGTTGGGGGCCATGGCTGTGCAGACACCTTGCTTTCTGCCTCCTGATACTGATTTTGGGTACTGGCCTCCACATCTGTTAGGGAGTTTCTTTTGTTTTAAGCCACCACATTTGTGGTGATTTGTAACAGTTCCACAGGCAACTAATGCAAATACAAAGGCACCAGACCAGCTGAGGTCACCTAGGGAAGGAGCTCATGTTGTTAGAGAAGGCGACCAAGGGTTTCTGCCTAAGGAAGTCCCAGGGGAGAAGAGGTCTCAAAGAAATATAGAGTGCTCCAGAGAGTACCGGAAAGTGAATCAACACCTGTGCCGTTGCAGTTCTTTTTTTTTTTTTTTTTTTTTTTTGAGACAGAGTCTCACTCTATTGCCTAGGCTGGAGTGCAGTGGTGCAATCTTGGCTCACGGCAACCTCTGCCTCCTAGGTTCAAGTGATTCTCGTGCCTCAGCCTCCAAGTAGCTGGGATTACAGGCGCCCGCCACCATGCCCAGCTAATTTTTATATTTTTAGTAGAGACGGGGTTTCACCATGTTGGCCAGGCTGGTCTCAAACTCCTGACCTCAGGTGGTCCGCCCGCCTCAGTCTCCCAAGTGCTGGGAGTACAGGCATGAGCCACCATGCCCAGTCACACCTGCACCGTTCTAAGGCCTCCTCTCATGTCTGTTTCCTATTTTGTGCATTCGGCCATAAAATTGAGAAAGGAAATCAAGGAACACTGACATTCTCATGCCTTTGGATTACCCCCTGTGATAACTGCTTGGGAGAGCTTAGTGCTGGAGATAATTTTCATGTTTGCAAAAAAAAAGTGATACTTTGCATCTTTTCTCTTTTGGTGTAAACATTTATAAATAAATATGGAAACCAGGTCATTAGCATATCTTAACAATCCAGCAGTGTAGGCAATTCTCAAATTATCAACAGGGCGTGTCTCGGAAGCCTGTTTTAATGCCACTTGTTCTGACATACACTTTCCTGTAGATGCACATGAATAGAAGATAAATGTAGTCATAAAGGCCAGTGGAACAGAATAGAGAGCCCAGAAATAAAGCCACACACCTACAACCATCTGATCTTTGACAAAACTGACAAAAACAAGCAATGGGGAAGGACTCCCTATTCAATAAATGGTGCTGGGATAATGGGCTCGCCATATGCAGAAGATTGAAACTGGACCCCTTCCTTATAGCATATAGAAAAATTAACTCAAGATGGATTTAAGACCCAAATGTAAAACCTAAAACTATAAAAACTCTGGGAGACAACCTAGAAAATGCCATTCTGATCACAGGAACTGGCAAAGATTTCATGACAAAGATGCCAAAAGCAATGGCAACAAAAGCAAAAACTGACAAATGGGATTTAATTAAACTAAAGAGTTTCTGCACAGCAAAAGAAACTATCAGCAGAGTAAACAGACAACCTACACAATGGAAGAAAATATTTGCAAACTATACAAATATTTGCAAACTGTGCTAATATATAGCAGACCTGGCAAAGGTCTAATAAACATCCAGAATCTATAAGGAAATTAAACAAATGTACAAACCAAAACCAAACGACGTCATTAAAAAGTGGGCAAAAGACAGAATACTTTTCAAAAGAAGGCATATATGCGGCCAACAAGCATATGAAAAAATGCTCAATATCACTAATCATTAGAGAAATGCAAATTAAAACCACAATGAGATCCTATCTCACACCAGTCAGAATAGCCATTATTAAAAAGTCAATAAATAGTCTGGGCATGGTGGCTCATGCTTGTAATCCCAGCACTTTGGGAGGCCGAGATGGGCAGATTGCCTGAGGTCAGGAGTTCGAGACCAGCCTGGCCAACATGGTGAAACCCCATCTCTACTAAAAATACAAAAATTAGCCGGGTGTGGTGGCACACGCCTGTAGTCCCAGCTACTCAGGAGGCTGAGGCAGGAGAATCGCTTCAACCCAGGAAGTGGAGGTTGCAGGGAGCCGAGATCGCACCACTGCATTCCAGCCTGGGCGACAGAGCGAGACTGTGTCTCAAAAAAAAAAAATAAAAAATCAATAAATAACAGGTGCTGGTGAGGCTGTGGAGACAAGGGAACATTTATACACTGTTGGTGGGAGTGTAAATTAGTCTAAATTAGTTCAAACACTGTGGAAAGCAGTTTGGCGATTCCTCAAATAACTAAAAAACAGAACTACCACTCGACGCAGCAACCCCATTTACTGGGTGTTTACCCAGAGGAATATAAATTGTTCTACCATAAAGACACATGCACGTGAATGTTCACTCCAGCACTATTCACAATAGCAAAGACATGGACTCAAGCTAAATGCCCACCAATGACAGATTGGATAAAGATAATATGGTACATATATACCATGGAATACTATGCAGCCGTAAAAAAGAATAAGATCGTGTCTTTTGCAGGAACATGGGTGGAGCTGGAGGCCATATTCTTTGCAAACTAACCCAGGAACAGAAAACCAAATACCGCATGTTCTCACTTATAAGTGGGAGCAAAATAATGAGAGCCAATGGGCACAAAGAGGGAATTTGAACAAACACTGGCGCCTACTTGAGGGAGAAGGGTGGGAGGAGGGAGAGGATCAGGAAAAATAACTATTGGGTACTATGCTTAGTACCTGGGAGGCGAAATGGTCTGTACAACAAACCCCACCTGACACGAGTTTGCCTGTATTAACAAACCTGCACATGAATCCCTGAACCTAAAATAAAAGTTTAAAAATGTAATCATAAAGAAATGGATGGATTGGATAAAGCTGAGTAAAAGAGGTTTCTAACCTTCAAAAATGGAGCAGACAGGCATATGTTTTCTATTAAATATGCAGTAATTATAAACGAGGCAACTAGTTTTAAAGCCTCTACTCTTCTTGGACTTTCACAAGAGACTTTGCCTTGCAAACCGTCTAACTTTCCTAGAGCAGGAAAATGCTCTGGGAATCTCAGCAGTCCCGAATGCAAGCCCCTGAACTTCAATAGGATGGCGGACACATCCTGAAAGAGAAACCCTGGTACAATTTTTGAATTGTAAATAAGAAATGGCCAATGGAGAAAGATATTCGTGGAAGCAAATGTTCTGTTGCTTCAAATTACATGAGAATTATGCTGTCCTCCGCCACCATTTGCCGTTGCCAGAGCAATTGACACCTGGACCTAACCTGCGCTCACTGCCTGGAAAGCCTGCTCTCTCTTTGCTTTCTTTGGTTCTTTCAGAACTTCTGTTAGACAATTCATTGAATCCCATCTTTCAGAAGTTATTTGGGTCCATTCTTTTCCCCTCTGGCCTTTGCATCCCCTCTGATCCTGCCTCATGAACCGCTCTGCAATGAGTGGTTAGAGCCTGCCCAGGCCAATGGCTCTTGTAGCCTGGCCAGTCTCTTACTTACCATCTGTCATCAGTTACCTTTTTCTGGATATTCTGGTTCGGTTACTGTGGAATAGTAGAAGAATATTACTACTGGTAGTTAAGTAAGACGTCGGCAAGAAATGAATCTGCAGAAAATGTACAAGACAGTGAAATGTGCAAAGAGCTTACATTCTGACAGTTATTGGTTGTGTAGGTTCCCCTTTCTATAACTGATACAATTGATCCCTTTTGAAAATAAGATCAAGCAGTTGTTTTATACCTATCTCAGGAAACCAACGTCACATAATCCTAAAACTAGCAAATAGAAAAAGAAGCACTGATACTGGATTTCTGCTTCTGGGAAATGGAGCAGACATATTCTCTCCTATTCTTCCCACTACCTACAGGAAACAGCTCGATGTTACCTATGAAACAAACATAAGAAGACTCTGCAAGGTGAAGACAGCAGACTCGTGTGGGGCTTCAGGAATGAGGAATCCTAAGGATGGTGGGTTCCCTGGGATTTCTTTTTGCCTCATGTATCCCAGACATGGAGCTAAAGAAGCCAGCAATGTGGAAATGCCATAGCTGCAGACAGAAAAGGTCCCAACAAAACCTTACTCTCTTCAGACAAGAGCACAGGAAAGGGGCAGCCTGCAGGACAGAAAACCTTTAGACATTAACTGCTCTTCTCCAGCCACTCATCACAGAAAAAACAGTGGCTCCCACCTTCACCCCACCAGCAAAGACTAGTGCAGAGCCCAGACTTCCACCCCCACCCAGCTGTAATGGGGCACCTCTGCCAACGTGGTGTTAGAGAAGCCCAAATGGGGGAAGCAGAACTTTCACCTCTGCTGAACAGTAACAAGACTCTCCATCCTCTTTGTTATTGGAGGGATCGTAGTTTCAGAAAGGACGAGCTGATCTTTCTCTTTCTGCATGTAGTAAGCCATAAAGATTCCTCTGGGAGGGGTACAGTCACCATGCCAGAGCAAGAAAATAGCCCTTATCAATAGAGGCTTGGAATTGGAGGCTGCAAGGAACCTGAATAAACATACTTAATGAAGTAACCGTCACCTTCCACCTGTCTTATACCCATACCCCTCCACATATATCTCCTAGCGACTCCCCTAGAAAATTTACTGCCTCTACCAGATTTTCTTTTTGAGACAGGGTCTTGCTCTGTCACCCAGGCTGGAGCACAGTGGTGCAATCCTAGTTCACCACAGCCTTCAAGATCTGCCACTGCACTCCAGCTCAGGCGACAGAGCAAGACTCCATCTCAGGAAAAAAAAAAAAAAAAAAAAGCCTGGGCATGGTGGCCATGCCTGAAATCCCAGCACTTTGGTATGCCAAGGTGGGTGGATCACCTGAGGTCAGGAGGTTAAGATACCTTACTATAGCCTTGAGCACCTGGGCTCAAGTGATCCTCCCACCACAGCCTCCCAAGAAGCTAGGAACAAGACATGTGCCAACACACAGCTTATATATATATATATATTTAGAGATGGGGTCTTGCTATGTTGCTCAGGCTGGTCTCGGACTCTTGGCCTCAAGTCATCCTCTTGCCTCAACCTCCCAAAGTGCTGGACTTACAGGCATGAATCACGATGCCCAGCCCAGATTTTCTTTATCCTGTCTGTCATTTCTTCTCAAATTTATCATTCTTTGTCTAAAAAGTATAAAAGCATCTTGCTTTGGCCATATCTTTGGACTTAACTCTCTTGCAAAAGTCCTCACATATATGTAAAACTAATAAAATTTGTATACTTTTGTCTTGTTAATCTTCCTGGTGTCAATGTGGTTTCTAGAGCCAGCTGAAGAGTTCACTAACAGCTAAAAGGAGAGGGAGGATTGGAGGTAATCTCTGCCTCCCCTACAACTGTCAGAATTTTATACCCAGCAAAATATATCCTTCAAAAATGAAGGGGGAGTCAAGATGCTCTCAGAGGAAGGAACACTAAGAGAATTTGTTGCTAGGAGGACTGCCTTAAAAGAATGACTAGAGTAAGTTCTCTAAGTAGAAAGGAAAGGATAAAGGAATCAATCTCAGAAAATCAGGACGAGAGAACAATGGAAAGAGGAAATGTATGGGTAAATACATTTTCTTTTTCCTCTTTAGTTTTCTAAATTAAGTTTGATGGTTGAGGTGAAAACATACAACATTGTGTGATGTGTTTCTAAATGTATGCGGAGAAAATACAAATGCTCCTCAACTTATGATGCGGTTACATCCCGGTAAACACAGTACGTCAAAAACATTATAAGTTGAAAATGCATTTAATGCTCCAATAAACCCTTTGCAAAGTCAAAAAATACTAAGTTGGCTGGGTGCGGTGGCTCATGCCTGTAATCCCAGCACTTTGGGAGGCCAAGGTGGGAGGATCACCTGAGGTCAGGAGTTTGAGACCAGCCTGGCTAAAATGGTGAAACCCTGTTTCACTAAAAATATAAAAAAATTAGCTGGGCGTGGTGGTGCACACCTTTAATCCCAGCTACTGGGGAGGCTAAGGCATGAGAATCACTTGAACCCGGGAGGCAGAGGCTGAGTGAGCTTAGATCATGCCACTGCGCTCCAGCCTGGGTGACAAGAGCAAGACTCTATCTCTAAAAAAAAAAAAAAAAAAAAAAAAAAAAAAAAAAAAAAGAAAAAGGAAAATCCAAAAAGAATCTACAAAAAATACTCAGAACTAGTAATTCAGTTCAGCAAATATGTGGGATAAGAGATGAGCATTCAAAAATCAACTGTATTCTGTATTTCTATATAGTAGCAATAAATGCATGCACACCAAAATTCAAAATAAATATTTATAATTGTTTAAAAGAAGAAGTACTTAGGCAGAATTCTAATAAAACATATACAATATATGAACTTGTAGAACTACTGATGAAAGAAATCAAGGGAAATATGAATAAATGGAGACATACCCTATTCATGGATTGGAAGGGTCAACATAGTAAAGATGTCAGGTCTCCCCAGATGGATACACAGATTTAATGCAATGCATATAAAAATCTCAGAAAGATATTTTGTAGATATAAATAAGGCTATTGTAAAATTTATAAAGGCAAAGGAACTAGATTAGCAGAAACAATTTTGAAAAAAAATAAAGTGGGGGGATGTCTACTTGCTTTCAAGACTTACTATATAGCTACAGTAATCAAGACTGTGTGTGTGATATTGGTGGAGGGATAAATAGATCAATGGAACAGAGTAGAGAAACCAGGAATAGGCCTACATAAATAGTCCCAGCTGATTTTTGACAAAATATAAAAAGGAAGTTTTTTTTTTTTTTTTGAGATGGAGTCTTGCTCTGTCACCCAGGCTGGAGTGCAGTGGAGCACTCTCGGCTCACTGCAACCTCCACCTCCCCGGTTCAAGCGATTCTCCTGCCTCAGCCTCCCGCGTAGCTGGGACTACAGGCATGCACCACTATGGCCAGCTAATTTTTTGTATTTTTAGTAGAGATGGGGTTTTACCGTGTTAGCCAGGATGGTCTCAATCTCCTGACTTCATGATCTGCCCACCTTGGCTTCCCAAAGTGCTGGGATTACAGGCGTGAGCCACCGCAGCCAGCCAAAAGGAAGCCTTTTTAAAACAAATGTTGCTGTAACAATTGGACATCCATATGCAAACAACAAAACCCTCAGCCTAAACCTTACACTTCATATAAAAATTAGCTCAAAATGAATCATAGACTAAAGTGTAAAACGTGAAACTTAAAAACTGTTAGGAAAAGCAGCTTAGGGAAAAAATCTTTAATATAGAACTAGGTAGAGTTCTTAGACTTGACACCAAAAGCTTGATCCATAAAAGGCAAAAGTATTAAATCGGACTTCATCAAAATTTTTCTCTGTGAAAGATCCTGTTAAGATGAAGAAAAGACACTACAGAGTAGGAGAGAACATCTGCAAACCATATCTCTGACAAAGGACTAGTATCTAGAATATGTAACAAACACTCAGAACTCAACGAGTAAAAACCAAACAATCCAACAAGAAAATGGGCCAAAGATGTGATGAGACATTTCAGGGAAGAGAATATAAAGATGTGCATATAAGCACATGAAAAGAGATTCAACATCATTCGCCAACAGGGAAATACAAATTAAAACCACAATAAGATATCACTTCACGCTTGTCAGTTTGGCCACATTAAAAAAGTGACACCACCAAATGCTGGTAAGGAGACAAAGAAACTGGATTACGCATACGTTGCTGGTGGGAATGTGAAATGGTACAGTCTAGAACAGGGGTCCCCAACCCCAGGCCGTGGACCAGTACTGATCCGTAAAAATTACTGGTCCGCAGTCTGTTGGGAACCAGGCCACACAGCAGGAGGGGAGCGGCAGGCGATGAGTGAAGCTTCTTCTGTATTTACAGCCACTCCCTATTGCTTGTATTACTGCCTGAGCTCCGCCTCCTGTCAGATCAGCCTGGGCGTTAGAATCTCATAGGAATGCAAACCCTACTGTGAACTGTGTATGCGAGGGATCCAGGTTGCACGCTCATGAGAATCTAATGCCTGATAATGTGAGGTGGGACAGTTTCATCCCGAAACCATCCCCCCACTCCTTCCCCATCCATGGAAAAACTGTCTTCCACAAAACTGGTTGGTCCCTGGCGCCAAAAAGGTTGGGGACCACGGGTCTAGGAAACAGTTTGGCAGCACCCTAAAACATGTAATATGTGACTACAATATGATCTTCCAATTGTCTTATCCCAGAGAAATGAAAACTTATGTTCATATGAAAATCTGTACAATGAATGTTCATGCAAACTATTTCTTAACAACCCAAAGCTAAAAAAAACCTCAGATGTCCTTCAATGGGTGAATGGTTCAGTTGTGGCCCATCCACACTGTGAACTACTACTCAGTAATAAAAAGAAAAAAAAACCTCTTGATACAACAATCTGGATTAATTTCCAGATAATGATGCTCGTAGAAAACACCTGTTTCAAAAGGCTACATACTGTGTGATTTCGTTTAAATAACATTCTCAACGTGCCAAAGTTATAGAAATGGAGCACATGTAAGTGGTTGGCAGGGGTTAAAGAAGGGTGTGGTGGCAGAAGGGAAGTAAGTGTGGCCATAAAAGGGCAACAGGAGGGCCCTGGTAGTCGTGGAAATATTCTGCATCTTGACAGTGTTAGTGTCAGTATCCTGGTTGTGATGATGTACGATCGTGTATGTTATCACAGGCAAAGGGTACATTTCTTTTTTTTTTTTTTTTTTTTGAGATGGAGTTTTGCTCTTCTTGCCCAGGCTGGAGTGCAGTGGTGCGATCTTGGCTCACCGCAACCTCCGCCTCCTGGGTTCAAGCGATTCTCCTGCCTCGGCCCCCTGAGTAGCTGGAATTACAGGTATGTACTACCAAGCCCGGCTAATTTTTTGTATTTTTAGTAGAGACAGAGTTTCTCCATGTTGGTCAGGCTGGTCTTGAACTCCTAACCTCAGGTGATCTGCCTACCTTGGCCTCCCAAAGTGCTGGGATTACAGGCGTGAGCCACCACACCCAGCCTAAGGGTACATTTCATAACAATTGGATGTGAATCTACAATGGCCTCAAAATAAAAGGTACAACCTACTTTAAAAAAGCATGTAATATATGAGTTTTACTTAAAAGGCAAACATATCTATGAATGATAGAAATCAGAACAGTGATTACCTTGGGAGGGAGAGATTGACTGGGAAGGGGTGAGACAGACCCTCCTGGGGGGGAGGATAATGGATAACAGAAACGTTTTATAGTTTGCTTTGGGTGGTGATCACAGATATATACATGTATAAAAATTTATTGACGTATGTATTTTCTGTAAGTTAAATTTCACATAAATAAATATAATATAGCCGGGCACGGTGGCTCACAGCCTGTAATCCCAGCACTTTGGGAGGCCAAGGCAGGCAGATCACGAGGTCAGGAGATCAAGACCATCCTGGCTACTGTGAAACCCCATCTCTACTAAAAAAAAAATACAAAAAATTAGCTGGGTGCGGTGGTGGATGCCCGTAGTCCCAGCTACTCGGGAGGCTGAGGCAGGAGAATGGCGTGAACCCCGGAGGCGGAGTTTGCAGTGAGCCGAGATCACGCCACTGCACTCCAGCCTGGGTGACAGAGTGAGACTCAGTCTCAAAATATATATATATATATATATATATATATATATATATATATATATATATATATAGAGAGAGAGAGAGAGAGAGAGAGAGAGAGAGAGAGAGAGAGAGAGAGAGAGAATTGATTAGTTCCAAGAATTACTCCTTTCTCTACAATTGTCTCAAAAATGTACAGGAGAAAGGATCTTTCCTCCTAGTGGTCTAAGATGGTCTAATATTTGTAGTTATAAACAAGGCTATTCCAAAATTCATAAAGGCAAAGGAACTAGATTAGCAGAAACAATTTGGAAAAAAAATAAAGTGGGGGGGGATGTCTACTTGCTTTCAAGACTTACTGTATAGCTACAGTAATCAAAGAACTAATCTAATCTAATAGATTATTGCTTCCTCTAAGATGAGGTTCATAATTCTGCTAAAATACTGACTTCCCTGACTTGTTAGGGCTAAAGAAAATCCGAGTATTTAAAATATTAGAATAACTTGCAGAATGTAAAACATCTTGGTATCTGAGAAAAAAAAATCTAATGATCATGACAGACCAAACATCTGAGGCTCTTTCACTGGGCACAGTGAGTTCTGCTAATCTTACAGGCAGAACCACTCCATTGGGTCATTCAGCAAGTGTCCCATTTAAAGGACACCACCACACACCCCTCGCCTCCTTCGTGTTGCTCAGGTGTGGCACTGTGGTGGGCCAGGCAACTCCCCTGGGGCAGGATGCTGTGCTGGGCAGGTAGATTAGAACCAACCTTGAATTTCCGCCCCCTCCAGAGCCCACCGAGCCATAGGTACCGCTGGGACTTGGGCGGGCACACACCTCAGGGAGTTAGCTTCCCATGTCCTGACTTAGAGACTGCACAAGTGTCCTTTCACGTCAGCCTTCTATTCAGGACTTCAGCAAACAGATGAGAAAGAATACCTGTTACTGATGGTGTGCTGAACAATGAAAGTCATCAGCCCAGAAGGAAAGCCAGAAAGAATCAAGAGAGAAGATACGGTCATTGGAAAAAATAAGCTACTGTCAGCAGGGTGGCAGAGCTGTGGAAGCCACTTGGCTGCAAGTCCCCTTGGACTGGGTGGGCCCAGGGCCGAGGCCGAGGCAGGGCCACCACTGGCGAGTCTTCTCCCAGGTGCAGGATCTTTGGTTTATTCTCAACCAAATGAAACTGTTTCATTTTCTTGAATCTATCTGGACATTACCTTTGCTTTTCTGAGGCCAGCATGAACGAGCTCTTCCCTCGCTTAATTCTGTGTTCATCAGGCAACAGGGTGCCTTAGCTATTCTAACCAGGACAAGCTACAGCCTCGCTGTGCACGGTCAGTCGACATTCTGGCACATACCAGGGTCTCGAGTGTGGTGTCTGTGAACCAGTCTGCAGGAGGCTGAGCAACTCCCATTTCTGAGTGTGTACAGAGGGTTCTCAATCCAGTACATTCTGCCACCTCCCGCCCACGAGAAGTCTCTGCATCAGTCTCTCCCTCAGCCATCTGTCTTTCTGATTCAACAGTGACCAATTTAAATAAAAAGCCTAACACAAAAATCAGGCAAATATGTTTAATTTTTTAAAATAACTGATGGCAAAATAAAATATTTACATCACATCATACTGTGTAAACATGTAAGGTCTCTGTACAAAGAAATATACATGCAAAATAATGTAAAAATTTAACTGAAATAATAAAAGAAACAATACACAAATAAAAATTATGAGGTTACGAATACACATCCAGTTTCGAATCCAATTTCTTTTAAAAAGTTTCTGTACAATTTTACAAGAAGAAACAAACAAAAACCCAACAAAAGAATAAATAAAATACACTGGAAGCTGCAAAGCTTAACTACGCCAGTTTATGGCTCAAGACCCAGGTGTCTGGCTGGCTTGGGAAGCGGGCTGGTCTCTTTTGTAGTGCAGTTCACACGAGAAAGATAAAAAGACATCCAGAAAACTTCGAGGGTGCCCAGAAACCCAGCCTCCTTGAGTTGAAAGGACTCCCCACACCAGTGCGAATGCTGCCACAGTGACTCGGGCATTGGGTACCAGCCGCGGGGCGGCCAGTGCTTAATCGGCTTTTATTTCTTACCAAAAGCTCAAAACCCAGCCAATTTTTATACAGAAAGTTCAACGTCAAAAAGTCTAAAAAGTAGTAAATGTCCAGACTGATTTTGGGAAAAAAAATAATACTTTGGCATTCTGAATAATAGCATAATAAATTTTAAAACATTACCCTATTATCCAGTTTTATATTCAGAGTATGAAATCACTTTTACAGTCCTCAAAACCAACAAATTTCACGAAAAGTCTCTTTGAACCGATGGCACAGGGCTACGACCCTACCCACCCACCCGCCAACCCCAACACACACACAAAACCATAAAGCTCACCATACGAAGTATGTGCTTTTTCTATATATTTATTACAGGTACAACAGAGGTCTTCATAAATAGTTGCATAAAATGTTAAAGCCACAACATTGCACATGATATGAAGTAAAACCAAAAAACCCCCAATGAGTGCATTTACAGTATTTTCATCTGACTGTGTACTGCTCCACAATCTGATTGACGGCTTGGGGCAGGAACAGGGGGAGGGGCAGTGGGGCAGGACCCAACCTGATGTCTTCATGTGATGGGAAGACCCTCGGACCCCCAGAGGAAGCCCCAGGTGGTGGGTGGGGGGTGGGTAGGGGAGGCAGGTGGGAAAATGACAGACCGAAGGCAGGAACAGTCTTATATACAAGTAAGGCCTACATTTCATCAGAGCAAAACGATTCATTCTATTTTATGCAAAAGTTTGAGGTTGAATGCACGTTTCAGAAGCCACGTCGGGCGTGAGATGCACACAGACGAGGCGCCTGGAAGCTCAGAGCCGAGTGGTCTCTGAGTCCTAGACAAGGCCATGGGAGTGGCCGCCACCTAGGTGCGTCTTCCCCAGAGACGCACAGTATCTTTGTTCATTAACACCAGTGGTTGAACATAGGCATTTTGTTTCCTTGAATAAATCTTGAAAACGTTAAATTTGCAAAATTCTATTCATGTTTGTTTAAAAAAGTTATCTTTTTATTTTTTTGCAGAAACCTGAATAAAATACTGTGATACAGCAATGCGACCTCTGCCTTGGGCAGAGTGTAAGTGACGGTCCTCCACCCCAGCGCAGCTTGCAGCTCTGTGTCCAAGCACTGCTGAGCACAGCTCACTTGGAATGCAATTTCACACGATGAACATACCGGCAGCTGATCAGTTATGTTTGCTTGTTTTCTCTTGAAAATTCAGATTAACAGCTGATTGGCAGGTGAAAGAGAATGAGAAAGAACTTCTGGATAGGTCAAACTCTAGGCAGAAGCCTGCTCTGCAGAAAGTTTTTAATGCTACGGATAGGTCGAACATCATTCTGGTGTTTGCGCCGCTCAATGAAGGAAGTCAGTCTGGACGTGTCGAGGACGCCCGTGCTTCTGCCGTTGCCGGCCTGCAGCCACTGCTCCTGGAGGGCCAGCGCAGCCGAGGGACGCTTGGCGGGGTCCTCCTGCAGGAGGAAGCACACGAACTCCTTGGCCTTCTGGCTCACTCCTTTAAAGTAGTCATCTGGGAAGCTAAAGTCTAAGCGGCAAATGTTCAGGCAGGTCTCTTCCACACTGTCATCCAGGAAGGGGGACACGCCACTAAGAAGTACGTATGTGAGCACTCCAACACTCCACGTATCCGAGGTCAGGGAGACAGGGTTCCCGAGGATGATTTCAGGGGCTGCGAATTCAGGGTTCCCCAGTAACTGGTGGATGTAGTAGGTCGTGTTGAGCTGAACAGCATCTCCAAAGTCAGCCAGTTTGATGGTTGGCTTGGCTAAACTCTCATCCACCAGGATATTCTCAGGCTGGAAATCAGAATACAACTGTCATTTTCAGACCATCCAATCTTAAGCTTACTCGTGATGATGGGCGGGACTCTATGGTGAGGTGGAAGGAATCTAGGATGTCAACTAGGACAAGCCATGCATGTGCAAAGCAGGCCGGACCACTCAGCTGGCAGCCGAGGGTGAGGAGGAAGAGATGACACAGCGGAGCTGGGACCCAGATCCACACAGGGCAGCTCTCTTTGGAGATCTAAGTGCCAAGTAGCCTAATGAAACCAGGCTGCTTTATGAAGCTGGGTGTTCATTTTCCCTCCCAGCACCAAGGGGAATGCTCTCTTTCCCGCCTAAGCTACCACTGCACCCGCCACACCCACCGGGCAAAACTCATGGGGACTTTCTGAAAGTCGTGGAAGGCTGGGAGGGCTCCGGCGTTTTACCCAGTGTGCTCCTGACCGTGTGCATCACTGAACGCAAACGCTTAGAGAGAGAGATTAGCAATCAGTGTCTGCGCTGCCCCACCCACCCTTTTTGTCCCTAGTCACTTGGGGGCTCCTGGCCTGGCTTCAGAGGGGGCTCTGTGTCCCGCATGGCCAAGCCGGTGTGCTCAGACCCCCCTTCACCTGCCCGGGGCCTCACCAACCTTTAGGTCCAGGTGTGCTATCCTGCAGTTGTGCAGGTACCGGACAGCTTCCAGAACCTCCCCCAGGTGCGCCCTGATCTTCCCTTCAGTGAGGCTTCCCCATCGCACCACGCAGTCCAGGAGGCGACCCTGGTCAGCCCTAAAGAGGCAGGAGCGGGTGACTGTTATGATGCGATTTGCTTTGAAGACCTCTTTGGGCTAGTAAGAAGTAAACATGTCGGACCTGTCACCTGTTATGAATGTGTCATCGGGATCTCAGGGCCGTGCCTCTAAGGCGTGACTAGACAAGGAGGGGGATTTTGTAAAGCTCTGTTGGGAAGATGCGAGTGGGGTACAGGGTGTCTCCATCTTAAGAGGGAAGCCGGTGGTAGAGCGGCACAGTCAAGGGTCCAAACCCGCCTGTTGCGGGGGATGGCGTGGCCCGGCTGCCGGCAGTGCCAGGTGCAGCAGGCATCCTGCGGTATCTGCTGAAGGAAGGCAAGTAGCTCATGCTTCTCGGAGCTGTAGTTTCCTCACCTGTAGAATGGGCCACGGGAAGACTCACCGAGATCATGTAACCACAGGCTGGGCAGGAGGTGACACACTGAGTGCTCAGTGTTGGACTCAGAAGACTTCCTCCTCTGAAACTACTGTTCATACTAAAAAAACACTTACCCAGCACTGCCAAGTGCCAGGGGCTCAATGCCTTCTAACAACTCATTTAATCCTTATGACTCTCTGTGAAGTGGGCCTTAGTGTACCCATTTGATACACGAGGAAACTCAGGACAGAGAAAGCATGAAACGTTCCCAAGGTCCCACAGCTCCAGAGTGGAGAAGCCAGGATTGGACTGAGGTGGTCTGGCCCCCACCTCTCTCAACACCGGCCTATGCTGCTCTCTTTGCAAAACAGAAATCTGTAGGAAGATCAGCTGCCTGTCTAGCAATGGGGAGTCGCCGGTGAGAACAGGAGTAATCTGTCATGAAAACGGATCCTATTAACAGGATGGTGAGGCCAAACCATTTTGTTTCCCAGAAATGACAGCTGAAAGCACTGAAATGTCAGTCCAGAAACGAAGGCCTTTAGGAGATTTGTGACAAGCACTCAAGCCACAGTTTTGTTAAAACTCCCCAGGGAAGGTGAGCAGTGGCCATTGGTCACCAGCGTCTGGAGCCAGAAAGGAGACCTCCCGGGTCCTGAGGCTCCCAGGCCAGGCCTCGGCTTGGATGTCGGCTCGGCTCTTCCACACACATCGCCCCATCTCGGCCCCACGACAACCCTCCAAAGCCAGTGTGACTTTTAAGGACACCAGGGTGAGAAATGAGCCGATGAGAGGGAGGGCGGGGACTGAGGCCAGGCGAGGCCAGTGGACCTCCTCTCCATACACACTGCTCAGCCTCACTGCGCCCCACCGTCTGCCCTTCTGCCATGAGATGTGTTTTCTATTCTTGAAAGACGGGCTGGAAGCACGTCCCCATGTGCTGGGGGAGGTTCTAGCTGTGCAGCCATGGGTGGGAGGCCTTCCTGAGACACCCACTGTCACCCATGGCACATGGGCGGCCCGAGGAAGCTGGTAAGGCTGCATGTGGGGCCATGTGGGACGCTGTGGCAGCCTTGCCCTAGGAAGGGTATGGGGAGGCATTTATAGTTTCTTTAAGAAAAAAATGACAATAACTACAACATCAGGTACAGGGCCTGGAGGGAGTTCCTGCCGGCGAGGGGCCCCGAGCTTGAGTCTGCCCCTACATGACCCCATGGGGGCGCCCTGCTAATCCTATCCTTCCCACTGAAGAAGCTATGCAAACTTCCCAAATGGTGACAAAAGGTTTTACCCTTCCCCATGGAAAAGCAGCTGTAAATGCAAGTAAATGTATAAAATGACTCCCCCTAAAAAGGAGGAATCGACATTTTTCAAAGCTAAATGCACAGATGTTTGGGGTGGATGAATCCATGGGGGTTGTCCCTGCCTTGCAGGAGGTTGGGTGGCATCCCTGGCCTCCGGCCGCTCCCTGCCGGACTCACCCCCAGCCTGAGCTCTCCTGACATTTCCACGAGAACCCACCCCTAGATGAGAACCGCTCCTGTGGGACACAGGTTTCAAACTCTTTTCTTGACGTGACTAAATTATTTTCTGATCTTACACAGGAGCCCAGTAAGTACAACGGGGACCAGAGGGGCAGCTCTGGTTGGTGTGCCCGCGCCCCCTCTTCGGAGGACATTCTGCGGGGAGGTGCGTCTTACCCTCCCATCCAACTGGCCTTCACTTGGCAGGAGGCCTGAGGGGCACCCCGCTGATCCGGGGTGAGCTGGCCCTGCACAGGCTTGGGGTATCAGGTCAGCCTCCAACCACTAATGGGGGCTTGGGTTCAGCACCAGAGACAGCCTGGCCTCATGGGACCTTCAGAAAAGGGGTGGGGGGGGTGCATCTCCGGGTTGGCTGAGCATATCAGGTGTTCCATCCCAGCAGTGACTGCCCTTCATCAGGCAACCGCCCTGTGGAAGACCACACTGCTTTCTGCCATTACTGGAAGGCTTGAAAACTGCGGGCTCTGACAGTGAAGATGTTTTTTAGTTCTGTAAATTCTACAAACCCAATTTCTATCCTTCTTAGAGAACAAACAGGAACAACAAAACCCCCTGAGGTGGAGGCAGAGGGCTGGGCAGAGGGAAGGCCAGGTGTGTACGCACATTTCTAAGACCAGGATGTAGCTGGTGGGGGTCTCAAAGGTGTCGAGGAGGCCGACAAGCAGGGGGTGCTGGAGGCTCTGCAGGATGCCAAGCTCATGGGTGACCTGGTCGCGCTTCATCAACTTCTTGTTCACAAACTTAGTGGCCACTGCTCGCTTGGTTCCTTTCTGATCACATTTCTTAACGACAGAGAATCTGCCCCTGTAAAATATGTCAGGGGGACCATTTGCAGAGGCTGCTGAGGTCTGGCACCGAGAAAGACTCTGTTATCCTAAATGGACTGGCTGTGTGGTGGCCCAGCCCTGTCCAGAGGCCCTGCTCTCCCGGCCACTCCACGGAGGGGCTGTGGTGCCATGGCTGTCCCCCAAATCTGCCCTTGTCCCCGCAGCCACGCGGTTCTGCTGGTCCTTCCTCCCAGGCAGCCTTGGTCTCCTCACGTCGGTGGCTGCTTTCCCAGCACTGCGTGTGGTGGAAGTGACAGAGGAAGACCTCTGAGCCTTGGCCTTGCCGGGCGACTCCCTTCTGCTTCCCACGACGAGCAGAAGCTGGGATGGCTGCTCACGCCTCCCGTCAGCCACCTTTCCCTGCACGTTTGAAAGGTGCGTCTGCTGTGGTCACTGCCTCAGCCTCGCCCCTGTGGGGGTGTGTGGGGCAGGCACGAGGACCCTGGAGCTGCCCCTGATGACCCACTCCTGGGGACTGGCCACAACTCAACGCGATCTGGACGAGGCCTTGGACCTCAGGTGGGGGCCTGGGCTGGGGGCCTGAGGTGGGTGAGTGCATTCTGCACATGTGAGGACCAGAGATGCGCCTGTGGCGGGCAGACTGTGTGGTTAAAGGCCACGGTTTTGCTACTTCTGTCACTCGGAGGCGGGGGCTATTCGTCCCCTTGAATCAGGGCTGCCTGGGGCTGGCTCTGGCCCACAGGATGTGGAGGACGTTGGTCGTTCTGAGGCTGGGCCTTCAGAGGCCTTGACGCTCCTGCTCCTGCTGTTCTGGGATGCCACTGCCCTCACGTGGGGGAGCCCAGGGTGAAAGTCGATGTGGAAAGAGGCCAGTGTCCCAGACAACGCCTCTGACACGCATGGGGCATGGTGCACCAGCTGACCAGGCCAGGAGAGGCCAACAGAATAATGGTCCCATCTGCCCACTGCACTGGAAGAAGGCACATGTCACCACTGTCCTAAGACAGCATGTGCTGGTGTGACTTTTTATGCAGCCACAGACAGCTGACAGAGACAGCAACAGGAGCCATGTGACTAGTTATGACCTCAGGAATGAATGCCAGAGGGTGCTGCTGGCTGGAGTTTCTGGGGGAGTTCTTACCAAGGGACAAAGGACAGCTGTCATGCTCCTCTGACCTTGCTCTTCCTGCCACATGGGACACAACACCTGAATGTGTGTGCTGTGTGGCCCTGGAGGCAGAGCCAAGAGAAGCCGGGCTGTCTGATGGCACTGCTGGGCCACCCCTGACTCGGCTGCCCCTCATGAAGAGAAAGAACCCCTTTGATGGGGAAACCTCTCTCTTAGTTTGTGCATCTAATTTTACTGTCACTCCTTGAAGTCTCCATGCACAAATGAAACGTGAAGGGCACAAGAGGATTAAGAACTACAAGAAGCGTTTGAAAGACTCCTGAACTCTCCCAAGGACGGCACAGAGCTACCACTATTCCACATTCACAGAGGGAAGCAATTTCTCCCCATTGAGGGGTGACTGGTGGCATTCGGCCCTCTCTGCTGGAACCCGAGTGGAAAATGGCTTCCTTACTTCCCCAGTGTTTAGCGTCTAAAGGCAATGAGAGTTACGATTCAAATGCAAGACACACAGCTTCCAATTGCTGGCAAGATAACACTGCTTAGCTTTATCCCTGCACTCTCTGGTATGTCTTCCCCACGCTCTGCTCTTTCGGAAGGCGTTCTGGGTTGTGCATCATACCTGCCAAGCTCAGCCACTTCACTGTAGAAGGAGTCAAAGTTGTCTTTCCAGGTCACCATGATCCCATCCATCCCTGGACCTGCAAGAAGAACAGCACCTGCCTGAGCTTGTTTCCCGTGGAGCTTCTTGGGTAAGAAGGCTATCGCCACGCACTGTCCCTCACAGCAGCTGCGCGTGGCCACCGGGCACCTGCCACACGGCTCATGCGAGTGGAGATGTGGTGGCTGCATAAAGGACACACAGACACTGGGGCTTAGTGTGAAGGAAGAATGCAAAATAGTTCACTAATGATTTTTCAAATATTGATTTCATGTTGAAATCTAATACTTTGGATGTATTTCATTAAATTAAATACATGTTAGTAAAAACTGCTTTTACTTTTATTTTTAAAATGTGTTTACTAGAAAAATCTAAACTTGCATATGTGGCCTCTTTTTGCTTCTATTGGACAGCACTGCTACAGATGGTCCTCCCCGTTCACCTGGCCGCACCACCTCGAGGCTAAGTTGCTCTCTCCTCCCCACGCCTCCTTTCACAGCCGTGAGAGATCAAGAGTCCACAGTATTTACTTAACGTCCACAGGGTTTTACATGGTTAATGAATCATAAATACACTACAAAGAGGATTTTATTATAAAAGTGCCAACTGTAAATCACCTGTGAGTAATGAACCCTGTGTACATGTCCACAGGAACAGAAAGCATCCTTTCAAGAGTCTTCCTGTGAAAAGAAGCACTAAGTGGGGGAGCCCCACGTGGTCCTGCTGCCAGGCAGCCCCTGGGAAGCACAGCTGCCACTGTGATTCTAGGCCTCCACGGGAGCCTGGCCCTCCCGACCCCACTCATCCAGCCTCCTCTCCCCACTTAGTTTCCTCTCCCCTCTTTCGGCCCGCTCACCTGACCTGCAGTCCAGCCCAGGCCGAGCATCTGCCCATCCCTATCTTCACGTGGGCTTCCTCACCTCTCCCCAGGTTGTCACTGGGAATGCGTTTCCTTAAACCATGTCCAATCCAAGCTGACTTGTCTAATTGGGCTCCCTGGGGTGGTGGCCACCTCCTCCATGTGCCTTCCCTGACTCACTCATGGCTGGAAATCATCTCCTCACATAGCAGTGGGCAGTCCTGGTGGATGCCATGTGCTGCCAGCTAGCACTGTTGTCACAGGAGTACTGCTGACCGCTACATGACTACAAGTGAACCCGTGTCTGATCCACCTCTGCAGCCTCCCAGAAACCAGAAGAATGCCTGGCACACACAAAGCCTCAAATCTTCACTGAAGGACACACGAGAAGCAATAATTTCACGTCAATCACTTAAACCAAAGGCTACGTTTTGTTCTGCAGTCTTTTTTTGTTAATGCTGGCACATTTGCACCCCTTTAAAGTGCTTTATAAATGGTAAGGTTAATTCTGACCTTGCAGGTGAAGGAGTACTGAGAGAGAAGCATTAATAAAAATAAAATTATTTCACTAGGCAGATTTGAAGCATCTACCAACTCACATTAAGAAATATTGGACTATTATTTACATAAAAATATTTTTTCTTCTTTTTTTAACTGAAAGGGCTTGGTGTTTTTTTTTTCTTTTTTTTAAATAAACATTTTTATTCGAGCATTACATATATACAGAAAAGTGGACCAAACATAAATGGCGACTCTGTGACCACCAACCAGACCCAGAGACAGAGCATCATAGTGGGCAGGTGCTCCCTGGCTCCTCTAAAACACACCTTTCTTTTTCCCTGTGTGTTTTTTTTTTTTTTTTTTTTTTTTTGAGGCAGAGTCTTGCTCTGTCACCCAGGATGGAGCGCAGTGGTGCAATCTCGACTCACTGCAATTTCAACATCCCAGGTGGCAAGTGATCCCCCCACCTCAGCCTCCAGAGTAGTTGGGACCACACGCGCACACCACCACACCCAGCTAATTTTTTGTATTTTTGTAGAGATGGTGTTTTGCCATGTTGCTGGTCTCTAACTCCTGGGCTCAAGCCATGGCTACCTGCCTCGGCCTCCCAAAGTGCTGGGATTACAGGCATGAGCCACTGCACCTGGCCCCCTTTTCTCATCAACAGAAGCCTCGGCCCTGGCTGGTGGGATGACAGGGCTCTCTTTGGATGATTCTCTCGGACACAGTTTGGGGGCCTGCACCTGTCCTCAGGGTGCAGGGCCAATGCCTCCAGCCTCAGGACTCCCCTCTCATAGCCCAGACTCTGACCAGCTACCTGCCTTGAGCCAGAGCTGGACTGAGAATAAGGCTTTGTTTCCTGAGCATCTGAGAACTGGGGCTCTGCAAGGCAGCCAGGGCTGGAGAGAATGAGGGCGCACACCCCAGACAGCTTGTGGGTGCAGGAATAGCCTCAGGCAGACAGGAGTGGAGCCAAGGGTAGATTTAAAACAAAACACAAAATTACTGATGCCTGCAAACAAAGTGGCTTCTCTCAGAGAACAATTTGGAAATGGTTAAGATCATCTTGGAATAGTCCACATAAGATAATTCTTCTGAAGACCTTTAGGGGTGCAGCTGAATTTGTGTGATAGAAGTAACTACACACTTGGATTATTTTCCCATTTGCATTTCCAGGGTATGAATAGTCTTTTTTTTTTTTTTTTTTTGAGACAGAGTCTCGCTCTGTCACCCAGGCTGGAGTGCAGTGGCATGATCTCGGCTCACTGCAACCTCTGCCTCCTGGGTTCAAGTGATTCTCCTGCCTCAGCCTCAAGAGTAGCTGGGACTACAGGCGCTTGCCACCACGCCGGCTAATTTTTTGTTATTTTTAGCAGAGACAGGGTTTCACTGTGTTAGCCACGATGGTCTCGATCTCCTGACCTGGTGATCCACCCACCTCGGCCTCCCAAAGCGCTGGGATTACAGGTGTGAGCCACTACGCCCAGCTGAATAGTATACCTTTCTAAAGTCCTTTAGCTTTTGCCAGTGATTAAAAAAAAAAAATCACCTGTGTAATTTCTGTGTTATTTACAAATTAGAAAATCTTTACCTTTTATTGTTTACTGCCAAATTCTAGAGTTTTAGATTTCTTGTTCCATGATCCAAAAAATCAGAACATGTCTTCTGATTTAATGTTGTTAAAAACAGGAAATTAAGATATCTGGGACAAAAGTTCTAAGACAAATTCTGCTTATTGTCTACAGACGGGGTGCTCCAGGACTCAATTTATCTTTCATTTGGAGTTTTATTTGTCCTCTGGAGGCACCTCCATTTGTGGTGCAGCCCAGTACTGCATGGCCGGCCTTCTGCAAGATGGCAGCAGAGAACAGTCCACACCTTTCTCAGCAGCTATCTACATCAGGCAACTACAGGACGTTTTGAAAGAGCCTAAGATATTGGTTCTGCCCCAGGGAGCTTGTGGTTTAGCTGAGGAGAAAGAACAAGCTCTTCACACTGGAGCAAGCAGGCCCCATGGCAGATGCCTCCTAGCCAGATGCTCTGGACAAGCTACTGAGCCGCCCTGGGCCTGGCTCCTCCTGGATGGGGTGAGGAGGGCGTGCATTCACCCAGAAGGGTTGCTGTTAGGGTCTCAGACAGGCACAGGGCCTGCGCAGGCCCGGGACTCACCCACATCTCCTTTCCTGCTTTTCCCATGCACATTCTACATGAGACCAACCTAGACCAGATCCAGATTCAGCTGGGTAGCTGGATATGAGTGTTTTGAGTACTAGGAGCACGGAAAGCACCCTGCTCCAACTCAGAAGCTGGTCGTGGGGGGCCCTGGTGCCCCATGGTGGGCAGCCAGAGGCCTTCACCAGGCAGGCCCCCATCCTCCTCCCAGCAACAGGAGCTCCGGTGTCTCCCCCGACTTTACATAAGGTGCCGAGAGGTCACTCTCCTGTGACATCCCAGACACTCTGGTCTGCTACTTACAACTGTCTTTTGAAGCCCCACAAATGACTTATTGTTCTATCTTTCAGGCCACTTGGAGTGTAAGGGCAGACTCAGGACTTAAGGAGACTCCTGAAAGACGTGCCCCACTGGGTCACGTAGAATCCTCGTTGCACGGTGCTTACCTAGGACCCTCAGGCTGGCCGACGATGAGGCTGAACCCATGTCATTGACAGCGATGCACGTGTAGATGCCGTCATCTTCCGTGGTCACGCCCACAATCTTCAGCGTGGCCTCTCCCAGGTCACTGCGGCACAGATGGGAACACACTGCGCATCAGAAAAGCTGAGCACGTGGCCATCAGCGCTGGCCTCCTCCTTCAGGATCAAGGGAAGGCAGGAGCTCAAGTGCTGATGAGGAGCTGTACACCCAGGCGTGAAATGGGCTCTCACGGAAGAAGTGGAGTGCCGAAGGCAGCCAAAGAAATCCATCCGTGAAGGAGGAATTTCCAGTTGCCAAGTGACAAGATGGTGCTCCCAGCCAGCGAAACCCACCAGGAGTGGGCCTCCCTCACCTGTAGGAGATGCTGTAGTGACCATCGTTGTTCAAGGTGTTGTGTTCAGGGCCCTTCCAGGTAATTGAGGCTTTGGGGCGGCCACAGACTCGACATCTAAGAACAACGGTCTCCCCTGTCTCACACGTGACCTCACTCAATGGAATGACGAATTCTGGGGGAACTGCATGGGAAAGGAGTCGGTAAAGGCCCATCAGCCCTGGCTCCTCCTCCACACCCACCCACATGTCCCCGACAGATTGATAGGACCTAACCTGCTATGCACGCCTAGAGCGCCACGGAAAACTCATTTCCAGAGGCCACACTCAAGTGCTCTGAAACATGCCCCACAGGTCTAGAATCATCTCTAGGACTAGAAGAAAAAGAACAGAACTCACCGTCATAAATGTAGTTGGGATTGAGAAGCTGAAATGGAAACAGCAAACAAGCATTAACTGAAATGAGCTACTTTAAGGTGTATTCCTTTCATTCCAGGGCTACAATTATTGTTGAAAGATTTGCAGAAACTGACTTGCCTGGGCATCAATCAAAACAGACCACATTTTCACTGCACTCAAAAGTTTCATGTCACACTAATTTGGGTGGGTCTTTTTCTTCCTACCCACAAACACAAAAACACTGCTTAGATGTGTGTTTTTCTCATGCTACAGGCTGAGTCCAGCTGGTCCTCAGATGCGTTCCTAATGCAGAGCCGCCAACGCCCTGGCCCCTGGCGCTCAGAGTCCCTTTCAGGAGATACCTTCTTTTTCTCCAGGCAACCCCCACCGCAGGTGTCAGGCAATCCGATTATAGGACTAAAGCTGACTGAAGTTGTCCCCAAGGGGATCTGTCACAGCCAGAGAGCCCATATGCACCCCCACATCTAGCCACTTCCCCTTGGCTTTAAGGCAGGAACACTGAAGGAAGCCTGAGCCATAGCTTCTCTGCACCTTCGCTGCTTCTGAGAACCTAGTCTCTGTGCTTCATTTGCAAACCTAACCATATTCTTTAGAAGCCACATGTGCACCTGCGGAAGTGTGCAGGGGTCTACCTGGTTCCTTGTAGGACGCACCCATCCCTGTGCTGGCCAGCATAGTGCCCCTAACAAGACCCTACAGGACACGCAGGGCACGGGGCTGGTGGGTGGGAGGGAGGTCATAAGCAAGCCCAGCTTCAGGTCTGCAGAGTCTCTGCCCTCCCTGATCCTTTCTCTCATGCTGGGATGACACGGACTCCTGAAGACCCCCGAACACACCTTCACAGATACCTTGTTGCTGAGTCCTTCCCGTGACTTCCGATAACCGTTCTCTAACTTGCCTTCCCTTTTGCCGTCTTTATCTTTTTTCTCAGATTTTTTCCTTAAACGGAGTGCTGTGTGCCAAGATGTTGACTTCCTAGGGGAAATGAACACACTGTGGGTATTATGCCTTTCCAACATTCACCAAGTGCTGCCTGGAAGCGTTAAAGAAAAGCTGAATATTCAACGTATGTGTGTGCAGGGGGATGGGAAATCCTCTACGAACTGTGACCTCTGTTAGAGAAAATGTTCCTTTTTTTTAAGAACCAGGAGATAAAACCAACAATCTCTTAAAGTTTGAGGATGAAAATATAAAGGTGCCTGTGATAACTGATTTTATGTGTAACTTGACTGGGTCACAGGACGCCTAGATATTTGTTCAAACATTATTCTGGGTATTCCTGTGAGGGTGTTTCTGAATAAGATGAACATTTTGATGGGTCCAGTAAAGGCATGTGCCCTTTCTAAGGTGAATGGCCCTCATCCAATGAGCCGAAGGCCTTAAGGGAACACAAAAAGTCTGGTCTCCCAAGCAAGAGGGCGTTCTCTAGCAGACTGTCTTCAGGCTCAGCCTGCACCACGTGCTCTCCGGGGTCTGAAGCCTGCTGGTCCACATGCAGATTTGGACTTGCCAGTCTCCCTAACTATGTGAGGCAATTTCTCATCATAAATCCACTTCTAGACAGGCATACCTTTTAGAGGTCCTGGGGACTTGGTTCCAGACTACCACAACAAAGTGAGCCACATCAAGTTTTGGTTTCTTAGTGCATATAAAAGTTAAGTTTATACTATACTAGAGTCTATTATGTGTGCAATAGTATTATGTCTAAAAAATGTACATACCTTAATTAAAAACAGTTTATTTGCTAAAAAAAATGCTATCATCCGCACCATCAGTGAATTGTACTGTTTTTGCTAGTGGAGGGTCTTGTCTTGATGCTGATGGCTGCTGACTGATCAAGGTGGTAGTTGCTGAAGGCTGGAGTGGGTGTGGCAATTTCTTTCTCTGAGACGGAGTCTTGCTCAGTCACCCAGGCTGGAGTGCAGTGGCGCGAACTCGGCTCACTGCAAGCTCCACCTTGTGGGTTCAAGCTATTCTCCTGCCTCAGCCTCCCAAGTAACTGGGACTACAGGCGCCTGCCACTACGCTCAGCTATTTTTTTTTGTATTTTTAGTAGAGATGGGGTTTCACTGTTAGCCAGGATGGTCTCGATCTCTTGACCTCGTGATCCACCCGTCTTGGCCTCCCAAACTGCTGGGATTACAGGCGTGAGCCACCACGCCTGGCCTTTTTTTTTTTTTTTTTTTTTTTTTTTTCTAGTAGAGACGGGGTTTCACTATGTTGGCCAGGCTGGTTGTGAACTCTGACCTTATGATCCACCCGCCTCAGCCTCCAAACGTTCTGGGATTACAGGCATGAGCCACTACGCCTGGCCTGGCTGGGGCAATTTCTTAAAGTAAGACAACAAGAAATTTGCCACCACTCCCCTTGTTACAAAAGACTTCCCTGCAGCATGTGACACTGATAGCATTATACCCAGAGTAGAACTTCTTTGGAAATTGGAATCAATCCTTTCAAACCCTGCTGTTGCACTGTCAACTAAGTTTATGTAATATTCTAAATTCTTTGCCAATATTTCAACAGTGTTCATAGCCTTTTCACCAGGAGTAGATTCCATCTCAAGAGACCACTTTCTCTGCGCACCCCTAAGAAGCAGCTCCACATCTGTTCAAGTTTGATGAGGAGATTGCAGCTCTTCAGCCACATTTTCAGGCTCCATTTCTGATCCTATTTTTCTTGCTGTTTCTGCCACATCTGAGTTATTTCCTTCACTGAAGTCTTAAAACCTTCAAAGTCATCCATGAGGGTTGAAATCAACTTCTTCCAAACCACTGTTAATTAATGTTAACATTCTGACCTTCTCCCATGATTCATGAGTGTTCTTCATGACATCTGGAATGGTGAATCCTCTCCACAAGGTTTTCAATTTACTTTGCCCAGATCCACTGGAGGCATCACTGCCTATGGTAGCTATGGCATTACAAAATGTATTTATGTATTTCTTTTCCTTTTTTTGAGACAGAGTCTCACTCTGCTGCCCAGGCTGGAGTGCAGTGGCATGATCTAGGCTCTATGCAACCTCCGCCTCCAGGGTTCAAGCAATTCTCCTGTCTCAGCCTCCCAAGTAGCTGGGACCACAGACACATGCCACCATGCCCAGCGAATTTTTGTATTTTTAATAGAGCCTGGGTTTCACCATACTTGTCAGGCTGGTCTCGAACTCCTGACCTCAGGTGATCCACCCGCCTTGGCTTCCCAAAGTGCTGGGATGATGGGTGTCAGCCACCATGCCCAGCCCAAAATGTATTTCTTAAATAAGACTTGAAAGTCCAAATTACTCCTTGATCCGTGGGCTGTAGCATGGATATTGTCTTAGCAGGCAAGAAAACAACACGAATCTCCTTGCACATCTCCATCGGAGCTCTTGGGTGACCAGGTGCATTTTCAAAGAACAGTAATATTTTGAAAGAATTTTTGTTTTCTGAGCAGTACGTGTTGACACTGGCCTTAAAATACTCAGTAAACCGTGTTGTAAATACATGGTGTACAGATGTGCTGTCAGCCAGGCTTTGTTGTTCCATTTCTAGAGCACAGGCAGAGTAGATGCCTCTACCACAGCAGGCATTCCAGGGGGATGAAGAGTTGTAAAAACTGCCATCAAATTCAGTAAAATAATACTCAGTGCAGCAAAACCGGCTTCATGTTTCTTAACTGAATTAACCTTTTGGTATATAAGGTGTGATGATAATTAGCATGGTTCTTAAGGACCCCAGGATTTTCAGAAGGGTAAATAAATGCGACTGGGTTCAACTTAAAGCCACCAGCTGCATTAGCCCCTAACCCTTTTATTTTACAGGATTAGCTTTCCTTAAACTTCATGAATCAACTAGTTTGCTAGTTTGCAACTTTTCTTCTGCAGCTTCCTCATCTCTCTCAGCCTTTATAGAACTGGAGAGAGATGGAGCCTTGTTCTGGGTTGGGCTTTGGCTTAAGGCAAGGTTGTGGCTGGTTTGATCTTCTATCCAGACCACTCAAACTTTCTCTGTCTCAGCAAAGGCTGTTTTGCCTTCTTACTATTTGTGTGTTTAGTGGGGTAGCACTTTTATTTCCTTTGCATTTACAATTTAGCTAACTGTTCGGTGCGAGAGGCGCTTAGCTTTCGGCCTATATCCACTTTTGGCATGCCTTCCTCACTAAGCTTCTGGCTTTTGATTTAAAGTGAGAGACATGTGACTCTTCCACTTGAACATTTAGGGGCCACTGTAGAGTTATTAACTGGTCTAATTTCGATATTGTTGTGTCTCAGGCAGGCCTGAGGAGAGGGAGACACATGGGGGAATGGACAGTTGGTGGAGCAGTTAGAACACACGTTTATTATGTTTGGCATCTTGTATGTGTGCAGTTCATTGTTCCTCAAAACAATTATAATGGTAACATCAGACATCACTAACTACATATCACCGTAACAAATACAATAACAAAATGCATGAAATATTTGAGAATCACCAAAATGTGACACAAATACAGAGTGTGAGCATACGTTGTTGGACAAATGGCACCGAGAGACTTGCTTGACATAGGGTTGCCACAAAACTCGTGTAAAAAAGGCAATGTCTTCAAAGCACATTAAAGCAAAGCACAAAACAACCTGAGGTGTGCCTGTGTCTATGCCAACATCTCCGCACGCTCCCTACTGGTCCTGCTCCTCTGAAGGACCCTGACTAATATGCGGCCTAAGAATGTATGTCAAAGAAACAAAGATAGGGGATATTTTCCCCTTAGGTTTCTTAAACAAACAAACAAACAAACAAACAACACTTTCTTGAGTTATGACTAACACAAAAATGTCAAATGGGATTCCTCAACAATGTGCTAGAACAGACTATTTCTAAATGCAGATTATTCAAAGACCCTGTGAGTCTGAGTGTGTGAGATGGAAGGCCACCCATCTTCCCACGTGCTCAGAGCTGAGCCTGTTCTAACATACCAGCGCAGATCTCCCTTCCACATGCTTACCCCGTCTGAGGTCGTGTGCCTCACGGGTGCTGTGCCCCCTCCCTCTGCTGCCTGCCAGGACGCCGTTACTGTCAAGCACTCACTTGAGAGTCCCGTCCGGGTTCTCCACGATGACTGCACTGGTGTGGCCCAGGACAAAGCCTGGAATCCAGCCCTCAGCTGCGGGGCACTGGTCAGTGGCGGCTCGGAACACCAGAAACATGTTCTGCTGGTTGCTGGCCAGAATTTGAACGACCTCTCCTTGGTAGACGTTGATCTCATCCTCCTTCACTGCCGTGTAATCGTGTGTCACCAACATGGTGGAGATGTTGCTACTGCTGCTGCTTTCACTCTGCAGAGGGACAGATGAAGACAGAGAAAGGCAGGGAGGAACTGAAACGAGACCTGATCACATGAAATCCCTTGTCAGTGTGCCCCATGGCACCATGACCCCGTGCAGGGCTCACCAGGCAAGCACCGAGAAATTTTCAACATTTCCTTTACCCTCTGGCTAACTGTGTGCATCTATTTCAATAACTGAAAATGTAATTTCTCTAGAAAGCAATTTAGGGACGCTCTTAAAAAATTCACTGCAATAATGACTCTTTGGTTTTGGAAGCTCGTTCCACTGTGGTCTTCCTTGCACCCTCACGGGAACATCTTAGTCCTCCTGCTGACGCCACGTTAGGTTACTCCTAAGCAAACATAGCCACATCACTGTGAATCTCATTATCAGTTAAAAAAAGGTATTAGAATTAATTGATGCAAAATTAATCTTCATTTCACTGACAGATTAGATAACAGAGAAGTCCCTAAATCTTCCAGATAGAATGTTCATTGGGAATGCATACTCTAGAATCATGCTAAGTTGCTGACATGCCTAATCATTTCTACTTCGTCTCTTCAAAAAGAAGAACATGGAACCCCTGAACGTAAATCGATCACTATTCTGCTCATACGGAGAGCGACTCTGTCTCCAGCAATACGAACTTGCTAGGTGTCCCTCTTATGAACTTGCATGACTCAAGTGTCCCCAAGGCTCTGCTGCCATGGGAACATATCACAAAGCATCCCAGTGCCACTCGCCCCAGGTGCTGTGACTCAAGCTTTGGGAACGGATTCTGGTGTGGGATGCGTACCCCCACCCTTATACCGCTGCCCCTGTGGGACCCGATCTCTTCAGTCACAGGGCTGACATGCAGCAGGAACTCAACATATGGTGAGTGACTCGGTCAGTGAGGCAGGATTGCAACAGCAAGACAGAGATTTCTTAAGGCCCTACCCAGGCCACACACAGAGTGGTGTTAGCTCCTGAGAAGAAACACAAACGGCAGTGTTTGTCCCACTCTCATCTAGCGCGTGGCCTATGGTTCTGGGTGGAGAAGAAATGCAGATCCCCTGCCAACGCCTGAAGCTGCATCTTGCCCAAGTCCCCTCTATCAAGTTAGGATGTGAGAAACGGCATCTGGTGCCTCGTTCCCGTGAACTTGTGCTCAAAGGCTTCCACTGAGGGTACTGTCGGGATGTTCATGGGTTCCCAAGGCTCCAAAGGTGCTAGCTTCTGCTGGGCTCTCCGACGCCCTGGGCAGATCCTGGGTCAGTGCAGATGCAATTTGTCAGATAACCCTGCTCTACCGCCTCTCAGCCCTGGTCTACTGAGCCAGTATCAGTACACGCTGGAGCAGGTGGCGGACTGCTGTAGCTGGCCAAAAGGACCAGAGGGAAGAGACCTCTGGCCCTCCTCCATGAGGTCAAGCCTGAGAAAGCCAACAAGCCAGCCACTGGGAATTCCAGGTGCCAGGGCTATGAATCTAGACCTGTGGTGCATACTTAAAAACATGGCGGTGCTGCCCAGCTCCTGTTCTTTGTCTCTGCCGTGGAGGAGTCTGCTTCCTGTTCTTGTCCCTGTGGGTGCCCACTGTTTGCCTGTGGCTCTTCAGCAAAAAAGCGTGCTGTACAGGGAAGGCTTTGGCTTGTGCATACTCATTTATGCATTATACTTTTAGCATGGACTTTAGTATTCTGACTTATATGGCAATGCCCAAGAGTACTGAGATTACAAAGCTAAATTTCCAAGAATATGTAAACAAAAAACAACTTCTGCAGCACAGCTGCTTTTGGTAATATACCAGGCTACAATCTCATAATTAGAGTATTTTGCTACTACAATCCTAACTATTAGTATTTTCTGGGCATCTCCTATGTACTAGGCATTTCAAGTCTATCCTGCTTAATTCTCACCACCAACCCACCAGTGGGCGTGGTTATCAGTCTCTCAGAGTGGAAGGTCAGTGAGCTGGCACTGGCCACCTGGCCTGTGCAAGAAAGGCAGGGCTGGAGTGACTCCAGTGTGCATGCACTTTTATTGCTGCTCAATAAAGCAGGCCAAAAGGCCAGACCACTGAGCTGCAGGAAGGACTGGTGCAGCCATGGTTTGGGTTGATCCACATCCATGTCACTCCTGCTGTCAGCAGAGCTTTGCAGAAGCTGCTCATCTAAAGGGGGAAGAGGGAGCCGGGCTGTGGGCTGGGCACAGCTGCTTGACTGTGACCACAGACAGCTTGACAGAAGTGATCAAGGAGGAAGGAGGCCTTTGCAGATCTCCAGGGGGACAGAAGTGCAAATACGTGGGGGCTTTTTGAGACGGAGTCTCCCTCTGTCATCCAGGCTGGAGTGCAATGGCACGATCTCGGCTCACTGCAACCACTGCCTCCTGGGTTCAAGCGATTCTCCTGCCTCAGCCTCCCAAGTAGCTGGGACTATAGGTGCGTGCCAGCTCACCTAATTTTAAATGCTCAGCTAATTTTATTTTTAGTAGAGATGGGGTTTCACCATGCTGGCCTCGAACTCCTGACCTTGTGATCTGCCCGTCTCGGCCTCCCAAAGCGCTGGGATTACAGGTGTGAGACATCATGCCCAGCCTAGAGGGCATTTTTAAAGCCCCATTTTGGAGCTCTGGAGTCTTCCTAGGCCTTTAGGGCATTTCTGTAAGGCATCTTGACTTGTCTGAAATCCTGTTCAGCAAGTTCCCTTTCCAGGTTCCCTGCCACATGAGAACAAGTAGGAAGAGAAAGAGAGAAAGCAAAAGCAACTTTCCCAACCTAAAGCTCGCGGGAACACGTGCCACTTGCAGATTGCGCCTTGGCCTCAGAGACAGCATTCAGGATGGAGCCAGGGTGTGGCCATTTTTCATGTCTTCTCATGAATGTCCAGAGAAGACTGGCATTGGCTCCTGTCTTGGAGCAGTTGAAGTGTTAATTTTGAAACACAGACTCTGAAATCTCCTCTCGTACTGAATGGGAATGTGTCCAGGCTATGATGAGCTCTAGATGCTAACTGGCAGATTCAGCGAGGGTCACAGCTATAAGGCCACACCTGGATACTGAGTATCCAACTAAGTGCTGACGGGTATAGCCCGTCACTGGGTTGACTGCATCTCCCCACCACCCCACACTGGACTCAAATCTATGCTCACCCGCCTAGCATACCTGCCTACCTAGCACGTCCAACCTAACTGAAAGGCCACCTTGCTCTGGAGGACACAGTACGGTGGCCATGACAGCGGATGCCTACCCGGCCACTTCAACTGTAAATAAATGTATCAAGACCCATTTGTTAATTTCTTCCCCAATTAAAGTTTAACAAAATACATAACAAAAAATAGTAGGAAAGGATAAGACCAAGTCAAACCAATTAAGGCATTAATAAGTCCAGAGGAAAGAGAAAGACATGCAAAAGCTAGATTTTTTTTTTAATATAAAGAGAGACACAGACCCTTTTAGAGAAATGTATTTAAAAATTTATAAAGCGTTCAAACATACACTCATTAGAACAGTTCTATTCACTCACGCATGCCTTCAGGAAAGTGTTACGGGCCAGGCCATCTGCCCTGTAGGAAACAGGTGGGTAGGACAGTGAGGAAGCAGGAAACAGAGGGAAAACCCACCACAGCAACCCTTGTGCTTGAGACGGCAGCATGAGTGATGGGCCAAACGAGGCCAGAGCCCAGCAGGCCGCAGGGACCGGCCCCAGCCTGCACTGCAGAGCCGCCTCGCCAGGTGCCCAGAGCAGTCTCTGTCTTCCAGAGCAACACGGTGACGTAAAGCGTTCCCAGTGGACAGATTCTTTCCCCCCATTTTTTCATCTTAGTTTGCTTTGAGTTGCTGTTGGAAGTTTTCTTGAGGGAATGGTCTTCCCCAGCAGATGAGTCAAAAATGCCGCAAAGATAATTTAAGGCATAAAAGAGCAAAACCAAGCGATGAGCAAAAAGCTTAAAGTGTACAGGTTTCAATTTAAACAGGAGGTAGAGAGCAGGGAAAAGGAACCCTCCAAAAAATAGGTGCGTGAGGAAGGCAGAGGTTAAAAAAGAAAGTTCCAAGAAGATATTCTGCTGGTTGGAAATGGAAGAAACCAAAAGACGCTGCGTTGAGAAGGTTAATGATCGGCTTGCTCTTATTAGAAGACACGAACAAAGCAAGGAGTAGTTAGTAGCGCCGTGGGCCGGCCCGCAGGAGGGTTAGCCTGGTCCCAGGTAGAGGCCGCAACGGGCGGCGGAGAGCGCTGGGCAGCCGAGTTAGTGAGAACAGCCGCGGTGGCGTTTAGAGCTGGCGGGACAGAGGCAGGGGGGCGGGAGGGCGCGGGCCCCCCGACGCGCTTACCCCGTTGCTCTGGGTGGACTGCACGGACTGCTCGCTGGCCGAGGAGCACGTGCTCATGCGGTCAGTATCCTTGCCAGGGGCCGCGTGGCGGGGTGTCTGCCGCTGGAGGGAGTCGCTGTCCCCCGGGAAGGTGAAGGAGCCGGGTCGGCTGGCGGGGGAGGCGGGGATGGAGCTCCAGAAGGAGCCCCCCTTCTGCAGGGGGCTGCTGGGGGGGAAGGGCTCCTTGCCGAGAGAAGGGACCGCGCTGGAGAGCGGCGAGTTCAGCGGCGAAGCGGCCCCGGCCCGGGGCTTCCCAAGCGGCAGGGTGCCCAGGCTAGCGCGCGCGTCCTTGGCGGGGGCGTCTGGGCTCGACCCCGAGGCGTTCGCGGCGCCTTTCCTGGGGCTCTCCAGCACCTTCATCTTGGGGATCGGCTCCGCTTCTCGCTCGGACCCCTCGGCGTCCGCGCCGGGGGGCCGCCTGCTGGGCGCGCTGGGGCCGGCCTCGGGGGCCGCGCCAGGGGGAGGCAGGGAGGGCCCGGGGGTGGACGTACCTGACATCTTGTCTGCCTCTGCCTGGCTCGAGGCTGCAGAGGAGACCAGCACGGGGGGGTGGTGTCGGACAGGCTGGGGGATCCGGGAGGGCCGGCTCCTGCTCGTGCTGGGGGCGCCGCCGCAGCTGCTGGGGCCGCCACTGTGGCCGCTGCCGCCACTGGGGGCCCCGCCGCCGCCGCTGCCCCCACCCCCGCCGCTGCCCCCGCTGCCGCCGCCGCCGCCGCCCCCGCTGTGGTTCCTCTGGTACTCGATTGGCGATGTCAAGGCTGTAAGACAAGACAGCGGGAGAGACTGGGTCAGGGCGCCAAGGAGCACGCCGCGGGGTGAGGGAGGAACAGGGCCCACCCTGGGATGGGTCATGGGGCAGACCCCGTGCAGGGGCGCAGAGCAACCCCACCCATCAGGAGAGCTAGAAGAGGCCCCTGCTTGCCAAGGTATTGGGATGCCGGCTGAGTGCAGCGGGTGGAAGGGGCCGCATTCCTCAGCACATCCCGGACTAAGGGCCAGTGTCCACAGGAAGACCAAGGCAACAGATTTGACTAGAACTCCTCCAGCTACCAACTGGCTTCCGCAAAGGTCTTTCCTAAACCAGAGTCCTGGGGTGAAAAAGAAACCCTGGGGCTGCCGTGGAGGCGGTTTCATAGACCACCTCTGCTCTGCAGGCTGAACACAGCCCTGAGGGAAGCTAAGGAGCTACTAGAGGCCCCTGGAGCGGGAGGCTGTCCCATCTCTTGACTTGGGTGCCTGAGTTTTCTTACATCTTCATTGTAGAAAAACACAGAAATCAGGCCAAAATAACATGTATGGAAACATGCACAAACTCTTGAAGTGTTAAAGCCTTTGAAAAATACGACAAGCAGATGCAGCCCCCCAGCCCCAGCCCCAGGCATGTGTGAGCAAGCGTTGAGGAGCCAGAGGCAGTCTACAAACTCTGTGCTGGCCACAGCCTCTTCCAGGACTAAGGGGTGTGCAAGAAGCAGGTGAAAGGGTCCCAAGCTCCCAGCCCATGAGCGATCTCCTTTAATCCTCTGGGATAGGTATTACTAGTTACTCAACTGAGTGGGTGTCAAGTAAACTCTGACATCACAGACCATGCGTGCAATCTGGGGGCAGTTCATTCTATTTTAAAGACAATGATGAAAATTTAGAGCATTCTCAATTCCAAGCTATGGATTGGAACTCAATGCACCACATAAGAACACCACATTGAACCTCTTCGCACCTGAGGAACTGTGCCTCCCTATCCTCAAGCGCCCACCCCTAGCTGCAGATGTAAATGATTATCAGCTTGCAAGCAGGATGGAAACTTGGAGTTAACACCCAGGCAGCACATAACACTTGGCTAAAAATGCCATGAGGCTTGAGATTTTTCACTGAGTGCCTATGTTCCTGGCTCTTGAACATCACGCAAGGTGTAGAGGTGGCTTTCTTGTGACAGAGAACATTACAACATCCTATTGAGCTTGAGCAGGCATAGATGCAGACCGTGAATACGAACATGAAGCAAAGAACCCAGAAGACACAGATGACATGGGCACATAGCTTCGGACTGAATTCTCAAAGTTCTTTGCTGATCACCAAATTAAAAGCCAGTGTTGAAGCCAACATTTGCAAAGAGATCAAATACATTAAGAGGCAATGGAAGGGTAGTGTGGCCACGCCCGCTGTGTTCTGCAGCATCTCTGCAATCCCTCAAGTCACGGAAGCAGGGAAGTACTGAACCGTCTCTTTTTTTTTTTTTGAGACAGAGTTTCACTCTTGTTGCCCAGGCTGTAGTGCAATGGTGCGATCTCAGCTCACCACGATCTCCGCCTCCTGGGTTCAAGTGATTCTCCTGCCTCAGCCTCCTGAGTAGCTGGGATTACAGGCATGCGCCACCACGCCCGGCTAATTTTTTTGTATTTTTAGTAGAGACAGGGTTTCTCCATGTTGGTCAGGCTGGTCTCAAACTCCTGACCTCAGGTGATCTGCCCAACTTGGCCTCCCAAAGTGCTGGGATTATAGGCTTGAGCCACCATGCTTGGCCCCATCTCTTATTTTTTTAATGGGGAAAGGAGGTGTGGGTGTGCAAGGCCCTCGTGAATGTCTCTGGCCAATGCCATCTCGTGTTCTCGCAAACTCCTCTTCCTAGGACTGGGCCCTCGTACATGTTATGTGTGGGACAGTGTAGCTGCGAGGGGCACAGACCAAGAGCCAGATGGCCACTCTGTGTCCTGACTCTGCCCTCAACAACTTGTGGGACTCGAAGCAAATTACTCAGCCGCTCAGTGCCCCAGCTTTCTCATCTGTAAAGCAGGAATAATAATAGTACTGGCCACACAGGGTGGTTGTGAAGATGAAATAAAGCAATATCTAGGCAGTGCCTGAAGAGTGGTGAGTGCTAAGTTCTGTCATTACTATGGATATGAATGGGAGAGGGAAGATAAATACAAGTGAGTACACGAGGAAAGAAAGCACACATCTAGTAACAGAACACACATTACCATTTAAAAAATTGCGCTGGTTTTCTAAAATTTGGTTGATTTCATGGATCCAAGTTTGCCGGACACTTGGACTAGATGAATGCAAAATGAAGGTCTCTACCACGTCACCCGTCCTCGATGTCAGAGCAAATTTACAGGGATCATTTTCCACATTTTCCTCCAGGCAAAGGCAACTCACCTTAAAAAAAAAAAAACATTATTCATAATAGCTAACAGGTGGAAAGGAAGCAAACCATGTGTCCACTGACCGATGAATGGACAAAGAAAATGTGGGCTATGTGGACAGTTTTTCAGCCTTAATGAGGAAAGAAATTCCGACACACAATACGACATGGATGAACCTTGAAGACGTTATGTTAAGTGAAATATGCCAGTCTCAAAATACAACTATTGTTATGATTCCACTTACAGGAAGTCCTTAGAGTAGTCAAATGTGGGGATAGGAAGTAGAGTGGAGGTTGCCAGGGGCTTGGGGGTGGGGAAGTGGGGAGTTACTGTTTAATGGGTACAGGGCTTTAGCTCTGCAAGATGAAGAGTTGTGAAGACAGATGATGGTGATGGCTGCAAAACATGAATGTTCTTAATCCCATGGAGCTAGGTAATTAAAGATGGAACATTTATGTTATGTGTATTTTACCACAACAAAAAATTAAAGCACATTGATCCCCACTGGCCAAGTGCAAAGTGAAGTTCATCCTAACTCAATCCTGAAACAAGCACTTTTCAGTTGAACTGCCATTTTTACTGCCTCAGAAAACATCTGAAGCTTTTTAATGCCTCTTAACTCAGGTACATGGGGAATACAAGGCTGTTAAACTAATAGTTTGAACTAACAGCCTGAACAATTAACTAGAAATATGCGTCTGGGATTACCTGTTTCCCAAACCCCTCTATGATGCCTCAGTATTTATCCTTACTTACTTCCCAGGGAGTAAATGACACCATTAAACAAATCTCAAATATCACTAAAACCTATGTTATAAAATTGTATGTGATATCATGATTAAAATATGTCAAATAATTTTATAAAAATATGTAAAAAATATATACGAAATTCCTACAGTGCTGGAGTGATTTTCTGCCAAAAGACTTGTGAGAAGAATGGGTAGGCAGTTCTCAGGGGATGGGTGCAGTGCAGGGGATGGATGAGTGCAGTGCCCGGGATGGATGAGTGCAGTTCTCAGGGGATAGGTGCAGTGCAGGGGATGGGTGGTTCTCAGGGGATGGGTGCAGTGCAGGGGATGGGTGTAGTTCAGATGATGGCTGCAGTCCAAGGGATGGGTGCGGCTCAGCGTATGGGTGCAGTTCAGCGTATGGGTGCACAGTTCAGGGCATGGGTGCACAGTTCAGATGATGGCTGCCGTCCAGGGGATGGGCGCACAGTTCAGGGGATGGGAGGCTCAAGTGTAGTGGTGAGCCCAGAGGGTCTGTGCCTGACATGGCCTCAGGGTGAGGGGCCTCAAAAGGCGGAGTCTGGAGGGGCAGGCGGGTGGTGGGAGGTGCGAGGGCCCGCAGCCCAGCCTCATGCAGAGGCGGCCTCCTTCTCCAGCTGTTTGGCTCCAGAGCCCTCCTAGGTGCTGGTGGGCAGAGGCCCCCAGCCTGGCACCTGTGCCCACGGACAGACCCACCCCAGGTTTAGGCAAATGGAGGCTGCTGGGGACAGCCAACAAAAGCCTGAACGGAGAGTCGGATGGGGGAGGACGCAATGTTCTGCCTGTGTGCTGTGAGGCCCGCAGGTGTGCACGGTCTGAGAGTTCCCTGTCCCTGATGGCGTAGGGCAGGAGGCCCTACCAAAGGGAAGTACATCTCCCTTCTGACCTCAGGGTCTGCACAGCTGCAGAGCCAGGAGGACCCTGGCGGGGGCATGTATCTCCCAGGAGTCATCTGCTGGGACCTCAGGCCTGCCCTCTGCTCTTCTCTACCTCACCCTTGGTTTGTCCCTTTTACAGACTTGAGGGCCATTGGCAATTATTTTCTTTGTCCCTCTGTCTTCCTTTCCTATTAGAGGATAAGCTACATCAGGGCAGGGAGGGCATCCAGCTGGGCCATTCCTGGAGCCCTCACGCCTGTTGCTGAGTGCTCAGTACCTCCTTGGTGAGTGGAGGAAGAGAAGAAGACACCGAGTGAACTTTTTCTCTGATCATAGAGCAATCCCCCAAATCCGTGCTATCAAATTTAAACCAGTTTTCCTCGGTCCTAGAGAAGGGGGTGCATAAACACTACCCATGACCAGTTCTCATCATGGTAAGAATGAATGGCTGTGGTTACACAGAGGTGTGTACAAGACATCAGCCACTCAAGAACACAGACAGTAAAAAGAGAAATGGGGTGAATTCAAGGCTCTGAAATATACTAGAAAATTCTCAAATACTTAAACGAAGCATCAGGGTATGTCATCATTAAAAGGAAACAGTGTATCGGTGTGACGGGTACATGCGCTGGCACAGAGAAATCACACAGAGACACACGTTACCTTGATACTGTTCTTAAACAGGAATCCCGGCATGGAGAAGCCCTTCTTTTTATCAAGTGGTTCGCTGAATATGACGATCTGCTCAAAGAGGAAGATGCGCCTCTCTCTGCAGCGAGGCAGAAGTCCTGCATCTTGGTCTGTGACCAAGAATGTGTCCTGCAAGAGCAGTTTACCCTGGGCAACGATTTTCCCCTAAAACAAGAAATAAAGGGGGAAAAGGAAGGGGAGAAGAAAACATTGCCTTCTAAGTTATCTGAAGCTGTTTTCTTTAGATTTCCTCCTATGGAATAATGTATTTTTCTTTTATTAATTTATGGAGTTTAATTTTTTTTTTCTTTTACTGTTCTTGGCTCTAAACAGAATAATTATCTAAATAAAATTCTTGCCAACATTTGTATAGACCTCTGGCGCCTCAATTACAGTCACAGATTAAAAGTGGAGTTTTAAATGTCTGGTTTATACTAGAACAGTGGTTCTCAAAGTGTGGTCCCTGGGTCGCCAGCAGGAACTCATCAGGCATGCACAGGAGTTTTCAGAAGCCCTCCAACGGCCTCTGTGTGTGCGTCAGAGAGAACCATAGCACCAGAACTTTCAATGCTAATTCTCTAGCAAAACAGTAGGCAAGAAAATAAAAACTTCTCCTGCCTCCTTAACTCCGTAGTCAAATTTTTAAAAGAAGATTCTGGTTCTGAATTCATCTTGAGGATATGTAATAGCTAATATGTAATATGAATAGTCTAGCAACTCATGCAAACATATCTTAAACTAATGAGGAAGTATCAAGTCCCAGAGATGAGAGAGTGGGGACCTCCGAGGTCCTACTACATCCATAGCTAACCATGGTCTTAAGTGCTGAGGAAAGGAAACTCAGCTCTTACAGTACTGGGCCCAAGAGACAAAGCCCGGTCCTGCTTGTTTCTGCCATGAGACACTGGGCTTTGAGCACAGGCAAGTCCCAAAAAAGCAAACCAAACGCACCAAAAAAAAAAAAAAAAAAAAAAAGGAAATAAAATATCAATCAGATTGAGGTAAAGTGAGAGAAGCCAGAAAACCAAGTGAAAAGGATCAGCTTTCTCTATGTGGAGAGAAATAATCCAAGACAAAAGAAAGAGATGAAGGCAGAGGAGCTCTCTTAAAAAACAAGAGCCGCATTACGTCGAATCCTTGCAGCCGCCCCACGTTCATCATGTCGTTGCACCGCCTGGGTACTATGCACATGACTTCCACAGCTCTCTGTGGGAGGGGAGAGAGAAGAGTGAAAGCTCAAGTTCCTCTAGGGAAAATCTGACGTGCTCACCCTCTGACCTGATGAAGTTCTGTTCTTCCTCCCCACCCTCTAGTGTGCAGGGCTTATGGAGATGCACTGGAGAGACTCTGTCATCCACTGCTTTGACCCCCTCCCAGGGCCAGACCACTGTTAGGAGACACTTGGGGATTAGGAAAAGAGGCTGGTGGGGATTTGGGTGCCCACAGCCGCTGATGCATGTACCTCTAATTCTGATGTATCCAGGCTGGCCTTTTTGGAATACTTGAGGAAGTCCTGCAAGGGAAATGGAGAGGACATGATAATGGTGACAAAGACAACAGCAGCTGACCTTTTATTTTTTTTTTTAAGAGACAGGGTCTCACTATGTTACTCAAGCTGGTCTTGAACTCCTGGCCTCAAGTGATCCTCTTGCTTTGGCCTCCTGAGTAGCTGGGACTACAGGAATGAGACAATGCACACAAGCTAACCTTTTTGGCCACTCACACTGGCCAGACATTGGGGTTCAGCACTTTAGTTCTGAAAGAATTTTTTTTTTTAAATAGACAAGCTCTCACTATGTTGTCCAGGCTGGAGTGTAGTGGCTATTCAAAGGAGCAATCATAAGCTCACTGCAGCCTCCAACTCCTGGCCTCAAGCTATCCTCCTGCCTCAGCCTCCCAAGTAGCCGGGTCTACAGGTGTGTACCACCACACCTGTCTGGTGCCTTAGTTCTACTTTATCATATTATTCTCTCAGTAACACAACAAAAAGGCATTCCTACGTAGATTTCAAGCTGCAGTACACAGAGTCAGACCAGATCTATCCAATTGTTCCTGTTTAATCCAAGACAAGCTCTTTGTCCCTCTCTAGATCCAGGTCCTAGGCGTTGTACACGAAGGAATATCAATACACTTGAAGTCTCTTTTATCACAGAAAAACACGTGACTCTGCCTTCGGTTATGCTTAAGAATTTAACTCAATCAAGGGCTAGTGTTAAGCCAACAGAGAGGAATACAAAAGGATTCCAAATTTACTTTTATCCAAGGTTCCAAGAAGATTAGAAAATAATTAAAGTTGATAGAGCAGAAGAAAAATCATTAGCATTCCAAGGTCTGTGGTGGGGGAAAAAAAATTCACTTTTACTGATATTTTCATTCTGAACTCGATGTAAATAAAAAATTGAGAAAATTGTTTGAAGTGTTTTCTTAAATTTTTAAGGATTAACTTATCAGAAATAATATACTTGTTACACAGATGATTCCCGTCCTACCAAATCCTTCTTTCCCCCACTGAGTCTTATTTTTTCAGCAAACTCACTCCTGACACCAGAGTCTGTCCCGCCACCTCACCTTCAGTTAACAGCTGATTTAAATTTTTAAGGTTTAACTTATCAGAAATAATATACCTGTTACACAGATGATTCCCCTGTCCTACCAAATCCTTCTTTCCCCAACTGAGTCTTATTTTCTCAGCAAACTCACTCCTGACACCAGAGTTTGTCCCGCCACCTCCTCACCTTCAGTAACAGCTGATACTTCATGATTCTCTGCACTGGTTTGATCAACAGATCTGTGAGCTGTAACCTGTGGCCAAGACGCTGCTTTAAGTCCTACAGTTTTAAGAGAGAGAAAAGATCGTATGGGCTGTTCATTAAAGGGCAATTTTTTAGTCTTTGTAATTGTCAGAAAGACTACAACACTGGCAGTAAAAGTAACGAGGAAAAAAAGCACTAGACTAACTAGAGCTTTGCTAGTTCACAGAATTTCCAAGTTTTACACTTTCACCTGAGTTGTTTTTCAAAGCAGTCTTTTATGCTTGTTTAAAGGCATTTTTTCAATTGCATTATTTTATTCATATAAATATATATATTATTTTTAGGCTATAAGTTTAGATAATAATTATTCTGACTTTGTAATGAGACTTAAGTGTAACACTTATTAAAAACTCTTATTTTTAACAATGACTGCAGTCTTCTGAATGCCAGGGGTATGACCACAGACTAAATTCATACTCATTTCTCTGATTTACAGGAAAGAAAGAAAGGTTCAGAAGTCTTATCACTCAGGCTAATTTTCTTTGGAAATTAGTCTCCTGGGAAACCAATGATACTTTCATTTTTAGAAATAAGTTGGAACAAAAGATTCAGAAATACTTTCTGTTTGTATCTTAGGTCTTACCTCAAAAAAGGTATCAATGTATTCTGAGACAATGTGCTCAGACTTTGGTTTATTTTGACAATAAGCTATGTACATGTGCAACCTTCTCTCCTAGGAATAAAAAAGGCAAACAGTTGGGTTATAACAATGGGAAATTCGATTAGAATACACGAGTACCCGCACATTTCAGCACATTCATAAAGGCACTCATCTTAAAACCAAGCTGCACAGCTAAGGCTCTCGGGAGTAAATTCCAGATTCAGGATGTAGATCAGCATTCTACGGTGTGGCTCCAAAACCAGTCCTTCCCCCATCACTCTCCATACACACCAAACCCTTCACTTTACAGTACCAAATACCAACAAACACCATAGGTAGCAAAAGAACATTTTTTTGTTGTTGTTTTTTAAAGAGATAAGGTCTCACTCTGTTGCCCAGGCAGGAGGGCAGTGGTGTGATCATGGCTCACGGAAGCCTTAAACTTCCGGGCTCAAGCGATCCTCCTACCTCAGCCTCTGAGTAGCTAGGATTACAGATGTGCATCACCATGCCCGGCTAATTTTTAATTTTTTTTTTTTTTTTTTTGTAGGGATGGAGTCCTGCTTTTTCACCCAGCCTGGTCTCAAAACTAGCCTCAGCAACCCTCCTGCCTTGGCTGCCCAAAGTGTTGGGATTACAGGCATGAGCCACCACACCTGGCCGCAACACCCTTCTTAATATTAAACAAAGAATTACTGCCATCACTCCAAACCCTGCCAACAGTCCTAGTAAGCCTGGTTGGTTTTAGTAGAGAAGAAGCTCTTTAATCTCAAATCCTAAAGGCAGAAGAAAAAAAATGTAGACAATGAGCCTTTCCATAAATCAGTGATCCTCAAAGTACAGTGTGCAGACCCCCAGGGCCCCCTGAGTCCTTTCAGTGGCTCCATTTGGTCACAACTATTTTCTAAATACCACTAAGATGTCAGTTGTCCTTTTTGTTGTGCTGACATCTGTGCTGATGTGCAAAACCAATGGTGGGTGAAATTGCTGGCACCTTGGCAAAAACTCTTCACTGCCACAAATTTATAGTAAAAAACAAAACAAAACTGGTTTCACTTAAGAATGTCCTGGATGAGTAAACATTATTCTTTTTATTAAAACTCAACCAGGGAGTATACACGTTTTTAACATTCTTGTGACAAGATGATGTCCACATAACACTTTAATTGCACTTGATAAATGTCTCAAGAAAAAGCACTTATGTAACCGAGTTGTGAGTGGAACTAACCACTTTTTTTTATGGACCACCATTTTTACTTGGAAGAATGATTGACACAAACTATAATTATTTACTCTTGGGTATCTGCTAGACATTTTCTTGAACATGAACAAAATAAGCCTGTCATTTCAAGGCAAACAACTGGCAGTGTTTGTTAGTGAAAATTACAGCTTTCAAGCAAAAAATTAAAATTTTGGAAATATGTATCTGCCACTCTGAACTTCACAACACTTAAAGACTTCAAAGAGATGGGTGGTCAAGTTCAAAAACTGGATTTTTGGATACTGTGTAATGAAACGTGTCAACCTCTGGAAGATCTGCCTAAGTCTGTGACCTGGTATCTTCCAGTGGACTGATGCCTGATGTCACAGGACCGCGCATGGCTGCAGGAGCCTCGAAGCCCAATAGTTCAATGTATTTAATGTCACAGCAAGGGAGAAGTTCATGGGTAGGTTTTCAGATTCCGTATTGCAACTAACCTTTAAGAAATGATCAGCTGTCAAGTTTTTGGTATAGTGTCTAAGAAAACTATGTAATTATCTGAAAAGGCTATTAAAATACTCATCCTTTTCTAACTATATGTGTGTGAAGATGGATTTGTTTGGATACTTGAACCAAAAAACACAGCAATGAGTTGGATGCAGAAGCAGATATAAAAATCCAGCTGTCTTTTACTTAGCAAGACATTAAAGAGACTGGCAAAAATGCAAAAACTCCTGTCACTAACTTCTAAAAATATATCATGATTTTTCCCAAAAAACAAAAAACTTTAATGTTAATACGCTTATTTTCGATATCCACACTATTTGGCTGTTATGTTAAACCCACTGCAGGTACAGTTACATCTCCACTCAACAATACCTGCCTGTTCACAGACACCCCAGATACTGTTCAGGCCTGGCTCTGGTCTTCTCTCACCAACCTGTACTGTTGCTAGCCAAATAGCCAGCTTCAGCCAGGTGACTGGGAAAGCAGGTAACTCATGTTGAAGAAGGGATTTTAATTCCAACTCATTAACACCATGCAGTTTGATTTTATCTTAAACATACGCACTTACATAAAGTATAAGTGAGTTCTCCTTTAATCTGACAAACCAGTGACTAAGGATGACACCATCAGAACAGGATATAAGCAATGCTATTGTGCTTACGTGTTTAACAAAAAGGGATCCTAGTTTTTCTGGATCTTCAAGGCACTTCTCTAACTCTCCTAAAAAAAAGCTGGAAAGAAAGGAGAAAATATTAGAACTATTTCCAGTGTGGCCTTCTAATTTTAGATTTAGGTTTACATTTTTTCTTTTTCTTTTTTTCTTTTTTTTTTTTGAGAGAGTGTCACTCTATCACCTAGGCTGGAGTGCAGTGGTGTGATCTTGGTTCACTGCAACCTCCGCCTCCTGGGTTCAAGCAATTCTCCTGCCTCAGCCTCCCAAGTAGCTGGGGTTATAGGCGTGCACCACTATGCCTAGCTAATTTTTTGGCATTTTTAGCAGATACAAGGTTTCACCATGTTGGCCAGGCTGGTCTCAAACTCCTGACCTCAAGTGATCCGCCTGCCTCAGCCTCCCAATGTGCTGGGATTACAGGCGTGAGCCACCGTGCCTGGCCAGGTTTACATTTTCAATAGTCTGTTCTGACATGAGCAACTGTGAAGTGTGAAGTATATATTTAACAAATATATGGAAACTTAACAAGTACAAGGAAAACCTTTTGTTAAGCTACAAAGCATAAAGGAATACAAAGGCACAGAAGATGAGGCACGACTGTATATCCCTTGGCTGGTGACCTTCCTGGTCTTTGGATAACAAACATTCTCATCTCTGTTCAAGGACACAAGTGCTAATATCCTAGGCTGAATAATGAGTGAAAAATAGATGTTTCAAAGTACTTGGACATTTTTTATTTCTGAAAACTTGGTCTTTATACCTGCGAATTTCATATTCATTCTAAGATAATTTTTAGAGACTCAAATTGGACAGCAGATATACAAAACTAAATATGTTACCTGTGCCAGCTTTATGAAGTTTTCTCAAATGTTATCAAAATCAACTTCTAGGTTATAAACATCAGCTCCCTTTAAGATTAAAATTAGGTATCATCACAGTGACAAAATAGCTGTAGGACAACAATGTTCATTGTTTTCTGGGCTGTAGTTGTCTTTTAAGATATATGTCCAGCTTAGTTATCACTTAAATATATTTTTATTTATGTTAATATTTGGTATTACATTAACTCATAAACCACCATGCCAATTAATGTTGTACTAAGGGGTTTACTATCCCCGCTGCGCAGACAGCATCTCTGGATACAGTGTCTGTCTGGTCATCCCAGAAACACTGTGTCATTTTCAGCTTCCCTTCACAGCCTTAAAAACTAGCCTTGGAAGTAGGAGACTAAATCATAATACAAAATATCCCTTTTTGAATTGGTTTCACTGTAGTTGTTCAGTAAGTCTACAGCACAGAGCTATAAACTGGAGTGCTGTTTCTAAAGTTTACCGATCATTTATCTGTAAATCCAAATAAATTAGACATCACAGGGGATATGAAAATAAAGACCTCTCTGACCTGGGTTCAAAGGTTTTACATTCTGTTAGGAGGGAGAAGCACAGAAATAACAACACTACTTGATACGTGACACGGTAGTTCCTCCTCATGTCTGTCCAGTATCTCATAGTTTAAAAGAGCATATTCCCATCTGCTTCTGCAGAAGAGAAGGAGTCTGATGGGGAACACCCAGGCCTAATGGAGAAGCAAGTATGGAGCTCAGCTTCAGAGAGAGGCCAGAGCTTTGGAGGTGATGACATCGTGCTCCACCCTGAGCAGAGGGAGGAGCAGTTGCATCAAGACAGGAGAGCAGAAGGCCCGGCCAGGTAACCGGAGCAGACAGTGCATCTGGAACATTCCACTGGAAGACCAGTGGCCAGCATTAAGCAATCCTCAGATGATTAAGGATTTTTAAAGTTTAAGCAAAGTGATCTAAAGGGACAGGTATGTTGACAAGCTCTGGTAGCCAAGGTGAGCTACGTAGCACCAGCCCCCAGATGGATTGCCTCCTGATTAGGATAGGTGTGGGGAATGTAGTGGGATCAGAGTTGAATTTCATGGGCAATCGTGTCTACTTTTTCCATTAAAATTGAATTGGGCCAGGCGTGGTGGCTCATGCCTGTAATCCCAGCACTTTGGGAGGCTGAGGTGGGAAGACTGCTTGAGCCCAGGAGTTCAAGACCAGCTTAGGCAACACAGCAAGCCCGTGTTTGTCTACGAAAACCAAAAAAGTTAGCTGCACATGGTGCTGCGTGCCTGTAGGCCCAGCTACTAGAGATGCTGAGAGATGCTGAGGCGGGAGGATTACTTGAACCCAGGAGTTCAAGGCTGCAGTGAGCTATGATCGCACTATTACACTCCAGTTTGGTGACAGAGCAAGACCCTGTCTCTAAAAAATAAAAATAACATAAAATAATTGGACAAATGAGTGTCTTCAAGGTCCTCTAATGATAACTTGTATTTATTCTAAAGATGGCTGCAATTCTAGTTAGAAATACTTGAAGCTTATTCTATGCAGATGTTGTTCTAAGTACTCTGTAAAAGTATTAACTCAGTCACTCTTCACAAAAAACCCACGAGGTAAAAGTATTAACTCAGTCACTCTTCACAAAAAACCCACATTATAATGTGGGTGTGCAGATGAAGAATGGAAGTGTACAGCAGGGAGGCCGAGGGCTCGGGGTCAGGACCAGGCCAGCAGCTCCGGCAGCTGGCTCCACGCTGGTGCTTCCAGCTACTCCCTTCCACAGACTCTCGACATGGACCAGCACGAAGAAGAGACAAGACTCTCTCCGTGCCACCAAATGCTACTGCAGAACTCCTGGGTACATCAATATCTCCTTTGCACCAGCTCCCTCCAGGAGGCTACACAGGTAATACGATGAACAGAATAAATTCCCTTTGGCCTGGCCTGCCTTGGTTTAGCAAGTGTGGCTGCTTTGCACACCATCGGGCACAATGCATGTTTACGTACTCTCTGTGCCAGTCGTAAATCTGATGGATGTTGCCGAACACAATTTTGTCTTTTCCTTTCATGTCATCAGGAACACCATCTTCTTTCATAAGTGCCATGTAGCCCTACAATTAAACAGTTATGATAAGTGTATTTCATGGAATATGTCTGAATCAACTAGTGGCTTATTGATTAATAGTCACAGAGGGCAAAATGGACACATGCACTGTCTTGTAACCAGTTCTTTGTCTAAAAACAAACAAAAAAAACCGATATGAAAAGTATCCTTAACTGATACTTGGAATATACCTATTACATTCATTGCTGTAATTTTATTTCCCTGGACTGTTCAGCATTCACAGATCAAAAATCTTCTAAGGAATTAAAGAAGTTTAAATAAATGTAAATGGTTTCATTAAACAGTTTGTAAATATTAAATATTTGGTCAGAATCATATCTCCTGTTTTCAGCATTTATCTCTTAGAAACAGAAAGATTTTCTTTTCTTTTTGGATTATTTGTGTAATCGGTTAAATAAGGGTTTAACAATATTCTTTTTATAAACTGATTTTTAAACAACAGTTGATTGAATATGCTGCTAAAATGTGGCTTAAAATTTCTATTTAAGTCTGTACAAGAACCTCTTAAGTACTCAGGTTGCTTATCTCATTGTGAACAATGACTGCAGATAAATCAAGCATGTTAAATCTTTTGTGTTATGCAATTGACTTTAATAGCTGGTACTTTTAATGGGATGTGTAACCAAAAAGTATTGTCCTGTACAAATCTGCAAAGATGAAAGAATACACATAAAATTTTATACCACAAAAATAGCTTTTTGATGAGTTGAGTTTCTTAATCTCACTAATCCCCGAATTGACTGGCAGGGATTAGCCTAGAGATGGCTCTCGATCCAGTACAAAAGGCAGTGGTTTGCTATGGCTACAGTGCTTGGCAACTTCTGGTCAATGGAAATGGCAATGTGTTCTGTACAAAACTATCAAGTAAATGACCTGGTGCAGCCACAGTACAGGCTCTGAACCTGGGTGGATTCAGGATGGAACCGAACCCACAGCTGGGCCACACTGACTTTTTCAACCAGTAAGGTCTTCATTTCTGTAGTGATACAATTAAGGCAAGATTCCTGTCTACTAACTACAGTATACTTACTTAGTATCATTTAATAATAATATCAAATTATTTATAATAATTGTAAATTTCAACTGTTAAAAAAGATTATGTCAAGATACACTATGCGAAAAAGAAGCATTTACAACTGAATACAGATGGTAAAGACAATTGGCTAAACTTAATTTTTCGGAAATACATCGTTGGTCACTTTTTATTTTGGGTCAAAAATGTTTTTAAAGCTTTTGAGAGGTGTTCAACTGTCTAAAACGATACTACTTTTGACAACTCTTGGAACTGATACGAAGATACTAAATTTCTGGCAATACACACCTCAACCACATAGCCAAGGTCCCGCACATAGTCACGCTCTGTCTCCACTAGTTCTTGCAAAACGTAGCTGGAGAGAAAAAATATTGTTTATCATGCAAACTGTTTTCTAAATGAATTTTTTTGTACCTTTGCTCCTGGTCAAGATGGACTCCTTCCAGGACTGAATAGTAATGTATCAAATTTGTACATTTAGGTGTTAAATTCTGGAGAGTCCCAAATCACTTACAGGTTCAAGTGGGTGACCCACGAGAGCTCTGGAGGTCAAAAGACACCTAGGCACAGTGCATGAGGGCAATCAGGGTGAATTCACCCTTCTGGATTCTGATCACATACAGGGACAACAATGAAGCTTAGACATAACTTTCTGACAAAGCCATGATAGTAAAGGAAGTGGCTTTTAAAAAATGATTAAGTCATTTTAACCTTCACTGGCTATACAAGAAAAACTTTTAAATCAGATGTTTAAACCTTGTGTCTAATCACATCACTCACAAGTATTTCTGTTTGTTACATTCAGTAACCGTTTAAGGCCACTCAGATAACAGAAGACAACCATTTGATCAGTATAGCAAACAACCTCAATTGGCCTGAAAAGGTTCATCCATGTGTTGTTCAGTCATTCATTCAACCAACATCAACCTGGCACCTCTCATGTGCCCAACACCATCGGAGGTGCTGGGATACAGTGCTGAATAAAACACCCAGTCTCTGCCGTTTCGTAGCTTACGTTTTTTTTTTTTCCTTCTCCAAAGGCAAGTTTAAACCTTTTGTAACATTTTTCAGGACTCTTTTCACCATATGCTGCTTTACTGGCATTGAGAAACCAGTAAAGTATGTTCAAAGAATATTCAAGTTTTGGGGACTGGTTCTAATTTTATATTACTTTTTCTTTCACAATCACATGTACAATAAAAAGTCTAGGAGTTTCTCACCACATGTGGCAGAAGACATTTTTGTCTTGCATCATTCTTACTTATGAAGTATCATATACAAATAAAACAAGAAACTGCAGCTATGGAATACTGTGCCCTTATTAGGTCCTGAGTCTTTTACATACGTGCAGTTACTTAATGAGAGGCCCTGGAGCTTCTCATCTCGGTAATTCAGAGCTGAATCTCAGTCACATTTTTGAAGGCAACAAAGACAGGACGGAACCCAGAGAACAATAAGAATGAAAACATTTCTGTCTTACTGTCTTCTCTTTAAAGAGCTGGATTTCCTTTCTTCCATCTCATCAATGGGCGAGGAGGAAGAGAGAAGGGAATTATCCGAAGGGTTGAAGGAAGGGCTGCTACTATCTCCCTGGTCAACAAGGAGTGAGCTGGGGCGATCCTCCAGTGCCTGGAAGAAATTGACATAATCAACAACACTTACTGCCCACAGCCCATGATTGGCTAAAACTAAGACAAGAAAATACCCAAAGTCAGAAAATACAGAAAATGTATTTGTGAAATTATAAAATCTTTGTTTGTGAAATTATAGCATTTAATAACACAAAAAACCCAACTATTAATAAAAAAATAGAGTCAAAGGAGGTGGAGAAAAAAGTTGGAATGAAAAGGATAGTGAATTTACATACATTAATATATTCTATTTCTTGTTATCAAACAAGTAGAAATGTTATACTTGCTTATGTCAGAGTACTGCACCCATTTTTGGACATATCACACATATTTAATATCTAGCAATTTTCTTACTGGTTATATTCCTGCCAAATGAGCTGCTGGGATGTGCGTGGGTCAGGCCAGTGTGGCACCTGGACATGGTACCTGCATTCCCTGTTGGTGGACTATGTAGCAACATCAGCAATCCAACAAACTTGGTTTGTTTCCTGATTATCCTACTAGAGCTTTGACTCATACTTCAATGCATACAAATCACTCTGGTAAAATTAATCTCCATCTAGCAACTTCCATTCTATCCCTCTATACAAAATAGTAATCGTGCTTGTCTTAATTACTTCTGCAATACATTCTTTCCCCCACTGGCTTTTGGTTTCTATAGGTGATTGTTTTCATTGCTGTATCCCCAGTAGAACCTCATGCAAATCTTTGCAAGTGTTCAGCAAATCTGTAAGTTGAATATTGGTGACTTCTCTCCTTGGATTAATGTGACAATGACTGGTGACTGATTGCTTTCAATTTGGTAAATATTAATCTCGTTGTTTTACCTGGATTCACAGAACACATAAGATTTATAGTTCTTTTAACATTCCCAAAGCAACAAACTGGATATATAGATATGATTGAACTGGAAAAAAATGTGATGAATTTATTCTAGGTTTGAACAGCACAATACAAAATGCAAAAACAATACCTCACTTAAAACATTTGGTATTAATAAACTAAAATCTCTAACACTTGTTCTATTTTCTCCTCTTAACAGTAACAGACTGAATCTGATTTCATTGTTAAGCAGAGCTTTGAGGACACAAAGCATGTACTGTACAAGCAATCTTGTTAAAACCCATGGAGCTATAAAAAACACACCAACTGCTGATCTTATTTTTGAAAAACAGGACATTAAGTTAGTTAAGGAACAGAGTTTGATCTGAAAAATAAATGCACTCTTTTAAATAAATAGCCATTGAGCTTTACTGGAAGCAAACATTTTGCTGTGAGTAGCAGAGCTTGTTTCACGCTCATCAGATCACATCTGTTTTTGAGAGCGAAGGGAGGATGTTCTGTACCCCCCATCCCCCACCTGGACAGCTGAAGCCTGTTAGATTGAATTCTGTTCATTTGAACAGTGAGAAAAAACAAAGAAAAGAAAGAGAAAGGCTCCAGATGCCCCTGATGCTGCAGACGGCAGGGAGGTAAAGTCACGGACTTCATCAGTGTCCATGGGGACCTGTCTTCCAGCTTTCTCGACCTGCAACAATGGAGTCCCCAGGCCCCTCGGCTGCCTGTCCTAGATCTGATCTTTCCTGACAAGATGGGCTGCCGAGAGGGTGCACACACCCTGAAGCGGTGCAGTTGTGGCTAGACGTCCTTATCGCCTTCATGTGGCCCATTTGCCTCTTCCACAAATGTGTGTGAGAAGGCTGTCACCAGCCTAAGGCTGTCTCAAAACTGCAGCCACTGGGACTTCACAGATTTTGGATGAATTATTTGTGAAACTCTCTGGGTTTGGTTGTTTTTTGTGTCCTTCTCCTCTCTTTCTTACATGAAGATAGGTCTACAGAAATATTCTACCTCTTATGAGATTAATTTTGATAAATTACATTTTCTTAGAAAACTGCCCATTTCATTCAGGTTTCATTTTAAATTTACTATCAAAGAGATGAACAAAATAATGTCTTATGATTGCTTGAATTTCCTCAGTTTTTTCCTCTCTTATAATTTCTTAATTTTGGGAATTTGTGTTTTCTGTTTTCTTGACATGGTTACCTAATGCCTATATTTAAAGAATAAATTTTTGGTTTTATTATGCTACCGTTTTCCAGCTCATTAATTTCTGCTTTTATCTGTATAAATTCATTCCTTCTGCTTTTCTTTGGTTTATTTTGTTGTTTTTCTAACATCTTGAGTTAGATGTGATTTCATTTATTTTCATTCTTTCTTGTTTCTCCCTTTATATTTTGATTAGTGAAGAGAAGAAAACCCCAAAGTCAAGTTCACACAATCACTGTGGCGGCAGGGAACTATTACTCTATTGCCGACATGCAGGAAAAATGCACAGCCTTTAAAATAACCAGCTGCATCAAGAACGTGGAGGTAAGCCAGACGAATGAATCCAGGGAACAGTTTTCAGGGGGGCTTTCATTTTTCGAGTCAAATCCTCAGGTTTTAGGTTTAGGTAGGTTCAGTTCCTTAAACATCATACTGTGTAACTGCTGAACATCTTCTCTCCTCTCCTCCCTAACCCAATAAACACATACAGAGTTTCTGAAGAATAAACAATGCAGTGTTCAAATCCAATTATGAGTGTGCGACAGCCTCAGAAATCACCCACAAGAAAACACATGTGGATGCTTAAGGATCTACTGCAGAGTCAGTATAAGTTTAGGATATTACAATGATGCATTAGTGTTTTCTGACAAAAACTAGTTCCCATGTGACGTTAGAGCATTAGTGACAGGAAACCAACACAGGGTGATGCTTCTCTTGAACCAGAAAAAGAGGGGAGAATTTAGATCGCATTCCCTGGCAGAATGAAGAAGGGATGAACCTATCACATAAAGTACAAACATGGTTCTCCCAAGGGAGGGGAAGGCACCAGTGAACACCCATGTGGATGAAACCTGGTTGAGAGCTCCCATGTGTAGCTGAAAGACAGTCTCCGAGGCTGAAGGACTTGCCTGGTGGAACTCACCGTAATGAGACTGTGAACCCAAGTCTATCTGACTCCAAAACCTATGCCTTTCCTATGCCAACAGCTTTATGCCCACTGAAGTGAGCAGAAACAACTCAGTTTCACTGAGTAAACCGAGAAAGTTTAATTCTTCAGAATTGAAAAAGGAGATTAACACAGTAAGAGTCAAAACTGACCATGCCACAGACCACCTCTCCATTTGGAAGTCCACGTGAATTAATTACAAATGAATCACAGACCACATAAAATGCAATACAATTTAAACAGCTGCAGAATAGTGGCCAGATCTGCCTCACAGCGTTCCCTGGGAAACCATTTCGGCTATTTGGTAAGAATGATTTTAATGGTCATTTAACTGACGTGTATAAATGGCTTTTAAAAAAAAGTTTAAGGATGCTTAAAAACTCACTGGATACAATTTAAGCACCCTTCATTTAGACAGTTTTATCAACTTGTCTTTTAAAGAGATACCAAGGATGTAGCTGAACTCAGTACATACTGGCATGGTTCCAAGCTCCTTTTTTTATTTTTTTGATATAGGGTCTCACTCTGTCACTCAGGCTGAGTGCAGTGGTACAATCTCAGCTCACTGCAGCCTCAACCTCCTGGGCTCAGGTGATCCTCCCACCTCAGCCTCCCGATAGCTGGGACTACCGGTGCATGCTACCACACCCAGCTGATTTTTGTATTTTTTTGTAGAGATGCGGTCTCGTGTTTCCCAGGCTGGTCTCGAACTCCTGGGCTCAAGCAATATGCCTGCCTTGGCCTCCTAAAGTGCTAGGATTACAGGCATGAACCACCACACCAGGCCTGATTCCAAAATCTTAACCAGTGGAGTCCGAATTCGTGAGTTATCTACCACACCCTAGCAAGCTTCCTGTTCAAAGTTCACTGGGTCTTCTCCGGAACACCACACGATTACCTGGGGAGAAATTTCTAGCTATGGCAGGGTGACACGTCAGTCCAAATTTTTCTTTATATAATTCCCATTTGACTCAGTCAACCAGTTTCATTAGAGGTTGTCTGTGGATGAAGGAAGAAATGGGAATGATATATCTGGTACCTAGTTAATGCCCAAATGCAGGAAGAGAAACTTCTAACTTTAAAGAAGTATACTCTGATTTAGCAATTCCAGTGTTGAAAATTCACCTGACAAATATAATCACAAACATGTAATGGATGTTCAGAGAAATATGGGAAACAAGTATGTATTAGGAATATATTTAAATAAATTATAGCATAATCTTGTCTCTGACCCTTAGTGGCTAGTCAAGTTTTTAAATGTTCTGTGTGCCTCAATTTCCTTATCTGTAAAATGGGATAACAATAGTGCATAACAACCTCATAGGGTTGTTGTGGGAAGTATATAAATTAATACATGCTCAGCACTTAGAACAGCGCCTGGCTTAGAATAAGTGCTCAGTGGTATTATTATCACAGAATCCATGTAGAGGAATACTATACAGTTATTAAATAAAGGAAAGAGGTAATCTGTATGTACTGACGTGAGAAGATCCTTAAGATGTGTTAATTATTAGAGTCTTAAAAATTGAATGAATCCATTTGGAAAGAAAACGCACACACATATATATGTTTGCACCAGCAAGGAAAACGTCTGGAGGGAAACGTATCAGAACTATTCGCAGTGGTTACCTCTGGAGAATGGATTGCTGAGACAGACTGAGGGCTTTTACTTTGGGAGGAGCTGCTTTTAAAAGACGTTGTCTTTATAGGGATAGTAGGATATACCAGTCTAAAAAGTTGTTACCATTGGTGGTTTTTCCACTTCCCAGTTAGGAAAACTACAAAAACAGAAATTAATTGATTTGAATCAGTTAGAAGCAACACATGCCTGTCTTAACTTCAAAGAACCAACATTTAATTTGGGGCTTTTATCAAATGAACCCACGTTGGCCAACTGGCAACAAAGAGATCACTAAGAAAATGAAGCCCTTATATAATAATGTAAACCCTTCTCTCTCACACATTGTGAACCCAAATGAAAGATCTCAGGGGTTGCAAAACAAAACGGAGAGTCTAACTGTGGGTACCACTGACCCTGGCACATCTTCAGACAGACTGGAGCTGACCACATTTGCAGTGACTGCAGGCAGGGTATGTGCAGTGAGGTTTGCCCCCAGCTTCTAGGAGGGAACTTGTAAGTCCTTGGAATGTTCTGCTTGATGAGAATGTCTGTTTACCTGGGGGCCTGGGACCAAGGCAAATAGTCTATGCTAGCAATGTGACAGTGTCTTGATCTCTGGAGGGGCAGGAGACTACCTAAGGTCAGCCACACAGAGCAGTCAGCCATATGCGTCTGAGCCCAAACAGACACTCAACACCAAGGCTCGGGTGAGCTGCTGTGGTTGGCAATCCTCTGTCTGCCTGACTCCACTGGGAGAGCATGGCTGGCAGCTTGAACCAGGCACTCCCTGAGACCTGCCCTATGCAGTTCTTCCCTTGCCTATTTTGATCTGTGTCCTTTCATGGGAATACACTGCAAATGTGGGAATAATGGCTTTCCTGAGTTCTCTGAGTCCTTCAAATCAGTGAACCCGAGGGTGGTCATGGGGACTCCTGAGATGTGCCATAAGCCACAGCCACATTCTGCAGCCCAGAGCAATACAAAGACAAGGGCAAATCCATCTGCAAGTAGCAACACAGAGCAGCTTCCAAAAGTCAGACTTTCTCTGGGAGGCCTCACCATCTTGCTTTTCACGAGTTCCTCAATTGCACTGACGAGCTCGGCTGCACTCGGTGTTTCGGAGCTGGTGGGGCGGACTAATAACCGAGAAGAGGCCTACAGAAGAAATTAAGAAAAGGAGGGGGTGGGGCAAGGGCTCACATTAGTAACTGGTCAGACAGTAAATTCCCCTGCAAGCTCCATCTCTTGTGAAAGTAATTCCAGACAAAAAGACCACAAGTTTGTCTTTGTTTACATTTATTTAAAGTCATCCTTTTGAATTTACAATATTCTGACAAGAAACATTAAATAAAACCTGTCTGAGATACATGTGGGAAGCAGACAGTGTCTGATTTGAATCGCAGTCATGTAACATCACAGTGTTTTTTTCAAAGAGGTGACTAGGCAAGGGAACGTTCTAACCGTAACTTTCGCAAGTGCTGGCAAGGCTCTGGGCTAGGGAGAAGGAATAGAGAATCTGACCTACAGCAGAATGAGAGGCTTAGGGTCTAGTGAGAGAATCCTGGAATAATCAGGAAACAAAACAGGTACTAAGAAATGGCTTTACTGTGTTTATGGGATTAAGAAAAAAAAGAAACGAGGAAGAGGAAAGGAACGGGGTGCGGTGACCAGACAGGGAAGGAGGGGGACAAGCTCACCATTTTCTGTGCCATCCATTTCCCCATGATTAGTGCAGAGTACAGAAGAGCTGAGGCCTCACAAGCTATCAGATGCCACTTATGGCTAGAATCGAGGGCGTAAAGGGGTTGACAGGAAATCTGGGGGAGGGGCTACTAAGTTCGAGTTTCAGTAATTAGCAAACACGACGTGTTTGCAGATTACTTGAGCCGTTAATTAACTGGGAACTAGAAGGGGCGTAATATGAACCTTGCTTCATATTAAGGACAGCGGCGAGGCATGCGACCCACAGCGGGCTGTCCTGGCCATGCGTGTCTCACAGCAGACAGATACAGGCTCATACACTCACAACAAGGCTTTTACACGTGTGGGTCAAAATATGCACTTTGCAAAACAAATGTTGGTTTGGTCTAATGACATTTGGAATATGGGGTGAAGAAAACAAAGAAAAAAATTCAAACGGAAAGGTAAGGAAATTGAGCCAAAACAGACACAGAACACAAATCAACATAATGCTGCAGTGAAAGTTTACAAAAAGAGAAAACAGAACAAAACAAAAAATTAGTCACGAGATTATATACTGTGTGGGAAAATCACTACAGATTTTTGTAAATGAAGAACTGCTACTGATAATACTCAACGAGGTAACATAGTAACTAGCAAACAGAAGGATACAGTGCAGGTCACTCTTTAAATGGAGAAAAATCCTCCCTTATGGGTGAGTAAGTCAACAAGGCCCAGCCCCTCAATGTTTGGACAACCACCCAGATTTAAGAAATGCCAGTTTTCTGCTTTTCAAAAAGGCATGGCTTAGCGTATTACAAAATAGCTTAGGAAATATCACAGAAATCACACAGCCCCATGTCCTAGCCAGGTAGCCTGTGTACTGGGTGGGGTAGGGGGCTGTGGTCCTCTCACCTCAGGCTCCCTGTTCCTTCTCCCCTACACATGGTGGGGAGCCTGAACCTCAGATGCACACAAAACTCCAGGACTCCAACCTGTGCTCAGTCCTGCAGCTCACAGCCATCATTGCAGGCCCCACAGCACCCTTACAGTGTGCTGGTCTCGTGTTAAAAAGGGAGGAGGGAGTAGCTTTCCACCAACAAGGGGTGGTGGACAGGTCTGCCTTGGGTTAAGAGGAGTGCATGATTTGACTTGGCCTCACAGCTGCTAAGCACCGGCTGAGGCCAATCCCATGTCGTAAAATAGAGGGTGATTAATCTGGCAAGTGACTGTGCAAGTACTGACAAGGAAGTCAGGGAAGGAAAAAGGGAAGCATGGGGGAAGATGTTGATAAAGTTATCTGTTTTACTCAGAAAATTTAGTTACTGCCAAAAAAAAAAAAAAAGCATCACCAGTAATGACTTCATAGCATGATTTTGAGGGGCACAATAGGGCCAGAATGCTAGAGGATGTGCAAGCCACACTGAGCAGGTTTCCTTTCTGCTATTTTATTTTTTAGGGCTCTACAATTGGGCTGACAAAATAATTTTAGACTACGTAAGAACTCAAGAAAACAAATGACTTTCATGGCTTGAAGCTCCTGCGTAGACCCAAAGAGCTTTCAACTGATTCCTACACTTTGACAACTATGCCTGCACTCTAGCGTAGGGATCCTACAAACTAATGTCTGGCATGTTGGAAAAAGTAACTGGACAGTGATGTAACCTCATCTCAAACCAGAAACCTGCATGCAAAAACCTCACAGAGGGGAGATGGCCAACTCTTCATTTAGTGATGCCTTCAGACAGACCTGCATGGGATATCTCTGATTGTTCTCTCAGGGATTCTAGTCAATACATTAGGAAACTTTAAAATTACTTTAGAAGTGGCAATTACTGAAGCATCATTAAAAATGCATTGAGCCACATGTGTAAGAAAAACTGCACCCGCTGGCCTACTGCTATTCTAAATGGCTTTGTTACTCATACTTTTGGGGTACAACCAGGCTGACGCTGCCTGAAAGAGCACTGCATTGCCCTTTTCCACATCTTGGGGCCTCCTGTCTCCTGAAATGAGGCTGGTGTGAAGCAGCTACCGAGCGTGCCCTGCCCCTGCACGGCAGGCATGGATTCCCCAGCCCTCATCCCCCTTTACCTTGTCATCCTGTGAGTCTGGCTGGAGGAGGCTGTGCTGCTGGATGGCCATGGGTGGCGGCAGGGGCACGGCGTCGGCCCCCTCCTCGCCTTCCTCTTCTCCACAGCTCTGCATCCCCGAGGAGGAGGATTTGGAGAGAGTACCGCTGCTCAGGCCCTCGTTCCGGCCTCTCTGAAATCCAGTCAAGATTTGCTCATTATATTCCAGGCCAGTTCACAGACGTGGACCAAGGGTTACTTGGAGAAGCAAGGTGGGGACAGAGACTGGGATGGCAGAAATCAGGAACAAAGCTATTCTCGACCTCGATGGTAACTTTTCCTCTCTTCCTGCTACCCAATAGCTTTGCTTGTCAACTTGGATGACAGAATGGCCACTGAATGTGTCATGTGTCATATAAAGGGACTGCCAATGTGATCTGTTAGGCTCTGAACACAGCTCATCTTTGAGAAGCCAATTTTTAAAAAGGCTCAAAAATTTGAGCTACAACCCTCATGTTGATTTAGTTCCTTTGGTCCAGCTGATTTCACTTTGGGTATCTTGCTATAGAAAAGTTCACTGAAATAATAAGGGCATAAAAAATATAATCCAAGATGCATTTTAAGCACTGGATTTGAGTATTCTTTTCCTCTATTCTCACTTTTAGAAACAAATTTCAGTTTTAGTTTTCCTAAGAGGACAGAGGTTTATCAAGAATGTACATAATACATCCCAACCCCCACACTGCAACAAAATCTCATGGCAAAAATATGCCCAGGAAAAAAACAGCAGAAAACAGCTATCTGCCAAATAAATCAAATAACACAAATCTCATCCCCACTCTCTGCCTTTTCTTTTTCGAACCTGTGTGAGACTTGAGTCGGGGGTCGATCCAAGTTAATTAAAAACTCTGAGGACCCCTCATTGACACCACCAGTGCTGAAGGCCATCTCCAGCATCCTGAAGGAATTCTGTTTCTTGCAATGTAATTTAAAGCCTCCCTTGTCAATAGGACATAAAAAATCTCTGGCTGACCTACATGCACTTACCTTTGGTGACATGGGAATAACCCAATGTTTACTACTGGGTCAACAAAGTAAATTAACTGGTTATTTTCTACTCAAGACAAGCTGTAAGTATAATAAATATTGGGGAAAAACAATTGGAAAGTGCAAACACTCCACAAGTCCTTCCAAATTTCCAATTTGAGCTTTCTCTGCAAAATGCTGCCACAATGATCAGCTCAGAGACTGCCCAAATCTTCTGCAGACTACACAGAGCCTCTGGCTTTGCTTCATGGTGGAGTGGGGAGGAGAGGGTCCAGAAGCCAAGTCTGGTCTCCCTCCTGGCCCAGGCCTGGGGGCTGACTGGGCCTGGGGCGCATGGTGATCTGTTTTGTTTGTTTGTTTGTTTTTAATCAGAAGCCACACGTGGTCCTGAATGTGCTTACTGGGTTCAATTTTCTTTCAAGTGTCCCCACTAAATCTCAGTCTGCTAAGCAGAGACTTGAATGGTAATTTCTGAGTAAGTGCGGAAAACAGAACCAAACCAGTTTACTCATAAGATCAGCAACTATTCTTGCAGCAAAAGCCCAGCGGGCCCCGCCACGCCGGCCCCAACCAGCGGGCAGAGCCTCACCTCCTCGACCGTCTCGTCCTGCGGGGTGGCCGCACTGTCGTCGGAGTCCTTCTGCGAGCCGGCGTCGGCGCTCTTGCGGACCTCGCGGCTCTTCTTGTGCTTGTGCGCCAGCTTCTTCACGTGCCCGTCGGCCTTGCCGCTGCTGAGCCGCCGCACGGGGCTGGTGAGCCACTTGCGCAGGGTGTTGCCCGGCCGCTTGGGGCCCGGCGAGCTCTGGGCCCCGATCATGTGGGGCTGGAGGGAAGCCACGGATGCGGGTGGACTGGCGTCATTGCTGGAGACGGAGAGCGAGTCTGCCAGGGAGAAAGAGAGGGAGTATCACTGACTCGCACAGACCCTCCGGTGTGAAGACCATGCCATTATCCCGCAGGCTGCAGGGAAGCCAGTGGGCCTGGATGCCTCGTCAGCGGGCTTTGCCTACGGGGTGTGAGATGACAGGGGCTGATGCTTTACACGCACTCTCTTCTCAAATGTGTAGCAAACCTGAGTTCTGCTAGAGATGATCATTCTCAAGATGCACTGTCCTCTCCAAAATCACCCATGTCACCAATCCTGAAGACCAGCATCGTTATCAGCCAGATTTAAGATGTCATTCATCACATAAAATACTGTGGACATTGGTACTGCGGACATTGGAGGACAGAATTTTAAAATCATTTTCACCCATTTTCTTGACAAAAACCAAGAAAGAAGAATGAATTTAAAGGAAATTTTGAGAAGTTTTAGCTATGCCAACTGACATGCTTACTGTAAGCTAATCCTGTCGCAGAAGTGCATTAGTTTGATTCTCTACCAGTGAACAAAAGCAGAATTGTGTAATTATTACGGATAAAATGACAGTGATTTGTCCTGGTGAGACTCTGACCAGCAGCAGCCTCTGGGAGACCAGCATCCAGGACAAAGCCGGCGACTGGAAAGTGGCAGAGCTGGTGGGGCTCTCGGAGGAGCGGCCCTCAGCCTCTTTCCTGTTCACGGCCAGGCCACGGCGGCACACCGGGACTTTGCTCACAGTCTTGAGAAACTTACCACATGTGCTGAAGTAAATATCAGCAACAATGAACAAAAACGCCACCACATTTTAAAAAGAAATGTGAGGGGCCGGGCGCGGTGGCTCACGCCTGTAATCCCAGCACTTTGGGAGGCCGAGGCAGGTGGATCACGAGGTCAGGAGATCGAGACTATCCTGGCTAACATGGTGAAACCCCATCTCTACTAAAAATACAAAAAAATTAGCCGGGTGTGGTGGTGGGCGCCTGTAGTCCCAGCTACTCAGGAGGCTGAGGCAGGAGAATGGTGTGAACCCAGGAGGCGGAGCTTGCGGTGGGCCAAGATCACGCCATCGCACTCCAGCCGGAACGACAGAGCGAAACTGCATCCCCAAAAAAAGAAAAAAGAAAAAAAAGAAAAGAAATGTGAGGAGGGGAAGCCTTCCTCAAATAACCAAAATGCTCTACAGAAAATATATCCAAACCAGCTTCTCATTGGATCTCAAAAATTAAATATAGTCAATCTGGAGTGGATGACATTTCAAGAGAAAAAAGAAAAAAAATCCAATTTTTCTTTGTTTTGTTTTTCAGATGGAGTCTTGCTCTGTCACCCAGGCTGGAGTGCTGTGGCACAATCTCAGCTCACTGCAATCTCTGCCTCCCGGGTTCAAGAGTCTCCCGTCTCAGCCTCCCAAGTAGCTGGAACTACAGACGACTGCCACCATACCCAGCTAATTTTTGTATTCAAAAATCTGAAATTTGGGTGACAGCAGACACTCAGCCAATCCATGGACTTGTGTGACGTCTACTGTACAACTCGCACACCAGTGAGCGTGAAAGCTGCTGGGCCCCTTCCTGAGCTCTTGGCTCAGGGGCTCCACCACGGTGGCATGGAATGAAGTGACCAACTTTAGAAAGCAGAACGGTGACAATGGTGATCATTCACTGTGCTTGCTATCTTCTCAAGTCAAGTAATCTTGTGAGCTACTCCTTTGCACAGATACCTGTAGGGGCTGCACTGCCTCTCTGGCTCTGGACGCCATTCCCTGCTGCAGGTGAACCCTGTGATTACAGGAGCAGAGTTGGCAGCGGTTTCCCACCAAGTGCTTCCGACGCTGGGACTAGACAGCACACGCCCGTCTCACTGCTGTCCCGTTCCTTCCTTCGCCCAAGACACAGATTAGTGAAGATTCCAGAAACAGATGATGCGTTTTAGGCAGGATCATTCATTCTTCAAAATCCAGATTTTTCTCAGAGGCAAACTCTGGTTCAGAACCCATTGATATCTGTTAAAGAATGATAACCCTTTCCCCTCTGTATGTGTGTCTATATTATGTTTGTGTACTTATATGTATATATATTTTCTCATATATTTACTCTATTTTTAAACAAGAGTTACTAAAACATTTCCCTATCAGTCTCACTTTCCTTCGGTGTGGTCTGGAAGGAGGTAGGAAAAGAATGAAATCCATTCCCAGGGACTTTCTCAGGTGCTGATTTAAGATAAAATGCAAATGAGGTAGACACAGTTCCTAGCCTCAGGAAGGACAAAGAGAAGGGGCAGGTTTGGATAATCTATATGTCAGATGACAATTTATTCAACGAATATTTTTTAAAGTACCAACTGCTAGCAGAACCCTGCACTGCTCACAGCAGGTGGAGCAGGTGGCAGATTTCAGAGTCACTTACTGTGCTGTGACTTGGAGCCAAGCCCCCGATTTCCCACTGGACAGAGATAATGAACACCTAGTTTCTTCATCCATGTGACTCAGCACACAGTGGTATTTGGATCACAAAATTATCCTGTACTATAGGCGAGGTACAAACCCTGTTAGGGTTGAGAAGGGGCAACAGGAGGAGGAACCATGGAAGGGTCCCTGAAGGAGATGGCACTGAAGCTGGCCTTTGAGGGAGGTGGGCACAGGTAACCTAGGCACTGGGTCAGGAGAATGGATAAAAGCTCCAGGAAGGCAGGGGCCTCATCTGTCTGGGACCTGAGGTACTTCCAGGGCTCTGCACAGTGCCTGGCATACAGTAGGCACACAAGTATTACATGGAAACATCAGAAATCAACAGTCTAAAGAAACAGCAAGCTGACCCACAGCTCATATTTTAAGGACAGTCTTTTGTTTGACATAGATTCACAACTGCACAAGACAAGGAACTATGAGTGTGGCCCGTGGGGAGGTCGGGAGACAGCCCGGATGCCTGAGATGTGGTGAGGTGTCACCACGGAGCTCTGCTGTGCCTTGGATAAACTGATGGAGGAAAAAAAAAAAAAAAAGACCCAGGCCCACTTATTTTAGTAAAATGAAATCAAGTACAGGTCTTAACATTCATAAGCAGAACACTTACACATCACAACTAGTAGGACCTCAGCCAATAAATCAACCTCACAGACATTTTTGGGCCTGTAAGTTAGAACTTGGGGGGAGTTGGCATAGGAGTGGTATGAAGCCTAAGTGACACCTACCAAGTATTCTGACCTGGTCCCTCTGTCCACCCAGACTTGCAGGGCTACAGAGAAGCAGGCGTGCTCTCGGAAAAGGGCATGCAGGGCAGGCAGGGACGCAGGGCAGCCCTGAAGCACACAGACCTCCCTACTGTTCAGCAGATCCAGCGGCCTCTGCACGCATGAGAGAAGGAACCACAGTCAATTAATAATGCTTTGTGGCACCCAGCTGGCGTTACAAGGATGATTCCCAGGACACTTAGCCTTGCCTGGGAAAGGAGCTAGTTGTTGTAAAAATGGTTCAAGAAGAAAAGGAAATTAAATACGTCATTCCCCAGCTTCTCTCTGTGGGCTCAGCTGCAAGGGATTTGGTTCTTTGCACTTTGGGAAGCTGGTTCGAAAGAGATTTCCTGCTTACCTGGCAGGTTAAGCATTAAAAATGTGGCTATGGCCTAAATGGTCACTCCTAGTACCGGGGGGCGGGGCGGGGGGGGGGGGGGAGGTCAGGGCTGCCCAAGGTGGGAGCTCATCGGTGCCACAGATTAAATGCAAAGGACTGGGTGACAACTGCCATTGATGAGAAGCAGCAGTTCTTGCCCTGAGTTCCTACTTATTGAATGACGGAAGTGACATTCTTTCATTTTGCCGGAATATTTATGACTTAGAAAAATGTTAGCAGTGGTCATAAACTATAAGAAAAATTTTGTGGAATTTAAAAAATTTTACCTTGAGAAAAATTTTGTTTCAGAAGTCTGCAAATGTAGAGGGACAATAATGACCCCTTCTCTTTAACAAGAATGCTCAATTCTTCATGCTATTTGACTCTCTCTGGTGGGGAAAAAACTTTTTTTCTTTTCACAGTAGAAATTCCTTTGGCCTAAATCAATGGAATGTAACAGCCCATGTCTATGCTCTTTGCTGGGTTGTGATACAATGTACACATTAGGAGTTTAAAAAGCTTTAAAAGTCTTTAAACTTAATACCATCATTAACAGAATGAAATAACATATCTATTATTTTTAGCTATCTGAAAAATATAGACTTTGCCCACTAAATCAGCTACTTTGATGCGAATTTTAAATTAAATCCCATGTCCTAATGGTATCTTGAGTAGAATTAAGGTCTCCAGAGTTACTGGGCACAGGATAAGGATATATCACACCATAAACACAGAGCTCTAGAATTCTGAAGTCTCCATGGGAAGATCTTAAATTACTTTTGTGCACACAGTTGCCTTTCCCCAGAAGAGGTCCTGATGGCTGTGAACACAGGAGCATGAGACCCCCTGCCCAGACACCCACACTGTGCAGGCATGCTCCTGTCCTTTTGGCACTGTGTCCTTACTTTTTTGCTCAGGATTTGATTGTGGATGGCTCAAACCCATAACAAGAGCAGCCCTCTGAAGGCGAGCCCTGTGGTCAGAGCCCTGTGTAATCGGCTCATGATCACATTGAGAGGTGACAACATGCTGGCGGCCCTCACTCGTTCTCAGCACCACCTCCACTTCTGCTCTGGCCACGCTTGAGGAGCCCTTCAGCCCACCGCTGCACTGTGGGAGCCCCTCTCTGAGCTGGCTGAGGCTGGAGGGCTCCCTCTGCTTGCACAGAGGTGTGGTGGGAGAGGTGCAGGCGGGAACTGGGGCTGTGTGCGGTGCTCGCAGGCTAGCGCCTGCAAGAGTTCCAGGTGGGCGTGTGCTCAGCGGGCCCTGCACTCCGAGTGGCCAGCCAGCGCCACTGGCCCCAGGCAGCGAGGGGCTTAGCACCTGGGCCAGCAGCTGCAGAGGGTGTGCCGGGTCCCCCAGCACTGCCAGCCAGCCCGCCCGCACCGCGCTTGAATTCTCGCCAGGCCTCAGCCACCTCCCCGCGGGGCAGGGCTTGGGACCTGCAGCCCACCATGCCCAAGCCCCACTGCGGTGGGCTCCCACGCAGCCTGAGCCTCCGCAGCGCCCGGTCCCATCGACTGCCCAAGGGCTGAGGAGTGCAGGTGTGCAGTGCGGGACTGGCGGGCAGCTCCGCCTGTGGCCCTGGTGCAGGATCCACTAGGCAAAGCCAGCTGGGCTCCTGAGTCGGGTGGGGACTTGGAGAACTTTTATGTCTAGCTGGAGGATTGTAAATGTACCAATCAGCACTCTGTGTCTAGCTCAGGGTTCATGGATGCACCAATCAGCACTCTGTATCTAGCTAATCTGGTGGGGAGTTGGAGAACATTTATGTTTAGTTAAAGGATTGTAAATACACCAATCAGCACTCTGTGTCTAGCTCAAGGTTTGTAAATGCACCAATCAGCACTCTGTGTCTAGCTAATCTAGTGGGGCCTTGGAGAACTTTTATGTCTAGCTAAAGGATTGTAAATACACCAATCCACTCTGTGTCTAGCTCAAGGTTTGTAAATGCACCAATCAGCACCCTGTGTCTAGCTTAAGGTTTGTAAATGCACCAATCGCTGCTCTGTGTCTAGTTAATCTAGTGGGGACTTGGAGAACTTTTACGTCTAGCTAGAGGATTGTAAATACACCAATCAGCACTCTGTGTCTAGCTCAGGGATTGTAAACGCACCAATCAGCACCCTGTCAAAATGGACCAATCAGCTCTCTGTAAAATCGGCGAATCGGCTCTCTGCAAAATGGACCAATCAGCAGGATGTGGGTGGGGTCAGATAAGGGAATAAAAGCAGGCTGCCCAAGCCAGCAGCGGCAACCCATTTGGGTCCCCTTCCACACTGTGGAAGCTTTATCTTTGCAATAAATCTTGCTGCTACTCACTCTTTGGGTCCGCACTGCCTTTATGAGCTATAACACTCACCGCGAAGGTCTGCAGCTTCACTCCTGAGGCCAGCGAGACCACGAACCCACCGGGACGAATGAACAACTCTGGACAAGAGATACAAACAACTCCAGACGTGCCACCTTAAGCGCTGTAACACTCACCGCGAAGGTCTGCAGCTTCACTCCTGAAGCCAGTGAGCCCACGAACCCACCAAAAGGAAGAAACTCCAAACACGTCTGAACATCAGAAGGAACAACCTCCGGACACACCATCTTTAAAAACTGTAACACCACGAAGATCCACGGCTTCATTCTTGAAGTCAGTGAGACCAAGAACCCAACAATTTCGGACACAACATTTTCCTAGCTGGGCAACTGTGAAGGCAGGAAGCCAACCATGACCTTAGACTCCAGGGCACCATGTCTGGTTGTTTCTAACTACATACCCAGCTGCCAGCAGGCAGCGTGGCATACACCTGGAGCTTAATGAGTATACACTGAATAAATGACAAACAGGTGAGCCAACAAACCAGCTGCAAGCTATTATTTCTCAGCCTATGCATACTGACTGATAAGTCAACCACTATGAATGGTGATGTCCTGAGTTACTGGTATATCCTGATCAGTTTTGAAGTGAACACAAGTAACATCTAATTTTAGTCAAGTTCATGAGTTTGTGAATTATTTATTCAAAGATGATAATTCAAAGCAAATAAGGCAACCCTTCTAGCGACTCATCTCTCACTTGTGTTACTGCTTTGCTGTCTCAGAAGGCAGAGTCCAGACTAAGTGTACGTGAACACTGCCTGTCATGTAAAGCAGTGTCGGGGTGGGGGCTCAGGACAGAACTGACCTGAGAAATACCATGAAAGATCAATCTGGGCAGGGCACGGTGGCTCACGCCTGTAATCCCAGCACTTTGGGAGGCTGATGCAGGTGGATCACTTGAGGTCAGGAGTTCGAGACCAGCCTGGCCAACATGATGAAACCCTGTTTCTACTAAAATTACAAAAATTAGTTGGCATCGTGTCGCATGCCTGTAGTCCCAGCTACTCGGGAAGCTGAGGCAGGAGAGTCGCTTGAACCCAGGAGGCAGAGGTTGCAGTGAGCCAGAATTGTGCCACCGCACTCCAGTCTGGGTGAGTGAGACCCTGTCTCAAAAAAAAAAAGATGCATCTATTATGCAAAGAAATAGTTACTCATCTCTTGCCTTTCCCTCAACTCCTATCACCTTGGAAGAAAAAAAAGTCAACTAACTCTCAGTCCTGCTTTTTCACCCCATCGCTAACTTTCTCATCAGCAAGAATGCCTTCAGTTCCCACTAAGCCTGGTTTGGGAATGTGCTTCCCCCTTTCCAGCCTGGGGAAACCCGCTGATCCAAGGCCCAGATGGATGATCCATAAGGGATGTCAGAAAGAATGCTGGACTTGTCAAAGGGCCTGAGTGAACCTGGCACTCCCACTACACAGCAAACATTCTGGCATGTGAGTTTCCACATCTCACAGGGTTGTAATAGGATTAAATGAAATAATGGGAACAAACAAACTTCATAAACTGTTAAGTGTTTATAAATGTAGGATGGCTGAGGCATAAAGGACTCCATGATAGCACAGAACTCACTACATTGTATTTACATCAACTGTGAGTACCCAGAAAATGAGAATTAGGTTTCATCACAATTAGATTTGTAACTGCAGGCCTAACATGGCGTCTAGGATGTACTAAAAATCACTTTTAATATGAAGGATGAATGAAGCAATCTAGATGAATTACTTCAATTCTATTTCTATTTTTAAAATAGAACAAAGTAAACTTGAGCACAAGATACTATCAGCACATCGCAGTCACTTAAAAAGATGTTCAGCTGTGCGCATGAGAAAGCCATCTGTGATCTGCTTGAAGCACCAAGAGAAAGTCAATTCAAATTCATTCCTTCTTATTTTGAGGAGGGAAAAATCCTTACATAGATGGCTTCCTTGCTGAAATAAGAGTTCAAAAAAAGTCCATGCTAGATTTCTTTTTAAATAAAAAAAGAAAAAAAAGGTAAAGAAAGAAGAGAAAGCAGAAGTGCTGACATTCAGCCCCACGCAGGAGAGAGTTTCACCATGTGAACACACAAAACACGGGGACTGCCAGGACAAGAGAGGCTGTTTTCTAGGCCCAGTCTGTAAATTTGGGACATCTGTGATTAATAAAAACCTTAAAAAAAAAGTTTTTTTTAAAAAAAGGAGGGAAAGGACCATATCCTGCTGGTCGCAGACCAAGGAGGATCATGTTTCACTTTAACCCTCTCTTTATTTTCACAATGGTAAAAAAGTCTTAAAGACTTCTGAGTGTTCTAGAGTAACAACTGCATTGCTGAGCAGAGTAGTAAGCCAAACTAAAAACTTCAGCCTCTGAATTTGAAAAGGTTTCACCCAAATCTCTGCATGTCTTCCATTTCTCAGTCTCACCAGCATGGAAGCACCAGGAGAAGTGGCTTTTGCTGCCTTGTGTGTGCTGTATATCTGGAGTTTAAAGTCTGCCTGGCACATGCATGTGTTCAATAGGTATTTGCCTGGTGTGGTCTTTACAGATGAGTGGACACTCAAGGCCACCGGGCCGGGGTTCCACTAACACCCCTGCCACCTGCTGGGTGTGGGTTCTTATGAGTCAATGACCCCCTTTTTGCTTCAGTTTCTTGATGTGTAAAATGACAGTGATTCCTCTAGCCTTTACCAGGCTGCTGGGGGGAAAAGGTATGAAAAAAGTCTTTGGAAACTTATAGCCTAACACAGTATGAGGGAATACTCACACTGATGTGTAGGAAAAAGCTGCAGAAGGCTGAGGAAGAAAGCAGGATGAAGCAGAGCGGCGAGACGACGAATCTAAGGACAAGCGCCCCAGGCCCAGAGTGGGAAGAAGAGCTGGGGCTGTGAAGGCCGGGCCTCCTTGGACAGCCAGGGTCACAAACCCCACAAGGTCACCAAGCCTCTGCTGTGACTGGCAGCCCTCATGCCACATAACGTCAGCCAAACATGCACACATGTGGGTCTGCTGCCGATTGACAGCCAGGGCGTTTCCGATGAGACAGGGCCACCCACGGATGCCCTGCTCAACAGCAGGAGAGTTCCGGTGAACATCTGTCTTGCATTGCAAATTCTCCACGCTGTCTCCCCCAAAGGATTTTAGCTAGCTTATGTTAAAGACAGATATTCCCATCTTACTGTCCATTGTAGGTGTTCAAAAATATCTGTCAAATGAACAATGAAATGATGTCTTGATAAAAACTCTAACCAGGATACAGCACAACTCAGAGGCAAGTTCTTGAAGCAAAGGGCTAGTTTAAAATTCTAGTTGTAAGGATTTAAAGAAATGTTCACTTAGCAGTTATTGCTATGTGCTGATGAAAGCTAATTCAAAGGCACTTTGCAGCAACTGCTTCTAATGTCTGAAAATAACTCCATCAGACTATTTGAAAAGAGGGCAGTCCCGGTGTAATCAGGTATAACTGGCCTATAGCAATTTCTCAAACTTCTGTCTTGTCAAGAATTTGATGCAATAAATCACATTTTTATTCAGGAAGTTCTTCCACCATACAAGGGAGGCTGTAAGGCAAATGTGAAAATCAGATCTATAAATTACTTAAAAAGAATAATCAAATTCTTAGCTTATGACTGTTGACGGTGTTGGTTCAAATGTTCTAGAGCAAAATTTCTGAGTAAATGATTGTCATCTCTACACTTTCAAACTGGATTTGAATTCCATGCTTTTGGAATCAAGGTGGCCTTTTTTTTTTTGAATAAAGAAAAGACCACAGTGCACTAGAAATTCTCTTACAGATCACATAAAAACTGAGTTAATCTGTAAGTTAATCCTCTGGATGCAACTTCCAGGGACTGCATCTTCTCTGCATCTTACACAGTGATTATAATCATCCCCTGGGCAATGCATATTGAATTAAAATGATGATGATGAGACAAAGCTGGGGTATTACTTGGGAAATCTTAAGCAACTGACTTGCCCAGTAATACAGTTACCCTTTTGGTGGTTCGGAATATACAAGTATTTTTAAAACATTTCTCCAAACTTAAATCTATATTCTATTTGTGAGCAAGTATCTGGAGAGGTTTCTTGGCTGACTTCTATGTGTTCATTCCAGTTACCTTGCTCTTACATATGTTTGGTGTATCATCTGTCTGTGAGTACTAGTGAGTCTTAATTTGTTCCTCTGGAAAAGAAAGATTCATCAGGGGTTGAAACACCAGATTTAGAATGGACACTGCGTCCCCAGGGGTTCTCTCCTTCTCTGCACATACCTGGGTTCCAGGGCTTTATTCTGGGCTGCAACTGTTTGTTATGCTGTCATGTCAGCATGGGAAATCTTTACAACAGCCAGAGAAGCACTGAGCGTGAGTCTGGAGAATGGTAATGACTGAAAATGTGGCAAAAGACTATTAAAAGCAAATTTTACATATTGCACAGTGGGTCCTAAATGCAAAAATATGAACTCTGTCTTTGCTTTCAAATATGAATTGAACACAGAAAACATGAAGGAGAAAGTTAAATTCCCCAGGTTTTTTTTTTCTTAAATAATCCCAAGATTCAACCAGAGGCCCAACACAGCACTGCCACGGCTCATGCTGTAATGAAGAACACATGGTCTTTGCCGCCTGAGAAGGGCCAACACTTCCACCGTTCCCTGCGCAGCCCCTCCCACAAATTCAGTGGGGAGCTTTCACCAGCAGACACCTCCAGGTGACCCTGAATGCCAGAACACAATGTAATCACTGGCATCAATTAAAACCAACCCAGTGAAAAACAACTGCTCTTCTTTGTGAATTATGAAAATGAGAACACACTGCAGTCTCCCCATTTTGGGCTAGTCTTCATGAGTCATGTCATGAAAAGAGAATGGCCTCATCACCACTCAAGAGTGAGGAGTCCTAGAGATATGAGGCCGGCCGCGTCGATCTCACCAAACAGAACAAGCCAACGGAAGTCACATGTACACACTGGCTCTTACACTCTTATTCTCAGCGTCGTTTCTGAAAACACTGAAAACATTACATAAGCATTGGAAAATGTAGCTATGTAGACAAATGCAAGACTTTGAGCATCATTTTTCCTCTCAAGCTGATTCTTGGAAGGGGAATGCTAATCTATCAGCATTTCTGGTCAGGAAACCATTTCATTTTAAAGGTCTTTCTTTTTATTTTCACCACTGAAATTTCCAATAAAGAAACGTGAAGAAATTAAATGTAAATGAAAACAGATGGTAAGATCCTTTGCTTGGTTAATCAGATGCACAGGATCTCACATATTGCCAAAGTGAAAGTGTAAAACACCTCAGAAATAAAATAAATGAAGAAAGAGTCCAATTACTGATCGTGGATAACAGTAAAAATGGGCTAGTGTGGATCAACGTAAGGAATTAAAACAAGGCTAGAGACTGGAGTTATACATGTCCTGAACGGAACAGGACCTGGCTGGCCTGAGGCTCAGGAATGCTTTAGAAACACGTGGTCTGCAGCTGGTGGACAGTTGATCACTAGGCTGTTGGCTTCCAGGAAAAGATGAGCCTATAGCTGTTCTGCCTTGTGACCAGCAGCCGAGCAACAAGAGGCCAACATAGGAATCAAGTGGTGGTTGTTGGGCTAGTCTTAGTGAGTCACGTCTTGAAAGAAAATGGCCTCATCACCACCCAGAGTGAGAAGCCCTAGAGATAGGAGGCTGGCCGCGTCGATGTCACCAAACAGAACATGCCAGTGCTAACGGAAGCCGCCTCCATGGGACTTTCTCTGCTTCCCACTACACTGCCTCCCAGCAGAGATGGGGCCGAGAGGGCGTCTTTCATCCCACCGGCCGTGGAAGCAGTCTGTTCTGCCTGCCTCATCTCCCATTTCCTTCCAGAGGTGAGATGGGGTGAACCAGGCAGACTCAGATTGATGGCTCGCCTGGCAGATGGCCACACATTGTTAAAAACCACGATGTCATAAAAAATCACTAGGTTGTAAAAAAGTCTTTTTTAACCCAACTCTGTAGGCCGAGGCTTACTTTTTAATGTGATCTTTCTCTACTCTGGACAAATACTGACTTGACTAGAGGAGAATGTCTAGGCCATATTGCTGTCTTGAAATGATAGGGCCATTTTCACTGCTTTTTAAGTAAGCCAGCCCCTAAAATATATTTTTTGGGAAGATGAACAGTATGCTTTTTCTGTAACCAAAAGTCTAAGCTATAACAAAAGGAAAAAATCCCCAAGGAACTATCTTACCAGTGATTACTGGGAGGGGACTTGGACTCATTCCTGACTTTTACACAAGAACAAAAGCAGATAGCCTTGCTGGGTGAAAGAGAGACACTTAAAAAAAAAAAATTCCATATAAATGAAACCAGAAAGACACACACACATCCTGCCAGCTGAAGACATCCATGCCCAGCAGCTTTCTGCCCCGCTCCTAACGCGCAGTCCACATGGCTCTTTAGTACTGGCTGGGGGTAGTGGACCTTGGAAAGGTGATGTCGCATCAGCCCTCGTGGGGAAAGTTCTCCAGCCAGGGAGTGGCCCCACTGCCCGCATCGAGCCCCAATGTGGCACTGTTCCAGGGTCCTCTTTTCAGTCTGACAGCAGAGGTCAGGGGAGATCCGGTTCCCTGCACCTCTCCTGCATGACAGAACAACAGGCATAAGGCCACGTCTAGGCCTGCTGTGAGACAACCCACGCTCTGATGGAGGCTGAGGGCGAGGATGCAGCATGTGACCCCATATTCCCCCAGCCCCCGCCCCAGGCAGGCAAGGAGCGACAGCCTGCTGCGGCACTCTGGGCTCTGGTCTGTTTAAATGCTCAGAAAGCAAGAACTTCTGAATGCTCCTCTAGTTGTGTGGCTTTTTCAGATGTTTCTGATCCTCTGTGTTCCCAAAAAGTCAAATGGCTGTTCTTTTCACAAAATTACCCAAGATTCGTATTACTCATACAAAGAAAGATTATTAAAAACAAAACAAAACAAAACAAATTCAGCATGCGTATGAGACTATTATTTTGTGTACTGCTGACTGAGGGATACCGAAGTTCTCCCTGTTATAAAATAATGGGTTCTTGATTCTTAATTTCTCTATATGGGAAGTTATTCCCAAGGCAATAAAGTACTTATTATTGTCCTGAATAGACAACCATCATGTAAGGAAACAGAAAGTTAATTCTGGGGGAAATAAGCAGTCCCACGGTGCTCACACACCCTTCTGTCCATCTGAGTCTGCCTTCCAGAGGTGCTCACCCAGTTAAGAAACATGAATGTTGAACCCATGGGCATAATAGTTCTTGACATTAAACACAGAGTGTTAGAAATGAAAGATCTAATCTTACATGAAGAAGGCATATGGAAGTGTATTCTTCATAATGAATATTTATTTTTGGCTAATGTCTTCCTATGATTTGTTGAAAAAAAATGAAATCACTTTGGCTGCTTTGTTAAAGAGGATACCAAAGACGTTGGGGGCAGGGGGCTATACGCAGATTTTTTAAAAAGTTGAAACATGTCTTTAAATGAAGCAGGTGGCACAAAAAGACTCTCCCAGGCAAAACGGTTTTAAAAATTGTGCAATTAGTGGTTTAAACTATATGACTGATTTATTTCAGGAGGTGAATGATTTCTCTTCATTCATGTATACATTTATTATTATTTTAAAAAATTTATACCAGATTCAGAATGCTAGCATGGAAACATCTTTTACCTACATTCAAGAAAATTTACTATAAACCATGCTAACTTATACATGTTTTCACAGAGCCACATGACAACATACTAATTTTAATAACAGCATTAAGGGGAAAAAACGTGGCTTTGGAGTATTCTGCAATCAGCCTGCCAACTACTATTTCTCTTTATTTATTTATTTATGGGACAGTCTCGCTGTGTCACCCAGGCTGGAGTGCAGTGGCTTGATCTTGGCTCACTGTGACCTCCGCCTCCTGGGTTCAAGTGATTCTCCTGCCTTAGCCTCCCGAGCAGCTGGAATTATAGGTGCCCGCCACCACACCCGACTAATATTTTTGTATTTTAGTAGAGACAGGTTTTCACCATGTTGGCCAGCCTGGTCTTGAACTCCTGGCCTCAAGTGATCTGCCCACCTCGGCCTCCCAAAGTATTGGGATTACAGGTGTGAGCCACCACGCCCAGCCACTTTACACTGTCTACAGCAAAGGTTAGCTAAAGTTTCAGAGTTTCAAGGGATGGAATATTAGCTTAGAAAGAGCTACAGCTATGTAGAATGAGGAACCAGAAGATTATTTCCCCCCAATAAACCACAAAGCAAATATCTAGTACATTATATTATACAGTCCCTGGTTAATTCAAAAACAAAGAAACAAAAGCTGTAACCAATTAGGAATTCCTTTTACAATTATATTTGAGTAACTCCCCCATCAAAAGGAAAATGCTGCTCAACTAAAGCTAATAAGCACTTGGAAACAGGATGAAGACATGTCGCACAGACTGGAGGAGGTAAAGCGCCCCCAGGTGCATGCACCCCACAGGTACCATCTACTCCCAAGCACACAAAGCATTACGGGATGCAACACCAAGACCTGAACTAATTTGATTTTATGACATCTTGTCCCCCTCTCTTCCCCCTGCCCACCCACATGCACTGAATGGCACTGCATTTTATTTTTCAAATCACCATTTTGTCATTTATTGAGAGCTGTCTCCCACTTTTTTGGGTTATCACATACTAAAACCACCACAACAATAAAGGCCAAAGACAAAAAGAAAAGAGGGCTGGAGCAACTGCTTTTGGAGTTCTCCATGTATCCCACATGGGGTTCAAACGCTGTCTCTCCAGTGCTGCCAGTGCCTGGGGAGAAGGCGGCTTTCTAAGAATGTCCCGCACCTTCCTGTTGTTAAGTCTTCCTGTGAGGAACTCTTCCCTGCCTGTCAAGCCTCGGAGTGATCACAGTGAGGATAGAGGAAGGGAGCGAGGGAGGGAGGGAGGGCTGGAGTTATTCCAGGCAGGAACAAAGCAAGCGCGGAGATGGAGACAAAGGGAATGAAAGGAACGCCTCTGCTAAGAACACCAATTAACAGCACGGATCTTGTCCTTGGCTGAATCAGTGCCCGTGGTGTGATGAAAGGCACGGCCACAGACCGGAGGCGACAGTGGGAAATAAGCAGACCGCCCCTGCGTGGGGCTGGGGCTCAGAGTGCCTGTGGTGGGCACTGTGCTGTCTTTCTTTTTAACTGGAGAGAGACAAAGGGAAAAACATTCCATGTTCAGTTCCTATGTCATAATAAGCACATCCCCTTTTTATTATGGAAGAGTTCCTTACTCAACTGCACGCCTGCTTCTGTGCCCTTGGGCCACTTCTTACCATAATCCATCAGCTTTCAAGGATAAAAGAGGAAGGGGAAGTTGCCTTAGGGCTAATATATTTTGTCTCAGAAGTTTTTCAAAGGCTGTATCCTTAGACAGAAGAATAATTCTAGTCTTCTCATGCTGATAGGTACAGGTCCATTTCACTACAGAAGGAATTGTTGATTTTAACAAGAAGTAGCAATAGCAAGGTTTCTCAACTGCGCATCTGAGAAACTGGACAATGGATATGATTGAGATGGTTTCTTATAGTCAAATATTAAAAGTATCAACAAAAGAAGCATCATTTTACATATAAACAGACTAGAAGATGTGTCCAACGTGATTAGTGGCTGCCTAAGGGTGCTATGTTCCCTTCTGCTGCTCGCTCTGTCTGGGAGTTTTCCACTTAGCACATATAGTTTCAGAGAAACTAGATATTTGGCGGGGGGTATGTGGTTTGCTCATATTTGTATGGTTTTATATGAGAATTGCAAAAAATTAATAGGAGCATCTTTATGGCTGCCCAGCCCCCACTGCCACTCCTTGGAGACAGGAAGAGGAAATGAGGAAGACTCCATGGATGAATTCCATGGCTTGTTACCCAGCTCCCAGGCCGACTCACTCTGTTTATGGACTTGCTCACGTGTCCCTGAGGCCAACTTTGAGCACCTGGAGGAAATTTTTCAGAATGAAAAACTATAAATTTGTGTTCCCCCAAAATCTAGTGAAGAGATATACTTAGAAAGAGCACATACCAAAGACAGATTACAGTTAAACGAGGAGGGTGCCTGCTCCTTGTCTAGAAATAAGAAAAGAATTCCAAAACTAGGAAAAGCCACTTTGCCTGAAGGCTCCTAACCTGGGACCTGTGGGTTTCTTGGGCACTTTTTGGGGGAGGTTTCAGTCTAATTTTAATATTAACTTCAAAAACATTCTAATATTTCAAGATTTTATATTCACTCTAAAAAAGGCTATAATACCAAATAACTTCAAGTTTCTTTGCTTCTTGGCTAAAAATATATACAAATTCAATGTGTAACACTCTTTTTTCGTGTTTAACATGGAAGCAAGGGAACAAAATTATTTTTAAAATGCAGTTTGCTTAAAATGAAATAGAACCTTCAATGTAGATTTTGGAGAGCATAATAACCATAATAGCGAGCATTCTCTATCTTCTTTTGTTTGTTTGTTTTAAACACATGAGGAAACTGCAGCTCAGCGAGATTATCAAGAACTTATAAGATCACACAGGTAGGGGTGAGCAGGGACAAACTGGCTTCTACAGCAACACACCATTCCCACTATCCTATACTGCACATCCTGTCTTAAACCATTCACTTAAAGATACTTAAAGGGCAAAAAACGATTTGAGATAGAATTTAGTTTGCACAGCAACTTGTGTGACACAATCAGTCTTCACAGTCGAAACAATCCAACATTGTGACAAGTACTTCTGTGGTTTTTGTTTATTCATGTGAAACTGAATATTCCATGTACTGACAGCTTTAATTTGAGGCAGTACTGTTCATCCACTTGGATACTTTCAGAATAGGTTCATATTATGTATTTCTTCAGCAAAGAAATTTCTTTATCCTATATTTAGTCTTTGGAATGTTTCCCTTTAATTTATAAAAACAAAAATTGCAGTGGTGAGAATCCATATTCCTAACCCAAACAGAAAGAAAAAAAAAAAAAAGACTTCAAGAGAATTCAAGAATTATAAAGCACACAGTTCACTTTGTGTAAGAGTCTGTTCAGTGTTAAGGAGAGTCACCAGATTATGTTTTTCCTGAGCTTGAGTCAGGGGAATACGTATAGCACTGGAATAGATTCCATCTGTCCTATAAAAGGGAATACTGATTTCAGAATGATAACCAACCCAATAGTTCCACTCTCTTATCCGTAGAACTAGGCTCTCCCATTGGAAACGTCATAAAAGAAGATTTACAGTTCTTCTTGACCTTACCTTCTCTTATTTTCTTAACAATCGCTTAGCAGTAAAACTCTCCTGGCTCATGTCTGTGTAAGTTATTGACAATGGCAATGTCAGCACATAAAACAGGCTTCTGTGCAGATTACTCCAAGCAAGACTGGTTCACATTTGGACAGGGGGATGCCCCAATGAACTTCAGGAAGCAGGAAAACTGCCTTTTCCCAAAGTACTCTAACACATGAAGCCCCAGACTGCTTGCAGGTGTAAGACGGGCTTTGCAATCACACTCAGTGATTTCATGGGCACTGTAAAGTTACTTTGGGATTTATTTCTTGGATATTACCCAGAATCATTCTTCCTTTTAAAATGTGATGCATATGTATTTCCCCATAATCAATTTAATAGGTAAAATCAGAATATTAAAACATCACTCTGATATAACAGCATTCAGGAAATTGTCTTGAAATTACTATAAGCGTTAGAAAAGGATGGGCAGGCACTTTCTACACACACACGCATATGCACGAATTTCGCTTTTTCTTATCTATCCTTTATGGTGAAGTGATCATTTTTTGTTCAGGAAATTCCACACGGGTCATCAATTTTTCTTACGAATTTTTCCTAGCTTAAAAATTCTGAGGTGACAGCTTGAAGAACACCACCTAGAGCTTCTTAATAGTTTAAGAATTACCAACAAAAATATATAGAGAGAAACAAAAAATGTAACAGCACAATTATCCTCTAGTACTTTAAAAAGCGAATTTAATAATGTCCCTTGAGAAGAATTCTGAAGGAATTAAGATACCACTAAGATTCAAAAATTCCCTCTACAGAAAGAATGCTATGTCTTAAGATCCATTACTCTTTAGAAAAATTGTTCATTAAAATATTTTGTTCTAAACTTTGGGGATGTTTATGATATCCTGAGGGGCGTGCTCTATTGTTACTCCCACTTTGCAGACAAAGAAAGAGAAGTTCAGAGAGAGAAGGTAATTTACTCAAGATTCAGAGCTAGCTAGCGGCTGAGGCATCAAATCAGACTTTTCATGTGACCAGTTGTTCTTTGCACTGCACAGAAATTACTACATTAAATTAGGAGAGCAGATGCATCATCTACTTTAACCCACCCAGTGCAGGAATTCCTAGCGCACAGGGTCCCCGAGGGACCTACCCAGCTTGCACACCTGCAGACAGGGAGGTCACCATCTTCGAGTGGTAAAACAATTAGCATAAATATGACAAAAAGAGCCCAGGGTCAAAGACTTTTTAAAGGTTTTGTGAACAAAAATACAAGGAGTATTATTGAAAATGATGTTGAGAACCACACATGCAACATTCACGCAGCCAACTCTTACCTCCTAGTATTCCATGAACAAATGGGTAGAGTTAAGCAGCGCCACTTCCCCTTCAGATGCCCAATACATATTTTCTGTGCCCCCCTTTTGATCCGACACCCTACCCCCTTTCTTTGGGGGATCCCTGCACCCCGAAAGACCCTTCTCCATAGAGCTCTTAATGAACTGGAAGTGCCCCGTTAAGTCTCAGCAAATCCCCTTGGCTCTCTGCGTCTTGCCGCCCACTTCCGAAGCATATACGCGGATAACGGCTGACAAGAAAGTGAAGGCAAACACTGAAAGTGACCCAGGCCAAGACCCAAATTCTGGTAGAGAGCATTCCTGCTGGCATGCAGGTGGCACCCTGTGAGAGACTCCTTTTTTCGGCTGTATGGTCTGGACAGAGAGCTGTCAAAGGTTACTGAAACAAAGCTGGCCTCTGGAACAGGGCAGCATTCCATGGGCATCTGCAGACCCAACTCCCCTCACCTTGTCTCTTTTGTATCCTGTTGCCTTTTCCTCAAAGTGAAGCTTACCGACCTCTCAAATAACCTTTGCAGGAATCACATCTTCACGTCTTTTCCCTAGTTCCGCAGATAAAGCCAGAATCTGGCACAGACACTCCCTTGAATACAATGGCAACGTTGGAAGCATCCCTCTCCCCAGCTAACTTTGTATTATCTTATCATATGGCTGTAGTTCTCATGGAGAGCCAGAGTCTAAATATGTTAGGACATGTTGTTTTCTCTAGTCTGAAAACCTCCAAACAAAATTAAACCTGAAACAGACATAAAGCCAACTAAAATCATAAGGCAATTTGTAGCACAGATTACTTTACACTCTTTACATGCCATTTATAAGAAAAAGGGATAATAAAAAGCAGTCCCCAGATATTAAAAAGGTCTTACAACACACAATGGATGTGCAGTGCTCTGTTCCCAGTTGCTCCTCACATTCCCAGTGGCCCCCCCATAAACCATCTCCCAGACACAGCCCCCTCCCAAGGTGGTCACCACGGAACACGTTTCAGGTTCCAAGCACAAAACATTTCTGTTTTAAAGCACATGTCAATCACTGCGCAGCCACTGGAAAGAAAGCAGGCAGAGAGAAAGCAGCGCCAGCCCGAGCATCTGCAGAGAGCTTGTGTACCTAGGTCGAGGATCCAGTACTTGCAGGTGCCCGGCTGCCCGCCGCTGCAGTAGGCTGAACTGACAGAGGACAGCGAGTCCAGCGTGTCCACTGGCTTCAATCCGTTGGGCATGGTGACTGGAGCCGACTGGAGGCTAAAGGTGCAGAACCCCTATCCTACCTCTCCCTCCACAGCAGCTAGAGCCACCCGCTTGGCAGCAAAAGCAGCGACCAGCTAAACAGACACTCAGACACAGACTGGGACGCGACAGGGACAGGCACACAGACTGGCAGCGTGTTGCTCAGCGGCCGGCGCCAGCCCACGGCCCGGCCCAGCGCGCGCCTCTCCCTCGCTGGCGTCTGAGCGCGCGCGCGCGCGCTGCAGTTGGGTTTCACAAGTGGGAATACCCAGACGCGGTGGATTTCATTCTACCACACTGACTCTAATTGGAGCTCAAGGAAATTCTTCAGGCACCCTGGAAACCAGATGTCTCTCCCCGCCTGCACTAGCCAGAGCTGCAATTTCCTTACTCAGTGAAATGTGAAGTGACAGTTGCCCTCCCCACGCAGGCCGTTCTGAATGGCTTCCCTGACTTGGGCTTTGTGTACATCTGGAGGGAGGTCCGCCCTGAGACTCACACACCAAACAGCACCTCCTGATGTGACTTGATAAAAAAAAAGAAATGTAATGCGGCCTAATAGCCAACTGGTTACATCACTGTGCTGTAATGCCGCTCCTCACTTATTAAAAACATATCTTCATTCTTCCTCACAGGAAGCAGCCAGAGAACTGAAAATGTAAATTCTTGCATGCGAACTATAAGGAGTTTTTAGGAAAGCGTATCTTAGAAGTTCTTTCTTGTCTTCCTTGGAAATTGGATCTTTTCCTTAGCGGAGAAACATTCTTACTCTCTCTTTGAAAGTTTCCATATGTTCGCTCCCTTGTCCCACACCACACAATGGCTTCAGAGGAGAATGTCCACTGCGTGGGAACTGTCGGGTCTGACTTCCAGCTTCTGTGGTGTGTGTGCGCTCCCCTGTTCCTCGGTGCCCTCCACACTAGACCTGGATGCCCTTGCCTTGGTCTGACGAAAAGTCACCTGGAATATTCGCCACATATCTCAACCTGTAGTGTGGCTCTGAGCTGCTTACAATTTCTTTGAGGAAGTGTTCTTTGTTGAACCTTAAGAAAACATGTACTATCTTGAATTCTTTATATTAATAATTTTTCTCATGTCTGCTTTATCTAACTTGACAGTATAAACAATTTTATTTGTGCTGTTTTTTATGGCTTTGCTAAGAAGAATGTTGCCTTTTTTTACTTCCTCAGTTAAAAAAAAGTTAAAATTTTGGTTTTGTCCCCACCTCCACATTTGTTGCATAATAAAATTTTAAAATCCTCAAAGGAAAAAGAACGTGAAAACAGCACAGACTTCTAGTTTCTTTCTGAGTTTAAGACAATTAACTACTATAAAAATCAAGATGCTATATCCAGGGCACCCAGAGAAAACTGTCTCAGGCGCTCCAACGGCTCTCTCACCAACTGCTGCAGAGGGGAGTCTGGCATTTATGGGCCCACGTTAGGCTTCATATTCTTCTTAAAACACCAAAAGCAAAGCGTAAGGTTGTTTTTCCCTTTAAACGGTCCCGTGATAGATCCAGATGGTGTACTTATGCCAGGACCCAGCGAGAGGCAGAGTTCTGCACAGAGCACATTTTATGTAAGAGAAGACAACTTTATTGCCAAATAAATAACCTCCTCTTTTGTTAGCAAAAAGCACTAAAAATTATGACCTAAAGGAAATCAAGTTAATTGACATTCTAAGGTTTCAGTTACTACAACCGTTATTAAAAAGTTGACTTTGTCCCTTTCCAAAATACGGACTGCCAACATGGGCCATTAATTTAAAAACTAAAAAAGAGCTGTCAGGGAATTTAATTACTTTATGTGTAATATAAGTTCTCTATGAAAGAAAAGAGGATTAAGCTTAAAAATGAGTACAATAATTTTGGCTAAAGATGTATGGGAAATTTCCCTAGGGACTGATCACTTCAAATCTCAAGTTTGGGCCAGGCGCGGTGGCTCATGCCTGTAATCCCAACACTTTGGGAGGCTGAGGCAGGTGGATCATGAGGTCAGGAGTTCGAGACTAGCCTGGCCAACATGGTGAAACCCCATCTCTATTAAAAATACAAAAATTAGCTAGGCATGACGGCACATGCTTATAATCCCAGCTACTCAGGAGGCTGAGGCAGGAGAATCGCTTGAACCCAGGAGGTGGAGGATGCAGTGAGCTGAGATTGTGCCATTGCACTCTAGCCTAGGTGACAGACTCCATCTCAAACAAACAAACAAAAACAAAAAAAAACCCTCAAGTTCACATCTGTCAGAGGTGTAGCATCGCACAGATGAGGGAGTGAGGAAGGAAGACGCCTTCTGGGTCCCCTCCCTCCTTCCAGTCATGTAGGTGAGAGACTGCAGAGCGTGTCAGATGGGACAGGGCATTTTATACAGTAAGTAAAGAGAAATTATCTCAATTAAAGGCATGCCCTGAAGGGCGACAACCTGAGCCACTAGACAGAAACGCGGAACCAGCGGAAATGCGGAGGTGAGTAAATGACCGATGGGAGAGGAGGCGAGGCAAAAGGAAAGGAAGGAAGTCCAAATCACTGGCAAAATTTCCCTGGAAATAAGTTTTGACGCCAAGGCCTATTTCTACCATGGTGGCATGGCCAGGGATCTGGTCTGAGAATCTGAACAGACTCGGTTCAGGAGAAGACGACACAGGGGTTAGTGACCTCAACAGACCGTGGGAAGAAACCCTGGTTCAAAACCATGGCCGTGAGGGTGGGAAGGAGAAGGAGGTGAAAACAGGTGGGTGACTTGGTTAACTGGGAACAAATTACAGAAGCGACAATGTGATGTAACCAGAAAGGAAACTGGAAGCTACTGAAAGGCTTGAGAAAGGGGACAATGAGGTTAAAGCTTTGAGTCTTAAACCTCATTTGATCTGCTGAATGAGTCTATCTGCCGTGTGAGAACATTAGCAAGTAAGTAAAGGGGGTCAGGAAATGATGTCAGAAGCCTGAATTGTCAATGAACAGGACCTCGAAAAGGAATGAAACAGTGAGACAGGTTTAGTGCAGATGGAGTTGAATTTTGCAAAGAAAGGAGAGAGATGTGAAAATGGAGCGAATGGGGTGGGTCAGAGACAAACGTCACAGGCACTTGGCGGAAGAGAACACGTGTAATGTAGAAATTTAACGGAGTTTGTGAAGGAAAACAAGAACTTCTGTTTTTTGGTATTTTTGATAATTTTTGACATTTTACTTTGATGGCTGGACACACAATTTAAAATGTCACAGAGAGAACAGAAGATCCATCAAGATAGTGCTGCTTTAAGGACATAACGTTTGTCTCTGAGGACCAAAGCTAGAGATGCTGGGAAGGAACAAAAGGGTGATATCTATGTCAAGCAAATTGGGCACTGACTCTTAACATCATGGCCATATTTCACATCGCCCCAAACCAAATCATTACAATCTACCAGGATGGTGGGATTACGGGCTGAACTGTGTATTCCCCAATTCCTATGCTGATGTCCCAAGCCCTGGACCTTGGAATGCGACTGTGCTTTGAGGCGGAAATTTAAAGAGGTGAAAGAGTTAAAATGAGGTCCTTGGGGCGGGGGGGGTGGTCCTCATCCAATATGCCTGGTGTCCTCACGGGAAGAGGAGATGAGGGCACAGACATGCACAGAAGAAAGTTCTTGCCTCTGCAAGCCAAGAAGAGAGGCCTCAGGAGAAACCTACTCTGCTGACACCCTGATCTCTAACTCTCAGTCTCCAGAAAATAAATTTCTGTTGTTTGAACCAGGCAGTGTGTGGTACTTTGTTACAGCTGCCCCAGGCACAGCTCATCAGGGCATGAGTGTGTGAGGGGTACTATACTCCAAATGGAATATAAATACGCAGAAACCAATGAACCCAGCTGAACAACATCACCCCGAGGTGGGTGGGGAAGAAAACAACTAACCTAACTTTGAAAAACAGCTTTTTGATTGTATACTGTAAAACCAAAGGAAAAAAAATCTGTAAGTTTCTTCCATGAGTATGGGTTAGCAATTCTGAAACTACTATAGTGAGAATGGGTGGAGCTGAGTCTCACAGTCATAATTAGTAAAAAATTCAATATCCAAACAGGAGAGGGAAAAAAAGAACTTTTAGAATAGGATGGAACAAATAATCACATTCCAGAGAATGAAATCCAAGTGTCTTACTATCAAAGAAAGAGGTTACAAATGAGGAAAGGAAGAAGGTTAGAATAAAGCCTTTGTTGATAGATTGCAGACACTTCAGTATGATGTAAAGTCATACACACACATACAGGAGCCTAGTGGAGCTGTGAGAAGAGGGCCACCACCCTCCAGACCCGCAGAATGGCAGACCCACTGACACAGCTTGCACCGTGAGCCTGGAAAAGCTGCAAACAATGCCAGTCCGTGAAAGCAACCAGGAGGGAGGCTTTGCCCTGCCAAGCCACAGAGGCAGAGCTGTCCAAGACCATGGGAACCCACCTATCAGCGTGACCTGGATGTGAGACATGGAGTCAAAGGAGATCATTTCTGAGTTTTAAGATTTGACTGCTCTGCTGGATTTCAGACTTGCATGGGGTCTGTAGCCCCTTTGTTTTGGCCAATTTCTTCCATTTGGAATGGCTGTATTTACCCAATATCTATACCCCCATCGTATCTAGGAAGTAACTAACCTGCTTTTGATTTTACAGGCTCATAGGTGGAAGGGACTTGCCTTGTTTTGGATGAGACTTTTGACTGTGGACTTTTGAGTTATTGCTGAAATAAGACTTTGGGGGACTGTTTGGAAAGTATGATTGCTTTTGAAAGGTGATGACATGAGATTTGGGAGGGACCAGGGGTGGAATGATACGGTTTGGCTGTGTCCCCACCCAAATCTCATCTTGAATTCCCACGTGTTGTGGGAGGGACCTGGTGGGAAGTAATTGAATCATGGGGGCAAGTTTTTCCCGTGCTGTACTTGTGACAGTGAATAAGTCTCATAAGACCTGACGGTTTTACAAAGAGGAGTTCCCCTACACAAGCTCTCTCTTGCTTTGCCTGCTGCCATCCATGTAAGATGTGACTTGTTCCTCCTTGCCTTCCATCAAGATTGTGACGCCTCCCCAGTCACATGGAACTGTAAGTCCAATAAACCTCTTTCTTTTGTAAATTGCCTAGTCTCAGCAGTGTGAAAACAGATGAATACAAGAAGAGACGGAGATGGGGGCAGGGGAGGATGGAGGAGGGGAAACAGAAAATACAGATGTTTATGTATGCATGGGTTGGTACACACACATCTGCTAAGAGGGCCTGAAGCCATGGCAACACACAGCAATGAGCATACCTAGCACCCAAACCTTAGTTTCTAAGACCATTCTCCAACAAAACGGACCAGGAGGGCTTCTTGGAGAAATGGCTGACTCCAGGACTGTGGCAGGCAAAATACAATATGAGCCTGGTACATCCTATAGTGCCAGAAAGTAAAGGAGTGCTCTAAAACAAGTTGGGAGCACGTCAGAAGTTCACAGACAGGGCTCCTGATAGCCACAGCTGGAACAATCTAAGAAGAAAACAATGACAGCACTGGGTTATGATCCACACAATAAGTATCCACGACTCCAACTGATATAAGTAAAGAATGGCAGAGGGACAGCTCTTATAGAAGAATTCCAACTGATAAATTCAGAAGGAATGAGGAAACTATGAAATACCATTAGGTAAGCACTATAGTGTTGTAGGCAAGAACTACTGAGGGATGCCAAAATTAGAGGGTAAAGGTAGGATGAGAAACAGAGTATTGCACAGTTCAAAAATATTTCCCCACAAGGTATTTATTAATTACAAAGAGAAAAACAGTAACTTTACAGTGGGGGAAATGCTGCAGATGCTACTGAGACAGTGAGGTGAAAGGGGGTCCCTGGAAACACTCCAACCAGCCTGCACATTGTGGTGGAGCCTCGGGAAGTCTGCACCCTTTGCAGCGGGGAGGAGCTCAGCTTCTCCTCTTCCTGTGTGGAACCTGGGATTCAAACTGCGGGTGCTCTAGCAGGGAGTCCGGCCTCGTGGAGGATCCTTCTTTCCCCCTTTTTTTCCCTTTTCACCCAATAAAACCCTGCTGTACTCAGCCTTCAAACCATCTGCAAGCCTAAATTTTCGTGGCCATGGGATGGATGAGGACCCTGTCTTTAGCTGAACTAAGGAAAAGTCCTGCGACACTACTTTAGCCAGGTGACCAAGGTCCACACACCGACAGGGAGACGTCTCAGGATACCCTGTACCCCTGACGTGATGCACGGAGAAGGGCACAATAGCATCAGTGCTGTTCTTGCCCAACATGCATGAGCTAAATTTAAGAGAAAACACTGCTTTATTTACTATTAGATAAACTCAAATTGGGAGGCATCTTATGACAGAAAGGACCAGTATGCCTTAAAATTGTCAAGGTCATGAAGAAGAAAAAAGACTGAAGAGCTGCTACAGATTGGGGGAAATTATTAAGTCGGTGCAAAAGTAATTGTGCCTTTTGCCACTGAAATGGCAAAAACTGCAATTACTTTTGCATCAACCTAAATAAATACAATGTGGATTCTTAATTGACTATTAAGCCAGAGAGAGGACATGAAAGCAAAATCCAGGATAAGGCCCAGGGCTTAGTTAAGAGCACTGCATTCGGGTTCATGCCCGATTTTCATCACCGTATGTGAGATGTTACTATTGGGGGAGCTGGGTACAGGGTGTACAGAAATTCTCTGAACTATTTTTGTCACTTTTCTGTAGGTCCAAAATTATTTCATAATTGTTTTTAAAAATAAAAAAAAAACTGAGTGTTGTGTTATTTAAATGCAAATAGCTAAAGAAACTGAGAGTATGAAAAAGTTACCAGAAAAAAGTAGGTAAAGTCAGAGAAGATCTTTGTAGAAAAAGAAACGTATCAGACAAATTAAAGATCTGTAAATAAAGGGGTTTATGATTATCGAAAAAAATGTACTGAAGGAACACAATACAAAATGTATTTTTCCACATACTTTTGTGGGACAAAAGAATGAACAAAATTACAATAGTCAATCTTATTTTCGTGAAAATTAAAGTATTTTTATTTAGATTAGTTGAAAAGCAGCTCATATGGTCATGGTCAAAGTTAATGCCCACGAAATTTACTTTTTATGTAGCCTTCTCTTGTAACAATTATTTCTCAAATATTTAAAATTTGGACTTCAATTTCAAGTGTCTGTTATTAATCTGCCCATAAAAAATGAGACAAGTAATTTCTGCCAAAAGGAGTCTAAAACAAAAGCAGTAAAAAGGATCAATATACAAATGGTGCTTTAAAAATGAAGACTAGAAATATACTTAAGGCTAAAATTAAGATGAGCCAAAGGACCTGAAGTCTTTCTATTGAAATTATGATGCTTTTTGAGTAAACATATATTTATAATTAAGCAATTAATATAGAATGAAAAGATCCTTAAAATCAAAATCAAAATACTGGATATATAAAACAACATTAGCTGAATTCTGAGATTAGATCTTGAATGATATAATGATTAGGAATATTATAATTTCCTCTAAAAATCAGGAGTGTTTTCTGAGACTTGATTAATACTGATAAAATTTCAGTATTCTACCTTGAAGTCAGTCCTCAAACCCCAATTATTAAAAGGAGCACACAGCTCTGCAGCTGAGGATGCTGGGCCCCTGAAATGTCATACCATTTTTTTAAAGTAGTAATTCTGGACTGTTTTCCTTTCGCCACCTCCCTGGCCCTTGTTTTCTTCCCCATGCGTTTCCGCTCTGCACAATATGTCCACAGTGCTGGCTTCAAGCACAGCTGCACCACCAGGATTGAGTCTCTCAGGTTCCATGCACAAAGATACTCCTGTTCAGAGGAAGTTTTCTCCGGTTTCTTTACCCCATAGATAATACCTCCTGCTCTGGAGGGAAAGGGATGACGAAACCCCTGCTTCTTAGGGCTCCATTCAGCACAGGAGTTCCTGCTGCTTTCTAGCACAGTTGCCAATCCACAAAAGCACCTTTATGGAGGCATTCAAACTCTTCATGTGGGTGCCAAGAATTCGATAGGCTCCTTTTCATTGCTTTATTTACTATCTTTTCACAAACTATGTGAGTTTTTCTCTTTCTTTAACAAACCAAACATTCAAATACTCCTTTTTTACATTTCACTTTAACTATGTGACATTCTCTGTTTGCACCAGCATTGTGGATTATTTACAGAACTGCAACGTGATATGGTAACCTCACAAATCGTGTTTCTCAAAAAAGTAACAAAAACAACAGTGCTCAAAAAATTAAGAGCCATGTAGCTAACTCTTGACTGCCAACATGTGCTTTTGATGTCCCATTTCTCTTAAACTTCAGAGAATGAGAGATATAGGGCTAAAATTCACAGGGTTGATGGTGGCGGGGAGCTGACAGGAAGTTGAATTCTTCAGCTCCTTTAAGGAAGAGCAAAGGAGAACAAGCAGCTGATTTTGATTTAGGAAAGGGGGCAGAATAATAGTTTTGGGGCAAAAATCTTTTACTCCTGGATGCAAACTGATAAAGAAAAAATGGCTTTTCCTTTGTGATTGCTTTTTCCATTTATTCACTCATACATAACATGCTCATTGTGAGTAAAGTTCTGTAATCAACTAGGGGAGTAGGAAGAGGAGAAATCTGGCCCCCAAAGATGAAAAAAAGATTTCCATTAAGATGACTTCTCTGGGCAGTGGAATGCATTTGGAATTATTAGATCACAATTCAAACTGGAAATCTGAAACTTGATCTTTTTCATAGAGACGAAATGTTGGAGGGCCCATGGCCTCTCAAGAATGGGCAAAGCCAGAGTGCAGCGAACTTAGGACACCAGGTTCTAGAATTAGCTCTTCCATAAACGATGTCTGGCCTTGGGCAACTGAGTTTGTCTCTACGGGCTTCAGCTTCCTCCCTGCACCAAAGGTTTCTTCCAACGTGCACAGACAGCAGTATGTACAGTGGCTATCTTAAGTCTGACTGCTGCTTTGAAAATCTCACTTTACGTCCCCTGCTATGTTTGGTTACGTGATTTTTCTGTGCTTCCCTTTTCCTACCCTAAAATGGGGATGATAATGGTGTATGTCTACGTTGTCATGAGGGTATCTTGAGGGTGGAACATAGAGAACAGCACTGTGGCTGGCAATGGCAAGTCCGCACCCCATGCTCTCTGTTACTACTGTTAATTTCTTAAGGCTCCAATGGCCCCCTTGCTATGGGCTGAAGTGTGTCCCCCTAAAATCCATGTTGAAGTTCAAATCCCCAGTATCTCAGAATGTGACTGTATTTGGAAACAAGGTCTTTTAAGGAGGTGATTAAATTAAAATGAGGCTCTTAGGGTGGGTGCTGATCCAACCTGACTGGTGTTCTTACAGAAAAGGAAATAGGGAGATAGACAGCTATATGGAGAATCAGCAAGAGGGTGGCCATCTGCAAGCCAAGGACAGAGGCCCCAGAGGAAGCCGACCCTGCTGACTCCTTCTAGACTTCTTCTGGCTTGCAGAACTGTGAGAGAATAAATGTCTGTTGTTTAATCCCCCAGGCTCTGGGATTTTGCTATGGCAGCCAGCAGATGAATACACCCTTCTCCCCCTTCTGTTAATAATCTTCTCCATGATACAGGACTGAAATGATCTAAATGTTTTTGAGACAGTAGGAAACACATCTATATCTAAGAACAGAACTTTAATATTCTTCCCCTCTAGCATTCAAATTCTACAGACTCCTGAAAAGGGGTTGGGGAGAGAATAGATGAGATTGAACACACAGGGCTTCATTTCTTGACAAAAATAATAAAGAATTCCAGAGCCGCCGTGCAATGCAGCCAAGGCAAACGAGCCTGTTTACTGTCCTCTCGAATGTTTGAAAGGACCTTCAAATAATAAACACTTTGGGGGCCCTGTCCTACGTTTGGCTAGAAAGGTTTCGGGAAGATGATGCCCCCTGAATAGTCTGTGATGTGGAATGACCAATTGCCTGAAGTCTGAGGTGTTCCAGCCACTGCTGGTCAGACCACGATGAAGCAGGGCAGACCCTGAACACGTCTCAGAAGCCCCAGGCAGCCAGCCCAGCATGAGCCACACAGAACCCCAGAAAGGGGCGTGAGGATGTTCTCCTGGGAGAGGTGGCCACAGGGGCAAGAGCTCAAAGGGTAGCCTCCTACCCCCATGCCTTTTTCTGTCCCCTTCAAAACTCTTCCACAGTGTCAGGAAGGAAGGAAGTTAGATTTGGGAGAGCTTTAAAAACTGTCTTATTCAAAATTCAGGCCAGGCGCAGTGGCTCATGCCTGTAATCCCAGCACTTTGGGAAGTCGAGGAAGGCGGATCACCTGAGGTCAGGAGTTCAAGACCCGCCTGGCCAACATAGTGAAACTCCGCCTCCATTTAAAATATAAAAATTAGTCAGGGTGGCGGGTGCCTGAGGTCCCAGCTACTCGGGAGGCTGAGGCAGGAGAATCCCTTGAACTCGGGAGGCGGAGATTGCGGTGAGCCGGGATCATGCCACTGCACTCCAGCCTGGGTGACAGAGCAAGACTCTGTCTCAGTAAATAAATAAATAAAATAAAATAAAATAAAATAAAATAAAATAAAACGAAATTCACTGTGAAATGTTTGTGGTAAGAAACTGAATCCTTCAGAAAGAGCGGAGATTATACAGAGACTCCAAGGCCCACTAGGAGAGCCATCAACAGCCCAGCCTTGTGAATGTATCTCTTGCAACTGCATAGCTTGGATTCACGAAGAACTTTGCAAGGATGGAAGGCGTATGGGGCACCATGAAAGCTATTTTATATACATACTGAGGGAAGGGAAGTTACTTGCTCTTTGGAAATCACTGCCATTTATTTGTTATGTGGAGAATCCCTAAAATAAAAGCGCAAAAATGTTGATGAAAGATGATTTACATAAATATTTCATTGCATGCTCTTGTAATTCTGTGGGAAAACATCCATCCAAACCTCACCTCCCAGACAGGTCACACAGAGACTCAAGATATAATTTATATGAATGGATTTAAAGAGGCCCATTCAAAAAGGACAATTTTTTTTTTTTTTTTTTTGCTATTTGGGTAAAAAAATTAAAAAAAAAAGCACGCAAATATCATTACACGCAAAGTTTTATATTGATTTTTTCCCTATAAATACATTTAACCTATCAATTCTACGCCTAGAATTCTATCTTCCAGACACACCTGCACATGGACCAAATGATACACATGTGAGGGTATCTCCCGCAGCGCTGTATATATCAGTGAACAAACTGATCCCAGCCCGATGTCCCTGCACAGTGCACGAGTTAATCACTAAGGCACACGCACACATGAAGTATTACACATCTAAAAAAATGAAGCAGGTCTCTAGGTACTGGAATGGGGTCAAGGGATAAAAGCCAGGAGCAAAACATGCCACCACTCATGTCAGCAAAAGGAGGGAGAAATGCTTATCTATTCACTTATTTACATATGCCTAACAAACATTGGAAGCACAAGCTAGAGGTGAATAAAAATGGTTATGTGTACCTGGCACGTGGGGTTGTGGGAACAAGACTTCTCAGTTTATACCGCTTCATGTCTTGTTTTCTGAACCATGTAAAATACCTAAACATAACTTGTAAGTCTTAAAATTTTTCTTTCTCTTATTTAGAAAAAAGTTCTCCATATGGGTGGGGTGTGTGAACGTGTATGTAAAAGTGTTGTGCCTATGTGCATTTTCTGGCATAGGTACCAGAGCTCCCATAAGATTTGTTCAGGGACACAGGACAAAGACTTCCAAGGCCTGCTGCTTCTAAATTAGCCAGAACAATTTAAGGCATTTTCCCTTCTCTTTGCATTTTCAGCTCAGCTATCAGGATGTGTAAAACATTCTGTGCATGGGAAAGTCAGCCCAAGGAGTACAATATAATCACAAAATCTCATCTCACGCTTCTCTGAACAGAGAAAGGAACATAAGGCAAGAGCCAAGCCACACTCGGGTCTGTCTGGCACACACTTCTCATCAGCGCCTGGCTGCTGTGTTATCAGGTGCCCTCAGAGCCATGAGCTGCTAAACACTATCAGAAAACAAGTTTAGACCCACCCTGCGGAATTATATGATTGTTCCCCTCCAGGAACGCCACTTACTCATTTTCAAGACACTTAATGAAAAACAGCAAGCTGGACTTTTAAACCATCTCTTACCCAACACATCATCTCTCTGTAATTTTTCACAGCTTCTGCAAATGCTAACTAGAGTGAACAAATTTAAAAGGGAACCCCGTTTGTGTACTAAGTAGCAAAGTCTGATGTCTAGGAAATGTCAGAAAGGAGGCAGTAAAGGAAGTCCAGTCTCCAGAGAGTGAGAGGCAGGAGAGGACGTGGCGGCCTGGTACCTGTGTGGCCCTGCTTGGCCCATGAGTCACCCCCTCAGGGCCCGTCTCATTTTTCCCACGAGCTCCTCGCTGATTTTACTGCTTTCCCTAAACACTAGGTCATGGCCATTTAAAGCAAGTGTGGGAAGACCGTTTCTCATTGTTTATGACTCTGCTATATATATAATTTTGTGATGATCTAATATGGATAGTGTCAATACCTGCTCGTGGATTTTTCCTGTTTTAATAAACACTTTAATGTAAAGTTGGAACACGAAAATACCTCAAACATGAAGCACTCAACAGAGTAATGGCCCACTTGTGTGGCTCCATAATTATACGCTATGTAGAAAACACTCCTTAATCACAGGTCTCAGACTGATCTCTCAGTCTTGGCTGCACGGTGCTCAGGAAAGGGACAGCGTCTTTGTTTTAAAATTCTTGGTGTAACTCCATGTTCTTTGGTCTTTCTTCCCACAGGAATTGACATTAGCAGCTGTTCAAACAGAATACAACTGCTCTTTTCCAAGCTAATTAAAAAAAAACCTGTATATAGATTTCTCAGTATATTATTTTTAAGAATGTGTGGGCAGAAAAGGGTTTGAAATATCTAGGCATTAATGTGCTTGGGGTGTGTTTTCTGATAACAGTGGCAATTTGGCATGAATCAAATGTCTAAATATACCTGAATCACGATATTTTCGACTAAACTTTTTAATGTCACTAAACTCTTAATACCCTACATTTTTGGAAGACTTATTAGGTCACGGAAATGTTATAAGCAGTTTCAGTCTCATATGACTCTGAGGAGACTCAGATTCACCTTTGCGGCAGATCCTTTCATGATCCGGGAAAGACCACATTTGGGGTGAACAAATTTAAACCAAGTCCTCTGAAAAACACCTGGAGAAATGCTAGAGGCCTCAGAAGGGCAAGCTCCGGGTTTGGTCACAGAGGCTTCTGCAAAGGTAGAGAAGAACCTTGGTCTCTGCAAAGCTGGAGTTTTTGGGTGGTGAGGCGACAGGGACTTTCTCTGCTCAGTGTGTGGCTGGCTCTTGTGTTGGTGGCTATATGTGTTGTTGCTCAAGAAGGTGGGTCTGTGGCATGAATCCAACTCAAGTCAGAGTAGGCACCAAAAAGGCACCCAGGCTCGGCTTCCCTGGCTCAGCCTGGACCATCGGCAGGTCATTTCAGACTACATGACCCCCACCAAAGAACTGGCTGACATGGGACCTCTCCATCCTGACGTGACTGCCCCGGTGAGAATCCAGGACAAGGCCGCGGCCCTGTGGGTAGAGGTGAGGCTCCCCTCCAAGGAGGGCATCCCTCTGTCAACTGCCCTGGGTGGGCCAGTGAAGGGCTTCTCTGTCCTGGCACCTTGGAAAGTGGTTGGAGGGGTGAGGTCGTTTCTGGTAACTGGTTGTATTCTGAGCAGGGAAACAGCACCGGCGTATCCCCCGTGCTGGGGTTGGCTGGGAACACGAGCAGTGAGGCTTGGGCTGGGGGTTCCTGAGAGTGGACACACCTGGCAACCTGGAGTCTTCTCTTCCATCATCTGCAAACTCTGTGAATGTCTCATCTGTGCCATGGGGGGTGAAGGGGACATAGGAGCTAAGGGGAGAGACCTGGCCTCCTCCAATCTGCACAGGGGGAAGGATGGTGGTGGGGCCACTGGCCAACAGGCTAAGCCGTGACCTCACCAGGCGAGATGTTTAGATGAGGAGCTGCAGAAAGGGGTGGGGTGAGGAGGCAGTCCTGGAGGGAGGACAACAGGGGCACATAGGCACGGTCATCTGGGTGTTGATGGAAACACACCCTGGCTTTGCAGTCACACAGTGCTTACCCCAGTGGTCACCTGTTAGAATGTGATGTAGATGAAGCTCCCAACCTCCAGGCATAGGGCCTGGCACATTCATTCATTCATTTAAAGAAGTGACAAGTGATTCTGAGGAGTAACCCTGGTAAAAAAGCTGTGTACATTTCTAGGAACTCTGAGTAACGGTCCCAGCAAATAAATAAATCTATATAAAGTGCATACCTTTAAAGTTACGAAACAAACAAAAAAAACCCAGAACTCGACAACAAGATTACAAATGAACTGCACTCACTTCCCCATGACCGTCTGTGCTGAGAGTCTCCCACTGAGCAGTTCTGCCATGTTTACAGGGCTCAGTTTAAAGCTCCCCCCGCAACCCCCTGCTGAAGGCCCATCTCCTCCGCTTCTTGCTGGCTCTCAGTGCCGGCCATCTGCGGAGACTCGCTGCTTTCTCTACCGAGCCTACGGTTTAAAACACCTGTGTTGTCTGCAGTTCCTCTATCCCATTTTTAAGTTCAACAGTGTATCTGCAATCATCATTCCTGTTACAATCTGTTTAAGGTGCTTTCAGTGAGTTCCTGGACAGTTCCTTGTGGGTCTTCAGCGTTCCTTGGAGTTCATCTAACTGGACTTTTCAGCTGACCTGATGGGAGCCTCTGTGTGGAAATACTTGCTAACTAGACCAAGATTTATTCTGCTCTCTCCTCCCTTCCATGAGCTCACTGAATACATTTATTTTTCCCATGAGGATTTGTATTTGTATTTGATGAAATGAGACGGGGACTATTAGGTAGGGGTGAGTGAGAGGGAAAAAAGCCCCTATGTTACCTGATGTACAGCTCCAAGAGAAGGTGTATAGGTGTGCGTGTGTGTGCACATGTGTGTGTACATGTGCGTCTATGAGACGAAAGGTCTTGTTGGACATGTGAGGAAGCTGAATTTTATTCTCTGACCAAGAGAAAGTCGCCAAAGAAATTTAAGCAAGAGAGTATGGTAACATTTATGTTTTAGGTGAAACGAAAAAGGGCAAGAAGTGAGGTCAGGTGATCAGGTGATAAGAGTAACGGTAGAAATGAAAAGAGAACATACTTGAAATATATTATTGAGATAAAGTTAACAAAACTGAGTGGGCAGCCTCAAAAAATTAAAAGTAGAACTACCATATGTCTTAGTCCATTCCTGCTGCTATAATAAAATACCTTAAACTGGATAACTTATAAAGCACAGAAATTTATTGCTGACAGTTTTCGAGGCTGGGAAGTCTGAGATCCAGGCGCTGGCAGAGTTAGTATTTAAAGAGGGCCTGCTCCTCAAAGACGGTGCCTTCTGTGCCCTCACATGGCGGAAGGACAAAAGGGCTCCCTGGGCCTCTTTTGTAAGGGTAGTAATCCCATTCTCAAGGGCTCTGCCCTCATGATCTAATTACCACCCAACAGTCCACCTCTTAATACCATCACATTGGCGGTTAGATTTCAACATACGGATTTTGGAAGGACGCAAACATTCAGACAACAGTACCATATGATCCATCAATTGCATTTCTGGGTATACACCCAGAAGGACTGAAAGGAGGGACTTGAAGAGATTACTTGTACATCCATGTTCATAGCAGCATTATTCACAAGAGTCAAAAGGCAGAAGCAACCCAAGTGCCCATCAGCAGATGAATGTTGAACTCAATGTGGCATCTGCATACAAGGGGATGCTATTCAGCCTTAAAAAGAAAGGAAATTCTGACAAAAGTCAGAACACGGAATCTTCTACAAGAAATAAACAGTCCCAAAAGGACAAGACTACATGACTTTCTACTCACATGAGGCACCTACAACAGTCAAACTCATGGAGACAGAAAGGAAAGGGGCAGTGCCAGGGGCTGGGAGGAGAGAGCGGAGGGTTTTGTTCCATGGGCACAGAGGTTCAGTTCTGTAAGACGGAAAAAAGAATTCTAGATGTGAATGGTAATGACGGCTGCATAACAATGTGAAGGTACTTAATGCCACTGATCTGTAGACTTAAGAATGGTTAAGATGATACATTTTGTTATGTGGAGTTTACCAGTTTTTAAAAACTGTGGTGGGCAGTGGAGAGACCCTCACGTGCGTTAGCCATGTTCTTGGGTGAACAAGTGGGGAGATGGTGGGAGAGGGAATCTGAATACTTCAGATTTGAAAAAGTTGCTAAGACAGTCAAGTGGAAAAGTAAACTATTCGGGTGGACAAGAAAACCCTTGGGAGAGAGCTTGGAGAGAAGCAAGGAGAGCTTGGAGAAAAGCAGGGTGGACCCACAGAAAAGTCAACATTTCGGACAGTTCCGAATGAAAATATGTCTCTTTCTCATTTTTAACTTGAGTTAGAAAAAAATGCCCCATTTGATTAATAGCAATCATGTATCACTACACTTACGAAAGACAGTCCCTGCGTCTTCTCTTAACTACTGCAGCCAGTCTGGTCAAGCCTGAGAGCTGATCTTGGTAGTGCCCACTGGAGTTGTGGTAAACTATGGGGGACTGTTTTTGGCACAGATTTTACCATAGTAAAACGTAGCATCCTGAGTTAAAGCCCCTGGGTTTAGAGGCTCAAGTCACCCACAAGCAAAAGGTTTTATTTCTCATGTTTTTTTTCCCTTTAATTTTCTCATTCACTGCAGATGACTCATACTCTGAACTTCTTCGAAATAAAATGCAGGTACTGAACCATACTTTTTCTCTATCCAAAGGAGAAAAAACTTTAAAATTGTGAATGCCTTTTAGAGTGGTAAAGGTTAATTTTTATAAGTGGGTGTTTTCTTCTAGACATATTTGAAAGCACAAGCAAAAAGGCCACCTGTCATCACATGATGGGTTGGTGTAAGGAAACGGCAGTTTTGAATCGGCCTTTGCTCATAAAGCCTTCTAAGAACTCTGAACTCAGAATGTCAGAGCTGGCAAGACCCTGGGAGGCCTCCTGCGCCCGCCCCATCTCAGGCCTCCTGACAGGAAGAACGCATCCTCCAAGCTCACCACTCACTCCTCCCTTGCCACCAAAAGGTCTCTTCTTAAAGCCCATTTCATTTTATTTATTTATTTATTTTTTAGAGATGAGGTCTCACTCTGTTGTCCAGGCTGGAGTGCAGTGGTTTGATCATAGCTCACTGTAGTCTCAAACTCCTGGTTAAAGCCTTATTTCAGCAAAAAAAAAAAAAAAAAAAAAAATTCCATGGGGTCTGAGAGGGGCCTTCCAGATTCAACTTCGAATGGCAAAGGCTCTGGGCAGCAGTAGTGCGGGACACAGGCCCTGGGGTGGTTTTCCAGATGTCCTGAGTGGGGAGGGTGACGGAAGGCCCTCCCCAGGACAGGGTATGAACTCCTGTCCCACCCTCAAAACACTATCAGTCAAAAAGATTCATGCCAGGCACTCCAGAAATGCATCCGGCAGAGAGTGAGAGACGCTCATTTGCCCAGGTTTGTGACAACACTATTTTGCTTTTTCCTGGCTACTTTTCCTTCCGATCACACTGGAGCTAAATCCCCAGGGACCATTGTGTAGGGCGACTCTTGGTTGGGAAGAAAGGGAAAAGGTGAAAAAAGCAGGGCAGCGTAGGGCAAAGAGGATGTTTTGAACTGGCCTCACTGGAAATATACACATTCTTGACATTTCTGTTTACTTCCTGTGACCAAGACTGTCAATAAATACATAAAAGTGACAAGTTTTACAAGTTGAGACAATGGGAAGGAAAGAGAACTTGGATTTACTGAGCCATCAACAATGGTGACGTGACACCGATTTCAACAGTGAGCCCACGTACTACACACTCGAGTGGAAGAGAGTGAAGGGAGGTGAGTGGGCCTCAGCCCAGAATGCAGAAGAGACTCGCTGGGGGCACAGACACAGCCTCCAGGCCTAGGCCCCAGCCCCAGAGCCTCTGAGGTAACGGCAGACAGCATAAACGACAAACACAAATAAGACTGCTGGAGCACAAGGGTTTGCTGAACCCTTATTCAATCCTGCTATGCCCGGCGTCTGTTTAATTCATGACCAAGATGCTGAGACGGAGGAAGGACAGCCAGAGCAAGAGCAGAAGGCGCCATCAGACACGAAGGCTGGCCGGCCCAAAGGACACCGGGACATGCAAGCTTCCAAAGCAAACTTCGTCCACAAAACAGATGGCATTTTTTAAAGAGACTGGGTCTTGCTATGATACCCAGGCTGGTTTTAAAATGCTGGCCTCAAGCGATCCTCCCACCTCAGCCTCTTGAGCAGCTGTGATGACAGGTGTGTGCCACCGCACCTGGCCACAAGATAGCATTTCTCAATGGAATGATGTTCACAGCAGAGTCTTGTTTCAGACACAAAATTATCTCCTTGAAAAACAAATTGTGTAATTGAATTTCTTGTTCATTTAAAATAAGCTGTATTTTTATCCTCTCCCAAATCATTTTAAGGATATATAGCCGATAAAAGAAATCTGGTCTTCATAAATTCCATGGATTCTCAGTGTCCGACAGACTTCCAAGTCTAGCCCAGCTTCAAAACCACCACGTGAACCTGAGCACGGCTCATCATGATCCTGGACCCTTCTTGGCTGATCTGAGTAATTAGACTCATTGCAATCCTTAAAACAGCTTATTATTCGCAAGCAAATAAATAGTCATTTGACCTTAATAGGCATGTTTTTTACATTTGACATAAAAATGTGAAAGTTGGATCAGGGTGTTATGAAAAAATTACTGAGGCACTGAGGTTGTGAAAATGTAGAGACACTAGAACTGAATGAAGGTGCTCCTTCCTCCTGCCTAGAAGGTCAGAGCAGTAAGAGTCAGAGACATATAAGAAACTAACTTTAATAGCAAGCAACAAGAGGCAAATCTGTAAAGCCAGTTCCATACCGTCCCTGAGTTCTGAAGCGAGGGTGAGGCAAGGCAGCCTGAACATCTGATACTGGAGGGGGTCTTACCCAGCTGCCAGAATGATGCATGCCATGGTGTGCAAAGAGGGGCCATGTTTAACTCGCTCGCTGCATATCCTTCAAGCCTGAACAGCTCTTATACTGAAAAGAGGCTCAAAAGGAGAGAGTGGACGGGCAGAGGCATGTGGATGGCTGGCATGGGCAGGCCGGCACATGCCAATGTCTTTCCAGTCGTGGGGGCAGCACCCCTCTTCACACACAGGGCAGGAGAAGGGGGAGGACTGTGGGGCTGAGCAGAGGCAAGCCTGGGTCTCTGCTTCCCAGGGGACAGAGGCCTCCTGCTCCTGCAGTTCCTATGTCTTTTGTTGGACTCCACGTCTAAATCCTCATCCCTTGTTGCCCGACTTTTTGATGATGGCCTCTGTCTCCTAGACAGAGATTCTGGTCAAGCTGCCTGGTTTCCTGGACGTGGACATGGTCAGGACCTCACCCACGCCCTACCGCTTCCTATCCTTGTGGTTGAAGACGCCCTCCGTTTCCATGTTACTTCTGACCCACACCTGCTGTCTGTTGCTGCGCAGCTCCTAACACTGCAAGGGAACAAACAATCTTTTTTTTTTTTTTTTTCAGATGGAGTCTTGCTCTGTTGCCCAGGCTGGAGTGCAATGGTGCGATCTCTGCTCCCTACAACCTCTGCCTCCTGGGTCCAAGCGATTTTCCTGCCTCAGCCTCTCGAGTAGCTGGGATTACAGGCGTCTGCCGCCACACCCAGCTAATTTTTCCTATTTTTAGTAGAGACGGGGTTTCACCATGTTGGTCAGGCTGGTCCGAACTTTTGACCTCAGGTAAGCCACCCACCTCAGCTTCCCAAAGTGCTGGGATTAGAGGCGTGAGTCACCGTGCCTGGCCAGGAACAATCTTATGAGTTTCCTTGCATTACAGGAAAAAATAAAATAAAATAAAATAAAATAAAATAAAATAAAATAAAATAAAATAAAATAAATAAATAAATAATTAAATAAGGGAAAAAAGAAAAAAATGGATACAGTTCTGAGCCCCTAACCACTGGCTGGCATAAGTTCACAGCAGGTCTTGCTCATTAAGAAACACCTTCTTGGTAAAAATAGGGCATTAGAGGGTTTGTGAGGGGCAGAGTGACTTTCCAGGTACAAGAATATCGGAGAGTATCATAGGGAAAAACAAAATGGTACAACGTAGCAACATTCAAAAACCCAACCTCCACCAGAAGTTTTCCGGACGAAGCCAAGTGTGATGAATGCCTAGTTCTTTCGCCTTGGCTAGCCTGCAATTGCAAACACCAGGAAGTAAGAACACACCACAGGAAAGGCACATGCGGAAGAAATCCTTCAGAACAAGTGTTATTTGAGGCATGCTTAAGTTCACCAGGGCCCCTCTGCAGAACAGACTAATTTCAGGAAAAGTTGTACTTTATTTTCAACTCAAATTCAAGGACTTATATTGATGCAACTGAATATACTGAATGCAAAGCATTCTGGCAACAGGCTAAAAGCCAGCATGGCTCAGATCTCTAAATGCAAAGACACCACGAGGGGAAGCCCACCGCTGTTCCAAATGCATGGGCAGCTTCACCAGAAATGGAAGTGGACACCTTTGGCTTTTGGCCAAAGTCTGAAAATCCTCTGCCTTTCTCTTCAGATTTCTGGAGAAACAACAGCCTAATTCTTCCTGTTTCTTACCGAAGTGACAGTAAACTCACATTTAGGTCCTGAGAAATCCGGAACATGGCTTGGCCTATAATTAATCAGGAGAACTACTCAGTAGCTGTTTTCTCTTGCAGCTTCATTAGCTCCCTGGAATGACTAACCCTCTGGAGCCAGGGGATGGCCTCCAGGAGGTATCATGACACACAGAAGAAGGCACAGATGATAAAGGAAGGAAGCAACTGGAATGTTCCAAAATCAGTGTTCTTCTCTAAACTGATGTCATATCTCACTACACCGCCCTGGAAGTGAGGAGATCACTCATTATTTCTGAGTCGTGGGTGAAATCCTCATTTCCTCTTCAGGTGCTGATGGACTGGAAATGCCCGGACAGTCAGTGACCATGTGCTGAAGGCACAGCTGACAAGGAAGCTCATGCACATTAACAGGCAGGAGAGGCGCGGAGACAGAGCGCTCCAGGGCCACTTCCAGTAGGGGTCTGCCACCCATGCCCCACTGATTCCTACCTTTGTGGTTGAAGATGCCCTCCATTTCCATGCTACTTCTGGAGTGGGCGATGCACAGTGAACCACAGGGGACCAGGCCTTCTGCCGCTGGGGAGCGGTCAGTTGTCCGCACCAGACACCAGTCAGGCTTGTCATGCGGCCGCTCCAGAACTTCCACGGTCTGGCCCCGTCGGATGGTCAGCTCGTTGCTGTTGCAAGCGGTGAAGTCATGGATCACCACTGTCAGCTCACAGCCACCAGAGAGCTGGGGGGAACAGAGGAAGAGAGGACAGGTCAGCCAGTGTGAGCCATGGTGCCTTCAGGTACAGCTGGGAAGTCCTCCAGGTGGGTTCCTGCCACCCTGCCCCGGAGTGAGCTGAGTGCTCCGAGGTTGTGTGATCACTGCACTCTCCGTATGAAAATATGATTTTTCATAAGAGCTTCCAAATTTCTTGAACCTGAGACATTCTATTTCCTTCCTCACAAAGTGGTATTATATATACACTCATTTTTTAACTTACAGCAGACTAAAAAAAACTCTGCTTGAAGGCTATCTGGGGGATTATCATGAAATATGGTGATAAAATGAGATAAAGTTCTGTTCCAAATTTCTGTTCTGACCCAGTGTTGGGCGTTCCATGCTTTGGAATATGTGGGCTCTTTAAGCATCCCTTGGGTCAGGAAAGAGGCAGCCACAAGAACGGGACTGAACAGGCAATGGGCTATGACCCTGAAACCGAAGCAAAGCACACCTGCCTCTCTTCAGAATCCTTCAAGCGCCTCCTCCTGCTTGTCCAGGGCTCCCCTTGGTGTGGCTCCTGAGGCCCTCTGCCCTCTGCCCTCAGATTCCTTCTAGGCTCCCCCACTTCAGGCCTCAACACGCAGCAGGCACCACAGGCTCTGCAGACATCGGCTCGTTTCCCAGAGGTCCTGGATTTTCTGGCCTTCTGTTCCTCCAGCCTGACGTTCCTTTCCCTCCTTCTCTCCTTTTACCATGCTCACTCTCACCTAGGCCTACTGAAACTCTTCCGGTCCTTCAAAGCTCATCCATAAACTCTCTAACAACACACACCCCATGGCCTCTGCCGGTAAAACAAGTGCATGGTCTTCTCATGACTGTCTGCTTCAGATGGCCTGAGCCCTGGTGTGTGTTCCCTTAGACAGTAAACTCCGTGGGGACAGGGCTCATGCGCTCATTAACATCCCTCCTACCTAAGAATCTTTTCATTGTTTTTTCTACATAAGAATCCCGAGAGCAGCTCCTGGTCTCTGGACTGTCCCAGGTTCTGTCTCTGCTGCTTCTCCACTGTCCCCCTGCAGGGACTCTTCAACCACACCCTCAAGCTGACTCCTCCCGAGCAAAGCAAGCATCCCAACTGCAGACTACTTTCGATCCCTGCTGGGCAACTGGATGCTTCCCTGTCCCCGCAATGCAGAGTCTGGGACATGACTCATCATGCCCTCCCACCCCCTAAATCTCTTTTTCTTCCGGTGTTGTCTTTTGGGTAACAGTATCACCATCAAGTCACTCAAGCTAAAAAACCCCACTCTTTTCCCTCCAAATGCTGTCGAGCAGATGTTGCGCGGCTCTCCGATCACTTCCTTTCTCTGCACTCCCATACCAATCACTTCACTGGGTCCCGCAGGGGCTCCTGAGCTTCCTCCCTCACAGACTCCAGGTTCTCCTTCCAAGCCATCTAAACACTGCTGGCAGGAGACCTTCTAAAAACACGTCATCCTCTTATGCAAAACCCTCACACACAAAGGCCTTAGCATAGGAGGCAAAGGTCCCCCCCAGTGGCCAGAAGCACCTCCCTCCTCCTCCTGAGGGGTCCTGCCTGTAAGTAGCCCATACCATCCCTCTTGCTGAAAGCCCCCACGTCCCCTCTATTCTAAGCTCCCCACTGGCTCCGAGAAGTCCCTCTCGTGCCTGTCCTCCATGGCACTTCAATTCTGAAGTGAGCCACAGCTGGAGTTACACGTGTGTGTGTCTGCCTTCATCACCAGAAGCAGGCTCACCCTACTCTTCTGTGAACTTTCCATCCCTGGACTGGGAGGGCGGAGATGGGGCTGGGCACAGTCACCCTGAGTCCCCCAGTGCCAGTGGTGGTAGGCATGTGACTTACAGAAGCTGTTAGGAGTGGGTCTCCTCCTCAGCCTGCCTCGCACTGTGCTCCGCATCCAGCTAGCATTCAAATATTTGTGAAATGAAAAAGAAAAGATACATATGCTCTAAAAATGAAGGCAATGCATTTGAAAACCCAAAACGAAGCCTGGATTTTCCTCACTGGCTTCAGGAGCTCACTCTGCCTGTGCTTAGCCTGCAGACGCTCAGCTCTCCCCTGTCACCTCTTGCTAAAGGGCAGTAGCCCAGACAAACTACAGGGACACAAGAGTGTGCTGCGGGCTATGGGGCTGGCTGTGGGAGTGAGAGAAGGGAGGAGGAAATGGCCCAGCCTCCTGCTGGGAAACATTCCTGTTGGGAGTCCACTGAGCACAAGCCCACACCCAGAGACCCAGGAGCCCGCACATCCTCCGATGGCTCACACTCCCGCTGTGTTCTGGGGCTGCCCCCTTGTGCTGAGGACCTCTGGGAGCCTCTGCCATGCTGTGTGCTGTTGATTATCCTCCTGTTGTAGGAGCCTATCTTTTAAGAGAAAGTTCAGATATTCAGAATAAGAAACACATGTCCACTAGACAACCACAAAGACCAAAACAAAACCAAACTCTTCTACCATGAAGCACAGTATCAACAAAGTGAATCAGCTTTGCTAGGCCACAAGGAAAATTTTCATAAATCCCCTTCTCAATCTTACAAACTTCTCCGTGGAAAACCCATGTTAAATTTTTCAGGTCTCTGAACAGTCAAAGATGCTAATGTTAAAAGCTCAAAGGCAGAGGCCCAGCCTGGAAAAGAACTCTCCTTGTAGAACCACACTCATGGAGTGGTTAGTCCCGTGACTTAGAGCTGGGGTGCTTCCTGTTCCGGGAACACAGGACCGGTCTGCAGGCCCCGAAGGAGGGTACAGATTGCCATGGCCCCTTGGACCTGCCCTTCCCAGGCCTCTGGGTCTGGCTAGAGCTCCCCAGTGATGCCACCCGCTGCTTCACTGAGCGCACGTGAGAAGCTCCCAGCAGAAACCCACTGGGCTTCCCTGACATTCTTCTAGCAGCCCCCACTCCCAGACGCTGGGAAGTGCACTGTCTCATCACCTGCCCTCTGGCTGCCTCATTCTCCAGAGTCTTATTAATTTTCCAGACGGCTCAAAGCCATGGGCTGCGGGTGGGGGAAGGGTGGGAAGGGGAGAGAGGGGCTGCCGAAGAAGGAGGATTAAGCTAGACTTTATTTCTGGCACTGATTTTTTAGGCCCTTAAAGAGTAATCAAAAACTATTGGAAACATCTGTGTACTTGACAGCACATAAGAAATAAAAATCAAGGATGTTCTGCCAAAGAATCATATACAAAGTTAAAATTCCTTTTTAAAGGCTTTTAAGAACTTGTTAAGAAAATCCAACAACAGAATATTTCAAAGGGCACTACAATTATTTTAAAAATCTTCCCATCTCCCAGCAAATCAACTGGCTTTACCCAAAAAGAGAGGCCCCATAGGGGAGGATTAAATGGGTGTTTTCTAGCCCAGAGAAGAGCTGTCCTGGGGATGCACCTCAATGCTCACATTTGAATATTTTTAACTTCTTGCTGCAAAACATCTTTGAAACCAGGTTTGCTAATTAAAAAAAAAAAACTTTTCTGTGTACAAAAGACTTGTGATAACTATTTTGAGGAAGCAGTGCAAATCGTTACTGCTTTTTAAGAAAAATTAAATTCCGAACTAGAAAACATTCAGCCACTATCTCGTATGTTACGTCTGACGGAGGTCTTGGCTTTCAGAGAATTTCTACCCTCAGTTGAAAGAGTTACCATTTTATTTATCTAGTTTAAAAATTCCCTTTTCTTTCTAACCATATTTTGTGCAAGTTCTCACAGTATCTTCGTTGCTTCTATATATTTAATGGGTTTCTATCATGGGCTCCCACCTCATGCATTGAATTTAGGATTGCAATTTGTGAAAATCTCACTTTCCATGACTCACATTAACACTTGCGAGATTCATATCAGAAGACAGATTTTTTTAAACCTTTCAACTTTTCACTATTAAAAAAATGAATGTGGTGACTAACAAGCAAGACAACAAAACAGCCTTAATTGGACCAGGGGCCAGGGACCCACCACCAATGTGCCTCCTCCAAAGACTACACCCAAGTCCCTCTTTAGGCCCAGACATATGGACAATTGGCAAAATCAAATCGGTTCCTTTCCTGAATTCTTTCCAAAATGACTGAAAATAAACAACTTACTGTGTTTCACCCGAGAGAATGAAATACTCATCTCTGGTTGCAAGCATGTGAACCTTCAACAATTACCACATAGAACAGAATTCTACTTTTCATGTTCTCCAAAGAAACCATGTCATATCACTGTCTTGCACGAACGCAGTTAATGGCTGTAACTAACAAGAGCTGTGGCTGGGGACTTCTCACACTGCGAGTTGTCACGTCTTCCTTTGTTCCTCAGAACACCCCCGCCCTGGACACAACAATGAGGCATGTATGGCTCAAGAACATATGGCTCTCGATAGACGGCGGCAATACCTGGTTTGAATTACCAAGCTCTGCGATGAGTTCTGGGGCAAGCTCTGCCTGAGGAAGAGGGGGCTCTCTCGGACTGGTGTGGTGGGTGATGCAGTCAGTCTTCGCTGCAAACAATTCTACTTCAAGAACAAGAGTCTAATGTGGTAAAGATCAATTGCAGGTGGGTTCTGACCAATTTTCTGAGAGCAATTCAAAAGCAAAAGGAGAATGTGGCCTAATAAAAGCCATTTTCCCCTAAAGAACAAAGTGTATTAACTCCCGTGAACCGTCACAGCCTACAGCCCACTACAGTTCAGTCATTCAGAAACCTCACAAAAGGGTCTTGCGGTTCCGTGAAGGTTTCACACAGAGTAGGCCAAAAAATGATTACTTGGTTAAAGGGAATTAGAGAGTACAGTGCTATTGCTAGCAATGGTTACAAAAAAGGGTAACTATAGGCAGCCAGAACAATTTCCCTAATCAATGCTATTATGCCCCAGGCTCTCACCCACCCAAGCTTCTCCACAGGGCAACTTCACGGAGACTCGGGCTGATCAGCAGCTGTTCTAACGTGAACAACAGGCCCTCCGTGCTCACGCCAACACCCAAGCTGCTTTACATAAGGTCAAATTCCAAGAAGAAGCGTTCACTAAAATCTGCCACTTAGAGTTTAAAAGAGGAGGACTATTGTGATAGGCTCCGATACACTAGGGGTACAGAAAGAAACCTGTGAGGACATAAAAATGGTGAAGACGGTAAACTTTACGTTACATTTTTTTTTTAACCACAATTAAAGAAAAAAAAATCGGTGAGAAAAAACGTTTTCAAAACCAGCAGCTTACCATACTCAACACTGTATCTGGAAAAGAAGGAGTGAGGACAGTGTTTGAGGATGCCAGTCCCTCTACTGTCTACTCACATGCTCACACACTGCTTTTCTGATGTGAAGATTGATCTCGGAAGACTTGAGTGTGTTGTCATACACATGAATTGGAATGAAATACTGGATGAAAAACGGCTGCATTTAAAAGATACAACTAAAAAGGGTAGGCAAACCAGAGACGTGGCAGCTCCCTCGCATTAGGCTTCAAGGGTTCACAGAGGCTCACCTGGACCAACATTGTACTCTTGCTTTTAGCATATCCCAGTGAGAAATGCCGGAGGTGCCGTGCAGGCCCCACAGGCGGCCCTGTGGCGTGGCAGGTAAACGCTTTCTGGCTATGAAGTGGAAAAGGGAACGAGGGCGGGGAAGAGGCAAACAGTTGAAAAACACCTGCCTCACGTAGTGCACTCCCCTAGGCTCTGGAAAGCAAGAAACTTCTTAGGACCATTTAACCCAAAGAAACCTGTTGGCTGTATTTCCTGAGTGACCAAAGCAATCTTTTATTGAGGAAGCTTAATTTGAAATACCTCTTTTTGTCTTTCATGGAGGGACAATGATCTGAGATCTAACGTTAACTAGCTGACCTCAACCAGCTTATGTTAACTAGCTGACTGGGCCCTCACCAGGAAGAGCAATCAGAATAAATACCTGCTTCGAGTCTGAAACATAACTTTATCACCATCTCCAACTGTAACTTCGATCATGTTGTGTAAAATTTACACTAAATAGCACTTTTCAGTGCTCTACTATTTTACAAACACTTAATTTGTAACATTTCTAACCAAACTTAAAAAAAATCTGTCTTTTCTTAGAACTGAGGCTTTCTACTTCTGCCTGGGGGATTTTGTTTTTCTGATTTGGTAACTGAAATGATCAAAGATGACATTCAGTTTGTGGTTTTATGAGAGAACTTAAAAAACTCATCTAAAAAAATATACAAAAAGCCACATCACTTAGAAAAACAGAAAACAAAGATGAGTAAAAGAAGGAAGCAGACGTCACACGGAACCCATCACTCAGAGCTCGCCAGGGGAGCGGGGCTCTGTCTCCTTCATTCATTCTTGTGCGCTGAATGCCTATCATAGGGATGGCACACAGTGGGTGGCCAATACATATCTGAGAATAAATGAACCCACCCTTTGAATATTAGGTCACTGGATACGCATGCAGCTAGGATGAAAGACGGAACAGCTGGAAAGGTGCTTTACGCAAGACTCTCCCCCTTCTGCAGTAATTGTGCCCATTCCACACACAGAATTTTGCAGTTGAGCCACCACAATTCATCAGGCCAGGCACTGAAGTAAAACATTTCATTCTTAGGACAGCTTCCAGATCCTAACAAGTACAATACAATCAACAGCTAAATCCACTGTAGCCCCAAGAGTGTGCAGATGAAGGAAGGGGAGGCTGAAATTGACAGTAACCTGCAACAGCAGCAATGCCGGCCAATAGCCCGAGTGAGGCAGGAGGAAGCCATCTGTATAACGGAGACACAGAAACTGAATATTTATTCAGTGCTTAGAACATGCTAGTCACTGATCTAAATATATGTGAGCAGTACTATCATTCCCATTTACAGATGAGGAAACTGAGGTTCAGAGAGGTGAGGTGACTTGCCCAAGACCACCAGCTGCTGAGGCAGAGGCCAGAGGTTTGCTGGTGGGTACATCCTCGCTTTTGATTGCCTGCTCTTAGGTGTGTTGTATATGCTATGCCACTGCCAGGTACACTCTGAGCAGAGGAAGGTCAACTGCGGTTGGGAGTGCTCTTTATAAAGGACGTTAAAATAAGCACCATCCTGTGGAAAAGGCTTCTGAATTAAATGACTCAATTTCATGCTTACATGGGGCAAACTTATCTGAGGTCCTGGGAAACTCAGAGCCCTGAGCTGGCCAGGAGGCAGAGAGCATCCTCTCTGAGCAGCTCCAGCCAGAGGGAAGGGTGTAGGACACCTCTGTGCCTGGCCGAGCAGCCCTACGCCTTCCATGTGGTGAATAGAGGCAGAACGCAGGACTGCAGGACAACCTCGGGAGGCTGAATGCAAGCATCATTAGATAGATATACACCCTTACCCAAGATGGTGAATTAGGCCATATTTCAAAATGTATTGGCATTAACTACTTTACATACTACCTCGACGCTGCAATTTATGTAAGTCAAACCAAGTTCCTGGAGTGTAGAACGTCACTTGACAGAAAGAGCTGATTGCTTTTCTAAATTTTAAAATACACGGAACCGTGGCCGGGCATGGTGGCTCACGCCTGTAATCCTAGCACTTTGGGAGGCCGAGGCAGGTGGATCACCTGGGGTCAGGAGTTCGAGACCAGCCTGGCCAACATGGCAAAACCCCATCTCTACTAAAAATACAGAAATTAGCTGGGTGTGGTGGTACTTGCCTATAATCTCAGCTACAAGAGGGGCTGAGGCAGGAGAATCACTTGAACCTGGGAGGCGGAGGTTGCAGTGAGCAAAGGTCATGCCACTGTACTCCAGCCTGGGAGACAGAGCAAGACTCCATCTCAAAAAAAAAAAAAAGAAAGAAAGAAAGAAAAAAAACAACACATAGAACCTCATGTCTCCAACACGGTGCTAAGGCTTCATTAAGAATAACTGAAACTGGCTGGATGCAGTGGGGCTCAGGACAATAATCCCAGCGTTTTGAGAGGCTGAGGTGGGAGGATTGCTTGAGGTCAGGAGTTTGAGGCCAGCCTGGGAAACACAGTTCGATACTGTCTCTACAAAAATAAAAAAAAAACTAGCCAGGCATAGTAGTGTACACTTATGGTCCTAGCTACCTGGGGGGCCAGGCAAGGATCACTTGAGCCTAGGAGTTCAAGACTACAGTGAGCTCTGATCACACCACTGCACTCCAGCCTGGGCGACAAAGTGAGATCCTGCCTCAGGAATTTTAAAAAAAGAGTGACTGAAACCAGTTATGTTTTTAAATATGTGAATCCATATATTCATGTTATAAGCTTGGGAAGGGGGTTCCACATGAAGTTATCAGTCTCAACTGAATTTCTCACTCATTAGAAATAAGAAACATACGGCTTAAGATTCGAAAGACAGCTCACACCTGGGCCCTGCTGGCTCGGGCCGGCTTTTCCACAGGATACCTCATCTCGCCTCGGCCATTTTTCCATGTTGGCCTCAAGATGCTTTGTTCTACAATACAGTTTGAGTTCCATGTTTTCTATTTTCTTTGTAATATGGATTTTAGTTTAATGATTATAAATCACAGACTAATAAGGAAGAGACAGGGAAAAAATTTTTAAAGATGTGTCTTTAGTAAAAATACTGAGCTCCAAATTCAGCTCTTGCATGAAATAATAAGGCCTGGAAAATGACAGATGATTAAATGCATGTTCCGTGTCTGGCTGTGGCCCTCTGCTGCTGGGAGGCCTTGCAGAGGGCCTGGATCTCCTGCAGTGCCCCAGGCCCGGCTCAGCGCTCTCCTCCCTACCGCAGGGAGATGCACTCAGGACAGATGAGATAAGAATCTGGAAAGCGCTTGATTTCTTTGGAATCCAAATTATATTTTCATAAGATCATTGTGTCAGGTTAAGTACCATGGAGATCAGCAAGGATCAGTACTAAATTCACTTCTGGAACAAAAAGAAGGCATATTTTAAAACTGATGTTTTCAAAGTAGGAAACGTGCTGCTGGGGCCTGTGGCTCATGGCCGTGGCCTGGCTAACCCCGCTCTGCTGACAGTGCTCCCTGGAAAGAGGGCGTCTCCAGGGTCCCTCCTTCAGACTCTCCCTAAACCTTGTGTGCCTCATCTGAGAATTACTAACAGCCCTAGCAGATAACTTTTGCCTTCAGAATTCTCCAAGAGGCCGAGTCAAAAACATCCCCCGACCCAGTTTCTGAAATGAAACCAAATTCCATGATAACAACTAACTAATAACAGACATCATAAATTAAGTCGAACAGGCAGAATGTCGTTAAGTGATTTCCCTTGCCAGATCCATCTGCCTGCGTTATCAGAGGCTGCTTAAACTTAAACTACGTAGGGCAGAAAGAACTTCGAGACTCAGGAAAATTACCGTCACCGGAGATGGGGTTGCTGGTTAAGCCTAGTTCAGAGGGACAGTGCATTTTGCAGACTGACTAGGGAAAGGATGGAGTCCTTGATTTTCAAAATGTGTTCTTGAGTCATCTAATGACCCTCAACTGTTCTACTGGAGAGGCATAAGGAGGGAGATGGCTAAGAGAAAACGTCACATAAGCAGAGCACACACAAACGCAGGCACACGTGGGCAGCAAACGTGCACCTTCTTGTTTGTAAGGCCGCATGGGTACGTCCTCTCCAAATTCCAAATTCTGACTTATTGGCAAGTCTCATACGCCGTTTAATCCCAAATGCAGGTCTCCAGAACGGAGTAAGACACCCGCTGTGGTTCTGTTCTCACGACACGACATTTCATCCTTTCTGTGCTTTAGAGCCTACTAAGGACCGATGCTCTCAGCAAGTGGCATTAAGAAAATTCGCCAGGTCTGTTTAAGAAACTGAGTCTGGAGTGTCATTCCTTCAAGATGGTTAACCATGAGAATACCAGGGTGAGTGTTGCTGCGTGGCAGGCTGCGGTCCTCAGTAAGAAAGAGCCTCCCAGGAGCGGGGCTGGAGAGGCAATGGTGGAACTGGCAGGAGAGACCCTTCAGGGATTTCTTTTTTTTTTTTTTTTTTTGAGATGGAGTCTCGCTCTGTCGCCCAGGTGGGAGTGCAGTGGCCTGATCTTGGCTCACTGCAAGCTCTGCCTCCCGGGTTCATGCCATTCTCCTGCCTCAGCCTCCCGAGTAGCTGGGACTTACAGGCACCCACCACCACGCTCGACTAATTTTTTACATTTTTAGTAGAGACGGGGTTTCACCATGTTAGCCAGGATGGTCTCGATCTCCTGACCTCGTGATCTGCCCGCCTTGGCCTCCCTAAGTGCTGGGATTACAGGCGTGAGCCACCGCGTGCTCAGCCGACCCTTCAGGGATTTCTGAGCTCAGGAGTGAAGTTTAGGGACAACACATCAGATGAGGTCAAGAGAAACTGGTGAATCATCTTCACAGATAGAGTATCTCATAGGGAGTTTTCTTAACATTTTCATACCCTAGTGGACTGCTAGGGTAAAATTTGCTTTTTTTTTTTTTTTGGCAAACCTATACTGTTCTGGTAGTGATTTATTCTTCCTCTTTCGTTGGATACAAATATAATTTGCTGTATTCCCAGTTCACGTAAGCCCTCCCTAATATGCTATAACAGATGTGAAGTCGTGCTAATTTCACTACTCCTAACTCCAGGATAGAGACTTATTTCTGTTCAAGCCGCTGGGGAATCCCAATCAGCCACGCGCCTTAGGGGCCAGGGCTGTGCTGGGGCTGAGAGGAGGTGGGTACCAGCCAAGGAATTCTCCACACGCAGGAGATAAGTCGTGGCACCAGCAACTCTGTCCGGAATAATGAACTGGAGACTCCAGAGCCCCTTCCTGGATAGAGGGGTCATTTCCAGACTCCCAGGCACCCATTTATCCATAAACTACCCGAGGAAACAAGTTATCCTTGCCTCTTAGACCAACTTCCAAAAAAGGAACCCTCCAAAGCTAACTTTTCCACTTAGCTCTTTAGCAATTTCATTCAAAAAATTTACTTTTTTTTTTTTAAAAAAAGAATAAACTTTTGAACTCATGTCTAGGGGAAATCCAGAGCAGACCCCTAGGAGTTTATCTTAAGAATGGGAATTTGGGGCTTGACGGTGATCTCAAATGGTCTGGAAATGCCCTGAATGCGGGCCACTTTCCCACACACTTGAGCACCCATGATTCAACTTTCCTTTCAGGTGGCAGCCTCATGGAAATTCACCAGATAATCCCCTTGATTACTTTATTAAAAAGTAAAATAAAATAAAAAATTTATCAATATTACTCTAACAAAGTGTTTCCAAGCTCAAACTTTATTTCTTTAACCTCAATGGCCATAGGTGGGGTCTCGGAGAGAAATGCTATCAGGCATCAGATGCCTGAACATGTCATTTATCTTATTTCTTTTTACTACATGCCAAGAAATATTTGCTGAATGCCAATACATAGGGCCTTGAACAAAATAAAATGAGAAATTCTTTTTATTCTCTGGTCTTGTCATTCTAACCACTCCAAGTCCTAGGATCTATTATTTAGTGAACCCAAAAAGTATAATGAGAAAAAAAATCTAATCACTTAAACTAGGATATTGAAAATGGAATCACTGCAGCAGAGCAGTATTTTAAATCTACTGACTCCCGTCCTTGAAACTAGAACATTAAGTATCATGAATCCTCCTACAAAACCAAGTGAGAAAAGGCCAGTCTGGGACTAAAAGATGTGCCACGGAAATAACCTTCCAAATACTGGACTCTGTCATCTGTCTGAATCAATTCCCAAGGACGGTGAGGTCAGGGCATTGTTCCTTCCTACCAATGAGTGGGCTGCGGAAATGATGTGCAGAGAACAGACTCCCGGGTCTCATGATGGGGACAAAGGTCTCATGAAATGAGGTCTGACTTGCATTGGAGAATGAGAAGCTCAGCAATTCTGGGCTCATAAATAAACCCCCTATTTACTGTCAATTTTTTTAAAAAGAATTCAGTCTAGCATTCTAGTAATGTAACAGAACACACTAGTCTTGGCAGGAACAGAAGACTTCATTAAGATCAATGTTCCCCACTGGCTGACAGAGAACATTTTGTCTTTTGTCCATCACGTAAACCCAGGATTCCAAATTCTACTAGCAATTTACTTTGTGGGATTTTTGGATTGTATCAGACAAAATCATGAGATACTCTAGGCTGCTTCTGAAGAAGATACACCTATACAAACTTTTTTGATAAAAATCAGATCTAGCTCACAGTGGTCATCACTGTTGCCAATTCCAGGGCAGGTTTTCTATGTTCTGCTGCACACTATGGTTATGAGAGGGCATCTCAGGGCCACAGCCCCCATTTCCATCAGAGCAGCTCCGCTTCTACACTGCCATGAGTTCTTACTATTTTACATTGCCTTGGCATCACTATGAACCCAGAGAAGCTGGACTTTCTCATAACAGGAGCATCTTCTCCCAGGCCTTCAGTGTGGTAGGTCCTGATCTCTGCTTCACAGAACTTCCTTCTGGTGACCATTTCTCTAAGGGATAGCCATATAAGACCTGCTTAACTGGCCCTGCTGACACTCGCACCTCATGTGGACTGTGCAGATATGCCAGAGTGACAACTTCCTAGTCACAGCATGACCTTCTGAAACTCGTGTCTGCTTGCTCTAAGCCCACTCATTGAGACGCCCTGTGCCAAACCTGTTTGGATAATGTCCTGGACACAATAAAGGGCCTGGCCCAAGGACTCCTCTCTCCCCACATGCTCCCTGTCCTCCAGGGATGCCGTGTGATCCCCAGAACCTGTAAGCAACACTCTTTATTTCCATCTTGTGTCCCTCCTAGTCGCTGGAAGGGTGCTGTCCATCTTAAAGATCCTAAATTAAAACATACGCTGGTGTTCTGTGTAGGATTTTATTTTAAATGATAGGTTCTTCTGCTTAGGAATAAGATTAAAAAGTCTAAGTATGCTGCCCTCGAATGTCCAGTAACACCCTTGGCACTGGCAAAGGGCAGGATGGAAAGAGTTGAATGATTTCTCCTGAATCCTCAGGGTTCAGGTCTTCTCACCCCAATCCCCCAAGTCTCTGCCCCACCACGGGATCCTGGCACCACTCCTGGCACGTATCAACTGCTTGAAAATGTTGATGACAAACTGTGAGTAACAGAAAGGAGGGGGCTGCTTTGACCAGAGACTGGCCACATTCCCCTCCGCACACAAAGTGCCGGCAGTGACTCACCTTATCGCTGTCCAGCGTGTTCTGAGACGTCCGTGAGGCGATGGAAATCGTATCAGGCTGGCTGCTGCCGTCTCCTTGGCTGTCCAGATCCTCTCCATCCCTGGCGGTGCAAAGAAACTTTTAGTTCCTGATGCTGCTGAGCTGGCAGTCACTGGAGAAGCAACTGATTTGTTTAATGAGGTGCATATCAGCCTTCGTGAGTGCCTGCTGCTGCCAGGATGCGGACAATGGTTAAGGCACCCTTCACCGAGCACAGGCTTTCTGCTAGGCACTGTGCTGAGTGTTTAAAACATATCATCCTGTTGGATTCCCATCACCATAAAATATAGTTGATATGATCGTTGCCATTTTAAAAATGAGAAAACAGCAACATCTCGATGCTTTATAACTTATCCAAGGTCATGTGCATGAGTTAGACATGTGCCCTGTATGGTGCTCGGGGTGAGAAAGGCAAAACAATGAGAGGTTTGCACACAGCCCTTCGTTTACTCTAAGCCAATAGAGGCTCTTATCTCTGACAAAGCAGTTTCATTACTAAGAATGATGTTATCCACAAATGGCAGTTTAAAAAATGTATTCCTCAAAATGTTTGAGAGAAAGGATTTTTGAAGCAGGGTGAGCTAACACCGCCTCGCCCCTCCCTCCCACATCCACAAACCTCCAGTGGCGCCCAGACACGCACCTCCTTCCCTTCTGTCTTGTGGCGGGAGCGGTCTTAGGGATGTGAATGGGCTCCTTCAGGGCTCCCTTCAGGTGGATCGTCCGCTCCTGGATGACTTCGCGGATATGCTTTATCCAGTCCTGCTTGTTCTCTATGCTGGAAGCCTTAACAAGGTGTTAGCGTTGCTTAGGATACGGAACGGCCCTTTCCAGACCTTGCCCTAACCACACCCAGGTTTCCTGCATTCCTTGAGTTTCTATTTTCAAAATGACTTTTTAGCAGAAAAGCAACCACATCCGACGTTTAATATGCTACCAAATAAATGACTATTTAAAAATACGTTTTCATCAAAACCTTTTTTGTTTTATAGCACGTATATTACTCCAGATCTCTGACTATTGCAATAATCCATCATTCTCCAGCCCCAAGACCTTTTAAGCAGCCCTGGGCAAATAAACCAACACAGCCACCCTCACTGCCACCAAAACGCCTCTGAGGCTATTGAGGCAAACACTGCGCACTGGTCAGTAGGGGGCATACTGCCAGCAGGAAACTGAACAAATCCCCACAGCCTTGCGGCCTCCTTTGCTGGACTCAGGGAACAGCGGCGCAGCTGCCACCACCTCCAGCCCCCTGTGCCTAGCCGAGGGCTTCTCGCATGCTGTCATCCACTCCCATAAGGACTCTGCGGGTGGGAGACTCCTGCAGCCCCGTCTTATAAATGAGCAACTGAGGTGTGGACAGAAGAAATGTGCCCAATGTTCCAAGCTCACCAACTGCCAATCCCCGATGGCAGATTCACCTTGACTCCATTACAACTCTCAAGAAATGTCCTCTGAGAACCACACAGACTAGATTGTCAGCAAGCACCTGCAGACTGAGCACGCACGACATCACTTGATCCAGACTTTTTTTTTTTTTTTAACTCTGCCTCAAAGGAGGTTTTTTTTTTCTTTCTGCATGTTCTGGGCCTTCCTAACAGCTTTCTAATTTCCTCACAGAAAATATCAATCTCCTATGATATAAGCATAATTCCCTGCAGTTATAATTAACCCGTCATAACTCATCGTAGATGAGGTCACAAAGTGGGGAGCGCCCAGCATTTCTCACTGTGTATCCTGTTTTTGAAAACAGAAAATCAAAGCCCATGTTGGGAAAGGAAATTAAAATTGATCATCCTCTTTCTACAGAAACCGTTTTAACCAGAGGACCTGTCTTTAACATTACTAACAGGTAGTGACAGGGAAAAGAAATGATGGGTAAAGGCAGCCTCTTGCTCCCTCTTCTCCGGAGTGACATAGGACAGCAGGAAAACCAATGTCTTCTGGCGAGGGGGCAGGAAGGAGGCAGGGTGACCGGGGAAAGCGGGGGGAAAGTAAGGGACTCGGGAGAAGAAACTTTTCTAAAAACTACAAATTGGTTGGAATTTAAATGCCTGATAAAAGTATTTGGAAGGTCAACTAAAGAGAAGTACCTGCAAAAGAACAACTGGCAGAGTTTGGAAACAACTGAGGAAAACTGTTAATATGGTTCAGAAATAAAGAAAATTCTCATATGAATTGATCGTTACACTTAGAGAGTAATTCTCCTAACCTTAAAGAAATTAAACGAGGAAAAAAGATGTCAGTTTTTCAGAAATAGTAAGAGAAAGGTAACTGAGGTAAAGTACTAAATACCAAGGTCCTACCTGGCTAAGAGAGGGGATAGTTCATTTCATAATCTGGGTAGTCGCAATCTGCTTAAGACTTAAAAATAAAATTCTCTTTTCCAGACTAGAGAAGTGAAAATAACCAAAATTTTGTTTTACAACTATGAGGACATCATCATCGCCACTACCACCATTCCCATCACGTTCTCTACCACCATAAGCACACACACCAGCAGCACGATACCTCTACTTCTACCACTGCCTACACCCTCACCACCACAACCTGCACCCTCACAAGCTGCACCCTCACCACAACCTACACCCTCACCACCACAACCTACACCCTCACCACAACCTACACCCTCACCACAACCTGCACCCTCACCACCTGTACCCTCACCACAACCTACACCCTCACAACCTGCACCCTCACCACCACCACCTACACCCTCACCACCACCACCTGCACCCTCACCACCACCTGCACCCTCACCACCACCTGCACCCTCACCACCACCTGCACCCTCACCACCACCTGCACCCTCACAACCTGCACCCTCACCACCACAACCTACACCCTCACCACAACCTACACCCTCACCACCACCACCTGCACCCTCACCACCACCTGCACCCTCACCACAACCTACACCCTCACCACAACCTACACCCTCACCACCACCTGCACCCTCACCACCACCTGCACCCTCACCACCACCTGCACCCTCACCACCACAACCTACACCCTCACCCTCACAACCTGCACCCTCACCACCACAACCTACACCCTCACCACCACAACCTGCACCCTCACAACCTGCACCCTCACCACAACCTGCACCCTCACCACCACCACCTACACCCTCACCACCACCACCTGCACCCTCACCACAACCTGCACCCTCACCACAACCTACACCCTCACCACAACCTACACCCTCACCACAACCTACACCCTCATCACAACCTACACCCTCACAACCTACACCCTCACCACAACCTGCACCCTCACAAGCTGCACCCTCACCACAACCTACACCCTCACCACCACAACCTACACCCTCACCACCACAACCTACACCCTCACCACAACCTGCACCCTCACCACCACCTGTACCCTCACCACAACCTACACCCTCACCACAACCTGCACCCTCACCACAACCTGCACCCTCACCACAACCTGCACCCTCACCACAACCTACAACCCTCACCACCACAACCTGCACCCTCACCACAACCTGCACCCTCACAACCTATGCCCTCACCACCACAACCTGTACCCTCACCACAACCTGCACCCTCACAACCCACCACAACCTGCACCTTCACCACCACAACCTGTACCCTCACCACAACCTGCACCCTCACCACCATCTCCAACCTTACTACCATTAAAATCTAAAGTATCTCCATCTACGCTCTCACCACACCATCTAGACCAACAAAATCTGTACCCTCACCATCAACACCTAAACCCTCACCACCATCTACACTACCACTGCCTGCACTAGCACTACCACCGCCTGTACTACCACTGCCACCAAATTCTACACGATGACCTCCATCTACAACCTCACCACCATCACCACCAAAGTCTATGCCACCACCATCTATACCCTCATCACCACCATCTACACCACTGCCACCATCTGTACCCATACCCCCATCACCAAATCTATACCACTACCTTCCTCTACACCCTTACCCTCTCACCACCATCTATACCACCGTGACCACCAAAATCCATACCACCACCATCTCCACCCTCACTGCCATCTAAACTTTCACCGCCATCACCACCACCACAGCGTCTCCACCACCTCCACCTACATCATCATTACACTACCATTCCCACCATCACCATCGCCTGCCTCTCTACACCAACACCATGCAGCAATCCCTGAAATTAATGAGAACATCGTTTCCTTTACTTTCTCCTTGGAAGTCAGAAAGGTATTACCCAAAATTCCCTAGAAAACTTGTACCTGGCGAAGCCTGACAAATAAGAAGAGTCTTATTTGTCAACTGTACCATGAGCATTTACGACATCCTAAATGAAAGTCCAGATCTGGCTAAAGTATCTGTCACTATTTTTTGGAAGCACCTTTTGGCATCTACTACTGTAGCTAGTCTGGATAAGCGGTTTATATAAGTTGCAAGTTTCCAGGTTTTGAGTATACCTTAAAATGTTAGACCTTAGGAAGAAAATACAGTTATTTAAATTTAGCTATCGGTGCAACTGATATCATATAGGGCTTTATGCCAGTACTAGCCAGAGCACATTGGGCTGATAATCACATATTCACTGCAAAACAACCCACTATCACATATGAACAAAAATCTTATGAACACAATGGCTTCCACTGAAGAACAGGCTCTAGAAGGCTGACATACAGGGGAGTAACTCACAGTCACTGAAAATACCAAAGAGATGAAAAAGCATGCAAGAGACACAAGGGGTGACATGCAGGTTCATACACCAGAGTCCCATTACACTCTGGCTCATCTCCCAATATTCGATAAGCCTTAGCTCCACCGTCCCCCAAACATCCCAAAGCCGCTGATGGCATTTCCAGATGGCTCCAAAAGTTCCATCTGTATTTTCTCAAACACAGAGGAGGAAAATACATAAGACAACCTTAGAGCTCTTGACCATTCCCAGGAGAGGTTAGTATAATCAAAACAGAGTTCAAATCAAATATTCCAAGATATTTTCCTCCCCCAAAGACTATATACCCTAAAGCATCCCTAGTGGTTTTGAATTTTAAATCATAACAGTATCAAACCCTGTCACTAATAATCATTCCTCTTTCCCTCCGTCTCCAAACTATTAAGCCACAGAGCTGAGGACTCTGTAAGGACTGTGGGTACGGTTGGCCTCGACTTCCTGTCGCAGGTCCTCAAACACGCACCAGGTGACTTTTTCCTTTCGAAACAGGTCAAGTGCGCAATCAGAGTTTTTGGTCAGTATCTCATTCCTCCTGTACCCTGACTTCCTGCATCTCTTATAGAGTCAATGAATTCAAAGACTGGAAGAATGGGAAAAATATAAAAAGACCTTGCTTCATTTGCCCTTTCAGGAGTCAAGTGAAAGTTTAACTCAAATTGTTTCATCACCAGAACACCAAACTGAATTTATTCCACTATTCTTTTTGTGGTAGTCACCAATCTGAATAGAACACACACACACAAACAACAACAACAAATAATAATAATATGAAAACAACGGAAAAGCAAGCATGGATGGCCACAGTAAATGTTTCAAACAGCACATTCCCAGCTTCAAATGAACGTACCTTAAGGACAATTTTATTATCTGAAGTTGGTGTTCTCCCCACCCACAGTGCAAATTTGCAAGGGTCTCCTTCAACATGTTCTGTGACACCCAACTCTGAGGTCTGGATAAAAAGACAATTATATAATTAGGTGACAGTAAAATTCTAGAAGGATGCAGAACAGAGACCAAGGAAACAGGTTTTGGTTACTTGTGGCCATGTTAGGTTATAAGAACGTCACTAGTGATCTCAGCTGTCATGTGAGTTATAATGAGGACATTGTGTTCTTAGGCTACAGGTGACTGGTTTCATCCTTCGCTTCCTGTGAGCGTCTCTTACTGGAGACCCCAGTGCAGGTCAACGAGCAAAAAATTCAGGGGAAGGAAACCAACATGTGAAAATCCTACTATCTGACAATCAAGATTCGACTATTTGCAATCTTACAAGCAACAAACTGCAAAATGAGTCTTTCCTGGTTGCAAAAGGGCTGCCACCATGTTCTCTTCAGTATTAATGACACAGCTTCCCAGAGGGCAAATGATGTTTTAACAGCTTATTCTCCAATTTCTTTATCAATAGCATTAGCTTTTAGTATTTCATCAATAATTTTAACGGCTAAGAGGCAAAATCCCTCTGTAATATATGCAGAACATGGAAGCATGCAGAGAAAGGTCAATAGCTTCAGCCCCTCCCCCACAGTCAAGGTCCCCCTGATGCATTCTCCACCCCAGCAAAGGAAGTGATTCATCATCCAGAGCTCCAGAGGTAGCCTCTGAGGGAATCTTAACTTCTAAAAGATAAATTAAGTGAAGATGTATTGGCTGCTAAAACAGATGAGCTTGGTCTCTAAAGAGAGATTAAAGCCAGCTAATGAAATTACTAGCCAGCAATGTTGCATTTTTTTCTTTCCAGTCAGAATGTGACCTAAAATGATGTCAGGCAAGCTGTGATCCAAAAGACGATCTCAAACAGAACACAAGCCAAACAAAATGGTATGAAAACCATCATTTGGAACCTGTGAATTCCAGATTATTACTCAGATGATTTCCATACTCGGGGACATTTTATTACCTGAAGAATTTCATTATATATGGACATCACAAAAAGTATGATGTGTAAGTTGTCCAAATTGCAAACATCTACCAGTATTTATAAGAGATCTGCTGTAAAGAAACCCACCTTCTTGGCATTTTCTATTCTTTTCTTGATGATGATTCCTCCTTAGTGCAACCCAATCGTCCCTTCTGCCTGGCCCTGCCCAGCGACCCTGCATGAATAAGCCTCTGAGAAACGGCCCACTAAGTTAGATGGAAGTACACTGGATCCAGAGACGATGCTGCCCTTGGGGAGGCTGGTAAGGCTAGCCAGTGGTCACAAAATGGCAGCAGGTATGTTGCTCTTGCCAAGAAGTACAATGACAGGTTACGAATTAAAATGCATCACCGGATCTGCCAAGCACTCAGGGGCAGCTGTCTCCACATAGCTGGGGCTGTGGATCTTTCAGACTGTACTTTGGCTTAAGTATATTTTCTCTAATAATGACATTTCACTGTTATAAACAACCATAAATTTACTCATGCACTTATATTTCATACATTTATTTTTAAATGTGAGCCACCCAGTAAGGCTGTTTCCATATACTCCAATGTTTATGGTTGAAAAATTAATTATAATAAGAACTTAGTCATAGATATGATTATTTTATTTATAAAGCTAGTTAAGCACACCGGAGATAAATGATTTCACTTATGAAATGTTTTCTTATCCTGCAGTTATATGATACAGGATTTAAGAAGAGCAAGTTTCCTAAGTCTATAAACTCCAGAGCACCCTCTAGTGGACTTGAGGGTGGGAAATAATTTCACTGAAGATGAAAACCCTACCACAATTCAGACTTGAACATTTCAGGACAGATTGGGAGGTTAAACTGAAGACAATGAACAATTCTTCTCTACCTACAAAAAGACTGCAATTGTGTTACCTTTAGACTTACAATTCTGAACGCCTATACTTACAAACAATTTGCTTTTATAAAGGTACTTGCTTCTCCCACTGGAATCTTTCACTTCTTTACTAAATACTAAGGACATTTCAAAAAGGAAGAGATGCCGTTCTCGACCCTTTCGAATTAAGGTTTTTGGGTCCCACACTTGGAAGGATTCCTGTAGGATGAGTTCTCCCTGAGACTCAATGTTTTCATCAAACCCTACAACATGAAAAAAGGGAGGCAAATCAATTTAAAAGAAAAATAAAAACTGATGCACAAGAAAGCATTATTAGTATTTTCAACAATTTTAAAAATGCCCATCGGCCAACCCTAGATAAGAGTTTCCCATCTGATCCTGACTCGACGCCACTGACCCATCCTACAGAGGATAATTCTTCCTAACACACCACTTTACATATATTTTCCTTTGTTCAAAAACATTTTGCGATTCCTCATGGCTTTATTCTTTGAGTTCTATCCCTCTGGTGGGCCTCTGCAACAGTTGAGATCTGGTTCCACCCTCTACTTCTCTTCAGCCCTCTCCTGCAGCATCCCACCACCGAAAGCTCCTCCTCTGAAACAGTTCCGACTCTCCTCTAAGCCCCCACCTACTTCCCAGCCTCCGTCTTGATTCTCTCTGCTTCCTCAGCCCAGAGCATCCTTCCCAGACACTCTGCTCAGGTCCAGGCTTTCTTCAAGGACCTGTCCTGGTCTTGCTTCTTGGAGAAGTCCCTGGCTGCCCATGCTTGGTGCACCCTCCCTCCTCTGAATGTGACAGTCTGCATGTGAATCATTCGTGCTCTGGACTTCACTACTGCTCCTCTCTTCATGGAAGTGGCCTGCTTTATCACCTGGTTATGAAGCCACCAGGGCTTAGTAAAGCCAGCCCTAGGGCAGAGGCTGCCCATTACCTCCTGACTTCCACTCTCTTTTTACTCTCATAGTAGAAGCTCCCACTAGGGCTGCTCAAAATAAGCACTCCATCCCCCAGCCCCAGGAACAGTTAAAAGCAGCTCAGGTACCTACGCTCTGGGCAAGTGAGCAAAGTAGCGGGTACTACTGCTAGTGTCTGCCCATCTGGAGTTTCCTCCCTGACTTTCTTCCCCACTTCCTGCTAAATGGAATGTTGGCATGGTCTTGAAACACCCTGGACCTAGCCAGCCAGAAAAACAACTAGAATGGAGAGAAACTAGCTGGAACACAGCCTGGGTCCTGGATGACATCATGAAGGGCGGCCATACCAGATCAGCATTTTATATCAGAGAAAGAAAAATCTGTTTTGCTTGGCCTCTGAGTTTTGGGTCTTATTACCCACAGTGGCACCTATGTTCAGTGTTACCCATAAAGACACAGGCTAGCAAAAGCATTTGGGGCAGGATTAAAACTTATTCTGTGTAGCCTGGCAAGAACCAAGCTTTGCACAACAGGAAGAGCTTTCTTAAACAGAGGCATTTATGGAAATTATAATTGCTCTAATTTTGAAACATATTTATCTAATTTTCTCTTTACCATGTTACACAAGGAAATATCTGGTGCCTACTATGTTCCAGGCTCTAGCAAGTGATGCAATGGATACAGAGGTGGGGAAGCAACACATTCTTTTAAGGATTTTACAGTCCTGGGGTTTGATCCACCCATACACCCACCTACCCATCCATCTAACAGGGAGAACAGGTGGCCTGCAGCAAGCGACACAAAGTGCTATTGGAGTCCAGAGTGTGGAGAGGCTGTTTTCCAGTGAAGGGACCAGAAAAGGCTTTCAATGAGTATAGAAACATTTTATGTGGTCCTCAAGAAAAGCAATGACACTGATTCTTTAAGAAATGTTCTTAACCACTAACATAGAGACATAAAGCGGGGATTTTTAGGGTTCAGGAAATCCATTTACAAACAGTGTCATTAGAAACTGCATAGATGCACACTGGGGTATGGAGGGTCCTTTACCTTCCAGCATGCTGAGGTGCATGGCATCATTGGCTCGCTTCGGCACGCTGAGCATCACCTCCAGGCCATCTTTAATCTCTCCCTTTCCTTCCTCACAGCACGTCAGCAGCTCCTGCAAAGATAAACAACAGAAACTAGGTAAAGACTGCAGAATGCTCTGCCAATAAGACCTTGGCAGAAACAGTTTATGAAAGCCCATGGCTTTCAAGATAAAAACAGAATGTGGTCAACTGGGCATATGTTCTCATAGAAATAAACTACTACCTCTTTATTCAATGGATGGCAGGGTTTGTCCTGTTCTAATCAGAGTAAGCCAGATGTATTCACAGTTTAAGATGAAATTAGTATACCTGTTAACAATCAAGCCTCAAAAATGATAAACAGAGGCCGGGTGTGGTGGCTCATGCCTGTAATCCCAGCACTTCGGGAGGCTGAGGTGGGTGAATCACTTGAGGTCAGGAGTTCGAGACCAGCCTGGCCAACATGGTAAAACTCCATCTCTACTTAAAAAAAAAAAATTAGCTGGGCATGGTGGCATGCACCTGTAATCCCAGCTACTTGGGAGACTGAGGGAGGAGAATCACATGAACCTGGGAGGTGGAGGCTGCAGTGAGCCAAGATTGTGCCACTGCACTCCAGCCTGGGGGACAGAGCAAGACCCTGTCTCAAAAAAAAAAAAAAAAAAAAAAAAAAAAAAAAAAAAAAAAAAAAGATAAATAGAAATATTTAATTATTATGTAACACACCATCAGCTACTGGTTACAGCTGACTGCCATGTCAGGTCCAACTGTGCGTTTACCACACAATCCCAGCGTGACTCTGCACCTTGGAGCTATGAATGCAATGTCCCATCTAAACCGGACCAGCCAATCCACGCAGCAGAAACAGTAACACCGCATGAGTTACTTACAGTCAAATGCATTTCCTTTTTGCGTAGGATGTTTAGAAAAGCTCTAATGGTTGAATTACATCTCTCTGGGGAGCCCTATGTGTGTGATTACATTGCAAAGCCATTTAGAGAAACATCCGTTATTAAATGAATGATAACAGGAACAGTAAGTTCACCTTCTGGTGGGCTCCAAGATCCTTTTTTTTTTTTTTTTTTTTTTTAGGCGGAGTCTTGCTCTGTCGCCCAGGCTGGAGTGCAATGGCGTGATCTCGGCTCACTGCAAGCTCTGCCTCCCAGGTTCATGCCATTCTCCTGCCTCAGCCTCCGGAGCAGCTGGGACTACAGGCGCCCGCCACCATGCCCGGCTAGTATTTTTGAATTTTTAGTAGAGACGGGGTTTCACCGTGTTAGCCAGGATGGTCTCCATCTCCTGATGTCGTGATCCGCCTGCCTCGGCCTCCCAAAGTGCTGGGATTACAGCCAAGATACTTTCTTATTGGTGTATTAATAATTACTACCAGTCAGTAATAGCAATAGCAGTGTTTTGTGTCTTGGTAGTCAACAAAAGAGAGGTATGACACTGCAGCCAGCACTGGTCTCCCAGTGGTTACTTGAGAGGAACTCAGCTGCCTGATGGGCACCTTCCCTCATCACCAGATGGTGTTTACCTGTGATTCTAAGCAGCATGGCAAACACTGCTCACAAATGCAGTGTACTGAGCCTACTAACTGACAACTGGCAGAAAACCTTCCTTGTTGGGGAGCTCAAGAGAGCTTATCACTGTTCTCCTGAAGAACCTCTGGCAGAGTAAGGCGAGGTTTACAAATTTAAGCACCAGTTTAGCAGAACTACATGCTGAAAACAAAATCCTTACATCTTGAGGACACTGAAAGGTAAACTGCCTTTGTAGAATTAGAAAGCAAAGGACAAATTTGAATATGAACAAATTAGCCTCCTGACTTATTTTGCATTCATAGTAACTATATATTTCTGCGGGAATGGTCACATAATCACTTAACGGCATTTTGATATAAAAGTACAGGAGAGCTTTTCCAATTGAAAAATCCCATAATAGTATCACTTTCACAAAACGATGTAGCTACTTATTACTGTCTGTAGATTTTTCTTGCTAACAAAAAGGGTAAAGAAGAGTTCCAGCATTTGTAACTCCATCTTCTAAATTTCTTTTATATCTAGACAAATTACATAATAACTTCCCGTTGTCGAGCCTAGGGCAGTCCCTGGAACATGGCAGGATTCATAGAATACCATCACTGGGATGAATGCATGTTTCTACATTTTAATGCTTAATAACATTCACCAGCTGAGAAAATGGTATGCTGAACATTACCAGACAAAATCTGTCAATTTTTAGGTAGTCAAGAAAATGTGTATTGATGATATATAATATAAAAATAAAATACATTTTGTGACAACTCTTAGCACAAATTCTAAGTTTTGTTTACCTTTCTATTGTCAAGACTAATCACTATTGTTTTCTTAAATGTGATTTTAACTATAGTCACTCACAACTAATAAAAAGCAGAGGTCAGCCTGACTCCAATACTTGCGGTCTGTATGGACAAGGTGTGCCGCGAGGGGTGTGACATCAGGGACAAGCAACAAGACAGAGGAAGCCTCCTGGGCATGGGTTCTCCGTGGCTTCAGTGGAAGCCCTGGGCATCAGCCAGATCTGTGTTCTGAGCTGAGCCTGTTAACGTGTTTGAGTGGTGATTCTGGGCACACTCCTTACAGTCTGAGGCTAGTTTCCATGCCTGCAGACTAGCATTGTTGGGAGGTTAACATATGCAGAGCGTACCAAAGTGCACCATGCCTGGCCCGCAGTCAGCAAGCCACAGCTGGGAACTAAGGGTACTAAAATATCAAGAACTGATGATTTCTCATTTTATGTTTAGGGTCAGTCAGTGCAGTTCAGACGCATAATCATGACACACACTCTCATTTAACTCCTGCAATGAGAAATTAGGCAGGTCAATAAATACTAATGAATTAAAAAGTAAAATTAATTGACTAGGTGTTTCAAAAAATTCAGGGTAATTATATAAATATATAGTAAATGTCAAAATAATACATAATTCATAAAATTTCACAGGCTGAAGACGCATTATACATACTTTTAAAAGGAGCTGATACTTCGTTATTCGCTGAACTGGTTTAATAAGGTAGGAAGAAATGGAATTGGCTAATCCATGTCGCTGCTGTATCTCCTGTATTAAAACCAAACAAGAAACAAGAGTTATCATAGGGCTACACTATTAAATCATGGCCATAAAACACATTACTTTTCCAAATACTGTACCTGACAACTGTTTAATCATGCTGAAATAATAAAGTTTCCTTTTCCTAAGAGGCTTTTAAATTATTAACACAAACTTCTTTGCTTCTAAAATGTTACTTCTGGAGAGGAAGGGGTACTTTGGAGCAGGAGGATCTACCTTACTGTTCAATTGCACTTTTAATGCCATGATTTGCACTTTGCATTTTGTAATTATGTCCTTTACATGCAATGATCTGTATTGCATGTAAAGGTTGTATTCCTTTACAACTGGTTGTATTCCTTGCTGTATTCCTTGCTGTGAAGACAGGCCCTGTCTGTGCTACTCACCACTTTACACTAGCACCTAAGACAGAGCTTAGAGTTAAATGAGCACCATACAGATGTTCAATAATGCTTGTTACTGGTAAGAAGCATAATCAAAGGTTATCAGATAGCCTGGAGAAGAGAGGAAGCTGTAGAAGAAAGCCTCTAAAAAAATAAACCAACTGTACAAGGAATACTGAAAGCATATAAATTGTGAAATCTCTCAGGCATGATTTCTCTTATTCTTGAAGACATGTTTTAGGGCATAAGGGTTTCTTTTTAAGTTCTGGGATACATGTGCAGAATGTGCAGGTTTCTTACACAGGTGTACATGTGCCATGGTGGTTTGCTGCACCCATCAACCCGTTGTGTACATTAGGTATTTCTTCTAATGCTATCCCTCTCCTAGACCCCCACCCCCCGACAGGCCCCAGTGTGTGATGTTCCCCTCCCTGTGTAATGTGTTCTCATTATTCAACTCCCACTTATGAGTAAGAACATGTGGTGTTTGGTTTTCTGTTCTTGAGTTAGTTTGCTGAGAATGATGGTTTCCAGCTTCATCTATGTCCCTGCAAAGAACATGAACCCATCCTTTTTTTTTTTTTTTCTTTCTTTTTGAGATGGAGTCTCGCTCTGTCGCCCAGACTGGAATGCAGTGGCGTGATCTCAGTTCACTGCAAGCTCCGCCTCCCAGGTTTATGCCATTCTCCTGCCTCAGCCTCCCAAGTAGCTGGGATACAGGTGCCCGCCACCACGCTCGGCTAATTTTTTTTGTATTTTTAGTAGTGACGGGGTTTCACCATGTTAGCCAGGATGGTGTCGATCTCCTGACCTCATGATCCACCTGCCTTGGCCTCCCAAAGTGCTGGGATTACAGGCGTGAGCCGCTGTGCCCGGCCCAAACTCATCCTTTTTTATGATTGCATAGTATTCCATGGTGTATATGTGCCACATTTTCTTTATCCAGTCTATCATTGATGGGCATTTGGGTTGGTTCCAACTCTTTGCTATTGTGAACAGTGCCGCAATAAACGTGTGTGCATGTGTCTTTATAGTAGAATGATTTATAATCCTTTGGGTGTATACCCAGTAATGGGACTGCTGGGTTAAATGGCATTTCTGGTTCTAGATCCTTGAGGAATCGCCACACTGTCTTCCACAATGGTTGAACTAATTTACACTCCCACCAACAGTGTAAAAGCATTCCTATTTCTCCACAGCCTCACCACCATCTGTTGTTTCCTGACTTTTTAATGATCGCCATTCTAACTGGTGTGAGATAGTATCTCATTGTGGTTGATCTGCATTCTCTAATGACCAGTGATGATGAGTTTTTCATATGTTTGTTGGCTGCATAAATGTCTTCTTTTGAAAAGTGTCTGTTCATATCCTTCGCCCACTTTTTGATAGGTTTTTTTTTTTTCTTGTAAATTTGTTTAAGTTCATTGTAGATTCTGGATGTTAGCCCTTTGTCAGATGGCTAGACTGCAAAAATTTCCTCCCATTCTGTTGGTTGCCTGTTCACTCTGATGATAGTTTATTTTGCTGGGGCATAAGGGTTTCTAAAATGGCTTTGATTCCAAACATTAAATGTGCTATGTGCCCTCACTGTTTAAGTGAAATACTTAATACTAAAATATTTCTAACTCCATATACAGGTGCTGAATTTTGTCTGATGGCAAAGACCTAGAATCATGTGAAATATTAACAAGAAAAGGCCACTTTGGCCTGGGAGAAGGCTTCCTATTAACAAAGGCAGTGATGTGTAATGTGTAATGTAATGGTCAGGAGAATGACAATTAAAACAGGGTCATCTACAGGTAGGGCTTCATCTCAAAGATAGAAACTGAAAAGTTTATTCTACTTCCCCAGACTTTCACATAAGAGCTGATGATCCCACCAGTCCATGCACAAGTGTAAAGACAGAAAACAAGTCCAACATCCTCACAACCTTATGCACCAAACTATGCACACTATTCAATAGCACCTTATCCTTCAATCAAAATGTATTGGCACATATTTGACCAAGTTCTGGAAACCCAGAAAGCACTCTGTGTATCACGTTCTAAAGCTCCATCTCTTTTGTGCTGAATAAGCCGCTGCAACAGCTTTCAAAACACAGATGACCTGTATCTACGTTTACTCCAATGAGAACACAATTAGTTAACCTTCTAATTATCCTAGTTGTTATGGCACTATTTGTAAAACTTTACTGGTAGGTTGTTTTTGAAAATTCGTAACATCATGAAATTAAAATAGGAAAAATAAAAAGATTCACATTTATTTTTGTTTTACTGAGGGGGAAAAGAAGCTTAATAGTTTATGCCTTCTGTATACAGTATTACAGGTGAAAAAATGTATTGAATATAAATAGTAATGATATTATAAATGACTGAATATAAATAATAACATATACACACACACAAACATACATCTATATATTACAATCTGAGTTCCTTACAGATATAAGGCTTCCAGTATTTGTGTAGGATCTTTTAAAAACAGAAGACAATAGAAGAATAGCCCAATAGACATGATAGACAAAATGATAGACAAAAATGATAGACAAAAATGAAAACATTGTACTATCAATTAGGTGAAAGTTATGAGTAATGCCGCATTTTATGTACACAACTTGGAAAATTATGGTCTCTTTAGGAATCTATTACTTACGTCAAAATAGGACCCTGCATGTTCCAATATCAGCTGAGTAGAATCAGGCTTATTTTTGCAATATGTGACATACATCTGAAACTTGTCTGCCTGTAAGCCAAAAAAAAAAAGATCTCATTTAAATCATAACAAGTCAACGCATGATAAACTTTCATATAGAAAAGAAGCAGTATGGATAACGGAAATTTAAGCCTCGAGTTGAAGAGACTCTATTTTAAAAAGAAAGCTACTGAAATAAGAAACACATCGTTCTGACAGCATGCAGCTGCAGCAGCCTCCCCGACCCCGACACGTCGGGCTGAGCACCAGTCCTCTCTTTCCACAGTCACGCGTGCAGAGCTGGCTGTGGGCTTTGGACAGCATGACCGCACGTTCACCTGTCTGCCTCCCCTCTAGACTAGACGATCCCCCAGAAGGACTGGGAACTCACCTATCAGCAAATCCCCAGGGTCAAGCGGAGACCTGGCACACTAAATATTCTATTTCAAACCATCACCAGGGCCAATAAAAAAACTCACTCCACAAAAACAATTAGTTGAAGTATGCAATTCTTTGAGGTAAAGTCTATTTCTCCGCAAGCATGGATATGAGCAGAAGATGGTGACTTAAAGGAAATGAAGACCATCCCTCCTAACTTCCTTCAACGTCACCTAATAGCTGGGAGAGAACAAATGGTTGAGGTTTCATTACCCAAGTAACAAAACAATGTCCAACATCCTCTGGCAACTGTTCATATTTTTCCAGCTCCTTTAGGAATATGCTGCAAAGAATAAAAATGGTATCATATTACAAAGGTGTTTTAAAACATTTTACTAGTGAGATATGCCAGAAACTGAGAAATCTGTGCCCCCTAAAGAATGAACAAAACATGTAGCTCTTAACTAGGGTAAGTTATTGTGACTTTCAAACAGCTAGCCAGTTTCGCCTTCAAATGCTTTCTAACAAATTTATTTCTGGGCAAGTGCTAGTGTGTTCACTGAGCATATACTTCGGAGACGTAAATATTTGGCTGAAGACCCATTTGGTCTTTTCTGCCTTCTGCTGAGGGGTGAGGGGACTGCGCTCTTGCTGACCCCAGCATCATCTCATCACAGGCCACCTAAAGGAGCTTCTGCTGCCGCTGCTTTAACAATATTAAAAGAGAATCATGTACCTCCTGTGGCCAAAGGAAAATGCATTTTATTTTGGTCAGAATACACTTCTGTTGCTTCTTCAGTTCCTTTCTCTTACTATAAGAGAGCAAACAGCATAGGCCTGCAGTCCCAAGGGGGCTCCACTGTCTCTCAACCCTCAGAAGTAAGTCACAGGGCACCTGACGGCTCGGCTTCAGAGAAATTAAGCTTCCTATAAAAATATTTTCATAGTTTTCCTGATCTTATTTCTGTAGAAGATAAGTACAAACATAAAGTTGAGTCTGTATTAAAAGAATTTCTAGAATGTCAGTCTTTTTGGAGAAAGACTGATAGGCTTCATTCAAATGGAAACAAAATCACTGAAATCTGCTTAATTCAATGGGAATGGTTCATTTCTTGTGATGAAACTTCAGCACATGGATTTCAAGCGTAACTGCTCCCAAAGAAAAAGCCACTCACTTATTATGAAATTCGTAGATTTCTTGCATGTTTCCGAAGATGATGAGTTCTTTGTTTACAATGCCAGGTGGAATCTCTTCCACGCCACTGGTCATTTCCCACAGGTACGTCTAGCCGAGAGGGAAACAGGGATTAGACAAAAATAATCACCATATTTTCAAGAAACAGCTGTTTCTGACATCTGTAAACACACAGAGTTAATGTATAAGTGAAAGTATAACTAAGGACTGGACCCTTTTACAAAACATAAAAAACCCTTCTAAAAAAGGCCCTCAGTTGCTGTTAATACTTGAGAGGAGTTCCTATACTTTTCAACTCTAAAATTATTCCCAGCTTCAAATTTTGGAATTAACCTACTCCACAAGTATAACCAATATTCCTGATACCACTGAGTATTAGTTGCCAGTCATAATTAGTAGGCACATTTCTCTGAAGCTGCTGTACAATTCTATACAAAGAGAGTGTTAGCCAGGCCATCATGTGATAAACAGAATGAGAGGATTAATGCTGTATCATCTCTGTAATGAGTGAAAAACAAACCTAGAACTCTACAGAAGTGCAGAAACATGAAACCGGCTGCTGAAGCATACTTTACATTTAAAAAAATGACAGAAAAAAATTGTGATTATTCTAAGGACTACCAACAGGTAAGAATAAAATAGCAAGCTTATGCTCAATCTAAATAAACAAGCAAAAAAAAAAAAAAAAAACTTACTTACATCCATACATTCCCGGAGGTCTCTTACATAAGCCTTTTCAGTTTGAATGAGCTCAGCCATTATGAACCTTAAAGAGAGGAAGACAGTGAGGAGTACAGTCAGGGTGCAGCTTACTTCACTATCTACTTTTATGGATTTATGAAATAACAGAGTGGGTCTAAAAGTATTAGTCTTAGATTGATCATTTTGGAGAGGTGAATCACAAATAGAACAGTATCCACCCGCTAATTCAAAGGGGAAAAAAAGATTTCTGCACACACTTTACTGAGGTACCGACAGATCAGGGTTTCTCAACCTGGCACTGTGGACATCTGGGGCCAGGTAACTCTGCTGTGGGGCTGCCCTCTGCACTGGAGAGTGCTCAGCAGCTTCCCACTAGAGGCCAACAGCACTCCCTCCCCCTCCCCACTGTGACAACCAAAGTGTCCCCTCACATTGGGGGCAAAACTGCCAATTAAGAACCACTGGATTAGAGCACTCTTTTTTATTTATATAGAGTTTACTAACTGGCAACTTTTACACAACTAAATTTGTTTTAGGCGTGATAAAAACTATTAATTTCCTCTCCTTAGTGTCACTATCTATTAATGACAATTCATCAACTCCAAATGAAACACAGGCACAGGGATAAAAACTAGATGCTGTTTCTGAACCAGGTGATAAGAGGACAGTGAACGCAGCGAAGTCTGTGCTGACACAACTAAGTCCACCCAGAGCAACAAAAAGCCTGGGTGCCATGTGACTTCAAAGCACACACAGAAGCATGTCTGTCCAAATGACATTCTCTTCACTTTTCCAGTGAATCCTGGTAGATTCTGAAAGACTGGCTTACTCTTTCCTGCGGGCAGATTTCCGCTTCTCTTCATTAAGTTCATGAGCAGCATCTCGAAGTTTCACCTCTGAGCCAGGGATACTGGCTGGAATGATATCTAGCTGGAGACTTTTACTCTGTGGAATAACAGAGCCAATGAACTCAGTTAATTAAATCAGCAGAGAGGGCGTTAGGAAGAAGACCATAATTTATTCAGTTTGCACAAGGCCATTTACCGATTTGTTGGAATCTGAAGAAATCCCCAGGGCTTTTTCCAAAGAGGTCCTGTACTTCTCCATCCGCAGAGAGAAATCTCTGTACCTCTTATCCACAGCAGTAACACATTTTTTTATCTCTGCCGCATGGGCATGCCCTTTTTCACAAAAGCCATCAGCCAGCTGTATCAATAGCTTCACTCTCTCTTTGGTTTGCTGCAAAAAACAACAGGAAAGTATTGTGAGGCAAATGAATCCGACTGCCAGAAACCTCAAACACAGTGGCGACTTGACTCCAACTCTGAGCTCTGAACAGGAAAACCGGCTGATGGTAGAAACTGAGACCAAAGCCCCAGGTCCACCCACTCCATCTCCCGGATTCCTGACCAGCTATCTCTCCTCAGCTCTGCTACAACGAATGGCATTTTTATGACCTCAAAGAATAAACTTAGACTATTTTTCAGCAACGTCTTCATCTAGGAGGTGCTTAGTAAAAATGTGTAGAATGGATGCATGGAGGAATGTATGCGAAGAACGCGGTCTTCACAATGCTGCTACTCTCCTCAAAGCCGCTGAGCAAAGACAGCTCCTCGCTCTATGCATGTTTACTCTTTGTGCCCAACTGGACCCACAGCTCTTTCGGGGCAAGCAGTCATCTGACTTTTTGGTTTTCCTGAAGCATGTGTGGCCACGGCTGTCCCCACAGCAGGCACTCAACAAAATTCCTCATGAAGCTCCTCTGTGTCGTGTTGATTGCTTTAACTCTCAGAAAATGTGAAGGAAAATTCACTAGTCAGGAAATCATCTATATAGAGGTACTGTAAATTTTGTTTCCCTGTTTGAGAGCTCTCTCTAAAATTATTCTATTTTGTATGTACACAGAAAAGATCTTTCATTAAGTTAAGCATAGTTTATTATTTTTCACAGAGATACACAGACAACCATACAACAAGTTATATATACCATTTGGCAACCTCACTCAACTCTGACTTCTCAACAGCTCTCTCTCTTCACATCCATTTCGATGGTTATTACTATTAGGCTTCCTTTGTTATAGTGTTTTCAAATAAGTGAGTTACTCCTCTTCTATGGAACCTGCTATTCTCCATTAAGCTTTAACTAGAAAATCTTTTTAACACATATTCAGGAAACTGACTTTAAAAATCCCCAAAAGAAAGAAGGTCGGAGTTCAAAACCCAGATAAATGATCTTAGCTTGTAAAATCAAAGTTCTAAGCCATAATTCACTGGGTAACCTGTGAAGTCAGCTGTCAAGATCCTCCAGACTCTACACAAATAACCCCAACACTCCAGCCAGCCCCTAGCCACCCAACAGCACCCCCGTCCCCCAGCTGTGGCTCACCAACTCACCCCTCCAGGCCAGCACCCTCCTTGGGGCCTCTGCACTGGTGCTCCTGCCTGGAAAGCCACTCCCCCAGATATCCCTATGGCTCCTTCATGTCTCTACTCAAATAAACGCCACTCTCTTAGCGGGCCCTCCCTGGACCCCCTTAAACTGCAGCTTGCCTCCCTGCCTATTCTTCTGCTCTGCTGCTTCCCATAGCATGTATGGCCTTCTGACAGAGGGTGCAAGTGATTTTTTACAATCGTCGTCTGTCCTTCTCCTGTGAGAACGTCACCTTCACAGCCCAGAAATCTTTGCTTGTTTCACTAACATCTCTTACATTGCCACAAGGGCCATCTGTGGAGGGCACTGTAAACTACCTGTATGTCTATCTTTAAGGGGTTAAGAAAGCTATTGAGTGTTTTAAGTGATGGGGACACAGAAGTGAAGATAAAAAGATAATGCAGCTTGCCAAAATTAAACAAGAATTATTGAGCAACTGAATGGTGTGATAAAAACTAAGTACCATAAATCTGCTAACCTATGAACTTTAAAAATATCTCAGTATATTTTTACTTGCATTGGTATTTTTAAAATACATTTACAGGATTCAAAATTCCAAAGATAAAAAAGATACAAAGTAAAAACTCTTCTCACCCCACCTTCCACTGTCACCAGTTCCAATCACCAGCTTCTTGCTATCACTTCAGAGACATTTTATGTGCATGTACAAGCAAGTGCGCAAATGTATATAAGTATTTTTCTCTCTCATATTTCTTACACGTGTACTTGCATACAACACACACTGCTCTGTATTAGCATTTTCTACTGAACACATCCTAGTTGTCCTTCCTGATCAGAACTAAAGTCCTCGCCTGTGTTTAGGTAGAGCTGGGTAATATTTCACTATATGGATGTGAACTGTGTGGATGCACGTAAGTTAACGTCTCTCCACCAATAGGTCTCCGTGTTGTTTCCAAATTCCGTCTACCACGGCAACAATGCAAGAAATCCATCAGTTGCATGAACGGTGGTTAGACACGTGCCTGAGTGCTGCTGCCGTAACACACATTGTGAGACCTGGAACTGCTGGGGCAGACAGGAAGTGCAGTGTGAGCAGGCAGGAGTGCGAGGGGGCAGGAAGATGCCACCGGAGGCCTCTGAGGGGCTGCCCTGCTCCACTCCCCCAGCAACGGAGCCTCGTCCACGCAGCATGGGGTCCACCTTTTTGATCTCGGCTAATCCACTGGGTGAAATGAACTCAGTGTGGTTTTGATGTACGCTTTTCTTATATTAAGTAAAGTTGATGATCTCATGGTGAAGGCCATTTATTCCCTTGCTATGACACATGTTTAATATCTTTTGTCCATTTTCTTGGTCTTTTTTTTCCTTATTGATTTGTAAAAGTTCTTTCTTACTGGCAAATCAGTCCTTTGTGATATGAGCTGCCTATATATCTTCTCTATTTCATTTTTAACTTTAGATGTTCCTTATGGTGGACTGTCTTGTGTAAAGTTTTACATTTTTTTGTGTAGGTGAATTTATTAACCTTTTCTTTCATGGTTTGGATTTTGTGTCATTTAGACAAATTTCTCCATACGAGGATATAAAAAATATCCTGTTATTTCTTCTGGTACTATTAGGTACCACTGCTGATATTTAAATCTTCTTCTGGTATTTATCTCGGTATCAAGGTGAGATATAAATCCAACTTAATTTTTTTTCCAAAGCCATTTACCTTGGAAAACATCATTAAAAAAAATTCTTACATCTTTTAAAGTGAGATATTATAAGGATTTTCATTCTTATTCTATTTGTTATCTCTAGAGATCGTTACAGTGCTTAAAAAGCACATAAACATTTTAACTGAACAACTTCATCTGTAGGCATAATCGAGGAACTGGAGAAAAATAAAAGCAAATTGAAGTCTTAAGTCCACAAGCTCAAGAGAGCTTTGCTCATCATTTTCTTAGACAGAAATTCAATGGTGTTAGACACTTTCTAACAAAGTAAGGCATTTGGCATTGCGGACGCTGGTGATCAGGACCACAGGAAGCCCTATGGGAAGAAGGCTGTGGCGTCAGTAAGGCAATGGCTTCCGGACCTCAGTGTGTGCAAAAATCAAGTGGTGAGCTGTTCAAATGCTCATCCGCAGGCCTCACTCCAAGAGAGCCTACGTCACTAGGTTTGGAGTGAGGACAGAAATCTCTCTTAAATAAACACCCACAACCTGGATGCAGGTGGTGCCTGCAAGACCCGTGGAGAAATGACTGCACTGAGAGCTGCAAAGGGACCGAGCCGAGTCTCAGCGAGCCGGGGATGGGAGACTCTTGTTTAGCCTTCCAGCTTCATTTCCATCAACACTAAAAATGTTATAACATTGTAACAAGTGCACTGAAAGACTTTCCTTTCAGAGCTAAGAATTCTCTATACAGTAAAAGCAAAATGGTTTCTTAGAAGATTCTAAGATCGGGTGACAGAAGGCAAGTGAGGGAGCCTCAGCTCATGATGAAAAATCAAAGGACATCTCCAAACACCAAAGCAGGTGTTTTCTGATTAAGGGAAAGGCAGTCAGAAACCAAAGAAAAAGATTGCTAAGAAAAGGAAAGGTGAGGGGTGTTCTTTTCAAAATCTACCAGTTCCTCCTGGTATAACCAATTCAATAAACCCAACAAAAGAAACAGTTCTACATATCTGAGGATCAGAAAGGTCATATATCACTCACAATTTTAGACATTTCTTATAAAATACAAGAATAAAAATAAGCCTGTCATTGCCCAATCTTTCAATAACCACACATCAAACTTGAGGAAAAGGAGTATTCAGGAATGGAAAAATTCTTTCATATACACTTTATTAGTGGAGCAGGCCACCATGTTACTCAATTCCAAATAGTCATGTGTACATCACATCCCCCATGCATGGCCCCTGGAGCTGGGCAGTGAGCAGGCTGTCTGGCCATACACAATGGCCTGCAGAGTGGAGCAGAGGTGAAAGATGGCAAATCTTAAATCTAGCTTTGAGTGTGGTATGTGATGTTAGGCATTTTCTTAATACCTTTATAATCAAACAATATTCAAATAAGCAGACATAGCTTGGGACTTTAGGCGCACACACCACCATGCCCAACTAATTAAAAAAAATTCTTTTTGTAGAGACAGGATCTTGTCATCTTGCCCAAGCTGGTCTCAAACTCCTGGCCTCAAGCGATCCTCCCACCTCAGCCTCCCTTGAGCTCAGGAGTTTGAAGACGATCCCTTGAGCTCAGAAGTTTGAGGATGCACTGAGCCATTATGGTGCCACTGCATTCCAGCCTGGGTAACAGAGCAAGTTCCCATGTCTAACACACACACAGACACACACACACCCCTAAATACGGATCATATAATGTGCATAACTATTATGTATTCCAGCCTGGGTAACAGAGCAAGATCCCATGTCTCACACACACACAGACACACACACGCCCCTAAATACAGATCATATAATGTGCATAACTATTATGTATTCCAGCCTGGGTAACAGAGCAAGATCCCATGTCTAACACACACACAGACACACACACGCCCCTAAATACGGATCATATAATGTGCATAACTATTATGTAATATCTAAATATTAACAAAAAGTGAAAACTGTCCAGCCAGGTGTGTATGTGGAGGAGGAAAAGCCATGATCCCTCCCTGCAGGGGAGGGTGGGGCGGCCCTCCTTAGAGCTCATTGTGCCTCTGGGGGCAGCTACTGTCCCCTGGTCCTGCGCCCTGCCCTCCCCCAGTGCTCACCACACCCCCACCCTGGGCCGGGTCTTCTTGCTGCGCCCCCCATGCCTGGTCTCTCTGCAGCCCTGCTTGCCTGTGTGAGCCTCCAGGATAGGAGCCGTGGAAAAGGAGAGAGCCCAGCACCTCAGGGCCGAGGGAAAGGAGAGCTTTGGGGACCAGGAGCAGAGAGTGGCAAAGAAGAGCAGGAGGAGTCAGTAACAGTAACAGAAAACATAAACATGGACAAATAAATATAATACAAAGTAGCTGTCCTCTCTCTACATGATTGAAAAATTCCTGTTATGTTTTCAAAGCCAGGGTAGGGGCCACAGGAGATAACCAATCTTGCTACTTTATAGAAACACTTCTTTTTAACCAAAAATATTATCCCACTTATCATTTATTTCCCACTCTTATACATTTGAAATAATTGTCAGATTTTTCCAAAAACTCGAAATCTGTCATCAACAATAGAGGCACTTCAGAAAATACTACAAAGGACGTATACTCAGACTCTGAAAAACAACAACCCCACAGGTTGTAATGGTGACTTGAAAAGAGCCTCAAAACTGTTGTGAGTTCTTGGAAGGACTCAGCCTCTGCAGGTATAAGCCTTAATTGGGACAACATTCAGGTCAATATGCAGATTCTTATATTTTTCCTCAAAAAGCCATATTTACTCACACATATGGCATATGCCATAAAGATAATTCGATTTCATAATTTTATTTTTATTTTCAGGAGAAAAATGAAAATGCCTCAAGTTTTAGACACCTCTGAACAAGCACTAACAGAGGCGATGACACAGACTCTGCCAACCATAAAACACAGACAACTGCAGACTAAACTGAGCGTGAGCAACACGACTGTAACAGTTTTCACCATCTAAAGACGGTGAAACACCCCCAGGTGTAGGAAAGAAAACACCCCAAGAATACATAAAGGTCAACTTGGGGACACCAAATAGTGTTTCATAAAAATAGCAAGTCCTCAGAAAACATCTTAGAGAAGTAAACAGGAAGGGGAAAGTGTAGAAGGGAATAATGGGAAGGACAAGGAAGAAAAGGAGAGAGATGGCCGTATTCACAGACATCAGAGGGACAAAGGACACAGATGAAGGGAGGAGGTGGAGGACACGGAGGGACACACGTGAACGGAAGGAGGAAGCATCCTCCAGTTAATGTGGAACAGCCCACTGGGTCATCCTTTTCTCCAATCTCATGAGGTATTTCTTTATGATATTTTTGAAGACTCGCTTTCGACTTAGAGGCCACTATACAAAGTACACTCTGAACCCACCTTTGCAGTTATCTGGAACTCCTCGTGCTCTTTCAGGAGCTCCTGGGTGTGCTGTATACTGGAGCCCGTGGAGGTGTGTGTGGAAAGGTAGAACTCGCCATTGTCATGGATCCATTCCAAAGCCTGGAAGGGGAAGGAATGAATGGAGTCAGAGGGCTACACATTCCTGAGAGGAGCCCAAAGCCCCGAGCACCTCATTTAAAGGTCAAATCACAAACCAAGGCTGGCAGCATCGAGAAGCATTCCCTCCCAGAGAGGCAAGTTTCTTAAATAAAACTGAAGTGTGACCACAATTACAAAATTTTTAAAAAGGATATTCTAGATGGTTATAACAGTATCACTTATGTCGCAACAATAAAAAGTTTGAGTTTCTTAGTATTCCATGGTGTATATGTGCCACATTTTCTTTATCCAGTCTATTGCTGATGGGCATTTGGGTTGGTTCCAAGTCTTTGCTATTGTGAATAGTGTTTCAATAAACATACGTGTGCATGAGTTTATAGTAGAATGATTTATAATTCTTTGGGTATATACCCAATAATGGGATTGCTAGGTCAAATGGTATTTCTGGTTCTAGATCTTTGAGGAACTGCCATACTGTCGTAATGAACTAATTTACACTCCCACAAAAAAAACAAAAAATAGTTTGAGTTTCTTGTAACCATGAACCTAAAGGCATAATAAAAGTACAATGAAAGAAACCACTACTATGAGCCTTTTCAGGAAGGGACTAGAGTGCAGAGAGAGGGGAGTCAGCCGCCCTGGGGAGCGCCCTGGAGCAGAGGGGCAAGGGGACATGGCCAGGGCAGCAGTGGGAAGCGGGATGGGATACGACAGGATGGGGCTGAGAAACCCAGAGGTCTGCGCCTCCTGGACCTGGTGCAGGAGCGAGGGAGGAGCGAGGAGCGAGGAGCGAAGGAGGAGGCGGGGCGCGAAGGAGGAGGCGGGGCGCGAAGGAGGAGGCGGGGCGCGAAGGAGGAGGCGGGGCGCCGGGAAGAGGGAACTGAGAACACCACACCTAGTTGTTTCTAACAACACGTAAGACAAGAGGGACACGGAGACAGGGAACCGAGAGTGCAGTTCTGCTTCTCATAAAGTCACTGTGGAGTGATGTCAAGGATGTAACTGGGATTTGTGAATCCGGAGACCAGAAATGGAGGCCTGGGCTGGGAGACAGCGCACAGAAAAGACAGAAGAGGAAAGAGAGATAAGAACAAGCCAAAAATGAGCGCCAAGAAAGGCAATGACTAGAGTGGGAGATAGGAAGGAGAGCAGTGAGGCCTGGGGTGGGTGGCCAGCAGGCGGGAGGGGCCTGCGCCAAGGCAAGATCAGCAAGAGCCCTGGAGGCCGGTCTGCGAAAGCACTGGGTATGTGCTGCATATTGTGACAGTGAACAGAAGCAGAACGGCTGGAAGGCAGATGGGGCACCACCTGCAACAGCACGCACTTCAGGATTTTATTTTCGGTGAATAAGCGGACTTTAGGAAAATGCAACAATACATTCCATTATCTTTCTCTGCCAACAAAATTATGTACAATTTTGCTTTTCTATAGCTGAGGGATTGTCTTTCAAGAGAGATAATAAAGTTATGTGAGAAAAGAACCTGAAACCATCTCTAATTAGAAATCTAACCAGGCCTCCGATGATCTTGAATATGGTTAAACTGTCTAATAAATGTTAAGAGAGTATAATTTACTAAACGTGACTGCATGCCACCTGGCTGTTGGGAACATGCTGGCTACACCTGGAACGTCACCAGGAGGAGAGAAGGACCAAGGTGGGGCGCCAGATCCCTGGCCTAGGAACCCAGTTCATCTAACTCTGGGAACTGAGCAGTTCTGAGCATGGGCTGCGTCCTTCTAGACTTACATTTTTCAGATTGGAACAAGAGCTGTTCCTTAAGTGGGAAACCTCTGCTAAGAAAGTTAATTTTTCTTCAGCTAAAAAGCATGTATCCAATGCCTGCTCTGGATCAGCTGCATATGAGGTTGCAAGCTGGATTCAGAAAATGGGTCCGTGTCGTGGTCAGAATGTGGGTCAACACCAACTGTCATCACAGAATTGCCCTGGGGGACTTTAAGGCACCCAGACCAGGGCTGGGCCACACACAGACGCTGGGGGAATCACCTTCTCCCCTGTGCTTCCCTCCAGACCCCCCAAATTCTGGATGAAAGTTTACGGATTCTTAAGCAACCATTAAGGCAAAACAGAAGTGACAGGAATCTTAATATTTAAGACGGGGTCAGATTTTTACAATAAAATGATCTTCGTCCATGACTGATGATACAGGCAGAAGCACTTCATCCCAAAATGACTTAAGAAGGGGATACTCCAAATGTACCCCCTTGATACATCAACACTTTTTGACTATACTAAATTATTAGAAATTCTGGGCCAGGTGCGGTGGCTCATGCCTGTAATCCCAGCACTTTGGGAGGTCAAGGTAGGCAGATCACCTGAGGTCAGGAGTTCGAGACCAGGCTGGCCAACATGGTGAAACCTCATCTCCACTGAAAATATAAAAATTACCCAGGCGTGGTGGTGGACGCCTGTAATCACAGCTACTTGGGAGGCTGAGGCAGGAGAATCACTTGAACCTGGGAGACAGAGGTTGCAGTAAGCTGAGACCGTGCCATTGCACTCCAGCCTGGACAACAAGAGCAAAACTCTGTCTCAAAAAAAAAAAAGAAACAGAAAAAGAAAGATATTCTGTCACATTTCCTACTTAATTTTAACTTGATTAATCGGAAAAATAAAAACTTTGTCTTGAAAATATAAATACATCAATATAAAAAAAAATCCATCATATTTACCTAAGTACAGAACCAAGATTCCCCAATAATTTTTAAATAATCCTTGTCATTATTACTTGTACTTTGCTGTCTTAGAGATGAGGTAAAGACAGTAGGGGAAGGCACACTTGCTGAGGGTCAAAATCACTGAGTGACATGCTTTTACCAGGCTGTGGGGTTTTCTTTTTATAACAAACTTAACTAGAAGGCTATACTGTTTGTCATTAGAAAGTGGTTTTCAAGATGGCGGAAATGTCAAGCTCAGCCTCTCTGTGGAGACAGGTGTGAGCACGGGAGTTTAGGGGGAGGCTGGGCACCAGGTGTGCACTGACCTGCTTGGCACTCCTCTCAAAGACCACGTACTGCTGACACTGGTCCAGCCGTCTCTTCCTCATGGTCCAGTAATGCAATACCCTGTTCTCCCGTTGGAAGAGTTCATTCAAGATATCTGAGAGAAAAAAGAAAATGATGTATGTTGGTGCTTGCAATCAATTAAAACAACCGCGAAATTCCATTCATTTTTATTTAGACTTTTATGCAAATGCCATTGCAAGACAGCACGATAAATAAAGAATCACACTGCTTTCCTGTCTCAGTGAGCATGTCTACCAGACCTCTTCTCACTCTCACCTCCATTTGACCATCTTACGATAAAGACACCACTGGAAATTTAACGTCAGTCTGTAATACCTCCGGCTGGATGGATTCGTGGGATATGTGTATTTTGTAATATGAATTCGACATAATGCACAATTTTATAATATGCAATTCGACAATGGCTGAAAAAAAATCAGCATTTTTTTCAAGACTATTAAAACCTTGTGTAGATGGACTTTTATACAGATTAAAGGTTGTGTCAAAATAGTGGAGTAATAATCAACAAGGGTGGATTAAAAAAAAAGAAAAACCAAGCTGGGCGCGGTGGCTCACGCCTGTAATCCCAGTACTTTGGGAGGCTGAGGCGGATGGGTGGATCACCTGAGGTCAGGAGTCTGAGACCAGCCTGGCCAACATAGCGAAACTCTGTCTCTACTAAAAATACAAAAATTAGCAGGGCATGGTGGCAGGTGCCTGTAGTCCCAGCTACTTGGGAGGCTGAGGCAGGAGACTTCCTTGAACCTGGGAGGCAGAGGCTGCAGTGAGCCAAGATCATGTCATTGCACTCCAGCCTAGGCGACAGGGCAAGACTCCGTCTAAAAAAAAAAACAAAAAAAAATACAAAACCATAACCCCTTAGGAGAGGAAAGGACATGAAGTGGGGAAGCAGAGAAGCATGAAGCTATAAAGGCAAGAAAAAAAAAAACAAACCTCATGACACAAACATTTAAAATGTCATAACCAAACAAGAACCACCAAAAACTGGTGCACAGACAAAAAATTTTTAAGCATTGGGAACATATGACATAGAATAGTCAACAGAAAAACGATGAACAATTCTTTAGAAGAATGAGTAAAGCCTATAAATACGAAGTTCACAATTTAAAAAATACAGTCACTAAATATACAGGAACACATTTAACCTCAAACAATGAGACCATCTTTCACTGCTTTCCTGCTAGACGGGTAAGATCCAGTGTTGGAAAGAGTAAGGGAACAGGTAATCATGATCCTCTATTATGGAGGGAGAAAAACTGAGTATGATGACCCCAGGGAATGACACTGAAAAGGTGCATGCATTCCTTTGAACTGGGAATTTAACTTTCAGATGAACAGTGCTTACACAACTATTCAAAACTGTTTGTACAAAGATGTTGGAACACTGAAGCGCTGGTTAGAACAGTGGAAAATAGGCAGCAATGTATGACCCATCAATTGAGAGACAGGTCAAATTAACTTCAAAAATGCTATACTGGGTATTAAAAAGAACAGCAGATCTTTAAATTCTGACACAGAAAGATGACTAAGATATATTATTAAGTGAAAGATGCAAGTTGCAAGGTAATATAGTCCCATTTTTGTAACAAATTAAAAAGTGGGATGGGTGAGTGAAATATATGTTTGTATTTCTCTACATATTTACATTTACATGCACAGACAGGTTGCACAAAAGCCTTGACAGTGGTTACCAGTAGCTAAGGAATTAGCTAACATATGTATTTGTACACTTTTTGAGTTTTTGACACTAAGTCTGTTTTGCTCTAGAAGTTTATGAAACAAACAAAAAACTTAAGAAAAAAATTCCCAAGACTGAAACTGCAAATCAAATAAAGGGTTCCCGGTAACTTTATTACACTGGAAAACCATTAATATAGGAAGTTTTCCACAAATACTTACTGAGTTCCTAGCAGTCTGTACTTTGTGATAAGTAAGAACAGAAGAGCAGCATTTACATCCAGCCTAACAACAGACTCTCTCAATACTACCTCCAAAATGAACCCCAAATTTATTGACTTTTCTCCATCTCTACCATTATCACCCTAAATACCACCATATTCTTATGGTGACAATATGGTGTCATCATTTTTGATGACAATAAAAAATGCCTTTAGACACTGCCAACTATCCCCCAGGGACCAGTGGTCATGCTGTTATTTTTACTCCACTGAAGAGGTAAACTAGCACAGTGAGATAAATTAAAACTTTGAAATCTGAAGTCTGCTAAAAAATTAAGCTATCACTTACATGAAAATATTGCACATGAAAATGAATATGAGATAACGCATTTTTTCTAGTCTCCTATTTCCACAGTCTCTGCCTGAGCCAGTACTAATTTCGGGCAAGTGAGCAGCAAACAGTGCTAAGCGCCCTCTTGGATACGGGGCTTCCTCAAGCTCCTGGGGGTCCTCTGACCACGTGGTCTGAGACTCCTCCTTGCCTGTGCCTTGGGGTTAGACTGTCTTTTCTGCCACCATTACTCTTACAGGAACTTAGTGCACTGACTCGAGCATAAATAAACCTTTCACCCCCAAGTAGGCTCTGAGGGAAACAGAACACTTCTATTTTAATTCTTCACAGCATCCAACATTAGGATATACAACAGCAAAGGCATAATGAAGATCTAACGAGGGAATAAACGAAACACAGTCTCCCTCTCACACAAAAACGTGTGTCAAACTAGCGCAACCTAAAAAGGACCACAATATCTTCAATCAGAAAAGACAGGACACAACCAACAAATGAAAGCAATATTGAGAGATGGGTGAACTTATTTCTACAGGAAATGAGCCAAATAAACCAATTATCAATGCAAATAACTTGCTGGCCCAGAAGACTTATTCATGCAGAAAAACGGTTGCTTTTGTGAGTTGCACATTTTTCCAGAAGAAAAAGCCCATCAATAAATATGTTTTACTGAAAGAACTTAGAGAATTATAGTGGTGTAACAAAATTATTTTGTGACAACTAACAGATGAATCAGATGAGCAGACAGTAGAATGTAATGTACAAAGTTTTTGCCAATCATATTGTTTTGAAAAGTGTGAGATGAATCATTTGCTAACTGATTATCACAATTTTTTTTCCTATAAAACTAAACTTAGGCTGTGTATCCCTGGTCAAAGTTACTTGCTTTGTGCCTTAGTTTCTTTATCCATTTTCCTTCCACATCAATCCTATTACAATTTAGTATACGTTTTCCCAGACCTTTTTCTAAACACTTACACACACACACACAAACACGGTTTTACAGGTTTTTACACTCAAATGATATAACCTATATATTATTATTTTTCAATTTGTTTTTATTAACTATGCCTTAGGTATACAAAATTAATAATACTTTATAGTGATAAAATTGGGATGTATTTTCTCTATTTGAGCTTTTAAAAATCCTTTGCCTATAGATAACTCTGGTTTTCCCTTTCCCCCTATTTATTTTTTACTTACTTTAACAAAATAGCCAATGTCAGTAAATATCATCCTGAATTTGCATTTTCTCCCTGTTTATATTCTTCAACTTATTCAATAAATTATCAACCTATTCAATATAATATCAACCTATAAATTTGTTTAATCTTTTTATTATTAAACTAAGATCATTAGTAAGGACTTCATTAACATGAAACGGACATTTAAAATGAAACTGAAGTTGAGAGTTCAGAACACAACGTGCAGGCTCCTTTTGTCTCTTGCCAGGCATGCACTGGGCCACCCCTGGAGACTCCCAGCTCTACTCACTTTTCACTTGCTGTTCAGGAGCTTTGATGTGCGTCACCATTCCTGGCATGTTCACGCTGTTCCTGTGCAGGTATTTCAGGAAGACGTCTGCATTCCTCCGAGCAAGGGTGCAAGCCTAAAAAACAATGGAGAGCAATGTGTTGCTAATTTGACTTCTACAAACGTGTATTTGGAGTACACATCACTGCACTCTAACGTATGTCTTTACCTAAAATATTTATCTGGCCACCTGCTGGTTTAGAAAATGCATAGGATAAAATCTAATTCAATTAAAAAAAAATCTCTCTCTCCTGAAGCCCTCGCTCTGATGACACCTGCTGCTACATTCTGCCCTATAGAGAGGCCCATGGGGCAGGAAACAGAGGGCAGCCCCTGGCTTACGGTCACGGAGGAAGGGAAGCCCTGTCTCCGTCCAGTCTAGAGAGGTTTGCACACCTGGCCTGACCCTGGATCACAGCCTAAGGAGTGACCTTGAGCTGCAGAACTCAGCTGGGCTGTGCCTGGATTTCTACGTAGGGTAGACAGTAAACACTTTCAGTTTTGGGGGGTCATACAGTCTGTTTCTCCGTCACAACTACTCAAACAAACAACAGATGAAAGCAGCCACAGGTGACAGGTAAACTGTATCAATGTGGCCCAACTTAGCCCTCAGTTCAGAACTTGCCAACCCTGGTTGAAACTTTGTTATGTGATGTTATTATGGTAACTGACAATATGTGTTTATGTTTATGCAGCAGGATAAACCAAACCAGTTTCATTCACATATTTTAAAATAAGGGTTTTAGATAAAAGAATACAAATATAAAATCAAAGAAGGTAAGGAAAAAACCCTTTAATTATATGTGAATTGGAAACATCTTGTGCATTTCCTGTCTTGGGTCTGGAATTAATCTTTTCTTCAAGGAGCTCTATCTCCTTCTAGTGTTAAATGGTATTTAGAGCCCACAGTCTAGTCATTCGGGATGGTCAGGGCTTTGGGGTTGGTCACTGTTTCCAGACTTTTTCAGTAGATGGAGCGAGGCTACCTTTTTTTCAATTAAGAGAAAAACACATCATGAGTCTCTACTGATTCGTGTGAAATTTCGAGTTGTCTGATATGGCCTGGCTCTGTGTTCCCACCCAAATGTCATCTTGAATTGTAATCCGAATTGTAATCTCCACATGTCAGCGGTAGAAACCTCGTGGGAGGTGACTGAATCATGGGGGTGGTCCCCCATGCTGTTCTCGTGCAGCAACTGAGCTCTCACAAGATGTGATGGTTTTGTGAGGGGCTTTTCCCTGCCTCACCCTGTACTTCTCTCATTCTTCTACTTCCCGCGCCATGTGAAGAAGGACGTGTTTGCTTCCCCTTCTGCAGTGACTGTAAGTTTTCTGAGGCCTCCCCTGTCCTATGGAACTGTGAGTCAACTAAACCTCTTTCTTTTATAAATTACCCATTCTCAGGTATTTCTTCACAGCGCATGAGAATGGACTAATACGCTGTCAAACCAAACAACAAGGAAGACGCTGAAGACTACGAGGGTGATGGCTAAGGACAGCTAAGCAACCTGCCTTGAAAGGGCTCCTATGGATAGGATGAGCTGCGTGTTAAAAGATAAATGACAGTGACTGCTTTGAAACACACCAAATATATTTAAATCCATGATGATACTAAAAAAAAGTCATATGTAGAAGTTGCTATAGCAACAATTCATTATCCTGAAAATGGCAAATAAAAAGGATCAAGCAAGCATTTACTCTGCCTTTTCTGGACAAACTCTACTTTAGAATAACCAAATAGCTGAGAGGGAATAATTCTAGCTAATCGAGGCCAAAGGAAATGATAGAATTAGAGTATTACCATTTTGCAATTCCTAAAAAACAGTTATTACCACTGGGTACTAACACCATTAGCTGAAAGGCTGATGGGAAGTACAGAGGGATGAACTGCACTGACCGTACTTGAACCACTGATCAATCTTCTTACCAATCACAGAGACAAAAGAGAGAACTAGACATTATGTGTCTCCTGAGTAATCCCATAGGAAGTACAAGCACCACTGGCAAGGTTTTCCAAGCTCGCCTGCACTCTCTCTCTCTCTCTCTCTCTCACACCCCCGCCTCTCTTTCTTCCCCCACCATCGCCCCCCCTCCGCCTTTCAAACCAGCTCTGATCAAGGCTCACAACCTAACAAAAATCTACAAATTGTGGATGGTGCTAAATGACCCCACAGGATGTAATTACCAATCTGGAATGGGGGAAATGCCTCAATCCGAGGAACGTATTTCTTCAATTAATAAATAGTAATGAAAGGAGGGAGTATTGTTTAGATTAAAAGTGATTCAAAAGACATACCCAACCAAATCAATATGTGGACCCTGTTTGAATTTTAATTAAAACCATGTATAAAAAGACATTTATAGGCCAGGTGTGGAGGCTCACACCTGTAATCCCAATATTTTGGGAGGCCAAGGTGGGAGGATCACTTGAGCCCAGGAGTTTGAGACCAGGCTGGGCAACATAAGGAGACTCCATTACTACAAAAAAATACAAAAATTAGCCAGGTGTGGTGGCAAGTGCCTGTAGTCCTAGCTCCTAGGGGGGCGGAGGTGGGATGATCACTTAAGCCCAGGAGTCTAAAGCTGCAGTGAACTATGATCACACCAGTGCACTCCAGCTTGGTTGACAAGGCAAGACCCTGTCTCAAAAAAAAAAAAAAAACATTTACAGAACAATCAAAAAAATTTTAACAATGCTGGATTTCAGATAATATTAAAGAATTACTATAATTTTAAAGATATGATAATGGTATTTTATTTGTATTTCTGAAAGGGAGAATTTAATGTTTAAATTCACAAATAAAATGATATATCTAGAATTTTAAATAATCCACTGAAGGTAGATATATGCCCATACATTGATAATCAGAAAAGTTGGGTAAGGAGTAAAATAGGAGGAGAATCCATTCTCTCTCCTTTTGTACATATCTTCAAATTCCCATAATAAAAAGGTACTTAAATATCCTATACACAAACACCACAAAATTCTAGTTGAACAAAGGGATCCAAAAAGGCTTGTGATTACAGATGCTCCTTGACTTATCCTGATAAACCCATTGTAAGTCAAAAAAATCGTAAGTCAAAAATGAGTTTATTGCACCTAATCTACTCAACATCACAGTTTAACTTAGCCTAGTTACCTTAAAAGTGCTCAATTTAAGCCTACAGTTACCCTGGCCTGCAGTTGGGCAAAATCATCTAAAACAAAACCTATTTTATAATCCCATGTAATTCATTGAATGCTGCACTGAAAGTGAAAATCAATGGTTGTATAGCATTTGATGTACAGGTTCTACTCAATGCACAGCGCACTGACACCAACAAGTCCAAAAATCACAAGTCAAACCATCGTAACTTGAGGACCGCCTGTATTTTTGTTTTGTAATTTTACCTAAATAGCTATCTTAATTATATGAACTAAGTGGCATTCATTTTTCTTTCATACTAAACAGATCCTGGACAAAGGGGAAAATTCTAATGATTCCACCTCGAAATCCTAACAGCGGTCAGCATTTGGTAAACTTAAGCAGTAGGGACATGTTGGGGGCAGGGGCTTTAAAAAGCTGTTGACGTAGTTATAACTAATGACCGTGGAAACTGTGATGGTTTTTTCACCCCGGGAGCTTGCTTAAAAAGAAAATCACTGTGGTGGGAGCACAAAGTAAGTTACCAGATATAATTTCCAAAGAGTTACAATTTATCCTCCCAGACTAAACAATAACTCTGTCAGATGACGGACTTCAGAAAAAAACACAGAAAGTGTTAAGTGTAACAGGAAAGTGGTCAGAGAGGTGAGAACGCTGAAGCAATGAGAAGGTAAGGAGGAAAAGTGACCACCACCCCTACTTTTAATGGGTCTGGGTGGTGATAACAAGCAGAGCCTCAGAAATTCTGTAAGGGCCCAAGAATGCAACACAGAACATTCAGCACCAAATGTTGCTAAATGTTTCAACTACTTTGAAAAATTTAACTGTTCCAAAGCACGTCTGTGACTATGTATGACTAAATGTGACATTTATAAAAATATGACAGAGCACTGTAGTCCCAGCTACTAGAGAGGCTGAAGCGGGAGGACCGCTTAAGCCCAGGAAGTTCAAGTCTTCAGAGAGTTGTGACTGCACTACTGCACTCCAGCCTGGGTGACAGAGTGAGACCCCTTCGCTGAATTAAAAAAAAAAAAAGAAAGAAAGAAAGAAAGAAAAGAAAAAGCAGTCTTGAAAAATTCCTCATTAAAGCTTCTCAGAGAGAAAACTCCCAGCCTGGTCTGCATGTGACACATTTCTCTTGTCGGAAGCATTTCCTGAGTAGGTATCAGCAACTGCCACCACAAGCCGTGTGGCGCTCGCACTGTGTCTACTCCATGCCGTGCTTACACCTCTTCTGAGATGCAATCTTCATTCCCTATGAAGGGAATGAGGAGGCTGAGTCTCCAAAGGAAGATTATTTTAAGCTATAGGTATTGTTTTTCACCAAATTAATCAATCACTCAATCACTCTGTCTCCAGCATCACCTGGTATTGTGACTTCCAACCAATCCTTACTCATACAGATTTTTAGCTATTTCCCTGTGAAAACTAGAAAGACAAGGCAATCGCACATGAAAAGGATTTTAAGGTTTTCTTTCTTCAGCTGACTTCTCACTGATGCGACACTGCCCCGTTACATTCCACAGCAGGCAAGAGGTGTGGGGCAGGCTCCCTTGGGAAGCGATGACTGTGCCACGCGCACCTGGCAGGCAGGAAGCCTCTGATGGGTGCACTGTCCCGCAGCGCTGCCCCTACCTTCAGGAATGCCTCCTTCTGCTCCAGGTGCTTGCTGATCATGGGCGTCACGTGGTCCGTCTCAGAGTTTGGGCCCAGCTTATCCGCCCCGCCACACCAGTCTTCTTCTCTCTTGTACTCCTGTTCCAGGCTCTCGAGGACGCTGCAGACCTGTGAGCAGGAAAAGTTTGAGGCTCAGACTTGGCATCTGCCACTGCCGACTGGTATCCCTGGAAAGCCCTTTCAGTCGGGCTCTGGGGATGAAGATGCTGTCAGGAGGATCAAGACCATAAGAAGGAGCCATGGGCTCCACCTGGCTGGAGAACAACTACAGGGTCAAAAGCAGGCAGACTTTTCAGAGCGAGAACAAAACCAAAGCAAATATCCTGTCTCTCTCTAATGTGCTTCAGGTCCTATGTTTAAATGACAAGAAGAGAGGTGTCTTCTCAGCTACTTTCTAGCTTATTACCTTTGACATCTAAGGTACACAGGAATAATTTTAACTCCAGAATGCCTTTTCCCTGCTTGACTGGCAACTGATTGTTTCAATAACGATGAACATGTTAACAATGATTGAGCTGTCCAATAAATTAAGCTCAAAATAAAGTATCAGTGGAGTTCAAGGAAGGGAACCTCTCCCCTGACCTGCTCTGAGGTTTTGTAGAAAGCGACAGAGGCGTTGACGAGCTTGAGGCGATCTTCCATCTTGAGCATGAGCTGTTGCCAGTGAGACGCCACCTTCTCGGCGCAGTCCCGGATCATGTCCATGTCGTAGTGGTTGGCCTGTAGCATGGCTTCTGCCTTCTGCTGCACCTGCAGCGCGCTCTGATGTGTTTTCTAGAGACAGAGAACAAAAGGGAAGGCTTATTTGTCAGTGTCCCCACTGACTAGAAAGGAACCAGGATGGCTACAGTTACTCTGTTCTTCATGATTTTGTGGAAATACCTTCAGTTAATACTCACTAGGATGCTTCTAAAAGCACAGCAGACAGTTTAGCAAAAAAGGTTTTATGCCGAGAAACAACTAGATCTATGTTTAAATTAGCTAATGAAGGATGAAATTGATCAGGACCTCCCAGAATGGGTCTCGGTTGTAGGGTTCTTAGTCTGAGAAATAGCAGGAAAGACCCTTAACAGCCAAAGAAGTGGTTGAAATGTTCCAAGTTTATTATTCCTGTTGATCCTTCTCATAATAGCTGCTGGAAGCAAATGAACAAGCAGAGAAAAGGTGGCCAGAGTGAATGCTTTTTATTTTCACTTGCAACTTAAACTCTGGACTCCAGTGAAAAGTTTTCAAGAACTATTGATTTTAAAAAGGAAAGAAAAATCAAAAAGCTAAGAATGAAACAACTGTGTTCTCTGGAGGTCCATGCCATCTGATAAATCTATGCAAATGGCATGGCAAATGCAGTAGGATTTTGCTCAGCTGTCTTCACTAGAAGAGCCAGGATGGGCTGAGAGGTAAGCTTCTCTCCAGTGAGGCCGTAGAGCCAAGGGAGGGTGTGGTCAGGGAGAGCACAGGTCTCTAAGGACAGATTTTTTTTAAACAATAGCAAAACCTCTCATTTCGCCTGAAGAAGTACAAATGATCCCATAAAACACTATATACAATATATTCTAATCCTTTACCCAGACACAGTGATTTATTACCTGCAATTTAATTACTAGAAATCCCTTGGCACAGTATACAGATGCCCAGAGTTTGCACCTCAGGAAGAGGTGTTAATGCATGTCCAATGGCACCAAACAGTTGACAATAAATTAATCCAGGGAATAAATTAGTGGCAACTTCTGTAGCTTTCTTCTCTAGCTGACAACATGTATGTGAGCAGAGCAGGAGATAACATTTCTGTAATCAAATGTTCTTTTTCCTTTGACATTACCTCACCACTACCAATCAGAACCATGACCCATGTGCCCTACCCATACCAAAAAATAAAAATAATTAGTCCACATGCTGACAGTTAATTGGATCAGGCCTGGAATTGGCCTGAGTCATTTTGCGACAGTTCTGGCATGGCAGTGACCCTTGTCAAGGTGAACAAGGCTGCTTTTAAGCAGGAATCTGAGGAGTTTTGCTGTCGGCATCGTTTACTGACTGATAGTGAATTCATGATATACACCTGGTCTTGCTGAGCTCTCTGCTTGGTTGAGGTTGGTAACATAGCAGAAATGTGCTTAAGAGACCAGCAAGATTAGAAAACCTCAGCTGAGACTGCAACGTGGGCTCCTCGGTTCTGAGCCATTCCAGATGAGAGAAAGTGCATCTTGCCAGGGCTCCTACAACAGGAGAACAACAGGAACCCCCTGGCCTCCGAGACCTTTGGGATCCTTGCAGTGAGGCTGCCTGGCTGGGATGCAGATCCTCACCTCACCGTGGCACCACACTGTTTCCCTTTCCTGTAATCAGCTGCAGACTTAGAAGCGTTGCCAATTTGGGTCCTCTGAGTCGTCTTTACCAAGCCAGCCCCATGTGGTTCCCATGGTCAGTGCCATGTTGGGGGATTCAGGATGTTTGTCCTGAGGAATGAAAGAGCCAACACACAGGCAGGCCCAGCGCCCTTACCTCAATGGCATGCTGGAACTGCTCGTGCTCTCGCTGGAGCTGCTCTGCCTCTTGTAACGAGCTGGCTGTGATAAGTCCGGCATTTAACATGGACTCTCCGTTGCGGATCCAACCCAGCACCTGAAACATTACACAGGATAACTCCAAGCAGTGGACTTCCCAGAGAATCCTGTGGACCACCAGGGGTGAGATACAAGCGTGCAAGATAGTCCAGTTGCTCCTGGCAGGTACGAGGCACTGATGCCTTCATCATCCTAAAATCCAGGCAACAGCCTGATGTTCTTCCATGGTACCTGACTGCAAGTGCTGCATCTTTTTAATTAGTTCTGTTATTTTTAGTAGCAAATGGGAAATGAAAAGGTGGAGGGTCCAGTGGATTGTTGATAATTAGTCCACAAGTCAAAACAGATTATGGGCCATATTTTAGAAAACCTACTGACACCAGGAATTCCCTGATAATCAAGAAAAATATTTTTCATTCCTTTCCAGCATTTTTAGGACTGAAAAATTGGCAAATGCTTGAAAAGGGGGAACTAATTTATTTCACGAACTCTTTTTCCAACTTAACTGCAGTGTTGAATGGCATAATAACCAAGGTATGAATAACATTGTGCTACAATGATCAGGTTCAAACCATGAGCTTCTCAACTGCACACACACTCAGAGGAAGTAAATTCTAACAGTGGAAACCACAGATTGTGGGAGGTCTTCTGGATAGTAAGGTGTGGCAGTGACCTCAAGTAACCTATATAATACCTATTGCCCTCTCGTTTACTTAGCACAGAAGTACTTTTATTGTCTAAGCCCTCTCCCAAAGTTGGGGCTTTACTTAGAAAAACTCCAACTAAGTAAAACCCCAACTTTGAGAGAGGGCTTAAACAATAAAACCACTCTGTGTCTGGGGTTTTCTAAGTAAAACCCCAACTTTGGAAGAGGGCTTAAACAATAAAACCACTTCTCAGCTCCTATTACAGCTTGGCTACAGTAATGTACAAGTCTAGCCAATGAAAGCAAAGCAGGAGTCTCTGGGGAAGTTTGTGAAAATATTTCTTTTCTGATAGAGGGGCTGCCTCTTTCTCATTATGCGTTCCCCTTCCTGATAATTTGGGATATGGAGGTGATGGCTGGAGCTACAACAGCCACTTGGCAACCAGAAGGGAAAGGCCAGCCATCACCAAGATCTCAGCCTAATGTATCATGGGACCACTAAATGCAGACCAGCAATCTTCTTCTACATTCTGACTTGTCACATGCGGAAAACACCTTTTCAAAGCCACTATTTTTTAGTCTCTGTTTTAGGCAAAGGTGAATCCTAAGGGATACATTTATTTATTCCGTTATTTCTTAAATAAACTGTTTTGTGTTTTGGCAAGAAGGAGGGCTTTGTTAGCAGGTCACAACACTTATTTATATGTAAAAATACCCACACTGCAGATGGCATGTGGGAGACTGAAAGGTGCTCTTTTCAACAGTTCTGACTGAAGAGTCTACCTGTTCTGATGTGAGTGCCACCTACTTCTGCACCACCTCCTGCTCATGGTCCAGAGGCATCTTAAGTCCCCTCCAACCAAACTTACTTTCTGTTTGCTTTCTCTGCATCTTTCAGGGCACCATAAGCTTTTCTCTCCCTCCATCAAGCCAGTTAATAAAATGTCATATCCATGCACAGAATCCCACTGGCACTGAGCCAAAAGCAATCCCTTCCCCATGTCCCATTTTCACTTTGTCATGCCATCAGGATGTGGTATTACAGTATCCTGATAACAAAAGAAATGCCCCAGGCATCTGGAGTCTGAGAAACAATCCAGATCCTAACAGTACTGGGCAGAAAAAGTCATATAAGAAGCAATATGCTCAGGGTTTCAAGCAAGAGACAGACTATCAATACTGAAAGAAGCCAAGGGCTGTTACCTTCAAGTGCTGCCTGTGCTGGGTGAACAGCCAGCCAGCTGTCCTGGCCACTGGCTCCCTTTTCACACATTAGGGATGGCTGTAATCGGGGGGCGGGGGTGTGTGTATGTGCGCATTATCTTACATATCAGGAAAGCTGTGTTCTGAGCAGGCACAATCCTTCCCAATGCTACAGGTCAGAATTTCCGGGAAGTCGATGAGGTATCAAGCATCTGTAGCGCAGCCTCCCCAAGCATCCAGTCGTTTGCTCACCTGTTTCACTTCTGCCTGCAGGTGGCGCAGCTGCACGCACTGCTCCAGGTGTTTCCGATGCTGCTCTGCGGCTAAATCCAATTCCTGCTGTTTTTCATGAAGAAACTCCAGCAGGTCCTGGACCCGAGTTGCCATGTCTACATCTCTATCACACAGCAGCTCCACACCTGTGGACATTAAAGGGAGACCCTAGAATTCAGCTAGCACTTCAACCTTCTGTTCTCAAAGGGTGGATGGCACAAAATCTGCTTTTGTGAATGATCTGCCCAGCTGGGGGCCAAGCCATTATGCTGAAGGGCAAGTTCAAGGAGGGCAAAGTGTGTCAAAGGATGTATAGGCAATCAATCCACATCCACATCCCATCCATTTCTACTCCCACACTGATAACTAGGAAAGTGTGGCATTCTTTACAAATGAGCGAATTTCAGGGTTTTTTTTGTTGTTATCCTCATTACTTGCAGTTTCCTCTTTGGTAAGCATTTAATTTGTGTAAAATGAATAATGCAGTATGCAGGTTGTTGCTAAGTTTCTAATACATTTCTGAACCTATAGTGACATCTGCTGGTAAAACATAAACTAAAAAAATAAAGAATGTGAAAATGTTTTCCTGGGATTTATAGTTCATTTACAGAGATACAACATATCATTGTGTAGAATTAAAGTTCATGATACTTAAAATAGTATGTGAGAATATCATGGGTGAGTACTCTAACCATGTTAAATGTGACTGTATTACATAAAAATGCAAACGTTCTTTTAAAGAACAGGTATCTATAATACCTTTATCATAGGAACTAACAAAATTTGCAGTCATCCCACTGAAATAAGCCGAATTGCCATGACGACATGAAGAAATCACAACGGACACAGATGGAGTGAGCCCTCTTACCAGAGGCCTGGACCTCATTGACATACTGCAGAAGATCTTGCCCTTGGTGGATGACGTCAAAAGTCAAGTTGTTCATGGTCAAGGCTTTGTCTGCATGGTGCTGGAGGCGCTGCTCTGCAATCGTGAGATCTTCTGTGTCGAAGTCATTCATTTGCTGAGAAAGCTCATCATTCCAAGACTCGAGGTCTGAGATAATCTGAAAGAAGGTATTTAAGATCAAGACAAAAAAAATATACATGCAGCCACCTCTCACTCTGTACCAAGTAAGGAAGGAAGAGATGTCTCTCTGCCAAAGGACAGAGACGTCAAACACTTAAGATGCATGAGTTTGGTGGTATACAAATCACACCTCAATAAAGCTGTTTAAACAAATTAAACATAAATAAATAAATGGACACAGAAGCCAGATGAAGGGGTTCCCAATGGCCACAGATACCGAAAGAGAAGATAAATAATTTTTCTCTTTGTGTATCCAAAGAGAAAAATTACCAAAACTGTGTAAAATATACCGTATATACAAAAATCCAGTAATATTCCTAATGGTGTTCAAAAATAGTAAGAGAAGCTAAAAGTCAAAAAGAAAGAAAAGAAAAAGTATTTGGTCTCCACTAGAAGTAGACAGTAAATCGGCTGGGGGTGGTGGCTCACGCCTATAATCCCAGCACTTTGGGAGGCCAAGGTGGGCGGATCACTTGAGGTCAGGAGTTCAAGAACAGCTTGGTCAACATGGCAAAACCCCATCTCTACCAAAAAATACAAAAATTAGCTGGGCGTGGTGGCATGTGCCTGTAGTCCCAGCTACTTGGGAGGCTGAGGTAGGAGGATCGCTTGAACCTGGGAGGCAGAGGTTGCAGTAAGCTGAGATGGCACCATTACACTCCAGCATGGGCAAGAGTGAGACCCTGTCTCAAAAAAAAAAAAAAAAAGTAGATAGAAAACCAATCATTATCCTAAATATTGGTGCTTAATTAAAAGATAAAAGAACATTTCATAATGAAGAATTCCTCTTTATAGATGAATCTAGCTATTAAATGCAGAAAGAATAATAAAATTGAAAATTGTTTTCACATTCTCATAAGCAATGATCATCAGCGCATAGTAAACTGTCGTGAGAAAAAGGCTGAGGGGACTTAACCACAGAAGGCTCAGCATAATGGTGCCTGAACCGGCCTCAGGGTCCCGAGGGAAGTGGGATTAGACAGGCCCAGCCTTCGCATGGGGAACTACGATGCACCACCTCGCAAAGACTCGTGCACAAAAACAGAACCAGAATCAGGTCTTTGCATCTAACTTCTAAGTTTAGAGGAAACGCCAGGGAAACTAAAAGTTACACAATCTAAAATAATACAAGTGAACAAACACTGAATGTGGGATCTGGTTCCTTTGACAACCAATCTAGTTATTTCAGCAAATGATGGCATGAAAAGAAGAGGAGGAGGACAAAGGAGAGACAATTCTAGATTAAGAAACTGACCATTAAACACAAGAGCCAACCTCACATGCCTCCTAATTGAGGCACCCACATCAATCCGAACACGCTGGGAGTCGATGACAATAAGAAATGACTGTCAAATTGGGGAGATGTTTAGTTGATTGAGGGGATGTAAGAAAATGGCCTCATCTTTTAGAAAAACCATTAGGAGTGAAAGAATAAACTGGCAATGATTTTCTCTAAAATACTATAGCACAGCCATAACCAAAGAAGCTTAACCAGTCTGGCAAAATCATGCTGAATCTGTGGGACAGGCACACGGTAGTTCCACTGTACTGTCCTCTGTGCTTCGGTATAGCTTTGAAGACATTCATTCATTCAGAGATGGAGTTCCACTCTTGTCACCCAGGCTGGAGTGCAATGGTGCAATCTCCCCTCATGGCAACCTCTGCCTCTGGGGTTCAAGCAATTCTCCTGTCTCAGTCTCCCAAGTAGCTGGGAGTACAGGTGCACGCCACCACGCCTAATTTTTGTATTTTTAGTAGAGATGGGGTTTCACCATGTTGACCAGGCTGGTCTCGAACTCCTGACCTCAGGTGATCTGCCCACCTTGGCCTCCCAAAGTGCTAGGATTATAGGCGTGAGCCACCACGTCTGGCCATAATAAACTTTAAAAAGATTATAAAATCTAAAAAGCAGGAAAAGCTTCTTGCGAGAGATGACGACACCACCCACTTCAGTGGAGTGACATTTTCCGTGGATCCTATGCACCTTCTCCACAGGAGGACTGTCCACACTGGACCTCCATCCACATCTGAGATGGAGACGCTACTCCAATTGAAACACAAGAGATATGAGGGACTTAAAATAAATTAACCGGGTAACAGATCAATTCTACCATCGACATAACTCCATACTCCTATGGGCCGTCAGATGTGGCATCTTCCTGGATAACAGAGGAAACCTGGCCAAAGCCTGAACTGCTCAGATTTTCATTTTTCAGGATTAAAGAGAACAGAGGTTCTCAGGCTGTGATCTTCTAACAGCTTCTGAACCATATCTGAAGCTGGCCTGAGACTGGGCTGCAGGTACAGCTTCCTCTGCTCAGGATGAGCTCCCCCAGGCTGTGGCACACTGGCTCTAACTAGGGCACTTGTAATTTCGTGGCTTTGTTGGGGGAAAAATGTATGTTTTTGTTTCCTAATCTGGTTCAATGAAAGCGGAAGTACTTTCATATACTTACGATAAATACAATTTTTTAAATATTAAAAATTTTTTTCTCTTTATAGTATTAAGATAAACGAATCGATTTTTTTTTTCAAGTATCAAAATGTCCTGGAAGAAAAACTGCAACTAATGCTTCTGGTTGGTTTGTGTTTTCTAGTTGAAAATATTCAATATGCAGCTAAGTTTTACAAAAGCGAGTCCTTTGAAGTCAGAGAGGAAAGTAGGCGTGGCTGGCCTCCCGTTTATTCTGTGCTGCTACCTTGGGGAGGACATGGCAGGCCCTCACGGGGCAGAGGTCGGCGTGCAGGTGCCTCTTCTCCACATGGCTCCATGTGGATCTAAATGTCAAGACTTTGAGAGCATCTGAACAGGTTTCACCATGCCACATGTTTAGGGTTTGACTCCTTTCTTGTTATTCACTAATGATGAGAATGAGCAGAGCCAAGAAGGTCTGTTGTTAACGAAAACAGTGCCGGAGACTTAGACAAGTGGCCAAGCAAAGGCATCCAGGAGAGTCCTGCGCAGGGCTGGTCTGGCCCTTGCACCACAAACCAAAACCACTCCCCAGGGCAGGCCTATAGACAGGCCCAGGGGAAGCCACACGGCCCACTATGGGCAGAAGGTCCCTCCTGTACCGAGGTGACTGAGGGCAGGCTACGCACAGCCCTGCCATCCCCAGCCTGAGTGCCAAGGACTGCTGATGAATTCTAAACCAGAGACAAGAAATAAATATTGAGAGGGTGTGCTCTACAGGTGTCCATCACAGAGGACCCACAGGGCAGCCCAGAGGTATGTGGAGGAGGCCTTCGGGCTGTCACAGCCACCAGCTGTAAGAAGCGGCTAGACTCCAGGAGAGCAGGCTCACCACTGAGGGGAGCTTAGGCTCCTTACGTCACGTTCCCAGGTAAATTCGTGCTCATGTGATTGGACTGACTTCTGCTCGCATGGTATCAAAAAAGAGAGCTCCTCCTAAGCACAGAACCCAGAACCACTCTCTTTTTGTTGAAGAAAGATAAAAGACACCTGTAAATTCTTTCTCCTGTTCACATATAAGATGCAAAAGTCCACGTTTAGGTAAGAATCATGGATAATCTAAGAACACCTCTTTGTGGGGGGAAATTGTGTTTTTTGTTACCTAAAATGCTACGACCACAAGTCAGGATTATTCCCACTCTAGAAGAGAGAAGGGCAAGAGAGAGAAAGATGGAAAGAGAAAGGGAGGAAGCAAGGAAGAGAAAAGGTAGGAGAGAGAGAAGGTGGAGAGAGAGAGAAAAGGGGAGGGTGAGGACAGGAGGAGAGTGGGAAGGATGAGAAGACGACAGGGAGGAAGAGAGGAAGACTTGCTGCCTGAAGCTGATGCCTGTGCCTAAGCTGAGGACAAGGGAGTGCTGTGTGCAACCCAATCGAGGTTTTAACACCCCAAGGCCGAGAGAAAGCTGTGCTGGCTTCCTTCTGTTCCGCTCAGCGCTTGCTGTGCTCTGCTCCTGCCACGCGAGCTGCCTGCTCTATAGTTTCCAACATTAGGGTCCAGGGCTGAGCATACCCCAGCCTCCCAGGGATGATCCAATTCCAGCCTCCAGGGACCCTCTCTCCCTCCCACACCCCCTCCTGGTGCAGAGGGTTGGGGTGTGGGTGAGGACACAGGACCTCAGCAGGGCAGAGACAAGAGGGCGCCGGTGCTGTGGAGGAAGCCAAGGGCTCCCACAGGCAGGCAGGCGCCAGCCGCGGGACACTCACGTCGATGGCGTCCCTCTCGAAGATGCGCAGCTGCAGGAAGAGCTCCAGCTTGATCTTGCGCTCCTGGAAGAGCTCCTCCATCTGCGACTGCGCCTCGTCCAGCTGCTGCAGCACCGTCTCAATGTGGTTGATGGAGCTGTTGTGGGGGGTCTTGTTACTGGAGATGGCAGAGTCCCTGCGAGAGCACACAGAGGAACAGGAATTGGATGAGAAAGTCACACATTGTTAGATACCAGATCCGGCCACGCAAATCTTCAGGGGAAGAAAGCTGGCAGGAAGCTGCACTGCTTGTCTCAGAAAATGGAACGGGCTGCTCTCCTGCAAAACAATATTAGGCTTCCTCCTCGGGGCAATCCTGCTGAATCTGAGGATACATTGAAGAATTTCTCTGGCATTTTCTGAAATCACTTGGTAAGAAGGCTAATAATTATAGAAAATTACTTTAGAGTTGTATTTTTAGCCACTTTTCTTCTTAAGTAAAAAATGGATGATACCTGGTTAGTATAAATGACAGAGTCATATTGGACACGAGAGGTTAACCTTTAATGCAATCAATTAAGCCTTTATTAAGTAACTGCTGCCTGCCTCTCTCAGCAAAGTGAACGTCACGTAAAGTTATCAGTCAACGATTTGATAAATTTTCCTGAGTGATACAGTAGGGGGTTAAATGGTCCCCCTGACCCAATAAAAAAAATTTGCTTCCAGAGGAAACAAAACCAATCCTGGCTCTGCCTCCATATCCTGCTTTGAAGAGCACTTGGGGGTGGGTGTCCGCCCCATGCAGGCCTGACTGAATCTGGACGTTGGGAGGTGAATACTGCTGTGCTCTAGATCAGCCTGAGGGCGCAATCCTTGGAAGCTCACATTAATCTGGTTTATAAAGAAGTGTCAATAATTACTAGTTGGATGTTAAGAGAAAATATTAAAATTAAATTATGTGGTTTATTAGTCGATGTTATAATGAAAACTATTATGAAGTTAAAACTGTAAGGAGGGAGAGAAGGGAGGGGAAAGGAAAAGAGAGAAGAGAGCCGTTTCTCTCTCCTTTGCCTTCACAGACACTACTAGCTCTGCACTCAGCTGGACAGAGAAGCAGAGCTGACCACTCACAAGAGTAAAAGGGGAAGGGGAGTCACAGGCAGGGTTTCAGAATCTGTTCGGACCAGGAGAGGGGTGAGGCCCACCTGAGCTGCTGGATGAGGTCCTCCCCTTCCTTGATCACGTTGACAGTCACCTGCAGGGTGGTCTGCTGCTGCTGGCCAAAGCGCTTGATGAGGTCCTGCACGGCCTCCACCGACTCGGCATACACGTCGTCCAGCAGCTCCTTCTGCAGCTCCTCCAGCCACGTCCACAGCTGGGGAAGGGGAGAGGGGGGTGAGGCCGGCCGGCCTGGCTGCACCACCAGGTGGGCCGCCCGGTGTCCAAGGGGCCCCAGTGGAGACGGTGTGTGACTTGCCCTGGGAGGGGACTGGTGACAGACCACTCCCGGAGGGAAGGAAGGAAGGACGGGAGGGAGGGGCATCCAGTCCCACTGCCAGCGGAACACATGCACAACAAAAGCAGCATGCCACCGCCGCAGGGAGGAAAATAAACAGGCGAACGGCGGGCAGCACTGTCACAAAAGAGAAAAAGGAAAGGGAAGGGAAGCTGCTCTTTCCCATTCTCCCGAGGCTCAATCCAGACTGCAGTGGAAATAAGAAAAGACCCTCAGTTCGCAGAAACATCTGCTGATATGTCTCGGGCTCTTACTTAGCAGGTGGACACTTGTATTTCAATTTTTCATTATTAAACCACCGATTTCCCCCGGAAGCACACAGAAGGAAGTGCACAATGTGATGAGAGGAATTCACCACCGAGCCTGGCCAGGGACCAGGGTGTGGAGCTAGGGAGGTGACGGCACGAGCCCAGGCCCCACAATCAGGCTGCCAACAGTTCGGGCCTTCAACGGAAAGAGTGTGCATGCTGAAAAGATGCAGACACCTCCACTGCCACCACCATAAAACAGGCTGCTGGAGACCTAGATGAGTAAAGACACCCTGGAATGAGAGTGGCAAGAATGACTTTGGGCCAGGTGGGAGCCAGGGAGCAGAGCCTACTTCCTGAAAGTCCATTAACTCCTGCAGATCTCTGGGGTACTATTCACGGAACTGAAAAAGACAATTAATTACATTAAATGGGCCCTGGTGGCTTGTATGTAGAGAAAATGCTTTCAGCCTCCTCAGGGACTAAGAGTCAGCTCACGCATCTTCTGTATGTCTAGTGGGGACAGCCGGCTCAGCTGGTGAGATGGGGCAAGTCGGGACCTCCCGCTTGATACCCTGTGCAACGCCTGCTGCCTCAAGACTCATAAGTCAAAACTGCACTTGCAGAAAGAAACTGTGTGTGCATGTGGTCTTCTGTTTCCAAGCCAAGCTTTTTACAAAACGGCTTTACTGAGGACTAACTGACATACTATAAGCTGCACAAATGTAAAGTGTCCAATGTGAGTTCTGACATTTGTCTATACCCACTTCACCGTGAGCCTCTCCCTCACCTCAAAGCTGGCTGATGCCCTCTGTCATGCTCCCTCCCTGGCACTCACCTGCTCTCAGCCACTGGAGATTACCTTGCATTTTCTAAAATAATTTCTAGAACTGGAATGGGACAGTATGTACTCTTTTTTTTTCTGTCCAGCTTCTTTCATTCAGCATAATTACCCTGAGATTTATCCATACTACTGTGTGTATCAAGGGTTCGTTCCTTTCCACTGTCGAATAGCAGTCCCTGCATGTGTGAAACCACAATTGATCCCTTCATCTGCTGGTGGGCATCTCGGTTATTTCCAGTTTGGAGCCACTACAAATAAAGCTGCTGTAAACATTTGGGCACAACCTCTGTATGAACTTATGATTTCCTTCCTTTTAGATAAATACCTAGGTGTAGAATGGCTGGATCATATGGCAGGTGTATGCTTAACTTAAGAAACTGCCAAGCTTTTCCAAAGTGGTGTATCATTTTTACCTTCCCACCAGCAGCGTATGAGAGTTTCAATTCCTCCACTTCCTCACCAATAACTGATGTGGTCAGTCTTTTTAACTTAAGCCATTCTAAATGAGTGGTATATCTCACTATGGTTTCAATTTCCAATTCCCTAATTACTAATGATGGCAAATCCAAGCTAAGCTTTTAAGTGTTCTTTTGCTGTCAAACATATCTTCAAAAACACACTATTACCAGATGACTTTGTTTCTCTGAAATATGCATAGGGAAACTGACTTCCATTTTTAACACAGAAAATCTTAGTATCAATTCCATACTACAATTTGTTCACTGAGCAATATTTACATACATAAAATATACTTTTATTGTTATTTGCAGGTCAGTACACATTTAAAATATAGCAGGCCAATTTTAAAATAAGAAAAGTGCTGGCAAAGAAGTTATTTTTCAATCCTGTTACCCAGGGTCCTAAGAATTAATTTTACTGAAAATATTAAAGTAAATAAAACATTTGTTAACTTTTCTCATATTATCTACCTATTTTTTGTGTCTAAGTTATCAAATTTCATACAGTTCAAGAATTTTAATCAATGGAGTTTTAGAGATAAGCTAGTTCAAAATTTTCATTTTATACATTAAGGAAGAGAAGCCCCAGGTGATGAAGTACTATGCCCAAAAGCTGGTATCAGAAAGAATACTGAGCCACAGTTGGCATCAGTATTTAATTCCACATGAAAATGCCACGCACCAATTCATCAAATCTGAACTGATGCTCTGCACCATCTATAAAGGCTTTATCATCAATAAGATGCTTTCTTGTTCTTTTGTTTTCCTCTAAATTCTCATGAACATGGCAGTTGCATTTATAAATAGGAAAGATCATAGCATGAAGGACTCTTCCAATTTGCACTAACATTTCCCATGAAAAACATTCCAAGTTGCCAAGTCACATGGCATAGTAGTAACAGTATTATAAGATTTAGAGTAAGGCGATCTGGATTTAGGAAATGCTTTACAAAGCATTAGCTGTGTGACCTAAAAGATCACTTAAATTTCTCAGAGACTCAGTTTGCTAAAACAGGGATCCTAGGAATATCAATGCCACCTAAAGGCGTCACTACGAGGAGCAGATGAAAGAGGACACAGCAGAGGGCTTCACGTCAACAGCAACGCTCTGGACAAAATTATTACCCTGGTTATAAGGATGGACTTAAATTAACTGAACAGGCAAGATTTGCTCTAACAAACCAAGTATGTGCCAACTTGGCTGCGCTGAGCTATAACTAACCATTTACCAGAACAAGGCTGTAATGTTTCATGAAAGAGTCAAAATATTTAATCAAAAACATCCATGACATTATCCAATCCATGGACATTTCTACTTAAGATGGTAACCTGCCTTCCACATGCAGGTGGTGGGGTGGGGTGAGCAACTGGCCACACACAGAGGGTGCCCACTCACTCCCAAAGCAAACCCTTTGAGTCGCACGGAGCCACTGCAGCCTCCCACCTTCCAACTTCCTCTCCTCAGTTGGACGCTGATGAAAAAGCGGTGCTGTGCAACTGCACTGATTCTGCTCACAAAGAAAATAAACCATTTATTTCACTCCTTTCTCTCAAAAATCTCAACTGTATCTTCTGCCTGAATACATTTGCTTCACTGAAGCTGCCCTCACCCTTGTCACTGTCCAATGGGACCTAGGAAATGGAGTATTCCCGGGTCCCCTGCCTGTGATAACTATAGTACTAATCAATGGACAAAAAATGGAGAACACTTAAGGAATCAACAGGGGACTCTGCATAGTTAGCTTATTACTCTGTCCCACTGCCAAGACGCTACCAACGGTGCTGCCTCTGCACTTTATGTTCAAACTTGGAGCAGAAGTGAATGATTTAAGCAAATGTACATCTGAAAAAGGTCCTCAGAAAACAGCTGACACTCTACAATCCTGCAGCCCATTGCTCTTCTCTCACTCCAATCAAATTGGAAGAAATGTAGCTGAAAATAAAGGTAAAGGAGCCAACTCTGACCCAAATATTGAACCTGCAGCGCAGCAGGAGGGCGTCCGGGTCACTCAGTGACAAGCTGCCCTTCTGGGCACTGAGAAACCAGGTCCCCTGCTGGCAGGAGCCAATGGAGGCCTCTGGCTGTAGCTGCACTCCCCTTTAGCTAGGTTCTTATGCCACTAATAGAAATTAATATCTCTTCTTTTAAATCTGTTGAGAAAACAAAAACGCTTTTTTAAAAAAAGCCTACTAGAAAAACAGCAAAATCAGCAAAACAGAACAAAATTAATCAAGACAGCAGAAGAGAATCCACATACCCTGGACAGGACACACCTCGTAACAGGGCCCTGAAATACAGGTGTCCCAACCACCCTCCCAGCCCTGCTCAGACAGTAGGGGTCAGGCCCCCAGCACCGCTGGGCCCTCTCCCTGAAGCCCTGCCAGCCGAAGCTCGGGGATGTCTGGGCCCTGAACTGGGAGATCAGCAGCCTGTCCCCTGACTCACTGTGAGGCCTCACTCAAGGACCCAACTCGTGGTACAGGAAGGGGGGCAGGCTGGCCATTTGGGTGGGGACCTCTGCAAAATTCCTCTTCTCCAGCAAATACTACCAAAAATAACACTTAAGATACAAAACGATTTTACCAAGTCTCATTTTTACACTCCGGTGAAGAGAAGATGAAAAATGACTCAGAACTGGCCGGATGCACGATACATAGCTGTGCTTCTATGCAACTCCACTGCAACAGCCTAAGAGTTACTATTAGTGCTTCTTCCATAAACGATCATTCAAATCAAACACTTCTCATAGGAGGTAATAGACAATAATGACTAAGAGTGTAGGTTGCAAAGCCAGACTGCTTGCGTTCAAGCACTGACTTAACACTTCCTAGGGTGTAACTTTGACAAGTTACCTGGATCCAGCTCTGTTTTCTCATCTATAAAATGGGCATGGTAATAATGCCTGCCTCAAAAAGTTGCTTGGGGCTGGGTGTGGTGGTTCACGCCTGTATTTCCCAGCACTCAGAGGTCGAGGCGGGCAGATCACCTGAGGTCAGGAGTTTGAGACCAGCCTGGCCAATATAGTGAAACCCTGTCTCTACTAAAAATACAAAAAAATAGCTGGGCGTGGTGGCACACACATGTAGTCCCAGCTACTTGGGAGGCTGAGGCAGGAGAATCGCTTGAATTGGGAGGCAGAGGGTGCAGTGAACTGAGATCATGCCACTGCACTCCAGCCTGGGCGACTCAGTCTCAAAAAAAAAAAAAAAAAAAAAGTTGCTTAGAAGTTTCAATGAGAAGACAATGCAGAGTGAAGAAATAAGTAAATGCTAGCCACTGTTACTGTTTTTGTTCTAAGAAAAACTCTTCTAATAATAAGAAAGATCACAGTTTTAAAATCTTCCTTCTCTAGATATTTTTCAAAACACATTCGGGTTCCTACCAATTGTTCAAAATATGTCACTTGGTCTAGTAAACTTAACATCATCCCACATTTAAATCTTTTTACTCCTAAAAATAGTACAGTATGAGGAAAACGTGCTAGAATTAGTCTGTTAGAGTCTATAGAAATCACTTCCTCTCAATTCTAGGGGAAGCGCCATGAATCTTTAGGGGTCAAACGTTTTCCCTTCCACCTGGTAGTTAAAAAAAAAAAAACCCAAAAACTAGCGTATTCCCCGCAACATCCTGGATATTTTACCGCACACTGGATGTGCTCATCCTCCCGCTGGCTGGTGAAACCAGCGCGGGTACTGAGGAGACCGTGAAGGAACTGATCCTGGGATCATGACATTAAAAAAGGACCAAACTAAATGAGGCAGAAGGAGCAAGGCTACATTTTAACCATTTAAAATATTTGCCCCTTCGGAATTTTTCTGTCTGGTCCTACAGGAAATATTCTCATTCAATTTGGAGAAAAAAGTCTTAGATAAAGGTCACTTCTAATATCAACTGGGGATGAATGGGCACACATCATAATGAAACATCACTCAAGGAAAGTCTGTTTTTAAGTTTTTAAAATGGTGTACATGATGCCTAAAATATCCCTGAATAAAGCAACGAGAAAAAACCTCTAGGATGCCTATAAAATTCTTACCATAAACTCCTAAGAGGAAAAATTGTACTTCTGGGCATGCTGCAAATTTATAATAAAAAGATAAATCTTTGCCCAGCAGCAAGAGAGTTGTGTCCTATGGAAGTTCACAGCAGTCTGGATTCTACTGAGAAACAGAAGCAGGTCTGGCAGCCACAGGGTTAGGCAAGGCTGCCCCCTGGAGGCCATCAGAGCTATTGCTGGCCATCTCTAGTGCTGAGAGGTGCCCAGGGGATCTGCAGGCCAGAGGGCTGGGTGGAAGAGGACCTGAACTCAGCCCACAAGTGGGCTGCAGGTGTGTACAGGGCCCGGCTCATGGACCAGGATCCACACAGAAGGATGACTAGGAAGGGACATGGAGTTCTGTGGTGAAAACCCGAGTGATTAAGATGTGGGAAGCCTCCCACAAGCCTCTATGGGCCCCACAGCTCTGCTGGAAGAAATCCCCTTGAAAAGCTAGCTTTTGAGATGAAAAGGCCCCTCCTCACTACCTGGAAAGGGAGACCCCGCCACAGAGGATGCCTAGAGGACCTGGCTGGGGTGGTGGACCCTCGGAAAGGACCAAGCCTCCAGTTAAGTCGAAAGTAGGATCAGGGCCCTAAGCTGGGAATTGTTCCAGCTGCAACCTCTCTGTGCTCCCCAGTGGGGTACAAGCTGATGCAGTTTGAACCCAGGCTAAAATCGGTGTCCGTCTGGAGGTGGGGTATGGAAGGAGGGGCCCAACACATCTCCTGGGGTCCTTATCCTATGTGTGGCCTTGGGAAATTCTTGGAGCACTCTATCTTCAGTTTTCTCCTGTATGTAATGAAAGCATTTTACTACATGCATCTTCTCTAACTGGGAAGCCGGAGTGAGAATCCACGTGTGAAGTATTCAACTTCTATAAGCACTTGGTGAACAGAAGCTGTTGCCATTGGTATCTGTTTCCCTACTCTTGTTTTTGACAAAGACAATCATCTGGGTACTTGTGGGAATGGGCGAGCCATAGGGCCAGCAGGGGAAGTATGAAAGCCACAGCTTCCCAGAGCTGCTGCAAGTCAGAAGCAGAAGTAGGAGTTTCAATGGCAACTTGCAGGTGGAATCTCAGAGGACAACCACTATGCACATAAAATGTGACACAGTTTCAGGTATAAAAACCAGGGATAAAAACAGAACTGCCTCATCCACGTGCAGCATGTTCCTCTGTCTGAAATGACGAACTGTACTGTGGGTCCACATGCCTGCTGCCCTGATAAGAAAGAGTAGAGTCCGGGAAGCACCTTTTCATTCTTGGGTAGGTGGAGTAAAAGATCCCTTAATACAGGGGTCACCAATGTGTGGGCTGCGGACCAGTACTGATCTGTGGCTTGTTAGGAGCTGGGCTGCACAGTGGGAGGTGAGCAGCAGGCAAGTGGTCATTAACACCTGAGTTCAGCCTCCTGTCAGATCAGCAGCGGCATTAGATTCTCACAGGACTGTGAACCCTACTGTGAATTGTGCATGCGAGGAATCCAGGTTGTGCACTCCTTACGGGATGAGAATCTAACTAACGCCTGATAATCTGAGGCAGATCAGTTTCACCCTAAAACCATCCCTGCCCCCACCAACACCGCTGGTCTGTGGAAAAATCGTCTTCCACAAAACCGGTCCCTGGGGACCGCCGCCTTAATATGATCAAAGAAAATTTATGAAGGATGTATGGGGTGGAGGTGGGGAGGAACAGAGGGCAAACCAAAGTTAGCATCATGAAGTAATTATCCATGCAAATGTATTACATGTAAGAAAGGAGGAAAAAGCAGAAGAAACACAGGGGCATATTCAGGGCAGCTATGCACGTTAAGATGGGACAGTGCGTGGACACTCCAGCACCAGAGGGTAGATGCCCTGCAGAGGTGCGAGACTGAGTACAGATAAGGCACAGGGGATGTGGCGATGACACCCAAGTAGGACAGAAGATGGACGTGACTAACCTGGGGCCAAAGCTCACAGACGGAACACCATGGACTTAAACTAACCAAACAGTATCAAGTCTAAAAGAAGAATTTGACTTTGGGGTTTTTTTTATTTTCTTTCCATTGCCCAACATCCCCGCAAGGTAAGACACTCTCTTCAACAAAAGTTGTTACCCAGGGGTGTCAAGTTTGGGAAATGCTGCTCCCCCACCCTCAGGTCATTTGGAGAGCAGCCACAGTCTCTCACTGCGGTTGGCCAAAGTGTAATTCCTCTTTGCCGTGGCAAGTCTTCAAATACCTGCAGATCGTGCCCATGTTCTCACAGCCTGCCTGCCTTTCCTTAGGGTGACATTTTATTTCTTGAACTCTGCGGGCAGAGCATGACCTGGAGCTCCTTTGACACAAGCTCACTCTCCTCCCAACACTCTCCCCTTTCAGAGTATACTATGCAGTCATAAAAAAGAAAGATCGTGTCCTTTGCAACAACATAGACAGAGCTGGAGGCCGTTATCCTTAGCAAACTAATGCATGAACAGAAAACCAACTACCCATGTTCTCACTTACAAGTGGGAGCTAAACAGTAAGAATACATGGACACAAAGAGAGGAACAACAGACACTAGGACCTACTTGAAGGTGGAGGCTGGGAGGAGGAAAAGGATCAGAAAAAATACCTATTGGGTACTATGCTTAGTACCTTGGTGAAGAAATAATCTGTACACCAACCCCCTGTGACATGAGTTTATCTATATAACAAGCCTGCACATGTACCCCTGAATCTAAAATAAAAGTTAAAAATAAACATTTTTTTAAAAGACGGATTTTGGTTTATATTAAATGGAGAAAGGTAAAAGTTCACCTCGTATGTTGAAAGCAAAAGATAGAAAACAGGATTGGCTTCTTCAAGGGCTCATCTTGTAGAACTGCCACTTGGAAACTTCCTGGTAATGTACTAAAGACAGCAGTCGCCACGACTGTCAATTCCTAAGGGAAGAGCACAGCTTAACCTTGGGCCCTGCGGCTTCAGTGGGATTCCAAAAGGTTTAATGAAATGACTCCTCTAAAATAGTCTGAAAGTAAAAGTCTTTAACACTTAAAAAAAAGAGCAAGGAAAGAGATATGGAATAATAGGGTAAAACACACACATGCTCACATGTGTGCACACATATGCAGGAAAAACACATGCTCATGTGCGTGCACACACATATACACACAGGAAAAACACATGCTCACGTGCGTACACACATACACACAGGAAAAACACATGCTCACGTGTGTGCACACACAAACACACAGGAAAAACACACATGATCATGTGTGTGCACACATATACACACAGGAAAAACACACATGCTCACGTGCATACACACCCACAAACACGCAGGAAAAACATGCTCATGTGCATGCACACACATATACACACAGGAAAAACACACATGCTCATGTGCATACACACAAACATGCAGGAAAAACACATGCTCACGTGCGTACACATAAATAAACACACAAGAAAAACATGCTCATGTGCGTGCGCACACATATACACACAGGAAAAACACACATGCTCACGTGTGTACACACATACAGGAAAAACACATGCTCACGTGCGTACACACACAAACATGCAGGAAAAACACATGCTCATGTGCATACACATATACAGGAAAAACATGCTCACGTGCGTACACACACATAAACACGCAGGAAAAACACATGCTCACGTGCGTACACACACAAACATGCAGGAAAAACACACATGCTCATGTGCGTACACACACAGAGGAAAAACACATGCTCATGTGCGTACACACACATAAACATGCAGGAAAAACATGCTCATGTGCGTACACACACATATACACACAGGAAAAACAGGTTCACATGCATGTTTGTGTACACACATGCAGGAAAAGCACACATGCTGATGTGCATGCACATGCATATACACGCAGGAAAAACATGCTGATGTGTGTGCACACACATATACAAGCAGGAAAAACACATCCTCACGTGCATGTGCACGTACATACAGACACACGCACACACAAGCAGGAAAATGGAAAGGGCATTTTCCTTGCCAAGGAGATGTTTTTAGTAGAAATAAATAGAACTGTGGCCAGTCCTTACTGAAAATTAAACATAAGCATGACTCCCCAGAAATGGTATTTCATCAATTGTTGAGCACTAAGAAGTCTAAAGAGTGTATAAATAACCAGTGTAATCTGTTCGAGGATATTATAACTATAGCTTCCAGGGCATGTTCTTACCAGATGATCATTCTGGAATATATCCTGTTTTTATTACTCTCACACTCCTCAAGTCAGTTTTGCCCAGTGTGGACACATTAAATTGATGTGATATTCATTAAGCAAAACAAAACGACATAGGGACTGGACAACTGTACACAATACCCACGTGATCCAAACAGCAGCCAGAAAGCAAGACGACGGCCTCCCTTGGTCACCACAGTGGAAGGAGTTATTTGGGGGCATGACAGCATTGTGGACTCAACCAAATAACACATGTAAGCTCATTTCTTCATTAAACACATGCTGTTGCCACCTATGTGATTCTTACTCTGTACTGATTCAAAACACTCATATATTAAAACTGATTAATGAAACTTTCTGTGGTTGATTTGGTGCTGAGATCTGTTGGGATCTGAATTCTAGCACCTGACGTATCTGACAGGCCCTTGTCTAGATTTGATACACACACCTTCCAAACCAATTCAACCACTCACAGGCTTTCTGCATGAGAACAGACACCTGCAACATGACGCTAGAAACTCCCTCCAGCACTGCTGACGTCATCCACTCACCAACCTCTGCACTGACAGTCTCACTTGCAAAGCTTTTAATGCAGCAACAATTATTTCGGCTGTGGCACTAAGCCTGTCCTTGCTATACGCTGGAAATTTGCCCATTTTTAAGAAAAATAGCGCTTAACACAGCAAAGTAGTTTTCCGGATGCCTGAATTGGGATGAGCAGTCTCTCCAGATGTCACATACAGACATAAAAGTCCTGAATAGGTTACGTGGAGTCAGTTAAAAGGCAAGACTGCACTCTTCTCCCCTACAGGCGGTGACACCAGGGATTAAACTAGTCTGTTCTGCAGGACCTCAGGTCCACCTGAGATGACTGGTCCAGCATCATCTCTGTTCTGCAGGACCTCAGGTCCACCTGAGATGACTGGTCCAGCATCATCTCTGTTCTGCAGGACCTCAGGTCCGCCTGAGATGACTGGTCCAGCATCATCTCTGTTCTGCAGGACCTCAGGTCCGCCTGAGATGACTGGTCCAGCATCATCTCTGTTCTGCAGGACCTCAGGTCCGCCTGAGATGACTGGTCCAGCATCATCTCTGTTCTGCAGGACCTCAGGTCCGCCTGAGATGACTGGTCCAGCATCATCTCTGTTCTGCAGGACCTCAGGTCCGCCTGAGATGACTGGTCCAGCATCATCTCTGTTCTGCAGGACCTCAGGTCCACCTGAGATGACTGGTCCAGCATCATCCACCACTACCTTTGTCAGTCAGCACGTCTGATCTAACTGTGGCTCCAGACTGGACGTGACTTCCTTACTGACCTGTGGGGTATGAGGACTGTCTTACTATCAGAAGCTTGCCTCCTGACATCTTCTACCTGGAGATCAGTGTGGGAGGATGAGGAGAGTTTTGGTCTCGTGCTAGCACCCTTGGTTGATTCTTTTATTATAGCCATTCAACAGTCTAATTCTAGTAACTAAGAGATAGCCCATACTTTCCTTTCTTGTCTACAAATTAAATGTTGAAAGGCCTGGTCAAATGCCTGCCCACTAATTCCACCACATGTCCTTCCTCAAGCCAGAAACCTAGTAGAGAACAAAATAAAGTTAACACATTATAACTTGTTCATTCACTTTTCCTGACCAGCGGTTTAAAAATTGTCTCTAGAACTCTGCCTAGGATTAACCTCACTCTGAGTAATGCGTGAAATCCACCTTCTTTAAAAAGCACAAGTGCGTTTTCAGCTTCTGGCATCAGCCCACTTTCCCACAGTTGCTTGGACTGATATGCTCAATATGGTGATATAATTATCAAGTTCTTTTGGTACCCAGGGATCTAATTTGTCCTAGAACAGAGGCTTGAACGTGCTTAGATTAAATAAGTCTTTCCTTACAAAGCCTTCACCATTTGGGGCTTTTGCTTCTTCTGGCCTATGTCTGGAGAGTGCTCCCCTCGAGGAGACCAAGAACCAAAGTGAGAGATGATGGGGTCCACTTTCTGCTTGTCGTTCATCAACATCACAGCTCTCAAGCAGAAAGCTCAACCCTTCCTTGATCTTCTGGTTCTGATTTTTGTACCTCAACAAATGGAAGGGAAAACAAACAAATGATAACAAAACCCAAAAAGCCTTACCAGTCTCTCCAAGCCTGGCTTATCTGGAGCTTTTAAGCTGTCCTGGCAAAACTCTAGCTAATACATTGTTGGCCAATCTCTCTACCTATTCAATAAGAACAACGAAGATCAGTACAAATGTGTCAGAAATACATACGAAAATACATACAGGTAAGTTTACCTCTTTCCTCACCAAAGACTTGTGGTTCTTTGATAATAAAATATTTAGTTTATGAAGCTGAGTAACAAAATAAGAAATAGAGAATCATAAAATGCCCTTTAAAACAGAAATTTAACAAGTAAACAGGGCTGGGCACAGTGGCTCATGTCTATAATCCCAGCACTTTGGGAAGCTGAGGTGGGTGGATCACTTGAGGTCAGGAGTCTGAGGCCAGCCTGGCCAACGTGGTGAAACCTGTCTCTACTAAAATGGTGGCACACGCCTGTAATCCCAGCTACTTGGGAGGCTGAGGCAGGAGAACTGCTTGAACCTGAGAGACAGAGGTTGCAGTGAGCCAAGATCACACCACTGCACTCCAGCCTGGGTGACAGAGTGAGACTATGTCTCAAAAAAAACAGGGCTATTCATGTACGCCTATTTCCAATTGGGCATTTTAAGGCCTTAACACTTCATCTCTTGACCTTGTGTTGAAGTGCCTCACCTTTTACATTACATTAATCAAGTCCTACTGACAAACAGCTAATTAAAGCAGACATTTACAACCCTCCATTTACAAATGACCCTCAGCAAGAAACTATAAAATCTGAAGTCAGTGGACAGTCTTATATTTTCAATCAATCCCTACTGAAAAACTGCGTTACAAATGAAGATAATATATTGTTAATTCCTTCATCCGATAATCATCTACTCGGTGACTATGATGTGTCAGGTATATCAGCACTGCATGATCTTCCACAATAACTTCTAAGCTCTCTGTTGGCATAAAACTTTTCTCTACTTGAAAATAGTGATCCGATGTTAACAAATAAAAATTGTATAAATTTAAACCACAATTTTACATCATCTTACAGAAAAAAAATGTAGCGTTTTAAGTTATTCTGATAAAAGGACTTTCCTTTCAGATAATATTATAATATCACTCTCTTCCCACTGGCCAGTACAAATGCTTTATACATGTTTATTTGGAGGAAAAAAAAATCACTTATTTCTGTTGAAACTTTAGCTGGGATCTAAGATCTAAATACTTTGTACTTAGTGATGTGTACAAAATGATTTTTGCCAATATGAAGGGAACTATGGGTAAGGGTTCTTCCCAGCAGTCTACTCTGCTCTGAGGGCCAGCAGCTGGAGATGGACAGAGTTGTGTATATCCCACGAAAGGCTTTTGGTTTTGATGTTAAGAATAGGATCAGAGTGAGGTTATTACTCGGAGGAGGACAGGAAGATTAAGCAGTTACTGTTGTTCAAAGATTAATGAGGTAGAGACAACATTATACCTAGATATTTGTATCTTTGCCCCTTACTTTAAAGTCTGTATTATTTTATCTATATCGATGTTACAATCGGGGTCAGGACAGGAAAAAAGAACACTGGCCAGCAGCTACCCTAAGAAAAGCATTCTGAGGTGCTTTCCACGTGTAATTTAATTTGTCTCACTTTCCTTAGAGATTGTATTATCCTATATTGTAGCTAAGGAAGTTGAGGTACTACACAGTAACTTATCCCAGATCACTCAGCAAATTTAGGGGGTGTGTTTGTTATACTATATTTTCTCAATTATTTCAATAAAGATTATATTTTTATAGAAAGACATAATTGACTAGATGTATTTTTTTTGGATATTCCCACCAATGGGAAGACCACCTGTTTTTTAAAATCAGTATGCCACGCTAGATACCGCAGTCTATGTAAAGACATAATGCTACGCCAGCAGGTGCCAAGTGATGCCAAGGTCAAATCTAATGCTCAGTCACACAGGGGCTGATGATGCAGTCGACAGTTCTAGGCTGTTAGTTTCCTCTTGCTTTCACCAGCTGGTGGACATATTTAATTACTCATTTGTACCCATGTCAGAAAAATAAAGAAATCAAATGTGTAAAAGCATATAGAGAGAATTTAATGCACTAAAGAGCGCAGCTAAATAATTCATATTAAACAAAAATTACTGAGGCTCGATCATATACACTGAACTTTCTACTCTAAAATATTACATACTGGATTTTAACCATTCTCACTGACAAGCTTAAAGCAATCCTGGACTTGTAAGATGCTGAAGAGCTGAAGATCACTCACATACATTTCTGGTGGTAATGTACCATGGTACGCTCATTCTGGAAAACAGTTTGGCAGTGTCTTTTAAAAACTAAACGTGTGCTTACCAAAGGACCCAGCAAACGCACTCCTGGGCATTTGTTCCAAAGAAATGAAAACCATGTTCACGCAAAAACCTAGACAGGATTGTTCATAATTTCTGTGTATTTCCCTGTAATAGCCAAAAACGGAAAATAACTCGAATGTCCCCAGTGGACAAATAGTTAAATAAACTGTGATATATCCAGACCATGAAATACCACTCAGCAATAAAGAGGAAGGAACTACTACAGACACATGCGACAAAGTGGGTGTGTCAAAGGAATTGTGCTGAGTTAAAAAAAAGCCATCTCAAAAAGTTACATGCTGCATGACTCCATTTATGTAACATTTTAGAAATAACAAAATAATAGAAGCAGAGAAGAACAGATAAGTGGTTGCCAGGGGTTAGAGATGGAGCAGGGGTTAGATATCACTGAAGGAAGCCAGTGCAGGGAACCCTTTGATGATGGGAAAATTCTGTATGGTTCTGTATCTTGAAAGTGATGGTGGTTACACAAATCTATACATGATACAATTGCACAGGACTAAACACACACATACACATGGGCACACATACACATCTAAACCTCGCGGAAAGTGAATAAGCCTTGAGGGCTGCAGCAAAGTCAGTGTCCTGGTTTGATTGTGTGCTGAGGTTATGCAAGATGCTACCGCTGTGGGAGGCTTGGTGAAGATGCATGGGACCTCCTTGTCCATTTCTCTCTCTTTTTTTTTTTTTTTTTGCAACTTTCTGTGATTCTATAATTACTTCAAAATAAAAAGTAAAAAGAAAAGCTAGGGAGTATGTTTAAAGATATGACATCTTTGGAGGTACAAACAAATGGTCCTCAACCTAAGATGGCTTGATTTTGATTTTTCAACTTGACGATGGACTTATTTGGGCATAACTCCATCACACATGTAAGTTGAGGAGCATATGGACTTACAACGGTTCAGCCTGTGAATTTTCATCTTTGCGATAGTATTAGTGCATTTTCAACAATAGATTTATTGGCATGTAATCCCCTAAGTTAAGAAGCATGTGTGTATATGTGGGGTGGAAATAGGAATGAAAGAAACAAAAAGCAAATCATTTTAGAGAATAATGACAGACGACTCATCAACAAAAATACTTCCAGGAAGGCCAAAAGGCAAGGCTTGGAAGCTGGGAACCAAATTTTAGACAACTTTGCACAAGAGATATAAGGCATCTGGAGGAATCCAGGGCGCATGAGAGACTGGGATAATTCAGAAAATGACTGTGTTCTGTGGCTGCAGAGAGTCATTTCCATGTAGAGTAAAAAGCCACACCTCCCATGGGAAAGCCCCCAAGGAGGAAGTGAGGCCTGTTTAGTGACAGGCCCTGCACTGGAACCACTGATAATCAGAGCACCCATCGGAGGGCAGCTAGTCTACACAATGAGCACTGTGGACCTTTAGTCAGTTTTCCTGTTTAGTTTAAACACCAGATGCCCGATGCAGTCTCCAGCTCTGCAAGGGAAAGAAGGAAAAGAAATCTGGGCCCTCTAAGCAGTGGGTGCTTGAGAGAGCACTGGGTATGTTTTCAATATACTCCTGGAGCAAACTCGGTGAGGACCTGAGGGTCAGAGGAGAGGCAGCTCCGAGAGCCTCACGTACCAAGAAGCCAGAGAGCACCTGCTTCCCAGGAACCCTCCCCCGGCCCCAGTGCAAGAAGCCTGGCAGCTCTGGCTTTCTCCCTCTTTTCCCCTTGCAGAGCTGAGCAATGGTCCCAGCACAAAGAAGACTGGATGCTCAATTGTTAGGCATAAAGACAGAGCCAGGCTGGTGTCTGCAACAAAACATCTCCAGGTGGCTGGGAGGCCTTTGTTTTTGACTTCTGAATAAAATGAAAGGTTCCTCTTTTCCCAGCCATTACTCTAAACAAAAACTTGTCCCAGTTCAGTGTGTAAGTTTGCAGAACTAGAACCAAGAGGCTTCCTTTACTTAAACGCAGCAAGAATCACAGCCCAATTCAAGTGGGAATGATTTTTCCTGGGAAACCTTGGCTTCTGAGAACAAAAATCAATGCAATGGAACTGAATCAATTCCAGAAACAAACTCTGGCTGAGAGCTCAATGTCACCACCTGATTGCCTCAAATAACCCACACATTTCAAAGGTAATTATTAGTTAACTCAGGACCTAATTTTGAGAATGAAGTTGAATGAATATGAATGAATGAAAATAGTTATGCTTTTGCTGTATTTGAAAATGGAAATCTCATTCAATCACTAAATCTATCATTAAATCTCAGAATAATATGCTAGAAATAGACATCACTTATTTCACAGGCTTTCACTGAGTATCTGCCAATTCCAGGAGGTAGACTAGTTAGTGGAAACACAAAGGTAAGTGAGACATGGTCCTGGGCTTCAAGGAATTTAAAGGCTACCAAGAGAAACAAACAAATGTCTAAAATGTAGGAGACACACAAAAGCAGAAGCATGTTCTTTTGGTCATTCATTTAGGTATCACCTCCTTGCACATTACCATTGCCTTGAGAGACCCTTTGGAATGAATGAGTGAAAAGAGTGAATGAACAAATAAACAGTGAAAAATGCATTCAAAAGGAAAGGAGGACAAACAAAAAAGGACAAATAGCAGGAGCATTATCAACAGAACTGATGTGAATAAATGCCATACACAGGACTGAAGGGGAATGCATACTGCAGGGGGACTAAGAGTGGATGACAACGTGTAGGAGGAGAAAGATCCTCCCAAATCAAACCCAAACTTATGTCAGGCCAATCAACATTCCTTCCAAATACTTAAAAAACAAAACAAAAACAGAACAAAGCACCAGGCTGCAGGCATTCTGAAAGGAGGCTACGAACCTCAGGATTCTTTTTAGAGAAAACAGCATCTTGGAATACTTCCAAATCTGGGCTTGAGGGGCAAATGGGCTGAAATTTCTATCAACCACCTGCTGCATTCTACCTCGAGGTAGAAAATATTTGTCCCCTAGGTAAAATGCATCCCCTTTTCTCTCTTCTCAGGAACAAGTGTCTATTCTGTCCTCTGGGGTAAAAGAACCAGAGTACAGAGGTCTCAGTTTTTGGAGTCTAAGAGCCTGGTCTTCAACAAGACTTCCGGCAGCCACCTTCTTCCAGGGGTTTCTTAAAGAGATTCCTGAGCTAATGCTCAGTAAACATCACCTTGACTTTGCACCTTTTTAAAGTGAGTTGTTATGACCTCATGTTTGTATTACTTGTTCATCAGAGGGCCAGGAATTTATTGCAAAAAGAGACAGTGACAACTATACTCCAGATAAAGTGAGGACGAGAGCCACTGTGGAACACCTGGCAGCAAGGAAGACTAACTTCTGTCACGAGAGCCTTTAGCAACTTCTAAAAAAGCTTCATGAATTTGCCTAAATGAAAAAGACAAGCTACTTTTTCTTTTTTTTTTTTTTTTTCCAGACGGAGTCTTGCTCTGTTGCCCAGGCTGGAGTGCAGTGGCACAATCTCGGCTCACTGCAAGCTCTGCCTCCCAGGTTCATGCCATTCTCCTGCCTCAGCCTCCCAAGTAGCTGGGACTACAGGCGCCCGCCACCACGCCTGGCTAATTTTTTTGTATTTTTAGTAGAGACGGGGTTTCACCGTGTGTTAGCCAGGATGGTCTCGATCTCCTGACCTCGTGATCCAACTGCCTCAGCCTCCCAAAGTGCTGGGATTACAGGCGTGAATCACCACGCCCAGCCAAGACAAGCTACTTTTTCTATCTTCTTCTATGTAATTTTTAATTGTATGATCTGCTTAAGAAGAACAGACTCAGACAATGTGTATCTTTTAGCAATTTTTCGTTCATCTGATATGCAAATACATTTAGTGACTTTATGCAAACACCTAGCAAATTAGCATGATTTCCTCTTCTAGGCCCATCTAGCTTTTCATTTTAAACTAATTAAACTTGTTCTAAGCTTATCTTAGTTTTCATTCAATAACCAGCTTCAAAATACGATGACTGAAGAAACCATTCTTTCCCGCATGGAACCTACCAAGGATTCCTGGGAGTTTCAGGGCTTTTGTACAGCACAGAAAAAGAACTGAGGGAAATTCTCAGGCTGGTCAGGGAAAGACAAATCTACTGAAGAAACGGGCAGCATTCCAGCCTGCGGGCAGCGTCCTTGAATGCCAATCACACGGGCACACGTGTGTCCTGCTATGCCCTCCCTAACTGGGCCCCGATCCCTCCTTGGTCCCAGGTTACGTGACGTGCACACAAGTAAGATGGTGCAGGTCGAGGAAAACATGCCAGTTTCTCTGCTACTAAGATGGCCTTTCATAGACTGCACTAAAAATCCTGCAGTCATAAAAGTGAACCACTTAGTCCTTAAAACTGATTTAAGGTCTCCTTAGTCTACAAACTCATACATACTAGAAATTCCTATTGTGTAAGTCAATGAAAACAAAATGTATTTTTACTTTTAAATAATTTCCAAACCTAGTGACAATACAGACTCCATGGTCTTATAAGTGGATGCTCTTATTAGAAGATTGTTCCTTAAAAACACTGCTGTTACAAAAGCCAATGAGCCCAAACGAAGCCTCTGGACAAGAGCTTTGTTTCTGTGTTTGAGACAGGGTCTTGCTCTGTTGCCCAGGCTGGAGTGCAATGGTGTGATCTCGGCTCACTGCAACTTTCACCTTCTGAGCTCAAGTGACCCTCCTGCCTCAGCCTCCCAAGTAGATGGGACTACAGGTGCCACCACACCCGGCTAATTTTTTTTTTAATTATTTGTAGGTAACAGCTTTTGAAAAAGCACTTTCCTTCCAGTTATCCTTTAGTGTCTGGTTTCTGAAAACCACTGCCGAGTTGAAAAGGTGACTTAAATCACAAATACTGCTTGGTGGGAAGAGTCTTCTGTCCTATAAGGAAGCTAGACCCTTACCTCAGACTGCTAAGCTGCTATAGAATATGGCCAGGCATGCCACACAAACACCAGCTCCAACCACCTGGCTCTGGAACATGCCACAGATGCAAGGCCCTCTTCCCTCTGCCCCTTCCTCTCGATTTGGCCTCTCAGCCACTCCCAGCTGCCTGACACTCTTCCTGCCTCTCCCTTATGGCATCTACAGCATCCAGGGCAACTGTGGTCACTGGGCCCCGAATGAGGAACCTGCAGACTGGACATCCCTGCCCAGGTCCCTGCCCTCAGAAGGGTCCAGGCTGCTGTGCTCCTGGCCCATGTTCTGTCAATGTCACAGCTTAGTGAACTATGCCACAATCTGTTTTCATACACAGATCACCTTAACCCTCTCCTTCTCTCTCAGCTACGGTGTAAAAACATGTAAAGTAACACACAATCACACGCATGACAACTGCCGTTAACAGGTGCATGTAGAGGGAGCTCTAGAAGGTGCAAGGGAGAGCGGCTAACCACGCCCATCCTTGTCTCAAAGGTGCCAGAAAGTTCTGGATCAGGGGATACTGTGTTGAGCGGGAGGGGTCCTGGAAGAGGAGGACACAGCACAAGACAGGCTGCAAGGAAAAACGTGGTCTATGTTGTGAGGATGTGGAGGTATCAGGCTGCTCCCCACATACAAGAAGAACCACTGGTAGTTTAAAAGCAGGGGTACGGCCTAGTCAAATTTCTATTTCAGAAAAATTACTCTGGTAGCGGTGCCACAGGGAGGCTGGGACAAAGAGCTAGCAGAGGCTGGAGGGCAGCAAGAGACAAGCTCGGTTCACAATGAGTGGGAAACTTAGTCTAGAGGCACGTGCAGCAATGACTAGGAACTGCCACAGAACAATGTCCATTTAATGTGTCTCCTCAAAAAAATAGCCTCTTTTGTTAAGAATTTTCAAGAGCAATTTCAGTGATGGCATTCTGAGGAGCAGGAAAAGAAGTTAGCTGTGCCAGTTTCTATCCTGATGACCATCTCGGGACCAAGAAGCACCAGCCCCTTGGCAGAAAGGATCGAGAGAGCCAGCTGCCAGCCCGGGGCAGGACTGAGTGCAAACCCCAGGGGTCCCAGTGGTTTGCTGTGTACTCTCCTCCACTCCTTCACAGCCTCACAGGGTTTCAGAGGGAAGCCTGCAGTCCAAACATTCCAGCAACAAATGACCCGACTGAGGACTAACTGTCCAAGATCTCAGAGCTGGTAGTGCCGTTCTTTTCCTTTAAAGGAATTGGTGGGTCTCCGAGCACTGATGCCTTGAAATGAGGCAAGTCAGGCCTCGCCCTCCCCTCTTTCCCCAGTAGTCCTACTCTTCCAGATCCTTTTTCCCATCCTATGACCACAAGCTTCCATGTGCATAGTCCCCAGTTACCCAGAAGGGCCCCTCATTTCCAGTTCATCAAGAGCTGCATCTGAATAAGTTACGATCCTCTGTGAAGGTCCTCAGTGACGCAGGGAATTTTCTTTTTTACACAGAAGTAAGGTGTGGTAAGTTGACATCCCTACTCAATTTGTAGTCACCCTGAATATGAACTTTTATTTTAAATTATTTTTTCCTCAGAAGCTACATAGTAGTTTCTTTCATGTAACTTTATATGATTTCTACCAAGAATAACATATATGCAAGGTATAATTAGTACCTACCTATTTTTCACACACCAAATAACATTATTTCTTGTCATGAGATGAGCTGATTAACAGGTGCATGCCTATGACATTAGCTTTAATATTATTCGTACCAGGTTGGCTCTGGCACATTTAAACTCAATATTAGGTAACACTCACGTTTACTAGCATCTGAGAGAAGTCTCGTAAAATCCAGAGGCAATCATGTTGGCAGCCATGTGACAGGTTCACAGCCAGGAAGGAGACCCAACAGCTCTGACCAACAACGCGCAGGTCCCCTACTTATAGAAATGGACGTTCTCTGTCTCTCCCAACCCTCATGGGTCCTCTCTTTATGGAAAGCCCCAGCAAAGGCAGCCATGCGCTCACAAAACAAGGAAAGCCAGCACAAGCCCGGCTTTTCCCTGTCCACGCAGACACACTCAGCACTAATGGGCTACATCTTACAACTTGCCACCTTTGTCCACTTTCTCACATTATGACTAAATTTAGGTTCCTCCAAAAGAGTTCAAAGACCCTTTCAAGCACAGATCATATTTTGGTCTCCTGGCACCTTACCTCTTTCACATGGGTGTGAAAGGACACTGACATGTCCAGTAGGATCTTTCGCTGCTCAACACGCCGAACGAAATCTTGAATCCGGTCTTCCAGCTGATGGGCAGCCTGATAAATCTCTTCGGGGTCACATTCCCCAGTCTGAGCCAGCTGTTCTGCTGCTTCCAGTAATTTATCCGCATTGGTGTATGTGTTCTGCACAAGAGAACATCCCAGAGAAACAGAAGGTAAGTGAAAAGCAGACCAGCCAGGCTGGGCGCCATAATATATAGCAACACAGTCAATTTGTGATATTTTTGATCACTTACATGAATCAAACAGAAAAATATGATGGGGAGAGATGATTTTGGGAATTCTATGCAGAATTCCTTTCCCGCTGTTGTTTTAGATTGTTAAACTTTGAACCCCATATCAAAACCCTTGTATTGAAGGTAGTGATGGACTATCTGCAGGCAATTGCTGGCTGTCTTGTGACTCAGAGCTTTCAGATTTTTGCCAAGGTGGAGTCAGGAGACGGCCCCCAGCAACAAATGCCTGCTTCACTTTTTCTTCCAGTTTTATCACCAAGCAGAGAGTTCCAGTCTATGTCTTTCCGTATGATACAATGCTTTACGATAATTCTCGAAGTACAAGTTAAAGGTTAAATTCCAAACAAACATAAGTTGCTATCCCTTTTCACACATTTCTACTTGTTGGTAATTCTGTGCTCATCTTCTTTCTACTTAAGGCTATATATTTTTTATTTTTCTGTTTTGTTTTCCAGCTTGCATGACAGTCTCACTCTGTGGCCCAGGCTGGAGTGCAGTGGTGTGATCACAGCTCACTGCAGCCTTGAACTCCTGGGCTCAAGCAATCCTCCCACCTTAGCCTTCCAAGTAGCTGGAACCACAGACATGCGCTACCATGCCCAGCTAAATGTTGTATTTTTAGGAGAGATGGGGGTTTGCAATGTTGCCCAGGCTGGTCTCGAACTCCTGGGCTCAGATAATCCTCTCGTCTTGGCCTCCCAAAGTACCAGGATTACAGGCATGAACCACTTTGCCTGGCCACATTTTTTGAGAAAAAGGAAATAATAACTATAATGGCTCTAAAGTAGCCAGAGTTTTAAAGAGCTCAAAGTGTAAACACGTGTCTAAAATACTCTAAAAATCACCTTAATTCCTAATAATCTGAGGCTGTAAGTGGGTTCCTCCAACAGGAAGGCATGCGAGAGCCCTGATGCTGTTACAGGAAGCTGCTGCGGAGGGGTCCACAGGTGGGAGGGGAGCCCCGGGAGACGCTGGGGGATGCCAGGACAGGAAAGGAACGGAGCTCAGGCCTTCTAAGAAGGCCCAGGAAGTCAGCTTTGGGTTTCCCTTGAGAAACAAGGTGAATCCTTATCCTTCTCAGAGATGTAAGATGAGCAGGGAAGGCGTCTCATCGGTGAGGGTCTGAGCAGGATGTGAGGGCGTCATGTGGGGAGGGGTGGCCTCCAAGTTGGGAGACTGGTTACATTAGTAGAATGGAATTACACAAGTAAGCCAATACCTGAGGGATAATGGGAGCCAGGTTTCTCTATTTGAGAAAAGGGAGTTATAAATATAGCGAAGGAGAAAACTTGAGTGAACTCTTGGCATTGGGCTGGAATTGGAGCTATTCGCATGAATACATACATGGTTTTTAACAGACAGATGTGAATGCGCATGTGTACACACACACACACACACACGAGACAGATCTAAAAAGCAGCTTTCACCTATGGAACAATTCCTGACTGCTTTCCAGGGCTTCTCTCATCCAGGCCCTCCCCTCCTATGGCTGCCACCTGTGCCTCTGGGCACAAGAGTGGGCACTCCTGTGACCATGGTCAGCCATGAGCACCAACGGCTCTGCTGTGGAGGGTCTGCCTGCACTCTTGCCTACAAAGGTTCTCTAGCCATCAGAGGCCGCACCTGCAGGTGGCTTCCTTCCAGGGAAGAAGGCTTGGAAGTCCCTGCTTACCCCCAGCTGAGCGTCACCTCGGAACTCCTGTGTCTGCATCTCTATCATGGGCACAACGGGGCCTCCATGCTGAATGAAGCTAACGGTGTAGCAAGCTGTACAGAGAACCCAGAGTGCCACAGACGCACATTTCTAAAGAGCTGAATCCTGTTTTCCTATGATCACCACTACAGTTTTGGAATTGTGGACTTCTCATATTTGGTAAGTGGATCTAAAGATGACAGAGCCTCCCAACAGCCAAGTATTACGTTTCTGAAAGCCTTCCCACGTCTATTCCAACAAGTAAAGATATTTTTTAAAATGTCCCAAAGAAACAAGTGCATTTCTGAATGATCTGAGACGTGAAACAGCCATCATTTATTTCCCTTTTAATCTTGTGCTTGAAGAACATGAGACAGCACAAAAGGTGCCAGGGCTGGTGGGGCCTGTGTCAGCACTCGTGCCTCTGAAACCCCTGGCCAGGTTTTCCCGGGAACGAGACCTTCCCTGGGTCCTTCTGCAACTGGAGAACAGAGATTTCTTTGTGCTAGTATCAACCATACTCATCAGAAATGCTACCTTTTTGGCACTTAACACTGTGCCTCACAAAAGCGGCAGGACATGGATACTACCTGATTTCCCATTTCACAGGCGAGGAAATCGAGGCACAGAGGGGTGCAGTAACTTGTCCACCAAGTCAGTCAGCAGAGCTGGGATTGTTAAAACAACCAGTACCTAAGCCACAGTTCCTCACACGAGGGGAAACTGAGACACTGGACTAAAGTGGGGAGGATATCAGAGTCAGGGAGCATTTGAGAGTCTGAGAGACTGGGCTTCTCCTGTCCAACTCCTACTATCCTGTTCCCGAGGCATCTCATGCTAGAGCCGTTTTCTGATCTGTGGTGTGTGGGTCATCCCTGCCATGGGGATTAAAAGGAATAAGGTAAGGCCAGGCCAGGGTGGGGGCCTAACTGGTGTCCTCTTTTTCTTGAGAACTTGGTAGGACTCAAGCAGACAAAAAGAGCCACTAGAAGGCAAAGGTGCATGAGACTTTGCTCTTCCTGCAATCCTTGGCTGCAGGGCTGTTTCTCACTAAAGATGACCAGGGGCTGTACTTAGAATTCAATGGAAAATAAGGGATTTTGGGAACTTAGAACAGATAGGAAAAAGAAGGAAAATGAGCATTTGAGGCCTAAATACTTTCATTATATTTGCTTGGTTTAAAAGACAACAAAGTCTGCATATTGAAAACCTCCAAGGTATTTTATTAATACAGAAATGTAATCAGAAGAATGATGGGCCAGGACATCTACAGTGCAAATTAAAAGCCCCAGGTAACTTAAATTATCACCTAAAAGGCACACAAATTCCCAGGGATCGTCTTTTCATCCGTGAAGGGAAAACACGGCATCCCAAGAGACAAGCTCACCGCCCCTGCAACATGTGTCCACAGGATAGAGTAAGCAGCACCACAAACGCTAACTAACAGTGGACCCAAGAAGTGCTGTGGATTTCTCTGGACACAGCAAAACACAGACAACTATCTATGTCTCTCACCATTTGACCGGACACACACTGTTGTGTAGTGTGGGAGTGGGAGGGTTTTAGCGAGGTGAAGTGGCCCGCGGGTGATACAACTCCAACATCCTCTGGTGCTGCTTTCCAGTGCTGCTGAGGACTGCAGGAAGAGCCAAGTCTCATTATTTTCCACTGGATTCCAAATACAGCCTCTGGCCGTCTTTAGTAAAAACTGGTCCTGCAGCTGAAGACTGCAGGAAGGGCAAAGTCGCAGGCGCATTTGGCTTCTAGTGGCTCTTGTCCCAAAACGTAAACACAAGGCTAGTATTCACCAAAAGATCTGAATAATCTGAATGATCGTACTGTTCTAGGCAAAGACAGCACCACAAGCGCCTGCTGGGTGTCAGGCATTTCTACATGTATTCTCATCACAGCGACTCGGTGAAGGTAGGTGTTAGGTATCATTTTACAGCAAGGAAAACCGAGGCTCCGAGAGATGAAGTTTTCCACTGTCTTGCAATCAGAAAGCAGTGGAGTCATATTGGTAAATTTTGGAAGTATTTTTAATAAGGAAAAATTAGCAGATGAGAAGATTTGGTACCCTGTAAATACGTGCCAGTCTAAAGAAAATGCTTGATAGCAAATAATTTGACCTGAATTTTCCACTAGTAATTTATTTTAAAAGATTAAAAACAATACATCTTATATTAGGAACCAAACTTACTGCAAAGCAACAGCCTATTTTGTACATATGCATGCTCTAACGGCTGTCACAAATCAGAATTTAGAGCATGCTACACGTGGGGACATTCTGTATGTCCACGTGTTATGGAGGCAGTTATCCTCCTTGCAAAAGATGAATGAGTTAAGTCATGACCAGGGAGTCACTGGTCTGCTTTTCTTTTAAAAATCAAGAATGAATTCAAGGTCTCCTGCTTTCCTAAATGACAAACTCTTTTATCCAGGAAGACAAGATAATTACGTGGCACATACGAAAAGCTGTTGACAGAAATGGCTTCCTGGATAATAACTTTGTGACAGGTTACATCTCTGAAAGATAATTTGAATCCAGGGGGATAGGCAGAAAAGAGCGAGGGTGGTTTAAGAATTCACAGAGCAGGTACTTAGGAAGGATGCTATGCCAAAGATTTACTAATGATAGTAAAGATACCTTCTGTGCTCTCAAAACCAGATTCTTCCTTGAACCTGAGTTTTCTGGGCTTTACTGGCTGTTTTAATCATAACTTTTAAAATCTAAAACAGGAACATTAACATGAAAGAGTATCTTCCTGACAGTTATTTGCAAAAAGCTTCGCATGAAAAGTATTTTTTATTTCTTTTTTTACACTAGCCCATGAAAATGCACGATGGCTATTCACACCACACATACACATCAATTAGCATGGATTCATTCAACAGGATAGAGCTACTCACAATCACTGTACAAAATTAAGGAAAGGACCTTCAAATTAGTTACGAGGAAGTTCTTGACTCTGCAAAACTGCATGCAAAATGGATCCAAGTGCTTCCTGAGGTGACTGCAGCCGTGTCTAAAACAAATTCTGAAACCCAGGGCCCCTGCAGCTAGGTCTTGTGTCTGCAGAAGTTACACTGTATGACTCGCTTCCACCACCTAAACATGAGGTTCGAATTTTGGGTTCCTCCTTCTCAGAACACCAGAACTGTTCTATATAATAAATCTATATTTAGTACATTTTTAAATGAATTCAACCATAACATTTCACCACTTCCTTTCTGAATCTCTGCTGTGTTACTTCATCAAGCCACAACTCACTAGTTTAAAGAAGTTGACTATAAGAAAAATCTTATTAAATAAATTACTGGGCTTATTTTTCAGATCAGAAAGTTAACCTTAGAAAGGTTAAGCGACTTGTCCAAAGTCAGGCGGCCAGTGCTCAAACCCCACAAATCCCACATTCGGAACACACTGGACTCCCGGCTCCTGTTTCCTAAGCCCACACATTTAAAGAAATGCAAACAGAACAAGTAAGGCTTAGCCTACTACTATAGAAACGCAGAAGGAACTGTTATTTCCTGATTATAAACTGGAATTTCACAAAGTAGTCAAAAGGCACTGGTATAATAAACAAGACAAAAACACCCAAGTCACATTTCTGTTCCAAGAACATCGTATTTTAGAAAGCGTCAACTTACCAAATCATGTTTCTGCCTAGGCAATGACAACTTCACTCTGAAATCGGAGCCTTTACCTCATCTGAGGTGTCAAACACATCGAGCTAATGCTAACTTATCTCAAATGTGGTTAAAACTGTAATCCAAAATCAACCACACGGGTATTTATGGGATAAAATAATAGAAGCCATTGTTTTACCTGTGCCACTTCTTCAAAATCTTCATGACGTTTCTGCAATGCTCTGGCCCGATGAAGAGATTTCCCCACACCTGTATGTTTGCTCAGAAATGCTTCTCCGTGGTTCTCGATCCAGTCTAGCACCTACAATGAAATACAGGTACATATGCCATAAAAACAATGTCCTGCCATGTTCAATGTTTAAGGTTATCCAATGAAGACCCCTTCTGTTGTTAAAACTCTGTAAGAAACAAGAAGCAAACGAGAAAAAAAAATGGGAAGAAGTAATTGGATACTAATTTAACACACTCGATAATTACAAGCTGATAATTACATCAGCTTTCCCAGCAGGACTTTAATCATCTCTTACATTAAAAGTGGAAACCTTTCTATGTATAAACATTGCATGCAATAATGATTAAATTAAATCTCAACTTATCTATGCACCACTGGGCCACCAAACTGACTGGGTATTGTATAAGACAGTGATTAGGAAGTCACACAGGGCCAATTTAACTTAGCAATTTTATAAGGCTTAAAGCTACACTACTAAGGCAATTCAAGTTTAACTACAGAGTCATTTTTTTTCCATCTCTTCTTTAGAAGACTCAAACACATGAAGTAAAACCTAACACTTACATGCCTCAGTCTTGAGCTTGGATAATTTATTCTTTAAACTAAGATGCTGCAAAAGCTAAGCATTTCATGAATTTAATTACTTAAAAGTTCTTGCTAGGTGAAATCCACCACACTAAAGAAAAAGTAAAAACAAAGCAGTATAATCTTATGTTTTAAACTTCGTAGTTGGAACTGAGTAGTTCATTGGGTCTCATACTTAAATCACAAAACGCTGACAATATCTAACAAACTAGAGTTGACCTGCGAACAATATGGGTTTGAAATACACAGGTCCACTTTTATGTGGTTTTAAAAAATAAGTACAGTCGGCTCTCCGTACAGAAGGGTTCCGCATCCACAACCAAATGTGGACTGAAACTACAGTATTTGCAGAACGTGAAGCCCACATATACAGAGGACCAAATGCAGGACTTAGGCACCCATAGGTTTTGGTATATGTGGGCGATCATGCAGACACTGAGGGACAACTGCATTTACACTACATCAAATGCCCACTTTGTCCTCTTTGATGGATAGGAGATAACCAGCAAAAAACTAAGTCAGTGATGTCTTTAGCTAAAAACTAAAAACTTTAAAAGATTTTAAATATTTAAACATATTTGTTAATGCACAGCTATAGTATTGAAGGTTCACTCATACTTTGCATGTTGTAACTCTGGTGCTCTCTTTGTCCATTCAGCCTGCTCTAACAAAACACCTTAGACTGAGTAATTTATAAACAACAGAAATGTAGGGCTTCATAGTCTGGACACTATGAAGTCCCAGATCAAGGAGCCAGGAGACTCAGTGACTGGTGAAGGCTTGTTCCTCGTTGAAGGTGCCTTCTATGTGTCCTCACATGGAGGAAGGGGCAAACAAGCTCTCTCAGGCCTCTTTTATAAGGGCACTAATGCTATTCACAAGGGTGAAGCCCTCATGGCCTAATTCCCTCCTGGAAGCCCCACCTCTTCTGGAGTATATTTCAACATGAATTTGGGGGGACACAAACATTCAGACGATGCAGATCAAAATCACCTTGGACTAAAGAACAAATGGGCACACACAGCAAAGACAGTGGTCTAGGGGGCAATCTGGGAAGCCAACCAGCCATGGCTCTGCTAATGGCAAAATAAAAGGGGCTTAGCTTGTGGTTCCTTGCCCTTGATCAACTGTACTGTAGAGAGATCAGCCATGTTCATAGATATAGGGGGAAAAAAGCAGCAGCTGGTGAGTATCAGAGCCTGACATGTTCCTCATTGCTCCAAACCACTGACCTTCACATCTGAGGGCCTGGCAGAGGGTCCTTTCTGGTCAAGGTCTAGCAAAGTTAGTATTACAGGTAAATTGCAGACCTTAACAAACCTCTTGTGGTCCTCTGTACAGACCCTTCTAGAACTGGCAGGCACTGAAATCAGACGTGTGGGAGGTGTGGGGTGGGGGTGGAGGCCGAGCCTGGTCTCATTTCCACCCCTCCATTTCCAGCCCCCCTATACAGAGACATAGAATTTAGCTGTGTGCTCTTGGGCAAGTTCCTTATTCCTTCTCAGCTTCAGGTTCCTTACCTGCCCAGTGGTGACAGTCACAGGTAGTTGTCAGCATTCGATGACCTCTATGTCAAGCATCTTAATGTCAGTGTGGCAAATGGCATCCCCGCCTATAACCAGAACTCATGGCAAGCTTCCATCTCATTTCAAGCTCCTGACGGCACAGGCTGTACATATTCCATTTTAACTAATGTATTCGGTACATTATTTTAACTAGAGTATTGAGTCCATTGTTTTAACTGGCGTATTGAGCGCATTATTTTAACTCGTGTATTGAGCGCATTGTTTTAACTCACGTATTGAGCACACTAACTAGTGTATTGAGCACATTGTTTTAAATAGCATATTGGGCGCATTGTTTTAACTAGTGCATTGAGTGCACATTACTTTAACGAGTGCATTGTTTTAACAAGCGTATTCAGTGCATTGTTTTAACTAGTGTATTGAGCACATTGTTTTAACTAGCGTATTGAGCTCATTGTTTTAAGTAGTGCATTGTTTTAACTTGCACATTGTTTTAACGTATTGAGTGCACATTACTTTAACTCATGTATTGAGCGCGTTGTTTTAACTGGTGTATTGAGTGCTTTGTTTTAACTAGCGTATTGGGCGTGCACTTTAACTGGTGGATTGAGCGCATTGTTTTAACTAGTGTATTGAGCACATTAGTGTATTGAGCACATTATTTTAACTCATGCATTGAGTATATTATTTTAACTCATGTATTTAGTACATTATTTTTCTTTCTTGGGATTAAAAAGAGAGTCCTATAAGGTATTGCTACATTCACCACCTGATTTCGAGGCAGACAAAGCGTTGCTGAGTTGTTTGTCCCACAGTCTTTTATATTATAAAACACAGGTCCATTCCACGGCTAAAGAAATGTCTCAAGGACAACTTCTGGACCTCTCGGCCTTGAGAATGGATACATTTAATGGAATGTGCTCCTGGGCATGAGGCCAAACCATGCAAAAGAGAAGTATCAAATATTTCTAGCTTGAAAAGAATTTAGAGGTACATAAGTAACACCTCTGCTACAGTTCACCTGCCTGTAAGATCTACAGGAGGGCTAAGGAGACTTTTTTTTAAATTATATAATATATTCGGTATATTACTTAACTTACGTAAAGAGAAAAATTAAGTCACCAGTAAGCAGCAAACCTGATGATTACTGGAAAGTCCATAGAGACTTGAAATAAGGGCACAATTTCAAAAAATAAAAGATAAACATTATTTGGTAGAAAGGGCCAGAGGAAGCAAAATACAACATTTTTAAATTAATAAAAATTTGTTTCTGGCCAGGCGCGGTGGCTCACACCTATAATCCCAGCACTTTGGGAGGCCAAGGTGGGCAGATCACCTGAGGTCAGGAGTTTGAGACCCGCCTGGTCAACATGGTGAAACCCTGTCTCTACTAAAAATACAAAATTAGCCGGGCGTGGTGGTGTACACCTGTAATCCCAGCTACTTGGGAGGCTGAGGCAGGAGAATCGCTTGAACCTGGGAGGCAGAGATTGCAGTGAGCTGAGATCATGCCATTGCACTCCAGCCTGGGCTACAACAGCAAAACTCCATCTCAACAACAACAACAACAAAATAAAAATAAAAAAGAAATTTGTTTCCAAGTATTTTAGGAAGTTTTAAGTTGGAAATAAAAGCTGCTATAAACCAACCACTCAGGATTATAATGGGCATTTTTCTTTTAACAGTGATTCCTTCAGACAGAAATGTAAATACCAGGTGAAATCGTATTTCCAATAAACATGAAAATAATTCAAAGGAATATGTACAAATTCCAATGATAATTTCCACTTTTAAAATAATAATAAATAATTGCAGACAGCTATGAAATCCAGCTAATATTCAAAACCAAACTCCCCATGAGGCTGTTGATTCTAAGTATGGGTAGATTACTCAGATTACCCAGTGATCCTGAGTCAATATACCTGGTCTAAGTAACATTTTAAAGACATGCTTGTGAAATCTTCCCATTTAAAACATACTAAGATAAGCAAATTACAGGCCTTTATCTATCCAGTCCAGCCAGCTGCACCTCCGCCCCCTTCCCAGACAGTCCTGTTATCTATTTGCTCTGTGTCCTCAACTCCACAGACAATAAGGCTGGCCTGGGGCTTGCTGCTTCCCTTCCAGATGAAAAACACAAAAGCTGATCCCTTCCCACGGCTACTCTGCACAGAGGCAGAAGAGTAAAGCTGGAGACCACCACCACCTTCCTCTCTGTTCAGAGGGTGTGGTGTGGGCTCATTCCTCAGTACACCAGTGCCCTCTAATGGACAAAACAACAGTCCCAAGGTCACGGTTGTTCCAAAGTGGACCGTGCACACTTGAAACAGCTACCATCGCTCAGCACCTAAGTCAAATGTCAGAAGGCAGAAAGCTGTTCAGAATGTTTAGCTTAACTCCCTGTTTGTAATGAAAAGGAAACCAAGGTCCTAATTGCAAGACTGAACGTGATGGTGGCATGATTACGGTCATTTGACCAGCAATCATCTCGCCATCTGAGCACCTGCTGTGGAAGCAGCCCCTGACCTAAGGCTGTGTGTGCAGTGAGCCATCCATCCTCACAGTGAGCCAGGGGTAGGGCGATCCCTATCCTCTTACAGATGAAGACACAGGCAGGGCCCTCTGTGACTTTATGGGAAAGCCTGAGTGTGCACTAGAAGCCAGGATGCCTGCCTCAGGGCTCATCCTCCCGTCTACACTGCTTCTGCCCTGACATACAGGTGAGATGAAAAAGGAAAGACCTCTGCTTTTGTTTCAGAATGGTTCAGGCTGTTGGGTAAGTAACCTCTTAGGAAATGACGCTGTCACAACGCTCAGCAAAACTGAGTTAGGGTAAATCTGCGAATAGTTACCAACCCTTGATTAGATGCAACAGGAACTGGCCACAGGTAATGCTTCCTCAGTCCCGCTGCAGAGTTCTGGCATCCTGTATAAGCTATTTGTAAAATTATTTTCTGTAGTAGGTCCCTACTACCTAATACTCAGTATTTGTGGTCTTGTAGAGTATTTACGGATTCCTCTTTCTCAGTAATTACTATTTAAAAATTTGTTTAAAAATTTCTCTCTCTCTCTTTCTCTCTCTGCTGTGGTTTGTTTGGCCCCGCCAAGTCCCACACTGCAATATGATATCCAGTGTCAGAAGTGGGGCCTACCGGGAGGTGTTCCAGTCATGGGGGCAGATCCCTCATCAATGGCCTGATACCACCTCAAGGGAGGGAGTGAGTCTAACTCTTAGCTCCTGCAAGAGCTCATTGTTGAAAAGAGCCCAGCACCTCCCTCCTTTTTCTCTTGCTTCTCTCTCGCCGTGTGTTCTGTACACGCAGCTCCGGCTCCCCTTTGCCTTCCATGCTGAGTGGAAGCAGCCTGAGGCCTCCCCAGAAGCACATGCTGGTGCCATGCTTCTTGTACAGCCTGCAGAACCGTGAGCCAAATAAACCTGTTTTCTTTAGAAATTACCCAGACTCAGGTATTCCTTTATAGCAACACAGACTAAGAAACACATACTAAACCCTCATCAAACAGGAGAGTATTTCAAAGCCTACCTCACAACAACATACGATGTGAAAACCAATGTAAATGATATTTTCCCTTTGAAATGCAGAGGTGTTGATTGCAAATACTTCCTAGAATGGTTTTCTATCATGGTCATGCATCGCATCATTGCCATCAGCTCTATTTATTGAATGACTGTTCTATGCTCTGCTTGGGAGGGCAATACAGTTCCATGATCTCAACCACAGAAAGCTCTGAAATTCCAAATATTTTTCAAAACTTGGTTCTAAAAATTCATCCGTCAATAAAACCTAACCTGAGGGTACTTACATAGTCTTTACTGAGTACTTAATAAGTGCAAGTCCTTGAACATTCAGCTATAGAAATAGCCATGCATTTGATTATGGGGGGGCTGTCCAGATGCCACTAGAAGTGTTAGTATTGTACACTGTGTTACTTTTCTAATCTTTGAGAAATTCTGAATTCTGAATCACAAATAAAAGCTACAAATAAAAAGAGAGCAGACTTTAATCATTATTTCTATTAAGCAAGAAATTGAGGCTCGGATAAGTAACCTGCCCAAGAAAAGAGATTCAAATGGAGGTCTTCTCAACTCCAAGCTCACTACATTCCACTTCAGTTTGTAAATACTGTCTTTAAAATATTTCTAAAACTAGAGTTTCATCTCTAGAATTGCTACTTGAAAAACTACATAATACATCTGACATAAAGCAACCAAGAACATACTAAGCTAGTTTGTTTTTACAGGTAATTCTGCATCCAAAGAGCACACAGAGAAAATAGATAATCATCTGTCAACTGTAGCCACTGTTCTCAAGATACAATACATAATGAATTAGTGTGTTTTAAGTCAAAACAATGAGAACCCCTTCTAAGTCACATCTTACGCACACAAAAATGAAAATAAGCTCCTCTGATTCTATAATCCATTTAAAGAATACATGAAACAAATGAAAAGCAAAGGTAAATCTAAAATACTCTGAATTTGTTCTTTTTTATACAAAGTCAGATTTTTTTTCCAGTTGCAAAATAAAGATTTCCTCCCTGCCAGCCCACATTCTCTATAAAACCAAAATTAACAACCTGGTTCCATTTATTTTAGTTACTCAGTCACTGTCTTTTATTTAAATCGCTGGGGAAACTGATAGAGAAATGAACATATTACATTCTGAGCTTTCTGGACTATCAAATCAATGGTATTTTAGGGATATACAACAAAAGATGACTCATTGACTAAGCAACATCATTTCAGATCGGTTAAACCAAAGTAGGTGGCCATAAAGGAAGACTTTCACGTAGATAATGTTAATTTTTATTAAAGGCTGGTGTTTGGCAGTGCTGTAAGGATAGTCAATATTATGCTACTAATGAAATTTACCTACAAAGTAAAAATCACAAATGAAGGAATCCTTCTGAGTTTACTGGAATTCATATACTCATCCTGTGTTAGTCTAGCTCACACTTTCTTTCCTAGTGCTCTGGCGTACTTTACTCATGAAATCACTGGTCTTATTTTTCCCTCTCCCACGGAGGCCAAGCTCAGGGAGACCCCAGACCGCATTATTCACCCCCAGCTGTCTAATCGCCATGCGGCGAAGCAAGGGAGGCCTGAGATAGCTGAGTGGGGCTGGAGAGTGGTCATGGGAGCTCCTTTTCCCTTTCCATTGATTCCCTCCTAAAGGACTAAACTCCTCTCTCTCTCTGTTCTTAAGTGGCTGTTTTCCTTCATGGTCACGGGCAATTGCAGCTTCTAGGAAAGCCTGTTCCCTGTGACTAAAAGCACCACTCAAAGATTCTTTCTTCAGTATCACGTTGATTTTACTCTTTGCTTAGCTTAGAAGGTAGGCATCCTCCTCAGACCCAGAGCGGTGACACAGAAAAAACACCAAGAGGTTCTCGGTGCTTCTGCCAAGCCATTCGACTTTTCCAAGGCTTGCTTTTATTACCTGGAAAATGAGGGGGCTCCAGCTTCAAATTCTATTGTGTGTGAGACTACTTTTAAAAGTGAAATAAAACAGACACAGAATTCAACACACATTTGTGGGCTTTGGGGACCAGGGGAAGAATGGGAACTTTTGAGGTCTAGCATTCACCACGGACTGACATTGAAGATGTTTTAGATGAGGGGTGTGTGGGAGGGAGCCAGCCCTTTCCCCAGCCTTTGTCCTCTCACTGTTAAATCTGCAGCTCCATCCTGGCTGTGGTTCCTATGATGGCTGGATTCCAGTCCCACCTCCTCTGTGCTCACTACTGCAGAAGGTTAATTAGGAGCTGGCTCTAGACCCACCAGGAAGATCAGCAGGTGGCCTCTACCTGCGCCCAGTAGTTCCCAATCCAAAACCAAGCCTGTGCCTCCACTCAGCACTCCCTAATTCTAATAGAGAACTCAGAGAAGATGGCAATCCTGTAGCCATTCTAATTAAGAGACACAATCAAAACTGCGAGTGCTGGAGTGTAAACAGAAGCAAGTGTTAAACAGCTAGGGCTATATGATTCTGATGACTGGAATCAGAAAACTCCCTCCTGACTCAATGAACAGATGACAAGGGAGTTCAGGAACTCAAACTTCACTTAAAAGCTAGGTCTAGTGTAGGTGATGCTAAACCTAGAGCTCCTGAGTCAGGCTTCCTGCAGAGCTGGCTTTTGCAGGCCGAAGAAATAGGCTGGGGCCTGAGGCAAATCTGTGAAATTACTTCTCTATAGACCTGGGATGTGTTGCTTTGCCTCTTAGGCATATGCCAACTTCCCTCCTCCAGATGGAATTCAGCATAAAAGACCCTCATTTTGCATTCAAATGACCAAAATCCTCATGAGAGATCTCACACTTCCAAAATTCCCATGCACTGAAATTATCACTTCCTTCCTTGGACACCCCTAGTTCCCCAACATCAATCAAAGATTCCATTCCTTCAGGCAGATCTCCCAGATATAAGACCAACCCTCCCCCATTTTAAAAGAAATGAAGCAACTTTTAACCCCAAAGAATCTTTAATTAGCAAAATTGGGGAATTCCTTAAATTCCTTCAACTACTCATTCAGTCATTCAACAAATACTGACATCTGCTCTTCCAGACACTTGGGAAACACCAGTGAATGAAACACTGATGGCTGTCTCTGTGGTCCTCACGTTCTTACTCTCCAAGACTTACTCACCCATGACTTGCAGGGGCGTTGTATTAGTCTGTTCTCATGCTGCTAATAAAGACGTATCCAAGACTAGGTAATTTACAAAGGAAAAACATTTAATGGAGTCACAGATCAGCATGGCTAGGGAGGCCTAACAATCATGGTGGAAGGCAAAGGAGAAGCAAAGGCATGTCTTACATGGCAGCAGGCAAGAGAGCTTGTGTAGGGGAACTCCCATTTATAAAACCATCAGATTTCACAAGACTTATTCACTATCACGAGAACAGTACAGGGAAGACCCACCCCCACGATTCAATTACCTCTCACTGGGTCCCTCCCATGACAAGTGGGAATTATGGGAACTACAATTCAAGATGAGATTTGGGTGGGGTCACAGCCAAACCATATCAGGCGTCCACAAGGGAACCTAACCAGGTTCCTGGCCTTTAGGTTCACTCCTGCTATCCACCCTCCACTGCCTACAGCATCAAGTTAAAAGGCACAGAATAGGAGATCCTTCGGGCTTTGAACTCTATGAGGTGAAATGGGTAAAGTTCAATGGGCCAGCTGTGAGCATGCAGAGAGGAAAGACACATACATGGCAGTGAGCACCCACAAAGCACCAAGATGAGCTTGATGCTGTTCAGAAGTCACACACAGCCCTTGCACCATGCACTGGCATTCGGCGCAGGTAAGCATGAGCTCCTTCAACAGGGGCCCAAAACCCTCATCGTGGGGGCCACGTTTTCTGTGCCTGACCCCATGTTACCTTGCTGGCACCAGCCCCACCTCATACCTCTCCATCCACACTAGGCACTTGCCGCTCCTTGGATGGGTCCTGCCTCTTCTGTCCTACTCTTGCTGGAATTCCCATTGCCCACTCCTCAATCTACTGACCTTCTCCTCATCCTTCAAACAGCTGCTCAAACTCTACCTCTTCCACGAAGATATTCCTAGTAGCCCTCAATATGATAGCTGCTACTTGCCCCTCTACTATAGGACCTTTCATTTTTCCTTGTGCATTAGACCCTTGACGTTTGAGAAGAATTCAGAAAAAGCTCTCAGGAACACTCAAATTTGCACAAATCACTGAAGTGTAGATATGCCCCATCAAAATGTGTATGCTGCAAGGCAATCAGACACCACAGAAGAGGTCGCAAGTTTCATCCACCCCTCACTCCTGATAGCACCTTGACAAGGAGGATTCAAATTTATGCCTTAGCAAATTATACTCCACAATAACCAAAGACATGAGTGTTGCAGATGAGCCTGGCACAGTCAAATTTAGTAGACTACAAAACTATCTGCTAAAAATAATCTGCTCTTATCAGATTATAAATTCCTTGAGAAAAGGAACTTGGACCCTGTCAACATATTTATCCCTGAAACTTTCAGAGCATCGCACATTCAATTAAGGTATTTTGGAAAGAGAAAAAAAGAATAAAGACTGGACAAGAAGAATTTAGAGTGGACTAGGTTTGCCTGATCATTTTTTAAAGAATATTAATTAAAAAATGGTCCAACATGGCCCTGGAGGGTCCTGCCAAGAGACACTTGCAAGGGGGTGGCGCTCACACATGAAGGGCTGTGGGGGAAACGGGGGCTTTGCAGAAGGCATCCCTGCTGAGGGGCTTCCTCTAGGGGACTCAGTAGGCTTCAGGAAAGCAAACACATGGGGCCACTCACTGCTCCTGACATGCTAGAGTAACTGAATCTCAACAATCCAAGAAGAGCCACGCCAGCCGAACAGTTGAGGCAGAAAAACAAGTCTGATGGCATCCTCTTTGGACTACTACTACCCATCTGAACAGGTAAAGCAAAAATGAGTTACCTTCCTAGAGAAAACTAAAGCATACTCTAAACTAGAAAACAGTGTGTAGCAGTAACACAGCTATTCATTTATTCATTCATTCAACCAAACCTTCGCTGAGAGTTACTCTGATAATAAACATAAGGCAATGGAGAGATGTATATATCTGATCATTAGGAAATGTGATAAAAAATTTCCATTTTCTTTTTAAGTGAACAATGGCAAAGGCAGCCAGCATGTGCATCTGGGAAAGTCCTCAGCAGGTCTTCCCAATTCCCCGCCCAGCTCTAAATTGGAAGCACGGTAAGTGTGCTACACACAGCAGCTTCAACCACCTTTCCCGCCACGCCTGACTACCATCCAAAATGCCTTCTACACAGAAGTTATGAATTGGCCCCCGCTTATTAAGAGGGGAAAAAATTAACCTCGAAACCAAAATTAACCATGTTTTACAAACCAAACTCCCTCTGTCATCCTTCCCCATTCAGTTCCTCAGGGCCCACTAATAGACATATTTGCTCCTTCAAATATTTTTCAACAGACAAGCATTTACTCCTCTGGGGTTACTTTCATAAAACTGTAATCATTCCATGCCTCGCCTATTGTTCAGTAACTTGCTCTTCCTTTTTCTCAATGTACTTACAGGTGCTTTTGCATCACTCAAAACAATCAAATGAAAACCACTGTCGTGTCTCTAACCGGCTTACTATGTTTTTATGGATTTCGGTTACTACTGTCTTTACAAATTTATCTTCTGCTGGTAACGTCCTTCTAAAGTACTACTATTTTTCTTTCATTTATTCTTGACTTGCCTCTCCTACTCTATGCTTAATATGGCAAAAACTTCCCTATGTGTCATTAATTCCTTGAGTTTCAGAAACACGTTTTTGGTTTTGACATCCTATTGTCACAGTATTTACTTTAATTAATCTTACCAGCCTCACTCTTTACCTCACAAGTCAAAGCCTACAGAGCAATTTCCTGTTCACACAACAAGTCCAGACCATTCCAGATCATTCATCAACAAAAATATTTACCTTAATGAGCAATATCTATTTTCTATAGATTGCTAACAGGACCATATATGCATTATGTGTATTGCAAAAAACACTTTCTCCTGCTGACATCCAAGCCAATATGCTGTTTGAGAGGGGAAAAAAAGCTAGCTTAAAGAACTGGCCTCATAATTATAATTACCTTTCTACATGTTTGCTGTTTTTAAATTCAAGCACATTAAGTATTTGGCACCAAATTAGATAGCCAGATTCAGCCTATTCCCAAGGGCTTCCTTACCTTGTGCCCTTTTCTAACCTAAGCATGAGATGAGAGAAAGAAGAGCCATGAGAAATGGGGTGTGGGGGGAAAGGAGGGGGTGCCCTTGCTGCTGCTGCCTCGGAAGAGTTAATGAGGCCCCCTCTTGGGAAGTGCATCAGTCCACGGATGTGGAATTATGCTCAACCTAAGGGATACAAGGAATGTGGGGAATTTTTCAACAATTAGATTTAAACTCCAACATTTCATGGTTTGTAGAAGTTTTTGGACAATTCAAAAACACGATTATTCATGATTTCATTCCCACAATGTCTGTCCTCTCAATCCCTCTTCACCACTGGCTCCAGCCTCTTCTTTCCTGCACTGTATTCTTTCTCTGGCAATTATCTTCTTGGACTAAAACAACATTGTTAAGAAGCATGAATAATAACAAAATGATCATTCCTGAAGCACTCTGTATATGTAACCTTCAGAGAACTCAAAAAATAAAATTAGAATCAAAGCACGGTATATGAAAATTAAAAATTACAGGGCCATTCAGTCTTTTTTTTTTTTTTTTTGAGATGGAGTCTTGCTCTGTCACCCAGGATGAAGTGGAGTTGTGTGATCTTGGTTCACTGCAACCTCCGCCTCCCCAGTTCAAGTGATTCTCCTGCCTCAGCCTCCTGAGTAACTGGGATTACAAGCATGTGCCAGCACGCCAGGCTAATTTTTTTTTTTTTTTTTTTTTTTTTTGAGATAGAGTCTTGCTGGAGTGCAATGGTGCGATATCGGCCCACTGCAACCTCCGCCTCCTGGGTTCAAGTGATTCTCTTGCCTCAGCCTCCTGAGTAGCTGGGATTACAAGCATGTGCCAGCATGCCAGGCTAATTTTTTTTTTTTTCTTTGAGATGGAGTCTTGCTCTGTCACCCAGGCTGGAGTGCAATGGTGCAATAATCGGCCCACTGCAACCTCCGCCTCCTGGGTTCAAGCAATTCTCCTGCCTCAGCCTTCCAAATAGCTGGGATTACAGGCATGCGCCACCACACCTGGCTAATTTTTGTATTCTGAGTAGAGACACGGTTTCACCATGTTGGGCAGGCTCGTCTCGAATTCCTGACCTCAGGTGATCCACCCCCCTTGGCCTCCTAAAGTGCTGGGATTACAGGCGTGAGCTACCTCGCCTGGCCTGATTTTTGTATTTTTAATAGAGACACGGTTTCACCATGTTGGCCAGGCTGGTCTCAAACTCCTGGCGTCAAGCGATCTGCCATCTCAGCCTCCCAAAGTGCTGGGATTACAGGCGTGAGCCACCGCACCTGGCCCATTCAACGTCTTTTGAATTTACCAGATTCACATGAAGTGAAGAATGATGAGAATGATGGTGAATGACATACAGAGAATCTCAGTCTCATCAGAACACAGGGCGACTCTCCAAATTCCCAGCCCATTCAGCAGAAAACTCACTCACCTTCACATGACACTCAGGGAGATGGAAACCTGAGATCCTGAGAGTGGCTCTACTGCAGGCTTATCACGGCGGTTCCCAGCCAACTTCCTGAGGCCATGGGCTACCCTGCATACTCCAGGATTCCTCCTCCCCAGAGGTGACACCTCATTCATTCCCTTGTCTTTCCCTCTATTTGGGGGCAAGGACATGGCTATCATCTTATTTATCCCTAAAGCTATGTCATATTTTACTCCCATAGCTTTAATCCTTAAAACTCTTATTCTATAATAAGGAAGCAAAACAATGGGGAACTGGACTTACTCTTATTTTTGTTTCTTTAAAACAAAAGAGATGGCAACTGCTTAGAAATGAATAGTCATAAAAGTGTACTTTTCATCAACAAGACAACTAATTATAATGCACCTACTGTGCACCATGGACTGCACTACCTACCACGTGGGAAGTGAAGCATGACCACCTCACTGTTTACATAGTTGGAAAAGCAGACAAGTGTTAACTAAATTATAACAATACACTGGTGTGAGCACACCAGCATTATTGTCACAAATAAATATAAATGAGAATGATCCGATTCTAGAAGAAAACTTCCCAGTGTAGGCCCCACATCCTCTCCTGGGTTCTGTGCACAGGAGCTACTGGCTGACAGCAGCCTGAACACGCGTTCCTAAGCCCAGTTTTCACTTACATTCAACAAAAAAGCTCCTCTCCTTATCTTCTAGTCATCACTCCTTAAGCACAGATCTTCCCAATATGATGATGTATTTAAACTCTACTCAACACAAGCCATTTCCCATGCAGAAGGGCATGAGGCGAAACTGACCTGCTGAACGTCCTGCTGGAAAACACACAGCTGCAGCCTCTGATGCAGCCGGACCTTGCGGTGTTGCCAGATGTTCTCCAGCTGCCGCTGGTGGTGCAGCACCTCGTGGATGACATCCAGGACATGGTGCACGGCCTTGGAGTAGTTGGCAGAGGCTGTCAGGGAATCGGAGCTGCCGGGAGTCAAGGGCCGCTGGAGCTTGTCAAGGAGCGACTTCCCATCTTGGCTGACCTGCCCACAAAAGAAATGAGTGATTCTTCACGATCTGAGGTTTGGCCTAGGCTGTGCCACAGATGCTGTCCTTGGATACATGTGTGTGCACATACAGGCACACACGTACATGTACACACATTACACACATGCCCAGACATTCATTCACACACCACAGTTTTACTCAGAGGCAGTTTTATATAGGATAAAATTTAAAACAATCCATCAGCTATCCAATGACATCACAAAGCCAAATGATGCAAAACACTAGGTGAAAATAAAAGAACATTAATTACTACAAAACACTGTAGTAGATACCACTCAATGAATAGGCATACTATTTGCCTTAAATGCCATAAATCAACTAACAGAAACTGCATTCCTGGGATATCTGCAAATTAAAATTTAAAAGTAATAATTTTATCTCGAGACATGTTAAAGAGAATACAGCAGATCATCACAATGGAACAAAATTGTTCCTTAAAGCCTCAGTTAAAACAAAAAAATCAATCTAGCACTAGGCATAGAATATGTACTTAAACTTTCTGACATAGCTGGAGAGCAATTTAACTTCACAAAAGAAAATTTAAAATGCCATTCTATTTGGTTCATTAACTTTAAAAGGTAGTTTTAATTAAAATGCCATCAAGTGCTATATTATGGCAATTTATTCTCAAACTACAATTAAATGAAAGTATTCGGGTTAATCAAAGAAATAAGAAAAGGTGAGGGTGCAATTTAGAAAGAAAAACATTATGTATTTTTCCTACTTAAAAGTGATTCATAAGACTTATGAGTAATTAATTACGCCAGATGTTATTGGGGGGAAAAAAAGTGACAATCAGACAACACAAAGTGTGTGTGAGATGCATAAGGTAACCAGGTGTGGGATGCAGGTGTCTTAAGTAGGTAGGGCCTCTTCACATGATCCTTCAGCTTAGATACTTCCAAATCTAAAAACCTCTTTGAGTTTCTAGTAAGCAGGCCGGGTGTGGTGTCTCTCGCCTGTAATCCCAGCACTTTGGGAGGCCGAGGCAGGCGGATCACAAGGTCAAGAGATCGAGACCATCCTGGCCAACATGGTGAAACCCCGTCTCTACTAAAAATACAAAAATTAGCTGGGCGTGGTGGCGGGCACCTGTAGTCCCAGCTACTCGGGAGGCTGAGGCAGGAGAATGGCTTGACCCCAGGAGATGAAAGTTGCAGTGAGCCGAGATCGTGTGCCACTGCACTCCAGCCTGGGCGACAGAGTGAGACTCCATCTCAAAAAAAAAAAAAAAAAGAGGAGCAAGTTCAGGGGCACTTTTAACAGACACAAGCCCAGTTTAGAAGAAACCCTTAGAATAAAAAAGAGCACACAGGGAATAGGTAAATGGGAAAAGCTAACACTGAGAGCCTTTAAACCAAAACCTGGTGGCAAGTGACCCTGCAGAATTTCCTAATCGCTTCCTTTAATCCTCTTCTAACTGCAGTTGTGCCAGATTGTAACACGTTTACTTTTCAATACCTGAATTTGAGACGTTGGAAATGCTGATTATTCCTTACGAAGGCTTCAGGGTTTAAAATTCACTTAATACAGCCTAACAGCAAAACTTGGGAGGAAATCAGCTCAGCTGACATAACCAAAGATAATAAAGGAAAAACCAACCAAGTTAACTGCTGAATTAGTGTCAGTTAAAACAAAAATGGAAAATTTAAACAGTCTTCTCAAGCAGGCTTCTCATTTGTGCCCAGAAGTCACTGAAATTGGTGTGGACATTGCTGATGCAAAGATTTTGAAGAGAGGAGGCACCATGATTGATTTGGGTGGTGGATTCAGAGAAGCAGGGTACTCTGAAATGAGCAGGATATTAGCACATGGTGAAGAAATGTCCTGCTTTTCGTGATCATCTAGGCAAGGCTGTTTTTAACACATAAATACACGGTTTTTCTCTTTTGCCCAGTTTTAACATACTGATCTTCCCACAAATCCAACAACCATGTTAATCAAAGACAGTGTTTGGTTTTCTTTGGAACTTTACAAGAGCTGTTTTCCCTTTCAAAATATCACATGACCACAATAAAACCATTCTCAATACTCGCATCACCAAGATGCCACATGACCAGGCTACAGTTGTAGTTGCTATATTCACAATAGTTTTATATATATGACCAGCATCTGAATATCTAATTTTTTCACCTACAATAGATGTATTTAGGCATTTATAGACTGAAAAACATTTTATCATAAATCACCTTTGTCTCCAACTTACAATGTAGCATATAATTTTTATGTACACATATAAATTATATGCAAAGGTAGATTAAACTACGTATGCATTTTAGTTCAGGATCATAAAGCAGGTGTCATAAAATTTGTGTTATATCATTGGAGTGCTGCATCTCTTAGAACTGAGAGCTACTGCTCCAAGTCATACATTTCACATGGTGTTAACCCTAAAAAGAATTCCTTACAAATATTTCCTCTACATTTTACTCCTTGCATTACTGTTGGAAAATGTACATCAGAGCCTATGATTTGGTGAACATGTGCCAGAAACTGACAGCTGCTTCCCCAAAGTCCACTTGCCCTCCTTGATAGCCAAACCCCTACAGTCAGAAACAGCAACACTCCAGCTGTAATGCCACATTTCCCAGCCTTGCTTACATATATGAGTGGCCAATATACAAAAGTAAAAAATGTTGAATGGGAATTCCAGGAAAGCTGTTTAGGGGCTAAGCTGGCAGGTATGCTCATCCCCTTGTCCCTTCCTCCTCCTTGCCGCCAAGAACTTGAATGAGATAGCTGGAGCTTTAGCAGTTATTGATGACTCTGAGGCAATCTTAAGAACAGCAGCCTACCTGCTAAAAAAGGCAACACAGAAAGACAGAAGGATCCACAGATCCTCTTACTAATAGAGCTACCACACTAGCCCTGGAATGACAGCCTTTGGATTTCTTTTACACAGGGAGAAAGCCAATTTCCATCTTAAGCCATTGTTTTGCAACTTAAACCACCAAATGCAAAAGGACAAGATGAGTTCCCAGCCCTCAGCAAGTTTCCAAAACTCATCCCTGTGACACCATTAATATTCTTCTACTGAGAATGGAGTACTCTAAGCAACAACATTCCATGCAATATTTCTTTCCTTGAGTGTCTCTGCAACTGTTTAACAGATCTCCATGCCAGAGATCATGACTGGATTTCGAAGGACACACTTGCTCATGGCGGTGGAGGGGTAGTGGGAAATGTCTGCTGAGAAAGTCAATACACAAATACCTTAACATAAAACAACTCATTAAGGAAAGCTCCACCTTCTGAGAATTCATAAGCAGGGATTAATGTGTCTGTTGGTCCCACCACTGGTACTGTCATTTACTGATAGTGACAGCGGCAGTAAAGACCCTGGGCGAGATAACACCTCTTGGACCCACTTTAAAACCAGACAGCATGGAACTCCAAATCCATGTTCAAAAACAGCATTTCGCCAATAAACCTTTCCAAATATGATTCTATATTATTTCAGTACAAGTTTTGTAGATTTGGCAATTAAAAAGTATGATTTAAGCACATAAAGGATGGCATATATAGTTTTCACTTTTGGCAAAATGTCTTAGTCTTTGTAATTACAGTAATATTATGTGGAAACAACATGCTACAATTTTATGAGGACTGCTGTTCTGTTGTATAGAGATAATAATTTTTAAATGGTACAGAATAACCAGGAGAAAATTAATGAAAGAAGAGACTATATAGAGCAGACAAAAAAATTCATATAAAATGTAAGTGCTAAAACAAGTAATGTAAGTTTATGGCATGTAGTGTAGTTCCACAGTTTCTTAACTACTGAACCAGGTGAGTGAATTTACTTCAGTTATACATTTTGTTTAAAACTCTGTTTTCAGCTTCCAGGCACTGAAACTCTGAGCCACAAAGAGACAACAGCTGCAAAAAGAAAATCAACCTTATTAAATAGCAGGACTTTCCTATAATAATTTTTGAACCGATCAGATCAGCTCATTTTTCAGTCTGCTCTTTGTTTTTCTTGGAATACACAGCTGGGGAACTTGAAGGGCAATCAAAGTTACATATTACAAAGATTAACATTTTATAAAGAGAAACTAAAATGCTCTGATATCCAAATGAGTTCAGAAAAATGCAAGTACTAACTAAAGCAGAAAAAGTAATTAAAGGTAAGTTTAAAATTTTACCATATCAAAGATATGTTTGTTCCTAATATTTAAAAGGTAGTATAACTATTTAAAATGTAGAACAATGGGCTGCTTCTTGAATATTTACTGTTCATCAGAACTGCACATAGACTTGTAACTTGGATTTCTGCATGTCACCCTTAAAAAGAGCCATAAAACTTCAGAGATTTGCCTATTCTTGTTTCTGGTACTGGGATCTCTACGTTTCCTGTAAAATCAGATGAGGGCTGAGCGTTTCCAGCAGGAATATTCTTCACCTGCACAAGGGATGAACGTGGCTCTGACCTAAGGAAAGACAATAGCATCTAGACATTCTTGCTTACCACTGCAAAAGCAACAACTGCCCAAAGACCAAATAAAGATGAGTGACAGCATATCAATTAGGTCCAAACGCAGTGTTTTAGATCTAAAAAGTGCTAGAAAATGGCATTCCCAAGATACAACAAAAACAGGCAAAATACACCAAGACATTTAGCCTGTAATAAAGAAAAAGTGTTCCTTCAAAACTTTTATGAAATGAATTGCACTATTTCTGCCGACTCAAAGCCAACACCGTCTTAATTCTTTTTCAGGCTTAGCTCGCCATGGCCTGCAAAGCACAGACCTCCACACGAAGCCTGGGAATGATTTCACTCTCCTCTCCAACTCTTGCTGAACTTATTCTCATATCAAGGTTCTAATAAAGCAGAAAAGAATGAAAAGGGGTCAGCAGGTAACCACCCAGCTTATTCTGCAGCAACAGTTGACATTCCTTGGCCAAACAATCGAACCCTTCTGAGTAAGGAGGTTCCAATCTGTCTTCAGATGGCTACATAAGATGCTCCTACCAACAGTGCAGGTCAATTACCTCCTGAAAGGTCATGTGTGTTCCCAACGACAGATACTTTCCCATGCTTCAGGGAGAACACAGAGAAAGCTGGTTCCTTCTCCAGGCAAAGTTCTTATTGGATGGACCTCCAAATGATGATTTCTATTTCTTTCAGCTATTCAGTTTCTTATTCAAAACCAGATCAGTTTACCTTGGTTTGACTCTCTGACACCTGTAAACCTGGGATTATCAGAAAGGAAAAACCAAAATAAGACCAAAACAGGAAACGTCTGGAGCAGCCCAGTTGGCGTGAGTCAGTTCCATATGCCTGACATGTGTGTTCCATAGGCTGCACCTGGGCTCTACTTTTGCTGCTCTTATATTTCAAGTGCTTGCAAGGCCTCAAGCTGAGTTTGGGGTGAGAAGAAGACAGCTGTCATATGGGCTGTTGGCTCTGATACTATGGCAGATGCTGACTACAGCACTGCATGTCGCTACAGCAACACTGCGATCTTTAATGAGGCTTTATACAACTGTGATGGAAGTGACAGCTGGGCGTGGTGGCTCACGCCTGTAATCTCAGCACTTTGGGAGGCCGAGGTGGGCGGATCACTTGAAGTCAGGAGTTCAAGACCAGCCTGGCCAACATGGCAAAACCCTGTCTCTACTAAAAATATAAAAATTAGCCGGGCCTGGTGGCATACACCTGTAATCCCAGCTGCTCAGGAGGCTAAGACACAAGAATCGCTTGAACCCAGGAGGCAGAGGTTGCAGTGAGCCTAAATCGCACCACTGCATTCCAGCCTGGGCAACAGAAGAAGACTCCACTCTGCCAAAAAAGAAGTGACTCTACCGCAAGGGAACTGAGCTTCCACACACATCACGGAGAGGTGGTTTTTTGGTTTTAAGAAGTTTCCTATCCAGGTGACTCATTTTGCTGTGTGTTTTCATCTTAGGCTAATAGCACTGACCCTGCCATCACCCACTGATACAGTGCCTTTAAACAGGAGCTCAACCAGCTTTGCAGGCAGCAAATCAGTCATTCCCATGAGGCCCTGTTGAGGCACACACTAAGTTGGCACATTTGTTAAACTGAGAAATGGATGCAGAATCTAAGCCCTGAAGTCACATGAGATCCAGCAGGCCAACGCCCCATGGCACTTCGCCTTGCTTGTGCTCCGTGGCTGCAGCAGTGGCCCTTTGGTGGATGTGTGGCTGCTTACTATGCAGTCTCACCTTGCAATCCAAACACCTGGCATTGAGGCTTGTGAGGCAACACAGGCACACTGAGATGAAAATCATTTTTATAAATTCAGTTTGTTGAAAAACTGGTAGCTGAGTTGGCTTACTTAAAATGTTAAAAATGACTACAACTTATCTCCGACGTTTACACTGCTTCACTCTCTTGTGATCAACTGTAGCCAACAAGATAAGCTCAGAGCTGGCAAGCTGAAGCAAGTGAGTGTTCAGGAGGCCCAGGTGCGTTCCTGTTGCTAAAGCACAAACAGGAGTGACACGGGCAGGTCTAATTAAAGCACAGCAGAGCAGGTGCTTGCGTCTTGGAAGAAAAATGCTGGGAAAGTTTCCCAAAGCAAATTTATATGATCAGAGACTAGAAACTATAAACCCTGTTCAAAGAAAAAAAATTGTAGAGAAAATGAAGAGAGGAGGAGAGAAGAAAGGGAATAAGGAAGGACAGGAAGAGAGAGGCAAGGAAAAGGAAATAAAAAAAAGCAAAGCAAGCCCTGCTTATAAGTACTCCTAACCCCACATGACCCGGCATCCAGTTCAATGTCTAGCACTTAGCAGGGGCTCCGTATCTGTGAGATGGACACCTCCTCAGCAGACCCCCAGCTCTTCAGAGCAAGCTCAGGAGTGCTGCTCAGCATGTGATCTGTGTACCATTGGCATCAGTCACTGCAGAACTAGGGAAGGCCTCTGAAAATGGAGATTCACTATCTCTGGGGTAGAGTACTGCTGCATTTTAAGCCAAGACACTCAAGTCTGCAAACCACTGATTTAGGAATATAAAATAAAAATCACTTACAAAACAAAAGCAGTCCTTCCCTTCCCATCTTCCTGACACCTTCCCTCTTGGCATGAAGAAAATGAGGAAGTGAGGGGTGGAGGTGCCAAAAGAGGTGTCCCTGTGCCAGGTTAAGGGAGTGGGTGGTAGGAGTTGGAGGTGGAGAACCCAGACAGAATGGTTGGGAAATGGAGCAAATACACCAAGTGAACAAGTAAGTTAATACATTAAGGAAAATAGAAGCCAGGTTTCTTGCTGCCTGAGAATAGATTAACAAACTTAGAAAGGGAAAGGATGGAAAGAACCCTGAGGTATTGGATTCGAAATGCACAAACACATGTATTTTTAATACAGATAGACACAGATAGATACAGCAGTAATTTTATATGGATGTGTATGTGCATGTGTAGATAATGTGTGGATGGGTGGGTGGGTGGGTAAGTGGTGGGTAGATAGATAAATGAATGAGTGGCTGAGTGGCTGGGTGACTGCGTGGGTGGATGGATGGTTGGGTGATGAGGTGGCGATGGACAGTTGGGTGACTGGGTGTATGGATAGGTGGTTGGGTGACTGGGTGGATGGACAGATGGACTAGACAAATGTGGATGGGTGGTTGGGTGACTGAGTCAATGGATGGGCAATTTAGTGATACGGCAGATGGATGGATATGGGTAGATGGGTAGATTGATAAATGTAGGTGGATGGCTGTAGGATGGGTGGTTGGTTGGATAGATGAATGGATGGGTAATTGGATGGATGGATGGATGGATGGATGGATGGATGGATGGACAAATGAATGGGTGGTTGGGTGATTAGGAGAATGAATGGATGGATGGATGGATGGATGGATGGATGGATGATGAATGGGTGGTTGGGTGACTGGTTGGATGAATGGATGAATGAACGCATCAATGAATGAATGATTGGATAAATGGACAGATGAATGGGTGGTTGGGTGATTAGGTGGATGGATGGATAAATGGATGGAGGTTGGGAGGGTGGATGGATGGACGGATGGGTGGCTGGGTAATTGGTTGGATGGAATAATGGATGGGGATTGGATAAATAGAGGGATGGATGGTTGGATGGAAGGATGGATGGATGGATGGGTGACTGAATGGATGGATGGATGGACAGATGAATGGGTGGTTGGGTGCGTGGGTGGGTGGGTGGATGGATGGATGGGTGGTTGGGTGATTGGGTAGATGGATGGGTGGTCGGGTGGATGAACAACGGGTGGTTAGGTGGACAGATGGATGCAGAGATAGACGGATGGATGGGTGAATGGATGGCATTCATATGTTTCATAAGTCTGTCTGCTAAGAGGGTCTAGAAGCAGTGACACCTCACAAACAAACAAAACTCTGAGAACCCAGGTCTTTAAAATTCTAAACACCATACAATACTGTAAGGAACCATCCCACTTAGTGAGACGAGTGATCCCAGGGTAGGCAGGGAAAGTACAAAATGAGCTGGGAACAAGTGCTCAAAGGACAATAAGGACATATCAAAAAGACACAGAAAAAAGCTCCTGCTGGCCAAGTCTGAACAATTTAGGAATCAAAAGAGTATCAAATTATAACCGACTGATATAGTAAGATCTCATACTTTCATACTGATATAAACAAACAAAAGAGAAAGGAAATACAGCTCATTCTTATGGTAGAAAGCCACCTAATAAATACAGAAGGAATAATGGAAATAGGTGATCATCATCACAGTGGTGGCTGCTATGGGCAGAAATCCTCAGTGGAAACTATGGCTGTGAGAAGTCTGATGAGAAACAGAGACTGGTATTCTATTAGAGTAGCTGCCCACAAAATGTGCAGCAAAGACTAATTTTTTAAATGGTGCCTGTGCATTGGAGAAACCCTGCAGACACCAATCTGACCAAGTGGCCAAGATGAACACTACTCATAGCCGGAGAGGTCAGTATCCTCTGTCCACTGTGATGACACCCAGAGAAGGACATGCACTGCCAAAAAGGCACAGCCTGAGTCAGCCCACGAGAACTGGGGGCAACCAGAAGTAGAGGGCCATCTAAAGAAAGAAAGGCCTGTACTCTTTAAGTATGTCAAAGACATAAAGGCAGAGAAAGACTAAAGAACGTTCCATTTTAAAGGAGACTGATTGGTAAGACATGGCAATTAAATGTAGCGCACATTGCTGGACAGTGCCCCAGACCAGAAGAGAAAGGGGCATCATTGGAACACTTGGGGAAATAGGATCAGTGGCTGTGGAGATGATGGTCATGTTGTATCAATGGTGCTTTGCTGACTGGAGAGAGAGGCAGTGGGGAGAGAGGGTGGAGCAACGTAGTGAAATTCTACAACTTGGAAAATCTGGGTCGAGGCAATGTGGGAGTTCTCTGTGCTATTCTACCACTTTCCTGTAGCCCTGAAACTATTTCAAAATGTAAATAATTTAAGAGGCAAAATAATTCATTCTGTTCTACTGAAAATCCTTTCAGTTCATCCAGTTCAAATTACTGTCTCCTTGAGTTTACAGCTCAGTTGCAAACATGTTCTTAGGCTAAAATTCCATCTAAGACCTCAGTTTGAGAGGCTGTTTAACTTCCTATCAAATTATTTTGAGATACTGGTACCAATGTAAATCAAATAAAACTATACCACAGGTAAACATAAGTTCCTGTGTCAAGATGCCCCATTTTTATAGAATGCACTGGTAACAATTAGGAGATTCTGTATTTAATGAAAACTGCCGAGAGCAACAAGCAGACTGAAAGAGCCAGCTTGGCTGGAGGATGACACTGGCTGGGTCAAGGTGATTCTGATTTAAGTTATGCACAAAGACTGTATTCCCAGGGTCTGCCAATCACCTTGTAAATGAAGGCTATTCAAGCCCATCTTGGTTTGGCAAGGGCAAGGGCATGCAGACAGCTGGCTGCAAGCCCACCACTGCATTCAAAGAACAGCTCCAAAGCAAGAGATTCATATAAGCAGATGAGTGGAGGCCTCATTACATGTGTGAGTAACAGGGTCATTTGCTTTCTGTGTTATAGGTCAAAATTAGACAATGCATAGAGATGGCACATCACGGGAAAGAACTTGATGGTTTTTAGAAGTGACATAATCCTCATGAGCCAATGTGATTAAAAAAATTATAAATGTGTTCAATTTTCAGTTTTACTATAGAAAAGGCTATCACTTATTTAAATAGTTTCTAACAGACTAGACAACCAAATTAGTTAAGAAACATTGGTGCAAAATTAAGAAACAATACAGAGTTGACTTTCTTAATTCCATAGCCAACACGAAATGTTACTTGAAAAAACTGTATCTTATTAGGCAAAGGTGGCTAAAGAAACAAACAAATACCAACTGCCACGGGAAAGAGAAGGACTGCCCACATTCTGAAGCAAATATACAGTTAGACATCACGTGGTATCAGGGACACATTTTGAGAAATGAATCATTAGGCAATTTCGTCCTTGTGTGAACATCACAATGTAGACTTTCACAAAGCTAGACGATGCAGCCTACTGCACACCTAGGCTATAGGGAGCAGCCCACTGCTCCAGGCTACAAACCTGTACAGCATGTTACTATACTGAATACTGTAGGCAACTGTACCACAATGCTAAGTATTTGTGTATCTAAACATAGAAAAAGTACAGTAAAATACAATATTATAATCTTATAGGACCACTGTCTTATTTGCAGTCCATCACTGACCAAAACATCTTTATGAGACACAAAACTGTAGCAGCAAATCACATGTCCATTTAATTCGCTCAGGGACACTAGGATGTCAAGACAGGCAGGCCCAAGGATATGAGAGTGACAGCTGGGCAGTGAAGCACAACAGGAAATATCAGAATGAAATGCAAATGGCCACTTTCTTCCCAACAACTTTGACAAGTTTGGATGTGTTTGGATCAAGATTTAGATTTAAACACAGAAAGCATTTATTAAACATCTACACTGTCCAGCACTCTTCCAGGTGCTGTGAAACTCTTACAGAAGCCTTGCGATAATCTTTCATATTAACATAGAACACTGTAGATATAGATGCTTCTTACTCAGGGAGAAAACCTTGCAGAAAAGTAAGGACACAGAATTCCTCTCTACACCCCTCGCCTTCACCTCCAGGAACGTAACTATTATCACAAAGGTAGGCTGGTCTCAAGGGCCAGAGGAACAAGGCATGGGCAAGGGTGGTACTCGTCAACCCATCTAAAGTTGCATCATCAAGCAGCTACCACGTGGTATGGCACAGAGGCCGCAGAGGGTGGTGACTGAGAACATGCAGCCTGCCTGCCTGGGCTAACCCTGCTCCACTAGCTGCTGACCTGGCGCAGTCATTTATCTCTGTGACTCATTTTCTTCAGCAGGAACAGCAGGAACAGATACAGTACGTGAGCATTAAGTCAGTCATTACATAAAGTCCTTACAATACAGTCTGGCATAGAAGGTGGCAGAAAATAAAACAGGGATTCACTAAGTAAATAATGTAATACACCCTAAAGTAATAAAGAAAATGTTACACTTAGATTTCTAAAATAGACACATGTGTGCCTTGCAATCTAGCCCATCTTCTCTAAAAGGTTTCATTTGGGAAGATTAAATTGAGTTTGACTAGACTGAAGAGCACACAAAATACACATTTCTTAAATACATGTAGAAAAAAAGACTAGGTTTTCCTTGACTGTAGCAGCTGAGCATATAAGCGCTCTATCGGAAAGGCTACTGCCTGCACACCATTCTGCTTCCCCTACTGCCCCACCCCACTCCCCACACACACAGGGGTTCAAATGCTAAACAATTAAACTGCAGTCTAACTCGAAATCTATAAACTTTTTCTGGGCTACCCAAAACTTTTTTTTTTCTAGCTTCCGGTGTACTATGATGCAAAAATGATGCTGCTTTGCAATGTAAGTAAAACTGGCCACTTACCTCAGAATAAGCAAGAGTGATATGTTCATATATTCCCTGGTGGTGATGAATGGCATCTTCTAGGTCCTGCAGCTCTGAGGGAAGGTCTACCTCACCGCAAGCTTTACACCATGAATCCACGTTGCTCATATACTTGGAAGGTTAAAAAAAGATTATTTCTATCAATGACAATTTATATTGAGAAGTGGACATTTTTTAACATGGTTTTGAAAATTAGGGGACTTGAGGGAGATCCTAAGAATTTAACATGGTTGACTCTCCATCTCAAATGGCATCCTCAACTCACATGAGACTCCTGGACTCCAATCCCAGAGTGAGTTCCAGCAGGACTGGGGTGAGTCCGAGGAATCCACATTTCAGATGAATGCCTCAACTGACTGCTGCCCAGGTCTGGGTGTGCCCCTAGAGCAATGCAGCCCTGTTTTGGGCATTCTAGTAAATTCTCCCAGTCCACCTTTGAATCCACGTTTCTAACTGCCCTGCACTCCTAGCAAGGGAGGACAGAAAGATGACTCCTCCACGTGCCCCTTAACTAGGGCTCAATAGCAGGATGCTCCTTCTCCTTGCAGCTACACGTCAGCCTTACTCCTTTCCTTTTTCATTGAGATGTAATGAAAAAGTTCCAGGTATCTAAAAATCATTTATGTGAAATAAGGAAGAGCAGCCAGTCCATTCCGCTACTGTTTCAAAGGAAATTGACACCAGAATTAAAAGGAGACCAAGAAAAAGGGGCCTGAACTTCTCTGTGAATCTTAGGAAAGGCTTAAGGAGGCAGGGGCATCATTCCCATCCTTCCCAATTTGCAGGCAAATGAGAAAAGCCTGAGCCATGCGAACAGCCCTGAGGCTGCCATCCCAACCCTGGCTCAATCTCCTCCACTGCCACCCTCCATCTCCAGGATCATCAACAGTTCTGCAGCAGCCATCCCAATCCTGGCTCAATCTCCTCCACTGCCACCCTCCATCTCCAGGATCATCAATTCCTGCAGCTGCCATCCCAATCCTGGTTCAATCTCCTCCACTGCCCCCTCCATCTCCAGGATCATCAACAGTCCTGTGGCAGCCATCCCAATCCTGGCTCAATCTCCTCCACTGCCACCCTCCATCTCCAGGATCATCAACAGTCCTGCGGCAGCCATCCCAATCCTGGCTCAATCTCCTCCACTGACACCCTCCATCTCCAGGATCATCAATTCCTGCGGCAGCCATCCCAATCCCGGCTCAATCTCCTCCACTGACACCCTCCATCTCCAGGATCATCAATTCCTGTGGCAGCCATCCCAATCCCGGCTCAATCTCCTCCACTGCCACCCTCCATCTCCAGGATCATCAACGGTCCTGCGGCAGCCATCCCAATCCCGGCTCAATCTCCTCCACTGACACCCCCCATCTCCAGGATCATCAACAGTCCTGCGGCAGCCATCCCAACCCTGGCTCAATCTCCTCCACTGACACCCCCCATCTCCAGGATCATCAACGGTCCTGCGGCAGCCATCCCAATCCCGGCTCAATCTCCTCCACTGACACCCCCCATCTCCAGGATCATCAACGGTCCTGCGGCAGCCATCCCAACCCTGGCTCAATCTCCTCCACTGACACCCTCCATCTCCAGGATCATCAACAGCTGAGAAATCACTGCCAAATTTCCTAGGGAGATCCTATCGAAATCCATCACAGTTAAGAGTGAAAGGCAAGTGCGGAAGGCCCAATTAAAAAAGCTAATTCAATTAAGCCAAACAGACATCAACACATTTCCCTCGGTTTTAACCTCTTTACTCCTGTTCCTCACACATCTTTTAACTTAGCAGGGAATGCAGAGGATGACTATTTGAAATGCAATACTCAACTGACCAGAAAGAAATGTGCTATAATTCCCTTAAAATATAGTAAGAACAAACTCCCAGTTTATTTTTAGGACATTAAAATAGACAAGTCACCCAAATAATAACTGTTTATGGAAATCCTTTTATTGTTGAGTGCAGAAAAATATCTATGCAGACCTTACGGCTTGAAGCCAGTTCATACGGCATTAAGTGTCAACTGAGTATTTCTTGGGTGTCATGTTCTATAAATGTCAATTTGGTCAGGTCAGATGATTGTCAGTATTTTTGAGCTCTGTTTCACTCTATCATCTTCCTGTATTGCATTTAATACCAATTATTAAATTATTGTTTTTCAAACACAAATTGATTGAGGTTAACCATCATCATTAATAAATCATCAGGTCTAAGTCAGCAATTAAGCGCTCCTGGACAATGGCCACTGCAGAACACCCAAAACCAAGAGGAGTTGCAACGTATTCTTAAGATCAAAACGCTTCTGACAGAACATGGTGGAAACACATTTCAGTTATATAATACTTCATAATGTAATGAACAGAAGCATCAGATTAACATATCACTATATCAAAATCATTAAAGTATATTGGACTCCAATTTTTGAAGCAACAACCAATAAAGAAAAAACATTCAAGAAGTTTTACATATTCCTGTAATTAGAACTAACTTATAATTTCTTAAAGTATCCTGAGAGGGCACTGATTATACTTCTCTGAAAACATATAGCCAGGGAAGGATGGTGTGCTACATGAAAACCTTGTGGACAAAGGATTCTGCCCTTTTTCTGGGTTAATAACAGCCCATGATAGAAATAATCCTAGCCATGGTTTTACAGAGGGTTTTGCACAGCATCATTTTTCTGTTCTTTATTTCTAAGACACAACCCTAGACTCCACAGACCAAGCTCTAGGCCTGATTGTTTTCCAAAAGGCTGAACGCCCAGAGGGTGTGAAACCAACAGCACCAGCACAGCAATCCCCGTTCCGAGATGCATGGAACAGGGAACAGGGTGTCAACAGATACTCCACAAAGAAAAAGCATCCTGAGGTCAAGTTTGGTGTTGAAATTCAACAGGTACCTTCATAACAGAACCTCTTAGAAAAGCTTCTAATATGACAATGATATCATACGAGGGGGGACTGGTACTTCCCTCACTCTGATACACATACACACACATATGTGTTACCATCCTGAGTAACCCAGGTTGGGACTGCAATGCTGGGGGAACATGTCTAGCACAGAGCCTGACACTTAGGAGATGAGGACAGAAGGTGGCTACTGCAGTCTAATGAGATCAGAGCAGCTGTCTTAGTATCTGATGCTTTAAGTGCTCCCTAGATCAAAATACGTGAACACAAAGCATCTGGGGGACTGGGGATAAAGGCAGGAGAGTGCGAAAGAATGAAATGTTGCTCTGTCAGTTCAGATCAGGAGCCTGCTTCAGATCTGGGGATCCTGAAGCTGAGCAGAATGGTCGTATTAAGAAAGTGTTGCTGAATAAATGATGAAGGAAGCCTGGATCACCCAGTTTGCAAAACAGAGGCAAGCAGAGGAGGGGAACAGTGATTCATATACATAGCTTTTAAGAGGAGAACTTGGATAAATAATTAACAGATTGCTTTTCCTAAGCATTTACTCTACTACTCCCTGTCTGCTGAGAGGGGGCCTCCAATCTGGGAGCCACTCATTTCTTCTGCCTATTCTGGGTCCCACCAACCAGAGCTGGGATCCTTGAAGCTAGTGAACTGCACTCCCATCCATCTCTCACCCCCGCCACCTCTTGACGGAGCCTCAGCTGAGCACAGGCACTAAGCTGGACTTAGGAGACAAAGGGACGGAAATTTCCTAGATTTAGAACTTGCATCTATGTCATGTTTATAATAAATGTTAATTCTAAAAATATTTATGGGAAGTGAACTTTTATAAGAATATTAATGCAAGTGTGAAACAGTTTGTTATTATGTCAGGAACTGAAAGACCTAGCCATAGACCTCAGCGAAAGTTCTAGCTTGGGAAACATGGCCAAATCCCTCCCCATACAGATTATCAGGACAATAATACTACAGTCCCATCTGCTCCACCAGGCTGATTTAAGGATGAAATGAGATTTCATGTTAAAGGGTTCTCTAAATATTAAAGAACTATACAAACACTGTTACTTTATTTTTGGTTATTATCAAAGTACAGAAGGCCTAAAGTCATAGATAAATTAAGGTGATCGGATGTGTGGTTCACTCTGCAGGTAAGCCTCTGCAAGCACTACCCGAGTGGATAGAAATGTGTATCTGTGCTGTCAATTACAGCAGCCATTGGCCACATGTTGCTCCCGATACAGTGAATAAGCAACTACATTTTAATTTAATTCTATTTTTTAAAATGATTTTATCATCTTGCTATTTAACTCTGAGTAGCTTCAATAGCCACACATGGTGACAGGCCATCACAATGGGCAGTGCAGCTTGAGGTCACAGTAAAAAGATATTTTAAGCTGTAGCAAAATCAAGTCACTTTGTTTTATAAAAATGTTAATTCTAATGGTATCTGCTGTGAAAGCGTCTTAATATAAAGGGTCTGTCCTGTGGATATACCACATGACCAAGACAAGCGAAGGCTGGAGCCCCTAAGCAACATCTACCAGTAACAACATTAACACTGTGGTTGTGTGTCCACATATTTGCAAACGGATACTGTGATCCCACAACCTTCACTGGAGATGACACAAAACAGACTGGCTGACACATCTATGGAAGTTATAGCATCTATGAAACATCATTCTCATCTAGCTTTAACTTCAGAGTTATGTTTATAAAGCCACAGCAAATGCTAGCACACCACCACCCATGGAGAGAGAGGGCAGGGCCGGACGGTGCAGCTAAGAGCTGTAATCCTTACAGAGAAGGCGGCTGCCGTTAGTAAGCTCATTAACCATGGAGTCACATATTTGAGCCTTATGTCCCCCTAATCAGATTTAAATTCCACATGAACACTCTGGATGTGATTCAAAGAGGTGACTATGATGGAAACTTAACTTAGGATGTCCAAGCTTCTGGTCCTTTCCAGACTGAGTTTATGAAAACAGGTTGAGCATAACTAGAAGGCAAATCATTTAAAATGAGGGAACAACGTTGACCTAGTCTTGGGATTGCTCTCTTGGGAAAAGAAAACTACTTTAGTGAGGAGCATCAGAATTTCAAGGATCTTACTTTTCTTCAGTGAGGGGGACGAGACACAACACATTTTTACTTGCAAGTAAGGACTGTCTTTCTGAAGACGTCCTAATCTCCCATCTGTGCATTTCAGTTGTCTACGTGCAGGCCTTGTTGCTTCGTTAAGGTCTGGAATACACGCTGGGCTCCTTCTTCATTAGGCTACTGTCCCTTCACTCCTATTTGGCTTCTTCTCTGGCCACCGTACATGCACTGAGACTTCAGGCGCCCTTACAGTTCATGCAGGGTCCCATGAAATTCTGTTCAATAATGTGTTCACCTAGTTTCATTTCCTTCAAATCCATAAATTACACTCATTCATTTTATCCAGATGAGAATACCCCAGGCTCTTTCAATTTTGCTGTATGTTTAAAATTTTTTATAATAAAACACTGGAAGGAAAATGCCCCATGACACCCATGTTTCTAGATTATTTTCAGGCAGGTCACAGTGGTAATTAATCTCTGGGTTTATTTACAATTCTGAATCTCATCATGTTTATGAAAGATGTTCTCTGTGTGTTATGCTTCAGCCTGACATTCACCCACGCAGTTTATCCTGCTTCAAATTCATTCATATCACCTTACTGCCAAATGATCGAGGGTATTGCTACTTTGTACAACGATAAGGATCGGAGATGGCTACAGGGTCATGAAGATGGTTTTATTTACGCTGAAGCAGTTCCTGTTACTTTAAAAAGTTGTTTTTGTGTGTGGGCTTTTGTCTATCTTTTATCACAAAATTAGTCAAATGCAAAAAGTTAGAAAGTAGAAAAATCCTTACCATTGAAACTCTCAGCTTTTACATGGTGCTATGAAGGTTTGTTTCTCTTTATAAATCACTCAGCTTCCTCTCTTGCTTTATACTTTAAAGGTCTCTAGAGTTGAGATCACTGCTAATTAGTGTCTTGTGCAACATTCTGACTGCCCTGCCAAAATCCTAGGCAAGTTGGGGCCTCTATCTTCCTTTACTGACTTCTTCACTCTTCAACAGAGACTGTTTCTAGATGAAAGAGATACTATTTCCTTTTTAAGAAGCATCCGTGCAAATGCCTGAATCCAGTCTTTCCCCCAAAAATTAACCCTGAGGAAGATATACTGATATTTTTCCTTTTTAAATTAAGCAACCATTTTCCTCTACCCCATATATGTGTCTTCCTGGTGGTTAAAAGTTCCTATGCCCTTTCTCCACATCCTGAAAAGGTACTCACTGTGCTGCTCACCTTCCGATAATAAACTCTGAGTCATGAGCAAATCCCTTTCATTTTGCTACTTTCAGAGCGTTTGTTTAAGCAAGTTTGCTTAAATGGAGGTATGGGGAGTGTTGGGGGCATATATTACCCATTACTTCTTAAACTAGAAATTTTGACACAACACATCTGTCAACAAATGAAGCCAAAGTCAGATGCCATGTAGCTAAGTTTATAATTATGAAAGACACTGTCAACTGTGTACCCAAAAAAGCCATTTTCCTCCCTCACCCTTGCGGGCAGCACCTCCCTAAGGAGGCTAAACACCAGATCCACCCTTTCCCCCACCCCTTGCAGCAAGGCATGGATGTGCACCCCAAGACTAGCCGAGGGGAAATGTGCTGGGGGCGGGGCCTCTGGAAATAATGTTTCCCTTATAAAGTGGCAGGCAAAGACAGCTACAGCCATCCCTGCGGAGGGTGAGCACTGTGGCTGAGGAGGAGCTGGTGCGTGGAGCTGAGGTGTGCTGCCCTGACTGTGAGGGGAGGCCCAGCAAGCCTGAGGGCAGCAGACACCACCCCTCCATAGCCGTGCAGCTAGAGGTGCCTTCGCCTTAGAACTTCGCAGTTTGTGAGAAAACTAAACCCTTGACATCTGCACCACGGATGGGCGTTCCGTTCCTTGCTACCAAACCATCCCAATTGGAGTAATAAAGCACTATCAACAAGGAATAAGAGCAAAGAAGGAGCCAGGAGAGGAGGGGAAGAGAAGAGCAGCTGCCACTTCTTAGTGCTTACTGTGCCGGGCACTGTGTAGGGCACCTAGCATCACATTTACATCAACAGTCCACTCAAACAGGTACTTTTATTTCTACTTTACAAATGAAAAAACAAAACAGAGAGGCTAAGTCACTTGCCTAAGGTTACGCAGCAAGGACTAAAAGAGCTGGAATTTAAACTCAGGGCCAAGTGACTTCAGAGCTCACATGCGGAGCTCACAGTATGTGCTACACAAGAGTGTTTGCACACACACCAATATTCATGGAGGAAGAACTATTCTGGTTACCACCTCGTGGGCTGGGGGTTCAAGGCACTGACCTTTTCGGCCTTCTGGTGGAAAATGGAGGACATGTCCAGCAAGGTGCTCCGCTCATCCAGGGCTGCCGCAAACGCCTTCCACTCCTGCTCCAGCTGACTCGCGATCTGCCTGATCTGCTGCGAGGCATAGTGGCCAGACTCCACCAGACGATTGGCCACCGACATGATGCGGTTTATATTTACATACACGTTCTGGAAAGTGGGCAGGAAAAGAGGGCTCCTTAGGGGAGAGCAAATAGGAGGCTCCCTTCTAAGAAGCCCAGATGCCACCTGCTGAAACACAGGCTTCTAACAGTGATCACATCTCTCCCAGGAGCATCACCTGATATATATAATATTATACATATTTGCTCTCTAGATTTCCATAAACTTGAAGTATTGGTTTCCATTTCTATTTTTAAAACTGTAAAATTACAAATCAACTAGCTGAAAGGCATAATTGTTCAGCACAAAGCAATCAAATACACAAGTGGGTGCACACAAATATACTATTACTCACTTCTTGGCTTCAAATACTGAACAGGGTCCAGATGGCAAGCCTGCTGCCAGGCAGTCACAGAGAACTGAGGGACCCAGCGCTCTGGTTTTTAACCAGAACCCAGAAACCCAAAAACACGTACCTAGCAACCAAAGGCTATTTGTGTGAAAGCAAGCTCTCCTTTCTACATATGCCCAAGTCATTTTTGGGTGCCAACAGAAAATATTCTGTAAATAGATCCACCTTCTCCCAGGAATATGAATTGCAGTAAAAACACAACAACGCTATGCTCAAATTTTAAATAAAGCTTTTCTACTCTGTCAAAATTCCTATCTTCAAGTCTATCAGTTTATTGCAAAAATAGGGATTTTAAAAACCCACCCTTTTTGCAGAACAAGCTCTCATATGGAGTTTCCCTTTCCACCTCCAAAGTTCTTTAAGGCTCAGTATCGCAGGGTGTGGTGTGGTGCGGGATTCAGACCTTCAGCAAATCCGAAGTTGCTGTTGTTCATGTATTTTTTATTTTTTTCACTGTTACCACATCACTCCTTCCCATGGGTCCCCCAAAATCGTAGATACCTCTTTGGCTCCTCTCAACGTTGCCCCAATCTGATTTCCTGATCTGTCCAAACTTCCCTACGTTTTTCCCCCTTCTCTCACTTCCCACACAACCCCTCTGAGCAAATCTCCCACTGCCTCGAACAAGGACCCCACAACAGCCTCCTTCCTGTCTCTTGCTGCCTGCAGACCACCCAAGTAAGCAGCTGAAAGAACTCACTTGTTCATTATTTCTTTGTATCTTCTTTCATTCATCCTTTCCCTCTATTTCTGACCCAAACCAGAACTTGGTGGAGTTGCCTCTGTCTGGGATTAGAGCCACAGGACTCCAGCCTCAGGGTTACATCTCCGGGCTGCATCTGAAGGCTAGAATCAGCTAACAGACATCGCATGTCTGGAGTCGCAGAAAGAGGCTGCAACAGTCAAGCCATGCTCAGCAAGGTGACCTCTCTGGCTCGTGTGGCATTAACGCTCTAACTGGCATCTGGTAAATTAAAAGCAAGGCCTCCCATTCCCAAGTGCATTCTTTCTCTCTTTTCCTCCCTCCTAGTAAAGTGACAAGAAACTAGATTTGCTAATTTTGCTTTCTCTATATCCTTAAAAGAGAAAAAGCCAGTCCGACAGGTCTGTTAGGAAAAGCACAAGATGCACTCTGTTAGGATCTGGAGAAGAGATGTCTCCTTGGGTGGCTCTATTGTGACAACCACTGACCATACCTGCCCATTCCTAGATTGTAACAGCTTCCTGTGTCACTTTTATATAAAAACAGACTTTACTAGTCTATGTATGATGCTTTTTCCATCTCTCCATCACTTCTAGCACACATAAACGAGTATGGTGGCATACAGCCTAAATCTACAGCCTGGACATCAATATGGTAATGTGCAATTCCCTAAATTAAAAGTACCTACACCTACAGGCTTATCATCATAGTTTTTATAAATATCTGTTAGAGTAGAACATGCATAATTGTTGGTATCCCTTAATATGCTTTCTTTAAAAGCTGTTAACTTGGCATATTGGTATTTAGTATCCTTATTTTGTCAGAAATTGTTCAAAACACTATAGCGAGCAGAAGGGGCTGAAGGTTAAATACCCTTGCCCTGCATTATTAAATGCCACAGATACAAGGGATTCGTGGAGGTATTCAACACAAGGAGCAGGCCTGGTCCAGAAAGCTCCCCAGCAGGCATCACCTTCATGGCACCGAGCTACCCGCATGCATTGTATTACAAGTTTAACTTAGAAAAGTAACAGAAGTATATTGTAGAAAATTAGAAAATATATTCGACCCCCCTCCCAAAAAAAATAGCTGTAACTCATACTTTTAAGTTTCTTACCTGCTTTAACTGCATCTTTAATTATATTGATAACATCACTGGTAAGAATTAACATTTATACAGTACTTACTATATGTCAAGCAGTATGTTTTGCATTTTACATATACATGTAATACCATGGAAGGCAGGTATTACCCCCAGTTTACAGATTAGGAAACTGAGGCTCGAAGAGGTTAAACAGCCTTCCCAAGGTCACATGGCAAATAAGAAAGTCAGAATTAAAAGCCTCTACGTCCACAACCCATTTTCCTGTCTTCTACACTATGGTTCCTATTCCCTTGAGTCCTAAATCTGCCACTAATAATGCTGAAGAAAGGGGGAAGAGAGAATATATTTTTCTGTTCATTTCTAGCACATATTTTAGTATTTCTAGTTTTTAAAGTATGTGGCATAGCAGACTGAATGGTCTCTTGCCAAAAGTTTCAGAAAATTCTAAAAAAACTGACAGTAATTTTTTACAAACAAATTTTTATCTATGCCCAGGTTTGACGATTCGAACCAGAAATTCTCTTACTTTAAATTCTAGAACAGACGTAAAACTTTGATGGCATTTATTACTAAAAATTATATTGCAAAATCTTATCTTTGAAACTACCTAAATTGTAGCACCTAGTTGACTGTATTTTAATTAAATGGCATCTTTCTGAATTAACTTAAACAAAAACCCTGTCTTCATATTGCTTTATTTGTATTTTTGTTTTTGAGACAAGGTCTTGCTCTGTCACCCAAGCTGGAATGCAGTGGCGTGATCATAACTCACTGTTGCCTGCAACTCCTGGGCTCAAGCAATCCTCCAGCCTCAGCCTCCCAAATAGCTGGGACTACAGGTGTGCACCACCACACTTGGCTAATTTTTTAATTATTATTTTTTTTTTTTAGAGATGGGGTCTTGCTGTGTTGCCCAGGCCGGTTCATATTGCTTTAATGCTCTACAACAAACGTTACAAGGTTTAAGAGTGGACAATCCTCACAAGGCTGGCTTAAAGTCCAAACCAAAACTCCTTGTCCCTGAAGAGGAAATTTCTAGAAGCTTCACAGACTACAGAGGCAAGCAAATGTCCTATAGAACATACAGTTTTAGTAACATTAACTATAAAACTGTAACAGAAGTGCTACTCAAAATTCAGTGTTTTGGTTTGGTTTTGGTTTCTGTGATGTAGTCCTACAGTCACCCCCTATCTGGCCTCTAAGATCCTGACAGTCACGACAGCCAAGGGTAGCAGATGCAACAACCTTAAAGAGGGCCAGGGGATCCCAGGCAAGGCTGAGGGCCAGATCCCAGTCCTCCAGCTCAGCTTGGAAGGAAATCTCATGCCTCAGGAGAACTAGCTAGTGCCCTGAGGTCAGCAGCAGGCTTGCTCCTTTCGCTGTCATGAACAGCAGCCAGCAAACTGACAGCGCTCCGTCTGGGGGACTCACTGTGCCTCCCAGCAGCTTTGCTGGGGCCCCCGTGGGCTCCTATGAAGTGCAGCACAGGAGCCAGCATCCCAAGTGTCTGTGCTGAACTAGCCAAGTCATTGGTTCAAGTTTCACTGGTTCGTCTGTTTGCTTGTTTTCATTTTTGTTTAAAACTTAAAATGTGGGATAGTGAGACAATGGAACCCTAGGGAACACCCTCCATGTGAAGGTCAGCTGCTACAATCAACAGCCACTCCGAAGGCCCCTTGAAAGCCCTAGCATACAATTTGCCAAATGCCTCCCATTTGCTAAAACACTGTCACATGCCAGGGTCCAGCTGTTCCGAGTGTCTTACCATACAGTTCATGGCAAAGTGATTGTGCTGCGTCTGAAGCTCCATGGCATGAGGGTGGCTGGTCCCAATCTCTGTGTAGCTGTTTAGAAACAGGCCTTTGTTGTGTGTGATCCAGTCAAACATCTACCGGAAGGAAAAAGACAACCCGCAATCACTCCAGAAAGAGAAATTACTGACACAAGCCCACAGATGGGGCAGTACCAAGAAAGGGCAACTTCCTTCCCTGGACAACTTCAAGCGCTGTCTGATTCTCTCAGAAGAGTCTTTACTTCGAAGAACAAGTCAGCAGTTCTGAACTTGCAGGACCTACCAGAAAATCTTATCTGATGTGTTCCTCTTACAGAGAAGGAATTAAGAAGCAGATAAGTAAAGAGAGTTACTCTAATCCCCCAGGCTGATTAAAAACTCTGATCCTCTGACTCTCAGCCCAGTCTCCCTGCCACGCTGAACTACTTAATTTGCCACAGTGAGGTTCAATTAAAGACCCGTTAGGGTGAAATTAGGAACTTATGGGTCTCTGGATGGGTTCTGCTGTGCCCACAGGTTACTGACAGAAATATCAATGACTAAAAGATTCCACTGTTTGATCAAGAAGTACACAGACACCTGTGCAGATTGCAAAAACATAAAATTTACTATAAAAAAGGTGGGAAAAACTAACTATGACATCTCCCTTAAGGTTCAATATAGATGTTACTTGGACAAGGATGTCAATTAAGACATTTGCAATGAAAACATTTAAGAAAATATAGATGACTATCATCAATTAGCATTGCTACCATGACTTGAACCAGAATCCCAGTGACAGTAACCTGGTCTTCCAGTAATTGAAAAGAAGGTATTCCAGTCTCTTAGACAAGGTGCTACTTAAAACAAAAGAACACTGACAGATACATTAAAAGCTTTAGTAATAAAAACACTGGATTATCACCTTTTGAAAAGTCCTTTTACATCCAAGAATTCTAATGTGGTTTTTTACTTTACAAAATATTCTCCTGTCCATGTAATATAAAATTCAATGAGCTCCAATAAAACTCAATGATTAATTCACCCATGTTCATGGCTTGCAACACATACCTATGGGTAAGTGCCCAGTTTCCACATTGCTAAGATTCAATTAGCCAGTAATTGATAAGGATTCACTTTGACCAGTTGGTCTGCCTGGTGCATAAGAATAAAACATGAGACTAGAGGTGATTACCAACTATATTACCCAGAAACTGTTACTTTTAACACATTACTCATCTTGATTTTAAAAAACATACTCAATAGATTGGAATGGTGTTTTGTCAATAACATAACCCTGTGAAATTTTCACTTTTTTTTTTTTTTTTTTTTTTTTTTTTAAGACGGAGTCTCACTCTGTCGCCCAGGCCGAAATGCAATGGCACGATCTTGGCTCACTGCAACCTCTGCCTCATGGGTTCAAGCGATTCTCCTGCCTCAGCCTCCTGAGTAGCTGGGATTACAGGCGCGTGCCACCACACCCGGCTAATTTTCGTATTTTTAGTAGAGACGGGGTTTCACTATGTTGGCCAGACTGGTCTCAATCTCCTGACCTCAGGTGATCAGCCCACCTCGGCCTCCCAAAGGGCTGGGATTACAGGCGTGAGCACGGCCGAAATGTTCACTCTTTTAAGTGAAAATATCATTCCTATCTTACAGGCATCCTAGACCAAAGAATAAGTAATTTGAACTCAAAATTTCTAAAACAGCACTGTATTGCACAACGAGTAAAACCGGAAAACAGATTTCAGTGCCATTTCTGAAATGACTCTCGCTGGTTTAGAGCACACACGGTGAGTATAGCCTTACCATTCTCCACCTTTTCTCTTTCCTTCCACCCGAACCCACCAGCGCTGGCTTCCCCCATGTCCACTGAGGCATTAGCCTCCCCCGTCTTTACCTTCTCAGCATCCTGTTCAAACAGCCTCAGCTGGAAGCACTGGTCCAGCTTCAGCTTCCTCACATGCCACATCTGGTGCAGATGCTGCCGTGTCGAGTGCAGCCGGTCCAGCATGGTGGACACCTTGGGCAAGAGGTTCTGCAGGTCCGCATTGCCTGAGCCTGAGTTCTTTTTGGGAAAGCTTTCACTGCTCTGTATCCTCTGAAGCAGCTTCTGTCCCTCCAAATCCAGGTCCTCGATGGGGGCCTTAATCACCTTCTTCTTCAGCTGAGAATGTTCCTCGATCATATTCCGAGCCCCCTCTAAATCCTGAGGCAGCTCCTTCTTAGCTAGGATGTCCTGAAGTTCCTCCAGCCGAGACAGCATGTGGGTGGCATTGCTAATGTAGTCTTCAAAAGCAACTCTGATTTCAATCCATTCTTCGTGGTTGTATTCCAGGCAGCCATCAAACTCAGGAGTTAGCTGAGAAGGATCAACTACTTTGGTAAGGCCTTCTAAAGAGACCATATTTGTCTTAAGGGAAAAAAAATCACGTATGAGAAGATGAACCAATTTTATATAGTTTTAACATAATGCAATTTGCAATGCTCAGTCACAGGTTTTCAAAGTTAAAGTAATCTATTTATAGAAAACATAACATACCTGGTTCTGGCCCCATAAAAATAAATGTAGATGAAAGAAGCATTATCAGTACAATGAAAGACAAATCCATTATAGCAACACATATATGTCAGCTGGAATACCCAAAACTGTAGAATCGTGTATTTCATGAGAGCTAAAGAAATGAGATTTCTTTCCAAGAAGATGGAGATTAACCCACTATAACAGACACATTAAACTAGGAAACAGGTTAAATTGCAAGTTCAGAGCAAACAATTCAGAAATTTCACTTACATCAATGCATTCTTCTCCCCATTCTTTTTCATCCATGCCAGAAACTCTGTGGAGGTTTTCTACTACTTGCTATTACACAAACGTCTTGCTCAAGGGCATCAAAACCCTTTTAAGTGTAACATCACTCTAAATTCAATTACGTGTGGGCTGCCTATTAAACGATGAATGCTGCTCCAACCAGACCACCCTATCATTCATCTTGCCTAAGCCTAACCCCACTGCCCATCAAATAACAGATGATGGGATATGAATGAATTTATAAAAATTTAGAAAATATTCAAGAGTTGGCAAGAAAGCTGGCAGAGGCTCATTTGACAGAGCTAAGGATAGAGGCAATGTTTTATTCATTGCAATAATCTGCTGTGATTCTGAACAGTCCTAGAGTTGTATATAATCTGTACTACATTGCAATTTAACAGTGACAAAGTTTTAGTCAATTACAGTCTAAGCAAGAAATCTTTATATTTATTATTATTATTTTTTTTTGAGATGGAGTCTTGCTCTGTCACCCAGGCTGGAGTGCAGTGGCGCAGTCTCAGCTTACTGCAACCTCTGCCTCCCAGGTTCAAGTGATCTCCTGCCTCAGCCTCCCGAGTAGCTGGGACTACAGGTGCCCACCACCACACCAGGCTAATTCTTTTGTATTTTTAGTAGAGACGGGGTTTCACCATGTTGGTCACGCTGGTTTCAAATTCCTGATCTCAAATGATCCACCCACTTCAGCCTCCCAAAGTGCTGGGATTACAGGCATGAGACATCGCACACGACCTTTTTTTTTAAAAAAGGAAAAAAAGGGTCATGCTCTGTCTTCCAGACTGGAGTGTGGCGATGATTACATGCTGTAAGCTTAAATTCCTGGGCTCAAGCCATCCTCCCATCTTAAGCCTCTTGAGTAGCTGGAATTACACGTGTGCCACCACACCTGGTGATTTTTGTTTGTTTGTTTTTTGAGACAGGGTTTTGCTCTTGTTGCCCATGCTGCAGTGCAGTGGTGCAACCTCAGCTCACTGCAACCTACACCTTCCGATTTCAAGTGATTCTCCTGCCTCAGCCTCCCGAGTAGCTGGGATTACAGGTGACTTACACCACGCTCAGCTAATTTTTGTATTTTTAGTAGAGATGGAGTTTCACCATGTTGGCCAGGTTGTCTCGAACTCCTGACCTTGTGATCCGCCCGCCTCGGCCTTCCAAAGTGCTGGGATTACAGGCATGAGCCACCGCGCCCGGCCACACCTGGCTAATTTTTAAAACAAAATATAGAGACAGGCTCTTGCTAAGTTTCTCAGGCTGGGCTCGAACTCCCAGCCTCAAGCAGTCCTCCTCCCTTAGAATCTCAAAGTGCTGGGATTACAGGCATGAGCCACTGTGCCTGGCCTCGGCAAGAAATCTTAACCTCACCTTATCATGATGTGAAGCAGATTAATATTAATATGCCTCAAGGAAAACATGGAGGGGGAAGATTAAATGCAAAGACAAAGGTGAAGGAGAAAGAGTTGTGACCTAGAACCAAAAGAGAAAACAAGAAGGGCTGGTCCGGCGTGCTGGTTGGCAAAAGAAACATCAGAAGGCAGCAGAGGTAGAAGAGGGATGACTCCTGATCCAGCACTTATGCCTACAATCCTACCATAGGCCCATTCCTCTCTCGTTTGCTGGACTTTTTTTTTTTTTGAGGCGGAATCTCGCTCTGTTGCCCAGGCTGGAGTGCAGCGGCACAATCTCGGCTCACTGCAAGCTCTGCCTCCCAGGTTCACGCCATTCTCCTGCCTCAGCCTCCCAAGTAGCTGGGACTACAGGTGCCTGCCACCACGCCCGGCTAATTTTTTGTATTTTAGTAGAGATGGGGTTTCACCGTGTTAGCCAGGATGGTCTCAATCTCCTGACCTCGTGGTCCGCCCGCCTCGGCCTCCCAAAGTGCTAGGATTACAGGCGTGAGCCACCACACCCGGTCCTGCTGGACTTTTAATAATCTCCACAGAGGCAATCACTGGGTGGGGAGAGAGAGGCTGGTAACAATGTAACAAGTTCCATAGAAAAACTGGTGCCTTTAAGAGCCCTGAGGGAGAGATCAAAACTGGACTGGAAAAACCTGTATGAATTGTATTGCCAGACCATTATTTTTACTTAAAACACTTATAATTAAATACAATGCACTTTCAATTCTGCATCAAGAAAATAATTAACACCCAATAAACTGTCCTCCAAAATTACTTCCTATTCTCTATGAAGATAAAGGCTTACTGGGTTCATCTTTCTGATGGAGTGTAGTAAACCTGAGTAGTTTCAAATTTAAAACTAAGTTCATATTTTGGATAGAAAAATGAGTACTATGGAAAGAATTTAAAAATCCAAGTAATACACCTGTGCAAACACTTTGAAAAGTATAGCATTATAACCTGAAGATTAAGGATTAACACTGTCTGATGTTTAATATTATTGCTGTTTACCTTAAAATACATGAATACATCCACTGAAACCTAACGTTTGAGCAGATTTGCCAGAGGAAGCAATCTATTCAACCAAAAAGTATTTCTTATTAGAAAATATTAAAATCTTATTCCAAATGGAGCAAGAATCAAGTTTCATGCTGGCAGGAAGACTTTCCTCCCATAATCATCTCATTAAACTAACTGCACCGAAGGCCTTGTCAGAACCTTGGTAGCTTAAGGAGAGGAGGTTACAGTGGGAAGCAAAATAATTAGTGGGCTGAGGGTTTTGTCTTGTTTTTACCACTGAAAGACGGCAATCTTCCATGCCTAACTGAATTCAGGACTCTGCACAGTTTTTAACACACTATCTCCATTTTCAGAAATCAGAGGCCTAATACATGCATTCTTTCCATTATCCATGACAGGATGAAACTTAGGGACTCTGAAGTTGGGCATTTCTCCCTAACATTCCCTCATCTCCAGGGCTGAGGCAAGGAGAATGAATCTGTAACTGTGCAAAGCCACAGTGCTGCCTGGTAAAGCTGTTTGTCAAGTGAAATATAAGGCAGCCAGCAAGCTTCTCTGCCAAGGCCTCACAACTCAACAGCCCATCACCCAACCCAAGGGAACTGAAACCTAAGCCCATGTGGGTAAAACAATCCACTCGGATGATGAACGCAGCTCTGTTATTTCATGCAGTAACTAATTTTACGTATCACATGTTCGTAAGATATGCAGCTCCTGTTTAATATGTGGTTTAAAAAAAAAATCTCTCATTAGCCTCAATAGCTTTTAGTAAACCACACCAACTTGTTTAGTGGGTCTAGCCACACGGGGGAAGTTACCTCAAATTCAAATTTAGAACTGCCAAAATTAGTCCTCTGTTTCTGCCAGAAGTTGTCTGGCTTGATGATCAGGGCCACATGGATGCAGCAGGGGAAGGACTCCTGCAGGATCTTCAGAAGGGGCTTGATGGAGTCCCACTTGGACCCACGCATGTCCACGATCACCGTGAAGCCACGCTTGCAGACCTCCTCGCTGCAGAGAAAGAAAACATGGCTGAAGACGGGTTACATCTCTTGCCACTCTGCCTGGTCAGAGTCCCACTGGGTGCCACAGACCCAGCTTCCCTCCCCTGCTGGACACGTGCGGAGGCAGGGGAAGGAGCACACTGTGCTCAGCTCCTTCTCGTCCCTCCCTTGTACCATAAAGGAAGAGACCCAGGCTATACACGCTTCATGTTCAACCTGCAAAACCTGTTAAGATTTCAATTTTGTATTAATGGTTTTGCATCCCGTCTTCTTTTCAGGAAAACAACGGTCACCATGCCCATTTCTCCTGACTTTGGTGCATTAATTGATTACATGAACTCCTCCAGTCACTCCTGCGAGCAAAGGTCTCCAGGGAGCATCGGGTGAGTACAAAACCCTGACAGCCTGCAACAAAACCCAGACTGGGGACAGTCTGAGACCTGTGGACGGCAGTTACCCCAGGACTCCCAGCACCCCAGGTGCTGAAAATGACCCCCCACTAGCATGGCTGGCAATGATGAGAACTTTCTTATGTTCCATTTTATTCCCTTTACCCTATCCCTGGCCCTGAAGCTATCTCAGTGGTTTTCCATACCATCCACCCGTCCCTGGGAGTTCTTGGCACCCTTCTGGCAGGCTCTGTGGTTTTAATCTAGTTCCACAACTGTACTAAGCCTTTATGTGGTAGCAACGCTGGCTTAACACTGCTGGCCTCTGACACACGTCAAGGCAGTGCTGGGAGTCACTATGTTCTTCCTCTCCACATTATTGCACTTAAAAAAAAAAAGTGCCAGCTTCTAATTGTATTAAATCTCAACCACTGACTACATGGGAAACACATACAATGCAAATCTGCAATAAAGAATGAGCAACAAGAGTTAAGGTGTCCTTAAACACAGGTTAAAAAAATACTTAGTCGCACTTGGTTACAACTTCAGTGATAGAAGCTTCCGAATGGCCCTACAGTAAGGAACAACTGCAACCCTCACTGTTACACAGGGGTCTCTGACAGTCTGTGCAGGCTGCTGATGCCTGCACCAGACAGTAACCAGGTAACGACTGCCTACAAGGTCTTTTTTGGAAATATACCTAGGACCTTATGGTACTCAATACGCATATGTGGTTTTCCCCAAACATAAATGTACCTTAGGGTAGAAAAGACATTTGACATTTTTCTGCTTTGGATAATTATCCCCCCAAAAAACTAGTCTAAATTAAAAACCTGGAAAACCAATTGCTATCATTAAGTAATGCAAATAAAATTAATTCAAAATTAAAACCAATTTCATGCTCTTACATAGGCTCACTCCCCTAACCCTGCCCTCCTTCCCCCTCCCAACTAACTCACACTCACACACCCCATTCCCTTCTATATCTTGATTCAGACTATCAGACTAACTAGCTTCCCACGTTTTACAAATGCAAAGTACATATGACATCTACATCAGTAAGAGGGTGTATCACATCAACACCCCAAAAAAATGCCTGTATGGTTAGAGCCCAGCAGTAGGACCCAATCAGAAGGCGGCTCACAGTCAGAGGAGCACAGTGTCTAAAGCCAGGAGGAGAAAACAGATCCAGCAGCTTAGTTTATCACCCAAATGCTGAAAACTGATTAGGAACGATGTGATGAACTTCTAATAACTATCTCATAGGGATGTAAATTGAAATGATTTCAAATACTCCTCATGCCATCACTTCTCCTCCACATCCCAATTAGGTCGTGGGTTACAATCCGGGTAACATCACGGGCAGAAACATCACCTGTTTTCTGACCTCCTTCATGAAACCTAGAGGCAAATGGGACTCCCAGAAACATCTCCTAAAGTCTCCTGTCATGGAAATTAAGCATTCTAGACTTCCTTGGGCTCTAATGGGGTTTGCAATCCCTCGAGATTCCATTCCACAGAAACTCCAGGGCCCTGGAGGCACTGGGGTGAGGGCAGCCTAAGCAGGAAGAGGCAGGTGCCCGGAGGCCAAGAGCTCTGCAAAGGAAGCCTGCTGCCCAGTAAGGCATTCTACTCCAGATTCACATATTCTGCTGCCGTACACCAAAGACAGGAGATTGTAAAACGGTGGCAATATGTTTTATTTGTTTTACTAGTTGCTGTTTGGTAGACCGCACTGTAACCATCAGTCTTCACCATATCAAGATAAATTCCCTTGAAGCCTGTCTTTCTCCTAACATGGCCTTACACAGTATGCACACGAACTACAAAGCCCCTCTACTTGAAAGAAGCTTAAAAGGAATCCTGAATGACTCCAGGCTTAACAACAGGAATAAGCGGGAGAACAACAAAACCAAAAGCTACGCTGAGCTTGCACAGTTTACAGAAGGATTAACTATTCGCCTTCCTCTGTGATCAAACTGCTCCCACCCAGCGGCTTCCTAAGTAATGAAAATGGCAAATGGACTGGGCTGGGAGTGCACAGCATTTCAATCCATCTATTTTTATCAAGTTAAAAGCCAGTCATCATTAAGACAGCAGTGACTTGTAAACATCCCCAAACCTGGGTCCTATTTATGAGCACCTAATAAACAGCTGCCTACTGGAGAAGGGCCCCCAAGCCCTTCCACCACCTAAGAGACACTGTTCTTTGGGAAATGTGACTTATTAACCAGTTATTTTAGCATTTTTACCAAAGAGCCTCATGTTTATCTGTGAGATAAAGAAAGTTCACATAAAAATAAGGTCCCCTTTCAACACAGGTCCCTAAAAAAGAGAAACTCTACTTGTTTCGTTCCTAGAGGAAGAAAGTATCTTCTTATGTGAGTATTTATGAATGAATCAATTAAAAATCTTCGTATCATTTCATTAGTGGACAACAAGGAGTAAGAGTGGTTTATCTGTTAATATTTAGCAACCAAAAATCATTCTAAAGAAGGCAGAATGTTCTAGAACATAATTAGTATTAAATACAGTTCAAGTAATAAAAGCAACAGCCACCGAGAGACATTCTAAGATTAATGTCACTGTGCAGGACTTGCAATGACAGCAGCAAGAACTGCTGCTGCTTCTTATTTCTCCTACACACGTTTAGTGGAAAGTTTCATTGCAAATGAATCTTATGAACTCACCTTGTTACTACAATTGTTTGTTTGTTTGTTTGTTTAAAAAAAAAAGGGCAGGGAGGGGCGACCCCAGCAATAATACTCAAATCACTCACAGCTGCTCAGGTCACGTTCCTGTTGAACTGTGCCGGACCCAGACAATCTAGAAAGCATGCAGAAGAAAACAATGTGATCTGCCTCTAGAAATCATGTCAAAAGGAAAGTAATTGAAGGAAAATAGAAGGGTGAATATGAAATCAGAAAATTATTGCACTATATCTCAGCAAGCTACTGCATGTCAAGCACCATGCAAGATTACAGGAATAATCTTACTCGATACTCACAATGATCCCAAAATGTACAGGTCATTATCACATTTTCAGATCAGGAAAGCAATGAAAGTGAAGTCATGTGTCCCAGGTCACAGTCAGTCTGATTCTGAGGCCCATGTTCTCCCTTCACATATGACACCAGCCCTGTGACTGTCTAACTGAGGAATGGCCGAAGGGCTGCCTTCAAATCTGGGAAGCACGAGGAAGCACTGGACACAGCAAAAGGTCTCACAGGCCCCAAGACATACACACAAATGTACAGCTGGGTAGAAACGCCTTGTGTTCATACCACTCTACTACAACAAACCATCAGACTTACAAACTACACATAAGCAAAATCACAAGTCCAAAGAAATTCACACACCAGTAATTTGCTGATGATTTTTACAGATTGGTGAAATCTGTATCACATAATTTGTTTGGTTAAAACCAAACAGCGCTCCTGCTGCTATACACTCACTAGGGGTAGCACCTGCAGGACCCTGGGGGAGAGGGCCCAGAGAGGACTCACTTTGTGGCCACTTCTTTCAATTTGGACTACTCTGAAATCTTTCTCCATTATCACTCGGCAAATGCGTCATTTACATGTTAATCCACCTCTCTTATTTGCTCATTAATCGAGGACAAGCAAAATGGCATTTCTTGTCACTTGGGACTGCAGTTAATGCAAACGCAAACCTAGGTACTGACATGAAGAGACTGTTCAGTGGCCGGAGGGTCATCCTACACACTCAAGTATTTTTGAATGACATGATGTGATCTTTGGGATTTGTTATAAAATACACCAGGTGAATAATTAGAGAAAAACAAGATTGGCAAAATCTGATAAACGCTGAAGCTGGGTGAAGGGTATATGTGTGTTCATGATATTATTCTCTCCACTTTTGTGTATTCTCACAATTTCCCACAAAAAAAAGGTTTTTTTTTTAAAGTGGGTCATCCAGATTATCCAAAATGTGCTTGAACCAATTTCTATATCAATTAAATGAATAATTTTTAATATTTACTATTAACATAGGTTTCAAGACCAAAAAGCAAGTTGTCAAAGTTACCACTATATAGTATTCAAATTCACAAGAGTGAATATCAAATTCAACTTTAGTTCTTATTAAACTATATGACAAGTATCATTTTGATTGGCAGTTATTTTTTTTTTAACCCTGCCCTTTGTATTTCTTTTTCCATCATTATCACAGACTTGGCACATAGTCAAAGCTTAGTAAGTAGTAGTTTACACTCTATTTTTATTTATAAATGATAGTGAGTATAAATAACTTCTAAACTACTTTCCAACTCTAAGATTTCAACAGGTCAGCTGCCTAAGAAATACCAGAAGAAGAAAGGGAAAACTTACTCCAGATAAGTAGGGCTCACTTAGTCACTGATGCCACACAGTGATAGTTTTCTCATAAAGGATACTCTGACAGAAAACCCAAGAACCTCCCCAGCAAGTCAAACTATCAAGACCAAAAGCTGATTGCCATCAGCCACAGCCAGCCCTGTTAGGGAGGGGCATGGCTGCCTTGTCCCGCTTGTGTCAACCTACACAGGTTGAGTGCTGTGAACCACGTGCTGTGGTAGATCTATTACCTTTACCACAACCCCTGAAACCCATTATGCTGTTACCATCTTACATCATTCTCTTGTAACATGTTCCTTAAGGTTACTATCTAGCCAGCCCATATTATGGCCGAGTTTTCTCTCACACATCCTCATTTAGTCTCTTAGGAAACACCTCCTCTCACTCTACCATGGCTGCCACTGATGCCCTTCAGTATGTGCCTTTCTGGAATAAAAGAGACACCTGAGGACTCACCCTTTCCTCATAGATAGGCACCCCTCCAACCTGCAACACACACCAAATCTCCTATTCCAGGCATGACTGTATCCTTAGATTATATCAGCATGGTATTATGTTTTCCAGAATATAACTGCAACAATTAAATGGAGATATTAATTGGTGTGATCTGGCTCTGTGTCCCCACCCAAATCTCATGTTGAACTGTAACCCCCAATGTTGGAGGTAGGCCTGGTGGGTGGTAATTGGATCACGGGGCGGGGGGGGGGGGTTCTAACGGCTTAGCACCATCTCCCTAGTGCTGTCCCCTGATGGAGTTCTCATGAGATCTGGTTGTTTAAAAGTGTGTGGCACCTGACCCCCTACCTCCACCCTCTTCCTCCTGCTCCAACCATGTGAGGATGTGCCTGCTTCCCCCTTGCCTTCTGCCATGATCATAAGTTTCCTGAGGGCTCCCTAGCCATTAAATCAATTAAACCTCTTTTCTTTATAAATTACCCAGTCCCAAACGTTTCTTAATAGAAGTGTGAGAAAGAACTAATACATTAATATAGGGAGGAAATTTCCTCCACCAGTTGTCAGCTAGATCTACAAATTAAACTCGAGTAATACATTTCCAGAGCAGAAACAGATTCTAAATTCCTCAAGTATACACACAGGCCAGCTCCTAGTAACTCATGACTCCCCACTTGCGGACTCTCCAGAAAACACAACATTGCTTGCTCTTGGTGTTCTTTGGCATCTATGCTAAAAATTCCCATTACCAATGGAGTCTCAATTTTGATAGAGATTCCCAAATCTACGCCCAATATATAGCTAATAAGGATTTTTAATGCCCCACAAACTTCGTGCTACATATCAACAGACTATTTTTAAAGAACTAACGTTTGCCAAGTAGGCAGAAATGCATTGTCAAAAGCAGCACCCAATTCTGATCACCCAGGCCTCTGTGTCACGGTATTAGAATCATCAACAATGGCTTTCTAACTCAGGCGCCACATCCTGAAATCCCAGCTGAGTATCCCAGATCCACTGTCAACACACAAAGCTCTTACCTACCTTCATGTCCCTGCTCCCCAAAGGGCTTTACACTAGACAATAATGGTCACAAAATGGTAATAAGGTGAAAGATAATGACTTTCATTTTATACTACTTTGCCTGGAATGCAGGCTACAATTTAGCTGATTTCTAACGAGTATAGCGCCACATCTCTTGTAAATGTGACATCAGTGACAAGCACAAGCCACACAGAACTTACCTGGGAATACAGGCTAGATAGGAAATGAGTCTCCTGAGATCCTCCTGTCGTATTCTGTCATGATTGCTGCGGGCCGGAAACGTTAAAATGGGACCTCCACGTTTATCTCTCCCACCTAAAAAACAAACATTAGGAATACACTTAGACACAAGATAAGACAGAAATCCTATGTTATCATCCATTCACTCTGTCAAAATTATTCCTAAAGCAACTACACAAATTTGCACAGGGCAGAAGTCCTTGTTTCAGCTGAGGCACAGTGAGGACATGTCATCCCTTCAGGGGATCTGGGAGAAAATCTCTGAGCTCTGCAGGCCACATGGAAGGTACTACATATGGCCTTGTCTTTTTCTTCCAATGTTTTGGGAAAAACTCCTTTCTTCAGTTTTTATGTTTTGGACAGAAAAAAAAGTTGTCACGTCCATGTGTTTCACTCACCTCAGACAACCACCTCCCTCACAGCTGCTCTCTAGGCCAGTCTCCCCCACATTTTTCCCCATTGCCCTGCATTCAAAGTTCTTTCTTTCCTATCAACAAGATGGGTCTAAGTCTTGAAAGGAAAGCAAAAGGAACATTCTCCAAGCTATGCTGATGACTTTATAATCTGCGACGGATGGCACCTGACCCTCACTGGTCCAGCTTTGCCAGTCTCTCACACAGAACCACACACATGCATGTGAGAGAACCACATGAGAATTTTAAAGCTAATTAGCTTAAGGATTTTAGAAAATTTCTATCACACACTAAGAGTACAAATCTCAGAGTATGTGACTTTGACAGACAGGCAGGCAGAACGATTTCTTGTTAACATATACAATCCTAATGAAGTCAGCTTGGTATCACTAAACGCTTATGGTAAAATTGTCACATTTATTTTATTACTTCCATCGGGGTTGTCAGGAAAATAGAGGAAGAAAATTTAGCCTTCTCAAGTGGATCCTTCATTTAGTTTTAGAACTCTAATGATCTCTCTTCGGGAGACCTCAAAATTCAAGTCACAATACAAAACTCTTCATTATTTTCTGTGCACCAAAAATCATCATCTAAAATTAGAAAGAAAGCAAACAAATAAAAAAAAACCCAGAAGATTCTTTCCTTTTAGAACAGCCAAAAAGCATACAGCAGAAGATGATGGTATTTTAAAAACATATTTTACCAATATGGTTTTCATAACTTCATAGGAATTATGTACTCATTCTAAATAATAATGAAACTTCATTTTGATTGGGAATACTTAAAGCAATCCACATGTACTGTTCAGTCATGTAATCTAGAAAAGCCTTAAATTATTTCTAAATCCAATAATTTAGGTATTATATGGGAGCAACAATCATAGGTAACAACAGATCCAGGTAGGGTATCACGTGCTCTACATACACTTTCTGATGTGATTTTACAATGACTCTGTTGAGAGGTTTTATCATTCCAGTCTTATAAAGATACTGAGGCTCCAAAAGCTTAAATAAAGATGAAGGAACTATGCAACACTGTCATCGCTAGGTCTTCGCCCAGACAAAAGAAAATTGCATGATCTTTCGAACTACTGGCTTTACTTCTTTTTTAGTAGTAAAAATGTCACAGAGATAACTAAATAACGGGTTCCTGGTCCTTAGAGGGGGCTAACATTTATGAATGAAAAGTACTATTAAACATGAGAAGCAGTACTGCTCATTATCAACTGATCTTCTGAAACATCTGATATGATTTTTAGGGTAACATCAATGGCTCTAATTTTTTGGAATACCTCTCATCCCCAAGATAAGACAGATTAACAATTTCAATATTTTTCGTTTCCCAATAGCTTTCATGCTTTTCAAAAGAGTCAATCTCCTTGACTGAAATTATCATAGATCAACACATATTACAGAAACTTGAATTATTAAAAATACAGTACCTATTATTTAAATTAAAACATTCCCCTCACTTTGGGTAAAGAGAAAGCCAGCATCTAACATTTTTTCTCGACCACAGTTCTGAATTTTTAAAATGTGTTTGAAATGCAGCATGATGTTTGATTCCATAGGGACCCACATGACACTCTCCTCCCTCCTGGGTCACCGTAGCTCACAAGTCAAGCAAGGCATGCTCCACCACGGGTGTGAGAAGCAGAATCCAAAATCTGCCAATCTAAGAAAGTTGCATGGAAGTCAGTAGTTTGCACAATGCGCACGGCCATTCTGATCACCCCAGACCTGAGAACCAAAGGCAGCTCTGTGCAGAAGTTTTGACAGCCCCTACTACACTTTTCCAACTTTCAACTACAAAGATTTCTCCCAGGCTGGTAGCACTAGTGAGCAGTATCCTAAGACTTGCTACCAAGTTCATCTGCTTAGGCGCTGAGTCATGTCCTAAGAAAAGCTTATAGACACCTGAATCTGAATTTTAAGATAGAGGAAAAATTTTCACTTTTCCTTTTCCTAGAAAAGAACTTCAGAAAATTCACTGGGATATTTTTACAATTTTATCAAAAATCATTTGTGAAGTAAGAATCTTTTCACATGCTAATCTCCCTGCTAAGGGTGCACCTTCCAATAGATGGCATAACGCAGTTAATGATCACTTTCTGCTGACTCCTCCTCAGGGAGGTATGAAGAAAAAATCTTAGAAAGGATGAAGTATAGTTCAGAGGAACATGGTCGCTAAACCTCAAGGAGCTTAAAATCAACTACACAGGTGTCTGTTTAATTCTATTCCCCAAGATTTAGGTTGGTTTCCAACATCACAGGAAGTACCCAAATGAAAATAGCATCTGAGTATAACGCAGAAAAGTCACAAATGCAAAGTTCTGTTCCTGTTCCGAAACTAGTAAAAATAACAGCACTGCAGTTCATAAAAACTTCACCTATTAGATACACTCATGTGTGTGTGTTATCAACCGTAAGCCACATGGTGAGGCAGGCGGGACAGATGTCAGCCTCATTTTATAGATAGGAAATCAATGCCTTAGTTTCTACAATGAAATGAAAAAGACAGGAAATGCTGCCAGCATCACAGGATGTCTATGTATGGAAGCTTTTCATGTCTGTAACCAAACAACAGCTCATTGATTATCTGCTTATCCAAATGCTGCCTTAGTCAAAAAGCAAAAAACAAAAACAAAAACAAACCAGTTTTTGTTTATAATGATGGTGTTTTACTTTCAGTTCACATAAACCTGCATCCTCTCCTATAACCAATCTTATTTCTCTAAGGCACTTCTTACCTTCTAGGAAATGGTACAATTTACATATTCTTTTTGTCTATCTGTCTCCTCCACTAGAACATAAGCTCCATGAGGGCAAACATCTTTGTTTCATTCGCTGATTTAAGAATACACAATGCTCTCCATGCCCAGTGAGACTGGCATTTGCTGAATGGATTATTTTTCCATATTCCACACAACATTAACTAAAAATACCTCCTATCAGGTATCAGTTAGCAGCAATGCCTGATGGATATCCTGTGGATGCTAAGGGAACTGAGGTTTATTTTAATAATAGAAAGAAGGCTGAAAGGGTCCTACACTATAGCTATACATGTCTGTGTGACACTTATTTCCTTAAACCCTGAGACCTCATTTCCCTCTTCTTAAAACTCCAGGAGACTTGGTCTCTTGAGCAATGTGGCCCAGGATGACCACAGAAACAGCTAGATTCACAATCACCTCTTTCTCTTTAAATGAATTAGAAGCTCACCTTTCACTTATTTAGAAAGAACTTGCAAGAAAGCCACGCTTGCTTTGAGGAGTAAAATGTAAATTTCAACGAACCAACTGTATCTTTCTCTCCATAGCGCTTGTTTCAATTGAAATGATTCTTCAGCCGCTGTCCAACCTCCCACTCCCAACTCCCAAGGAACAGTCTAACTCACACTGACAATAAAAAGCAGCCTTTGCCAAGGAAATCTCTGAAAGACACAGTTTGTGAAAAAGAGAAATGATGGCTAACGTCTATTAAGTGTGCCATAAAATAATACAACTCTGTTAAAAGGACGCCCACGGGGCTCCTGCTCTAACAGCAGCCAAGGCGAGCACCTCGCCAGCCCTGCACCTTCTAGGCTCACCTCTTGCTGCCTGGTCCTGAGAACCAGGAATTGGCTCATGGAGTATTTCTACTGAAGGCTGAGAAGACTCGGCAGCCTGCATGAAAAGTCCCGCCAGTTCCCGCACTCTCAGTCAGTCCCTGCCAGCTCCCACTATGCTAGGATGCTAACAAGAATATTCAAGATGAATGGAAGGTTCCCCTTCTCTTCCGGGGAAATGCAGTACTCTGCAAAACTAGACCATGAAGAACTAAGGTACCAGCAAACCTTAAGGCATCAAATCCCACATTCCTGTCAATATCCCCAACTTGATAAGAGTGAATGTTCACTGCACCCCAAAAAGCTATTCTAAAAGAAAAAAAAAAAACAAATGTCCATCAATGGGCATCTGACTGAATTAACTATATATATACACATATGTGTGTGTGTATATATATATATGTATGTATATATATGTATATATATGTATATATATAGACACACATATATATAAACATACATATAGACATATATATAAACACATATATATAAACATATATATATATATATACACACATAGAGACAGAGTTGTGTTTTACTCTGGTATATATATATTTGTGTATTACTCTGTTACACAAAACAGAGTAATACACAACTGTAAAAAGCAATGAGAACTCTATTATGTGCTGCTATATACTGATCTCCAGAATATTCTTTGAAATAAAACAAGCAAAGATAGAAAATGAGGCCTATTACATTTTTGTTTATCTCGGGGAGAAGAAGATGAAAACAGAAGGGAAAATCAATAGAATTGCTCATATTTTAAAAGCAGAAGGATTAAACCAAAAACTTAAAAAAAAAAGTTTTCCTATAGGGGAGGCACAGGGTGGAGAAAGCAAACACAAAAACTAGATTTTTTTTAACCATACCTTAACTTTTAACTATTTTTTAGTTATTACTGTGGAATTATGCTAAGTTTTACTTAAAATTGAAGCAAGTTGGGGTTTTTAAGTCTTACAAATGTAAAGCAAAATGAAACAAATGATTCCAGGTTTCAAGCTGATAGCATATCCACATGGAGAGGAACTGTTTCATGTGACTTTAAAATACAGTAGTAGGTCTGTAGATTTCTAATAGCATACATCCTCAGGACCAAGACAAGAAGAAAAATACTAAATTACATTTGGTAGTCATATACTGTGCTAATACCATTAGCATTACAAAGTAAGTAATTATGTCCACATAAGAACTAACATTTTTAGATTCATGAAACAGATATCCACAAATATATAATTGAAAAAGTAAAATGAAATATCTATAATCCTAAATTTGAACTATGAATTTTAATATAAAGTCACGATATCATTTCTCATTAAAATGCGTGTGTGTGTTTTCCCCCAGATTTGTCCACTAAAGAGACACAAAAACGACAACCCACCCGGTGGATATGCCTAGCAACCTGTATTGTTTCCTACTAAAAGGAACCAGGGCTCTTTAGAGAAATGGCTGATTCCAGACCTGAGGCAGGAATTATACAAGATGGTCCTGAAACATCTTGTCACATCAGCAAACAAAACTTAGGAGCCAATTTGAAGAGGCTCCCATTGGCCAAAGATGGGACAATTTTAACTTCATAAGAGAGAAAATGTGTAATGAATCAAAACATCATATATATTTAAAATCATGCATTTGAAATAAGTCTTTATTGGGGGAAAAAACAAACAAACAAACAATGGTCCTTTTTCAATAGCCTGAAAACTGGTTACGGACAGGAACCAATCACTTATCCTACTTCTCCTGTATGAACTCTTTCTCAGGACAATCAAGTAAGTGGTGATGGGACATCTCTCTTTACGGGATATCCAAGTTAATAAATGAAAAAGAAAGGACATAAGTAGAATATCACCATCTTGCAACTCTTAAATACTAGATCTAAGCAATAATCATCAATGAACACCATAAAAATAAGACAAGACTCTCCTAATAAAACTCCCTATGAAACTAAACAATCACACCCATTAAGTATTTTTGCCACCTTCCCTGCCAGATCAAAGCTTGGTCTAATCAAGCCTCAAGACCTAACTCCTAGTCTGCAAGAAATATGGGGGAAGTGAAACATGTTAAACCACCCAGTGATACAACCAGCAAAATCTACACTATAGGAAAATCCACAGGAAGACACCTGGATTCCTCGCTTCCTAAAACATCAGGAGGTAACACACAACCTACAGGTTAAAAGAGCCTTACCAGACATCTCAACCAGCAGCAATGCATATGAGACAAGCATAAAAATTTGAATACCTATCGGGTTTTTTGGGGGGATATGAAATAATTACCTTCAATTTTTAGGTCTGTCATTGGTATTGCAGCGGTTTTTTATAACATTTACATTTAAGAGATAAATACTAAATATTTATAAATAAAATAATATCTGGAATTTACTTCAAAATTATCCAGAGTGAACGGAAGACTAAGTGGAAATATAGATGAAACAAGTTGCTGAAGTGGGCAACGAATTCGTACAAATTCACTATACTATTTTCTTTCCTTTTGATGTTAAAATGTTCCATAATAAACAGTTAAAAAAGAATGCGTTCTTAATTCTGGTGGTTGTCGTGTGAGATTTTCTAAGGCTCAAACCCTAGTGGCATAGGAACCACACTAATAGTTGACATTATATGTAAGATGCCATTAGGCGCAAACTCCATTAAATATAAACTACAGGGCATTTTTACGAGGTTTGGTAGTCTTGTGAGGGCTGCATCCTCCATGGGCAGAAGAGGAATGCTGCGTCCTCATATGGCTGAAGGGCAAGGGTAAAGCCTCTTTATAAGGGCCTTAATCCCACACAAGGGAGGAGCCCTCATGGCCTAATTGCCTCTTAAAGGTCCCACCTCTTAATAGCATCACACTGGCAACATCTGAATTTTGGAGGTGATCCATCAAACCACAGCACCGTCCTCTGACTTCAAACACAAAGTCAGTAAGACATTTAACCTCACTGAGTTCATCCTAAATGAAGGAAGTAGTACATTCTATCTTACTTAAGTGCAATCAGCATTACTTTTTAGAAGACCTAGGCGCTAAGGATCGGAAATATTCAAGTTCAAGAAATTATCACGGGGTTTATCACTGGGTTTTTAGAGATCTTGACCTAATAAGTATCTTTTAAAATCACTCATCTTTTGGCCTACTTTTACAAAGCTCCTGCCATTTTATTTAGATTTAACTATTAAAAGCCATTCACATGGACAGCTTTTACAAAGGTATCATAATATTCCCTAATATTTTTTAAAATGGGGTCAGAGCAGAAAGTAAATTAGTGATTGCCAGTGCTGGGGGCTTGGGGGTGGATATGGGGTTCCTGGGAGGTGATGAAAAGGTTCTGGAATTAGTGGTAACAGTTGCACAACCTGGTGATACACTAAAATCCACTGAATCACACGTTTTAAAAAGGTGGATTTTAGAGTATGTGAATTAGATTTCAATAAAAAAGAAACAAAAAAATGAGTTAGAGATAAATTTTATTTTGTAAAGTTTACTCATTCTTTGTAATTTTCAAAAAATGTAATACAACACAAGTAGTCAATTTCTACTTAATTTTATGGTTTTTTTCCCTCCTAAAGGAGATAACGATAAGCCTAAAACAAAGAGCAATGAGCTCATGCTAATCAGCTTTGCCAGTTCTGGTCATAAATTAGGAATACTGTAAAAGTGAGGTGACACCTACTAACGTCATTTTGCTAAGACTGCTGGAAGCTCTACCATCGCTAATATCTTAAACAGTTCCTACTAATCTGTGGTAAAGCAAAACTTCCCACCCCACCAAAGATATCCAACTTTATGTAACCCTGCAGAATTTAAGTATTTATTAAACATTTAAGACAAACTCTGAAAGACTGCCGATTTTGTTTCTTTGATTAAAAGGTAAACAGTTTTAGTGTTGACTGTAAACTATATAAAAATGTCAGCCGATAATATATTCTGTATTAACTGCCTAATAAAAGCATGAATACAAATAAAACCCACCAATCTTAACCTTCCACCTTTCTTCACATGTCCATCTCCACGTACTAATGAAAGAAGAAAATGGAACAAAACGTTCAGAAACACAAGAGGGGTTGGGGGAGCAGGTGCTGTTATCACAGACCCAGACTTTAAAAATAAAAAACTGATAAACACATGAACTCAGCTTTAAGCCTTCCTTACAGATACCTCTAATTTTTATAAGTAGAGTCTTTCAATTACTCTGTTTGTAAACTACAAAATCAGGGGTTCGCAAAGCTGGCATGAGTCCTTACAATGCAGTTTGTCAGTAAATGATTAGAGAAGAGCAAATAAATGCTACTTTTAAAACTCAGTGTATTGTAAGCCAGTATTTGTTTTTCACCATGTATTTCCAACAATTTAAAGCACCTTCTTTTCATGAACTCCTTACACTCTTCTGTGAACCTTCCAAATACATAATGAATTAGATTTACTCCCACAAAATCAAACCATATTAACAGGGGCCAAGAAATATTACTGAACATGAAGCAAAACAAGATTAGCAAAAACACCATAGGAAGCTGCATCTTAAATATATAGCAGTATCACATGTCCAAAGGACAGAAAAACTTATAAAAGCAGCTAGCAGTGTTATATATTAAAAATGATATGTGTTCAAGAGGATACACAGATCAGCACAGAATGCCTATTTAAGAAAGATAAAAATTCTCAAGGGAAATTCATCTAAAAGCATGTGACGACAATCTACAGATGTACTTCCTGATAGAGCAGAAAAATCTTGCAAATCTTTGTTTGGTAACAAGTGAACTGGGGTCCAAAAGGTATAATACCCAAGGGCTGTTCTGTTTATGTGGGAGGGAGGCCCCAAGAAGACAGTCCAAAACGGCCTAACGCTGACTATGTGCAGAAGAGAGGGCAGTTAGGTGCCCCCAAGCCCAAGGGACTGGCCCAGAGTCTGTCTGCGGGCGGGCCAGGGCCTCAAAGACTGGGTCTACAGGGAAACAGACTCAGCTGGTAAAATCACCAGGGCTTCATCGTCCATGACATGGGTCCTAGTTACTCCATGACCAGAGAGCCACAAAGGAGCAGATCTCAAGGAGAAGCAGGCATCCTTGCCTCCCAAAAGACAAGGCAACAGAGGCAGGTACAGAGTACGAGAAACAAAAGTGAGAAATTCAGGACCCATCTACATACCATCACATTCCCACCATCTTTGTTGAAATGATCGGATTTTTAAAATCAGTTTTTTTACTTAACTGATTGGGGCAGAACAGCTGAATTTTTGTTGAATGGCAGAAACAAATGTATTTTCATCACCAACACTAACTAACTTATCATGTGCCTCCTAACTGGAAGAAAATGCTTTGGGCACTAATTTCTCAGAAACAGTGCTACAAGAATAAAGCCATTCAAAATTCATAGAAATGCCAATGTTTTTATATGTTGTGGCAGGTGAGTTCATTTATTACGTCAGACTCTGAAATTGTGTCAGAGCAGTTGGATAGAGCAGAGTTGAAAGTTAAACTTTACCTGAAAGGTATGCAACTTTTTCCTTCAAAATTGGTAAAACATCCATAGCTTTCATTTCATCGTTTTTTCGAAACCCTGAAATACAGAAGGAGAAAATAAAATTACTGGGTTGCCAGAGTGACAGTTAATTCCTTAACCATTCTATCCAATGCCAACACAGCAGCTTTATCCACATCCATTAAATCAACTTAAGAAACATGATCATAGCACAACATTTAAATTCCATGTCTGTGATCACAAAACTGTCTTCTATTTTAATGTTTAATGATTTGCACACAGACCCAGAGGCTCATGTCCCCAAAAGGCTCGCTCTGAGTCATTTCTAGCAATAACAACTTGGTCCCAAAAGGAGACAGGATATGAAATCAGTCCAGATTATTTACCAAATCTTAATTTTTATGTAGATTAATGTACATAAATCTTTGCTGGTACAAAGAAAACAGCAACACTGCTTTATAAAAATTGCTGCTTGTGACATCCTAAAACCTCTAGGGGGAGCTCAATGCCTCATTCCATCAGACTTCAGGGTCTGGTTAAAAATACACAGTGGCAAGGCGGAGAGAGGGGATTATAAATAGCTGGGGCCTGGCTTTCTCCTTCCAGGCTTTCTGGGTCATGCCCCCTGGAGGAATGTCAATGGCTAATGTGGTCATACGGCCCAGTGCCACTCCAGCTTCAGAGGTGGCCAAGGTCCCTCTTCTCACTAAAAACCAACTCTGCCCCTGCTCCCAATATCTTAGAAGGCCCAGTGGGAATATTGTAGAAAAGGAGCATGCAATAGGCAATTTAGGCCAAAATCCATCTAAGCAAAAGGAATTCTTGCAGCCCAAAAATATCTAGCCCAGCTCACCAGGGTGAATGCCTACGTGGGAATTTGGGGTCCAAAATGTCCATACTCATCATAATAACTGGATATTTCTCTCGGCGATCTCTAACAGAGGTCATCTAGGTTCAGGGATGCCTACCAAAACTAGTAACTAACACTGTTAGCAGAACAATCTCTAGGAAAAAACAAAACACCACTTCCCCACCCCCATTTGTGTTTGTTTTTGCCAAAATAGTACAAGAAAAGCATCGCAAATGCTAGCATGGTAATACAACCACAGCAAGATGTAGACTTGGAATTAGAAGGCAAGGAAAGTACTGAAGTCAAGGAGTGAACATTTCACTTTTGGTGTCCTGAGCAGCAACTCCCGGGCAAGCCCTGCTACAGGGAACATTTATAAAAAACGACTCTCTCCAGGCACTAGAGAATGACAAAAGCTGGGAGAGACACCTGGAAAAGGAAATGACCCTGGGTACACAACCCATCATTAGGGCTGTTAGCCTGAGGGCAGGGCCCCATCTAAGCAATGTGGAGCTTTCAAAACAAAAACCAGGTGAATTCCAAGCAGCCCTGCTAAGGATTAAAGATCTACATCAAAATTTGAGTTGCTGCCCACTGCAAACACAGAGAATGTGTAGTGTGGGTCAGGCCAAATTACATGCCTGCTAAAGCAGGCAAACAAGCAGCAACAAAATCAACATCTTCGGGAGGAATATAGCAGAATTCAGTCTCTACAACATTATCATTCATAGAAACAAAGAATGAATAAATCAGCGGTGTGATCTGATTTCTTAATGTAAATCGCTCCTGTCCATAGAATACGTCCACGTGTATAATGAACCCAGTTTAATGAGATTTAACTATGACACTGACAATTACCACAGACTTCACAGCAAACACATCCGGCTGAGGACCATGAGGTCCTAGGAAGGCTGCGTGGAACTATTCAGCCAGTTATGGGTAGATTTGACCGAGCTGGGGCCTCCACAGCACCAGGCCATTTTCCTTTCCAATGCACCATGCTTTGTGCTGGCAACCCACCAAGCTTTGAAAACAGTGGCTATTTATAAAAGGCAAAACATCTGAGCCAAGAGTTCTGCAATTTCATCCTCAGGTTCCTTCAAAACTCTTGAATGGATGCAATCTAGTCAGCAATTCACTGCCAGTCACCGTAACTCACTGAATGTGTCTACAAAGACTGACTTCATCTGCCGTGGCTGCCGTGGACACAGATGGCACTGGGGCAACTGCAAGGCAAAGAGGACTAAGGCTCCCCAGCGACCCTCAAAGAGACAAGCTGACAAACACCTATAAAACAAGGCAGATTATGAAATGTTCATAGGCAGCACGAAGTGCTATGGGACCCAGGCAAATGAGGAGGGGACAGATCACATGATAGACAAATACTAGGAAGGAGTAAGCGACAGCTGTAGATCCCTATCTGTTTGAAGGGAGGATTCCCCCTTCTGTTGCTCAGATGAGAAAACGCATGCTTCCTACCATTCCCACGTCCACACCCACACGTCATGGCCAGGACACAGCAAAGCCCTCAGACAGAGAAATGTCACCACCAACTGCAGCCCTGGCTCCGACACTAGAGAGACAGAGCCCCACTTGTGAGTCACACAGCCATCACCAAGAAGAATGTCCTGATCCCAATGCTGATATCCCAATAGAGAGCTGTGTGACCTGAGTCATCATTCCAAAGCATTTTTGACAATTACTGCTAACTTTCTGAATCACACCTATTTACTGATACCCACAATGGAGTGGAAGATGGAAGTGAGGGCTGTCATATTCCAGGCCATCTCACAGGAGGAATAGCATATTGATTTGAAAGTAGGGTGCAGAAAACAGAACTCAATAAATGTCTCAATTTCCTATGTCCCACTATGAGTCATGGACTCCCTCTCATGTGACCTTTCATTTCTCAGAGCTGTAGTTATGTTAACCTATTGGTCCCTCAGTTTCCCCCCAAATTAAGGAAGACTCAGTCTTTCTAGAGGAAGAAAAGTACATGAATTAATGAGAAACTTATGTGAAAAGGTGCTTCACTTTTATTGCGATGTAGGTACATGCCCACGCATAGACCAGAATATAAATTCTAACCAGTTTAACTATATTTTTGTAGATTGTCACTGAAAAAGAGTTACTTTTATTTAAACCATCAATTAATACTTCAAAAACAGAAAATATAAAAAGGGCAAAAATATAAAACTAACCACACAAAGAAACTTGAGTTTGTCATTATTGTGGTGACTGGTCACTTAGGTATTATTTTAGATCTCATTTCCATTTAAAAAAAAAACCAATAAGCAAAGAACTCAGGAAGCATGTATAAATACTAAAACCAGATTAAATATATCATATGTAACTTTCAATAAAAAGCAGGAAGAACCCAACCATGAAAGTTCCTCAGATCAAAAAGGCAGGCTGTGTTCCATGCCCTGAAGAGCTATTTAGGAAAACAGTGTGGAACTATAAAAACGTTCTAAAAAATTAAAAATAAGTGGCTTCTCTGCTATTCCACAGATTCTAGATTACACAGCAGATAAGACTCAACTCCTAATACTTTCTTCATTCATGCATTAAAGGATCTAACTGTGGTTCTCAAACTTACTGAACAGCAGCAAATACAGGCTGCCCTCGGTGGCCGCCCCCTGGAAGCACATACTTCTCACCATCACAGAGAGGTTCAGGAACAGCAAATACCACCGCACAGAGGCCCTGATAGGATCCCAGACCTTATCTTTGTACCAAAGACCAGGCGTCAGCAACATTTCTACTTCTCAGTGCCACCAGGGGGGTTTGTCAATGCTACTTAAATAGGTGGAAGGGGGTGCCACAAAGAGAAATTTGGTAAAATTAGGATTAACAGAAAGCCTAGACAAAGAAGAGCAACTTGAGAGGAGATAACCAGAGGGTAAATGGCCCAAATTGGGGGACATTTAGTTGTACCCACTTTTTGAATTATATAATTTTTAAGTTATATAGAGCCCATATTAACTGCGCAGAAAAGACAGACTGGATTCCGTCACAGTTTGAGGCATATTTTGCTACTATCTGAAATACAGCAACCATTATGGACTCTAATGAAAAGCTAGCTTCAGGAAACAGTGAAACAGCAAGAATGGAGTCAGTCGAGGCTTATCTCTAGGTGCAGAAGATGTTTCCCAGGGGAGTCCTTAAAGGCAGGCAACAAATATGCTTCTGAACCAAGTCTACAATGACTATGTTCAGAATGTTTACACTAATATTTGTTGAATGCTACTGAGGAAAACAGGCTTAGGTTAAAAAATCAGATTTTATAGTTGTTAACTAAATATAAATATATATAGGTGGTGCTTGATGATTTTCTTTCTGGTTTCAAGCCAACACACAAAAAACTGCCTTTCCCTAAAACAAATTGGAATGTTTAGAGATTTTAACATACTCATTTTAAAATAACTACAAGTTTCAGCATACTACTTGCCAAAATTAATTCTGTTACCACCTTTTAAATTACTGTTTGGTTCGACAGCATGTCAGTGTGAGCATAAATGTTAAATCTGCACCCCCAAATCACTTCTATTCCTTAATAATAAACATTATACTGTTCATCAAATGAATAGTTGCCTCTTTTTCTCTAGATCAGCCAATTTGCCAGAGGACATGTCTGTTTTGCTCCCTGCTGTATCCTAGATACCTAAGATAGGGCCAGGCAAAGGGCATTCATCAGATGTGGGTTGGCTGGGTAGAAAGATGGATGAAGGGGGAGGCCGAGGCAGGCAGATTGCCTGAACTCAGGAGTTTGAGGCCAGCCTGGGCAGAATGGTGAAACCCCATCTCTACTAAAATACGAAAAAATATTAGCCAGGAGCAGTGGTGCACACCTGTAGTCCCAGCTACTCGGGAGGCTGAGAAAGAAGAATCACTTGGACCCAGGAGGCGAAGGGTGCAGTGAGCCGAGATCATGCCACTGCTTACCTGGACGGCAGAGCGAGACTCTGTCTCCAAAAAAAAAGAAAAGGAAAAGAAAGATGGATGGATGAATGAATGAATCAATCAATCAATGAACTCAACCAACAAATAAATATATTTCCACAGCATCTTGACCCTGAACCCCTACCCAAGAACCCCAAAATTCCTTAGTACTTTCTATTTTTGTTTTGTGAAATGTTAGGTAGTTTAGCCTTCAATCATAGTATGATTTATATTCATAAGATGGAAAATTAATCTCTCTGCCCTAACAAGGAATATTCTGCAAGTTATCATTCAACAGTGAAATATCTTTCCACTGAATCAACAGTCTGGAACTTCAACTATCTAATACCCCACTGACCAAATCAATTACTCATCTGTCATCCTGAAACCCTGCAAAGAGATGCTGCACTGAGACAAATACCTTTCTAAGCTAGTCACTGATGACCAGAATGCTCGCTCACTTGGTCACTTCTGTGGCATTAAATTTAAGACAACAATAACAAATAGTCCAGGAACAACAAGCCCCTCTCCGATTTATTTATAATAAAAAGCACCCTAGAAATATTTTCACAATGAGCAAAAGCTTTTATATAGCATATTATGTTAAAAATGGTATTTTTACATAACTGGCAGAAAGATGAATCAAATGAATCAAATTTTAAAATTTTTTAAGTAAAACATAGGTTTTATTATTTTTTTAATCCTGTATTTCTCCCAGGACACTGGCAGATACTAGTAATCTGAAATTTTACCTAATCTTCAAATTAAACTAGTCAAATGAGTTTTCCAGTAAAAACTGTTAGAAGAAACACAGTTATTCCTTGACCATTTGAGCTGTTGAACAAAATGAACTGATGCGATTCTAAACTGGCTGCGTCTCCTCCTTTAAAAGCAGCCAAGCCCACAAGACAAGCTGTGCTCCTCACCCATTCTCAGGGGTTTCATTTGCCTGTCAGCTATTCCGAGTTAGTGTTTACTAAATGGGAAAATAATCTGCGGGAAGAGATTGGGAAAAAAAAAAAAAAAAGAATCCTACATACTTAACAAAACACAGGTTGCAGCAGTAACAAAAATGTTAATAAATCAGCCAGTATTTTTAAACAACCAGAAAAAGAAGGTTAAATAGTAAACTGGAGCTTCCTATAAGTACTGGGTCTTAGTGGTAATTACCGAATTTTACTCATTAGTTACTTTGGGGGAAACTTCGCGCGCGCACGCCTGCACACAAAGAGAAGAGTGATAAATCTGCATCAGTTTGGCAGGCACCGCCCTCGCTCCGCAAGCGCACGCGCAGAGGGAGGTGACGTCACCCTCTCCGGGCCGGCCACTTCTCTGCGGAGCCCGCAGGATTATACTCTCAGCACAGGGAGCGGCCGCACGTGGCTGCCCGATGTTTGTGCTATCAAGGGTTTTAGCTGTGCACGCATCTAGAAGTGATGCATAGGAAGGAGGCATTTTAACAAGCCTAGATCCCCTAATGAACATGTTAAAGGGTGGGGGGAAGACACAAGGTTATAACCCTCACTTTTTCTAATATGTAAAAAAAAAAAATCAAAACATAATACAATGCTTATATTATTTTTTTAACATAAATATATCAAAATCCACACTTATAAAATGCATATAAAATGAATTAAGACTTATGGACATGTTCACAGACAAGACCACACAAGAATATGGACGGGTTTCATAATACAGCATTACAATTTTTACCTATAACCTTTATGGTTATAACTGTTGGACTGGCTAATTTACCCCTTCACATAATTTTAGAAGCAACAGCCTATAACAGCATACCTCAAAGAAAGAAAGTAGTTTATTTTTTATTAATTCAAGGGAGTTAAAGAAATTTCAACTTAAAATAGTTCTATTTTTTAATATAAAATACAAAAGAAAACCAAAATAATCAAAAAGACCACAACAAAAAAAAGTTTAAACAAATATATATATTTTTAATGTAAATGAAGCAATCTGTAGAACTCTTAAGGTTTGATGTTTTAATTATGTATTAATTGTGCAATGGAAGTTAATTTAAAAGCATCACAGACCAATGGAAGGGAATATTTTGATAGTCAAGAAGTAGTAGTATTATAAAGGGACTCTATTTCTTACAGTCTCATAAGTCAAAAAAGAAACCATGTGCCCAGGTGTGCCGTTCATGTTTGGATCCCCAGGGACAAGCACAGAGCTATGCACAGAGAAAACTGATCCTGTTTGCCTAATGCCAGAATAAAGAACACATTCGTCTACCTGTCTGTGCATGTCCCTGTAAAGCCTGTCAGGGATGCCTCTGAGGCTGTATTCTGGAACTGGAGTTACCCCACCCTTATCTACATATATACATCCCCTTACCCATACACACACACATACATGCACATATAGGGTTCTGTGATGCTGTCCTGCCCCAAAGACTTGCTTTACCGGAGTGTCTCAGGAAAGTCATTTAGAAATTTAGTGTGTATCAAATGAACCAGAGGGACAAAACTACTACAATTTGATCATCATATCAAGTGGTTTGATACACATCAGATCAAGAAGGTTGAGTGCTAAAAGAAACCCTATTCAATCATTGTATCAATCTGCTCACGAATTTTAACACTCTTACTCTTCTTCAGACAAAGAAAAAGAAAAAACTCAATTATCCCATGTGTTTTAATGCAAAAGAAAATCATATTCTGTAAAAGGCTTCAGAAAATAAAGCTATAATTCTACTCCTTTTCCTCTATTGTCTTTTTGATTACTACATAAGGAACTGGGGCCAGAGGGGCTCTCAACCACAGAGAAGTGATATAAACTAATTATCTGAAAACCTCTCTCAGTGCACATGGACTAGCTCTGCATGGAGTTGGGGGTGCTCATATACAAAGTGTAATCTAGAGCCTTTGTTGACCTTAGCCTGTTTGGGAAAGAAAGCAACACATATGAGTTGTCAGTTCTGTGGTACAGATATTTGGTATGGAAAAATCAGGGCCAGAGCGATGAGAATAGGAGAAGATGTCCTATCAAATAAAAGATCTGTGCGAAGTGTGGAAGAAGTAGTCCAAAACCGGGCACACTGGAAAACAGAGAGCACTCCAGCCAGAGCAAGCAGCATCAATAGATGTAGACAAACAAAAACACAAAACATTCATGGAAGAGAAGAAAGCAGGGGTGGGGTGGGCTATTATAGTGGGTTTTGACTGATAGGTAGGAAACTGTCCATCACTGGAACAAAGAAGTGCCATGAAGAAGAGGCACCCACATGCCTATAGGATAGCCATGCCCCCCTGAACATCCAACCCTGCCTCATGCTCATGCCCACAAACCTGCTCCCCACAGTGTAGGTCCCAGAACAGTACCTGCCTCATAAACCATCGACCTCGTGGCCAAACCAGGAACCAGGCTTCTCCCTGCCCTCCATCCTCTCTCCCATCCCCTACCTCCATGAAACAAGGAGTTGTAGGGACTCCACAGTCCCATGAAGCACCCCTGTCTCTGCCAGCATTGCCCTCATGTGCTATTCCAGCGATCTCCTAATAGATGTTCTTAATTCCCTCGAATGCATTCTGCCACTCTCCCTAGCATGTTTCTCAAACAAATATCTCATCATTTTACTCCCCTAAAATTCTTCAATGGTTTCTTGGTGCCCGCAACTACAGTCCCTCATGATCTGATGTATGCTGCCTCCACAACCTCATTGGTTCATCATTACCATCTCCCCAGGCTCACTCCAGGAACTGCAATTACCTGCAGGGAAGCCACACCTCCCCCTCACCACTGTACCTCCATACACATGCCTTCCCCTCCCCGCCCCCAACACACACCTCTTCTTCACCTGCCCCCAGTCTGGAGTCCCCACTGCTCAACTAGACACCGCCAAGATGCACTCCCACAACACCCCAAATCCTTATCGCACTGCAGGGGAAATATCAAAAGACTTCTCGGTGTTCCTATTAGCAGCTGGGCTCCTAAAGGAAAGGGGCTATGCTGAGTCCCACTGCATGGCAGTCTCACTGAGCAGACTGCCATGGCGCAGAGCATGAACTTAACACCCAGCTAGTTAAACCTCAAGATAGCAAACACGTGGTACTCTACAATTCGCAGTTCTGGGCAGAGTATCCATCTAGGCACAGAGCAATAGCGACAGCTCCAACGCATGCAACTGGCTATAAAAACTCCTTTGAAAAGCTAAAGTGACTCCATTCATTCTCTGTCTAGTATATTTGGTGACTGATTAGTACATAAAATCACATTTACATATAATCAATCTATATTTTAAAGGAGAAAAGGGTTTTTACCTTAAGTTTTTACAACGTAATTTAGAAGTTATCTGCCCAAACCAAAGAAACAAACCAATCTTCTCTGATGGAAAGAGGAGACTCTGCTTTGGAAGAAGTGAACTGGGAGGCTTGTCGTTCCAGCACCTCCACAACCAAAGGAAACGCAAGCCTTCAGGGAAGTGGTGTCTAAGCAGGAAACACAGAGCCTCACAGCTCTGCTTCTCTGCAGTCAGTGGGCTTTTCCCCCAAGAATTTAACGTGACACTGAAATGTTTTCATTATGAGATTTTGTAAACAGACCAAGCATGATGGAAGCAGCAAGCCAAGTCAACTCTACACACCTCAAAGCTGAGCATCCGCCTTTGTTCTTCTGAATGTTAGCCCACACTGCTGTCTCAGGTCCCTCAGCCTCATAAGGCTGGCTGGAGGCAGCCTACTGAGGGCTCACGTGACTCCATTTGCTGCCACATTAACTGAACACAAGTTAAGCCTCTGTGAGGCCTCCCAGCACAAACTGTAACTCCTCAGAACATCTGTACTACTTTACCCACGAAATCCTGCCTGGGACTCACTGTGAGTACGAAGGGTACACAACAAACACTATACAACAGGTAGGCCAAGCCAAAGCGTTCCAGACAGTCTATACATTTCCAGAAGAAAAAGGAACTGAATTCCCAGCACTGAACCACGATTTGGGTTTAAAATTTGGCTTATTCTAGCTTATCTCCACATGAGTAGCCTCTACCCCAGCCTTACCTCCTGCCGGCCCTAAAACTCAAAGGTTCTGATTCTGAATGAATGTTTCCTCCACAGATAAACAAAAAAGGGTTTAAGGAGGGGGTAGGTGCAGGTACTAGTCACTGAAGCCGCAATCCTCATCCAGGGGCCTTGCTCACCAACAAATGCCTACCAATCCCCTCTACTCCAGTATTCTGTGTTGATTCATTTTCCAGCCCTGGGGAAAACATACACCAAAGCTGAGTGTCTGAACAAGCTATCAATTAATCTGAGTGACCTGTAATTATGTTGAATTTAAAATACAGTATTCAGAGTTACTAAATTACACATTTAAAATACCAAAGTTTCCCTAATGTACTCCACAACGTTAAGATACTTTAGGTCCATGCCCACTGCAAAAATCCCATTAATTCATTTACTCCTATTAATATAGAATATAAAGTAAATGCCACAAACAAACATCAGAATTTTTAACTGAAGGTTTGAAAAGTTATTTCCACTTCAGTAAGCATGGATTTGATTCTAACATGAAACTCAGTACAAAAATAAATCTTTAATAACATCAAAGAATTTGGCAAAACTTTCTGCCAGTCAGTCCCTTGATAAAGCTTAGAATTGTGTTTAATCGCTTGGCATTCATAAAATACATATTTATGCATGGTACTCTCTTAAACCCCAGAGATTTTTCCCCTAAATGGCATGTTCCTGATTTTAAGAAGCTTATACTCTAAAACAAAATAAAACACACATTACACTAACCGTAGCCTTAACTGTGTAAACAGTAAGAGCTGACAAATATGTCTTCCAAAACACACTGTTATGTGTAAAGAGATATAGATACTGTTATTATTAATTAGACAAATCCATTTAAAAGTGTTACTTTTCATTGAAATGCTGTATCTATCGCTGACACTAAAAATAAGTCCTTAACATAAAAAAGGTGTTCCAGACCATTCTGAAAGGGTTGGAAACGCTTGCTGTGGAGATTAGAAACACAAAGCCCATTAGTGAATAATAACGTAAGTAACATGTTCAAAGATTAATACTGTGATGTTCTAATATTAGAAACCCATATTATAGCTCACATATAAACTGCCTTGCCTAAGTTACTTCAGTTAATCTACTTTGCTTTGACAGCTTTGTTCCTTCTTCTCTGAATGTAATTTGCAATACATCTGATGCTCTGAGGATTCATCCGATCAGAGGCCAGCCAAGTCCTGCTCTTTAGATGTTTATTGACCTGCAGAGGCCAGACAGCCTTGTAGCAGTCTAAGAACCCCCGTAAGAGCAATCCTGTTACTATTATGACAACTCAAAAAAAAAACAAAAAACCTGGCACTTTGTAACTTGTTTTTAGGCTGAATTCAGCATGCAATCTACAGTTAATTTGGAAGTTTTCTTCCAGATCCTTCTATTTGTTGTAAAAAGATTTGACTGCTCAACAAGTATGTTAACCCAGAGGCCATACCTGTCCAACTGTCTCAGGATTATACTGATGCTGGCAACCACTGGCTTTTGCTCATATTGACTCAGGTGCTGCTGTCCTGCCCTACACCCTCTTTTCTCAAGCAGAAAAAGAATTCTGGTAGATAGGCCCCTATTATTTACCCTCCTACTGAATTGCTAATGAGAAATTTAAGAAATTACAAAGAGGGTTGAGAAAAGTAATGCATCTGCTAACGCAGAAAACAAAGAGAAAAGAGAAATTCATTTCAATTCTTCTCCTCCTACCCCTTTCCCCTCAAATTACCTTCTGCATACAGACAAAAGGTGAGTGGTGGGTTTTTGGTTTTTTTTCATTCTGGTTAAAAATGTGTTTATTAAGCCAAATAATTTAAATATACTGATGGGAAAACAAATTTTGACACAGAAACAGATTTGCTGTGATGGACTCACCTCTCTCTTGGCATCTGTATACATATTCAAACACATTCACTGATCAACAGAACGATGCAAACACACACACTAAAACCGAAAGTGACCGCTGGAGGCGTGAGGACCCTCCAGGACCCGGCAGAGGGAAGCCTCAGAAGGAAATCACTGCTTGGAGACGCAAGTGAGCTTGAGGAAACGACCAGCTCACTTGTGGCCTGGTGGCGTCTCCTCCCTTGGATTACCTCAGGGGAGGTTGGTACTTAGGAACTCGAAGGCAGCACAGGCTCAGAGGACTGCGCATCAGTGCCCTGCAGCCCACCACCCAGCAGGACTGCAGCCCTCATCTGCTTCCACTGTCTTGAAATGACACGGCACAGCTAATCCAGTGATCACAAAAAGTTCCCACAGAAGCAGCTCCAACTGTGTGACCATCTCACTCATTATCCCCCTGGGCCACTGCTGTGGAGCAGGAGGCTGGGATGGCTAGAGGCAACTGGGCTGGTACTGGGGCCACAGGGCCTCCTCCTGCTTGCTACTGGGCGGCCCTCAATAAATACTGGGGAGGTAGAAGGTGAGAGGCAGACGAAGCTCTTCCGCAGTTTCATATCTTTAGACACCTGCCCTGCAGTGCCCAATCTGAGTGGGGTAAGATCCTAAAAGACTCTGCAAAGCTGAACGTCTTGTAGGCTGGGGAATCTGTTTTCCTTTTTCCAGTCTCCTAATTGCTACACTCCTGACAGGACATCTCAGTATCTTATCTACTAAAAAGCACAGGGAACATCGTTTTCCAAATTAAACTTAGTATAGTAATAAAAACGGCAGTGCAGTAAGGACATTTAAATAAGGTGTGTGGCACTCCCTCACCGGCCAACTCTCTGCACCTACAGCATCATTCCAGTACCCTGCAGGGAGACCTCAGGGTGCCTGCTGCCCCAGGAGCTGGGATCCAGCAGAGGAAATGACACAGGGTTACAAGCAGCCACCTTAAAAGGGAGCTACACACATGGGGATGAGGTGTGGAGAGGATTCAGGAGCACGCTCGCTGTGGGGACAGGCAAAGCTGCACTTCACTAGCATTACAAGTGTTAAGTACATCGGCTGCAAACCACAATGGTGCCACAACTCAAAACGAAATTTTGTGTCAACAGTTACTTAGGTGTCTAGTTAGGAGCCTGGGCTTGCCACCTCCCAGGGGGGGTGACTGTGGGCAGTTACCTAGTCTCTCCAAAGCTTCGCTTCCTCGTCTGTGAAATGGACAGCCTGAGAATCACAGCTCACAGAACTCACTAACAAATGCTAACAGTAGCAGTTGTAACAGTATTAAAGTATTAATATCTGAAACTTAGCTGTACAAGTTTGGTAAGTGCTTTAAATAACTGAATTTTGGGAATTTTTGCCCATTTACCTAAAATTATTGTATTCTGTTAAGACAGACATCTTTACTTAAAACTAAAAGAACAGACTGAGACATGTAATTATTGTTAAAAAGCCACTAACAAATAGACATATTTTTAAAAATCCACACAATCATAGTAAATTAACCTGACTATAAATAATTTCTCCATAACTTCTCCCAGGTGGACTATAAATAATTTAAGGAACTATAAGGCAATGGGAAAGTCAAGCCACTCGGGAAGATCTTTCCCACGCCCCGTCTGTCCCCCTTCCCCACCCCACAAGCACCTGAGCACTCTCAGGGTCCTGCTCAGCCTTGCTCCTGGCTGTGAAAAGGGCCAGCCAGAATACAACCAGAAATGGAAACACATGAGCCAAAAAAACCACGTGAGCAAAATTTTTTTTTTTTCCTGGAAGAGACTACTAACTACCTCTCTCCCAAATGGTGACAACAAAAGCTTCGATTAACCTGTCTATCTTTCTGCATCTTGTTACTTGTGCTAAGAATTCCGTGTCTCCCTTAAAGGATGGAGGTGGGACAGGTGAGAGTGAATGCTATCACAACGCTTTGCAGCTGCGGCCTCACCCTTGCTAGTGGCCCCTGGATCTGGTGGAGGTGCCTGCAGGAGCCTGTCTGGTGTCCAGAGGGCAAGAGGGCGGAAAGCCGCGACTGGACAGCAGGAGGTCGCCAGAGGCACAGACAGACCTCATTCTCCTCCCATCTTCGGCTTCCACCTTTGGGCTCCCTTTTCAATAGGCAAACATCTCTCATTTTAACAGATAATCAAAAATAAACAGGATCTTCCCACTCTACTTTGGCACAGAGGCAAACACCACAGGGAACAGTGACTGGACACACAGACAAAGATGCCAGCCTTTGTACACACACTGCCCTTGGTGCCACACCCTTGGCCCACTATGCTAAAGGCTGAACTCATTTGTTTAAAGTAATGAAAAGCCACACTAAGTTTTCCTTCTTTATTCTTGCAAAAGCCAGGCCAGATGGTTTTGTGAAAGCTCACAGTACGATATCATCAGTCAACTCTGCGACCAAAACACTGTAACACCTTCAAAACCTCCAAACAGGAGGAGGACGGGCAGTTGCCATTATAGTAAATAACTTCTAAGGGGCCTGGTGGTTTTAAATATTCAATTACTCACTTTATGGTAAAACAAAAAGGCTTTTTAATCAATCCTTCTAATTCTTTCAGCTACTAAAATGAAAGTCTCAGCAAAATAGTCCCCAGACTTGGAAGAGAATTGATGTGACCTGTAAGAAGGTGTGTATATTTATTACATATGTTTGAAACCACTATCCGGTTTAAGAACCAGAACACTGACACTCCCCTAGAAGCCTTCCCCATGCCCCTCCCTGATTGCACACACCTCCCTGGCTCTAGACGTAACCACTATGCGGACTTTCTGCATAACCATTTGATATAGTTTGGATGTTTTGTTCCCTCCAAATCTCGTGTTGAAATGTGACCTCCCATGCTGGAGGTGGGGCGTGGTGGGAGGTGTTTGAGTCATGGGGGTGGATCCCTCATGAATGTCTTGGTGCTGTCTTTGTGAGTTCTCACTTGGTTCATGTGAAACCTGGTTGTTTCAAAGAGAGTAGCACCTCCCACTTCTCTCTCTTCTCTTTCACCATGTGAGACACTAGTTCCCCCTTCACCTTCAGCCACAAGTGGAAGCTTCCTGAGGCCCTCACCAAAAGCAGATCCTGGCACAGTGCTTCCTACACAGCCTGCAGAACAATGAGCCAAAATAAACCTCTTTTCCTTATAAATTACACAGTCTCCAATATTTCTTTATAGCAACAAAAGAACAGACTAGTATGTCATTCAGTCCTTATTTTTCTTTACAGTTTTGCCATTTACAAACCTAACCTATTAGTATACAATATATTGCTGTGTTGCTTATTTTTGAGCTTTATATAAATGCAATCATGCTACAGGCTGAACACCTCTAATCAGAAAATCAGAAATGCTCCAAATTCCTAAAGTCTTTGAACACCAACATGACTCTACCACAAGTGGAAAATTCCACACCTGACCTAATGTGACAGGTCTCAATCAAAGCACATCAAAACTTTATGTACAAAATTATTTAAAATATTGTATAAAATTACCTTCAGGTTATGTGTATAAGGTATATACAAAACACAAATGAATTCTGTGTTTGGTCTTGAGTCTCATCCTCGAGATGTCTCATTTTGTATATGCAAATATTCCAAAATCCAAAAATATCTGAAATCCAAAACACTTCTGGTGCCCAGCATTTCAGAGGAGGGACGCTGGAACTGTACTTGCGTTCTCCCGTGACTTGCCTCCAGTTTGCATGACTCATCTACATTGATGTGCGTGCTGAGTTTTATTTAATACAATTTCACTGTTGCATAGTGTTCCATTTGATGACTACAACTTGAACTTATTTTGGCAATCTTGTAAGTGAACATTTGTTTTGTCTCTCATTTTTGCTATTACAAATAATGCTGCCATGAACAGCCCCATCCACTACCCGAGAACCCAAGGCCAGTGGATCTCTACGCCTAGAGATATGTCAGGGTTAAATGGCTGGCTTACCGTTTACGCACTTTCCCAAGTTTATGAATTAATATCAAACTGTTTTCCCAAAGGGTTGTATTCCACATCCTCTTTAAAGCTTGTATTGTCCGTCAGACCAGTCTATGTATTTAAGGATGCAACCATTTGCTGCTACCTTTTACCAAATGAGTTGAAGAATACAGAAACAGGCATATTAGTGGACAAGAGATTAATCTGAAATCAATTTTGGATTCTAAACTCTCTGAACCAATAAAACAATAAACTAGATTTTCATATTTTGCTTTAAAAGTGTGAGACTAAAAGAACAGGATACCCCATTGTTTCCCTTTCTATTTATGTCTCAACTGAATTCCTCTAATAGTTCCTCCCATTTAAGATTCCCTACAAGTAAGTGCCAAAAAGGAACTGCTGGGGAGACCTGCCCATAAACTCAGTCTCCAACCTCCAAGTGGTCTGGGTTCCAAAACTTTGTTAAGAAGACTGCTGTTTCTCAATTTAAAAAATATATTTTCCCGTAGAAATAATGCTACAGGTTGCTATGAGGGTCCGAGAGGAGCCCACCAAAGCCTATTTCATATACAATAACCCACTTATGCTACTGGTGTGGTTGGAGAAGAAACAGGAGGAGGAGGGTGGAGACCAAAAACCTTCCTGCCTTTCTCGCGGGAGAACAGAGCCAAGACCAACGGTAGAAAGATGGCCTGGCCATCCACAGGGCTCCCCACTTCCTGTATCCTTCCTTTCCAGGCGCCTCACATGGCACATTGCTGGAATGCACTAACCAGACAAGGCGATCATGGTCCTCCATGCAGCAAGCAGTTTCTGAGGGTTTGAAGCCCAAGACTCCTTTATACCTCTTAAAAACTACTGAGGATCCTGGAGTTTGAGACCAACCTGGCCAACATGGTGAAACCCCGTCTCTACTAAAAATACAAAAATTAGCCGGGCGCCTGTAATCCCAGCTACTTGGGAGGTTGAGGCAGGGGAATTGCTTGAACCTGGGAGGCGGAGGCTGCAGTGAGCCGATATCATGCCATCGCACTCCAGCCTGGGTGACAAAGCAAGACTCCGTCTCAGGCGGGGGGAGGGGGGGAGAACTATTGAGGACTCCAAGGAGCTTCTGCATTACGTGGGTTCTATTTATTACTTACTTTACTATTCTGTCCACCTAATATCTAGATATCTCAGATATATGGGTATTTACCATATTAGAAATTAAATCTGAGAGAATTTTTGAAATAATATCTTCAAAATAATAAATTCATTACATATTAACATAAAATACTTTTTCCAAAAAAAAAAATCAGAAAGAAGGCCAGCGCTGTTTCACACTTTTGAGACTTCCTTTAATGTGTGGTTTAAGAGAACTCATCTTAACTCTCACTTATGTTTCTGTCTTTAATCTGTTGTGATGTCACATGTCAGGTAGCCTCTGGAAGACTTCAGCATACACTTTGGAGAGAATGAGAGTGAGAAATAGCTAAGACTTTATTTCCCTGTTGTGAAAATAGTTTTAACTCAGAGATTCCCTACAAAGGTCTTAGGGAACCCAAGGGGTCCCTGGGACCACACTTTGAGAATTGCCGCTTTAAGGGCATAGTCTTCAAACACTTTTGATCAAGAATCCCAGCACTGGCCAGGTGCGGGAGTTCATGCCCGTAATCAATCCCAGCACTCTGAGAGGCCAAGGCGGGCAGATCACCTGAGCTCAGGAGTTCAAGACCAGCCTGGGCAGCATGGCGAAACCCTGTCTCCACAAAAAAAAAGAAATCAGCCGGGACCTGTGGTCCCAGCTACTCAGGCTGAGGCAGGAGGATCACTTGAGCCCAGGAGGCAGAGGGTGCAGCGCACCAAGATCATGCCACTGCACTCCAACCTGGGTGACAGGGCGAGAGATGTCTCAAAAATAAATACATAAATAAAATCCTATCACTAAAGAATTTCACTACATACCTTCAATCCTAAATTACACACGTACTATTCTGTACTAGTAAAGTATGTATGCAGTGACACATACCCCTAAATAGGCATTTAAAAATAAGCCATAAATAAGTATTTCTTAAAAGATTTTTCTATTTTCTTCCCATACCCAGAAGACCGTGGTGCATGTGGCAAGTGCAGCACTCCTGTCCTCTTTGAAATCAGCATTTCCTTTTCTTGAGCAGAGTTTGTCTTGACTACTGCTGGAGTAACAGTGATATGATCAGAGTCACTTGCATCAGTGGCTAAAAACTGTGCTGACACAGAAGGTATTTCCCTGGTTAAATGAATGGCTAATTGTAATTTTGGGGCCAGGCTGCCCCAGTGAGGCGAAATGATAGCAGTGTGCATGGCGGTACTGCAGTCCAGGAGCCCCAAGTATACAAGCCAGTCTTGCTGGGTGTGCCCTGGGGTCAGCTCCCCCATGGTTTGCCTGCTTCCACTCCCCTCAACCTCTCCCTCAATGAATGGCACCTAGGGAGGCAGGAAGGCTGCACAACCTCGTCCCTCTCTCCTGGAGTGAGCTGCAGAAGGCTCGGGGCCAGGCTGCCTCAGAGGGATGATGCCCTCTGGTTTAAAAATAAAAATCTGTATTCCTGGTTTATATACAAGTAACCCCATTTAAAGGGAGTAATTCGGATCTAGAAAGGTCAGTTTGAAAGGAGATGTCTCAGGGATGGTTTTAATTGTTTCCTGGGCTCTCCTGCAATCTTTTGTTCTTTTTATGAGAAGCAGCAACAGAAAGCACAGGTACCATTTAAAAAGGACACAGATGAAGTCCCTCGGGGATCCAGGTAAGACCTGTTGTAGAATGTGAGTTCAACCTGCTGGGGCATTCCTGCCACTCTGACATCCTGTGGCAGGCCAGTTACAAGGGCTGCCTCTCAGTGGGCACCTAACAGTAAACGTGGTTGAGCAGCTACCCTGAAAATCACCAAGAAGGTGGCAAGCCTGCAGGCAGGAAGTCTAGTATGGTGGCCAGGTGCTCGGTGAGGCCACAGCTGGATAGAGAGTGAGCAAGGAATCGATGTAGAATTATCAGGAAGGAAAAGCAACTGGATCTATCAACAGACATGGCACGTAAAGCAAAGGCCTTGACATACTGAAGTCTCTGCAAAGAGTCTTACATAAAAGATGCTTAATTTTTAATGAGACAAAATCTTGAACAAGGCACAAAATTGCCAGGAGTGAGTTTACAGTAAGAAAGTAACCTTTTCCTTCTGTAAACAAGTATAAACAAAGCCAAACTGATTGTTTCAATGTCATATTTTACAGCATCTGGTTAAGGAGGTACCACAGCTTGGGAAGGGCTTTTTTTTTTTTTTTTAAGTTGCCTCTTTCAAAACCATCTGGTAAGGCTCTGCTGTCATTTCAAAAGTTGGTCAAATGTAGTCACATCCAGTCACCTCTACCTCAGCCTCCTCTCAGGTTGTAGAGAGAAAACAGATGCAGTCTTTCTCAAATAATCTGTTCCTGATCCCATGGCTTCTGTTGACACCTGCTTCATCTGTTACTTAGGCCACCCCCATCCTCACACCTTCCCTCTGCAGGTGAATTCAAGGCCCCAATTGTTCCCACCTCCCAGGGTAGCTTCGAGGTGAGCAAGGGTGAAGGCTCAATAAACGAAAAGACGCCCCACCTCTTCTCCCCCTGCACCCAGTCAGTGAGGAGCCTATGCTGTCCAGAGGGAGAAAGAGGGGCCTTTTCAAAGAGGCTGCCCAGCCTCTGGTGCCCCAAGGCTGCAGGTGGCTGTGGAGAGGGAGGAACAGATGCACAGGCCCAGCGCCAAGACGGCAGCACCAACAAGTGTTCCTTGCCATCTCCAGTTCACTCCATCTCCAAATTCTCCAAAGACCATGGTAGTTTAAGAATCTCGGATTTGGGTGCCATGATTTTTAATTATACAGGAGTTAGGCTCTGTCAGGTTACGTGCTGCCCGTGAGTGCTGATCAAAATCAGTAGGGACACAGTTTAACTGAGAGTCCCTAGAGGCATAGGGCCAGAAGCCTGGGCCATTCCATTGTGTTCCTAAGAGGTTCTACTAATACAATCAAGACAGTTTCACTTTTAAAATCATCAACTATGAAATCAAGGAAACCTTGTAACTTCTTGTATCTGACATGTAGTAGCACCTGATCACCATAATACCAACCCCAAGAAAGCCAGGACCAAGAGCAGAAAGCTGTCCTGGCCTCATCAAGCCTCAGTGGCTGAGGGCTCACACCCCCTACCCCAAATCTCATGTTTTCTTTAAAGAAAAAAATAATGGGGATCAAATTCAAAGGGTTCCCCTCGCCCCCTCCTCTGTCTTCTGTGTGTTCCCTTTTCTGACATGGAAGGGCCTGAGCAAATCATTTCACCTCTCCTGGCCGCAGCTTCCTCCTCTGTTAAGCCATGTATTTCAAAAGGCTGCTGGAGAATTCAGTGAGAAAATGCGTGTAAAGTGTTTAATTCACCTGAGCAAATCTGGGCACAATTCATGGCAGCTATTAAATCAAACTGCCCTCAATCAAACAGGATGCAATGGTGACCACGGAGAAAGGCACAACCAAAAAACAGCACCATAGGAGGATTCAGTTTTCCTTGAAAAGGATGTGCTTCTATGTACACACAGCTGAACACAGTACAGCCTCTCCATCCCTCTCGAGTGTACAGGCTCGGGTGCTCTCAGAACTCATGGGAAAGCAGGGCAAGGGAGGGAAAAGCCCAAGCTTTGAGCTTTTTACTCCCCTAATAAATAGGCAAGCGGTTACTAATGGCAACAGAGCATCTCCTCCCCTAGTGCTAATTTGTGGGCATACGGAGAGGCTCCATAGCGCTGTACAAGAGGCTACTCTGGTCATTTTTCTGCATAAAAGCTCCCACTGCAGTTCAGCTGTAAAGCCAGCCACACACTACCCTCATTAACAGGCCTACCCAGGTGAGGGACAGCCCTGGCCAGGGGGAGCAGGCATGCAAGGAAAACGCAATTTAATTACAAACGCACAGTCGCTCTGAGCCGATAAACTGCTGGCAGCGCAGAGGTGGCTCAGAGGTATCGTCAAGACAGTGACGGCATGCTGGCCACGTGGCCGGCAGCTAAAGGGATTACATCATCTCCTTTGTGCAAAGATGAACTGTGGGAGGAGCAACTGCTCACTGGCTAAAGCACCTCACAGGGCTGCGCTACAGAGGGCTGCAGTTTCTGTCGGTGTAAATTGCCCTTATTTCTCCTTTGTGTCAAAAATAAAACATGCTCCAAAAGATGAGACAATCAAGCAGCCTGGACTTCTCTAACAAATTCTTATTTGTCATTTCCCTGTGCCTTTTCGAGCACACTGTTTAACAGGATAATTGCTAAAGTGGAAAGGGGGAAAATTGGTCTTTTTATGAACTTGGTATGAAAATCAGCAGAACATGCATTCTCATTCCAGATCACAGCTTTCCATTCTGAGGGTGGGTGATTTATACTTTGTCTCCATGTTCTCTCCCACCATCAAATGAAGCTGCTCTGGGTGTCAGGCAGCTTGAGGATGCAGGTTTTTAAACCAATCCTCATGCAGGGCTGTCACTGGGTCCAGAATGCTGTTCTGCTCATTTTTACATAATTCTATTAAACCAGCAAGGCAGGCATCAGCTCAGAATGACGTTATCACCAAGAAACCTGCTCACAAAATGTGTCCTGCAAGTAAACATGCCTGCCCTTTATAGCTGCTCTCCATCTCACCATCCAACAAGGTGTTTATGCCAAGGGGTCGGACCAGCTGCTTAACCTCAACACATGCAAATTAAACTCACATAAAGGAACAAATGAAGCCTGAACCACATGAACCCATTCTCCATTGGCAATTCCCCCCTCGAAAGTCCAGAAAGTTCAGCTATCTTTCAAGCTGAAGTAATGATGGTGCCTCCCTCCCTCCCCCACTCCACTCACTCTGTAAACTGGCATTTGCCTGGAGTGATGGGTAGTAACAAATGGGCAAGCCTAACCATGGGCGGGCTCTCATCAGCTTCCTACCAACAATCTCCCGCACCACAGAATTTCAGGATGGCTCTGGAACTCAGAAATCAACTAAATCAGAAATCATTTTCAACCTTTCCAAATCTGTTTTACCAACAAGACTCCATTTCTATTTCTCTTGTACATTTCCACTGTTTTCCTTCATAGGAGAAGCCATGCATCTACCTCTGAAAAACCGACAAGTCAGTCTGCCTCCAGCCAAGGTTAGCACTGCCAAGACTGCCCGTCTATTCTCAGCCTATGGGCACCTCAGGCAGGAACTATGTACATCTAGCTCACCTGGACCCCTGTGTTGAGCATAGCACCTCACCTGGACAGAAGCTCAGCAAATCTTTTTTGAGGGCTCTCAGTCTGGTGAGAGAGATCACCACCGTCAGGAAGTCAGCCAGGCTTGGAATCAAACCCCAGAAGTACCACGTCCAAGTTAATACACTCCTTAGAGCTTTGGAGCCATTGCCCATAATATGGGGATCAGAATTTCTTATTGGTGGGCTTGCTCTGAGGATTACAGGAGAAGTCTGTAAAGCACTGAGCACCACTGTAGCACACACCAACAGTGTCCACCAATGTCAGCTCTGATGACCTGTTCCAAAGCACAGCCCAGGGTAGCAGTTCCTGACAGCGAGGGAGGATGAACAAGATAGGTGGGCAGCACTTGGGGGCCCTGTGTGGACGGCGCTTGCAAGGGGCTCCCCTCAGGAAACTGACTCCCAGGCCCTGAGCTGCCTTCTGTTCCAGGCAGGCCTTGTCCCCCTCACCTACGGCAGCAGGTGCAGGGACACTGCCTGGGGCCCCGGGTGTATTTAATCCACACAGTCAACATAAAATTAACCATTCAAGTAACGAATGGATCAAATCACTTTATTTTACTTTCCTAATCTACTCAATGTCACTTTAAATTGGCAGTGGATGTTACTAAAATGCATTCAACACACTTCGCAAGAGCAAGTGTCTGAACAGAAGGGTATGCTATAAGATTTCAGTTACCTAATGCCTAAGGTTTGACATTCCATTTGTAATTTTTTAAGTGGGAAGGTAATAACATTAAAGAATGATTCCTTCAAAATCTAATTTTGATTATTTTAACTTGGTGCATTACCAAGTTCTAACTCTATGATTTCCTAATATACCATGAGGTACAAGACCCATTGAAACATCCCACAGTCATAAGCTAATAACCCCAGCTGCAAAGAAGGGGCAGTGGTCTATATTTTCTTTTTTTTTTTTTTTTGAGACGGAGTCTCGCTCTGTTGCCCAGGGTGGAGTGCAGTGGCGCAATCTCGGCTCACTGCAACCTCCACCTCCCAGGTTCAAGCCATTCTTCTGCCTCAGCCTCCCAAGTAGCTGGGACTACAGGCACAAGCCACTGTGCCCAGCTAATTTTTGTATGTTTAGTAGAGATGGGGTTTCACCATATTGGCCAGGCTGGTCTTGAACTCCTGACCTCGTGATCTGCCTGTCTCGGCCTCTCAAAGTGCTGGGATTACAGCTGTGAGCCACCGTGCCCTGCCTAGTGGTCTATATTTCTTCTGCTTCCCTCTCTATATTTAATTTATATATCTAAGCCCATGTATTCCAACTTATCAACTTTATTGTCAAAATAGCATGCTCTTCTTAGCACAGACTATAACATCCTAAAACAAAATTAACACCTATTTTAAGTGCAATATAATGCAAAATCTTATATGACATATACCAATCAAATATGTATGTGTCCTACAAGGAATCTACCATAAAATTCAGTAAAGTTTCCCAAACAGGGTTCAAATGATCAAGAGTTTCTTCAACATCACTTCAAGTCTTGAGTTAATCTAAAAGAACATATTCCTTAAAAGACTTTTATATCTTACCATAATAGGATATACGAATTAGTAAGACTTCATTTAAAGCTGAAACCCTCATTTAAAAGTATATTTCTACATTTGGAAATAACTGAAATGCATATTAACATGTTTCATAGTTCAGGCTAATCTTCCCCTAATTCTGAAGTTTACATCCACACATCACAACAATGGATTACAGCATCCAATACCCAGTTGTGACAGTGACAGGACATTTCCATGTCTTGACTTGGCCCAGGCTCCAGCCGAGGGCAGCAGAGGGAAGGGACCACACAGGCTAACACCAACGTGAAGAAAGCACACGAGGCTCACTGAGGGGCCACCAGGCCTGCACAATGCAGGTGCCAGCCCTTGCTCAGCGGGCTGAGCTGTGGGGAAGGGGGAGGTGGGGGGTGGACAGACAGCGGTGGCCTGCTACCTGTAGTTTGGGAGGACACACATTGCTGGTGTGGACAGAGAAACACCAAGGAGCGAGGCCAGGAGGACTGCCTGCAAGGCAAAGGGACTCAGTGAGCAGGGTGGAGAGGGGAGCACCTCCAGGGTGCACTCTGAAGGGGAGTTGTGAAGGTGGCCAGGAGTGGGCACCACCATGCCAAGGAACATTCCAGGAGGTGGTGTGGGGGGTGTCTCCGAAGAATCCGAGAGACAGGTGCAGAGACAGAAGCAGAGCACAACAGAATGGCAGGGAATGGCTGAGTCAAAAGAGTGTTACCCTTTTCCTTCTTCCTTGTCCCTAGCCCCCAGATGGAGAAGCCACAGGGAACAGGAGGCGAGGGGTGACTGGAGAGGGAAACAGAAGAAATACAGCCCCTTCCCTGAGGCTGGCCCACAGAAAGGGGGCAGGCCTCAGCTGGGAAGAAGAGGGCTTCCAGTGGGTGAAAGAGTGACATTCCGGTTGAGACTGGCTTGGGCTCTTAATGCCTACAGCACTGACTGTTCCAATATCCAAAAGAGAAGTGACAGCCACAGGGTCTGCCTGAGAAGCGACCAAGAGCAGAGACAGACAGGGAAAGTGAAGCCTATTCCTGGCTGCGCTTTCCAAGTTCCAGTAAAGAGGTTATGTGACTTTATTCATGGACTTGGTATTTTAAAATATTAACGAAGTTCCACAAACACATGTACCTCCCAGCCCTCAATGATGTTAAACCCCAGAGTTCCCCCTAGTTTAACAGCTAGTAAATCAAGTTTTAAATTTAAGAAAAATGAAGTAGCAGAAATTTAATACTGTTGATCTTATAATTATGTTTTATTTTCTATCTTTAAAAGGCATTATTTTGAACTTTCACCTTCTGATTTAAATTGTTTCAAAGGATACAACGAAACTGTAGCTGTTTATCAGATAGAAGAAATGGTTTAAGGTGAGAGGGGAAGTAAAATTTATCAGGGATTTAAGTAAATCAAGGGAATGGATAATGAGTGTTTTTCCCCTTATATCGTTAACCGGGAGTTACTCCCAGAATAATAAGCAATGTTGAATGTACACTCTAACCTAGGAGGCTTCAATCTTGTCCTAAATGGAATAGACATCAAAAATATTCAACACCCTAATAGGCTTCTAATTCCATTGCCTGTGTCATTTACCTGGAACGGACATCACCTGGCAAACTGTGCTTTAGGAAGGCCAAATTCCTGGCCGGAAATGGTGGCAGCACACCAGGGTCACCAGCTATTCTGGATCTGTGGCACGGGCCAGAATATCTACGCCTGCCCTTCATTTGCCCCGTGTTCTTCTCAGGGACCTCTGTGTGCACAGGTGGAGACAGCCTTACAATCAGTCCACTCGGTGCAAAAACGGTCAAGAAGAGTGTGTCTATTGCAAAGGCCACTGATCTGCAGACAAGACTCTCCACGCCGAGGCATCTCCAATTCAGTAGCGCAGAACTGTCACCAGCTTGGTCTGACATACACTATCTTTAAGCAATGACAAGCACAGCTCTCAAGAAACCAAGTTTTTTGTTAGCAGCTGCCTCAAAAATAATATAAGCCTTTCTTTTCTTCATCTACAAGTGGAGGAGGGGAATGAAGAGAACTGCAAGCACTCCCCTGAATAAGAAACTTTGTGGTTGCAGAAAGACTGAACCATTTGAAAACCGTACACTGATCCTATCACACACATTCAAGAAGAATGTTCCAGTTGAAATAAGAAACTTCAGTGAAAGAGAGCTCAGATTTCTAGGGTTTACTAATGGAGAAACTGTGCCAGCATTTTCAACAGGTGCAAAGGAGCTTTTACAATAACCTAATTTAAATACTAGGGACAAATGGATATACCACAGAACGGCGAGTGGATGTTCAAAGTTGAGAACAGTGAAACCCTTACAGAGGAACAATATTAGAGAAGCTGATCACAGCAAATGCTATCTTTTCATTGACTCAAAAGACTCGCTGGCTTTTCCCAAGTCTGTCAGTAATATTTTACTGTTTGCTGTAGAGAACTGTGGGATGCATAGCTCCCGATGTTCAAGTACTTAACTCGGAGCTGCATCCCCCTGGGCCTGTCTCAGACTCTCTTTTCCTGGGGCTATACCTCCCCTAGCTGCCCTTGCAGCCCACCCCCTCTGCCTATGCCTCTCACAGACCCCAAACCTCATTTACCCTGTGCTCCCTGCTCCAGCAACTGCAGCCTCCCTGTATGAGCCTGACCCAATCCTCACAGATGCCACCTGAATACACCAAGGACCCGCTGCAATCCAGGCTGACGGCAAGGAGTGGAACGTGGAGTTCCCAGGTGCTGCTTCTTGCCGCTGTGGGCTACGGTGAGGAGTCAAACATGGTCCCATAAGCTCAGCAGAATTTCAAATTTATTTTAATGATTAATGCTTATTTTCTCTGACATTCTTAGTACTGCAGTTCAGCAACATTATAGGACAAGACAATTTCTAGGGCTGGCCTGAGAGCCCAGCCATACAGATAACAATTCTACAGAAAAATCATATTCTAGAATGTAAATAACCAATTTGGAAAAACTGGCCATAAGGTGCTTTTAAGTATTCTACATACTACTATGAAAACCCAGTATCTTTAATAGTCTCAAAAGAAAGCATCTGATTTCTACATTCTCTATAGCTTCAAAGATAGCCTCTTCCATGATATTTGCCCCATTTACAGCAGACAATGCCAAACCATCATTCAGAAATCCTATGCATTTCTATATTAAATATCATAAATTAAACAGGAAATTACAACTTCAAAGTGCATTCCCGAAACTGGCAACTTCAAATGCAAAATATAATACAACATTGTAAATATCTTTGTGAAAAACAGATTATAATTTTAAGTTATTAAGATCTACCTTCATGAACCTAAAAGATCAATCCCTATGTTAAAGTGTGCTACCCAAAGACCTCAAAACGTTCCATGATGTTTTACTTTCCTTATTTTAAGCAACGCACCCGAAGTGTAAAATGCTAAATTGCCTCCCCTTGGTCAGCAGCGGCTGAGCTGCACAGCCAAGCAGGTCCTGGCTGCAGGACCTGAGTCACTCCTCCCTAAGAGGAGCCCTTCTGCCAGGCATGGCCCTGCATATGGCGCTGTTATTGTACTAGCTAGTTTGCTGAACAGCAAGTGGTAGGCTCCTATGAGGCCTTTGCTATTTTTCTAGAAATACCCTCTCTTTGATGAATTAAAAGCTCTAGGCTATTGGCATGCCTATACCAAAAATGGATCATACTAGACAAAAACTCATGAAAAATGTACACAATTAAAGAAAAAATGCTAACACAGAAAGTCAATATGGTCTTTTAATGCACCTAATTATTTCTATCCCATATGTTTTCCTTATAAATGTATGAGGAAAACAAATGCTGGGGAAAAACTAGTTTGGCTTATACCCTCCTATGGAATAATTTTTTTTTAGTCCAGAATATTACATTCATTATAAGATATTATGTTTTGTCATTATGACCTCTATTTGACATACACCTTTCCAAAAATCATTTTCTAATTATTTGAAGAGACTCTCATAATAAAAGTTACCATTATAACAGATACATGGAAACTTAATTTAAGTACCATAGACATAAAGATCAGCCAAGGACTCTAAGCTAGAAACAACTGAATTGGGAGGAGGGGTGGAATTTTACTTGCATTAAGGAATATAATCTTTAATCAAATTTAAATCTAACTTAAAAAAAAAAAACATTTCATGTCTAAGTTGCGAGCAAAACATTGAGAGAAAAGGCAGGGTACACACGAATGGAGAGGGAGGGGGGAGTAACAGCAGAGGCAGGGACCAGGACATGGACACACCCAAAATCCCAGGAGCCGGAGAGGGGACACAGAAGCAGCAGGAAAGAGCCATAGCAGTAATGGGAGTGCCCGGAATTCTTCACTGGCTTCAACACAAGACTGAGCTCCTCCTGAGCTCTTCACACTGAGGGGCCTGATAAAGTCTCCAACCAAGCCCTGCTGTCTTTGCAGATGTGGCTGTGAGAGAAGAGACCCCCTGGCTGGGCCGCCAACCACTGCATGTGTCTGTTCCCTCTGCCCGAGCAAGGTATCCCAAAGCTCACCTGCAATTTACCTTCCGGAGTAGAGAGGGATTTAGAGAAGGCAGGGCCTGTGTTTCCCATTTCTGGTTTATCCTCCAACAATGCAGAGTAGAGTGGGAATATAAGGGCTGGCTGACTTGGAGCAATCAAATAATAGATCAAAAAGCCCGAATAGCCTGAACAACACAGTGAGACCTCATCTCTGTAAAAAAAATGTTTTAAAAGATTAGGCAGGCATGGTGGCACGCCTGCAGTCCCAGCTACTCGGGAGGCTGAGGTGGGAGGACTGCTTGAGCACAGCAGGCGGAGGCTACGATGACCCATGATCCTGCCACCGTACTCCAGCCTGGGTGACACAGTGAGACCTTGTCTCAAAAGGGGGCAGTGGGGAGCATGTTACCATCTTTTCCTCCTGATAGTCATTTGTGAACCAGTATGGATACAAAACCAGAACTCCTTTATGCCTGGTAGGCAACACTATTTTCTTCTTGTGAGGATCCCCAAAGAAAAAAGTCTATCAATTTTAATAATATTTTAATCATAAGAATTGACAAGAGCCCTGATTTGTATAAGATTGGTATCTTTTGTGTTTCACAGAAATGATCTTTATTCTGCACTCAGATTTGTAGGTTAAGATGATTTAGCATGTCTTTATTATATACATATAATACATACATTCATATCTGAGGCCACAGTAAAGAAATGGAGAAAAGAGCTTTCTGTTAGTCAACGGAAAACATGAAGTAGACTGCAGTAGTCCAGAGGCTAAGAGCACAGAAGCAAGGCCTCCCTGCTTGGATTCCAGGCCTGTCTCTGCCACTTGGCAGGTATGTGGCCTTGGATAAGTTATTTAACTTTTCCATATCTCTGTCTCCACATCTGTAAAATAATATGCACATCTACTAGCACTGTAGTAAGGATGAGAGTTGATACAGGCAAGAGTTTTGACCAGTGCCCGGCACATGGCAAACACCATTAGTGACTATGATCAGTGTAATTAATATTTACAGTGTCGTTGGAATAATACAATTTACTTTTAACTTCAAAAATCATAGCACTCAAGTGTATTGAACTGCTACAAAAAAAAATGTTCTAAGCTTGCAATGGAATATAATTTGTCCCACATCTTTGGCACCGACAGGCTGTACTGCTAATCTAACTGGTATATCCTAACATGTAAACCTAGAAGCAAATCCAATTATAGAGTGTCTGGGGGAAGACAGAAGAAACAAGAACCCAAAGTGAACAAATCCATGTTTGAATTGCTACTGTTTTGCCTTCTTGAAAATTGTGCTATTTTAAATAATATAAAATATGAAGCATCCTAAAATCAGAGTTTTAGAGCTGACAATGCCTCTATATCCACAACAATATAAAATTTAGCCTATAGTAGGAATCAAGTTTCAATTAAATAAAGGGTTTTAAGAACATTTTTAAAGCACATGTTTTAGTCTTAAGCAGAAACCAACAGCTTACTCTATTACTCCCTTCTCAGACCACTCCCATAGCATCTGATAACGAAAAGCTTAATTCACTAGCTTGCTTTACTATGTACAAATTGTATGATCTTACCAAACAATTACTAACAGATTACAGAAGCTTCTGCCTAACCCATAATTTCTACCTCATTTCCCCAAATCAGTGTCATTCAATTTCCTATTATGAAATCATCAGGCAGATTCATGATACTCATAGAACACAATAACTATAAATTTGAATATATATGAGGAAGGCCCCCCAAAATGTCTATACTTGTAGTTCATATGGGAAAAAAGGTATTTGGAAAACATCCTTCTTTGAAGAAAACTCAAATTGTTTTAGCAAGTCTTCACCAAAAACAAAGTCAGTAGGATTTTAAAAGCCTTAATTCTAACACTGATAAATAAAAAAGAGAATCAAAGTAGCATTTTTGTTTCTTTCAACGTATTGACATACAATGCTATTTCCCTAAAAAACCTCACCAGTATTTTAATGACTCATTCTAGGGACCCAAGAACTTCTCTTAAAAACTTATTTCACGATTCAAAAGAAAATAATGTAAAACTTCAATCTTTTACCATATTAATTCCAAAACAGGTTTTGCCAACAGTTTTAATGAATACCATCTCAATAGTTAAAAAAGGGGTGGGGGGGAACACCCAAATTTCATATCCTTTCAAATATAAACCAATTAGTAGATTTGCAAAATGTAATATTGACAATTGAGGTCTTGTTTAGAACTTTTCACCTTCAGTGAAATGTAAGTAGTCCGTCTTGTCTGAAAATCTACAAAAGGATGCCATCTCTCTGGAGAAGGCAGCAAGTCTTCTGATGTCAGACTCACACCCCATGGAATCATACCCACTCCCTGCAGCTGAAAGGGTTTTGGAAAGTGGCTGACTGGTTAACAGATGCTTGGCTTAGATTTCATCCCAAATATGTTTTTAATGCTGATAATGCTTAAATGCAACTGTTCACCACAAGGGAAAGAGGAGAAGAATGAAAATCTGCTGTGATGTAAAAGAACGGGAAAACAGCTTCAGGGTAACAGCTTAGCTCAAATTTTACAGTGATTTTCACAGACATAAGAATATTGGTCCTTCCCAATCTTTTCACCACTGAGAACCCCCTTTTCTTCCTTTATCCCCACTGAGAAGCTCATGATTTGAAAGAAATCTCCCTACCAAATTGCATTTAGTAGATAATAACTGACTCCATTTTTAGAAATAGTTTATGTTAAAATAAACCAATGTAAGCACACTGTGTTCATAAAAGGAAATAAACTTCAGGCTTCACTTAGTTTCTCAAGCCTCATTCCACAAACCTGTATGAGTCCCTTTAACTCTTTTTATTACTATTTGAAAACTTATTAGTCACAGACTAGACATAAAATCAGAAACTGAGGTTGCAAAGGAAGGAAAGTCAGGCAAAAGCTAATTTAGGAAAGAACCGCTGAAGAGACAGGGAAACCTGGGGGATGATCTACATGAGAAAACCAGGGTACCCTGAAACAACTTCTAAATTATATACGAATACTTTTAAATCAAGAAAATACTCCTCCTCCTCCCATGGCAGTTCCCTCCCGTGAAAAGCATCCTTCGTTAAAGGCATCTCAAACTTCATGAAGCCTTTCCTAGTGATCAAAAACAAATGTTCTCCTTTCAGATCCTACACAGTTCCCTACCCATTCTTCATTGCTGAAGTGAATTTTGCGCCTCTGTTCTAAATCTCATAGTCATTCATGTTCCTATATTATCCCTCCATGCAACGAGAACGCAGACAATAGTGGAAAGAATGTGGGTTTTTAGAGTTGGCTCAAGCTGATCAGAATTCAGTTCTGCAACTAGGTGACCTTGGGCAGGCTGTTAACACTCCATGCCTCAGAATCCCTACCTGTAAAGTGGGGCAGCAGCATCTGATGAGGTCAGCGAGGATCAAACAGGGAATCAGTACCCAGTGGAGTGCCCAGTGAATACAAGTCATTACGTGCACGACACCTCTAGGGGTTTGTGAGGGTGGGGAGATGAACGCTATTTCTCCCATGTTGCTGTGCTTGCGTATTTCTGTTAGTAGAGACACCAAGGAAACAAGAAAGCTGGCACTGCAGATTTGATTCACTGCATTTAATTCTTATTCTATACATTTCAACTAAGTATAGAAGGAAGAATAACTACATTTTCAAGAACGCTTACATAAGAACTAAGAATGGGGGGGAGGGGAGGTTGAGTCCTTACTGCTAACTAGGATAGAAATAATTTTTAGACTTCCTATCAAAAAGAAGTATTTTAGCATAACAGGTCAGAATACCACTTATATATTCTGAAATTATTCCTGGTATTTTAATATTTGAATTTTTCAATATTCTGAACTCTGTTGACTACATATAAAAAACACCCTGGGCACATCTCAAGCCTAGAGCCAACAATCTTAGGTTATACGTCACCTCTTACCATCGTGTATGGAAAAATAAGTCCAACAGCACAAGCCTCATCGGCGTCACCATTCACTGCAGTGATACAAGCTGGCATCTCCCTTAATCCTACGAAGTACCTGTTTTTATACTTATTTTCCATGAGAAAATGGAGATTTGCAAGGATTAATTAACCTGCACAGTTAACAAGGCAGCCAGCCAGGTGGCAAAGATGTGGGATGTAAATCAGGTTCATCTTAGCTCTGCACAACACTCTTTAAGACCAAGTGGAAAACATTTTAGTTGCACCCCCCACCAGGGCCTTTCCAAACTTTTCTCTTTAAAAAGAACCATCCAATAGGATCCTACATTGTAAGATTTTAACTTAAAGTAGCACTTTATGAATTATTTAAAGAAAAAAAGATGAAATATGAAAAGTTACATTAACACTGAATTCTCTTTAATATCGTCTGCTATTAAATGTGCATGGAACATAAAGAAGAAAGATTCATACCCCTTATCTCCTCGGGTGTCCCATGCACCAGCGGCAGGAATCCATGACAGGTGGTGCACGGGGCCCACAGGGACCCAGGAGGGCCCACATGGGCTGGTGGAGCCCTGGAGGCTGCGAATGCTCTGGCACAAAGATGGGACAGCAGATACTTGGCTTCGAGTTTACTTAACACCATACCATGCAGGAGGGAAAAAACCCTAGCACTGACAGTATAAATGTTTTAAAATAATGAGCAAATTAATGACCACATTCAAATCAGCATCAAAGAAAACAATGGAATGCTTCTCTTCACTTAGCTGCAGGAAGTCCCTCCCAGCATGCAGTAGTCAGTTCACCTCCAGGACCCTATCCCTCCAAGAACAAAATCTCTGTGCATTTTTCTAACTTTTATTCCTACTAAAATCAACTACACGTACACTGTTTCGAGAGAACTGACATAAACTTTACTTTCTCATGTATAAAGTTCACTATCTCTAACTTCATCTAAATATTATAATCACTTAAATTCACAAAAAGTAAAAAGGAAAATTCCTACATGTTCTGGTGGATAACAGGCAGGATATGGGCAGTGACTACAAGCTGCTCAGAATAACATTCTTAAGGTAAATTTGTCCAACAAAGAGTAATAATGCTAAATGTTAGAGGAAAGAAGAAAATTTGATGAGTCATGAATTCTACCTCAAATAGTAGCAACCTCCAAATTAAAACCAAGCAAGCAGTTTTGGGCTCAGCTGGTAACCGTTTCTCTTTTCAAAACCTAGCTATCAAAGCCTGATCAATATTATTGGCGAACTAAGAATCTATCAATCAAAAGATCTACTTAGAGGTAGAGAAAGTGGCTGAGCCTGGGCGTTAAGGCATTTTAAACACCATGCTGATCAATGTAGAGGGTTTTATGCCTCATATTCAATTGTATTCACATTCACTTCCATCTGTGTCAAGGCTACAACTGTTGATTTCCACCCAACAACTGCTGTCCGCAGCAGGTGTGCGCACGACACATGTGCCCAAACATCTCCAGCGTGCCACCAAAGCAAGCAGACACACATGCCAAGTCATCCTGCCTTCACGAATCCGGATTCTCTGGTGTTCAAGGCAACATGCAAGCCATTTCTTACGGGCCCCATCACACGACACTCACAACAGCCCCACAATATCACTGTCCCCTGTATTTCTTCATCACTGTACTGACAATCGCATTAACACCAAGTTACATGTTGAATGTCCCAAATCCAAAAGTCCAAAATCTAAAATGCTCCAAAGTCTGAAATATTTTGAGTGCCGACAGGACACTTAAGAGAAAATATTCACTGAAGCATTTCAGATTTCTGATGTTCAGATCTGGGATACTCAACAGGGAGTATTTGCACATATTTCAAAATCTGAAAGAAAATCTAAAAGAAAAACCGGAAATTCACAACCCCTCTGGTCCCAAGCATTTTGGATAAGTGATACTCAACCTGTACTACCAAAGCAAAATAACTCCTGCTTCCTTTAAAGGGGAGAATAACTCTCTAATGCTGACAAGCAGGCAGGTCCCATTCCTCTCTCAGCGGCTTACAAAGGTGCACCAGGTTATCACAGAGTGTAACAGGAGAGGCTGAGAAGCTTCCCTGTGGATACCTCTCTCAGGTTATAAAAACAGGTTGTTTCATAGGCAAAGCCACTGAGACAGAAAGTCACCTGGTAGTTGCTTGGGACTGGAAGGAATGGGGAGGCTGGAGGGGTGAAGGGTAAGGGCTGTGGGGTTTCTTTCTGGCGATGATGGCTGCACAACTCTGTAGGTGAATATACTAAAAGCCACAGAACTGTATATCTTAAATGGGGAAATTGTATGCTATATGAATTATACTTCAATAAAGCTGCTACACAAAACAGGTTATTTGGAAATGTTATTATACTAAGACATTCCACACAAAAGAGTAATTGGTTATTTAAAACATATATATTGAATGAGGGAGAAACCATTTTGGGTAGATAAGGTATGATTACTTCTTCTCTCCTAAAACCACACAAAGTTTTGGTATATACAATAGTAACTAAAATGGTAACAATGTTTAATACCTTGGTGAAGTACTCCTCTAGAAAAATAAGTGCATATATCCTAAGTAAATCATTTCTGAACCCAAGAGTTACGTTTGGTGTACTGAGAAGAAAGATAGTTATTTAAGTATTCATTACCTTCAGTATGGCAAGTAGTTTACTGTAAGACTAAGCCCTGAAAAAGGAACATTTAAGATTTAATAATCAGGACAATTTTTTCATAAAATGTTTTTATCACTGTATAGAAAAAATGAAAACACTAAAATTTTTAACACATTTGAAGAAAATACCGTTAATCATATTTTTCCTTTCTGGGGACCTCTGATGTTCTGGGGGTGGGGTGGGGAGGCTTTATTTTACTGCATCCTCACAGGCCAAACCACAATTCCAGGTCGTTTGGACTTTCACTCTGAGAAATCAACAGTGCAGTAACACAAGCTTGGTTTCTACCACAAATTATTTGTTAAGTAGGTGATCTATTTAACCAACTATGTGAGTTGCTTGAATCTACAATTATAAGTTTTATGTATCATCGAAAATGTACAGTTTTATAGGGCTGGGGCATGGTGGCTCACACCTGTAATCCAGGCACTTTGGGAGGCCAAAATGGAAGGAGATTGCTTGAGGCCAGGAGTTCGAGACCAGCCTGGTCAACACAGTGAGACCCCAACTCTAATAAAAAAAATTTTTTTTAATTAAAAATTAAAATGTACAGTTTTATCAGTGAAACCACAAAAAGCCTATATCCCCTATCCATAAACTTGTGACAACTTTCCCATGAACTGTTTCCCAAATGCATGCTTGTGGATTCGAATGGGTGTAAGGGCACCCTAGATCTCATCTGTCTAGCGTAGTTCCATTCTGTGTCCAATTCAACCACCGCAGACCTAGCAGAACAACCAAAATTCTACCATTAAAAGCTAGTAGTTGTAACTGTAACAACAAACATTTTATATAGACCTTTGCAGTTTTCAAACTATTTTCCCAAGCCTTATTAACTCACTTCATGCCTAAACCCATCCTGTATGACAGACATATTTATTGTCTACACTTTAGAAACCAGAGACTCCAGTGTCAAACATGAAACTAGAAGACTTACTAGAGAAAATACAGCCAGGAAGCAATCATCAAACCCAGGTCTTCTGACTTCATGCTATTTACTGTACTCAACCCAGAGCCTAAATTTTTGTTTGGATCTCATTAACTTTATTTCTGGAATTTACATTAGTTTGTATTAATGAAGTTGACTATTATAATGCTTAGAATATACTTCTGAAGTATTAAAAAAATCTGAAAAGAAATATTTCATAAATAGCAAAATACACTTCCTAGGTTTCCCTTATATTTTGAGTAAGTTATGCCAGGATGGGTAGGGTAACAAGTTTTTACTTTGGTTTGTTTTCTACAGATGGCATTTTTTCTCTTAATTCCCTAAGTCAGGGTTTCCTCAAAGAGAACAAATGTTCTTAAAGCTTCTGTTAATATTTAGATCAAAATTTCCAAATTACTGGACTATAATTTAGGGCAAAGTAGAACACCTGTTATATACTTTTTAAATAAAATAACATTTTAAAAGAAAAAATAATACATTTTAACTTAAAACAATTTTTTCTTAACATTCCGGACTAAAGACATTCCTTGAAAATAATCTAGTTTTGTAGATTAGATGAAAATTTTAAAATAAGTCATTTCAGAACTTTTTGCAAATAAAGTACTTTTTAAATGTTCCACACCTCTGTGAAATGATCTGACGTGGCAATTTAGGCATTTCTCTTAATTAATTGACATATTTGCTTCTGTGAAATAGGCTAATACATTTTGCATCACAATCCGCAATCATTAAAGCATTACAAGGCTTCCCTTTACTTGTATATGTAGGAACAGAAACAATTTTCACTATTTTATTCCTTTACTACACCAAATATGAATTTTTTAATATTGCTTCTGTAAGTACAGATCACAGAACATTTCCCCCAACTCAATTGTGGTGTAAACCTTCCCTCACACAGGTATCTACTGAGATTGCAAAACCTGCTCACGGGGCTACCTCCGGCAAACATCAGACTTCTGACTAGCATTATTAGCCCATCTCTCAACAACAGGGAATGTTAAAAATGCCAGGGCAGCTACCACCCCACCCACAGATTAGCAAAAGCAGGAGCATTTCCTCAACTCACTGGTCTTGCCACAAGCTTCTAAGGTCTCTACTGCCCGGCACCCCTATCCACTGCCCAGCTTGTCCAACTATCACCACTGAACTGTACTTTTTTATCCTCTGCCATTCATTCTACCTCTGAAACTACCACTATCTCCCTATGGGCCTAAAGTAGTCAACATCGTCTTTGTACAGGAACCTCATTGGCAATAATAATGACAAGAAGTAAATATTTTAGACGTCTCTGGTATAGGATAAAAAAGCTTAACCAAGGCCAGACATGGTGGCTCATGCCTATCTCAGCACCTTGGGAGGCCTGAGTGAGAGGATCACTTGAGGCCAGGAGTTTGAGACTAGCCTGGGAAACAGTGACACCCTGTCTCCACACACACATACAAAAATTTTAATTAGCTGGTTGTGGTGGTATGCACCTGCAATCCCAGCTACTCAGGAGGCTGAGGTGAAAGAATCACTTGAACCCAGGATTTCAAGTCTGCAGTGAGCTCTAATTGTGCTACTCCACTCTAATCTGGGTGACAAAGTGAGACTCAAAACAAACAAAAAACAAAACACACAAACAAAAAACACAAAACCAAAACAAAACAAAAAATAGCCTGGGCAACATAGGGAGATCTCATATCTACAAAAAAATATTTTTAATTAGCCAGGCGTGGTGGTGCATGCCCGGAATCCCATGCCTGTAGGAGGCTGAGGCAGGAGGATCACTTTAGATTCAGTGTGCCACTGTGAAATAATAAGAGATACATGTTTTGGTATGTATTAATAAGATAATAATAAGAGAAGGAAGAAAGGAAGGAAAAATATTTACTAAAGGAGAAGGGAGGACAGTTACATGATTCCTTTTTTTTTCTTTTGACAGAGAGTCTCATTCTGTCACCCAGGCTGGAATGCAGTGGTGCCATATTAGCTCACTGCAACCTCTGCCTCCCAGGCTCAAGCAGTCCTCCCACTTCAGCCTCCCAAGTAGCTGGGACTACAGACACACACCACCACACCGGGCTAATTTTTTTTTTTTTTTTTTTTTTTTAAGAGACGAGGTCTCGCCATGTTGCCTAGGCTGGTCTCGAACTCCTGGGCTCAAGTGATCCACTTGCCTTGGCTTCCCGAAGTGCTGGGATTAAAACCGTGAGCCACTGTACCCATGATTCTTTAAGACCCTTCAGCAGCCCATCATTTCAAGATGATATGGTCTTATCCCCTGAACTAGGTATCTGACCTCAATCATAGCTGAGTCCCAGACTTCCAATGAACCTTACACCCCACCACTCCCCCAGTGATCCTTCATGTTGATGCACAATCACTCACACACCCTCGCATGAGCCCAGCACTTCCCACCCTCAACCATGCTTTGATCAACTGCAGTCTGGTTCCACTGTGGCCATGGAGCTTGTTTAGTTACATGTATTCCCACAGGGCCTGCCCTGGCACCCCCAGCTCCAAGTTTAGTGGGTCCTGGATACCAGCTGGTCCTCTAACATACAGAAAAACATATTAGAAACTCCTTGTTTTAAATATTTTCATCCTTTTTAAAATGCCAATATCATGTATTTTTACAATATGCGTGTACATTAAGTAAACACATATATTAAAAAGATATACTCAATTCTTTTCTAACTTAATGGGCAATTTTTTAAGTTTGTCATCCATAGCTCAAAGGATACACACCTCGCTATTAGAGCCTCTCTCATTATCTACTCTGTGTGTATTTAGCATAAAACATGGTGGACAAAAGTATGAACATCCATTCATTTATTCATTTAATAAATATGTACATCCACCAGGTGTCATGTGCAGCAATGATGCCAGACAATTCCTGCCCTTGCGGAGCTTAGAGTCCAGGACACCAGACAAACAGAGCAACAAACACCATAAACGTAACCAAGTATAAAGCTGAGCGTTATAGAGGTCAAGGAGTGGGGGTGCTGTAAGCTGGTGCAGGGGCCAGAAAAATGCCTGTCTGCAACAGTGACACCTAAGACCACCAAAGATGAAACTTAAATGATGATTAGAATTTAATGGGAGGGGTTGGGGGGAGTGGTATGGAAGGTGTATTCATTGAAGGCAGAAGGAACGGAGGCTATGGCAGGAGGGCATGCCTCACTCACGGAACCGGGAGAAGCCCCCATATGGCAGAAATATGCTATCAAGAACAGTGGCAAAAACACAAACTCTGCCCCTACCAGCTATATGACCTTAGGCAACCACAGGTCTCTCATCTTCAGTCTCCAGCATTAAAAATGAAGATAATGAGACCTACCCTCCATGGGCTGTCATAAAGATTAAGTGAGATAACATAGTATGCTTTTATCACAGGGGCTGGTGGAGGCTGTGGCTGCTGTTATAATTAAGTCCTTATGTTCTCCAGTAGACTTTAACACCTTTAAGACCAGAATCTTTGCCTGAATGATCTTCTACATATAGATTCCCAACGAGTATTTGTTTTATTCCCCTCAAATGGCCTATGATAGTATGAGAAAACAATCAAAAAAAAAAAAAAAATCAGTCACTGGCTTATGCCTATGTAAGACTCTCCAAGGAAATACAAGAAATCCCCAAGATCAGAAAGGTTCACCTATTATGAGTCTACAATAAAATACGTAACTTTCTATAACTTTGAATAATAAAAGTTTTAAGGTCATCATGACACATTTTATTCTTGCATACTTTATATGTTCTAATCACATTATTAAATGAACTCATAAAGGTGAGAATGAGGCTGAGAAACGACTCTATGCTTCCAAGGCAGAGAAGATGGAAGTGGCAGCCCCTAGCAATGAACGTGCTAAGGAGAGCAAAGAAGGCCCAGAGAGAGGTGTTAACAACAGGTTTTCAACTTGATTCCAAAGAAAGGTTTTCTCTCTTCATTGACAGCCTGGAGGGTCCAATAATAAAATGTATATTCCCTCTGGTTTGGGAAAATTAAGTAGTGATTATGACTCATTACTACTCAATGTGAAATCCATAAAAGTGAGTGGCCAACATCTGTTGAAAAAGCCAAAACTGCTTCATAAAATATAACCTTAACTCTTGTTTCAGACACAACAGTAGTAACACCCCCTCCACTTTCAACACAAGCTTTAATACTAAAATCCACCAACCATCAGAGGGTCTGGCCTAAAGACGGAAAAATGGATGTGGTAGGTGCCATTATTTTAAAATGGACTTTTTCAGCAACACTGAGTATAACGGGGTCACAAGAGGATCGAGAGGGTTGTTAGAGCAAAGTAAATTCCTAAACCTTTGGATTGTTAAAAGAGCAAACAAAGACAAGAATTCTTTTTCCTGTCTTTGTAATGTCTACCATTTAAAGAACTAAACACAAGAACTAGGCATTGGCAAGTAATCAGCAGGCACTAACTTGCAAATTTAATCCTCCAACACCCCTATGTGAAAGGTACTAACAGTAGCCCCATTCGCAGAAGTAAGATGTGCAGGGGCCATAACTCCATCACTTTCCAGCTCAAAAAACAATCAATAAGCAAGTAAGTGATATTAGAAACAGTACACTACACATTTCCAGTGCTTTAATTACAATTGGTATAAATTATTTTCAACACACCTTACAAAACGATTAAGACTCACCAATATCTTGAAACAGCAAGATGAGAAAATTTACCCTAGAGAATGATACAAAGGAGAAATGACCAAATAAAATGGGGCCGTATTAGGGGAGGGGGGCAAAAAGGAAGAAATGAATATATATGTATATGAGAAGACATTCATGGAAAACAAGTCAGAAATTCTGAGGAAGCACAGGAGAGAGTTCAGCTGCTTTTATCATCCCTCTGCGGTTCCTCTGCACTATGAGAGCACAGGAAAGTATGATCCCCACATGTAACCACTCTCCCCAGATCCTCACCTGCATGCTCCTTTGTTTCATTTTATATTTGGAAATCTGTGGGGGTATCTGCAGTTGTCACAATGATGGGGGACAGACATTGTGTGTGACAGCCTCCCCTCATCACCCAACACACACACACACACACACACACACACACACACAAACATCTTGCCTGACTTTCCAATTTCCAGACATTCTCCAGTAAGTAAAAATCCTGAGCATAGACCCAACTCCATTTCACCCATTTTTGGGCACAGGTTTTATACACAATATTTTTCAGGAGAGGAACTATCACATAAGTGGAGGAAATCTCTACTTCAGTTTGGAAGTGTACCAAAAACTGTCCACCTCTTCAGAAAATCATGTCACCAGTGGCAAAGTGGCTCATAATATATGAGTTGCCAATAGGACCCCTCTAAGGACCTCCCGTGCAGGGGGATTCTACGTGCAAGCGCTGGCAAACGTTACAACTTCTGGAGTTCAAAGTGTGATCTGCAGACTGGTCACAAGTCCTTCATTAGGATCTCCTGGTGCTTAGAGAAGGAGTTTGCACCTCTTTCTTTTTTCACAGCAAGACTGACTCAAAGAAGGCAGCTGTTGAGTGGTTTAGAGATGACATTCTCATAGCAGACCTGCATTTCGGTACCACTGTTTTAGCAGTCATACCTAAGCATTCCTACATTTAAATAAGTATTTATAAATGATATTTCCTTTCATTTCTTCTTTGTGAGTTAAAGCGCTATTTTCGTGTTTTCAGCATGTGTTAATCACACTTCAGGACACTACAATGAGCGTTACACAATGTATCATAAATAGGGGAGCTTGGTCCAACAGAGTCAACACTGCTATCACCAAAGAGAAGAACCACCTGGACCCAGCCTTGAACGTTGTCTTCCTAATGGTACAGGGAAACCTATCAAAAAAGGCATTATTACCTGGGCTATTCCAAATGGTCAAATTACATAACACCAACTCTAAATTAAACTCCTAGGACAGATTCTAGAGACTGCTCATGTTTAACAGTTTCACTGACTAGTAGTACAGAAAAAAGATCCCCTCTCCTCCAGGCCTTACAACAGTACTGCAGGTGGCAAAGGAGGGCCTGCAGGCCAACTCTCCTCTGTCAGCATTTGTAAATGAAGTTTCACTGGAAGGCAGCCATGCCATCTTATGTGTACTGTGTCCATGCTACTAGGTGGCCACCATCCCACTACAACTGCAGAGCTCAGTAGCTGAGATAGAGACTAAAGTATTTATCCGGCTATTTACAGAAAGTTAATAGCCTGTTCTAGATCAGACATACCCTGTTCTAGATCAGGGTATGAACAGACAACTCCTGTTCTAGATCAGACATACCCTGGTGTGTTTTAGTTGTATCTTAAACCTATTTTTAATTTTAAATAAATCTATATATATCATAATCAATATTACAAATGTAAATACTATGAGGGATGTTTGAGATAAGCAGGATAGTCTGAGCTTCAATAAATACTCCTAAATTTTAGTCTCTTTCATTTTATGAACACATACCTAAAATTCTCTGCCTAATTTTGTTTATCACAGCCTGAGATCAGGATGGCTTGACTCTATGAATTATAATTTGGTATATTCTTTTTTCTTTTCTTTTTTTTTGAGATGGAGTCTCACTCTGTCACCCAGGCTGGAGTGCAGTGGCATGATCTCGGCTCACTGCAACCTCCGCCTCTCGGGTTCAAGCGATTCTCCTGCTTCAGCCTATTCAAACAACCTTAATAACAGAAAGCCTTTTTTTCTAACAAGTAAGGTTCTAAAAAGCCAAAATAGTCCAATAAGTACAAGTGGTGATAAAGCAGATATCAATTTCATTCCAAAAAACTTAGTCAAAATGATATGATTTGTGCCTATACAAATTATCTGCTTAAATCCACATGTGGCCTCCCTGATGGAATCTGCTACTCTAAAAGTTCAAAGAATTGCATCCAAAACACGAGATGGGCTACTGAGTGACTTTCAGTCCTCAACAGCTTTTGCGCCCAGGAAATTCAGTCATGTGCTGCTGCAGTTATGCTATGCACTTTCTGTGTGACATTCTCAAGCCATTTGTCCTCTGATTCCTAATACGCACTCTGAAATGCATGACGTACTTTTGTCAACCACAGGCTCACATGTTTGCGGCTGTTCCCCCGGCAGGGAACAGTCTCCAATTCTGGATGGTTTTTTCTTTGTCACAGGTACCAGGAATTGATTTCTGTCCATTCTGTGCCCCATAAAACACATCAGAATTGGAGCTCCAGGTGTGGAACACTGCATTAAAATACACAAATATCATTTCCCCCAAGCCTAACCAGGCAGTAATAAAAACAAACCTGTTTTTCTTTTTTCCTTTATTGGAGATGGAGGTACAGTTTCCTCTACTAGGAAATCGGACATGAGAAACCCTGAACAGGCCCAGCTCCCTGGCCTCCTCTCCACACAGGCCCCCACACCCTCCCTCTGAATCCCCCCAAAAGCTCAGATACAAATGCTCATAGGCATCTATTAATGGAATACTTGGCTAAGCATTAATGATGAGCTGTCCTCACTGTGAATATCAAATATACAACAAGTATGATATTAGCAAAACTAGATTCTAATTTTACTCATAAGAGACTTTTTCATTACACTGAAAAGCTAACATTCTTATACCATAACCTTTCCATTGAGACTAAAGAACAATGCTAAAGTTGTTTCCCTAAATTTTATATCTAAATTAGTAAACAACCTAAGAGTTAAGAGTCCGTATCAGATTACTTAAACCCTCCCGATGCAATTGCATCATATCTAATACAACATAATCTGCCTACTTGTACTTAGTGAAAAACACTCTGGGGCTCTACATGTGTCTCCTAAACTCACGTCTTCCTTCCTAACCAAATTCCTCAAAGGGTGGTATCTTTTATTTGCCATGTCCTACAAATCTTAGAGGAACAAAGTTCTGAGAACACAATAGATAACTAAGAAAGTACTCCCCAGCAGACTGCATTAAATAAAAAACTGGAGTATGCCACTTAGTAAAACTGATCGTCAGTATGACAACCACAAATGAGGTGGTCCATCAGAAGTCTAGAGTTACACTGTAACCAACAAGCTACCCAAGGATTCAATTTCCCACGCACAAAAGGAGGTCCCTGTCCTTTATCACAAACGTCGAGTTTTTCCACTTTCTCTTCCTGCTATGACTGATAGAAAATATCCTCATTTTAACCTTCCAAGTGGTGGCCTTGGAGTGAGGTCCCTTAGCATTTGTGATACAACGGCTGGCATCTGTGCACTTCCTGAAGGCCATCAAGGGTAGAATGACCAAATGCTTGAAATACCTCAAGGACTGCGGGTGCGGAACAAGACAAACCTGGCTGACAAACTGAGTTGTTAAGATAACACAGCGTTTCCTATTTCCGCATGTTTTCCCCAAAGCTGTCTCATGTGCCTCAACTCTCCATGTCCCAGCAGTTGTGAGTTTATGAAAAGCTTTCCTATGATGTTTTTCCCTGTTTGGAGGACGCTTGTCTTCAGATTGTGTTCCTCCCTCCTGGACTCCTACTTTAAGCACAGGGCAATGCAAAAGCCAGGGAGGAGAGCTGCAGAAACCAGGGAGGAGGAGAGCTGCAGAAACCACTTTCCTCCCCTTCTTCTGACTTCCCGGCCATCGGCCACTTGTGCCCTCCACGTCTCCGAACCCTGGGAAGATATGGAAACACTCTACCCAGCACCTCCACTTCAGGGTGGAGCCTTTCAGGGTGCTGGGTTAGCAAGGCAATTGACTAAACAGGTTAGTCACATAAGTGAAGACGTAATGCTTCACCAAGCTTCAGGGACAATGTTAAACTATAACGTTGTGATTATTAGAAATTCCATGTCTTACAGCCTCTTATAAATGCATAATTTGGAATAAAACAATATTGTGCAAAAGAAAACTACTTTTATAAAAACCCTTCTATCTAGCTACCCTTAGTTTCAAAAAGAATGTTCAGATTCCTGGTTTACTAAAACTTGAGGCTCCGTAAGTAAAATTATTCTGTTTGTCGTCCACGCTCCACTCCACTCTCAGGGTAAGTCTTGTTCACAACCAGAAAGCTGCATGAAACTGGCAACACCCTGGTTTTCAACCTCCACAAGGTCTTCTAAAAACACAGCTGCGCTAGCAGGGCTTGCAAGGCTGTGGGGTTCTACAGAAAAAAGGACTTGAAGTTCCCTCCTTCTAACCTGGTGACACCAATCAGACAGGCAGTTGGGAACATCAACATCATCATCATCATCAAATAACCTAAGTGGGAGGACTGGAATCTTCCATGCTGGTCCCATGAAGACCCACCCATCAGGAGGAGCCCATCTCATCTGCACTGTGTATGCTCAGCCCACCTCCTTGCCTCTCCTGTGTGAGCTCCGGCATTAACCAGGTGCCTCCCTGAAGTCACTTATGGTCCCTCCAACCTCCCACCCTCACTCAGTCAAATGCACAGGAAGCAGGAAGGAAAGGAGCAGGAAGCATCAGCCCTGCCACGGCGGAACTCAAAGCTGACTTTTAATTTATTTCCCTTTCTTTCCTTCCTCCCTTGCTTTCATTCATTAGTTCAACCTGCAAGTATCTAACACAGTGGCAGGCAGAATTCTTAGATAGCCCTAGGACATCTGCCCACCCCCGTTGTTATGCCCCTTGTATCATCCTTTTGGGCTTGGAGGTGGGGGGGGGGGTGGGAGCAGTGAATATGATGGGATAGCATGCCTGTGATTAGGTTACTAATGAGCTGACTCTGTGTTCATCAAAAGGGAGACTTCCCTGGTGGGCCTGACTCATCAAGGGAAGCCTTTAAAAGCAGGTGCAGTGTCAGAGAGATGACCTTCTGGCCTCAGAAGAGCAAACTGCCATAGGGTGCAGCAGGCCGTGTGGCAAGGACCTGAGAGTGGCCTCCAGGAAAGAGTGACCCCTGCCAACAGCCAGCAAGAACCCTGGGACCTCAGTCCTACAACCACAGTGAAGTGGATTCTGCCAACACCCTGAATGGACCTGAACAGGACCCCAAGCTTCAGATGGAAATGCAGTCCCAATGGCCTTGTGAGACCCTGAACAGAGAATCCAACTACCCAGACACCTGACCTACAGAAACGGTGGAGTAAGAAATGAGTGTTTCAAGCTGCTATGTTTGTGGTAATTTGTTAGGCAAAAATAACATAAGCACCTAGATTATTTTCGGGTTCCACAGATTTAACTCCACCTGCTTTTTACTTTTTTTCTCAGAAGTATACCAAATCTCCTCCCTCCTGTCTGCACCTCTCACCTCACCCCAATCCATAAAACAGACAATTAATGTTTCTGATCAGCGTGTTACAGCCAATAACTCTACACTGATTCTCTACGATTCAGATAAACTTGAGGGAAGGCTATGCTCTAGGGCTGTAGGGTCCTGTCACAAGGAGCACACCATCTCCATCAGGCTTCCCAAAATAACAGAAACTGCTCAGGAGTTCTACATCAGACATGAGGTAGTGCGACCCCTTTCATTCTCAGGAACAAGGAACGAAGGCTCAGGGAGGTGAAGTATTCAAAGACCAAACAGCCTTTAATTTTTACATGTGATACTAAAAACACCTATTGCGTATTTAACATAATGTCACATATCTTAACCTATGCATTCTGGTATCCTACTTTTTGCCCTTTCATTTAAAAATTGGTGGTATGTCCTGTTTCTCAGTTCTTCGTTATTCTCTCATGTCTATAATTCAACTTCCATGCCTAGATCCATTAGGGTTAAGTCCTCCAAAAACAACTAACGACAATCATTTCTGGCAACTGAACTATATTTTAGCCACTGAGTCCTTCCACTTTGCCTCTTCTGTAAAGCTTTATTTACTAACATTTGTTTTGGATGCCTGCAAGCAACTTAGGACTATCCCTCGTAACTCATTCATGAAAGCAAACAACCATCCAGCCTTCCCAAGCTAGTCTCCATGCTTTAAAATATATACAAAGTAAGTGTCTAAGATGGTGCTAATATTACAGACTATGTCACCTTCAGTGAATCTTTTAGTATATTCTTTCTTCACTTAATTCTGTGCTCACCGAGAACCTCAGACTTAACTACATCTTCTCAGCTAAGAGTTCTTCCTTACTCCAAGAGTAACCTAAATTTGAAAACAGCTTATAACTTATATTGTAAACTATTTTAGAATTTAATTAAAATTATTAAAAATTATTTTTAAAAGACAAATGCAGGAATTTCTACTTAAACAGTATGTATAAGATTAACCTGCAGATGAGGTAGGGTCCTCGCTTCACATACTTTCTGAAAACAAACAAAATAATAATAATATAATAATAATGTGTTCTTCCATTAAAAGAATCAAGAAATGAAAAATGGATAAACACTGTAACATTAAATAAAATTAAACATAAAATTCTCAAAATAAAACATGATTTGGTAGCATATATCAAAAACTATGGCTGCAATCTCTGCTTGAAAAACATTTACTTTTATTAATACTATTTTCAGGCCAAATGTGGGTTCTGTCTCTAACTATGTACTTCCTGGATATCAAGACAAGCATAACAAATGTAATCACTTGTGAATCCAAGTCAAGACTTTGGGGATATCAAACACTGAATATCAGTAAAATGTAACAGTAAGACAATATGTACCTCTATAATCCGACTTAGATTAAGACTAAAATTCGATAGGAATTTGAGCCTAAAATATTACACATTTACAAAGAGAGGAAGCACATGTGCCAAAGGGAGATGATGACCTTCAAATGAAAAACAAAGTGCCTGTTTAGGGCCACAGAATGCACAGCTGCACACCGCAGCCCTGCTTCCCGGAAACTTGGCCATTTCCTCTTGTTCTCGCAAATCTCACTGGATGTGGCTTCCCACCTACACACCATCAGAAGGGGTTTTGAAAGTAAATCCTTCTCTGTTTCTTTACGTAATAAGATTAACTTGAAGCCAAGCAGGGTCACCTAGGCTAGTTGCTCCACCGCCCTGTTCCCAATGCTTGCCTTGGTGAATAGGACACAGAGGACATGGCTGTGATGCAACTTACACCAGCCTCCTATGGGGAAGGAGAGCCTGCTCCTGGAGGAGCTCTCAAAGTGCACGCTGAGATCTGCTGTGTCCCACACAAAATCTGAACTGAACTGCAGGGTGCCAACGAATGATTCTGTTTACATCGTTTTTCTGGGGGAACTCAAAAGACGTGCATACATTTTTGTCGACCCATTCAGTATCTCTGTCAAGGTAAGAAACAGGAAATACTATTTTTCCAAAAGATAGAATCATAGAATTTAAAATCTGGAAGAACTCTCAGGGATAGACGCTGTCACATAACTCTCTGCCACTGCCCAAGATTCCAAAGCTGGGGCAGAGCTGGGACAACTCATAAGCAGCAGACACGGCTACCTGTCCTCTTACCTGCCTCTGTGTCAGCTGCACTCATGGAAGGAGGAGGTCTCAAAGGCTATCCCAGAGACAAAAGGCTTCATGCCCAGGATTCCAACACTATCATTTTCAACAATCCTATTTATTTTTGATCCGGGAGACGCCCTCAATCAGGAACTTACATGTCCACACTGCACGCCATCTGATTCTCTCCAAGTAGGAAGGGCAAGAGGAACGGCAGCCTCGTGCTGCCCTACCAAGCCCGCGCCTTAACATCTCTGCGATGTTAGAAGTCACCAAGTCTGATCAACTGGGGCTTCAGGATTCTTACCTGGAAACAGGGAAAAGTGGGAGGGAGAGGAGGTGCCCCTCAGAGAATTGTTACAAGGTTTAAAACTTCACATGTATTTCTTAAAAGGTGGTCCCATAAACACCTGCATCAGAATCCTGTGGAACAGTTACTCAAAATGCAGGTTCCAAAGCCCCGCCCCAAAGATACTGAGAAAAGAGGTCTGGAAGGGGCTGCATTTTACTGTTTCCAAGACAATGCTTAGGTCAGGTTAAAAGCTTCCCAGCTTCTTTTATTCTTAGTGTTTGTCTCAGAGCAGATGATTTACTGGCTGGGGGTCTGAGCTAAGGATTCAAAACAATACAAAATGAGGTTGCGATGAAAGGGAACTAAGACATCATCTAACCTACTGGGTTTCAAACTTTTGTGACCTTAACCCACATTAAGAAATACCTTTTACAATACAACTCAATATGCTTGTGGGTTTGGTTCCAGACAACTGCAATAAAGCGAGTCACACAACTTTCTTGGTTTCCTAGTGCATATAAAAATTATGTTTACACTATACGTTACATGGTACATTTATCCTATACTGTAGTTTATTAAATGTGTGGTAGTATTTGTCTTTAAAAATGAACACACCTTAATTTAAAAATACTTTATTGCTAAAAAAAAAAAAAAGAAAAGAAAAAGTGCTAACATCATCTGAGCCTTCAGAGAGTCGTAATCTTTTTGCTGGTGGAGGGTCTTGCCGCGATGTGGATGGCTGCTGACTGCTCAGGGTGGTGGCTGCTTGAAGGCTGGGGTGGCTGCGGCAATTTCTTAAAATAAGACAGTGATGCAGCTGCATCTATCGACTCTTCCTGTGATGAAAAACTTCTCTGTAGCATGTGATGCTGTTTGACAGCATTTTATCCACAGCAGAACTTCTTTCGAAATTAGAGTCAAGCTTCTCAACCCCTGCTGCTGCTTTATCAACTAAGTTTGTGGCACATTGGAAATCCTTTGTTGTCACTTCAACCAAGTTCACAGCATCTTCACCAAGTGTAGATTCCATCTCAAAAAACCACTTTCTTTGCTCATTCATGAGAAGCAACGCTTCATCCCTGAGGAGTTTAATCACGAGACTGCAGTAATTCAGTCCCATCTTCAGGCTCCACTTGTAGCTCTAGTTCTCTTGCCGTTTCCACCATATTTGTAGTTACTTCTTCCACTGAAGTGCTGAACCCTTCGAAGTCATCCACGAGACTGGAATCACCTTCTTCAGAACTCCTGTTTATGCTATTTTGACCTCCTCCCATGAATCACAAATGTTCCTCATGACATCTAGAATGGTGACCTTTCCAGAAGGTTTCCAGTGTACTGTGTCCAGATCTACCAGAGGAATCACTATCTATGGCAGCTACAGCCTTACAAAATGTATTTTGTAAATGATAAGACTTGGAAGTCAAAATTAGTTTTTGATCCATGGGCTGCAGTACGGATGTTGTGTTAGCCGGCATGAAACCAACATTAATCTTCTTATACATCTACACAAGAGCTCTTGGGTGACTAGGTGTATTGTCAATGAGCATCAGTATTTTGGGAAAAAAAAATCTTTTTTCCTGAGCAATAGGTCTCAAGAGAGGGCTTAAAACAGTAAACCATGCTGTCAACAGATGGGCTATCATCCAGGCTTTGTTGTTCCATGTACAGAACATAGGCAGAGTAGATTCAGCATAATTCTTAAGGTATCTAGCAATTTCAGAATGGTCAATGAGCATTGGCTTCAACAAAGTCCCCAGCTGCATTAGCCCCCAACAAGAAAGTCGCCTGTCCTCTGAAGTTTTAAAACCAGATGTTGATTTCTCCTCTCTAGCTGTGAAAGTCCTAGATGGCATCTTCTTCCAATAGAAGGCTGTTTTGCCTACACTGAAAATCTGATCTTAGGAAGGTCTTCTGGAGAACTTGCTGCAGCTTCCACATCAGCAGTTGCTGCTTCATCCTGCACTTTTGTTATGGAGATGGCTTCCTTCCTTCAATCTCAGGATTTAACCTCTGCTAGCTTCCAACTTTTCTTCTGCAGCTTCCTCACCTCTATCAGAATTTGCTGAGGCCTTGTTCTGGATTAGGCTTTGTCTAAAGGGAATGCTGTGGCTGGCTAGATCTTCTATCCAGACCACTAAAACTTTCTGCATGTCAGCAATAGGCTGTTTTGATTTCTTATCATTTGTGTGTTCACTGGAGTAGCACTTTTAATTTCCTTCACATTCACAACTTGGCTGTTTGGCACAAGAGGCCTAGCTTTTGGCCTGTCTCAGCTTTCAACATGCCTTCTTCACTAGGTTTAATCATTTCTAGCTTTTGATTTAACATGAGAGATGTGCAAACGTTACTTTCACTTGAACACTTAGAGGCCATAGTTGGATTTATTAACTGGCCTAATTTCAATATCGTTGTGTCTCAAAAATAGGAGGCCTGAGGAGAGGGAGAGAGGCGGGGTAACAGCTGGTCAATGGAGCAGTCAGAACACACACACTTACTGATTAAGTTTGCCACCATATACAGGTGTGGTCCATACTGCTGCAAAACAATTACGCTAAAAACATCAAAGATCACTGACCAGAGATCACCATAACATGTAACAATGAAAATGTTTGAAATACTGTGAGAATTACCAAAATTTGATACAGAGATACAAAGCAAGGACATGCTGTTGGAAAAATGTCATGGATACACTTACTCAACACAGGGTTGCCAGAAACCTTCAATTTGTTTTTAAAAAAAAAAAAAAAGAAGAAGAAGAGGAAGAAGAAAAAAAAACCCCGCAGTATCTGTACAATAGAACAAAGTGCAAAAAAAAAAAAAAATGCCTGTACATGAACACTTGTGTTATATATACTGACTTTAGAGACTCACAAAATCACTCTTGATATGTGCAATGAACTCTGATATTTCTGTACTATTTTAGGGCATCTTTTAGTTTAAAAAAAAAAAACTGCTGGACGCCACATGCTGCTTGAAAAATACTGATCTATTTTACCTCCTCCAGAAATGGTTCTTTAATGTTAGTCCTCAGGTAAAGATCCTGGAGTAAAAGTGAACCCTGAACCCTATCCCAAAGATTCTGATGCCTCAGCTGGTGCTGAGGATTCTGCGTTTTCACAGGTATTCCAGGTGACACTAATGCAGGTGATTCCTCATCACAGCAGAAGACCCGGCCCAGGTTGCCACCCGCAGTACTGTCCTATTAATACGGGATTGGTGGTAAAGACACTGTACTAAAACTGGGAATCCACAAACCTGAAGGGTCCCCTATGACTCCGGCCAGAAACAGCCTAAGGCTTTGATAGAGCCATCCAAACACGCGGGCAGCATTCCCACACGGGTTGGTAAGACAGGCACACTTTAGAAAGCAGCAGATCTTTTTTCAGCACTGAAATAGGACACAAAGACTCTCTGAGTATTTTCAACAAGGAAAGCAAGGTTTGCAGAGGCAGAAGTACAGGGCAAGGATCTAAATGGAGTTCTCCTACTCCACTGTGGGCGGGGGGTAAGGAAAACAATGATCTGGTCAGGCTTTTGCAGAGTAAACAAAAAAAAAAAATTATAGAAAAAGAAAGCAAATCATCCTCCTCCCTCTCCACTTCACATACACACACAAAGCACTTGGCCTTAAACTTAAGTTTCTTATGCCACTGGCTCTGCTAAAGTCTAGTAGTACTTTTCCATCTCACAAACATTCACCAATGTCACACCACCACACTAGCCTTGTCATAGTTCTATAAACTGAGCTACCAGATTTCACCTTGACCAAGTCTCTGACAGCATCAGAAACCGAGGCACTTGTCCTAAATCTTGTAAACTAAACAAGAAGGCGCAGAGCAACAGCTTCCCTAGCTCAGTAAGAGCCGGAGAAGGGTTGCTGCCGGCACTGCCAGCGGCACAGGGATCCCACTTCCACATCCCAGTCCTCTTCAGAGGAGTTTACTGCTATTGGAAAGTTCACAGCCTTTGGAAATTGTCATCTGCCATGTTTCAACCAGGAATTGGTGCCCCATCTAATGCAGGAGGGCAGTGGCCGCGGAACCCCCACAGCAGCCGGGTATAGCCCTGGCTGCACAGGCTGTGCGACCCTCACCTGCCCCACTGGGCTTCTTGTGAGGTGCACAGGAACCACAGAAGCCACAGCTCTGTGGGGAGGGGCCCCTGCTCCAGCCCCACTGCGCAGCCTCGCCCAGGGCCCACCTGCTCCTTAAGACTTGCCTGAGACTTTCTTTTCAGTTACAAACTACTCTTATTATGTTGTTGGGTTTTGAGGTTTTTTTGTTTTGTTTGTATTTCAACATCAATTTCACAGCAGAGTTGACTCTTAGAGACTCAGCTCAGGTCCTTAGATGCTAATTGTTGGAAAAGTTAAGAAATTTTTCAAATTAAATGACATAAACATTGGGACTATTTCTTCTGTGCTCTTAATATCAGTCTTCTATGTGGGTTATTATGATTCCATAGTAAAACTAAGAAAATTACTTTAGCAATCATTAGACACTCACTCTGTCCAGGCACCACCCTAAGCTCTTTAAACCGACGACTTCACTAATTCATCCTAACAACCTGCCAAAGGGGGTCCAGGCAGGTCTGTGCCACTTAACTGCTTACTGACACAGATGACAAAGTGCAGAGATGAAAACATGCCCTTGTGCTGAAACTTACTTACTTTGCAAAAGTTGCATTTTAAAATCCAACCTGTTTTGGGAAGGTAAACGAGACTCTCCCCCCAACACACACATGAACTATAGTTATACTAAAAATCATTAATAAGACTTTTATTTATTTAATCAGAAAAGCAGAGTCTTCTTTCAAAAAGTTACTGAATGTTTTTAAATGCTTGATTTCAACCATGTATGTTATTCTTTTACTATTTTCTCAAACTTTGGACTGATTAGTACTGGCAATACGGTGTAAAAGACAGAGACACTTTCCTATAACCTTATGCAATCTTTATGCAAGCCATGTGTCAGGCTGGGAATGCCCACACACACTGCCCCACACGTGCTGCGACAATCACACACCAGAGGCCCTGACACCGGGAACAAAGTGCCAGGACAGCCACACAGGGCTGCAGCAAGTGCCACACACACTTCTAGAATGATACTCACATTCACATAGCTGCCCAGGACTTACCCTAGCCATTTTCTCATTAATTTAGTCAGGTATGCCCTTGTCATCATTGATCAAGACAATCTTCCTATAAATCAGAAATCTAATTTTAATAACTGAGTGTGCCTGTGACTGAGCAGGCTGCAGCTGTCGTGGCTGGCATGGGAAAGCCCCAGAATCCTAATTCCCCACCTTCTGTATACTTCATACCTGGGTTCGTGGGGGACAGCACGAGGGAGAAGAAAAGCTTTATGGTCATTTCAATGCAACAACTCTCACTCTCCTGGGGACTAGTGCCAGGACTGAGGGCAAGAAAGGGGCCCAGAAAGAAGCTGCAGGTGTAGGGATAGCATTTCCTTTCTGTGAACTCTCCTGGTAATGGTTTAACAGGACAGAGTTAGGACACCTCAGAGAGTCAACCTGAATGGCCTGCGTATAATGACCACATTCTGTACAGTGGCTCTCAGGACACTGTAGGTTCTGTTGTTTTGTTCATTCCTGGCTCCAGGTATGCTTAGTAACAAACATCCTTTAGTAAACAATGGGAGGAATGAAGTATGTAAAAGACCGGTGATCAGAGAACTCGGTGACGCATGGGGCATCGTGCTGGAGGAGGAATGCATGATCTGGGCCTCTGCTCACATACCAGACCACTTGGCCCTGCCGTCTTAAGCTGGGCTGTTCCCAGCACGCCTCCTTGCCCTGTAGGAGATTTCTAAGAGGTGGCATAGCAGTTAAGAGCCTGGCTCTGGCCAGGCTGCTAGATTCCAATGTCAGCTCCCCTTCCTAACGATGAGACCTTGGTCTGGCTATCTACCATATGAAGCTATTACAAGGATTTGATGCACCAAGGCAAATAGGCCAGTCATGGAAAACAGTAAAAACAACTGTACTGACCAGGTTCAGGACCCTTGGAGGCAGTTTCCCTGGAATCACTGAATCATGTTAAACTATAAACATGCTTTTATAATACTGCTACCATCCTGGCACATGCCAAATGGAATGACATTGGCAATAATACGATACACAGAGTCTTTAAAAACCAAGAGGTAGGACTCCAATCCACTGTACAGATGTTTATGGTATGCACTGAAATACGACACCTTGATGTCAGTATTATGAGAACAGACCACAAGTTATTTCTAAGACACAATCAACTCAATGACCATTCAGCTCTTTTGGAATGATTGGACATGCAACACCAACTCCAACAATCCAAGAAGGTGAAGCAAATACAAACAAGAAGAGAAAAACCACCTTGTTGTTTGAAACACCACATCTTTTTTCAAATAGGTGTATACATAAATGGGCAGGCAAAACTAACAACAATTGTTGGACAAGTGTGAATTCTATGGCTGGCTCTGAGACAAATTCAACTCTAATACAGCCAAACCCATTCATAAACTACCTAAGAGAAAACAGAATCTGCAGCATTTCCAGATCAAAAAGCTAGTGCTATGGGCAGACTCAAAGAACTCTTGAACTTATGGAAGGAAAGACGTCTGTGCAGGCTTGCTACTATCATGAAAAGGATGAGTCCCCATCACAATCTGAGGAGTCAACCCTTGTTAAGCTCTTGCTGTGAGCCAAGCTTTGCATGGATTATCTCACTGAATCCTCACAAGAACGCTAAGAAGTAGATACCATGATTACCTCTAATTTACAGACAAGGAAACTAACGCACAGAGAAGGCAAGCAGCATGGCTAAGATCAAACGGCTTGATTAAGTGGAGGGGATGGAATTCAAATTTGATTCCAGAACACGAGTTCTTAATCGCTAAAGAAAATTTTTAAAATAACCAAATCAACATAAATAAGTCACCGACTCTCAAAACTAGCTTCTATTGTCAAAATTCAGTTGTCTATTTAGAAGAACAAAAACTAGTTTTATGGTTTCTCGATTTTTAGGCACTTTGGAGTAGTAGAACTTAACCCACGCCATTGGAGAAATTGCAAATAGATTTGTACATACAAGCAAGATCTCACACTTCATGGAATCACTGGATCTTGGAGCTAAAAGATCTCACATTTCGTGGAATCATTAGATCTTGGCGCTAAAAGATCTCAAACTTTGTGGAATCATCAAATCTTGGAACTAAAGAAACTTAAGGAATCATTTAGTCTAAAGCCATTTTATGGATGAAAAACCAAAGTTTGCAGAAGTTCTCAAGGCCATATATAAAAGAAGGTTGGTCTGAATAAAGAAAGCTGAAGGAAAAAAATCAAGTTTTTATCACTAGCATATTCACTAATAAGATGTAAAATCATAATAAAACTGTGATAGGTTTCCAGATCACAATCAAGGTTTGTCATTATACACCAATAAACACTAACAGTGTGCATTGGCAGACACGAATAACAAAGTCACTACAAAAGAACGTTTGTGAAAGAAATGTAGTAGAAGCAACTGCCACAATTCAACCATCTCTTAATTAGCATCATATAAAAAACGATGCATGCTTTTAGTTAGGTTTGTTATGGTTTTCTTTTTCTTTCACCTAAAACAGTTGTGAAGAAGATAAGCTCCAAATCATCTTTATCAGTACAGAAGTAGAGGAAATCTAGGCTGCTTTTTTTGGTCTAAATTCATTTCTCCATTCTTATTATTGAACTAGACAGTCTAGCCTCCTTTTTAAATTACACATGGTAAACACCAAATACAGAAAAGATTTACTTTTCATACAAAATAAATTTCTCATCATTTTACTTTCTTCCTCCAAGTCAAGTTTTTAAAGGCACTTCATTCAACACAATTTTTTTAAACTGTAAAAGGAAAAAATAACATCATAACTACTGATTTGAAATCAATGAGTTCAAATGACTTAAGGTAGGATGTTTCATTACCTAAGGTGTTTATTTCACCTTTGTCAGAAATAAATAGAACACACACTTGTCTACACACGTACACTGACTGATGTCACAGACAAATCAATGAGGTCCTGTATCATCAAAGTGAAATATAACACTCGGTTTCATTCATCCATTAAAAAATAATTAGGTAAACTGAAGTAACAATGAAATTGATTTCTGATTTGTATCATAATAGGTCTGCACCCATTCTGCTATGTTCTTTCAAACTTTGTGGTGAGCTACGGTAGATGCTAATAACATCCGGTAGATTTTAAATAACAGATTTTTTTCCCCTAACCTTTGCAAAAAACTGTGTGTTTGTCAGACTAACCTGTATTTCCAAACTGAGATGACCCTGCATCCTTTCAGAAAACAGGTGGTAAGGAAACACCTACTGAGTTCTCAATACTGGAGTCTGAGTTTTTCAGTGTGTGGTCAAACATCTGTGAGTCTTGGACAAACAGCCTCGGTTCTCTGCCTGTGAAGAGAGGAATTCTCCAGCAGCCCTCCCTAGGTGACCCATGGCATACCCTTCCTTGGGGCCTGAAGGGCTCTGTCTCTAACCATGAACACCACGGCTTATGGATCTGTCAGGGTAGCAGAGAGCAACTGATGCCACCAATTTCAGCCTTCAAGATGGCCAGTCAACCCAGCCCTTCTCTAGGTTTCCACCTGTGTGTAATTTAAAGAATAAGGAATCTGATTGATTTCCAGCAGGAGCACATGACAGTAAACTCAAGCAGTGACAGCCCTGACTGCGGCTTGCCTGACTGCATGAAGCTCTCTTTCTCAAGGGGATCACTTGTAGTCAGGTAAGATAATTTTTAACTAAGTCAGTTAAAGCAGAGAGTCATTAGAAAGCACACATTAAATATGGTTTTCTTTCATCCTCCCGCTCAATACAGGCACATTGCTGAGTGCCACTTGAACAGCCCCGTCCCTCACTGTCAGTCTCCTGCCCTGGGCCAGTACCATGGTCTTTTTGTGAATGAAGGATGAATCCCTGGACAGAAGCTCTTCATTGTCTTACTTGAATAAACCCTAATACTCCAATTCTGGCATTCATCCTTATTAAACTGGAGTTAGAATACAGACACACTCTGAAAGAAACTAAGGTCAGAATGCTCATAGATGTTTACAAAATTTTCCCTGACTTTACAGTTCTCTCCTGTGCTTAATGTGACAGCTTATTTTAAACATACCATCTTTAACAAGTCATCCCAAATCAATTTAGCCTTTATAGAAATACTTTTCCCACTCATATCTGAAAATACTCAGAAAATATTTAATTAAATTACATGTTGATAGTAAAGGTGTCCTTGGCATAAATGGGTTAGAAACAAGCACAGCTAACTTGTGCATCAGCTTAGTATCTAACTGGTGAGTCAGGCATGTGAAAGTAGCCTGCTCGCCTCTGCTAGCAGCTAGAGTTAATTATCAAGTTAATATATATATATAGTGCATATATTATAAATAATTTTATATATTTATGTATTAATATAGTATAGTGTCATTTATATATACCAATATTAGTTTACATATATTAACCTGATAATTTAGAAATAACTTTTGAGAGAGAAGAGGGGAAGAAGAGTGAAAAGAAAAGAGGAGGGAGGAGAAGCAGGAAAAAAATTGTACTTTCCTTCTCCTTCATTCCAACCAAAGAAATCCTTCTGCGCTCTAAGTGCAAAGCAGACTTGTTTCCCTCCCAACCTCAGTGTTTGCAAGGTTGTTTGTAAAGAGCACACAAACCTCTAGGAGCAGGAAGAACCTCACACCTGCTCTGAATTCCCCTAGTGTACTTTGTCCGTGTTGTTCAACAGCAACTGAACTCTTCTTGGTCAGAAACAAGAAATTACAAATCAGATCCGGCCATGAGTCTTAACTAACCGTACAGTGTTTTCATCAGGCAAACATGAAGAAAGTACAGGCTACCCTATTTGGTCTCCTGATTGCTAGAAAATAAATGAACAAGTATGAGTACTATACAAATATAAGTCATGAGAACCACTTTCTCAAAAGTTGATGCAAAGCAAATTCAATGTGTAAATTAAAAAATTAAGCAATAAAGTGCCAAACCCTAACTTCCTGGCTATAATCAATCAGTAGACCTGATGTACACTGGTCAGGATAGGGTAATTTGCTTTGTTCTCCATTTTGGGGATTGGGGGGACATAGCTCTTTCCTTTTTCTTCAATAATGCCAACAATTCTTACCCACCCACCACAGGCCTTCCTCAGGCACTTCTGCTATTTTTACTGGCACAGGTTAACATTTAAACTTCAGACACTTTATTTTAGGTGTCTGAAATTTAAAACACCCTACATGCCTGAGACATCTGAGGTTCAATGAAAGCAGCATCTGCACGTTTGAGCAGGTATGTGAGTCTGGAGGGAGAGTTGGGGTGGAAACAAGGTTCACAGAAGTTGGCTGGAGTTCCCCGAAGGTTCCAGAGGAGCCCTGGGGAGCTGCACTGGGGTGTGACATCAGAGGGAGCCACCAGCCCAGGCACCAAATCAACATACTTGGGCGAGCTGGAAATTTTTCTGGTCCTCAGAAACCCGCCTGTTGGTCCTTATAGGGATGGAAGCTGTCCATGCCACCTGTTTATAATTCTATCCTTCCTGAGTACTCTACAAACTATAAATAACACATTTTAACCATTAAACCATTAATTTGCCTTTTTTTTTCTTTTTAAGACAATGTCTCACTCTGTCGCCCAGGCTGCAGTGCAGTGACAGGATCATAGTTAACTGTAGCCTCAAACTCCCAAGCTCAAGTGATCCTCCAACCTCAGCCTCCCAAGTAGCTGGGACCACAGGTGCATGCCACCATGCCTGGTTTTTTTGTTTGTTTGTTTTTGTTTTTTTGGTTTTTTTTTTTGGAGAGATGGGGTCTCACCACTGTGTTGCCTAGGCTGGTCTTGAACTCCAGGGCTCAAGTGATCCTTCTACTTTGGCCTCTCAAAGTTGATGGGATTACAGATGTGAGCCATGGCATCTGTCCCCACTAATTTACTTTAATCTACTATATTTCTCTTTATACTTTTTATTTCATTGATAATTTTCTCTTCATAGTACTATTTGATCAGAATACTAAAAAGATTGCCACATTCTGTTTCTTAAGAACAAACTGTTGCTCTCTGTATGCAGATCTAGCCAAGAGAAAACATATGTGACAAAAAGACTGTTCTTATTAATTTCTAAAGAACAGATCTTAAATTTACAAAAAAAAAAAAAAAAAACAACTGAGTGTGCTCAGGAAAGCTCTATATATACACTTCAACTGGTAGATTCTTGTTTTAATATATACCTTCAAGCACACATGGCAAAATATTTTATTGTTTCATATTTTAAATTATTGTATGTTTTATTATAGGTTAATTCACAGCAGGGGCAAATTTATAGTAATGACTGCTTATGTCAGTCCATTTAAAGTTAGCAAGCCATTTAAAAATATGAGCTTTATGCCAGGTTTGCTTATAAACAGGTCTAAATTACTCATTCATATTAGGCATTTTGCCAGCCCAAATTATTATATGTTAACAGCTAAGCTTTTTACATCAAATCTTTGAGATGATGATTCTTTCTGAGATACTAGAAACCCAACTCTCTGATTCTCCTCTTTTTGAGGAAATGATTTTGGCAGTTGTTAAATATATGAATCGTTGATCTAACTATAACTTACTGTTCTAATTGGAAAGTCAGAAGAAGGTAAAGTCAAAAGGTCTAAAAATAATGTGACTTTTATTATGATTATTATTTGCAGTTGGCACGGCTTCAAGTGGTCTCCAGTAAACCTCAGCAATTTCCAAAAATGTCAAGGAAATAGACCTAAGTTATCTAGGGGCTCATGGCAAACTTACAAGGGCAGGAGTGGGGAAGATGGAAAGAAGGGAAGGGAGAAAGAGGACAGAGAGGAGAAGGGTGAAAGGAGGAAGGGAGTGGAGGGTAGGACAAGATAAGGACGGATGGACTTTTTGAATATGTGTCATCCTCTGACATCCACTTCATTTCTGCTGAATTCAAATTTTAATTTTAACTGTACGTAGAACTACTGGACAATAAGGCTGAATAGAGTAAGCTGCACTTTAAAAACATACCGCTACAATAACTGATGGAAAAATAAGGGTGATATCTATGATTCATGTTGAAATAAAAATTTATTTCCTTTTTCTTTCATGGTTTTTCCCCAAAACAATCATAAAACCACGACAACAACAACAACAACAAAAAAACACTTTCAAAAGTGGTTTGAAAGGAGATTTAGAAGAAACAAATGCTGCAAAATAACCTCCTCTCAACTGCTCCACAGATCTGGAAAAGAGAGACCTCTAAATGGGCTCTGACAGATGCTCCCATAAGTTAAAGGGCACCTGGACAGCAAGAAGCTAAACGCAGGCCACAAAATGGCTGGCTGCAAATAGGTCCCCATGGGGATCACAGCAGAGGGTGCGGAGCCTGGGGAAAGCTGGACACCCCTACTCTTGGCTGGGGTCGCTGGACAATTACCTTGGTGGCCTCAGACAAGCCAAAGCTTCCCTAGACTCTGTTTCTACATCTGTCAACAAGGAAGCTGTCCTCAAAAGTAACCAGTGGTTTAATTTCATGCCATTTCACACTTCCAACCTTCTACACAGAACTTCCCCGTTCATCTACCATCTACTTGTATTCCTTCAAAACTCAACCAAAGGGGCCGACCGCTCCTCCATCTGACTCCCCCTGACCCCACCTGGGGCGCCATACCCTGCACTCGCTGCCCTAGTTGTGGCCCCAGCTGGGCTCCTCCAGCAATCAGGGCTCCCACGGCACCAGGACCCCACTTGGTCCACGCTGCAAGCTGGATGCTAGGCCCGCACACAGGGAGCTCAGCACACAGGGAGAGGGGGAGCAGCCAACACCCTGGGGACCCCATTCTGGGGGGCTGCAATGCTCTGCCACTGCCTCTGTCCCTCTGTGCAGAAGCCCTCCTAAATTCCTCTCACCAGAAGATCTGAGTCTGATAAAAAATCTCCTGACAATTTAAAAATACTGCCTTGAGGGCCAATACTGTCAATTTTGTTGAATGTTTTTTCTTTCTTAGAGTACATTTTAAAGCATTTAATGAAAGAAAAAAAGTGTGCTGCACAACCTCAAACAACACAGAGTTCCTCTAGACCACGGAGCTCAACTAACAACCGCTGCTCGAGAGATCCAGCTAACAGGGTGTCTGTGGCAGCACCCCCAAGGCCATACAGAAGAGTCAACTCAAGTGACCCACTATCAACCACTGGTTTAACCCAGTACGATACAAGCATGGAAGAGTAAGCAATCATTTTAAAAATAATGACATTACACTAAACTATTTACAGGAGAAAGAATATATTAGTAACTGGGACTTGCCTCAAAGTAATTGAGGGAGTAGAGACATGACACGTGACAGGCCACAGATGGTGACTTCCGAAGAGCTCACGGGTGGCATCACCCATTCTTTCTACTTCTATGTATGTCTAAAACGTTCCAATATGAATTTTAAGAAATGATGGCAAATATAGTTCCTGACATAAAGGATGTTCACAATATGGTCTTTACAACGTCATGAGGTATTTTAAGGTATAATTTACATACCATAAAATTTACTCATTTTAGCAGATAGGGCTCTATGGTCATAACATGAGAATGGGACCTACTGGCTCTGAGACCTGTAAGTTATCGGCACTAGCCCTCAGTTTCCTCTTCTGGAAAACAGGAATGTAATCTACCTCTTAGGACTAGATGAAACAGAAAATGGCAAACTGCGACCTGTCGAATAAATTCTGGTGCACTATTTTAAAAATATTCACCCATTTTACACGGACTGTAATAAATTTATAATTGCACAACCAGCATCACAATCCAGTTTTACAACATCACAATCCAGTTTTACAAACAAACTTTATAACAGAGTTTAACTGAGAATAGGATGATTCGAAAATGAGGCAACCCTTAGAACCAGCAGAGGGTTCAGAGTTCCACTTCAGGTAGGTAACACTTATGAACAGAAAATAGAAGTGAGGTACAGAAACAGCTCAACTGGTTAAAGCTCAGCCTTTGCCTTATTTGAACAAGGTCTGATGAACTGTCCACTTGTGACTAACTGAAGCCCAGCTGCTGTGATTGGCTGAGAGTCAGCTATTTGTTACAAAAGTATACTCTTCAGTTAGACTTTCTGTTAGTTTACATACTAAGTTAGATTACAGTTGCTTACATAAGGACTCAAAGCACAGAGACATCTTCAGGCTTTAGTTTGGTTTAACACTTTCTTCGCTCTGAAATGTTTCCTTGTGACTCTTTGCAGTCAATCCTCTCACCGGCCCATACCCCAAGGCAACCACTGAAATGCTTTTTTGCCTAATTTGGCTTTTTCTGGAAATTTCATAGAAATGGCATCATGCAATATGTCGTATTTTGTGTCTGGCTTCTTTCACTTAGCATGCAGTCAGTGAGGTTCACTCAGGTTGTGGCATGTGTCAGAAATTTGTTCCTTATTGCTGAGGAGTATTTAACCGTCTGGATATGATGATGATATACCACATCCTGTTTATCCATTCCAGTTGGTGGACATTTAGATCATTTCATTTTTGGCTATTATGAGTAATACGGCTGTACATTCGTAGAAAAGTCTTTGTGCAGACATGTTTTCATTTATTTAGAAGGAGATACACAGGAGTGAAACTGCTGGTTCAAATGATAAGCCTATGTTTAAACTTTTAAGAAACTGCAAACTGTTTTCCAAACTGACTGTACAACCTTATATTCCCAATTTATGAGGGTTTTGGTTTCTCCACACCCTCATCAACACTTGGCAATGTCAATCTTTTTTATTATAGCTGTTCTAAGTGAGTAGTGGTATTTCATTGTGATTTAAATTTGTATTTTCCTAGTGACTAATGATATTGAACATCTTCTGATGTGTTTATTTGCCCTTCTTTGTTGAGTGTCTATTTAAATCTTGTGCTCAATTTTTAATTTGGTTTTGTTCTTTTTATTGTGTTATAAAAGTTCTGCATATATTCTGGATTAAAAATCCTTTATTGGATATATGATTTACAAATATTTTGTCTTGGTCTGTGGCTTGTATTTTCACTCTCTCTCTCTCTCTCTCTGAGACAAGGTCTTGCTCTATTGCCCAGGGTGGAGTTGAGTACAGTGGCACGATCACAGCTCACTGTAACCTTGAACTGCTGGGCTGAAGCAATCCTCCCACTTGAGCCTACCAAGCAGCTAGGACTACAGGTGCATGCCACCACACCTGGCTCCGTGTGTGTGTGTGTGTGTGTGTGTGTGTGTGTGTAGAGAGACAGTCTTGCTATGCTACCTGGCTGTGTGTGTGTGTGTGTGTGTGTGTGTGTGTAGAGAGACAGTCTTGCTATGCTACCTGGCTGCGTGTGTGTGTGTGTGTGTGTGTGTGTGTGTGTGTGTGTGTGTAGACAGTCTTGCTATGCTACCTGGCTCTGTGTGTGTGTGTGTGTGTGTGTGTGTGTGTGTGTGTGTGTGTGAGAGACAGTCTTGCTATGCTACCTGGCTGTGTGTGTGTGTGTGTGTGTGTGTGTGTAGAGACCATCTTGCTATGTTGCCCAGGCTGGTCCTGAACTCCTAGCCTCAAGCCAACCTCCCACCTCAGCCTCTCAAAGTGCTGGGATTACAGGTGTGAGCCACCTTACCCAGACCATTTCCTTAAAGGTATATTTTGAAAAGCAAAACTGAATATAAAAAAGTTTAAACTATAGACTTTTTTCTTATGTTGTTCATACTTTCTGTATCTTATCTAACAAATCTTTGTTTAATCCAAGATCACAAAGATTCTCTCCTAAGTTTTATAGTTTTAAATTTAGATTTGTGATCCATTTTTATACATCCCTTGACAGAGAAAAAACTAGTGATAAAACTGCATTGCAAAATGACGCCTTTTAAACATATGTAACATGATTATATATGCTTATATGGAGTTACAGGTACACAAACAAATAAAAAGAGAAAAGCCTAACTGGACATGCACCAAAACAGCAGTAGGTACTTATATCCTAGGAAGTTTTATTCTCTTTTTTGCCAGTACACGGAAATAGCATATAATGAAGTGGCTGTAAAATACTATACACCAATCTGTACTGTCTCACGCAGATAACGAATATGTACTTCAGTCATACACAGGTAACACACAGGCACCATCGAAATGGAATGACAAATTTCAGGAGCAAGGCAGCAACTGTCAGGTTAGGCACATGCCAGAACAGAAGGGCAGCGGGACCTGAGAAAGAGGCTGCTGGGACCTCAGAGGCTTACTGGGAGAAAGAGGTTGAGTTAAACTTTCGAGGATAAGAAACATCCGGAGAATCTGACCACAAGTTGAGTTCAGAGGATGCAAAGTCCTCAAGACAAGAGCAAGAATCTAGAGGAATTAAGCAGTATGCTTAGTTTTTTAAAAAGACGTTTCTTTTTCTAAAAAAGTACATTTTAGACCAGGTGCAGTGGCTCATGCCTATAATCCCAACATTTTGGGAGGCCTAGGCAAGTGGACTGCTTGAGACCAGTAGTTCAAGACCAGCCAGGGCAACACAGTGAGACCCATCTCTACCACAAATACAAAAAATTAGCCATGTATGGTGGTGCGATGCCATGGTCCCAGATACACAGGAGGCTGAGGTGGAAGGATCACTTGTGCCGGGAGGAAGAGGTTGCAGTGAGCTGAGATTGCGCCACTGCACTCCAGTCTGGGTGACAGAGTGAGAAACCATCTCAAAAATAAAAATAAATAAAAAGTACATTTTAAAATGAAAAATATTTGGCCGGGCACAGTGGCTCATACCTGTAATCCCAACGCTTTAGGAGACTGAGGCAGGCAGATCACCTGAGAGGTCAGAAGTTTGAGACCAGCCTGGCCAACATGGTGAAACCCCTTCTCTACTAAAATACAAAAATTAGCCGGGTGTGGTGGCACGGGCCTGTAATTCCAGCTATTCGGGAGGCTGAGGCACGAGAATCGCTTAAACATAGGAGGCAGAAGTTGTAGTGAGCAGAGAGCGTGCCACTGCACTCCAGCCCGGGTGACAGCATGAGACTCTGTCTCTAAATAAATAAATAAATTGAAAAACATTTGTATAAAAGTATTTGTATGCGTATAATGTTTTCATTAGTAAGAAACCAACTGGCATCTTCTGAAACACTAATAATTCTTATATTTTGTGTTAATAACACAGTAGCCAGATAATAAAAATTAATGTTATTATGAAGTATGATATGTAGTTTTCATGAATTAAATTTAATTGTAACTACAGCTGCATAATTCCTATTTTTTCCAGGGGTTTTTATCCTCTCCCTGGCCAAGGAACTTCAGATACAAGATAGACCTTCATTTTGAATCTAACGTAATGAACAGTGTATTGACTTGTAACATTACTTCAAATGCTGAGGAACTACTGTTCACTGTTTCAGGTACTTCTGAATGAAACTGTTAGCTGCTACATTACGGGGACAATTATTTTATCCTTTGTTCTTATTTTCTTCTTTTCTCTAGATCACATGTTCTATTTTCCAAAGAATTTGCAATCCACAAAAGAAACAGCCCAGGAAGCATGCGGTGGATGTGCTAAGTAACTCCACCTCCCTGGCGCTGAGGCCAGAAAGCAGACACTTCCTGCAGCTGCAGTTACACAACGATGTTCTGTGGATTTTTCGGGCAATAGTTAATGATTTAAGACAATAAAATCCTGTGCCCTCCTGAATCCGTGGGCACTTCCCTTTGCACCACAAATGTTGGCCTCTGTCTCTACTGCAGCCACGGTGGAAACAGAGAGCAGGAAAAAGAGCTTGGAAGAGGAACCCTGAAGAAGGGGTGACACCACGCATCCCAGACTTCTACACGGCTAGAAACACCCCTGACTAATATTATTACTAAAGTGTATACATGGTGGCAGGCCCTGTTCTAGGCTCTTTACAAATATTAAATCACTGAATCATCCGAACAGCCCAGTGAATGAGTACTACTGTTATCTGCATTTTACAGTGAGGAAACAGAGTCAAAGAGGGGAAGGCACTTGCCCAGGTCAGGGTCACTGCTCTAAGCTCCTATATCCTTAGGTTAACTCTCCATGTTACACTGTATCTTTTACTTCATGTCTGTTCCCCAAAATCTGAATAGCATTTTAATGAGAGACAGGGTTCAGGACTTCATAGGATAATATACAATAGTCTTATTTTGGGCAATATCTTCCTCAAATCCTTTGTTTCTTGAAATCTCTACTTAATTAGCTATTGTTCCACCATACTTAAGTACACATTCCCGTAAGACCTAGAGACCAACACTGACCATACAATGTTAGTATGTGGTCCACTCACTCAACCATGGGTGCCAGGACCTTGCTTGTCCCTAAGCTGCCCACGATCATAAAGACAGACCAAGACAACCTGCAGAACAAAAAAGGAGTAAGTTCACACTCTTCCTCCTCTGTGACCATCGACCAAGGAAAAGAACTCCCCTTTCTCTCTGGCATCCATGAGGCTGGCAGTGCAGAACTCCTTCCCCGGGCACCCTCCACTCCTCTCTCAAATTACCTCTGCGGTAAAAAGACAGGCTGGTGCTTTCAAAATCAGTATTTTATTGTGAGGTCAAGCAGAAATGTACTAGCAGCACAACCACAGATGACACTTGTTTGGCTTAAAACAAGACACACAACTCAAAACAAGCATTTCCCAAGAAATAAAAAGCATAAGCAGCTTTTAAAACGTCTAGGCTATTGACAGGCTCAAGTACTTTTATCAAGGTCTAGAAACATTTGAGACATCCATCAGGATCCTGAAAAGAGCAGTTCAATTCTTCCTACATTTGTTGCTTTACTTAAAAGTACCAGGCATCTTCTGAGGTGCAACGTAACGATAAGAGAAAAAAAGGAAAAAGCTACCAGGTTTGAGTGCACAATTAACAAGGGCTCACTTTCCTTCTTCAATTTTACACGCTATTCCTGCTGTGTTTCTCTAATAAGCCATCAGCCCACCCCCACCCCTTTCCCTGGTCTGCTGAGAAAAGGACTAGGCTTTGTACAGCTTCAGCACCTAGCAAGGGGCAGGTGACTGCCAGGGGAGCGAGGCCCCCTTGTACAGAGTACAGGAAAGGGTCAGTCACAGATGCCCGTCAAGGGCTCCATTCCCATGCTTGAGGGCACTGAACGCCACACCGGACAATTACTACATACATTTTTTAAAAGACTGTTTCTTAGAATTTGTTACTTTTTATTCTAACAATATAAAAAGGTCATTTCCATAAAACTCACAGGTGAACATAAGATCTCTGTCTTAATATGCTTATTTCATTATTAAGTACAAAACCAGAAATATCTGACCAGGAAACATGGTCTGTAAAAAAAGAAAATTACCTTCCTACTTGATTCTAAAAATACTGTGAGAATGATGATGATGTTTTGTAAGGCTTTTGTAGTCCTTGCGGGGAAATGTTTCTGGACACAAGGAATGAAGCTGTTTTACTTTTAAGATACCAAAAAGCAATCACCTTGGGATGCTGCAGACTTATTCCACAGGAACACTGCCAGGACTCAACGCCTTCTGGAATCTCTCTCTTCAAATTGCCTATTATAGGACATTCTTTGGAAAAATCCTTAATGCAGTAAGCCATTATTTTTTAAGAACAGATTACAGTTTGGGAAATAACTATTCAGTGCCCAATATACACAAACAGAATAATCAAACTTGTTTACTCCATTTTTTAAAAAGTTACGACTATAACCTGAGGTATCAGGTATCTAATTACTACAAAACGAACCACCACAAAACTTATCATGGCTCAAACGATAATAGCTTATCATTTCTCATGACTGTAGGTTGACTGAGTGGATCTTAAAAATTATAAATAAAAGCATAAATAAAAATTATAAATGACCAGAATGGTGTATTAGGCCTTTTCACATGGCTGATAAAGACATACACGAGACTGGGTAATTTATAAAGAAAAAGAGGTTTAATGGACTCACAGCTCCACGTAGCTGGAGAGGCCTCACAGTTATGGCAGAAGGTGAAAGGCATGTCTCACTGCCGGAAGAGTGAGGCCCCATTGTACAGAGTACAGGAAAGGGTCAGTCACAGACGTCTTGGCGGCAGACGAGATAATGAGAGCCAAGCAAAAGGGGAAACTCCTTATAAAATCATCAGATCTCATGACACTTATTCACAACCACGAGAACAGTATGGGGTAAACCACCCTGAAGATTCAATTATCTTCCACCAAGTCCCTCTCACAACATGTGGGAATTATGAGAGCTACAATTAAAGATGAGATTTGGGTTTGGACACAGTCAAAGCATATCAAATGGAGATACTGGTAATCACAACATGAGCTACAGTATTCAAAATCACTTCAACTTGCTCATAGTAGGTCAGGAGTGTCCAATCTTTTGGCTTCCCTGGGGCCACACTGGAAGAAGAGGAATTGTCTTGGGCCACACATAAAATACACCAATACTAACGATAGCTGATGAGCAAAAAAAAAAAAAAAAAAAAAAAAAAAAAAAAAAAATCACAAAAATATTCAAAATGTTTTAAGAAAGTTTATGAATTTGTGTTGGTCCATGGGTTGGACAAGCCTGGTACGGGTCCTTAGAACTGCCTAGCAATGCTGGGTTATCTATATGCTATATGCTGTTTTCACAAGTTCATAACAGAACTTTTCACCTTTTTTCTTTTTTTTTTTTAAATTATACCTTAAGTTTTAGGGTACATGTGCACAACGTGCAGGTTTGTTACATATGTATACATGTGCCATGTTGGTGTGCTGCGCCCATTAATTCGTCATTTACATTAGGTATATCTCCTAATGCTATCCCTCCCCCCTCCCCCCACCCCACAACAGGCCCCGGTGTGTGATGTTCCCCTTTCTGTGTCCATGTGTTCTCATTGTTCAATTCCCACCTATGAGTGAGAACACGCAATTTTCAACTTTTTTCTTGAAACTGTCAAAGCCAAGTAAACATGACTGCCATTCAGGTCCACCTATTTCTTGGGGCCCAGATTTTTAATCATTTCTGTATTTTTGCTTTTATATAAATGTAGGCCTGTGACTCACAGACAACTTAGTTTTAAAAAGATGAACAATTTATTCAGAGTTAACAAATGAGCAGAACAAATTCATTAATATTTCCAAGTAAATCTGACTAAGTGAAGTAATTTTTACAATCTCTCCTTTGATCCAGATACAGGATCATCTTAGAACACAGCTTGCCTCCTACCCACCAGGAAAGTTTCTGTTATCAGAATAACTACACGTAATCCTCAAAGTTAACAATCGATGCTGCCAAATGCTCTTAAAACCACAGGATATGACCTTAGCAAAGCATTTCACTAAAAATGCTATGTATTTATCTGTAATTAACTAGTGTTGGAATTCCTACTTAAAAGTGTGTTTTAATTTTTTTTAAAAAGCTGCTATAACCAAGGTGTGATTTTAACTCATGTCGTACTTTATATATAAGGTAAAACAAGAAGCAGAATCTTCTTAAATTACTCTAAAAAATAGATGAGAACGTTTTATTTTTTATTTATTTTTTATTTTTTGAGATGGAGTTTCGCTCTTGTTGCCCAGGCTGGAGTGCAATGACACGATCTCGGCTCACTGCAACCTCTGCCTCCCGGGTTCAAGCGATTCTCCTGCCTCAGCCTCCCGAGTAGCTGGGATTACAGGAACGTGGCACAACGCCCGGCTAAAATTTTTGTGTTTTTAGTAGAGACGGAGTTTCTCCATGTTGGTCAGGCTGGTCTCAAACTCCTGACCTCAGGTGAACTGCCTGTCTCAGCCTCCCAAAGTGCTGGGTTACAGGCGTGAGCCACCGCGCCCAGCCGAGAATGTTTTCTTTTTATGTACTGTTATTTTTTAAAGAAAAATGATTTTTCTAAATCATTTAAACATGAAAATGGAATTTTTGGCTAACTTTGAAAACAGCAAAAACTCAGCTGTTTAACAAAAGAGAAGAAAAATTAACCCACTAAGCCAGTGATTTGTTTATATGCTTACGCTAAACAACAGCAGTAACCACATCAAAGCAGAAACTAAGAGTAGGAGTCGTATATTTCCATAAGTAGCTTTATTCTGCACTACGAACCAAAACAACATCAATGACTCCCTCCCTTACTGCACTTATATCTACCTTCACCAGCCACTCTACAGTTGTTAGGTCCTTTAATCTCTACTTGCAGGTTCAGTCCACCAATTTCCAGGTCAATCCAGGTCCAATGGGGGAAAATGCTAAACCCGATCCATTTATTCAACAAGTTATATACTGAATACTTACAATGCACCATCATGTATTAGACCCTAGGAGCACAGATGTGAATGACATTCAGTCCCTGCCTCCAAAAAGCATGCCTGTCTTACAGGGGAGACCAAAATTAAACATGTAATCAGCACAATTAGGATTCTGTTCAAGCGACAAGCGCAATTACAGACAAAGGACAGGATGGTGGAAAGCATCTGGGGGGACTTACATCATGGGCGCGGGCAGGAAGCCTTCTCTCTTGAGCAGGTGGCACTTAAGCACGACCTCAGGCTGGGGATTCACGGGGAAGGGAAGGGCCCTGAGAAGGATGGAGGCATATAATGGATGGCAGGGAGGGGAGGGGCAGGGCACGGCCACCTGGCTGAATGGCACAGTAAGCCAAGCCCCTAGTACATAATGCCTGGCACCCAGAGGACACTGCTGTCCTGGCTGGTTCTCTCACTCTCTTGCAGGGCAGAAGCCCAAGTATGAACCACTGTCTAGTTGCCAGGACACTAAGATCTCACAACCCTAGTATAGTCACTAGAAAACCAGCTGACGCTACTTCAGCCAGGCCTCCTAATCATAACCGTTGGCCTTGAACACTCCACATAGAGAATGCTGTCTATGTTCTCTCTTTTAAGTCTGTCTCGGCTCATTCTAACAGACCTGGCCCTGACCTCTCCTCCCCAACTCCCTGTCTTGGAATAGGTACAGCCTTACTTCCAACTGAAGAAACCATGGTCTGGCAATGGTCAGACCCAGGACAAGACAAATCTCAAGATGCCACCTGGAAATTAGGCTTGCTTCAAGGCCAGCAAAGCTTTGGTAGTAAATGCCATCATCCTATAAATCCCCTACTTTAGGATAAAAGGGGAGGGGGAAAGAAAGAGGAGAGGGGCAGGGAACAGAAAAAGGAGATGGTCATTAGGATGCAGAATGCCACAGGCCCAAGAAGCTTCTCTGCCATCCTCTCCATAAGCCCACTGATACCAGGAGCAGAGCTGATCCTTAGTGACAACAGTTTCTTCTTAGTACAAAAAGCTGGAACTTGTTTTACTGTTTGAAGGCAGCACATCCTTAAAATTTTCCAAGAACTAATAAGCTTAAGTCATTCAACAAAGAATATTTTCTTGAAAGCAAGATAACACAGCTTTGTGGCTTTTGAAAGAAAGCTACCATTCAAAAAATTATTTAGCAGTTCTGCATTAATAATCCAAAACCTCATGGTCCTGAATTTTTTTAAGCAAGGCAAATTCCATTAATATAAATACCTCACAACTGCCTTTAATGGAATCTAGAAATATGAATACTTAACACTTTGAGTTGCATTTTTAGGGAGGTTTTTTTTTTTTTTTTTTTTTTTTGAGTCCCACTCTGTTGCCCAGGCTGGAATGCAGCAGGTTCAAACAATTCTCCCATCTCAGCCTCCCAAGTAGCTGGGATTACAGGCACCTGCCATCATGCCTGGTTAATTTTTGTATTTTTGTAGAGACAGGGTTTCACCACGTTGGTCAGACTGGTCTTACACTCCTGACCTCAGGTGATTTGCCCACCTCAGCCTTCCAAAGTGCTGGGATTATAGACGTGAGCCACCGCACCCGGCCCAAGAGGTACTTTTAAGATAAGATTTTTCCATTGTTTTTAACAAACTCCAAGAAAATACATGCCTGGAAATGAACTATCTACAAGGAATTGAGTCAGATTGACAGAATAATTTTTAAAACTCTCTCTGGGGCAAGTACTTCCCAAGGCCATTTTGATTCTGGAGGTGCTCTCAGGTGATGGCTATAAGCAAAAGTGGCCCTTGAAGTTCAGCCCCTACAGTCACTATGGACTTGACTGGGCAACATCAAGGGGCTCAAGAGGTTCTAAGAATGAGGCTCAGGTTTACAGAGCCCAGTCAGAGTCTAATGCAAAGGCCCTCACACCTTACAGTACAATGTTAGCAAGGAAATCACCCAAGCAATGTTGCCAACCCAACTTCTTTCAATGCCCCAAATTCCCATCATTGCAGTTCCATATTAAGGTTTTCTTGTTGGTTCCAGAAGGTCTCAGTGAAATGTAATTATGTTAAATGAGAAAGTTAACACACATGTTAAATGAAAAGGTTGGACCAGATGATCTGAAATCTCTGCTCTTCAACCTCTAAAACTCTGATTGTATACTTAGTACAATTAAATGTTAGGCAGAGAGCAGGGCACAAGGGAACAGAAGATTGGGCAAAGATGCTTCACCACATCAAGAAGAATACAGACAGCAGAGAGAGGGAAATGGGCATGATACAGTGGCAGGTGAAAAACATCACATCACAAGATAGAATGTACAGTATAAACCAATTTTTATAAAATACATGCTATATGAAATCATTTATATTTATGGCTAAAACTCTATATATTTCAAAAACCTTAACAGTAAGAGTGGTAGGACTGTAGTGACTTTTCTTCTGTTTTCTAAATTTCTATGATGCATATTGTTGGTAGATAATTCTCCGTGGGTCTCTTGCAATTCTGTACATGATTTAAGCAGAGGCAATGACTATCTTTGTTCTGGACTATCATTACAAGGATATTTTTATAGTGAATAGACTTAGAGAATAGTGTCTTCCTCCAGAGCAAAGGGCAGGTATGCTTACAGACTTGGAAGACAGAGACAGCATCTCCCTTAAGAACAAAAAGCAGGCATGCTTGCAGTCCAGTATAAGAGATTCGGGTACCTTATATTCAGGGTTCCTTTCCTGCAATGCAACCCACTGTGTGTGCACAACTGGCCTTCTGCAAGTCGCTCTGTGAGAATCAGGGCTTGAAGAACTGGTGCAAAAAACAAATGCTGATATCATGACTACTGTTACCACTGTGAATAATAAAGTCCTCTGTCTGACCCAGGAGTCTCATGTCTTTTGCTAGCAAACTAAGGCAGGTTAACCTAGCTTGCAAATAGAGTAAAGAAGCTCAGACCCTTCATAGTTCTTGGCAAATAACTACTACTGTTGCCATATGAGATGCTTATAATTGGCTAGAGACAGTTCTGACTGCTTGCAACCAAAAGCCCTGACTAATGATATGACTGCTTTAAAAATCAGAGTATTTAAAAATAAGAAGAAGACAAGAAAAGAGAGGGATACAGATCAAGAGAAGACCCATCTCCACAAGATAGCCTGGACAGGGTAAAGAGCATTCTCATTTTTCCTGCACTCCTGCTGTGAGAAAGGCTCTGCGACTGGGGCTGAGGACGGAGCTGGGGATAAGACAGACAGGAAGCACCTCGATACACACTTTATGTAATTACCACCACAGCAGGCACAACAAATCAGTATCTGGTGCTCAGAGGGGAGGACAGCCCAGGGGACTCACAGCAAGTCACAGGGGCGGGGAAAGCTTCCTTGGCAATCTACAGATAGCACTTAGTCGTGCCCAAGTAGATTTTTTTCTTCTGGCAGGCATGTCTTGATTCCAGAGAAAGTTCACAAGTTTAAACAGCACAAATTTATCAGGCCTCCATTCTTCCAATCCAACGATGTTTTTTACAAGTATAGAATAACAGTGTAATTACGCATTGAACACCAGGCAGTAATCACAGCACTCCACAGCTATGGTCTACCAAGAAATCAATTTAGACTCACCTGAAGTTGTTAATCATCCAGCATGGCCAAATGGCCTTTGATAATTTTCGGATATAAAATTTTGGAACATGACTCATCGAATGGCATATGCAAATTTAAGCTAAAGGATCTTTAAAACTTCATTCAGTATCTGGTCATTAGAAGGCAGTTAACAAACAAAACATTATTAAGAATTTTCTAAGAACACTGGACTCAGAGCCAGAACATCTATCTGCTCAATTAACTCTGTGACTTTGGGCAAGTAACCTAACTTCGCAGGCACCAGGTGCCTCATCTGTCTTAAGAAACGGGGAGAGCACAGGTTATAATGTAATGACTTCCCAGCTTCTGAAGGTAGAATAATGATTTCAAGTCATGGGATCAGTATTTAGTGACAGTGCTCCATTTCACATATGATGTGTGCTGGAAAACATGAATGCTCTCAAATGACAGGTGCAAAACACAAGATAGTCTCAGTCAGTCTTAGAGGTACGTGATTTCCACCACTCACAGCAAATCCTTTTTTTTTTTTTTTTTTTGAGACGGAGTCTGGCTCTGTTGCCCAGGCTGGAGTGCAGTGGTGTGATCTCAGCTCACTGCAATCTCCACCTCCTGGATTCAAGCGATTCTCCTGCCTCAGCCTCCCGAGTAGCTGGGATTACAGGAGCACGCCACCACGCCCAGCTAATTTTTGTATTTTTAGTAGAGAGGGGGTTTTCACCATGTTGGCCAGGCCGGTCTCACACTCCTGATCTCAGGTGATCCACCCCGTCTCAGCCTCCCAAAGTTCTGGAATTACAGACATGAGCCACCATGCCTAGCCTCACAACAAATCTTTGCAATGTTTTTAAAAAGCCTTTCTTCCTTGATATAAATAATACATGTGCTAGATGGCTGATTTTTTTCCAGAAAAACAAATTAGAATAACCAGTAATCCCACAACCCAAAGGCAACCATCATAAACATTTAAATAATGCTCAGTTTTTAAAATTTATACAAATACAGATATGGAGAAAAAGCTGGATAAAATCTAGTAAAACAATCCACAACTGCGCCTCTCCCCACCCCCACACTGAAAGAGAACAGACAAAAAAAATAAGCAAGGGCTTGGAAAAAGACAGGACCAGGCACAGCCTGAACTGTCCCCGCTGGCCAGCCTGGAACAATCGGAGCAATCCAGTCAATCATGATAATAACAGATCACAATCAGCAGAATCAAATAAGGACCCATGAGCCTGTTCTGAACAATTAAGTCAATGAGAAGGGAAAGCTCTTCCTTACAGTAGGACTTAAACTACAAAAGTGGAATAAGCGGAAGAATTTAAAAATTACCATTTGACGAACACCACACTAGCAACTGGTTCAGGCAAAAATCATGAATGAGTACAAAATTAATGGGTAAAAGTGTGATGAGGAATAAGATATTTACATACTTTCACAGAGAATCTCAAGACACTTCATTACAAAGAAAAAAGTTATCAATTTGACAATGGAGTTGGCGGACACCATCTTAACTATGTGACCAAAGTTTATGTCATCACCCATAGGACAGGCATATCAACACCTTGCCTGACAAAATGCACAGAGAGCACAATACCACCCTTCAGTAGTATTCCCACCCACATCACAAGGAAATACCACACAAATCCAAATCAAGGGTCGTTCAGCAAACTTGCTAGAATTAACTAGATTGTATTCTTCAAAACTGTGAAGGTCCTGATTGACAGACTGAATAGCTCTTCCAGACTAAAAAAGACTAAAGAGGGCTGCAATTAAATGCAACGTGTGCTCCTGGAATGGATACTGCACGAAATAGAGAACATTAATGGGCACCTGGCAAGATCTGAATAAAGTCTGTAAATTAGATAACAGCATTGAATGAATGTGGTATTCCCAATTTTCATCATTTTACTTCCAGAAGAGAATGTCCTTGGTTTAAAAAAAAAAATACACTGAAATATTTAAAGGTAAAAGAAGTATTATGTCTGCCTTAATTATAAATGTTTCAGAAAAAAAAAGTTTATCTAGGTGATACATGTGCAAATACAGAAAGAAGGGTATAAGTGGTATAACAAACGGCAAAATATTAACATGTAAGATATCTGGGTAAAAGGTATATAGAAATCTTTGTGTAATTTTTGTAACCATTTTTAAGTCTGAAATTGTTTCAAAATTAAAAGACGTATGCATATATGTGTGTATGTGGTTACCTTTCTGTAAAAATAAATACAGACTTAAATCATTATCTACAAAGGCTATACACTATTCCTCTATTAAACATACCACAAAGCAGCATTACCAACTTTGCCACTGGCAATGACTAAATATTCAGAGATATGCCTCTGTATACTGTTTATTTCAGCAGAATTCCTGGAATAACATCCCACCCTTGAAACATGGATTTCACTGAATTTCAAAAGCTAAGTTACTAGCTAGATATCTAGAGATATCCAGCAACCTAACATTTAACTTAAAAACAAATCAAGTCCTCAAATCCTTCACCCTTCTCCACCTCTTCACCTAATGGAGCACCTGTATAACAATAAAGAAAGAAAACAATTATTATAAAACCTTTTATACTGCCAACAAGAGATCACATAATACGAGCCTTATGTACTTTATTTCCATTTAAAAACTTTACAGAGAAAAAGAGAGCAGAAATACAAAAGAAAACAATCTACTCCCACCTGCTTACATATTTAGACATCAAGTTGTAAGACAAAATAATATGAATCCGATCAATGTATAAAACTACATGCCAGGAAGTAGTAAAAAGACAGCTCTTTTTTTAAAGGAACTTCTATAGGTAGACAGGTACCGAGTAATGGGTACAATTTGACAATGCAGGGATATTCAACATTTGAGTGGACAGAAGCTATGTCTATGTCCCCGAACCTGAAGAAGACTCACTGCATGGAGGGTTTGGACAGGCCACGACAACTGCTGATGGGATGAGCTTCCTTGCTGAGAATACTGAAAAACTACCGGGAAGATAAGACAGACTACTGAGTCTAGTGAAAGGAGCAGGTAAGGACTTCAGGGCAGAGTCTGTACCAGGCACACGAACACACAGTAAACGGTCACTGTTATCTACAGTAAGGTCAGCATCCTCATCATCATTGCCATCATGTGTAATATTTTTGGAGGCTATAAGAATGTATGTGAGGTCTTATTCTCCAGTTTCGCGTAAATTAGTCACATAAATGTATCTGGAAATAATCAAAGGAAGTGTTCAATGAGATACTCTCTGACAGCTGACTTTGCAGAGACCTAAAAAACAAAAATGGACATGAACTGTTTGAACATTTGCCAACCACATGGCTGCCTAACTGGTTACAAAACATTTTCTAGAGGATATATAGTGACTTACCCCTTGTTTTTGACCCTAAGAATGAGATGACGGAATGATTCCATTACTTGAAAACACTATTTTGAACATAAAAAACTAGCCAGCTTTAGAATACACACCAGCACTTCAATAAAAGGAAACAGGTTAATGTTTATGTTTTCATATTTTTAAAGTAAAACTAAACAGAAAATATGGTCAATTTATTAGTTACAAGGAGATAAAATTAAATTCCACTAATCCTCAAATAAGCATTTAAATTTAGTAAAATATCCTTGCAGTATTTTATCTGTATATGTGTGCCCACAGGTACGTTTTTCCTAAAACAAAAAATGAATACAAATAATAATACTGCTTTTTAATTGCCTGATTTACTTATTTATAGTGAATATCCTTTTGTGTCACGATATATTGCTTCAGTATTACTCTACTACACATATTTTAATAACTGCATCACACAATAAATATTAATTCAAAACTGTTACTACCAGAAACTGCATGGCAACACAGATTTTCAGACAATCTTCCAAATCTGAACTCTCATAATTACAGTAATTATCAACATATCTGAGTTTCTTCCCAGCAGGGTCTCCACTTCATTCCAGCCAACAAGAGAAAGCTTTCTAAAATATCGTTTTCCAAATTTCATAAGCTGTTAAGAACAATGCCATATATGGCATTTTTCCTTTACTGTAATCACTCTTATTAACTTCAAAGTAAACTATGACTTGCAAAGTAATCATTTCCAACTTGTAAATCATCATAAAAATTAACAGACACCACACTAAAGATTTAAGAATTTTTTATTTTAAGGGCAGTCCAAATTCAACTCTGAGGCTACGTAATGTCTATACAGAATTTTAATACAATAGCAACCCAGAGTAAGTCAGTGAGTTAATGTACTCCACTTATTAAGCAGACCTTCCTCTCTTGTATTCTTGACCTGTAAATGTTCAAAGACATTTGTTTAGGGAGTAAGTAGGGTCCCATTATATTCTTTTTATCAACTGCCTTATAGGCACCTGTTATCCCAGAATACTGATATTATTAATAGCATTCCCTCTCATTCTTAAAAATATGGTGAGAGGCCGAAGCGGGAGGATCACTTGAGCCCAGGGACTCGAGACCAACCTGGGCAATATAGTGAGACCTTGTCTCTACAAAAAATTTAAAGAATTACCTGGGCGTGCATCCACTACAGGTGGACATACACCTGTAGTCCCAGCTACTCAGGAGGCTGAGGTGGGAGGATCACTTAAGCCCAGGAGGTAGAAGTTGCAGTGGGCCAAGATTACACCTCTGCATCCCACCCTGGGCGACAGAGCAAGACTCTGTTCTTGGGGGAAAAAAAAAAAGAAGAAGGAAAAAAAAGGGAATAAAGTAAGAGTTTGTAAAATAAATAATTTGGAAACCTCCTTGGCGTCCAAGAAGTTGCTGGGGGCACTTCTTTTATACTGGAATGAGATAATGTATATATGGCTCAATGCAATCTGTATTATTGTCATCATTATTGCCATTGCCATTACTAATGCTAGATATATTCTTCTTTACAACACAATCAATGCAACTACATTATCTCCTGGATATTAGATACATGATTCTTTCTGAATTCCTTTTATTTTTCTTCACATCTTTGATATGCCAACATCTCCTAATTTGTCTGGTATAAAAAAGAAAAATAGAAAACATTAAACAATAAATGAGCCATTTAGAGTTGTTATTGAATACAAAAAGGTTAATCAACAAAATCAGAGTTTTATGGTGAAGGAGCAGAGCCACTAGGTTCAGGAAGACAATTTATTAAGAACCACAAGAAGTCTTTACTAATAATTATCTTTTCCAGTCTGCGATTTTCCTGACTGGCTGTGGCTTACTTCTCTAAGTTCTGATTACTGTCAACTTCAGTATCAGAATTAACTTCCCTATTCACTTTACCTATGATTTTAATCTTCTCTAAGAAAATATCATAAATTACATTCCATATGTTAATGATGAAAATAAGTGGACAGTTTGCTGTGCCCATTCTAAAAACAGGAATAGAAGATGTACTACTACTACCACTTTTTTTTTTTTTTTTTTTTAAAGAAACAGGGTCTTACTCTGTCACCCAGGCTGGAGTGTATGGAGTGACGTAACTGGGACTAAAGGCATGTGCCACCACGGCCAGCTAAATATTTTCATTTTTTTGTAGCGATAGAGTCTAGCTATGCTACCCAGGCTGGTCTTAAACTCCTGACCCCAAGCAATCCTCCTGCCTCAGCCTCCCAAAGCACTAGGATTACAAGTGCAGCCACTGTGCCTGGCCTTTACTTCTTATTAATTCCTAGAAAAATCACTTAAAGGCTTGTGAATATAGAATGCTACATACACATACACATTTATATATACGTACTCCAACTAGGTCATATTGGTCTTTTTGAGACAAAACATCAGAACTTTAATATATCAGCCTTGACCCACTAGGTAGGAACCAGACCCAGCCATGCAATGAACAGGGGCTGCTGGTCAACACAGTGCGAGCCACCATGTCCCATGTCCCTCCCACTGAGGTCTGCGGGTCACAGCAGAGGCTGTGGTATTCCTCCTGCAGCTGCCCCTTTGGAGAACACGCTGCGCTAGTTATTAATTATAATATACATATCAATCTCAGGGGAGAGTGTCATTACCTAATGCATGAGGGAAATCGGAGAAGTGCTTGTGTGGATACAAACTGATTAAATGGCTATCCGTTATCTGGCTTTCTTTTTAAAAGCCACAGGTGTCAGATGAAGGGGTGTGTGTGTATATTTGTCCTGAGATACTTCTGAGGTGATCATAACAGCCATTCACTTCTTTTTGAGGTGGATTTTTTTTTAATTTAGTCAGCTCTTTTAAGACAGGACAGCATGGTATTTGCAAAGGACCAGAAGCTCTACAAGTCACTGCCCCAGTCATATGAGTCTGTCTTTAAGTGAATAAGGGGCAGTCGGAGAAGACAACTTAAAGCATTCTTTATACAGACATTTCATGAGCCTGAATCATTTAAACAGGGCAGGAACGGCCACAAGCATGACGCTTCCACGGCACCAAATGCACTCTCCTCAGACTGACTCAGATTTCTGCACTCTCCTCAGACTGACTCAGATTTCTTTACAGGAATAGACTTATCTCGCACACACATATTTTGTAAATGATCTCTTATGCACAAAGGGGTTCACCAAAAATAGTTTTCAGTATCTGCATATGTGGTTGATTTTTCTGGATTTTTTCTTTTCTTTTTCAGATTGTCTGAGTTTGCTGTTAGCTCTGTCATCACCTCAGCCTTCCTTGCACAAAGACTCCTGACTCACTGAATGGCTGTGCCGCTAGCTGGACTGCCTGCCCCTGTAGTCCACCCTCTTGCCTGGCACCGCACAAGCAGTGGCCAGTGGGGATTGAGGAAGCAATTCCTTTGGAATAGATTTCTCTCCCTCTATTCAAAAACTAGTAGCCTCTACTAGATGGAACCTGTAACTTTCCATCTCTATAGACCCACTTACAATCTCCTGTGCAAACCAGCTCTGTTGACTAAAAAAAGGTCAACTGTCTGTGCCAGATATGAATGATCTGAAGATATGCCGGGCATGGTAGCTCACACCTGTAATCCCAGCACTTTGGGAAGGCCAGGTGGGAGGAGTGCTTGAGCCCAGGAGTTTGAGACCTGCCTGGACAACACAGCAAGACCCCATCTCTACAAAAAATAAAAAATTAGCTGGGCATGGTGGGATGCGCCTATAGTTCCAGCTCCTGGGGAGGCTGAGACAGGTTGAGCCCAGGATGCAAAGGCTGCAGTAAGTTACGATCAGGCCACTGCACTCCAGCCTGGGCAACACAGCAAGACCTCACCCCATCTTGAAAAAAAAAAAAAAGTTAAAACGAAGACATTCAGAACAGCAGCTCCTCAGCTCTCAGCAATCCCAAATGAGCTACAGACCTTTTTAAGGCTTAGACTGGCAGAAACAGTACTAAATACGTTTCTAAGTGCATGAAAATAAACGACACTCACGTGTGAATTTATCCAGTGCCTTGGTCATATATGTACAACCTAAGATGAGAATTATCCAACACATTCTCCCAGGCCACACATTTACTTTATGATAAAAAGGAACTGCTGTTATTTGTATTTGGGGGGATTAACCCTTCTTTCCGCCCTCCTCAATCCAATTCTACAGAAATACTAGGTGTTTCAAAGGTGATGAAAATTTCAAAAACATCTCACTTGTATTTAGGCTAGTGATTTCATTCAAAATTTGATAATAAATATAGCATTCAAGGTATTAAGTACTTCATCAAACCATGGGGACAGGAGCATCAAAGTGTTACATGTATTCAAAAGTGGACAGATGCTCCAAGTACAGGACAGTCAGGTACCAATATCCTCATTAAAGCTTAGGCTTAGTGTAGGATAACATATAGATACATTTTTACAATACTACTACAATATTTTAAAGCTCAAATATTAAAAATAGAAATAAATACAATTAAAAAGCAATGTGATTCCTTAACGCTTATACCAAACTGGCAATTTGTATGAGTTTTTCAAGAGAGAGCCATGGCCAAACCTGTAACATCTGTGGTAAAAACTCAAGACCAACATTTAAGAATTACTCATGGAAAAACATTTTCACTACAATGAACCAAAGCTCAACTGCTAAAAACATAGTTAATGTGCACACAAGTGTATGGGCTTCTGAAAGTATTCATATGCTAGTATTTCGACTTGAACTACATCACCATATTCTCCCCACCCAAAAGTTCCCAGGCTAAAAGGCAAGAAACTACACTAAAAACCATGGAATTCAATGCGCGGGACAAACCTGGAAATTAATGAAGAATTATAGTGGGAAAGCTGAAAAGCATCAATGGGTCAAAGAGGAAAACTGTACAGAACCAAAACTTATGATTGGCATGCTTATCTTTCTCCTGGTCTTTTACAATCTTTATTTGTAAGGTTATCAGCAACAGTGCAGGGGAAAACAATGAAAATAAGGAAAGAAAAATCATTCAAAAATAGAAACACTTTGCATAACTTTAGTATGTATAAGGCATTGAAAATAAACCCACGGGGCTAATTTCATCAGTCATATAAAAGACAAATTGTGTTAAATTATACTCATGTCTACTATATGATTTAGTTAACAACAGTTATAGCGAAGTGGTTAAGAGAATGGGCCAAGAACTAGGTTCAAACCACCCCATCCCTTAACTAACTCTGTACTTTGGGCTACTTAACCAATCTCTCTGTACCTCAGTTTCCTCATCTGTAAAATGGAGAAAATATTACACTTATTAAATAATACAGGCAATGAGAACAATACATGGCAGCATTGGCACTCAAGGACAGTTAGCTGGCATCATAATTATTCTAAGATCACTTGAAAACCACATCACAAAATATTCAGCCCAGAACTCCAACAAGTACATGATTTGTCCTTTCCACAAAAAATGGTTTTCAAAATTTTAATTTTAGGTAAACTGGCAGATGTGACAAATAAAACACCAGCAGATATTATAAAATCTGTGTTCACTATTCAAAAGTTACAGCTCATCTTGAAGGTGTTCTAGTCTAACTCCTCGGCTGGCAAGGAGAAAAGCAAAGACATCCGGGTTTCCCATCAGCACATTTAATACAGCAGGGTCTGCTTCTCACGCAATAAAGATTGGCTCGGTGACAGAACAAATAAAAACTTCAGTGACAAAACACATTTATCCCCATAAGAAAGCCCTTTCTCCTATTATGTTAATAATTCCTTCCTCCCCTCCCATAAGTCTCATTTTGTCATTGTTTTGTAAACAAATACATTACTTTAATAATGAGGAAACTCCACAGAACGCAACACCTAAATAACAATAATCACTTAAAAGTACTTCACATAAAATAAACATTCATATCACCTTTTACTTAATTGGACTTTTATGTGGCATCTACTTAAAAATGCACATGTCAAATCTTGTTAGAAATATTCGCTTTTGCTCTTGAGTTCAAAAATCTACAAACAGAAGAAATAGAACTTACTTAGATTAAATAGGATGGCCTGTGGCTGTTAGACCCACTCCTCGGTACAATGGTTTTCAAAAACAGAGTCAAAGGTACTGACTGAGAGTCAATTATGGGGGAGATGTCATGTTAAGGACTGCAGGGAATAAAAATAAAGCCCACAACACAGATGTTTACAATTTCTCGGTAATACAGAAAGACTGGCAATTCTCTCTGTACCTTAAGAGTCCCAGCCATCAAAAACACAAAACAAAACAACAAAAACCATCTAGCAACTTCTGCTTTTCCGTAAAAATCCTTATCTCCCATTAACTGTTGGCTGGGCATTAGATCTGTAGTCCTTGTTAATGCTATATACTACATTTTGAAACAGTGGAGTGGGGAAAAAGTATAATACATTTTAGTACTTATCAACTTTTTGCAGTTGACACTATAATTAGACACGTAAGAGAGACCAGAACCGACATTCCCTAAAATACTAGCATCAGGTTCTGGTTCATCGCTTTAGGCTGCCTTGGACAAGTAACTTCTTCATCACACGACTTCTCCACATTTACATATCTTGGTATTACCAAGCCCTCACGCCCTATCTAATTTGCACAAATATTACTAAACATTAATATAACGTTATCCACCATGGGAACAGGATATTGGTTCACACTAGCATGACAAAATCATGTGGCATTGTGCCCAAGAGTCTCAATCATTAGAAATTGATCACTAGCCAGGCGTGGTGGCTCATGCCTTTTATCCCAGCATTTTGGGAGGCCGAGACAGGTGGATCACCTTAAGTCAGGAGTACGAGACCAGCCTGGCCAACATGGTGAAACCTCATCTCTACTAAAAATACAAAAATCAGCCAGGTGTGGTGGCATGCACCTATAATCCCAACTACTTAGGAGGCTGAGGCAAGAGAATCGCTTGAACCAGGGGGGCAGAGGCTGCAGTGAGCCAAGACTGCACCACTGCACTCCAGCCTGGGCAACACAGTGAGACTACACCTCAAAAAAAAAAGAAAGAAGGAAATTGGTCACTAATGTGCAAACGACAGGCCGACTCATTCAGAAATGAATGCAAGAAACCCCATGCCTCTGTGCAGGTAAGGCTGTCTGTCCCTGCCCACCCACCACAGCAACTCAAAGAAGGCAGCAACCAGAAAGGTTCCATCGGGGCCTTTCACTTCCATTTCCAATGAGTCCAAATTTAGACCGTGCTCTGGAACAAAGTGGAAAAACTATCTTGAAGCATGTTTTTGGAGTTCTTTAATATCCACTGGATGACTCACAGTTATGCATCATAGAGGCCAGGTACTTTTATTTCTATAAAAGGAATATGTTTGAGAGTTGGGAAGGCCAGCCTAGAGCTCAAAAGCCTGGTGATCAGGCTAGAAAAACAAGGGAGAAACTGGCTGTCTCCAGCTCAGGCAAAGTGGTTTTAAGGACCAAAAGCTGGTTTAAAATGTCACACTTGAGTTTACAATTTATTTTCCAGCATAGTCCCATGAATCTAGTCAACATCTAAATACTACTCAGTAGTGCTAATTGGGTGTACCTCTTAAAAGTCTGTTTAACAAGCTATTCAAAACACTCTGGTCCCCAGCTGCCTAGGAAAATATTCTGAAAACATTTACTAGGGCACAACTAGGAATCGGCCTTTTGCACAGTTCTTCACTGGCGGAGGTACTCAAAATTGCAAAACAGTCTTCTCCAATTGGAAGATGAAAAACTCCACACTCCTCACCCCACCCCATGTCCACCACCCATAACTAGACTATCCCTGGGTAAGATCTGAGAAGCTCCAGTGAGTCACCAAGGACTCACATTTGTCCATTTCACTTTACAAATGAGAGAAATCAACCCGTCTGTAAGAGGGGCAAGCCAAGTCTGAATGTCACTCACCCACCACGTTCCTAGCAACTTAGCCTTTTTTCCCTCTGTCTTCTCCCAATCATTTTCACTCATCCTTCAGCCCCTCCCCACCCTTTCCTAGGCATTTGGCCTGAGAAGAGCTGCCCCAGTTTCTCCCTGCTCTTCAGCCAGGAGCCATCTCTGCCTAAGTGCAGGCAGGGGCAGGTGGCAAGGGATCCAGCCAGCTCCAGTGCGTGTGTGGCCAGTCTGGGCCTGGGAGCCTGCTCAGAGCCAGCAGACGTGCTGTGGCTGCCATGTTTAACAACTATGCTGGGCACGTTTTTCATCACAGCTATGCAAAGGGTGCCCACCCCAGTTAGGCCCAGGAAGAACTGTGCTATTCATGTTTTTAAGTATTCACCATTCAGTCTGCATCAGGAGTTTTCAGGATTCAATTTGGGTGAAAGAAAATAGGACCAAGTGCTTCTGTAATCCTCCAGAACTTTCACTGTTCTGGTTTCAAGGGTGAGAACACCCACTATTAGCCTTTAGAAGAAACAAGAAGGAAAGGAGAGAGAGAATGGTGGTGGGGGGCGGGGAAGGGGGGCGAATTTTATGGGGGAAGTGGAAAGGCCCAGATGTTCAGGATTGAAAATCACTGAAAATAACTAAAATGCCTTTGAGATGTGGCAGTCCACATAAGTTTTAGGGAAATCCTAAAACTGTCCATGAGTCATGGACGACTGAGATGGACCCGAATAAGGAGGTATTGGTGACGTCCACCCAAGCCTGGCACCAAGTATGCTGCTCCAAGGAGGAGCCCGATTTTGGGTTAGGAGTGAGAACACTAAACGTGATTAATGAGCAGTAGGACTGCCCTCGTGCATTAGATTAGAGTACAGACGCCAGGAGGGAAGCACAGCAGTGGCTGTAGGGCACCAACCCCGCAACCGCACTGGACCCAAGAGGCGTCCACGCTCACACCCACTAACCTAACTTCATTTTTTTTCTGAAACACCAAGAACTAACTACATAGGCTATGTACTGGAAAGAAACATACTAGAACAAGTGTTTTACATTAAGACTTTGTATCAGGAGCATTTAAAAGATGCTGAGATGCGCTCTTTCCTCTAAGAATATGTGGTGTTCATATGAAAACATAAACAATTAGCAAGGGAAATTAGACTCGTCCATAGCAATGAAGTCCTGAATTACACTAGAGGCTAATATAAAGAAAATGCAAACACTTTTCCAGTCCACTGAAGCTTTATAGTTTGCTCAGTATTATTTTCTAAAAACATATGTTCAAAGTCTCAATAACATTGCCAAGTGCCTTTAGTAGAGTGCAGGGCACGTTGCAGAAGGGAAGCTGTGATCCCATGGCTGTACAGAGGCCATGGGACAAGGTGGCCTTGCAGCCTTGGGACACATCACTGCAGCAGCTTCCCACTGTGATTTTGCTGAGCGGATACACAAACAGCGCACAGTGCTCCCTTCGGCTCTCAAAACAGAACTGCTGTTGCTAAGCTGAGGAGCAAATCTCTTTTAAAAAAACATTTCTAAATCCCCACAGGATGATTTCTGCAAGGCGTTTCGTTACTAGCCGGTTGGATTTTTAACAGACATGGCACCCAACCATCCAAACACACAACATTCTCTGTCATGGCTGCTCATCTGGCCTAGGAGCTCTGAGGTCAAGGTCCATCAACAGTCCTCCTAGAGAAACCCTCGAGCCACACATCAGAGAGCCAAAATAAGAACTGTATTTTTTAAAGTCTGGGACACATCCTTACCTTCTGCCATGTCCTCTTGGGTAATTTATTAATCTTTTTTAAAAAACGGTTACCACGAAAATAAAATCGAAGTAAAACAGTCACTATCTGCCAAAGGTTAACAGTTGGCAGTGTCCCTCAGGATCCCAGAACACCAACAAACAACCTCTAGATATCCCAAATGGGCAGTGAGGAGCAGCCAGCATGCTGTAACTGCGGCCGCATGCCTTCCCTCCTCAGCAAACGGGAGGGGCAGAAACAGCACAGAAAGTTTTGTTCCAGTTTTTGATCCAAGTCTGAAACCAAACCCATTATGGAGGGGGAAAAAAATGAGACTCTGATGGTTAAATAGCAATGTTAAATTCTTTTCTGTTTTTTTCTCTTTTTAATTACTCAGAGTTTCTTTAGGGCTTTTCTTGGGGGGGAAGGGAGGAGTTTATTGTTTTCAATTTTAGTCAAAGAAAGTAATACTTTATTTGTTTACATTTTTAGGGGATGCAATAATTATTCTGAAAGAGTACTTTAACAAACTGATCCCTTTTAAGCATCTTTTAAAGCAACAAGTCTCCAAGGACATATTTTTTCATTATGTAAACATACATATGTTTACTGCATACTTACTATTAAAGGAAGGGGAGAGAAAAGCCCCTGCTTACATCACAATCTTGCTGATGGAGAGAAGTCACAAAAAAATGACTCCCAAGGGCACAACATACGTCCCACAGAACTGCAGTTCAGAGACTTTCAACGGAGGGGAGCAAGGGAAAGCCTCACTAAGGTTGTAGCTTCTGTAAAAGTCCAGGCCACCGGGAACAAACCTAGCTGTGATAAGGAGTTAGCCCCAGGAGGCCAGAAGGAACAGGCATCCTTCTGAACCCTAACGAAGACCCCACCTCCCCAGCTCATGGAGCAGCTGGCCCCATCCTAGAGATGCACTGTTGTCTACCTGGTGCTGCCCAGAGGCCTGCGGAAAAGGATGGGGCCCTGGCCCAGCTCAGAGGAAAGGGAGCACAAAGGATGATGCGCTACAGCCAGGCCTGCAGGCAGGGGCACGCAAATGCCTGTAGCTGCCACCCTTGCTCTAGAACAAAGTGCACGGCAAAGTGGAGGGGGGGGGGTCTCCACTGTATTTGGTCCAATTTTCCTTAGGAAATCTCTGGAAAATCAGGGAAGGATTTTTAAAAATCATCAGAACTCCAAATTCATACCTAGGGAGCACTTCACCTGTCAGGAGAAATTAAGGGAATTCTTAAAGGCTAGTGAATGTTCCAACAGATAATGTCTTAGAAAGAAAAGCAAATCATGAGATTTAATCAGAGAAAAAGTACAGCAAGTGTAATAATTAATGGCATTTTCTTACAGACCAAGCTCCTACATGTAAATTTCTCACTAATTTTTAACACTTTAATTATCAACAAAATTAAGGCATAGAATTGATACTGTCATTGAATCATGTATGTATTACCACAAGATTTTTAGCTATGTCTATGGACAAGAAGAAACTTGCATTGTATTTGATAAGGCAATCATTTCTAAAACTTTGCTATTCCACCTACACTCTGACAACAATTTCTATCAGATATAAATTTGTCCCAAGGTAGAAGCATCTCTAAAGAGTGAGCCAAAGACTAACATTAAGATCCAGGGAACCAAGATGCTTTCTCAGCTAAGAGGGAACCAACAAGGAGTAATAGGCGGTTCTACCAAATAGGAGGACGTGCACTCTCTCTCCCTGAGCCTCACAGCAGAGCCGGGGTCCTTCCCACTTCCCAGAGGAGCCTGCTCCTGAGGAATAACACAGAGAAGTCTCGTTTATCAAATCTTCAGGCCACACAGCTCAGAGACGTCATTACTGTGTTGGATGAAAAGAAAAAAAAAAAATGCCCTTCAAAGATTTGAACAGGAAGAACCAAAAGTAATAACATGAAATTCAATGATATGTGGGAAGTGGTGTTCATATTCAAAATATTAATTTCTTAAATACAAGTCAGGGAGGATGGGGATGGGGAGAAGGAGATTAAAAACAGAGGACTGAATATTCTGGAGAGTTCTATGAGGTCAGACCTAGAATTTCAGACCCACATCAGCCCGGAGTGTAGAAACTACCAGAAAAGGAATAGTGAGGGCAAGTGGGGATGCAAAAGAGCCCAGGCCGGGAGGGGCGTGGCCACCATGTGGTCTTCAGACTTTCTCTTCTTTCTCCTGCCATCCATTCAAGACTCTGAACTTGGCCTCAATCCTCTAATCCACCTTTACAGACCCCTGACATTGGTCTCTAAGTCAAGCAGGGGGCAGCCAGCGTTTTCAGGACACTGAAATGGCCCTCAAAGGATTTCTGCAGTGCAGCTGCCTGGGGGCAACCGTAGACACAGGTCCTGTGTGAGTGGTCCCACGTGCCATCTCACAGACTACGCCCCCCAGAAACGCTCCACATCCACTCACAGGCCTGCCCACGACCATCTGCAATCTGGCACAAAGGCCATCACAGATTCTGAGATTGGGCAGGCCACAGAATGGCTGTGAAGTTCTAACAGACAGTGCCAGGGACCCCCCAGGCAGGAAACAACAGATGACGGTGACAGATAACTAGTTCTACAGATTTGTCTGGGCTCGGGTGAAGCAGCCCACAACAATTTTAGTTTCAACAAACACCAAAAACTTCAGAGAAGTACTAACAAAATTTCAAGCAGGCCAGTATCTGAAAGGACATTTCCTTTTCATGGTTCTCTAATACACTTTAAGGCATCCAAGAATAATACGGTATTTGTAGAAATTCTATATCCCTTAAATAAGATGTCTTTTTTTTTTAAGTCTGCAGTGTTAGCTGTATGTCCTACAAAAAGGTAAGAGCCTAAGAAATACAGCTAATAGAAGAATGAAACAAAAAAAAATACATTGTAGTATTCCATTGTTATTTTTTTATAATCCATATAATGGAAACAAGGAAAATTCTAAATGTGAATGTTTATGAACACAATTTTCTTGCATGTTCTTTATACCTTAACTTTTTTCTGAAGGATTTCCCTAGACAAAATTAAATATTTTAGTATATACAGAAAATAAGCCAACTCAAATCATAAATTTCAAAAGAAAATTAAAACTGCCTACCTACCTATATTTCTTTTTTTTTTTTGTGGGGGCACTGGGGGGACATGGGACCACTCACTCTGTCACCCAGGCTGAAGTACAGTGATGAAATCAGAGCTCATTGCAGCTTCAAACTCCTGGGCTCAAGAGATCCTCCTGCCTCAGCCTCCTGAGTAGCTAGGACTGCAACTGCGTGCCACCACACCCAGCTTTTTATTTTTTTGTAGAGATAGGATCTTGCTATGTTGCCCAGACTAGTCTCAAATTCCTGGCCTCAAGCGATCTTCCCACCTCGGCCTCTCAACTTGCTGGGATGACAGGCATGAGCCATTGTGTCTGGCCTATATTTTCATATGCAAAGATCAGACACTTCTAACAACATGGTCTGCCTTTTTTATTTAAGTTAAAAATGTGATTCTTACAAAGGAACAATTTAGGTTATATTCTTTAGAAGGCAAACAATCCTTATTTATTTAAGAATACTAACAGCTTTCATTTCAAACAATACTAAGTCTCAGCATAGTTTTATAAAAAGTTGTAAAGTCAGTTATCTTCTTTTGTCCCATTACCTTCAAAATAATCTTTTTTAATCCAATGAGAATAGGAAGCTCCAGGCAACATCTAATGATCGGTTTGGAAATTCAGGCCACAGACTGAAAATATCAGCATGTAACCAGCTTTTGATCCAGGTAACTTTAAGAGGTTGTGCCAGAAAACTAGGGAATATAACGCATAGGCTTTACCACATCTATATTACAGTTAATCTTTTTTTTTTTTTTTTTTTTTTTTTTTTGAGCAGGAGTCCTGCTCTGTCACCCAAGCTGGAGTGCAGTGGTGCGATCTCAGCTCACTGCAACCTCCGCCTCCTGGGTTCAAGCGATTCTCCAGCCTCAGCCTCCCGAGTGGCTGGGATTATAGGCGCGTGCCACCACGCCCAGCTAATGATTTTGTATTTTTTTAGTAGAGACGAGGTTTCTACTGGTCATGTTGGCCAGGCTGGTCTCAAACTCCCAACCTCAGGTGATCCACCCACCTCAGCCTCCCAGAGTGCCGGGATTACACACCTGAGCCACCATGCCCAGACAGTTAATCATTAATTTAGCCAATACATGTTCAAAAATCAAATGAACTTAAAATATGTGTAAAATTCCAGATTGAGGCTGGGTGTGGTGGCTCATGCCTATAATTCCAGCACGCTGGGAGGATGGCTTGAGCCCAGGAGTTCGAGATCAGCCTGGGCAAAACAGTGAAACTGCACTGCTACCAAAAGAAAAAAAAAAAATCAAAAACTGAGCTGGGCTTCGTGATGCATGCCTGGCTGAGGCAGGAGGATCACTTCAGCGGAGCTCAAGGCTGCAGTGAGCCGTGATTGTGCCACTGCTCCAAATTGGGCAACAGAGTGAGACCCTAAAAAAAATCCAGATTTTAAGAAAAAAAAAAAAAAGCTTTGTTGATTTATTTAAATATTTATATTACTGAAGAATTCTGAGGGCAGAACAAGTGAAAAGAATACATTTTTATTTTAAAATGGTTTTAAAATTGTAATGTAGTATTACAGAGTAATTAAGAACAAATACAAAACAATTCCTCTAACTTCACCGTATGTTTGAGTCTAGCACATGGTAAAGAAGTCACAGGGTACCTAACTGCTAAACAGGATTTCTCTCTCCATTCTGAGACACCAGACCCACAAAGGTGGGGGGTGGGGCCAAAGCGGGGTGGGTGGCAGGACGGGACACCGACGTGCTGGCCGGGAGCAGCAGGGGACTATGACCAAAACTCTTCCCTCACTCCAAATGGGAAGGCGGTGACAAAGGCTTTCTCACCACCCTCCAGTCCCGGCTTCTGCGGGGGTGGGGGGAGTACAAAGACCCCCTTCTGAGCTCTTGGTAAAGAAGGGTAGGACGCAAGCCAGGTCCTGGGGGCTGACAAATCCTGATTCATGGCTCAAGTCACACTTAGCTCACACACAAAATGAGCGATTCAGCCACTCCAGGCTATGGGGAGGAGGCTTCTTCAAATGTGCTGTAGGTCTGTTTTCAAACAGACCACCACTGACAGGAGGTGCTGACTCAGCAGCACCCCTGTGACCACTCTCCTTGGCCAACTGTCCATGCCTTTATGTATCCTGGACTGAGTCAAACATCATTTTATCCAAGTTAGGGGTGAGCCACAAAAAATGACCAGTGGGAGTCATAAATATCTTCACATGACTCTCACCCTCTACATACTGAATTATGAAACTATGGTCAGTCAGTAGGTCGAGTCATCACACATCCTAGCTTGACAGACACAGTCTCAGTTTACCCCTACTGTTCTAGAATAATTATTGGTAACACCCTCTTTCACTCTCAACACCATCTCTGTTTAGACAATTACGCGGTCAGCTTATCAAGAAATGTGAAGATATCAAAGCATCAATATTTGACAGCAACACCTGTCACCTTTCTAATACCAGGCAGGCACAAGGCTTTTTATCCACACCATAAGAGGGTTCCTAACATGCGGCCAGAACACAAGATTAACAGCCTACGTCTCTCACATGGAATCTGTGCAAACATCTCTATGCCAGTAAATTTGAATATTATTCATTTTCTCCCCTTTTTTAATTGACAGCATTCCTGTGTCAACAACCATCACCTACAAATGACCTCTCTTAAAAATCCTTGTGGTGTAGGACCACACGTACAACTCTGTTTCTGCTGCTTGTTTGGCAAATCCAAAGTAATAAAGGCCGAATGGAATCTCTGCCCTAGCAGACTATTTTTAGGGAAGAATGGTTAAAAGAAGTGGCAAAATGAATTACTCCACAAACAAGGAAAACCATGAATACAAGAGTATTTGTTAAAAGCAAACACAAAAGCCAAACACATGACAAACAGTATCTGTAATATTAAATTAAATGGTGAATAAATATAAAATAATCAAGTAAAACAAAAAAGTAGACAATGTTGATAAAATACTTGCAGTGCATTAGAAACAGAGCCAAGCCACGGTATGGTGAGGACCGATTTTGCTTTTCTGTTTAATAATGGGCCTGTGAAAATTCCAGAGAAAGTCTTGCATTAGCATGAAGATGCAAAGCAGCCCCTCCTTCCTGCAGTCCATATACTCAGCCCTCAAGACAGGCAGAAGGGAAACTCCTAGGCACCCAAGCCCAGGGACTGATGAGAAGTGGGAGACCTCTGGGCAGGAGACAGGAGGAGTGGTTCTTCCTCTCCAAGGGGTCCTGGGCTCTGGGACCCAGCGAGGGATGGAAGCCAGTCAGCCCGGCAATATTCTCTCTCTACCCTGTTAGCTTTTTTTGTTGTTGTTGTTCTTAAATTTCCTATCTGATCATAAACCACAGGTAGCAGGCTTAAAAGTACAAGAATCCTGGGCTATCCTTGAAGACACCCAGGTTCCAGAACAGGAGCTCCAGCAAGGATGGTACAAACCTAGGATGGTGCGTTTCAGAGCAGTCAGATACCAAGAATTATCATGAAATTCACACAAGTGCCAGAAGTGCATGTCACTAAAAAGACCTCTATGTTTGAAAATCCCCATAAGAAGATTTTCATAACATCTGCTCATATCCCGGTGATTACCAAAAAAAATTTAAAAGTGCCCTTTAAACTTGTGAAATATAAGCCACTAAAAGCAAAACTTAAAAGTGGTGGCTTGTAAGAGTTTTCTCACGTATATAACATAAATAATAATCTGTTTTCAACACTCAAGTGAATTCCAGAATAAATCACCTGCCCTCCTGGGGCATAACTGTATGCTCACCACTGTCAACCCATGAGTGCCCTGGGCGCTCAAACCTCAGGGCAGAGTCCATGGAACCCAATTACAGTATGTAAAGCTGGACACACAGTGTTTGAAAACAGGTTGTTTGTGCTTACCTAAGAATATTCTTATAAAAACTAAATGTAATGGTCAAGTGTTTCATTTCTAAAATGAATCTATTATAATATTATCAACCCTGTAATATGTGCATAAAATATTTAATGGCCATAAAGAAAAGTTAAAACCAGATTTTCAAGTGCCTGTGACTTAAGAAAAATTAAATGTTTTGGCTCTTTCCATTTACTTAACAGTAAGCAAAAAATGTTACTTTTGAAAAGTTCATGTTTCTAAATTTTAAAATCATCTTTAAAAGAATGAACTGAGGCTGGGCATGGTGGCTCCCGCCTCTAATCCCAGCACTTTGGGAGGCCAAGTGGGTAGGAGTTCAAGACCGGCCAAGGCAACTTGGTTGGTGAAACTCCACCGCTACAAAAAAATACAAAAATTAGTCAGGTGTGGTGGCACACGGCTGCAATCCCAGGTACTCGGGAGGCTGAGGTAGGAGGACTGCCTGAGCCCAGAAAATCGAGGCTGCAGTGAGCAGTGACTGTGCCTCCAGCCTAGGCAACAGAGCAAGACTCTGTTGTTTTTTTTTTGAGACAGAGTCTCGCTGTGTCACCCAGGCTGGGGTGCGGTGGCGCGATCTCGGCTCACTGTAAGCTCCGCCTCCCGGGTTCACGCCATTCTCCTGCCTCGGCCTCCTGAGTAGCTGGGACTACAGGCGCCCGCCACCATGTCCGGCTAATTTTTTTATTTTTAGTAGAGACGGGGTTTCACCGTGTTAGCCAGGATGATCTCGATCTCCTGACCTCGTGATCCGCCCGCCTCAGCTTCCCAAAGTGCTGGGATTACAGGTGTGAGCCACCAAGCCCAGCCTGACTCTGTCTTTAAAGAAAGAATGAACTGAATTTGTTTTTAACAGAGACAGGGTGGGTCTCACTTTGTTGCCCAGGCTGGCCTTGAACTCCTCCTCGACTCAAGTGATCGTCCCACCTCAGCTTCCCAAAGTGCTGGAATTACAGACATATGCCACCCTGCCTGGCTTTTCTAAGGAATTAGCATACAATGTATTTTTAAATAAGAATTATGGTTGATATTTGGTATTCTCAAATGCATTAACCTTCAGATATTCTTCACAAATCAGTATTGATGCAAAGGAAATACTTTTACTGTAACATGACACTTTGTGAACTTTTCTTTCATAAGGTGTATCTCCCCAACCCAGGACATTAGCAGTCTAGGTATCCCGTCTATTTTCATGACTCGCACAGATTTTGCGGAGCTCTCACTAAATGCATGTATAGTATTCTATGTTAGAAATAGGCTACATTATTGTACAGGGGAGTTTCCCAAATATTTGTGTAATTTTCAATGTGACTAGTTTTAAATAAAACTAGTTTTATTTAAAATGCCCAGGTAGATATAAGTAAGCTTTATTCTGAGTCTCATCATTTCTAACATTGAGAAACACAAGCTTGCAAAATATATGGTGCTTCCCCATCTGGGGTTATGTTCCCAGATCTAGTTTTGTATCTAGACATATCTCTAACTTTCAATACTATAATAATCTAGAATCTTTAGCTCCAAAGAATGTATAATTTACGCAGCAAAAAGCAAACAAAAAATGGAATCTATTACTAGATATTAAAACATTAAAGGAAGTAGGAATTGTTGAAAGGGACAAAGAAGTTCTAAGTAAGGAGTGGAAAAAACTGGAAAGGAATTAGAAAACGCCTTTTAGAAAGCATTTGAATCCTGCACATGTATATGTGCTATGTAACAAACCTGCACATTCTGCACATGTATCCCAAAACTTTAAGAAAAAAAGAAAAATTTAAATCCTGACAGCCATAAAGAGAAAACTGTAATCTCAATTCCAACCAGCAATTTTGGGGGAGTAGTATATTTCTAACTAGTGGCAATCTGGTGAAACTTATGAAGCTCTTCTCAGAACACTGTTTTTAAGTGCATAGAGAAACTTAACCAGAAAACCAATTATATCTAAAAAAAATAGTAATGATCATCAAAAGATTTTAAAGTAATATGTGCATCTTTACCACACATTAAATGAAAATAGCAGTCATTCTAGTAACTTCTACAGTTTTGAAGTGATGAGCATGAACAACATTTTGAGAGATCTGTAATAATTAATGTCGATTAAAAATATCTGCAGTATCCACAGGTGAAAAGTCACAGATACTGCTAGAACTACATTCACAATTGAAAGAAATACTGAATTTTATTGAGATCCACGAAAATAAAGATATAATTCATTTATTTCCTACCAAAATTCATAGGTCTCGACTGTAGACTAAAATCCCTGACTCTAGATACTATTATTTATTTGGCGATCTGACCTCTACCTATGGAGGGAATGTCACAAAAAGTGATCAAAGAACATCTTCTTAACTGGGGCCATAAACTCTGTGGCAGAATCTTCTTGGGGCAAGGGTTCAGGCCCGCAGCCTTGTGTGTGTTGTATACGACCCTGACGACTGCTGACCAGATGGCCTGACCCATCACGTGACCATCAGAAATGTGAAACTTTTCAGGGTTGCTCATCAATCCTGTCTTGAACTAGGAAGGTGAGAGGAAGTTGACTGGGTAGATAGAGAGGCAGGCGGGCATAAAGCCGACCCCTAGGGAGAAACAGGAAACAGAAACAAACTTGGAGCAGCTTTGCTGGGGCTTGCCTGTTCCCACTCGCAGCAGTTCCTCTTGGGGTGAGGTGGGGTTATACCACCTTCCCTCGGGTTAGCTCAGAGGATTCTTTATTCTGAAAATAAATTTCCTTTTTTGCTCCAGCAACCAAAAGTGCCTTAACTAAGTGAGGCTCTGAAAGCGTAGGGCAAACTCTGCATGCTCCTGCTCAACATGGGGACTGTTAACAACCACAGCAACAGAAGGTTACAGCCACACGGGTGGAAGGCAACTAGCGCTCATTTCTCCATAAATCAGCAGCTCTATCAAGTGGATCTCTCTAAACAGTACACAAAGAATCTATACTTTAGTGACCTCACATGTCAGCAGACATATTTCTCTGTCTTACTTTCCTACAACAGCCTTGCATAAATGGACTTGCAGCCGCTGGTGCTCACTGCTGGCCATTTGGGCAGCACTACTGGGTATTTCAAGAGAACAGCCAAGACATACAGACAGCATGTGGCTCTACATTTATACAAACTACTACAGGAGAGTAACAGTCACAGAGACAGACGCTTCTAATTTACATGTGGAAAACAAAGCAAACCTCTGTGCTCTTCTATCACTGTTACTGCTTTTAATTAGCAATAAGCAAACATAGAAAACCAAAATTACATTATCAGCCTAAGTGGGTGAAGTCAGTCTCTTAATCTGTCCTAAGCGTAGAGCTCTTCGATTCTGCTCTTACTGAAATGAACGGTGCCCCCAATCCTTATCTAATTATTCCTGATTGCCTGTAGCCTCCTAGGAAAAACAAAAAACAAAACAAAAAACAGTGGGCTTATTGCTTCTGTAAATGAAGACAAGGTGATTTTTATTAGCGGCTCACAGAACACTTAAGAACATTACCAGGCCAGGCGCGGTGACTCACACCTGTAATCCCAGCACTTTGGGAAGCTGAGGCGGGCGGATCACCTGAGGTCAGGAGTTGGAGACGAGCCTGACCAACATGGTGAAAGCCCGTCTCTACTGAAAATAGAAAAACTTAGCCGGACATGGTGGTGCATGCCTGCAGTCCCAGCTACTCGGGAGGCTGAGGCAGGAGAATTGCTTGAACCTGGGAGGTGAAGGTTGTAATTAGCCTAGATCTCGCCACTGCACTCCAGCCTGTGTTTCTGTCTCAAAAAAATAAATCCTCCCTCCCGCCAAAAAAAAAAAAAAAAAAAAAAAAAGGAACATACAATGTGAGCATCTGAGATGGCTGTTCAGTAACTTATACTCCTGGACCTCCTAGAGGAAGAGGTCTGACCACCCCAACCGTCACATTTCTCATATTACCCATGCCTAGTGATCAACTTCCCCTGAAACAAGCATTTTTGGAAAAGATTTTGCTGCTTGCAAATGTTTAGAAGCCATCAGAGGGGCTGGTGGGTGGGCCACCCCATTCCTCCCTATACCCTAAGTTGCAGGCTTGAGTGACTATTCGCTCCACCGCTGATCTTTCACAGCCCCACTCAAAGGCCAGCTCTTCCAGAGTCCACTCTGATCCCTCAGCAGGCTCAAGGATATGACACCTGCCTCAAGATAGCACCTATGTTATTCTGTATGCTGTAATTTGCTGTATCCAGTTCCACCTCCAAAAAATATGTTCCGTAAAGGATGGGATTACTTATCCCTCAGCTTATCCCCATTCTACAACTCATTTGTTTAACTGAATCCAATGGTCTTGAAAAAGCCTTCCACCTCAGTGATGCCACGAAGGCTCCACCTCTAATTCCGCACTTCACTGCATAGCCACAACACTCCGGTTTGATATCATCCCCCCTGTTATTGTGACCAAATGTGTTTCTGCCTGGTTAGAGTTGTGTTTTGGTTTAATCAACTGTTGTTAACCTGTCCCACTCCATTAAGCCAGTTCTTCAACAGAAGGGGCTTTATTCTGTGTGCCTGGTCAACACTCTGACTGCCACTTGAAAGTGACTGTCACTCAGAAGACAGGAGCCACTGCTTCTGAGATGAGTCTGCCTGTCACTACTCTCTGTGACACTGTTTAGTTATTTTGGAACTTTAGTCAATTTCAACCAAGACGCTAGATTTGTTCAAGCATTTCTACTAAATCTGCTGCACTTCCTGCTTCTCAGGGGCAAGTACTGCTTGGCTATTCAGTTACAGAGGTATTTTTAAGCCCAAAATCTGCCCTCAAGACAAATTAAAACAAAAATATGCACAATCTTTCTAAAACCTAACTGACACTGACTTCAAGCAAAAGTAACTCACAGCTTAGTAATGCTGCAGTGCTTATTAGTGTCCTAATGAATATAAAAGATAGAAAGAGAGAGAACAGATTGGCAAAAAGTTAACAGTGAATTGAAGGGAAGGGTATTCAGATGCTCAATGCACTACTCAACTTATCTGCAGGTGTATGTAATTCTTTTCAAAACATAAGAGGAATGGGATTATGACACCTTGCATACAAGGATATCTTTGCTCACTTTTGCAAAATGGAAAAGAGTGTGTATACATAATCTTCTATAACTACAGAACTTGGCCACATAAGCACTCAGCAGTATTTCACAACCCAAACTGGCTGAAAAGGCTACTCTAGGTCCACATATCTACTAACCACCGACCATCCCCCCACCCCGCTCCTTCCTGCCGTCTCTTTCTTGCTTTTTAATTTTATAACCAGGAAGAAGCTTAAGACTGAATAATACCCAGCAACAGCAACTAAGTAGTCCTTAAACACAGTCCAGTTTCAGATACTCTATTACTTAACAGTTTCTTAAAAAATTAATTCTGAAGCAACCTACCCACACCTCTGTGGGTGATATCCATCTGTACCTCCACCGGTGATAAGACTACATAAGAACAGTGTTTGGCTAAACTCTACCTTTATCCTTCATTAGCCCAAATAATTTACAGCTATCTAATTTTGACCTCCGGCTCATCAGCTTATGGTCTACATTCAAATGTTATAAAGTTTAGTTAGCCAGCATTACCTTATATGGTGCAATTTTAAAGTCTTTCAAACACTGAAAAACGTAGATTTACATTCCTGCAGTTTTGGTCAAAAGCAGTGATTATTTACTGTGACCAAAGGCCGACTTAGTCAACAGGTTTTTCTCATAATGGCATGATATTTTTGGCAAACTATTATAAAATATTTTGTTTCTTCTATAACAATGTAATAACTCATTGCGTGTACAGTTCTTTGTGGTCATGCAAACTGAAGTGACAAACTAAATGATTTACTTATTTTCTTGGGCAAGTCAGGTTCGGCTGGATCCTCTGAATGTTCTTGGTATCTTTAATACTCTAGAATTGTAACAATTTCCAACTGTTCACCCAAAATATCTTCATGATATTTTATTTTAGGGCAAGGAATATAATTTAAGATTTGGAATGCTAAAACAGAGTCAAGTTTCAGTAATTTTTCATTACTTATACATTGTTAATATTCCATCTTCATTTCATCTAACACTGAAATTGTATATTAAGTTAAAAACAAATATGTACTTATATTTTATTCTAGTATTTTCAATGTAAATAGTTAAATAAAGTGATAAAGATAGTTCCCTAGATGTAATATTATCTTTCAAGAGAATATATTACATCTCGAGCCAGGCACAGAGGTTCACTCCTGTAATCCCAGCACTTTGGGAAGCGAAGGCGAGAGGATCACTGAAGTCAGGAGTTCCAGACCACGCTGGCCAACATGGTGAAACCCCGTCTCGACTAAAGTACAAAAATTAGCCAGGCATGGTGGAGCACGCCTGTAATCCCAGCTACTCGGGAGGCTGAGGCAGGAGAATCACCTGAACCCAGGAGGTGGACGTTGCAGTGAGCCAAGATTGCACCACTGCACTCCAGGCTAGGCGACAAAGCAAGACTTCTCCAAAAAAAAAAAAAAAAAAGAGAGAGAAGCTTCACTTTTAGTGACTGTTTAGCACATAGCAGGTTCTCAGCCAATGTTCAATGCATGAATAAGAATCAAAGATTGTTTTAAATAAAAGTTAAACTGAAGGGTGGAGGGTTCAAGCAACTAAAGATTACCAAAAGCAAATGTACAACAATTTTAAACAAAACCAAACCTTTCTAACTACAGTATATACAAACTACTATAATCTCTCCATTGAATTTTTTAATTACGAAAGAAAAAAGCTAGATATTATCTATATTATAAAGCTCTCACAAAGAACTTTATAAGTCTTTTTTATATGTCTAGTAGGAAACTTACCAAAAAAGAAAAAAAGGCTTTCCAAACATGTTATAACAAAAATCGCTGGTTTGGATAAAACACAGAAAACGCATCCCAGGATTACAGATGAGCTCCATCAGTCAATTCCCTCGGTGCCTGCCAAGCAGCCTGACTTCAGAACTTCTTTCACCTTTTCCCTCTCCCTCTCCCTCTCCCCAATTTCATTGGCTTTCCATTAAATCACCTGGAACACCACTTTTCTAAAAGACTGTCTCCTTTGCCTATGAAAACTAGCTACCACTTGTTTTTAGTAATAAAGCCTTTCTAAAATGCTTTGCCTAATTACCACATCACTCTACAGATGGTCACAACACAACTGCATGTTTCAAGTACAATCAACTTACAGATATTCTCAAGCTAATCCCAAAATGCCATTAAGTGCTTATCACTTTAATTTTCCAAAGGTAGATTTGAATCCATCAGTGGGTGATCCTTTTTTTTAAGAACTCACAGTGAATCCAACATGAAAAACCATAATTAAGAGGTTTAAAACAATTTTATTACCACCACTGCACAAAGTAAGGGTGAACAAGTTATACTTCATGTCACACACACGTGTGTGTTCGATGAATAACAACTCAAGTGGTCCAGGTGAATAAAGTAAAGAACACCAAAGACTTGACAATCACAAGAGAAACCAACGTCTAAGAATTTATGAAACTGGGCAAGTTATTTCCTGGGACTCAATGGTAAAGACACAGCAGTAATCCAAATTTTCCATCTTTGAAATTTTCCATCTTTCAGTCAATATTAGTAATACCTGGGTCAAAGGGGAGAGTTAGGCATACCAATTAATGATCATCAGAAATGACATAGTCCTACAAAAGCAAAGAAAATTTAGAGACACTTTCTTAAAAATACGACTCTTGGTACTGTTGAAGAAAACTGTATGAGGAAGAACGTGATGTAAAAATAAAAATGGGGAACCTTCCATCTAAAAAAGAGAAAAGTAAAAAAAAAAAAAAAAGGCAGTTTTATTGCCCATTAAAAAAGAATATAACGGAGTTGAACATAAGTAGACCAGGATGTCTCAAATTTCCCTTTAATTCTGTCCAACACAAAGAACGAGAAACCTAAACCATGCATTCACCTCAAATAACCCAATTAAAAAGCAAAAATCAAACAGCAGTAGTCAAAAAACTAATCCCCTAAGTAGAGGCTCCATGTGCAAAGTCCAGATTGCAGGTAGGACAGTCGGCAAGGCCTCCCTGTTTCACAGCTCTCTTCCCAACCCGTGGACAAAGACTACGGTCTGCCGCCAGGAGCGGAATGCCAGATAGACCTTGGGTTTCTCAGTGACACTTCCAAAGACACATTTGCATCTCAACACTTTTTCCAAAAAGCAAGCTGAAACATGTATTGGTAATTAAAATGAGAAGATGGCCACATAGATGGACATATAGTAACAAAAACTGAAATGTTTAAACCACAAATGATAGTATAACTCACAAACCATGGCACTCACCAAGTCAAAGAAGTCAAATAAAGCCAGACCAACTGAATGCTAGCTAAAAAGGGCGGAACTCAGAATCAGAAGAAACAGGAAGAAGACATGCACCACAAACACAGCACTAGAAAACAGCACCCAGAGCCATACAAGTCATTCTGCTGCAGACAAACAATAAATTGCACATCAATCCTCCTGAAAATCAACTACAGTACAAGGAGAAATGAACCGATTTATATCAGGCTGTGTAAGTCTCATTCTGTTGGCCAATAGCCAGATCCACTTGGGAATCTCCTATTTTAAAAATATGAGTAATGTACTTGTAGAGAGCCTATTTAGTTCACCTACGTGGGACCTCCCTATTTGGGGGATTTCAGGGTAAACTTCTTCAAGTGAATGTCTTGCATTAGGCTGTGTGAACAGCACATAAAACTCAGTCATGAATTAAACACGTGGCATATCCAGTTCTCACGGATGATAAGGTCCATGAAATCAGTGAGAGCATTTCACTGATTTCAGGATGACACACTTGAGTGTGAGGCTGTGAGTATTTACACCTGTGAACACCGCCATTTTTCACAGCTATTCTGGCTTCTCTTCCAATTGTTCTAGAAACTTTTCCAGGGATCCTGCCAGAAATTAGTAACATTCTTAAGAGTACTAATTTCAGACACATGTGAAGAACTATCTTGTAAACCCCATCTTAGCTTCTTCCCTTCCTGATTTGCTATGGCTTAAATACCTCCTCAGTATCACACAATTATCAGATGATTCTGATATATAGATTAAAAAGCACAATTTAAAAAAAAGAGATTTAAGTCAATCTCTACTAAGTAAGAAATGAATGTTCAGTATTTAGGTAAAGCAAGGGTACTTGTTCCACTGGTGGTGGGTCAGGGGGACTAGTGAATGCTGCCAGTAACAGCCCTTCATGGTGCATCCACCCAGAACCATGCTCCTCTTCAAGGGCACCAAGAGCTCCTTAGAGGCCCTTGCCCAGCCTCTGACTCACACCTATCCCCGGATCTTAGTACATGTGGCCTGCAAGCTTTCTCTTCATGATGTCTGGGGCAAGTCTCAGTTCTTCCAAGGCAGGCCCCAGAAATCAGCATTTTCTAGTACTAGTATTATCCCAAGCCCTAGGCAATAGGGTTAAGATTTAAACAATGGGTATCTTTTCTTAAAATACTTTTTCTTTAACAAGACTGTTTTTGGAATCCTGCTTTATAGAAACAATCTGACCTATTTATGAAAAACTGGGTTGGCCTCATATTGACGTGTGTGATTTCAAACAGCCCTGCAGCCTGCTTTCAGGTTCGTGTAAATAAAGTTTTGACGCTGGGGAGAAGTCCTAAAAATGGAAGTGAAGTATGGAAATGGGGAGACAGGGCAAGACCTGGAACATTCTTAACGGGCTCATGGAACATACTCCTGTAAAAATATACCCAAGAACTTAGCAAATCTTACCAATGCCATCTTCCCCCCAGAGTTACTGTTCCACAGCCTAATCATTAGGAAACAGAAATCAACTCATTAACACATAATAGAAACACCAGAGGCAACTAGATCTTAAATCTCAAAGGAAACCTGATAATGGATGCTTCTTCACCCTCCATTGACTGATCAAACCCAGTGATCGGTCAGAAAATATTAATTAGGGTCCACGGGGAGCCTGGTCAATCTAGAGACTGAGGAATTGTGCAGAAGACATAAGCCCAAGAATGGGCGCTTGAGGACTAATTATTAACAGTGAACAGCAGTTAGATCCACAGCAACTTGCCAAGTGAACACAGCCCAACAAACAGGGGTAGCTGCTTTTGCTGAGACCTCCCTTCTCCACTGCTGCCTATGCCCATATTCCACAGACACGCACACCTCATCCGTAAGAATCTACCGTCTCCCTTTCTCCTTTTTCCCCTCTCATGAATTTCTACTGGAGAGGACATTACACCATAAAATGGCCCAGCCTCTGGCCCAGTTTTGCTGGCTCAATAGTTACCACGTCCCACCAGCCTCCTGAGACAGGGAAACTGGCCACTGGACTTGGGGATGCAGCAAGCGCTTGTTCTTGCTTTTGGTGAACACTTACTAAGCACTGACTATGTGCTGAGCACTCGGGGCAGAGGGATGAGTAGGAGTTAACCTCAACATGAACTGCAGCTCGGAAAAGAAAACGTCAAGAAGAAATCACATGACACCAGGGCAACTGAGCCAAAACAATTTTTAAGGAATAATATACCACAATTTAGAAAAAGGGATTAAATTACCCCGAAATTAAGAAGCATCACACTTATTTGCTAAGCCAAATCTATTAAGATCACCATAAAATGCAAATTTTAAATCAGACAAAACTGTGCTTAAAGGGGATTGGGATCAAGCAGTAAGAGAATTAAGTGTCAAGAGACCCCACTAAGTGACGGGACGACTGAGAGACAGGAAGGGGACATGCAGAAGAAGACAGGCTCAGACCCAGGGCCTTGGGGCAGAAAAGAAGGGGGTGCCCCCCAGGCACGGCTTACCCCCAGGTGAAGTCTGTAGTGAGGTGCTAATGCAGAATCCAACAGACTCTCCACCGGGAGCATCCCCCTAAATTCCTGCCCCACAAATCAGACTCATCTCTAACTGCCTCCAGCACAGTTTAGCAATGGGCAATGGCCATGAGTGACACCGTCACTCTTAAGTGGTCAAAGAAGAATGAGAAACAAGAGAAATGCAGGAGAAAGGAAGAAATGAGAAAAAGAGGAGCTAAAACAGAATGATAAGGAGTCCATTTACAGAAGAAAGGCATTCATTCACTCAGCAGGTCTGGATGCAGTCCATCTGGGCCTAGCGGCCACCTACCATCCCAGGATGGTTGGCGTTCCTACCTCTGGAGGCTGGGAAACCCAGACCCACAAGGCTAAGAATGACACCACCGGTAGAGTTCACTGTGCAGGAGGGCACCTGGGATCCAGGGGCCTTTGTGAAAATGCTTACTTCTGGGCAAATGCAGCTCTGTCTGCGAAGGGCTACATCCCTTCCCAAGGAAAGGTTGAGAATGACCTCAGGATGAGTCACTCTCCTAAACAAAGGAAAGTCCCTTTGAAGGGTCCACAGAGACACAGAGCCTCAGAAAGACAGACAGAGGGTCAACAGGAAGAATAAAATAAAAATACAGCTGCACTATTCACAACAGCAAAGACATGAAGTCAACCCACGTGCCCGCCAATGGTAGACTGGATAAAGAAAAGGTGGTACATATACACCATGGAATACTACGCATTGATTAAAAAAGAATGAAATCATGTCTTTTGCAGGAACACGGATGGAACTGGAGGCCATAATCTTAATTAACACAGGAACAGAAAACCAAATACTGCATGTTCTCGCTTATAAGTGGGAGCTAACATTAAGGATGCATGGACGTAAATACAGGAACACTAGACACTGTGGACTACCAGAGGGTGAGGGTGTCGGTTTAAAAACTACGCATCAGGTACTATGCTCACTACCTGGGTGACGGGATCCATATTCCAAACCTTAGCATCAAGCAATATTCTCACATAACAAATCTGCTCGTATATCCCCTGTATCTAAAATAAAAGTTGAAATAAAATAAAAATAAAAGTAGAGCTACTGGGAAGGCTTAAAGGGGCAACACGGGTAAGGGGACGGCTTTGATCCATTTGATTTCCCTGAGAGTGCCCTTCCTTCCTTTGTTGAGAGACAGCAGCTCCACAGCCACTGTGCACCCAAGGACCACCTGGCAAGGGCCATCTGTTCTGTGGCCTGTGCCTGTTCCAGACCCAGGGTTCCCAGGAGCCTTACGTGCCATTAGTGTTTGTAAAGTAACTAAACAGGCAAAATGACAGCAACACTTAGGGCATGGGGCCTATATGTAAAGAGCTGAATTGGACTTAGACATGCAGATACTCCAATGATGAAATCCCTCTGGCAAGAGTAACTGACAAGGCAATACTGCAAGGAAAAGACAATCATAATGACATCAGGGGGTCAGGTGACAGGAGCAAAATTTTGACCAAAGGTAAAAGTTTACATTTCCCTACTAATGAGAAATAAGATCATGGAGAACTACTTACTCTTTAAATCCAGTACGTTGAGAGGCCATTGTTTAAATCTGCCTGAAGCAATCTCAGGAAAACAAGATCCTGAGCGTGGCACAACAGAGCCTTTGTGCCCTCAATGAAAATCGGATTCTTGAACAAATACTACCATCAGTCTCACCTCACTACCATGACATGTGGCTTTACAGAACCAAACACCCTCTCCTGAAGCCATGCAATTCAATACCCAGGTAATCTGATTCCAATTTATTTAAGCTGGAGCTAGCCCATTCTGGGGCAGGACAGTTACCAGGAGGTTGAGCCAACCTTGTCTTGTAGTATGACATGCTCATCAAGGAAATTATAGCTTATTTCCACACTATTTCCCTCACTCCTGTAATGGCTCTAAGCCCTTCTGATAAGACTGTTTTTCAGATGCTTTCTGATATAATTACCTAGCACTTTTATAAAAAATTTTCTAGCATTGACACAGAAGTGTCAAAGAATTTAAGTCACGTGAATGTGTCATCCTGAGGTAAAAATTGCTATATCCAACAGGGTCAGGCTCACAACTGACCTCTCTGTCCCACTGCTGAGTGGCATCAGAAACCCCCATTAGTATAAGCAGTGTAGGCTAGTAAAAAAGGAGTCAAAGAAAGTGCTCACTACTATGAATGTCTGGATTCAGTTAAAACACACATTCACACAAGAGCAACTCAGGAATTATCTGGAGATCGGAAAACTTACTTAATTTCCTACTGTATGACACATAAGAAATGAGGCTCATGAAAATGTATGAAGAGCCTATTTAAGATTCCTGAATACTTCAAGCATGTGAGAATAAAACCATATGAAATAGTTGTGTTAATATATGTCTAACTACAAGTACTTTAAAAATAAGGTAAGCTTTATTAGATTTTTAAATTACACTCACAGGATTATGATTTTGTTAATTTGAAATGTTTTAGGTACATATCTACTCTGGTCATCTACAACAATGTGCATGTGTGAATGTGCCAGAATCCCAATCAGGATGCAGCTCCCTGCAAGAGGCAATAGTTGTCCTTAATGAAGGATACAATCTTTTAAGACTTACACATCAGACCCAGGCTAGAATAGAGAGACAGAAAAAATTTCAAAGAAGTCTCCTTTTAGAAAATACCCTTTAGTTGGCCAGGCCTGGTGGCTCACACCTATAATCCCAGCACTTTAAGAAGCTGAGGCAGGTGGTTCGAGACCAGCCTGGCCAACATGGTGAAACCCCGTCTCTACTAAAAATACAAAATTTACACCATAGAATACTATGCAGCCATAAAAAAGAATGAGTTCATTTCCTTTTCAGGGACATGGATGAAGTGGGAAGCCATCATTCTTGGCAAACTAACACAGGAACAGAAAACCAAACACCACATGTTCTCACTTATAAGTAAGAGTTGAACAATGAGAAGATATGGGCACAGGGAGGGGAACATCACACACCGGACCAGGGCCTGTCCAGGGATGGGGGGCAAAGGGAGGGAGGGCATAAGGACTAATACCTAATGCATGCAGGGCTTAAAACCTAGACGATGAGTTGATAGGTGTAACAAACCACCACGGCATGTGTATACCTATGTAACAAACCTGCACGTTCTGCACATGTATCCCAGAACTTAAAGTAAAATTTAAAAAACAAAAAAACAAACAAACAAAAAATAAAAATTAGCCAGGCATGGTGGTACACACCTGTACTCCCAGCTACTCAGGAGGCTGAGGCAGGAGAATCACTTGAACCTGGGAGGTGGAGGCTGCAGTGAGCCAAGATCGTGCCACTGCATGCCAGCCTGGGCAAGAGAGAGAGACACTGTCTCAAAAGAGAAGAAAAAAAAAGAAAATACCCTTTATGTGGTTGATGACATATAAAAACACCTTGGAAGTGATTATGCTGCCTGAATCTACATGATCATATAATACTTGCAAACAGAACTGCACTTGCAAAGGAATACGATTATCATCAAGCCAGGATATAAAAATGATCCCTGACCAGTGCTATCAAAATAATAAGGAAGACAGGCTCATTATTCTATATATCCAGGGAACTGAGGGGAAAATATACAAGCAAAGTTAAGGAAGCCACTCCTAAAATGCTTTCACATACCACACTGTGTATGTGGCATATCTAATACCCATTTTAGATCTCACTCAATATGAACTCTGCCATTTTTATAGGTAAAAGAACAAAGTAAAAACTGATACCTTCAATGTTCTCAAGGTCAGTACAAAGAATATGGGCTAGAAGAGTGTTAAATTACAAGCCATCTGTTCTGATAATTTACGACATGATTTCTCTAATCTCCTTCAACACTACACAATATCTCTATGGCAACACAGTGACTTCAAATGAGAGTTTGAAGGGCCAATTGTGCCTTCAGTATGTTCACAGAGCAGGAAGCTCCTCCACGAGCCAGGATCTTCTCCTTCATGGAGCACATCCTCATCATAAAGGGACTGCATTCATTTTCTCCACTCTCTCCAGATATGTGAATGGAATGATTCTGCAAACTGCACTTACACCTTACTCCAAATTGGCCGTGATTCCATAACCCACAACTAATACTGTGCCTTGGCATAACTCGGTGGTTCCTAACCCTAGCTGTGCGTCTAAATTCCCAGTAGAGACCAGGCATGGCGGTTCACACCTGGAATCCCAGCACTTCAGGAGGCCAAGACAGGCAGATGGCTGGAGTCCAGGAGGTTGAGACCTGCCTGGCCTCCATGGCAAGACCCCATTTCTACAAAAAACTAGCCAGGCATAGTGGTATGCACCTGCAATCCCAGCTACTCAGGAGGCTAAGGTGGGTGGATCGCCTGAGCCCACAAGGTGAAGGCTGCAGTAAGCCATAATCACACCACTGAACTCTAGCCTGGGTGACAGGGTGAGACGCTGTCTCAAAACAAACTACAAGTAGAGTTTTTTCAAAATACATTTCTAGGGGCCTAATCTAGAACCACTAAATCAGAATCTCTAGGGATTCTGTATTTTTAAAGAAAACTTTCCAGGTAATTATGCTAAAATCTGAGTTAAGGAACCACAGGCATAAATCACAACAACCATCTACTGCACTTCTACCTGGGGACTGCTCTGGGCCGGCGCTGGGGTCAGAGGTCCCAGCAACTCAAACTCACGAGTGAAGGAACAATTATAACCCAAAGGAACCAGTCCAGAATCCAGTTCTCACAAAGTGTCATGCCAACACCAATGGGCCTCAAGAGGCTGGGACAGGATGGTCAAGTGCAGTTTTCCAAAGGAAAGGATGTTTGAGCTGAGTTAGGAAGGGAAACCAGGAAGAAGAGGGAACAGCAAACACAAAGAGGTACAGGTACAAGAGCACAAGACACACAGGCCAACAGGGGCAAGAAGTCCAAGTTTCCCAGGAGGTCTGCCCAGCTACAAAGGACAGACTGATCTGCAACTAAGAAATGTGTGTTTGAGCCAGGCATGGTAGCTCACACCTGTAATCCCAGCACTTTGGGAGGCCAAGGTGTATCACTGGAGGTCAGGAGTTCAAGACCAGCCTGGCCAACATGGTGAAACCCCATCTCTACAAAAATACAAAAATTAGCCGGGTGTGGTGGCGCATGCCTGTAATCCCAGTTACAAGGAGACTAAGGCAGGAGAATCGCTTGAACCCAGGAGGCAGAAGATAGAGTGAGTCAAAATCACACCGCTGCACTCCAGCCTGGGCGACAGAGCAAGACTCCATCTCAAAAAAAATAATAAATGTATGTTTGGGCATCACATGTGGCCTTGGTTACAAAGTGCCATCCTAGACCATGCAAACAAAAAGAGGAGCTTCAGTGGGAGAAAGGGACGAGTCGGGAAGGAGATCTGAGAATAATTCTGCACTGGTCTTCACCAAATTCCTCACCTGTAACACAAGTAAAATAGGCGTGTACCAGTAAATGTGTGATAAATGGGAGCTAACACATGATGTCTTTTTAAGAGCATCTCAAATTTCATTTCCACCTTGAGGGCAATTTCAATTAGGTAGACTTGAGCTAGTTGATCATCTTTTATAATTTTAATTTCTACATTATTCCCCAGCACATTTTTAAAAGAGGCCAAAAGAGAGAATCTGCCTAATCATCTTGCCTCTTTAGACTATCAGCTCCCACTGGACAGAGTATTATTTTTGTCTTCTCCAGCTGTATGGCACCTGGCATGTTGACGTTACTCAAGGGATAAACAGCTCATTCATTACACAGTGTCATGTATATTAAATAATGTCCATAACGTCCTTTGAAGATGAAAACCACTTCAAGCACTAAATAATTCTGAGCTAGGCATTTGAAACTGGGAAACAAAGATGACAGTCCAAACATCATGAAAAGGTCACCCCCCGGCGGGAGGCACTGCACTAAGAGACTCTTGTTCTGACAGACCTCTGGTCCCTTTGCAGGCATTCTACCCAGCAGACCAACCCCAACCTGCTCTACGTGTTCTTAATGTATATAACTGGCGAGAAGGTTTCAAAACACCACAAAGAACAAAAGTCCTTAGAGGCTCATTTCTTTCAGGGACTGTGCCCAAAATAAATTTCAAAGCCACACAAATTCTTCTGCGATGTCTCTTTTTTAATTGAGTTGGAATACTCTGTATGAAGTGTCAACTCAATTCTAAAACAGGCACAATGAAAATTATTGCAACAGAGCATATGCGATTTTATGCAAATTAATGCCGTTTCTGTTTTAGAGTCTAACAACATACTCTATGTCTCGGTCTATATGCTGGTGAGCAGAGGTGACTCCAATATTCAAGAATATAAAGCTCGGCCGGACGCGGTGGCTCACGCCTGTAATCCCAGCACTTTGGGAGGCCGAGGCGGGCAGATCAGGAAGTCAAGAGATGGAGACCATCCTGGCAAACATGGTAAAACCCTGTCTCTACTAAAAATGCAAAAATAAATGAGCTGGGTGTGGTGGCGCATGCCTGTAATCCCAGCTATTCGGGAGGCTGAGGCAGGAGTATCGCTCAGGAGATGGAGGTTGCAGTGAGCCGAGGTCGTGCCACTGCACTCCAGCCTGGCAACAGAGCAAGACTCCATCTCAAAAAAAAAAAAAGAAAAAAAATATAAAGCTCACACTAGCAGAAAAACAATGACACCGATTTTTAATGTTAATATCACTTTCAGGAGAAGCATAGCAGAAAGTTGCCTCTCCCTTCAACTTTCCCAGAATGTTTAAAAAACAATAAAAGCTAAAGCATCATCAGTTTCCACTTTTTCAGCTATGCTCTTCACTATCTCAAAAGACACCACCAGGACTGAAACAATCTACAGGGAAGCAAAGTCTCTCTCTCTTTTTTTTTTTTTTTGACTGCGATTTCCTGAAAAGTTAACCCAGGTTTTTCCACAAAATTTCCAAATATGCCATCAAATCACAACTGAAACCTGGTCAAATCTTATCCACAATCCCCTCCTTCAAATAGAGGTGATTTCACTTTTTCTAACACCAAAAAAAGGGAGAGGGGGAGTGGGAGTAGAAAAAACTGAGTCAAATTCCTCCATAAGAGACGCACGTCAGAGTAGGAGACACCAGCACAGGCGGATTCCACCCCCGGCAGAACCCACTGTGCGCGTGGTAACCTTGTCCCTATAGCCACCTGAGCTGGGGCAAGTTAAAAAACCTCTCTGAGTTCCATTTCCTCAGGTATAATGTTATCACTGCCTACTTTGTAAGGGGTAGGAAAATTAAGTGGCTTATACATAGTAAACACTCAATAACTGAAGCTATTTCAAAATCTGAAATGTATCACACATTTAGCCATGACTTTTTGTTCTTTATTTTTATTTATTTATTTAAGAGACAGCGTGTCATCGCTCTGTTGCCCAGGCTAGAGTGCAGTAGCACAATCATGGCTCACTACAGCCTCAAACTCCTAGGCTCAAGCAATCCTCCCACCTCAGCCTCTTGAACAGCTGGGACTACAGGTGCACGCCACCAAGCCCAGCGAATTTTAAATTTTTGGTAGATACTGAATCTCACTATGTTGCCCAGGCTGGTCTCAAACTGCTGGGCTCAAGAGATTCTCCCACCTTGGCCTCCCAAAATGCTGGGATTACAGGCAGAAATCACCGTTTCCAGCCTCATCACTATCTAATTCCAAAACATCTCCATTAGCTCAAAAACTTTCCTCAGAATGTTTGACCTATTAGCAGTCATTCTCACTACCCCTAGTCATGACTTTTTACTCCCAGATTTTTTTTTTTTTTGAGGCGGAGTCTCACTCTGCCGCCAGGCTGTAGTGCAGTGGCGTGATCTCAGTTCACTGCACCCTCTGCCTCCCGGGTTCAAGCGCTTCTTCTGCCTCAGCCTCTCCAGTAGCTGGGACTACAGGCGTGCACCACCACGCTCAGCTAATTTTCATATTTTTAGTAGAGACAGGGTTTCACCACGTTGGCCAGGATGGTCTCGATCTCTTGACCTCGTGATCCGCATGCTTCGGGCTCCTAAAGTGCTGGGATTACAGGTGTGAGCCACAGCGCCCGGCCTATTCCCAGTTTTCTAATATCAAAAGCCCTTCTCCATTAAAATATTAATAAGCAAATTATGATTTTTTTTCTTGCTAAAATGTGTCATCATAGAAAGGGTTGCTAGAAATACAGAGGCCAAATTTTCCAGAACACAATCTAACAAGCATGAGGATGTTTATGGGCAGTACAGAACATAATATATGAAACTGAGACTGTCTCCCCAAGTCAGCGACGTAATATCCGTGTCATCATTTAATGTAGAAAAACACAGAACAGGCTGGGTGCAGTGGCTCCTGTGTATAATCTCAAGCCTTTGGGAGACTGAGGCAGGTGGATCGCTTGAGCCCAGGAGTTCAAGACCAGCCTGGGCAACATGGCGAAACCCCATCTCTACAAAAAAAGATACAAAAATTAGCTGGGTGTCGTGGCACATGCTCAAAGTCTCAGCTACTTAGGAGACTGAGGCAGGATCACTTGAGCCCAGAAGATGGAGGCTGCAGTGAGCCGAGATCATACTACTGCACTCCAGCCTGGGCAAGAACAAGACCCTGTCTCGAAAGAAAGAGAGAAAGAGAGAGACAGGGAGAGAGAGAGAGAGACAGGGAGAGAGAGAGAGACAGGGAGAGAGAGGGAGACAGGGAGAGAGAGGGAGACAGGGAGAGAGAGGGAGACAGGGAGAGAGAGGGAGACAGGGAGAGAGAGGGAGACAGGGAGAGAGAGGGAGACAGGGAGAGAGAGGGAGACACAGGGAGGGAGGCGGGGAGGGGGAGAGAGAGAGAAAGAGAGAGAGAAAAGAAAAATACAGAACAGCAAATGAAATCCTAAGATCTCACCCACCGTTCCATGATTTCTGGGACTGACTGCACATAAACTCAGTTCCCAGAAATCCCGCACTGAGGCAGAAACATAGCTGCTTTGAATTTACTGCAGGTGGTTTCTGGGAAGAAATATTTAGTCAATGAAGGGCAGTAAGCAACAGTCTTTCAAGTCATGACTCACAGCTTACTCCAACACATGAACTCAGCTTCTTCTCCTCCTTGTAGAATGTACTGGATCCCTGAGAAAGGTCCGCTCGACCCATCCTCCTCTACACACCCATTCTCACTGGCTCAACACTTTCCTTTTTATTTCTTCTCTTTGGCAATTTGTACATTGAGATGAAGATGACAAACTGTTTTTCCCACAACAGGTGTCCTTTTTATAAACTGTATGAAATTAATCTCCCTTTCTTCTCTGGCGACTCCTGATTTTTCAATTTTGTGCTCCGACATCACCAGAAAGTAAGCTGTTGATGGAGTCTGGCAGCTCTTTTCTTAAACATGCCCCTGGGGAACTGCAGAGCATTACTTCATCTGTTTTGTTTGGATGACTAACTGACAAGGCACTGAGCTGAACAGAAGCTGACCACTAACTGCTGATTTGAACAGTTTAAACTTGGGGGTGGAGGTTCATTTATCACCGTGGTGTGGGTTAGCATTCTCAAATTACTTTCTGCATATTCTAGGATTGAGTGAATAAGTAAAGATACGGAGGATAAAAGGAGCCAGGTTTTTCACTGTCAGAGAAGGGAATTACAAATACGGAAGAGGAAAGACTAAAATGCACCCTGTGGTACTGTATTGGAATTGGACACACTGAGTCTAAACATATGGTTTTTATCACCAAGAGGTGCAGAAAGAGATCTCAATCACGTTTGCATATGTGTAATTAATGTCTATGTGTATGCATACATACACACACATACACGCATACACTTCTTAGCTCTGTCTACTGAGAGGCCCTAAAAGCAAGGACAACTCTGTAGCAATGAGCACGCTTAGTGCCTAGATCGTGTTTCTAAATACCATTCACTACTAAAATGAACCATTTCTCCAAGGGCTCCTTGGAGAAATGGCTGATCCCAGCCCTGGGGCAAGGAAAGCACAAGGTGCACCTGGAACAGTTTATTGTGCCAGAAAGTAAGAAAGTGCTCCAAAAAAATGATGGAGACAGGTCACAAAAGATAAAAGAGCCAGGATGAAGGGGCTCCCACTAGCCAAATCTTAGATAATTACAGCATCAAACTAAGTGACAGCAAAAGATCATAGCTCATTGCATAAAACAGGAATTTCTGAGGCCATACTTATATAAATAAATAAGTGGAAGATAAGGAAAGCTCTTCCTTATAGTACAAAGTCAACTAAATACAAAAGGAATTACAAAGTTAGAAAAAAAATCAACATTTCGCAACCATCATATTAATAACTGATTCAGGTGAAGATCATCAATGGATGCTACAACTAGCAAATGAAAGAAGGGAGAGGAACAGCCTCAAATTATCTCCCCACAAAATGCTAACTAATGACAAAGGGACAAATAGGGTGGAGAGACCTGCAAGTCATCACCTGAACCAAGTGATCAAAGTGCTCATCACCACAGTGGGACAGTGGATATCACATGTTCCCAGACACGATGCTCCAAAAAGGATGCAGCCCTTCTGCCAAAAATGCACAGCCTGAATTTAGTCATGAGAATCAGGCAACCCAAACTGGGAGGTAGTCTTTAAAATAACCACCATGTAATCGTCAAAACTATCAGGGTAACAAGGGAGACAGGCTGAGGAGATGTTCCAAATTCAAGGAAACTGAAGAGATACGACAAACTAAATGTAACATGGTCCTGAGTGAGATCCTGGACCATAATTTTTTTAACTGCCAAAAAGGACAATCCTGAGACAATTGGTAAAAAGGTGTTAAAGTTAGTGATTTAGATCATGATATCATATCAAAACTAATTTCCTGATTATGATCACTATGTAAGAGCATGTCCTCACTCTTAGAAAATATGCACTGAACCATTTAGAGGTAAGGGACATCATCATATTTGTAACCTACTCTCAAATGGTTCAGAAACAAGATAACATGTAAATTAGCTATATCCAGAAAGAGAAGCAGAGGAAGACAAAGCAGAAGTGGTGAAATACTTACAACTGGGGATCTGAAGCTGTTCTTGCTTCTTTGAGCATGATGAGTTCTGCCTTCTCAAAGTAAGTTTACCCCCACCCCGAAATAACTTTAGATGTAATCCACAATTAATACATGGACCAACTAAATGACCAAAAACTACACAGCAAAATCACAATTCAACTAAGTTAATTCGGACCTGAGCTTTGTATCACCTTTATTAGTTTAAAATAAAAGATATACTACAATAGCAGGTCAAAAGCAACCCAGGGTCTTAAAGGCCAATCCTTTTAATCCTAGAAATCTTCAAACGGAAAGAATTACATAAAAATGTAAAAGCTTGAAAGTTTTAGAAACTCCTAGGGCAAACTAGGAGGAAGTGACTGGTAAATGTTTAGAGCACAATCTACCTTCTGATTATACAGTGTCTGCCTTCAAGAGACCAGCATTTCAATCATCCTGACTGAAATATTAAAACTCCAAAGTAAACGTGGAGTCACACAGAAAAACAGAGCATATTCCCAGTGTGGAAATGATGCTCGAAAACAACAGCTCAGAAGTTTTATGTGGGCATAAACCTGAGCAAGCATCCCATAAAATCATGCCATTGACTGTGAGGGGACCACATGAGGTATGGCTGATGAGAACGCAACCCACACACAGAACAGCCTAGGACACGTGCCTGAGACAGTGGGAAGGAAATGACCCTGCTTCCCCCAACTAAATATCATCTACGTGCACATTTTGATGAAAAACAGCAAAAAAATGAGTGGCTACAACGAAACAGCTATATATAGCAAAACCAGGAGTGACCACAACCATTTTATAAAACCAACCCCAAAAAGGCAGCTCCGTGGTGCCCTCCTGCCCCTCTCACTCCCCGGCCCCGTTCCTTTCCTAAGTTAGAAAGGAAGCCCTGGTAGTGTTCTAATGTGTCACACACAGCAAGGGCTGGGAAACCTCCCTCCCTGGCCAGCCTCTCCCCGCCCTTCCCGTACTCCCAACCCCCACATTAACAGCCAGAGATTTCCTATCCAACACTTGAGTCCAAGTCCAGACAGCCAAGAAAACAGAGGGCCAAGATTTCAATCAGGATTTCTCCCCAGACTGTGAGCCGGGGGAGCCTGTAAAACTCAACAGAGCCAACATGCCTCCACCGGAAAGCTGGGACTGCTAGGGTTATTTACGTAAAAGGTAACATCAGTATTAATTAGGTGAGAAGAGGAAAGGCACAGAAACTAAATTACAGGGCCCAAACCAACATGAGAAAAATACTTGCTATAGCCTGGAATCTTTCACTCAAGTTTTATTTGGTGTGAGACTTGTAAATTATAGCTTTGATCCTTAACACACGAGTATACACAAATTCAATTCTCAGGATTTTAAAATGAAAATCCAGGAGGCTGTGGGATGCTGTATAGAGGAGGGGTCATGCCTACTCTCTCCTTCCATGAGAGGGAAGGGGCATGGAGGGGGCTTTGTAATCTGCCAGCCCTGGGCTTAAATTCCAATTCAGGCCCTCACAAACAGAGTCAAATGGGGCAAGCAGGTCGCTTGCCCTACCAGAAGCAGACATCCTCATCCACAACCCAGGAATGGCATCCACCTGCTGAAGGAGGGGGAGCTGCTTCTATCCAAGGAAAAGTATATAAAACACTCTGCACAGTGCCTGGCAAAGTACAGGCCCTTGGATGGTAAAACCAGTGGTGGCAATACAGAGATAACAGTGAAGAGGAAGATTTTACCAGGTTTTCTTAGAGAACAGGATGGGACTTACAGCTTTGGGAGAAAAAGAAATAAACACAGTATCTTAAATCTCATCCTATGACATTGCAAGCAGGTTACTACTTTGCAGATGTGCTTATTCTACTTTCCTATGGAGCACAATTCCAAAGGTGCTATCTCATCCCACGTGACAGGGGTCCTGGCCTCTCTTGCTGCTCCCTGGCAGCTGCTGTTAAAGATTTAGAGGATAGCAAGGGTGTGGCAAGCATGGCCAGGGGCAGGCTGTTGCAAGGCTGCCATCCTACTTTCCAAAGCCTCCATCGTCCACTCTGCAGGTTATCACCGAAAATCTGTGTGATTCCACCTCAATCTTGCATGCCTTTCGAAGGCTTCCAGCTCTTTGGTTCAGTGGACAGCTTCCGTCTTACAAACAGGCTGAACCTTATGAGAATTCAGACTCCAGCAGAGTTGAGGCTGGCCCTAATAAACAATACCCATGAGGTATGAGAGAAAGGCCTAACAATGAATCCTGCAAATTCTGCAATTAAATATTGGAAAAGTAATATGTATACCAACCAACTAACAAAATTTACCTACTAACAACATTCTGGCACTAAATGACTCTACAGTGAAGCCCCTGCCATGAAGAGCTGCTCTCCTATGGGCAACCCATCAGGATGCACTGATCTGAATTGGCACGTGAGTAAAAGGTACAGCCTGAAACCATCAAATTAGCACCCGTTCTCCAGGCTCCTGGACCCAAGACATATTAGGGTAAGTGCAACAAAATTTAGATGGAGGTGAAGTGACTCTTAAAAAGCGTGAAATACGGACGCAGTGGCTCACGCCTGTAATCCCAGCACTTTGGGAGCCCAAGATGGGTGGATCACGAGGTCAGGAGTTCAAGACCAGCCTGGCCAAGATGGTGAAACCCCGTCTCTACTAGAAATACAAAAAAATTAGCTGGGCATGGTGGCGGGCGCCTGTAATCCCAGCTACTTGGGAGGCTAAGGCAGAGAACTGCTTGAACCCGGGAGGCAGAGGTTGCAGTGAGCCAAGATTGCGCCATTGCACTCCAGCCTGGGTGACAGAGCGAGACTCCATCTCAAAACAAACAAACAAACAAACAAACAAAAAAACTGAAATACATCCTGCCCCCATGCGATCTGGGTTTGTTTTGTTTTGTTTTGCTTTTCGAGCTAGTAATGTTCCCTTGCATGCCAGCTTTCATCACTCTGGTACTGAAAAGGGCAGTGAACGCTGGGAAGAATTTCTCATAATCATGAACTTAAATTTTTTAAAAAGCCACCTACAAATGAGAAATCTATTTGTTTACTATTAGACTAATGAGGGATTTATTCCAGTTATTTAGATGTCAAAATATTGGGCAATTTAAACTTTAGAGATTTTATTGTGTGAAGCTAGTTAGGTGGAAATATATATAACACTCCAGTCAAAGCATTGTTTTTCAATATTTGTGTGGTTCAGCTTCAGAATAAAAAACAGAGGAATTGTAGCTCTCGGTCCTTATCATTTAAAACTTAAACTAATAAAGTTATCTAAAAAACAACAGAATTTTAATGCTATTCCTGCAGGCCCTGGCATATCTGTCATGCAGAACAAGGATGAACTTAAAAAGTAAACACAAATAAGAAAATGCAAAACTTTCAGAATGCAAATGCCAAAGAGTGCCCTCTCACAGGTATCAGTGGCATCCTTCAATGGCAGCAGCAAAAAAGAATCATTGTGAACTTGAAAAAGTGGATGGGTCAATGCAAGAGGAAGCAAAGCAAAATGAATAAACAATGGAGATCAATTTATACACACACTGTTTTGGCCAACATCTTAACGACTTCTCATATGCACATCATTTTCAAATCACAATCTAAACATTTTGCCTGAAAGCATTCATGTCATTTATACATGTCACTTCATATATACTAGGAAACACGAGTTCTTTGAAAATAGATTTCAAGTATTAGTCTCCGATATATTCATTCATTCTTGCACTGAAACCACCTATTCCACAGAAATCCAAAGAGGGGTATTTTATGACTTTCCAAGAGATATACCTACATACATACATACACACACACACACACACACACAAACACACACACACACACAATGAAAAAACAGGCACCAACAAACCCCATTTAAAAATATTTTAGGATTATACGTGTAAATTTGAACTGTGTTTTTCTCAAGTTCATGCATAGTTTTATGGTTATGAGTCTTAAAAGTAGGTGGGGCTAACACTTCATAAATCCATTTATTAATTGTCAATACCGTGAAATAGGTAGCTGTCAATTATATACAAGAATGCCTAAGAACAGAGGGCAAATGACCTCCTATAGTTACTCATGTAGGAACGAAGCCCTCCAGATGAAACTAAACTTCTTCTTTCGCACCAGGAACTGTGAGGCGCTGAAGATCATCCTGCATGGGCCACTTGTCATCTTCGATCTGGACAGCAGCACAAATCATGGGAGTGGGAAATTTTGAAGCAGCAAAAATGGTAACTGTCTATAGCTAAAGATTATTGTAAGTCAGATTTGACTTATACACCAGATGGATTTCCAAATTAACACGTATTACAGAATCCCAGGAAAGAATCTTTATTTCCCCCTATCTATCTTTACCATTACCCTAGATCACCCCCGGGCAATTATAAGAAGCTAGGTCCTACATAGCAAAGTATGAACACAAGTATTACTATCTTTCAAATCGATATAAAATCTTTCCAAATTAACTCAATTTTGTTCAAGTTTACTTAGAGAATAATTACTTATATGAGCTTTGGCTTTTGTTGGTATCATTGGTTCTATCTGCATTTCCTCGATTATGAGTGAGGCTGAATATGTATTTTTTGGCCATTCATACTTCTTTTAATTGTTTGCCTATTTTCTTTCTAGATATGTCTTGTCTTAATTGATTTGAGGGAGCCCTTTACTAATTACATATATATAATCCTTTGATTTGTAATAGTTTTTCTCCCAGTTTATTATTGGCCTTTTTTTAATGTCACATTTTAAAATAACATATACAGTTAAACGGTGTGTGTGTGTTGTGTGCATGTGTGTAAAGGTCTGTGAATTTTAACACATGTAACTGCCACAACCAGAATACAAATCAGTTCCCCATCCTTCACCTGCCTCCTGCCCCCTTGTAGCCATACTCCCCCACCCCCTAACTCCTGGCAATCAATGCCCATCTGTTTTCTGTCACTACGGTTCTGTCTTTTTGCCAGTGTCATATAAAGGAACTCATACAGCATGCAGCATTTTGAGACTGTCTTCTCTCACTCAACATTAATGGAATGGCTGTACTATAGTTTGTGATCTATTCACACCTACACAGTTTCAATGCTAACAACAACAGACAGACAGCAAGGGGCCCCTTGGCCTTCCCTGCAGTAAGCCAGTAATGGAGCAGCACCAGCTCCCCCTCCTTTCAGGAAAGGGGTCCACAGAGCGGCCAGGACAAATCTGCTGCCACTCACTGAAATCCCTCCCCAAGAAAAACCTCCTGCAATTCATCCCTGTCCATAGCAGGGCTACAGACTGTGAGAAAACAAGCCTGATCAACTCACGTGGACACCACAAAGTCAAAGTACCCTAGACCTAGAATCCAGTCTTTGTGTTGAGTAAGTTTTCATGAAAGCTTTCTCTGTCAGTGTAACTGCTAAAATGCACTCATTGATGACAAAGCCCAAATAGGAAGATGCCTCCAAAACACCAGCTCTAGACTACTCTACAATCCTCCCCCATCAGACAAGAGTAGACATGTGGCTAATGAAAAGAGCCAGTAATCTAAAACTCAAGTATGTTCATCACCAAAACGAGGTTTTACATTTCCACAGCCCCTCTGCCATCAAATGGCACAGGGAGAAATCTCAGAGGTCAATGCCCTCTGCCCCCCGCTCGTAGCCTCACTCTGGTTTGCTCTCTCTTTCCCCACATACAACCTTTCCCGGGGGGCAGGTGATTAGTAATTTGGGTTTCAAGGGGCTTCCTTATGTGGAGAGGGGACAGAAAAGAGGAAATTAAGGTAACAACACAACTATTCAGTAAGCAAATTAAGTGTTTCCATGAGTGAATGAGAAGCGAAAATGAGTGTTTATGCACTTGTTAACCATTAAACATGAGAGCAAGATTCCCCAAAAGCAAGACTGTCTGCACAGAAGGCTCAGTAACATCAAAAAGCTGGGAGTCCTCACTGGACAATCTAGCCAGGTATCTCTCTTTGAGATTTACGAACTAGCAGGGAGCTGGGCACCTTGGCAGTGAGAGCGAAGTCCTGTTCTGCGGGCACAGGGGGAGGAGACCAGGGGTCCAGCAGGAAGCCAGCAGCACATGCAGGGCCCCGCAAGCCTCTGACCACTCCTCTATGCTCCCTTCCCCTCAGTTCAGAGGCACAGCAATAGGAATTCCCAGAACAGCTCCCGCTGAGTAACAGCAGCCAGAATTCCCAAGTGCAAGGGTCACTGGGAAGTCTCCCTGTTCATTCCCTCTCCCAGTGGCCCACTGAACAGCGCGTCAGCAGAACTGGAATAGGACGAAGAGAACCCTGTGGATGCACATCGAACCCGCTTACCCCTTGCTCCAGCTGGGGACCCAGCCTGGTCCCTGCAGCCCATTAATTAAAATGAGGCTGAGAAGATTCAAAAGACAGCATCTCCATCCACCAGGCCAACCACACCATCACCCTTGTCAGTTTGGCCAAGTCTACGCAGCTGAGTACTTGGAAGAAATGGGAGGATGAGGTCAGAGCACGCACTTTCCACCAGAATACACTGGGATTCTCCCGCAAATCCAAGTCTTCACTGTCCAGGGAGTCGCTACTATTTCCTGCCAGTGGCGCTGTTAAAATTTTGTCAAGACAATGCACTTAAGGAAATAAAAGCCAATTCATTATAGAATTGAGGAGGAATGGGGGCAGGGTGTTATCACTGCTTTTTGTAGTAAAACACAGCTCATCCCTATCAATATCAGTGAGTTTACTAGGCAGTAAAGTGTGGCTATTGATTAAGAATTAGACTTTTCTCTGGAATTCTGCCAAGGTTATGAGATAAAATTTTATTTTCTCGATAGTCAAGTAAATAAACAAAGTAAATATTGAATACAGCTGACTTAGATTATGACAGCTTCAAACACATCTTTCACCTGCAGTTCAGAACAAATCTCAACTTTATCGTAACATTTAAAAGGTCAAAAAAGGCCACTGAAATTACATATTTTTAGGGTACATTTAGGAAACATATGTAAACCACATGCTTCATTTTGAACACCACCACCGGCTTCATTTAAATCTGGTTAATCATTTAAATGGTGGAAATGGCTTCTTTAAATTTTCATTTGAATCTTAAATAGTTAAATTGCAAAGGGAAAAAATACAATATCCCACATCAATATGTCGGTTTACAAGGTCTCAATGAAAAGCTTCTTTCAGTGATGACTTTACTGCACTTCTTTGATTCCTCGAAAGTCACTTACAGGAATTTTAGAAATCTCCTTGCTTTCCTCTAAAACTGACTGTGCCACCTAAAAAGGAGAAACCAACATTCACTATCAAATTACATTTCCTTCAGTTTCTATTTTTGAAATATTGAGGGTAACAAGGACCCACTTTGTAATACAATCATTATTGGTGCTCACAAGGACCAAAGCTGCCAGGCTTCTCAATACCAACAGAAGTAGCACAGCCCGCCCCAGGCCAACTACCTAAGTGGCATTCAAGGTATAAATATGAAGAAAAGCTTCTCTCAATACTCCACAAGGAAACCGTCATATCAAAATATATAAAAGTATGTGTGCTTCTCCCTAATAGACTTGATTTTCTTCACCTGTTCCCTGGAAAGACAGGGGCTGCAGGAGGAGTCGAGTAAGATTTAATAATGAAAGAAACCAAGCACGACAGGACGTGATGCTTCAGAATAACTACAAACCTTTATTCTCCAGATATTCATTTAACGCCAACCTAAAGCGTGCCAGGCAGGTTAAAAATACTGCATTTATGTAAGCACCTCCACCACACACACACGCTCTCACAAGGTTAAATAGGGAGCTCTGAAAGAATGATTTATTGCCACGAGAACAGAGCCCCAAAATAGATTGGCAATAAAAATGATTGGTCCCAGTGGGGTTGAGAACTAATGTAAGCAACGTCCTGGCTATGAGAAGCGACCAGGAAAGAGCACCAGGGACCAGGGCCCTGACTCTAACTCTACCCAAGTTCCACTCTGGGGGGCAAGTCATGAAACCTCCCTAAGGCTGATTCCTCATCTGTAAAATAAAATTAAAACAAGGCTAGCTCATTTTTGTGGTGTCTTTTTTTTTCTTTTTGCTCTTGCATTGAAATTGGTTTTACTGTGCTGAGCTCTGTGCAAAGGAGAAAAGTGAAGTTTGAAATTCACTAACACCTGCAGAAAATCTCTTACTGCTCTTTAACACACAAGCACCAGGACTTGACTCACATTATTACAACTCAATCCACTTGAACACTAATTGGCCTGCCTGCTTCATGCCAGGTCTATAAATAGGTGATCAAAATGATCATCAAAATGAACAGGGAGTGCCAAGGTCCTGAGCAGAGAACGGAATGACAGCAAAGGAAATGAGACCTTGGGTGAGGTGAACCCTGGGTGGACGCTCAGCAGAGGAGAAGGGCACCAGGGCTCTGGAGCCCTGAACTACCCAAAGAAAAGCGGAGAACAATGATTAGGCACTGAGGACTCAGAGAAAGCCAGAGTCCACAGGGAAAGGGGAACAGCCCCAAGGTCATCTCCCGGACCCCTCTCCAGGGCAGCAGTCCTGTCCCCTGAGCCCAACTCCAAACCCTGCCAGGTGACAGCACCTTTATGTGAGCACTTCCAGTAATGGAGAAATCACAGGACTGTTCACTCTATTTCTGAACTTCCCTTAATTGTTTAAAAGTTCTATTAAAGTCTTCTCTTTCTTTCATCCAACCACTGGTATTAGTTTTCAATCTGTGGCTACAAAGACAAAGCCGAATGCGGGCAACAAGAACGAATTTAAAAAAAAGAAAGAAAATCAGGCAGCCATGCAAACAGAGTTTCAGGGCTGAGAAAGGAAAGGCAAGCAATGGAAAGCCTTTGTCTAAGTCAGGTTGGCACTTTTAGTACCAGGCTCAAAAACACACCATGATCTGTCCTCCCCAGTCAATGAGAACCTATTTTCCCATGTTTCTGAGTCTTAGAAAAGAAAGCCAGATTTCTGATGGATTTGACTGCTCCATTCTCCTCAGCTTCCTTGCCCGGTCAGCCCTGACTGTTCAAACCCCACCCCCACACCCACCCATCCAACAGAATGACCCCTCTCTGCCCCCTGCTAGACATCGTTGGCCTAGATGCTAGAGCCAAGATCTAGGTCAGGGACTCAGAGCTGCCCAAAGGAGATTTCACTTTTAAAAAGACGTTCCAGGCTATCGCTGGAATGGGATGCTGCATCTGATACCTACTTAAGTTCTGCCCTGGCTCCTGATTCTAAGTGAAACAACTAAAAAGTTAAGTTTGTCATTTTGGAGGGCAGAAGAAAGGAACAAGCCAGTGAGACATTACCTGGTTCTGACCCAAACGGAACATGAACAGGAGCCCTGGCGGCGGGGGCAGCACAGGCCTAAGCAAAGCCAAGAGCAGACGACAACTCCTGGAGAGAGCCACGCCAACAGGCAGCAAATCTTCGGTGTCTTTTAGGGAGGGCTCTTAGCAGCAGCAGAAGTGATTTTTGTACTATGCATAATAGAGATGTAAAAAAGCCTGGTCTCACAAACACCAAAAAATCCATCTCCAACGCAGAAGAGCCTTTCTAACAGAGAGGAGCTGAATTCTGCACAGAATCTATTATTCTGTGACAGGTAGGTAGAGAGAAAGCTAGACTTAGCTTCAGGGCATGAAGGGAATACGTCCCAGTTCTGCTATTAAGAGGTAAGACGGGGCTGCTCTATCTGGCCAGTCGCACCAAAAAAAAAAAGGTGGGGGGGGGTAGCTTTCTTTAGAAGGAGCTCATGTTTTCCTAAACCTTTGCTTTCTGCAGGCACTTCTCAAGGAGAGTGAGCACTGGGGAGTAGATTAACCCCAAGCTAACACTGGACAGTCGGCTGTGTCACTCCCAGCCACAACCAATCTGCTAAAATGAATCAAAAATAACCCCGCCTAGCAAAGATCAAGACAACCAAGAGAAGACAGTACTAAACCAGGTATCTACCAGCACTGCTAACTTCTGCCTCTCACCATCGCCCTCCCGCTGCAATTGCTCCTCGTGACCCGGATTGGGGAACTGATCTCACCGAATCTGGGGAGGTGATTTTCAAAGAGGCCACGGAAAAGCGTGAACCGCCGACCTCCCGCGCGTCCCCCAGCGCAGGGCCGCTCCCCCGGCCTGTCGGTGTCCCCAGCCCGGCCGTCCTCCCCGAGGCCGCCACCAGCACCCCCGCCCGCCTCTCCAGGCCCGGACCTGGCCCGCCCTCCTCCGCTCTCCAACCCGGAGTCTGCATCCTCCCTGCCCCGTGCCCGGCCCGCTAAGGACTGCGCTCTGGGTGCCGGCCCCGAGGCCGCCGCCGCCGCCGCCGCCTCCTCCTCCTCCTGCTGCTGCTCAGCCGACGCGCGAGCAGACCGGACTGGGCGCGGGGACGCGGGACGCGGGGACGCGGGCCCGGCTCGCGCGGGATCTGGGCCGGAGCGGGAGGAGGCGCCGCCGCTGGGGTACCGGGGACGCCCTGTCACGCCCCCTGCGCAGCAAACCCGGTGCCCCTCCCGCGGACCGGTCGCCACCCGCGCCTCTCCCGCGGCCACCCCCTCTGCGCCGGGGTGGACTCGGGGCCACCTGGCACCGCCTCCACCTCCACGCCACCCACACAGTGCCCCGCGAGCCCCAGCCCCGCGCCGCCCCCCCGGGGCCACGTTCCCAGCTGACCCTCCCGGGTCGTCCCCGGAGACAATGGCTCACCGCGCCTCCCGGTCCTCCGAGCTTCAGCTCGGCCACCGTCCCCACTCCCTGGGCAGTGAGTGCCGTGACTGCCCCGTTTCACAGAAGTGTAGACCAAGGCCGGGGAGATGACAGGCTAGAGGGCCAAGCAAAGAAACCCGGCTGCTAATGGGGTCGAGGAGGGTCCAGGTACAAATCAGCCAGAGACAGGCACAGATCAAAGACCAATTTCCCGTCCCGGACCGGCCCCGGCTCAGTCCGCTCGGCCTCCGGGGTAAGAGCCTCCGCCCACGCCATCTCCGCCGCCGCCTCCTCGGTCCTCCAGCGAAAGAGACAAAGAGCCGGCGCCCCAACCCGCGAAGCCGCGGCTGCCGGGAGCGGCAGACCGGGGGATTCTGCCCTAAAACGAGGGGCGGGCGCAGGGAGGGCGAGGTGGTGGCATTCGGGCCAAGCTGCCGCGCGCCCGGCTGCGCGGGCAGCGGGACACGCGGATGTGGGGCGGGCAGCCCCGGCGCATGGAAGCAGTGGTCCCAGGCGAGAGCCTGCGGGCCCCGACGGACGGACGGGCGGGCACCAGCGCGCGGTGGCCGGAGCTCGGCAGCTCCGCGGCGGGTCGGCCGAGCGCTTGGGGCAGCGCCGCTGGGCGGGCCGGCCGCAGTTGCACTCACCGGATCGGAAGAAGGCCGCGATGTCGGCCAGGTCCTTGGCCGCCTCCTCTGCCCCCTCGCCGGCACCGCCCCCGCAGCCCGAGCCAGCCGCGCTGGCCGCCGCGGCGGGGCCGGAGGACGCGGCGGGGGCGGCGGCTCCGCCGCTGCTGCCGCTCATGGCTGCGGCGGCGCCCGCGGCCGCGCCCGCCTCGGGCCCCGCGCCCCTAGCGCCGCGTGCCGCCCGCTCCGCGCCGGGCCTGGCGGCGCCGAGCACCCAGCTGCCCGCGCCCGGCGCGCGGACGCAGAGCCCCGGGGCGGCGGGGGGCGGCGGCGGCGGCTCGGCCCAAGGAGCGCGCCCACATAGACGAGGACTCCGCCCGGTAGCCGCGAGCTGGCCGAGGGGCGGAGGCGCGGAGCCACGGCCTCCCGGGCGCCGGCCGGAGCGCGGGCAGCAGCACGCGCCTCCCGGACGCGCAGTCGCGAGGGCGGGGGCCCGTGGCCGGCGAGACCTCCGGGATCACGGGCGCCGGCGGCTGCCGCGAGCCTCCATCTTGATTTCAATGGGGAAGGAAGGAGGGGGGAGGGGGAAATCACGGCCGAGGGAACCCGGGTGAAAGGAAAAGGGAGAACAGGGAACGGAGAGGAAGGAAAAAAAAGAGGGGCTTCGGTAATTTCCGGCGAACTTCGTCAAGGGCCGAGCCTGGGCTCGGCGGTGGGCGGAGCCTGGGGGAGGGGCGGGGCCGCGTTGGGCGGATGGGCTCCCGCAGGGCTGGCGGGGAGGCTGCAGGAACGTTCGGTTTGGTTCGGTCTGCTTCCCCGGGGCAGCTCCAAGCCTTGGAAGGCGCAGGAAAGCTCTGACCAGCCGGGGCGGACCTTCCCAGGCCCGGCATTGCGCCCCCAACCGGGGCGCTGGCTCCTGCACCGGTGCGCGGTCCCCTGAGCGCCGAGGCGTTTCGTCGTCTAGCCCGCAAGGCGGGGTGACGCGGGCCGGGGCGGGTGCCTCCCTAGTGGGCTCAGCGCTGGCCCTGGCTCGGGGAGGGGGCTTCTTAATAGTTGTTGAGTGAACATAGAGGGCCCGAAAACAGGTTATCTGCTCCAGTCCCGGAGGCCACGGTACTCCTAAGGGTACAAAGCTCTCCTGTAAAATGGGATTCCTCTCGGTGTATCCCCATCTCCCAGGGGACTTTCGGCTGCTGAACCTCGGGTTCACGGTTTCTCAGTCCTTACTCCGCCAGAATGAATGGGGAAGATGACGGGGTCTGGGGAGGCCAAAAGAAATGTTCCTTTGCGGAAGATCCGTGTCAAACCAGCGCTGGACGAATATTCTAGTTCAAAACGCCTATGCCCCGGCTACGAGGAGAGTGAAAGGATCCAGTGCCGGGGGAAACAGGCAGAAGCAAGAGAGATGAAAAACAACTGGGTGATGAAACCACCACACGAGTATACTGGAAATAGACAAATGTAAATGGTGGATGGTGGCCATCAAATCTTCACTGCTGGAGTGGAGGTTACAGCCAGGAAGAGGCTAGAGTGATCCTTGTGGTACAGGGTTAGAGTTGGAGACATCGTTATGGACTCATGTTTGGGGTCTACATCTATATTATATATTCATAATGTATATAATGGGTCTGTACAGAGATTTGTAGATAAAGGGTCGTACACATACTTGTATCTCTTTGCTTTGTCAGCTGAGTGGGCCTAGACACAACACTCTGTAGCAACGAATACACCTAGCGCTCTGATCTTGCTTCTAGTACCATTCTCCAATAAAAGGAGCCAGAGCTCCTTGAGGAAATGACTGATTCTAGGACTGGGACGGGAAATATTCAAGGTGTGCCTGGAGCACCTTGTGCCAAAAGGTAGGTAATTTGCTCCCCCCATGAAAAAAAAATTTTTTTAATTGACATCAGCAATGGTGGGGGTACCTCAAAGGGACACAGGAGCTAATTGAAAGCGCTCCCAGTGGCCAAAGCTGAAACGATTTGAGCAAGAAAATAAAGCAGAATGTGATTATAACCAAAAGTATAAAATAAATTATCCATGAGTCCATAGTGATGAAAATAAATGATTAAGCAAATAAGTGGGATTAAGTAATATATAATATAGTATTTTTAAAATTAAGTAAATCAATGGGATTAAGTAAATACATTGGGAACAATTCTAAATAATTTATGTGGATACTGTGCCCTCCATGAAATGGAGGAGCCCTCTCCTAAACCGTGGCCTGCACATAGTAACTTCCTTCCAAAGAATACAAAATGGAAAGGAGGGGCAAAAGAGTAAGTTTACAGTGGAGAAATGTGACAAATACTACCTCAGCCAGGTGATCAAGGTGAACAGCAGAAGCAAGAAGGTGTGTTGATACTATGTACCCTTGATATGATGTGATGAGACCAGCATTTTACCTTTGTGGTCTTCCTCTCGAAAACCCATAACTCCGATCCAATCATGTGAACAACAGTAGATGAATCCCAGCTGAGGGACATTCTAGAAACAAACCAGGCCAGTACTCCCCCAAACTGCCCAGGTCATCCAAAAGAAGGAAAGTCTGTATAATTGTCACAGCCAAGAGGAGCCTGAGGAGACAGGATGACTAAATGGAATATAGTGTTCTTGATGGGATCCTGGAACCACAAAAGAACATTAGGTAAAAACTAAGAAAATCTGAAAAACATATGGACTTTAATCAATAGTGATAAACCAACATTGCTTCTTTAATTATGAGAAATGTACCATATGAGTAAAAGATGCTAATAATAAAAGAAACTTGGTGTGGGGTATATGAGAACTCTGTACTGTCTTCACAAATTTTCTGTAAATGTCAATCTATCCTAAAATAAAAGTTTATTTTAAAAGTTACTGAAGAATTGCATGGGCAGTGTATCCCAAAAAATAATGCAGTAGGTCCAAAATTCACAGGCCATCAGCTCACATGTGCTGACAACATTCCTTTGATTTTTTCCCCTCAGTTAATTTGAGTCTCCAGCTCCCACTGGCCCTATGGCAGAAAGCTTAGTTTTAGTTTAGGGAAAACTCAATCTCTTGGGGTTTTCTTTGTCAATTAGATGTTCTTCCCTCCCCCTATCTTCTCCCCAAGATTGTAGCCAAGCTCTCAAGGCTTTTGCTCCAGGTGGCAACAGAGAGGTACCTGGTCCTTGATCGTCATGGATTTATGCTGGCATGGGTGTATAGCTGTGTCCCTCCACCCTGGCATCCTGCCTGGATTGCAGGAATTGCTCAGGCCTTGCCTTCTGCTGTTACTTCTCTCCCAACCATGGCAACTCCAGAGGTCAGCTGGCAGTCAGTGCCACTCCTGAGCTATTCCCAGCCACCCAGGGAAATAATCAGCTGCTCACTGGAGTGCTCAGACCTCCCCACAACCACCAGCAAGGTTCCCTTCCCAGCCAGTCTCAGAAAACAAGACTAGGGCCGGGCGTGGTGGCTCACGCCTGTAATCCCAGCACTTTGGGAGGCCAAGGCGGGCAGATCACGAGGTCAGGAGATGGAGACCTCCCGGCCAACATGGTGTCTCTACTAAAAATACAAAAATTAGCTGGGTGTAGTGGCACGTGCCTGTAATCCCAGCTACTTGGGAGGCTGAGGCAGGAGAATCGCTTGAACTCGGGAGGCGGAGGTTGCAGTGAGCCTAGATCGCACCACTGCACTCCAGCCTGGAGACAGAGCAAGACTCCGTCTCAAAAAAAAAAAAAAAAAAAATTGGGCGGGCGTGGTGGCGGACGCCTGCAGTCCCAGCACTTTGGAAGGCGGAGGCGGGCGGATCACGAGGTCAGGAGATTGAGACCTTCCTGGCTAACACGGTGAAACCTCGTCTCTACTAAAAAATACAAAAAATTAGCCGGGCCTGGTGGTGGGCGTCGGTAGTCCCAGCTGCTCGGGAGGCTGAGGCAGGAGAATGGCATGAACCTGGGAGGCGGAGCTTGCAGTGAGCCAAGATCTCGCCACTGCTCTCCAGCCTGGGCAACAGAGCGAGACTCCGTCTCAAAAAGGAAAAAAAGAAAGAAAGAAAACTAGACTAAGATCTCTGCTCTCCAATCCCACAAGCCTATCTGGGTACAAGCTCTTTTCTCAGAGGCTCATCAGGGTTTGACACTATCCATCTCCTTTCCCCCATATTGAAGAATATTTATGTCATCTCCAGAAAGAAAATCTCACTCCAGTTTTGTCATGCTTTCTTCCAAATCTGTTGGTTTTTTTGACATAAAGTTTGTGTTCCAGTGGAAACTCAGCTCCTAATATTCAACAATGTTTTCCCCCCAATTATTCCTTCTACCATGGATTCCAAAGTGTCTCTTAAAATTCAGAAACCAAGTGCCAACTTATTTTTTTCTCTTTGCATCCATCCCATTATAACCCTACCGTGTGGATAGTGAATACAGAGCTCCTCTCTGCTGCCAAAATGGTGGAGAAAGGTCGAGAATTTGAAAAAGTCAAAACTGCTTAGGAGAGAGGGACAGACTGGATGAAATGCAGCCACAGAAAGATTGGCAATACCTTAGTGGTGGTGCCTGGGAAGTGACAACTGGAAAAGCCTGACTCGTGTTGGAGAATTCTTGGGTGGAGGCAAGTTCTGGGGATGGGAGTTGGCCTGAAAGGGAATGTGGCTGAGTGGTAATGATGGCTAAGGGTGTTGGGAATCGCCATGTCTGGGGAATGGTGTGGATTTGGGCAAAATGAGCTCTCTAGGGTTGGGACTCAGATACTGACCAATTCTGTCTCTGGGAGAGTCAGTTCCAAGAACACCATATAGAAGATTTGTGTCTGAGTGTGGGACTTGCTTGCAGGCTCACGCAGATTGCAGTAAGAGAAAGAGGCTGCATACAGGTTTTTCCCTTCTGCTATCTGAGCATGTGGAGGGGGGATCTAAACAGGGTTTCGTGACAGCTGCTGTTGATCCTGCACAACCTTCAAAATTCAGCTCAAATTTCATCGCCTCTGGTGAACCTCTGAAGCCCTATTCACAGGCATGGGGCCTCGAGAATTGTCAGCTGGTCATCAGGGTGGATTGGTAAAGAGTCTTTTGGGCTCTTCCCACCAGTGGTTTTTCCACTCATTGGAATAGCTCTGAATATACAAATCAAGCAGAGGACAGGGTGAGAGGTAGAAGAGGGAATTAGGAGGAATGTGCCTAGGAAAGAACCAGGGGATGGAATTTGGGAGCATTTGAGGTGTGTGTGTGTGCACACGTGTATGTGCGTGTGTGTGTGTGTACACATGCTTTTGCTTCCGAAGATGTTGGGTTGGAATTGATGAAGATCTTGATCTGGTAGCAGGAAAACCCAGCAATTCAGGGGAAAAAAAGATAAAGGTAGATTTGGCTTTGAAGTGAGCTGAAATTTGGAAGTTGCGAGGAAGGTTTTATTATTACTAGTATATAAATGAGAGATGTATAGGAGAAGTGACAATATCTGTATTTACTGCCTTGGCTTCCAATTGACCCATTTTCCAGGCATGTTGCTTAAAAACAGCTGACTTGCTGTTCTTGGCCAGTAATTCAAAGAATTCCAAATTGAGCCTCTAGCCTGAAATCTGCAGAATCTGAAATTCTACCTGGTGAGATTCATTCATTCTGATCCTGGCCAACTTTTGGTCTTCCAGATTTCTCTTTAAAGGATAAATACTCCTGGGAATGCTAACACCTTAAGCCTTTATCACTTAATACCTCATAGAGAAGATTAGTAGATTAGCCGAGAATTGGTCCAAAGTAATGAGGGATAAAAGAAAGAAAAGAGTGATGGAAGGCACCGATAAAAAAAGTACTGGTGGGGCACAGTGGCTCATGCCTATAATCTCAACACTTTGAGAGGGCAAGAGGATAGCTTGAGGCCAGGAGTTCAAGGCTGCAGTGAGCTCTGATTGAACCATTGCACTTCAGCTAGGGTGACAGAGTGAGACCCCATCTCAAAAAAAAAAAAAGCACTGACTTTGCTTGTGCCTAGAGCTGGTCTTACTGCTTCTGTCTAGTGTAGAACCTGAGCAAGGTCTTCCCTAGTGCATTTGCAACAGTAATGAGGGTTTTTATATTTGAGGTTCACTGATTACTTACTGAAGGGCTCCCATTGCATACAGGAAACCATCTAAAGACTCTATGTCCAGTTTTAGACTGTTCTAGAAGCCTTGATTTATTCATGCTGTAAACATGTTCTGAGTCCCTACTATATGGAAGATGCTCTTTTAAGCACTAGTGAACAAAACCAGCCAACATTCTTGCCCTCGTAGAACTTACTTTGTCATAGGGTGGGATGGGTATGACAGACAATAAGCAAATAAGTAAAATGCATCGTGGCCAAATGACAGTGCAATGGAGAAGAATAAGACAGGAAAAGGGGTGAAGTCTGAGCGACGAAGCAGTGCAACATTTGATGCAACATTTGAGCAAAGATCGGAAAGAGATAAGACAATGAGGGTGTACATCTGTGCCAAGCATGGTGGCTCATGCCTGTAATCCCAGCACTTTGGGAGGCCGAGGCAGGTGGATCACCAGAGGTCAGGAGTCCGAGACCAGCCTGGCTAACATGGTGAAACTCCATCTCTACTAAAAATACAAAAATTAGCCGGGTGCGGTGGGACGTGTTTGTAATCCCAGCTACTTGGGAGGCTGAGGCAGGAGAATTGCTTAAACCTGGGAAGTGGAGGTTGCAGTGGGCCGAGATCATGCCACTGTAGTCCAGCCTGGGCAACAGAGCAAGACTCTGTCTCAAAAAAAAAAAAAAGTGTACATCTAGGGGAAGAGGACTTAAGGGAGGTGAAACAGCAAATGCAAAGGCCCTGAGCAGGAGCGTGTGTTGCTGCTATTTGGAGAATATAGGGGATGCCACTGTAGCTTGGGGAGTTTGGGTGTGGGGGATGAACAGTGGATCTGGTTGGTGAGGTACAGGAATCTCAGCAAGTGCTCTGTAAGGACTCTGCCTTTTCAAAAGAATGTGGTTGCAGATGTACGTTGTTGTATGGAAAGATTCTAAGTGATTTTAGGTTCAAAGTAGATTATGTGGACTCATTAGAATGTTTGGGGATAAAGCAGAAGTTTGTAAAAAGTTTTGTAAAAGATGGCGATGGGGCCTTCTCTAGAAACCAGCTACTGTCATCTCCCAGGGGAGAAGTCTCGGTAAGATGCTCAAGAACCACCACACCAAGTGATGGGACCCCTGCCCAGGGCTGGGAGAGCAGGGATACCCCCTGCGGAGGTAACACCAAGGCAGTGGGAATTGGCCCCATCATTGCTGATCACCCCGCAGCCAACCCAACTGGGTCTGCAACCACACCCCAGAGGACTTCTTCCCTCACAAGCTGAGGGGACCTGTCCACGGACCTCCCTCCTCCTGCCACCACCCTGCCAGGTCTCAGGGACCAAGAGAAGAGAATGCAGGCACAGCTCAAAAATCACTTCCTAGAAAGCACCTCCTCTCCAGCCTATTTTTGCTTTCTGTTTATTTATACTCTGGCCTCAGGGCAAAATCATGGCTGCAAAAAGCAACAAAGAAACCCAGTGAGTGGATTGGATTTGTTTTCAAAACCAGTGCAGTTAAATGCCTTCTTCTAGAGACACAAGGGTAGATATTGTCATGGAGGGAAAAGAAGCCCCAAGAAGAAGCGGTTTTCAGTCCCAGCTCTGACACCAACTAGCTATGTGATCCTGGGCAAGTGAACTGGAACTAGAGAAGTGAATCTTGCCTGTCTGGCCCCTACCTTCAGGAAAGCCAAGTCCCCAAAGAAAATCACACTTGCAGTCATTAGTTATATCACATAACTCTCATCTGCCTCCTCCTCCATCCCTGCCTCCCTTCATCAACAGGTAAGAAAGCACCTCAAGACTGAACTCAACACTGAAAGGAGTGGAGCAACTGGGCAGCAGGGGAAGTGTGGGGTTGGCGGGAATGGGCATGGGGAGCAGGGAGACAGGGCACTGCCCTTGTTCTAACCTGGGTATTAGTCCAGTCTCACACTGCTATGAAGAAATATCTTAGACTGGGTAATTTATAAAGGAAAGAGGTTTAATTGACTCAAAGTTCCACAGGGCTGGGGAGGCCTCAGGAAACTTACAATCATGGCAGAAGGGGAAGCAAACATGTCCTTCTTCACAAGGCAGTAGGAGAGAGAAGAATGAGAGCCAAGAGAAGGGGGAAGCACCTTATAAAATCATCAGATCTCATGAGAACTTACTATCAAGAGAATAGCATGGGGGAAACCACCCCCTTGATTCAATTACCTCCCACTAGTTTCCTCCCATCAGAGGTAGGAATTATGGGAACTGCAATTCAAGATGAGATCTGGGTGGGGACACAGCCAAACTATATCAGTACCCATCCCCTTTGCTTACCTCCTTCTAATCACCTCCTTTTTTCTGAGATCATCTGGGGGTTCTATAGCTATAAGCACCTCACTGGAAAGGAGATCAGTTCCGGGGAATGGTTCCAGGCCACAGACTCTTACTGAACAAATGGCTGTGGCTTCAGAGCAGAGTTGGGGAGAGGGCAGAGAACTCCTCCTCACATCCTGGGACAGAGTTCATGTAGCTCACAGTTGGCAGGGTGGAGACAGCTAGTGAGCCATTACCTTTGCTTCTCAAGGATAGCCCATGGGCCAGCTGAGGGCAAGCCGGGAAGGGGGAGTCATGGATCAAGAGCAACTTAAAAGGGGCAATGAGTGTGACCATGACCAACCGTTTGAATAGCCCTGCTCCTAGCCCTGATTGCCTTGCACACTGTTGATTTGCCAAATTTCAGCATCACTTGAATTCTTCACTTTTCTGTGTTTCTATAAATACAATTAAAGATTCTTTAAAGTGCAATGGGCATATCTAGGAGTAATTGCAGGGATTAATACCTGCCCCCACTCTATGCATCACAACCCTCCCTGCACCCCCACTCTCTCCCTCTCCCAAAAACACCACTAGCTGCACTTCTATCTCTGGACAAGCAAGGTGACCTCAGCTAGCCTGAGGCAACTGTGGGGCTAAGCTAAGAATGCCACTCAGGTCTTGAGTGAGGCACCATGCAAAGTCAGATCAGGGAAGAAAGGTGCCTAGGCCCCTGTCCTTGTACTCTGCTCCCTGCTGGACCCTGGGGAGGGTCCCTGAGGGGTCACGCTAGAGAAAGCCATGCTTATGGGGCTCGTGGAGGGGCAGCAGTGGCACATCTGGATGGCTGCCCATAGCACAGTCTTAACTGGAACCCAGGAGCATGTACAGGTGCTCAGTCCCTTCCTTATATTCCTAAAATCCAAAAGTTCTCAAAACCAACATTTTTTTGTAACACTTTCGGTGTCAAAAACTGACAGTATCACCTGAGGTCATATACACTTTATCCCATTTAGGTTGAATCATAGTATTTTTGCAGCAGATATATTGAAGAGTGTCTATGAACTTCCGAAAGGGTCAGAATTCTGAAATCCGTCAGGCTCCTAAAGTCTTGAATAGGGAAATGTAGACATAAAGCTTGTGTATAAATGGCCAATAAGTACATGAAAGGATACTCGGCATTACTAGCCACCTGGGCAATGCAAACCAAGCCAGCATGAGATACCACTTCACCCCCACTGGAATGGCTAAAATAAAGACAACCAACAGCAAGTGACAAGGCTGTAGAGAGCCTGAAACCCTCATTCATTACTGGCAGGAATGTAAAACAGTACAGCCACTTTAGAAAACAGTTTGGAAGTTCTCCAAAAGTTAAACATAGAGTTAGCATATGACCTAGCTTATCCACTCATAGGTATTTATTCAAGAGAAATGAAAACATACATATGTCCATACAAAAACCTTTGTACACAAATGTTCTTTGTTTTTTTTTTGTTTTTGTTTTTTTGAGGTGGGATCTCACTCTGTCACCCAGGCTGGAGTGAAGTGGCACAATCATGGCTCACGGCAGCCTTGAACTCCTGGGCTCAATTTCTCCTCCCACCTCTCCTGAGTAGTTGGGACTACAGGCACGCACCACCACACACAGCTAATTTTTTGTATACTTTTTTTTTTTTTTGTGGAGATGGAGTTTCACTACGTTACGTAGGCTGGTCTCAAACTGCTGGGTTCAAAGAAATCCGCCCACCTCGAGCCCCCAAAGTGCTGGGATTATAGGTGTGAGCCACTGTGTCCAGCCACAAATGTTCTTGGTAGCATTATTCATAATAGCCAAAAAAATGGAAATAACTCAAATGTCATTCTGCTGATGATTGTATAAAGAAAATTTTGTATATTCATATAATGGAATGTTATTCAATCATAAAAAGGATAAAGAATTGATACATCTACAACATGAATGAACCATGAAGACATTGTGCTAAGTGAAAGAAGCCAGATACAAAAGGTCACATCATGTATGATTTTGTTTATATGAAGTATCTAAAATAAGGAAATCCATAGAGGTAGAAAGTAGATTGGTGGTTGCCAGAAGCTGGCAAAGGGAGGAAAGGAGAGTGACACTAAATCAGAGCTTCTTTTATGGGAAATAAAAACGTTGTAAGATTAGATTGTGGTGGCTCACGCCTGTAATCCCAGCACTTTGGGAGGCCAAGGAAGGTGGATCACTTGAGGTCAGGAGTTTGAAACCAGCCTGGCCAACATGGTGAAACTCCGTCTCTACTAAAAATACAAAAATTAGCCAGGCATGGTGGCGGGCACCTGTAATTCCAGCTACTTGGGAGGCTGAGGCAGGAGAATCGCTTGAACCTGGGAGGCAGAGTTTGCAGTGAGCCGAGATCATGCCACTGCATTCCAGCCTGGGCAGCAGAACAAGACTCTATCTCAAAAAAGGAATAGATTGTGGTGACAGCTGCACAACCCTGTGAATATTCCAAAATGTGAACTGTACACTTTAAATGAGTGAATTATACGGCATATAAATTATATTTCACAAAAACTGTATAAACGTATATCTATAAAGGTCCAGATTGATAGATTACAGCTCTGGCTAATTGAAAATAAAGCAGTAGAATGTCAGGGAATCTCAGAACATTCTCAGGCCCAAAAATACATGATAAAAAGGTCAAACTGGCCAGAAACAGACTGCCACAGTAGTACAGGCTCTCACACGGGATTCCTCCCAGTAGCCAAAATAATACACCAACAGCCAAACAACCATAAGCCTCTCCATCCTCAACTGCCAGGCCTCACGGGGTCAGCTGAAAAATCTCCCTTGGTAGATGCTGTCCTTGTTCAGCTGCAATGTAGGGTGCTATCCTTCCAACAGCCAGAAAGGGTGAAAGGATCTTTTACGTGCTTTCCTAAAGGAGAGATATGTGCCAGTTGTATCCACTGAGCTCTGCAGTCTTATGCAGGCTGTGCAGCTGGCAGTTAACATTCACTCTTCAGCCCGGTGCCGAAGAAGTTGCAGAATGGCAGGAGAGGATTGTAACAAAACCTGAGGAAGCATGGGCGTTCCTGGAGATTGTGGACTGTGAGGCTAATAAGCAGCTAGGGATGTCTCTTGATGCAGTGGTTTTGTCCTGACAACACAGAGCTTGCAAGAGAGGAAACCAGGGGAATGAATACTGACCTCTCTCTCCTCCCACTGTCACTTCTTCTGCTGGCGTCTCCCACTAGTGGCACCACCGGGAGTCAGAGAGGAAGGGAGCCTGTGAATGGGTCCACAGCGGTCATCCTCCTGAGGACACAGCGAGGTGGAGGAAGGCAGAGAGCAGATACAGTGGGTTAAAGGAGGACACCCAGTGCAATCATGAAATGGCTCCAGCATTTGGGGGTAATAAATCAGTCAACAGACACTCAACACCTCTCTGAGCATGACACTGTGCACGGAGCTATAAGTGACAAGACATAGTTGGAAAGATAAGACCCAGTCACTTGGCGAGACAATTATGATTACAAAACAGAATATACATTCAAATGAGTAGAAGACACAATAAATGTCAAAAAAACTCAGAGAGGGGGAAACCCTTCTTGCACTGGGGTGATGAATGAAGAACTCCTAGGTCAGAATTGTATTGCTTTTGGCCAAAGACCAAGACTCACAGTACAAAGAATAAGTACAATGTGATCTTTTAAATAAACTTGGAGATAAGCTATCTGTGTGGAATAGAGAACGTGGACTTCTGAGCATAGATATCAGTAAACATTTAGGCAGAGTTTCATAAAGAATACATTAGGCTGGACGCGGTGGCTCATGCCTATAATCCCAGCACTTTGGGAAACCGAGGTGGGCAGATTACCTGAGGTCAGGAGTTCAAGACCAGCCTGGACAACATGGTGAAACCTCGTCTCTACTGAAAATACAAAAATTAGCCGGGCATCGTGACGCACGCCTGTAGTCCTGGAAGGCTGAGGCAGGAGAATCACTTGAACCCGGGGGTGGAGGTTGCAGTGAGCCAAGATCATGCCACTCCATTCCAGCCTGGACAACAGAGCGAGATGCTGTCTCAAAATTAGAAAAAAAAAATGCATTAGATCAATCTATCGCTGTGTCATTTTACCTTACACACCCTTCAAATATATGCCTTTGGGCCAGGTATGGTGGCTCATGCCTGCAATCCCAGCACTTTGGGAGGCCAAAGTCAGAGCATCCATTGAGCCCAGGAGTTTGAGACCAGCCTGGGCAACACAGCAAGATCCCATCTCTACAAAACCAAAAAGAATTAGCCAGGTGTAGTGGTGTGCTTCTATAGTCCTAGCAACTCAGGAGGTTGAGGTGGGTGGATTTCATGAGCCTGGGAGGTTGAGGCTGGAATGAGCCAAGATCATGCCACTGTACTCCAGCCTGGGTGACAGAGTGAGACTCTGTCTCAAAAACAGACAAACAAACAACCTATGGCAAAGGACTTTGGTTTTCTTGAAGAGGTAACATAACATTGTGGTTCTGAGCAAGACTCTGGTGATTGAGTGTCTGAATGCTGGCTCTGCTACTCTCTAGATATGCATCCTTGGGAAAGTTACTTCATCCCTCTGTGCCTCAGTTTCCTTATCTGTAACATGGAGATAAAAAATAGTGGTTACCTGACAGTGCTGTTGTGGGGACTGAAAAAACTCATGTAAACTAAGGATTTACAACGTGCTGCACTTTCTAGTGCATGATATTGATGAATATTATCTTGCTATTATTATTACTTGAATTGGCTACTCAAATTCATCCCAGCAAACTTCTGCCAGGGTTCCAAACACAGAGTTGACAGTAAGGTCATGCAGGGTGAGGGGTACCACCATTGTCCCTTTTCTCTTTCAGTACTGAATGTGGCGGGAAAAGAGACTATTTATAGGAAGGTCGGATTGTCTAGTTCCATGATCGGATTTAATTAGCTTTTACTACCTGGAGATTTGAAAGAGCTAACTAAATTTGAGACTAGAGCCTATCTGGATATCACCTGCAAGGTTCCAACTGTGTGTTTCCAAAGTCTGCTTTATAGGACCAATTCCACGGGAAGTTAATAACTGTTATTGTTCTAAAGTTCTGTGCTGAAATAAGTTTGAACAACTCAGGGCTAAAATGAATGAAATAAATTCCTTTTAAGCAGATATGCGTTTTGCATCCTCAAGAAGGGAATATATGCTGCAGCATTTCCTGAATTTATTGGACTATTTAAGCCTGGCTTTTCACTGAATGTTGAGAGACTGGAAGGGACTTGGAGAATAGTGGCCTACAAGGTTGGAAAAGAGGTTAAAACAAAAACCCTTAGAAGCTGAGTTATTGGACAGCATCAAAGAGGAGACATGGAATGATCTCAATCTGGAAGTATTGTAGGCAAGAATGGAGAATAGGCCTGACAGTAGAGCACCATGCTAAATGCAGAAGCGCACATGTGGAGAAGGCAGCGAGTTCAGGTCTGAACCTGACAATCCTGGGAAAGACAAATAGGGGCAACACTGGGGGAGGTCTTGACTGCCAGGTCAGTAACTTTAAAACTCCAATAGGTGGTGGGGAGCCACTGCTTGTGAGGTGAGCAGTAAAACAACATAATGAAAATGCTGAATTGGGGAAAACTAGCCTGGCCAATGTGCGCAATGTGGATTGAAGCAAGAGACCGATGACGGGGAAAAAAATGAAGCAGCTATTTCTGTGTTCCAGATCAGAGCTTCCAACTGGTGTGCCTAGTTGGACTGCAAGCAGGTCAACTTAATTGGATCCTTGTACCTACCAGTGCAGCCTGGGGCAGGGGTCGGGAGGTATGGAGTGGCCACAGCCATTTGCCTCCAGCCTGGATAAGCCCAGTGGGCTGAATAAATCATGTCATTTCCTTTGTGTGCCATGACATGAGCAAGGCTGTGGAGCACTAGTCTAGTTGTAAAGGCCTGTGTAGGCCAATGATGGTAGCAATGCAAAGAAAGAATGACTGGTGGAGATGCCATAAGAAGTGAATGCCAGCAATTGACTCTCCCCACAGAAGGAGAAAACAGGCATCCACATTGTCATCCAATGGCTGGAATACCAGTTCTCAAACCCAGGAATAAGAAGAGGTAAAACAGGGATGATAGCTGGAAACCTGCAACTTCTCACAAAAAGGAGTCCCCAAAAAGAGGGGATCAAGTCAACTTTCAGGGTTCAGGAAAAGACTCTAACATCTGCTCACTGTTGGCAGGTGAAATGCATCTGGATAACACTTCTCTTTGGCTGTGAACACGTGACCTCTCTCATGTTACAATATCCTTCACACAATAGCCAGCAGTTGCATCTTTCTGTGTGGGAGATATTACTCCATCTCTCTTCCATCCTGCTCTTAAGTACAAAGACTCTTTTCTGAGAAGAAACTCAGGAAACTACCTCCCACCTGCAGAGGGAAGCTCCAGCTGTGTCCTTTAGCATGACTCTTCTCTGCTCAGCTCTTCCTAGTTCTTCACAACCTTGGAGAATCAAGGCAAGGAACTAGTGTCTATTGCTTGAAATATGTCGTGATTTTTCCCTGGTGGTAGGACTGGCATTTGATACCATTCTAAAGCCATGTTCTTTCACTCATTCACTTCCCTCCATTCCAGTCCCCACGTTGGTAATATCTTCTTGGGCCCCTGGTTGTCTTGCATTTCTGTCTCTTCTACTGTCTCTGACATAATCTAATTGGCACCCCCTGATGGTTCTCTTTCCTGAGATAGGCAGAATGAAGGAGAAGTCAATGGTAAGGTGAAGGTGAGACTATTGAACCACAGGGAAGCAAAAGTCACACATTGCTGGGCCTCCTCAATCTGGGACTCTAGAAACTCCCCTAGACAGAGCATGTCCAGATTATACTACTCTTCAGTCCTACAGAAATAATGAAGATTTAACGTTAGGTGCTCTGCCTTTATTGGGACTCATCTGCATTTGAGGATGCTGGCCTCATGTTATTTAATTTTCCTTTATTAAATAAAGACCCATGTGTTAGCTGTTTTAAGCTTTGGTAGTAGAAAAGTTTGTCTCTCCTGACAGATGGCCATGCTTTTATGAGCGAATGCAAACTATGTAATTCACCATATTTCTTTTTATACCTTGGAAGTCAAGGTGCTCAGAATTAAGTATGTGCTTTTTTGCATCAGTTTTACAATAATCTATTTCCCTTTGTTATGTGCCTTTTATTCTTTTATCACTATTTTTAAGGCTTTTACTTCTCTGTTTATCTTTTTGCCTTGAGTTCTTTTCTGAAGGTTGAGATGGATGGATGGATGGATGGATGGATGGATGGATGGATGTTTGGATGGAGGGATGGATGGATGGGTGGATGTATGGGTTGGTGGTTAGATGATATACAGACAGATGGATAGACAGACACACCAAGTGGACTAAATTGTGAAGGGAAAGACAGATTGCAGCACAGTTCCTATCCTGATCTTTCTTTATGCCATGGGCTTACCTTGTCTTTCAAGCATCCAGGGCTTTCCATGTTTATCAAAATCTTTACAGGCTGTGCAGCATAGTAACTAAGAGTATGGCTCTGGAATCTCAATCAGATTCAAATTCCAACTTAGCTACTGTATCTGTGTAAATACAAGAACTTTCCCCTCAGCTTCCTCATCTGAGAAATGAGGATAACAGCATTTCCTACCTCATACAGTTATTCTGAGATTTCAATTAGACAACATGTGCAAATAGTATTTTGGGCAGAGCACCGGTTTAAAAGAATTTGGAATGCTGCATGGTTGCAGTGAGTTAACCGGCCAGTGAAAGGTGATATTCATGACCATGTGACGTCATTTGTCTCCACAGGTGCCTGAGACTAGGGAAATCTGGGGAGAATCTCTCATGGAGGTGGGATAGAGGGTATCTGTCTCTCAGGGAAGGGCTGTTCCTCTGGGCCTTCCCCATGCTGCAGGTGCACCCTAACCATCCCTCCTTTGACCTCAAGCCCAAGGAACTTCCCAAAGGACAGGTTGGATTGTGCCACTCTTCTCAAAAACCTTTGATTCATTTCTTGCCCTTTAAAATGATCATGGCTAGGCGTGATGGCTCACGCCTGTAATCCCAGCACTTTGGGAGGCTGAGATGGGAGGATCACTTGAGGTCAGGAGTTCAAAACCAGCCTGACAAACATGGTGAAACCCATCTCTACTAAGAATACAAAAATTAGCCGGGCATGGTGGCAGGTGCCTGTAATCCCAGCTACTTGGGAGGCTGAAGCAGGAGAATCACTTGAACCCAGGAGGCGGAGGTTGCAGTGAGCCAAGATCATGCCCAACCTGGGCAACAGAGCAACACTCCATCTCAAAAAATAAATAAAATAAAATAAAATAAAATAAAATAAAATGATCTTCATACTCCTCAGTGTGGGCATGAAAGATCCTCCTGGCTAATGCCCTGTACCTCAGAATCTCTTGAGGACCTTTATTTGAAGCCTGCTTCAAGCAGAATGGCTGAGGTTGTCCCCAGGGACCCTACAGTTGTAAGGATTTGAGTCACACCTGGTGTAGGATCTGGGCAGAAACATCCCTTGAATGCCCTGACCCAGGCAGGTGGGGACCTCATCCACTTACATATATAGGGCCTGTGGGGACAGCCAAGGAGCACCCCAGTCCCACAGTCTTCCACCAATGCTGTGCCCACCATGGGGCCTTTGTTCTTGATGGTCTGAGATGAGCACCCCTCCCTCCCCAACTCCATGCAAGTTTTCTCATTACTCTATTCAGAATCACTTTCCGTTATAATCTAATCAGATTTTTAAGTGACCGACTTTCCCACTAGCTATTTGAGAACTGGGTCTAGCCCATTTATTTTTTATGCCCTTTACTGTATCTGGCATAATACTTTGCAGAGTTAGTAAATGTTCAATAAAAGTCTGTTGAAATTGCAAAATCTGGTTTTTCTCATTTATTTTTAAGTAGGAATGTTAGTCGAGTGATTGCTTCCCTCAAGATGGCTTACACTTTTCCTCCAATTATTTTCCTCCAATTATGCAACAGAATGTCTTAAATAGGTTTCCCACATGAGCAGGCACAGGAGTTTAGAGCCATGGGAACCACACCAGTGGGGAGTGCATCTCTGCAAGCCACAGGCCTTTCCTAACGTTCCCCTCCGAAGAGAAAGGAAAGAGCAAAGTCAAATCTACCAAACCAAGACTTTGTAGCGGTTGCGCTTCATCCAGCTGAACCAGTCCGCTTGTCTAAGCATCTCTTTTCTTTGTCTCTGGTGATTGCCTCCGAACCAGCAGCCAAAAATATAGGATGGGGGAAAACCTGACCCAGAGAGCAAAACCGGAGCATTACAGCCTTTGGAGGGAAAAAGCCTTCTGCTGTAGTTGCATCTGTTGTTTTCTGTCTGTCTGTGAAAGGTCAAGATTTATCAGGCATCAGCTCAATTGATCAACAGATACTCATTGAGCCCTATGTGCTAGGGACTATGTTAATGATTTTCTGCAGTGGATCGTAATCCCCATTTCAGTAGTATTTATCTCTTTAAACATTTGTGCCTATCGTAAAAAACTTCTTTGTCGGGCGCAGTGGCTCACACCTGTAATCCCAGCACTTTGGGAGGTCGAGGCGGGCGGATCACCTGAGGTCAGGAGTTTGAGGCCAGCCTGGCCAACATGGTGAAACCCTGTCTCTACTAAAAATACAAAAATTAGCCAGGCATGGTAGCGGGCACCTGAAATCCCAGCTAATTGGGAGGATGAGGCAGGAGAATTGCTTGAACCTGGGAGGCAGAGTTTGCCGTGAGCTGAGATAGCACCACTGCGCTCCAGCCTGGGCGACAAGAGTGAGACTCCGTCTCAAAAAAAAAATAAAAAAATTAAAAAAAAAAAAGAAAAAATAAAAAGAAAAAAACTTCTTCAAGGTCAGTGAGGAATCGCCTTACTTACATGAAATGCAGCTTCTATGTCAGTAAGGTGATTTACTTACCTAGTGATTTACATGGTTTCAAGGAATGTGGCTTGCAGGGATGCACAGCCACATCGTGTGGTTCCCATGGCTCTAAACCTCTTTAATGCCTACAGTGATGGGTTCTGCTGGTGCTCACCAGTGCCCATTTTTCTCCTCTTCAAAGGCCCACAGACTACAATTCCCATATTTCCTTGCAGTCAGGTGGGGCCATGTGACTATATTCTGTTCCTTGTGATATGTACACCCATGTGTGAGCCTCTATTCTCCTTCCCCATCCACATCAGCCTTGAAGCCCAGATGAACTAGCTTGGAGCTGCAAGATGGAACACAGCTACCCATCCTGCAATAGACATGACATGAGTAAAATAGACTTTTACTTTTGTTAAGCCACTGAAATTTGGGGGTCTGTTTGTCAGCACAGTGTTTTGATTAGCACATGGTCTTTCTTTAATTTAGTGGGGGGTTTGGTTTGCTTGTTTGTTTGTTTGGTTTAAATTCTTTCTAAAGGCTCAGTGTCCTCCTTGTCTCTTTTTTTTTTTTGAGATGGAGTTTCACTCTGTTGCCCAGGCTGGAGTGCAATGGCACGATCTCGGCTCACCACAACCTCTGCCTCCCGGGTTCAAGCGATTCTCCTGCCTCAGCCTCCCGAGTAGCTGGGATTACAGGCATGCACCACCATGCCCAGCTAATTTTGTATTTTCAGGAGAGATGGGGATTCTCCATGTTAGTCAGGCTGGTCTCGAACTCCCAATCTCAGGTGATCCACCCACTTCGGCCTCCTAAAGTGCCGGAATTATAGGAGTGAGCCACCATGCCCGGCCTCCTTCTCCATTTTTTTTGAGTGTGATGCAATGAATCATCTTGAGTAGAAACTCACATGCTTAGGCCCCACTGCTGTCTCTCAACTCTCCTCCAACATTCTGTGAACTGACCCCGGGTCGTTTCCTTGTTAGTCTACTGGCCCCAGGTCCCACAAAACACATTTTCATGGCTTTATTTCATGTGTCTTTCCCTAGGAAGTTAATCAGTACCTTATTTCAGCTCCTCAAGCCTGGATTACCCTAACATATGCTAATGAAATGAAATTAAACTTTGCAGACGGTAGCTCTAACCCCTTGGAGTAGTTGTCATAACAGCATTTCTTGTGAGCGCTCTATGGCCTGGTTGTCTCTATGCCTCGCCTCCCATTCTCTCTCTAGCCTGCTGCAGTCTGGCTTCTCCCACTACCACTCCAGGGAGTTTACTACCAGCAGCATCAACTAACAGACACTCTCCAGTCCTTGATTTTCTTGTGTGGATGGGAGAGGTGAGAGAGACGCTTGTTCTCTAATCCCAGTGTCTCTTCTTCCATGTGGGTTGAATTACCCGATTGGTGGCTTTGGGAGGAGGAACTGGGCAGGTACAGTCTTGCCTCTCCCTCTTTTCCTCTTGGGAGCAGCTGCTGTGGGGAGCTGGCATTCTGCCCTTCTCTTCCTCCAGGCCCCCCAGTGAGGAGGCCTTGCAGGGTTCCAGCACTACCTGTGCCTCAGCAAGGAAGGAGTCCAGGTTTCACAACTGGAGAGTTCGTTACTGCCGCATACCTCCACCATAGTCTTCGTGATCAATTTCATCAGTAATGAAGGGGTGGCCAGTTCTCCAATGGCCTACTCCTGTATTTATCTCATAATCAGATCAGAGTGCAATTAGGGAAACCGGAAAGATTTGTGGAGCCCCCACAAACTTCAGTATGGTTTACCAACCTCCTTTCTCTTGGCTTGTGACGCTAAACCTTGGTTTTCTTCCTAACATTCCCTAGTCTTCAGAGATGTTTGTCTCCTCTCCCTACAACCATTCCTTACATCGCAGTGCTTCTTGTAGTTCTAGTAATTCTAGACACCATCTCTTCTCACTGTTAAAAGAAATTTGTAGGAGATTCCATCCATGCCTAGGATTTCTTTTTCCATATAGATGCTAGTGACCCTCGGCCTGCATCTTTAAGGCAGGAATCACTCCTGACCTTCAGACACACATGGTAGCTGCTTAGTGGACAACTGAAACAAAACTCGAATCAATGTATCCAAAACTGAATTTTTTTTTGTCATCCTTCCCCACTCCTTTCCCCCCAAAACCTCCATTTCAATGAATGCCATGGTCATCCACCCAGACTTCTGGCCACCATCCCACCCCCTCCCTCAGCTATACCTCCTACATCCAGTCCATCATGTAATTCTCTTGATTTTACCACTTGAATATATTTATTTGATCTGTTTAAATCTTTCCATCCCCACATATTACCGTCACTTTCACCTGAGTTACTACAACACTCAAAAGTGTTACTCTTCCCTTCGAGTTAGCCCTCCAATTTCTTCACCATGCTCCTATGATTGTGATCTTTCCTAGGTGCTTTTTTTTTTATCCCGATTAGAGTCCCTCAGTAACTCCTTACTGATAGTCTTGATCTTCAATGTAGCCGACAACATCAGGTCCACATTTTCCTTTTTTTTGGAAATGGAATCTCACTCCATCACCCAGGCTGGAGTGCAGTGGTGCAATCTCAGCTCACTGAAACCTCCACCTCCTGGGTTCGAGTGATTCTCCTGCCTCAGTCTCCCAAGTAGCTGGGATTACAGGAGCATGCCACCAAGCCCAGTTAATTTTTTTTTTTTTTGAGATGGAGTCTTGCTCTTGTCGCCCAGGCTGCAGTGCAATGGTGCAGTCTTGGCTCACTGCAACCTCTCCCTCCCGAGTTCAAGCGATTCTCCTGCCTCAGCCTCCTGAGTAGCTGGGAATACAGACGCCTGCCACAACACCTGGCTAATTTTTTTATTTTTAGCAGAGACAGGATTTCACTATGTTGGCCAGACTGGTCTTGAACTCCTGACCTCAGGTGATCACCCACCTCGGCCTCCCAAAGTGCTGGGATTACAGGTGTGAGCCACCGTGCTCAGCCAATTTTTGTATTTTTTAGTGGACATGGGGTTTCACCAGGTTGGCCAGGCTGGGCTCGAACTGCTGACATCAGGTGATCCGCTTGCCTTGGCCTCCCAAAGTGCTGGGATTACAGGCATGAGCCACTGGGCCCGGCCCCCAACGCTTTCCATCACACCAAACTATTTACACTCTGGCCCTTTATGCATGTGTTTTCCTCTGTAGCCCCCATGCCCTTCACAACCGAGTTACAGGAGACTTTCTCCTGAAGCTCCCCTCATCCCTTAAATTGTGTACAATAAGTTTCGTAGATGTGCGGATAGAGTCCTGTATTTAACTCTACCCTGCTCCCATCACAATGTATTATAACGTCGTCTGCACTTGTGCTTATCTCTTCACAGGACTGTATATTTGTGGTGGACTCTGTGTTGCACCATCCCCAAGCCTCCCTTCATGAAAGATTTGTTGCTGCAGCTGCCAGGAGCACTATAACCTTCAGCTGTCACCCTCCTCAGGAATGACCTCATTCTGCCCAAGGTCATGCCCACTCCTGGGGTACCCATATACAGATTGATTTGAGAGTATAAAGGCCTGGCCATCTCAGCCAAACTCAGGATGATTCTGATAGGCAATTCCAAGTCTGCCTTGGAGCTGACAAATATCTTAAGATCTTTCATGTTACTAAAAGATGAACAGATGGACGGGGCCATTCACTCCTATGTTAAAGGTCACTCTCTCTGGAATCGTAATACATGAAGATAGAAATGAAGAAACTAGTTGTATTGCAACAATCATAATGGGACACTTAAATTAGGTAAATTGAACCTGCACTAAGCTATACCCTTGTGAGATAATAGAAACCTGTTCTATTTCACAGCATGCTAGTTTCAGAGCAAGGAAAGAGTTTCTGCTCAGTGTTGTTTTGCCTTGTGTCTGTGACTGGTCTAGGGCCAGCTTACATCTATTTCATTTAGAGACTCTAATGGACTTTGGTGAACTGACAGCCTTTTTCCCCCCAGAGATCTGTAGGTAATGATTATACCCAGAACACTATAATTTAATGATATAACAGATGTTGGCATATTAAAGAGTAATAATCTGATTTGAATTCAGGTCTTTGTCAAAAGTAATAAAGGATGTGCATGGTGGCTCACACCTGCAATCCCAGTGCTTTGGGAGGCTGAGATGGGATGACGAGGTCAGGAGTTCAAGACAAGCCTAGGCAACATAATGAGAACCCATCTCTTTAATAATAATAATAATAATAATAATAACTGGGTGTGGTGGTGCATGCCTGTAGTCCTAGCTACTTGGGAAGCCCCTTAAGGTCAGGAGTTGTAGGTTACATGAGCTATGGTCATCACACCACTGCACACTCTGGCCTAGGCAACAGAGCAAGACCACATCTCTAAAAAATAAAAATAAAAAAGCATATAGGTAATGTTTCTCAGGACAGAGAGGAAGCTTCGTGTCTCAGTGTACCGGGGCATGGTTTCACCTTCTTCACAGTTCTCTCATTGAAGATATAGTCTGAGTATTTCCTATCTGAAGTAAATACTTTTGGTGGCAATATGACAATATGTCTGATTATTGTCAAAAGAAGAAATATGGTAGAAATGCAGAACTTTCAGGAAAAAAAAACTACAATTAACAAATTGTGATAGAGGCCTATTTAGCTGTTACTGGTCACTGTCACTTGGTAATCTTGTTGCAGACATGGGAAAAATTTTCACTTCCAAGATAGAGCATAAAACATGTAACACTGAGCTTGGCACTTCTGTATGAGCATTATTTCTTCCATACCTTCTTTGGTCAAAGAACACCAACACGGTTGAGACTTAATGCCTGTTGAAAACAGCCTAATACAGGAGGGGAAATTTTCCAACAAGCCCCTCATTGGAAGATCCAGTTCTCGATGGATTTTTTTTTTTTTTTTTGAGAAGGAGTCTCACTCTTTTGTCCAGGCTAGAGTTTAGTGGTGCAATCTTAGCTCATTGCAACCTCCACTTCCGGGTTCAAGCAATCCCCCTGCCTCAGCCTCCCAAGGAGCTGGGACTACAGCTGCGCACCACCACGTCCAGCTAGGTTTTTTTGTATTTTTAGTAGAGACAGGGTTTTGCCACGTTGGCCAGTCTGGTCTTGAACTCCTGGCCTCAAGTGATCCACCCACATTGAGCTCCCAAAGTGTTAGGATTACAGGTGTGAGCCACTGCACCCAGGATTCTTAATGGATTTGAAGGACCTTGGGGTCTTGGCTCCATCTTGATATATAATAATGGCCGCATGGTAAACTGTTGGGGCTGCATTTCCCACAAGTGACCTCTTGAGGATGCCTTGGCAGAACACTGCCCTGGCAACCACAGGCACTGGGCACGTCCCAACCTCCACTGTTGTCTGGGCCCTCCCTGGATGGGGATATGCACAGGGACAGGGCTCAGGTGTGGCAGTCTCTGTGAACTGTCTGGTGCTCCCACAGGCGGGCTGGTGCCAGGTTGGCCCCTGAAGCTGCCCATCTTGGCTTCGAGTGCTGGGAGGGTTGTGGTGGGAGGAAAGAAGAGCACTTAGGAGGCTCTGGAGCAGGAGCCATTTGCTGTGATTTCACCAGACCGTGATTTCTAGATATCAGCTGCATGTCAAGGCACCTTCTGAGACTCTTCCATGCTAAATGTCATTGTGGTTTTGCAGTTTGCTATATTCTGAATGCCCAGCTCTGACCCAAACCCTTCACAGCACACACCAGCCCATTGCTGTGGCCACAAGGAAGCCAGCTTTAGTGTGCCTCCTTCCCCATAGGGTGGTCTTCAGCTTACAGATTAGACTCTCTTATCACAAGGTCCTTTGAGGGTTTCTTTAGCCAATTTCCTTAAAGGAGGTGTTAAGATATGTTAGTCTCAGAATTCTACCCATGGTGGTATAGAAAAGCTTTGTGTGTTAGTGTTTGTTTTAACATTATTTCCCTTGTCTCTTTTTAGGGGGTGCTTTTTAAGGAATCACCCTCTCCGTCAACCCAGAGTGAAAACACAAAACATTAGGCTGAAGCCACCAAGCGAGAGGTCATTCCCAGTTTTAATCCTGCGAGTGCTAACTGGACCATCCTTGATGCCAACATGCAGGCGTGACCCTCTGTCCTGGCGGCCCACTCCAGGGACCATTCCTCTTGTCATGTGAAGGTTTTTGATGTGTTGCAGAAACTGCTCAGGGAAAGCTGTAGACGGCAGCTTGGAGATTCTTTTTCTCTTCTAACATACCTGTGATACCCATTTCTCTCCACCAAATGCTTGCTCTCTTCATCCAAACTGCTCTGCATGTTGATGTCAAATATCTGACAAAGAAAATGATAAGGTGTCCAGCTAGAAAGCGTGTGCTCAATTTTGAACAGTTCACAGACTTTTAAAATGTGTTCCTCTTTTTCTAGGCCTTACAAGAGGGAAGATAAAGAAGTCAGACTCTCTGCTTATTCATCCAGTCTGGGAGTGTGTGCAGGTGGCTGTTGGAAAGTTTTCACTACAATTTACTACAGTTTCCAGGGAGTTTCAGACCCATGAGTGTGGGACGTGCAGTAAATGCCAACACCAGGCAGAGAGAAGCCACAGACAGCTAATGGCCCATTGTCTGTGCCTGTCGCGTGGTCTCCTAGGACCAGGCCCTCTCTGGAGGGAGCCCTGGCTCTTGGCAGCAGCGCCTCAGCTGCTCCGTCAGCCACTGGCAGCCATTCTGGGGACACAGGCACTTCTGTGTCCCTTCCCTCCTGCTAACTCTGCCACGGGCTAAGCGACCGACCCCGGAATCAGCAGCAGCTTTCAACTTGAGTTTTTGTGATGGAACAATAGTTAACTATGGCTTTCAAAGGAACTCGGAGGCAGCTCCTTTCACAGTGGGATTTCCTTCCTTGTGGGTTTTCCCAGCTGTCTTTGTCTTGGGTCATGTCTAACAGATGTCGGAGGCCTTGGAGAGCCTTCCAAAAAACCAGTGACAACTAGACCTGGGGGGCCTTCCGGGAAAAGTGCCTCAAGGGCCCTTCAGGGGTCAGCTGAAGCCATGGCAGGAATGACATTGGCAAATCACAAGACACCACTCGCCTCTCCCACCTCCCTTATGTCCTTTGCCTCCAAGGGTTGCTGTGGAATGCTCTAGGGGAGATTTAGGAGATTGCTTCGATGATGCTCTCGGGTGGAGATAAAAATCAAATTCCAGGAATCCTTCTTTTAGAGCCCGCCTGGTAAGCTTAGAAAGAACTCCTCAAACATGGAAAACACGAAACTGCAGACTATTGGTGTTTTGGAATCAATCTGATAAAACCTGCTATATCCAGATCAGAGTCATCCTTCAAAAGGGTTCCTGGGAGTCAGTGTACTCATTCCAATTATGGTTTCACTGCCTCATACATAATTGAAACTCCCCTTTTGGAATTGTTTTCTGAATTAGTCAATTCAACAATTAATAGTGAAAAGGTTGCCAACAAACCAAAGGGCTAATAATAGAGAATGAGTAAAGAATGTCATATTCTATGGTCATTAGAATATTCTTTGCAAAAACTGTGGGACTAAGATAAAACATGAAGTTGGAAAGAAATACATGAGTATACATAAATGCTTTCTAATTTAGAAAAAAATATAAAGTAGACACAAAGATTAGACGGGACGAAGATACCCCCAAAGGCTAACAGTAGCTTTGGAAAGCCAGTAGAATTATAGGTAATTAATTTACTTTCTTCCATTTTGCAGGTTTTGGTAGTGTGATTATTTACCCATGTAATGAAAAAATGTGTAATTTTTAAGAAGTCTTCTGAAAATTATTGCCTGGGAAAAATAGGCAATAATTTTCTCCTTTAATAGGTCTAGGAGAAAATCAGTCTTATCAATTCATAATTGCAACTTACTTTGGGTGAAAATTGCTATTATGGAATTAATTGCATCTTCTCTGACTTTTGGCTATTTCTAAAAGCCAGATCTCCTTTAGAAACTGGTGAAATTTGCCACCACTGAATATTTCCATGAGGGCATATGCATTTTTGCCTTTTGTTCAGGGATATATTCCCAGGTCCTAGCATGGTGCTGGACATATAGTTGGACTCAATAAATAATTGCTGAGTGGATGAACAGGCTGTAGATGGTATAAGGGGCTAGGATGCAGAACAGAGAATGGAGACCATAGAGTGAAAATGCCAGTCAGAGAATGAAATCCTCAGACAGGTTTAGCAGGTAACAACTGTGATGCACACCACAGGGCTCCCCAGATCCTCCCAGGTTCCCCCCCAACACCTGCCACTCTTCGTGGAGGACTGCCCTTGGACTCTGGGAACTTATTTGTCTGTCAATGAAGAGCAGGGAGTACTAAGGGATTCTTTCCTCCAGGTAGCCCCACACTCCTGAGATACCCTGTGGGATTAGGGTGAAGCTGCCCCTCCTGGGACTTTGCCTAAAATCACACCTTTCCTTGTCTCAGAGTCTGCCTTTGAGAAACATGACCCAAGACAACAATACTGTTATTATTTATTTATTTATTTATTTTTGTGATGGAGTTTCACTCTTGTCGCCCAGGCTGGAGTGCAATGGCATGATCTCGGCTCACTGCAACCTCCGCCTCCCAGGTTCAAGTGATTCTTTTGCCTCAGCCTCCCGAGTAGCTGGAATTATAGGTGCCCGCCTCCATGCCTGGTTAATTTCTGTATTTTTAGTAGAGACGGGGTTTCCCCATGTTGGCCAGGCTGGTCTCAAACTCCTGACCTCAAGTGATCCACCCACCTTGGCTTCCCAAAGTGTTGGGATTACAGGCGTGAGCCACCATGCCCAGCCGACAATAATACTTTTAGCAACAGGAAGGCATAGCATTTATGGTCTGTGTTCTGTGCATCAGGCACAGTTGTGATGCGTTAGTGAATTATTTCGGGGGGTGCTCTCAAGGACCCATGGAAGAGGGGCCATTATTATCCCCATTTGCACTTGAGGAAATGGAGGCACAAAGCTTCTAAATAACTGGGCTTTATACATTTAAATACTAGTCCCACCTTGCATGGGACATTTCTGCTCATCTTCCATTGTGATGGAAAATTTTATGTGTCAGCTTGGCCAGGTAAAGGGATACCCACAAAACTGATAGAATATGGGTGTGTCAGCCTGGCGCGGTGGCTCACACCTGTAATCCCAGCACTTTGGGAGGCCGAGGCGGGCGGATCATGAGGTCAGGAGATCGAGACCATCCTGGCTAACATGGTGAAACCCCGTCTCTACTAAAGATACAAAAAATTAGCCGGGCATGGTGTTGGGCGCCTGTAGTCCCAGCTACTTGGGAGGCTGAGGCAGGAGAATGGCATGAACCTGGGAGGCAGAGCTTGTAGTGAGCCGAGATGGCGCCACTGCACTCCAGCCTAAGGGACAGAGCAAGACTCCATCTCAAAAAAAAAAAAAAAAAAAAAAAAGAATATGGGTGTGTCCCTGAGGTGTTTCTGGAAGAGATCAGCATTCGAATCAGTCAACAGAGTAAGGCAGATCATCCTCACCAATGCAGATGGCATTATTCAATCTGCTGAGGGCCCTGAAGGAACAAAATGTCACAGACAGGATAATTAATCTACTTTTTTGTATTTTCTGTCCTTCTGGAGCTGGCACCTCCATCTTCTCTGGTTTTCAGACTTTGGATTCCTGGTTTTCAGGCCTTCAGACTCACCCTGAATCCCACCCCTGGCTCTCCTGGTTCTCCAGCTTGAGGATGGCAGGCTGTGGGACTTCTAGACCTCCATAATTATGCGAGCCAATTCCCGCAGTCAATCCCCTCTTATTTGTCTATTCTTGTCCTATTGGTTCTGTTTTTCTGGAGAACCCTCACTGACAAGTCCATGAAGGGACTGGAACTCCTCTTGGGGTCCTTTCTACTGGTGGAAAAGACCAACCCAGAGGGTGGAATGGGTTAGGAGCCCCATGAGGAGCATGGGGGAGTTGCCCAGCCTAGTGTGGACAGAGCAAAATCGAAACTGTCCTCATAGGCTTAGCAAGAATTCTGGACAGAAATAGGGTTGTAATTAAGCATTAGTCAGGCCGCACTGTGGCCCACTTCCTTGTCACTGAGCCATGTAGCGCTAGATACTGATCACCTGCATCCCTGCTGTTCTTCTAGATAGGATTTCTGATGTTAGACTCATAAGGCGTTTGTTTAAGAATTGCCTAAGATGTTTTCCATATCCTGAATTCTGGCAAAAACAACTTACATCACCCAGTTTGAGGACCCCCACAAAGGAATGGAATCAGCATGAGAATAGTTTCTCCACTCTCGGTCCCATGACTTCACCCCCGCAACTCTTGAACCAATTAATGATCCTCACACTTCAGCCCACTCCAAAACCCTTAGAAATCCTAGCCCCAAACTGCTTGGGGGAGACAGATTTGAGGTCTCTTCCCATCTCCTCCTTTGGCAGCCCTACGATTAAACCTCTTTCTCTGCTGTAGCCCAGTGTCTCGGCGTATTGATTTACCCTGCACATCAGGCAATGAACCTATTACAGTTACAAAAGCAGAATCAGGAAGGGTCAGCAAGAAAAGTCCCCACATTTGTGAATGGGAGCAAAAGAAGCAGCATTTAAAAGAGAGCCCAAGGTCTGGCTGCTGAAAACATGCTGGGGAGAAGATGGGAAAGCCTGGCTCCTCCTGCAGAAGCTACATTCTGGTCTTTGTGGACAGCCATGGGCCCACCTCCAGGGAACATCTCTTTTGGTCTTTAAGGAGCCAGAATTGGAGGAAACATGTGACATGTGATGCCTATTTCCTTTGATAAGATTATTTTGCTGGTAGAAGTGAGATCATTTAACTTGAATTGAGTTATGTTCAAACATTCTTTTGGCTTAACACTCAGACTTTATCCAGTACATTTTGGTTGAGTTAAGGAGTGGATGAATGTGAATGAAGACAGTTCCCTGAGGGTGAGTGAGATCTTTATCAGCCCAGGCTATCAGAGGAAATGACAGTAGGATGAGAATGGTATTCCTGGAGGTTCAATCCACTTTCATGCGTATTCATGGAACACTCGTTGTGTGGAGGTGTTGGGCTGAGTTATGCAGGCAGTGGATGCGAAGGCACAGGGAGGGAAGTAAGAGAGATAAGCCCAAATAGGACTGTGACTCCAAGTAGAAAAGGTGAAATTTGGGACAGGCGGCAGGCAAGAGTTACAGGGGCTCAAAGAAGAGTGAAGTCACACTCATTTAGCAGGGACATTCATTAGGAAAGGCGATCCAGAGGAATTTGAGTTTGCCATGAAATAAGTAATATTTCAATGGAAGAGGATGTGGGAGTGAAATCCAGTTAGGATGGGAGGATGTGGACATCAAGAAAACTGAATAGGTTGGTGTGGTGGCTCACGCCTGTAATCCCAGCACTTTGGGAGACTGAAGTGGGCAGATCACAAGGTCAAGAGATTGAGACCATCCTGGCCAACGTGAAACCCTGTCTCTACTAAAAATACAAAAATTAGCTGGGCATGGTGGCGCATGCCTGTAGCCCCAGCTACTCGGGAGCCTGAGGCGGGAGAATTGCTTGAACGCTGGAGGCAGAGATTGCAGTGAGCCGAGCTCACACCATTGCACTCCAGCCTGGTGACAGAGCGAGACTCTGTCTCAAACAAAACAAAACAAAACAAAACAAAACAAAACAAAACAAAACAAAAACAGAAAAGAGAATAAGGCTAGGGTGAGAAGTCTAACATGATTGGCACGTGAGTGCTAAAGAGAGGTAGCTGTGGACTTAAAAAAATGTTTTCATTATCGTGATGAATTTGAACTGATCTGTTTTTATATTTTTGCCTGGTCCTCTTTGAGAGGCTGGAACTGGCTGGAAGTACAAGTAACTGTCGCGAATGTAAATAAAACAGTGGCAGCTTCACCCATGCCCTGGACCCCATGAACTCTCTTATCAATGAGCTAAAATACCTGTTTGAATTAGAATAGCCTTGGAAGGTATTAAAGGATATGAGTTAATAACAGTTCGGGCCCCAAATGTAACCATGCCAACAGTTAAAAACATAAACTGAACATTGTTCTGTGCCCAATTAAACACAGAATAACAGTGTGGAAATGGAAATTTATCCGCAACCGGGTAGCTTATAAGTTGCAGTTTAATTACGAAGCTGAGTGTGGCAGGTCATATTTTCCAAAGATGGCTGCAACAACATCTCCCATCCCACATCCTTTTCAGGAAGATGACCTTCCCACTCACCCATCAGGAGGGGGAATTTATTTCTCCACACCCTGGAATCTGGGTGGGCCAATGGTTGCTTTGATAAATAGGATGCAGTGGAAATATCATTGTAACAGTTCTGAGCCACGCCTTCACTGGCCTGGCAGCTTCTGCTTCCTGAACTTTGAAACATCCGCTCCTGGGATGTTCCACTGGAGTGAACCACCCTGTGTGAGAAGCTTAAGCCACAGGGAGAGGCTCACGTAGGTTAACAGCCCTTCATGAGCCTGCAGGCCATGTGAATGGGCCTTATAGGACATCCAGCTCAGTTGAGCCTTCAGATGACTTCAGTCTTAGCTGACCTGATATCAGGCTGCAACCACATGGGAGGCTTTGTGCAAGAACCACTTAGCTGAGCCCAGCCAACCTCCAGAACCATGGGAGATAATAACAACAAGTTGTTGTTTAAGCTGTTAAGTTTGCACTCCACAGTAGATACCTGGAATACCAAGATCAGAAGTTGGGTTGTAGGCCAGGGATAGCTGTGAATGCAGGCCCACGGCCATGAAGGGGATGGGGCAGTGAAGTGTGAGTGGTCAGGGGCATCTAACCCCATGACTGGCAAGACACTCTAGTGTGAACACCCACAGTGCGGGAGTGGGTGAGAGGATGTAAGCCTGGATTCTGGCAGTCGCTAAAGACTGTTTTCTCAATAGCAAAGTGAAAATAAATCCTCATAGGGTGGTTATGAGGATTAAATGAGATAGTGCGAATGAAAACACTTTATAAGCCTTTGTTGGAAGGTATCATAATGATTTCTGGCAGATGGTTGAATGTTAATGATGTTAGTATCTGAAGATCGCACATCCTACAAAGCTTTATTATGAATGTATTTCTCCTTGGATGGTCTGCTGCTCATTGCAACCCCAAAAACAATTCTTACAACATAGATCCCTTGTGCCTGGGAGTACCGTAAAGTTTTCTATATCCATTCACTCATTCGTTTCTTCATTCATTGAATAATTACTTGAGTGCCTATTACATGCCAAATAGTGTTTTAGGCACTCAGCGTAGAGCAGTGAACAAAATACAAATCGTCCTTCCCTTCTGGAGTCTGTAGTCTAGATCTTCTAATCATAGTGTTTATAGTATGATGCTGCTTGTTATGAACTATTGGGGCAGTATGGTGTGGTAGTTAATGGTATATGTTTGGGGGTGAGGAGGGGGTCAGATAGACCTGAATTTACATCCTGATTCCACTGCTAACCAACGTGAGACTTTGGCAAGTCACTTAAGCTTTCTGTACCTCTGTTTCTTCATCTGTCCAATAAGCATAATAATAATAACAACAACCTACTTCAGAGGCTTGTTATGAGGATTGAATGAGTTAATACAGTGGTCCCCAACCTTTTGGGCACCAGGGACCAGTTTCGTGGAAGATAATTTTTCCGAGGTGCCAGGTGGGGTGGGGGAGATGGTTTTTGGGATGAAACTGTTTCACCTTAGATCGTCAGGCATTAGATTCTCATAAGGAGCACACAACCTAGCTTCCTTACTTGCACAGTTCACAATAGGGTTCATGCTCCTATGAGAATCTAATGCCACCGCTGATCTGACAGGAGGCAGAGCTCAGGCAGTAATGCTCACTCACCACTGCTCACCTCCTGCTGTGCAGCCTGGTTCGTAACAGGCCACAGACCACTACTGAGTTACTACATGTAGAGGACTTGAAAAAAGGACTTGGAACAATGACCGCCTAGAGAAATCTGTGTCACAACAAATGTTATGTATCATTACCAATGTTAAAAATGTTGTTTATCATTATTACCAATGTTATTCTTTTATTTCAATGAGAAATAATTTTCCTATATTAATTCTTGTTTTATGATCAATAGCACATATTCTATTCTATTCTATTCTTTTGTGGTAACTTTTCCCTTCTTTTCTTTATAGCTTCTTTCTTTCTTCCCTTCTTTTTTTTTGTGCTGTGGAAAGAAGCATTACAGATGGTTCATGACATTCATTTATCTGCCAAAGTGATCCATGGGTTGGAAGTTTGAGAAATCTAGTTTAAATTAGCCCTTAATAAAATTGTAATACCATAGATTGTATTAAAGATTGTTTAACCAATATTTGAATCTAAAATAACATTTTTACTTGTATCCCTGAGGATGTAACTCCAAGAAGGTTGAAGGTAAGCAGAAATTCTGTGAAAGTGGGTGAGCTGGGACCAGAGGATCCGGAGGACCCTATTCACACTGTCTTCTAAGTGAGAGTGTCTCATGGCCCACGATATAAGAAGGGTCTTCCAGAGTTACATAACGTGCAGGACTTGGTGAACCTGTCTTAGAAAGTCAAGGAAAACAGTACTGACTATGCTTGCTCAAGAATCAAAGACAGTTTTAGAGAAAGTAGAGTCCTAAAACCTATTGAGTTGGCTGTATCAGTGAATAAATAATGAAAAACTCAAGTAAGAGACCTCCTATTAGGTAAAAGAAATCCCAAATTAGGCAATTCTGGGTGGGCATGACATCAACTTGGTCATCAGGTGTGTAGGTTCTTTTTGTCTTTCTTCTACCCCCCTCAGAGTGTGGCTTTTTTTCTCAAGGTCTATCTCAAGATACAAAATGGCTGCTGGAACGCCAGCCATCATGTCCACATTTCAGGCAGGAAGAAGAAGACGTGGGTGGAACCATAAAAGAGCTCACCTCATAGCTGAGTCAGCCCTCTTTTAGGAACTTTTCCAGAGGCCCTATCCAACAAGTTCCACTTACATCTCATTGACCACTTTGGAGTTGAGAAATTGTTGCATTCCTAGGATATCGTGCTTTTTTGAGACAGGCTAGGCTGAAGCCTCTGTGATGACTTTGACTGCTTCGGGGGTGCTGCAGTGAATGCTCTGTGTTGGCTGAGACTTTGCCCCTAAGTTCCTTTGAAGTCAAAACCCATCAAATATAATATAAAATATCTGAAGTACTTAATTATAATGACACTTCAAGTCTTGCAAGTAGGGAATCTTTCTCTGATTTCAAATAAGAATCATAAATATTTAAAGAGTCTTTGTCTGCTTCTCCTTCCTCTCTAATTCCCTCCCACCCATCCTCCTACCTCATCCCAAACCTGAATTCCTGGATTAATTTTTAATAGTGATAGTTCCGGGAAGAGAATCTTAGCTTCTGTATTTTTTCTTTTGAAGTTGCTCTATTCCCTGTTAGGTTGCCTCACACATTCCACTCCTGGAATATCAGATGATGTTCTACGAGGGTTGTTTGTATGAATTTTATGTCAGGAAGCCAGAAAAGTTACTGCTGCCTCGGAATGAGCACAGGACTTTTGAGTTTAGATCCTAAGTCGGATCACTTTATTTATTTAATTAGAATTAAATGTATTCCCAACAAGTTTTTAGCTAATGTACAAAATTAAGCATAATTAAAAATAAAAATGTTAGGGCTAAAAATCCCAGTCGCTAGATAGATTTTAACAGGGAATTATCTTTCTTTCTCTGACTTATCAAAAGGAAATCACAGTGATGCTTCTTCAGAATAATACTGTGTCGAAATGTCATGACCACTTGCCAAGTGCTTTGAGATCTACCATGAAAAGCGTTACAAACCTCAAGTGTCATTGTTATTAAGCACTGTCATTCTAACACGGCTTTTAGCATTTCCGTCCTATCTCTAATGCAATGGGAGCTGTAGGTGTTATCTTTAGATTCAAGGGACAAGTAACTGACTAATATAATAACACACTCTTGTTGCATACTCCACCCAATAAATAATTGCGGGAGAGATGTATAGGATGTGTGCTAACACATGCAATATTCACCGTGGATGGATTTTGCTTTCTTCCTTGAAGATTCTTCTTACAAGGACTTGTTTAAAAGGTGTCAATGTGGCGGCTGTACGAAGCTTCAAGTCTGGATGGCTGCTTAGAGAGGCTTTCTTCAAGTTGACCTGGTGTTTGCATTGCCTTCTTAGTACATCTCTAAAGGAACTGGGCACAAAAACGATCCTTTTAAGATATCATCTCTTGCTGACACTGCCAAGGAAGTGCAATGAATAGTGTTTGTAGATGAAGATCATCCAAGACGTAACAGATCCAAACACTGGACTCTAGTCTCTGCTTCATCACTAACTGGCTGTGGTCTCTTGAGAAAGCCACTTTGATCTCTCAAGATTTTAGTTTTCTCATTTATGAAATTGAATGATCTCTTCCAGCGTCATTAATTTTTAAGCTTACGAAGCCCTGAGCTTTACTAATTCTCTGTGAAATCTATCTGCCCCTGTGTGAGAACGGGCGGGGCTACCATTTTGTTCCCTGTGGTGTGACACAGTTTGTTTCATGATGACTGTTCACTTTTGGTTTGTGATCAGCATGACTCAATGATTAACATTGAGTCAAATCAAATCCCATGGTATCTTAAACTTAGTACATAAAAAATGATTGCCATTTGGTAGACCATTACAAAACATTTTTAAAACCTAAATGGTGCTGAGAAGTGGGTGGAGATGGAAGAGAAGTAGGCAGTACAGATGTTTTTCTTTTGAACTAATCTCTGCATCTGGAGGGCAAGACGTCCAGCTTTCCATTACTAGTTCCTGATTCAACAACACAGATTTAACATTCAATCTGTGAATAGATTTTTATGGATTAAAAAAAAATGAGGATGCAAATAGAGTGAGGTCCTTAGAGATTAAAAATGGTCATATGGTTTTGTCTTTGTTATTTGGGCTTAAATTACCGTGCTTTGGTGAGCAGAGATTACTCAGTTTGTAATCAGAGGAAGGAGTTAGCTGAACTCTTGTTTATTTCTTTAACCTAGAAGACGTTTTCGTAAACACGTGGCTTCTTTAAAATCTCCTGGGCTTCAGAAAGGCCTCGGATTTAGTGGAAGACTTATGGGCACTCCTCCCCCTACTGGGCACGATCTGCAACTGCTTATTTTATGGTCCCTGCTGACCAAGGTGGCGGATGGTGGTGGGGGCGGCGGTGGGGAGCCCTGGTAAAAGAAATCTTGAAACTGTAACTCTCGTTCAGGAGTTGGGGAAAATAAAGATAGGGGTGTGTGCGCGTGTGCGTGTGTGTTTTCTACCAGACTGGAATAATATAACAGATAAAAGGATGGAAGTTAGCAAAGAAGAATTTAACTGAAGGAGAAGTGTTACGTAGGAAAAATCACGAGACTGCAGTTGGAAAACTAGGTTGGAGCTCCTCGTGGAAGAGTTTGCATGACAAACTACAAAGCAGGGAGCCACTGAAGCTACTTTGGAATACGGGAATTCACCTGTTTTTTACGTACTCAGCTGCCGTGCATTGAGCCCTTCCCACAAGCCAGCCGTTTGCTAAGTGCTGTGGATCAGCAAAGCTAAAATTCACTTGGATCCTGACTTCAAGCAGCTTAGCGTCTAGCAGTTGATATTAGATATGTATATAAGTAACCATAACACAAAATAGAAAGTGGTGTATCGTGTGAAGTAAAAACTGGGAAGCAAGAGGGATTGCTTCCTGCAGGGGATGAGAGCAAAACGTAATAGAAGATTTTCAGGTGAAGGGAAGGTTGATCTTGGCAGTAAGGATGTATTGAAGACTTGAGCAAGAGAAGCCACTTAGAAGCTACCAAGGTTTTTTGTATATCATCTTATATTGAACATATGCAATTTTATAATGTAACAATTTAGATTGCTTATATGTATGGAATAATACGTAGAATGCATGTGGATAAACAAATTGTGGTGTATTCATACAATGGAATACCAATTTATGGCCATAAAAAGGAACAAACTACTGACTCGTGCAACAACGTGGATGAATGTTCCCCCACGTTATCGTGAGTAAGAGAAACTGGAGGCGAAAGAGGAAAGCCTGTATGTTTCTGTTTATAGGATGAAGTTCTTAGAAATCAGATCGGGGTTGACTAGGGTGTGGTGGTGGGGTGTTGATTGACTGAAAATGTGCACAGGAAACTATCTAAGGAGATATTCTATGTTTTAAATGGGGCATTGGTTACATGGATATTTGACGGAATTTATCCACTTCCTCTTAAAATTTGTGAATTTTGTTGTGTACATTGTAGCACAGTAAAGTTTACTTAAAAATTAGGAAATGATAAAGCATAAGAAGTAAGTATGGTCAGCAAGGTCCTTAATTTGCAATCGATCATTTCTAAACTATGTTAATTCATGAACTATGTTAAAATAGTTTAGTAAATATACTCACTCAAATAAAGAATTGTGTTTTTATGCACAGCAAAACAAAAAGAGATATGGTGGATAAACTGAGTCGGTTTCACATATTTCCTGAAGGAGTGAATGGAGAGAAGGAAATATATGAAACATATAAAGAAATAAATGACAATTGGAGAATTTACTAGAATTGGTGAGATACATGGTTCCCCAGATACAGAAAGTACAATAAGCACCAACTAGATAAATAACAATGTTTATCTCCATTTGTAGATTTAATCTTCCACAGAAAAATAAGAAACAGTGGGAATTTCAGTGGAAATAAAAAAAACTGATGAAACTAGAGAACTAGAGACAATTGAGTGGTAATGTGAAGATATGTGAAGATTGATCAATAGTTTCTCCAGTCAAAACTTTCAAATGCTTCCTGAATATGCCCAGATTTTATTATTCATGGTACTTTTATTAGAAAATCAGAGTCAGGTTTTCTTTGGTTTTGGCTGGGTGCAGAGGCTCACACCTGTAATCCCAGCACTTTAAGAGACTGAGGCAGGTGGATCACCTGAGGTCAGGAGCTCAAGACCAGCCTGACCCACATGGTGAAACCCCGTCTCTACTAAAAATACAAAAATTAGCCAGGCATGGCGGTGCGTCCCTGTAGTCCCAGCTATTTGGGTGGTTGAGGCAGGAGAATCTCTTGAACCTGGGAGGCAGAGGCTGCAGTGAGCTTAGATTGGGCCATTGCACTCCAGCTGGGGCAACAGAGTGAGACTCTGTACCCTCCCCCCAAAAAAAAGAAGAAAAAGAAAAGCAGAATTAGGTTTTTTCTGGTCTCTAAAAAAAGTCACTTTTTCAAATGAAGCTTGAAATAGACTGGAAATTGTAAAGCGAGTTTTAGTAGGTCTGAAGAGCAGTTTGATTTTCCATGTGGGTGAAAATTGAAAGGATATTCCTTGATAGGCAACATTTCCTACAAAATCTTGCTATAGAAATAGATACAGTGGGAGACTTTGTTTTCTTCTGTATAGGAAACATATAGATGGTAAACATTCTATAAACTAGGAAAGTTGTTATGAAAATGAAATTGTGATAAAAGATCACAAGTAGATTTGAAGCTGCTTAAGAATAGAATAGGGAACCTTGCCATGGGTTGATGGTAATGGAAATACTTTGCTTTGGACATCTGATTTTATTATTCTATAATCATTTGCATAATATCTGCTTAAGCCATGCATTCATGTGTGTTGCACTCAGATTTAAGGGATAATTTTGTTTGCTATAAATAGACAAGAAAGGAGAATAGGAAGAGATGAAGAAAAAAAAGGCAGAACAATAAAGTCAGGGACACAGTATCTTCTCTTATGCCTGCCTGTGTCTGCATCCTTGTCTTTATTTTGTCCTGCCGTTGGCAGGCAGCCCAGAGACCACAGGTTCAGTTATTAAGCAAATTCCTTACCAATGACTCTGAGAAGGGATTTTGGTTGTGTCTAATCTGGAAGAAATGTGGTAATTTCCATCCAACTGTCAAAGCTCTGCTGAGGTTAGGGTGCCCATCAAGGCCATTCAACATTCTAAAAGGGAATCTCTTGCCTCCTTTTCTCTAAAACAATAAGAGTTTCAGGGCACAATCTGCCTTTTTTTTTCTTTTTTTTTTTTTTTTTTTGAGATGGTGTTTCGCTCTTGTTGCCTAGGCCTGAGTGCAATGGTGCAATCTCGGCTAGGCACAGTCTTGGCTCACTGCAACCTCAGCCTCCTGGGTTCAAGTGATTCTCCTGCCTCAGCCTCCCAAGTAGCTGGGACTACAGGCAAGCACCACCACACCCAGCTAATTTTGTATTTTTAGTAGAGACAGGGTTTCTCCATGTTGATCAGGCTGGTCTTGAACTCCCGACCTCAGGTGTTCCACCCACCTCAGCCTCCCAAAGTGTTGGGATTACAGGCGTGAGCCACTGCGCCCGGCCCAATCTGCCTTTGAACTGATCAAAAGTGTATGGAGTTAATTTCTCTTCCCTGAAAAGGGCAGCTTGTTTCCAGACATGCAACGTGAACCAAGAGGGAGAAGTTCTGAATCCTGTGTGAATGAGCTCCCATAGACTCCATACCATCTCAAATTTTTATTTACTTTTATTCAAGAATTCTCCTTCCATTGCTCATCAGTCAATGGTGTCATTGTAAGAAATTTACATAATTATATTATCTGCTTGGGGATAAGAAAGAAGTGCATAAGCAGTAGGTTCTCTTCCTAAGGGTAAACCCTTAAAAAAGTGTACTTTCCTTAGTAATGTAAAAAATACCCTTGAGTTTATTGAGATCTTGGACCAAAATTTGCAGAAGCATCTTCTCATTAATTCCTATTCAATTTTTTAGTGTCTGGGTTGTCCAGTGTCTACTGGTATTAGCGAAGGTGGACAAGTGTCTTTTTTTTTCTTTTTGCATTAAGTGTATATTTTAATTCCTTTAATAACTTTTTCACTATTTTTTGAGTTTTTAAATTGGTTTCTTTAGACATTACCATATATATCTTATCAGACTCAACTTCAGATTTATGCTAACTTAATTCCAGTTACATATAAAAATATTACTCCTAGCCAAGCGCTGTGAATCACGCCTGTAATCTCAGCACTTAGGGAGGCCAAGGTGGGCGGATCACCTGAGGTCAGATGTTTGAGACCAACCTGGCCAACTTGGTGAAACCCTATCTCTACAAAAAATACAAAAATTAGCTGGGCGCAGTGGTGTGCACTGTAATCCCAGTTACTTGGGAGGCTGAGGCAGGAGAATTGCTTGAACCTGGGAGGTGAAGTTCGCAGCAAGCCGGGATCATGCCACTTCTCTCCAGCCTGGGCAATAGAGCCAGATTCCATCTCAAAAAAAAAAATGATACTCCTATAGAGCTTATATAGCTCTATTACCTCTTCCTTGTTTTGGGGTCATTATTGTTATATATAACAATATCCAACAACTCGATATAAAAACCCAACAATACAGTGCTACAATTGTTACTTTATATAATTATTAGTCTTTCAAAGAAACTGAGAGAAGAAAGAACAAGCATATATTTATAAAGTTTGTTATATTTACCTTCTTATTTACCAGTTCTGGTTCTTTTCATTTGTTTCTGTGGGTTCAAGATACTGTCATTTCTTTACACCAATCTATCTTTACTTCCACCTACATCCTTTGTGTTGTTATTGTTAAATATATTATATTTCTATATGTTATAGGCCCAACAATACAATTATATATATAACTGTAGATATAATTTGTTTGTTTGTTTGTTTTGAGATGGAGTCTCGCTCTGTCGCCCAGGCTGGAGTGCAGTGGCGTGATCTTGGCTCACTGCAAGCTCCGCCTCCCAGATTCATGCCATTCTCCTGCCTCAGCCTCCCGAGTAGCTGGGACTACAGGTGTCTGCCACCACGCCCAGCTAATTTTCCGTGTTTTTAGTAGAGACGGGGTTTCACCATGTTAGCCAGGATGATCTCCATCTCCTGACCTCAGGACCCACCCACCTTGGCCTCCCAAAGTGCTGGGATTACAGGTGTGAGCCACCGTGCCTGGCCTTCCTTTTGCTCTTTGAGCATATTTGTAATGACAGTTTTGAGGTCTTTGTCTGTTATGTGTGACATCTAATCTTTTGATAGGCAGTTTCTGTTGCCTGCCCTTTCCACCTGTGTATGGGTCCCACTTTCCTGTTTCTTCACATATAGCATAATTTCTTTTGGAAAACTAGAAATTTTTAGTTAATGTTGGATATAAAATGCTGCAGGAATAAATGCTTGGTGCTGTGAAGTAAAACCGATACTCAGGCAAAAGTTTAATTCTCTCAGCAAGGCAATATGCTTCTGCAGAAGGGTGCCACTTGTGTCACTCAAGATCATAAGAGCACAGGGAGCAAAGGAGACTGGGGGGTTTTTATATCCTTAACGCAATCCCTACTTCTGTGTCCCTCCCCCATGGGCTGGGGTCGGACCACACAATCTGAACTGACCCGATTGGCTACTGGTACATATTTTTCTAATTATAGAATGGGAGGGGGATGTGAGGTACAGAGGTGGAGTGTGTGAGATGTGCAGTTTTGGGGGAATAAGGGGTACAGGTAACGAAGGAAACGGGTGTGAGTTATTGATTAGAGCTGATGGGCAGTGGGTAGGCTGTTTACAGTAACTAGGGGCAAGGAGGAACAGGAAAGTTGAGTTTGAGAACAAAAGACAAGAAAGTTAGCAAGCTAAATTTTTGAAGAGAAACTCAGAGAAATTCATTGTATCTTACAATGTCTTGTAGCAATTCTGGATATTGACTTCTTCCAACTTCAAGGCTTATAGTTGCTGTTTGCTTGTTTATTTGTTTAATGTCTTGGCTGAACCTTTTTTAGTAAAGTCTACTTTCTCTGCAGTGAGAAGTTTTTGATGGCAGAGAGCAGAGCCTTGGTCATATATGTAGTCATCCTGGGCTGGACAGTAGTTTTATCAGGGATCTCTTTGACTGTTATTTCTCCCGATTTCTCAGTTGTCTTCTCTGTTGGTATCACATCCATTTGTTAGATTCCACTAATAGCTGGCTGATTGCTCTCTGTTTTCACAATGCTTTGGGGCATAAATTGCTCCACAGTTGGATCCAATTAAATGTGGATCTCTTTTCAGGGATGGTTTTTGAGGCCAGTCTTTGGAGTTTGTTCTTCCCCCAGGAGTGCTGTTATTAACTGTCTCTTTTCCAGATTTTCTCTGGGAAACTAGCTGGTTCTGGTGTAGCTTTTCTTTCTCATGAAGCTACCAGCCTCCTCTTAATTGCTTACCACCAAGACCTCCGTTGTTTTTGAGAGTATCCTTAGGCTTCAACTTCCCCACCGGCTAGTTTTTAAAAAGTCAGTCTATTTGGGGAAAGCTTCAGAGCTCTGTTTTATAGCCTGTCTCTCCTCTTTGGCAAAATCTCTGAACAATGACTCCAGAGCTGACGGCAGGGGCAATGGTGTGCTTCTGAGTGACCCTCTGCTTTAGGGATGGGCTGCTGGGCCTGGTTGGGGGTGTGAGCCTCTGGTCTTCTTAGTTTGCCTTTTTGGTGTGGACCTCTGACCCATGAGCAAATTGGGGTGAAGGAGAGTGGGACTCTTATGTTCTCAGCCTGCTGCAATTAAGGTAGAGCCTCTGCCCTGCCTATGAAGTGTGGCCTGGTGGAGAAAAGGAGCTCAGGAACTCTCAGCCATGCTTGGAATTCAGGCTCTGTAACAAGACCTGGAGGCAGAATGAGAAATGCTGTTGGCTTAAGCCTCCCAGCGAGACGTTGTAGCAACTGATTGAGAGCTGGGAGTGAGCCCCATCTTCTTGGCCACACCCACCTGGAATACAGCTTCCATCATGCTGAGCAGGACAGAGGGAGTGGAGAGTGACTTCAGTGCCACTGATTCTTGCTGTTCTTACCCAGATTTAGGACATTGAATACTTGGTTCTTCATTTCCTTTGGACAATTTCCTAAGACTTTAAATGACTGGGTTTTAGTTTTGTTTTATATAAGACAAATTTCTTTAGAAATAGGGTCTGGCAGGCCAGGCGTGGTGGCTCAGGCCTGTAATCCCCGCACTTCGGGAGGCCGAGGCAGGAGGATCACCTGAGGTCAGGAGTTCAAGACCAACCTGGCCAACATGGCGAAACCCTGTCTCTACTAAAAATACAAAAATTAGCTGGGTGTGGTGGTGCACACCTATAATCCCAGATACTCAGGAGGCTGAGGCAGGAGAATTGCTTGAACCCAGGAGGCCGAGGTTGTAGTGAGCTGAGATCGCACCACTGCACTCCAGCCTGGGCAACAAAGCGAGACTCTGTCTCAAAAAAAAAAAAAAAAAGAAAGAAAGAAATAGAGTCTCACTCTATTGCCCAGGCTGGAGTGCAGTGGCATAATCATGGCTCATGGCAGCTCAGCCTCAAACTCCTGGGCTCAAGTGATCCTCCCACTTCAGCTGGGACTACAGACATATGCCACCGCACCTGCCTTTTTGTTTTTGTTTTTTTGTAGAGTTGGGTTCTTGTTATGTTGCCCAGGCTGGTCACAAACTCCTGACCCCAAGTGATACTCCTGGCTTGGCCTCCCAGAGTGCTGGTATTACAGACATGAGCCACCATGCCCAGCCTGTTTTATTATTATTAATTTTTTTTGAGACGGAGTCTCGCTTTGTTGCCAGGCTAGAGTGCAGTGGTACGATCTGCAACCTCCGCCTCCTGGGTTCAAGTGATTCTCCTGCCTCAGCCTCCCGAGTAGCTGGGACCACAGGCGTGCACAACCACACCCAGCTAATTTTTGTATTTTAGGTAGAGACAGGGTTTCACCCTGTTAGCCAGCATGGTCTCGATCTCCTGACCTCGTGATCCACCCGCCTCGGCCTCCCAAAGTGCTGGGATTATAGGCGTGAGCCACCGCGACTGTTCTAGCCTGTTTTATAAAAAATAATTTTCATGCATTTTGATGGTTGCACTGGTGAGTGCATTCATGATGTTCACATTGTTATTCTGGAAGTGGACTGCCCGACTGTCTTTATAAAATTTGAACATAAAATAACAACAACAGCAACAGTTAAACCTTCCTCTGTGGCATTAATTCTATCACTAAAAACAAGTTGAAGTTGCCTTATTATTCCATATCAAAATTTTGCATTTATTTAGGTCAAATCTTGGCACTTAAAACAATTATATTTGTAAAGAATTACATAACAATTACGAGACAAGTGTAAATCTGACACCTACAGGTTTATAAAGAAGTTTCATTATAGCATTAACAATTGTAGGTATTTTCACACATTTCTTGAACTATTAAGATAAACAATTTAAAGAAGTAAAATGGTAGTTTTCTTTCAGAATTACTATGTTTGCTTTTCTAGTATGATTTCTTTCTTATTCACTTTGCAAATAACGTACCAAATTCTCTTAAACGGTGGATGCCAGGATATTGTTCGTGAAGAATTAGACAAGGCCGGTCGTGGTGACTCACACCTGTAATCCTAGCACTTTGGGAGGCCGAGATGGGCAGATCACTTGAGGTCAGGAGTTCGAGACCAGCCTGACCGACATGGTGAAACCCTGTCTCCATTAAAAATTAAAAATTAGCCGGGTGTGGTGGTGCACGCTTGTAGGCCCAGCTACCTGGGAAACTGAGGCAGGAGAATCACTTGAACTTGGGAGGCAGAGGTTGTCATGAGCCAAGATCATGCCACTGCACTCCTGCCTGGGTGACAGAGGGAGACTCTGTTTCAAAAAAAAAAAAAAAAAGAAAAAGAAAAGAAAAACAACATAGGATTTCAAACTCTGTAGTGCAGGCCCCGTCAAAGGTTTGTCCTGCCTCCTAGACAGGGGATCCCCATCAGCCTTCCTAACAAAGGCTGATCAATCTCTGGTCCACTTTACATATAGAAGGCTGTTTCTCCTCTTTCTCCTACTGAGCACAGTGCTTTCTTCTTGCACCTTTAAGTGACTCAGTGCTAGGTCTGTCTTCTGAAAAAGTCTAGATCAATTTTATCTTCTAAAGACAAATCTTGATATAGGACTGAGCATGTAATTTTGTGAGTATTCACAAATAAGCCCATTTAAGAGAAAATATATTAATGAGCAGGCTTTCAGCTGCAGTAAACAGCCTCTTTGACAGAATGTGGCTTAAACAGTGAGGTTTATTTAAAAATCTTGTTTTCTAAGAGGTTTGGTAACAGGTGGTTTCAGGGATGCAGCTCGAGGCAGCTTCCCTGTCCTCAAGATTATCACATGACTCATGTACCCCCAAGCATTACTTCCCCCAAAATGAAGTCTAAAATCAGGGAATAGAGAGAGCTAGCTTGCCTGCCTGCCTTCCTTCCTTCCTTCCTTCTTTCTTTCTTTCCCTCCCTCCTTCCCTCCTTCCTTCCTTCCTTCCTTCCTTCCTTCCTTCTTTCTTTCCCTCTCTCCCTCCCTCCCTCCCTTCCTTCCTTCCCTCCTTCCTTCCTTCCTTCCTTCCTTCCTCTCTTTCTTTTCTTTCTTTCTTCTGTCTCTGTTATCCAGCCTGGAATGCACTGGTGTGATCAGAACTCACTGTAGCCTCAAACTCCTAGCCTCAAGCAGTCCTCCCTCCTCAGCCTCCCAAAGTACTAGGGTTACAGGTACGCACCACCACATCTGGCCTGGGATCTTCCTTTTTTATCTAGGACTTTTTATCCTGCTAAGAGTTTTAGCAGAAGACTTCTCTTTTGTGTCAATGGCCAGGACTGGAACACCTGCCACTCCTGAATGAATCACTGTCAAAGGTAGATGAGGATATCGTGATGGGTTTGGAGTTAAGGTAATCAATACTCAGCACTTGGGAGAGGCACACTGTTGCCTCTTACCTGGACAAAATTGGGATTTGGCTTGCAGAGACAAGAGGAGAATGGTTGTTGGGTAGCCAACTCACATTGGCTACCACAATAACTTAATCAAAATTTGAAAATCCAAGGCCAGGTGCAGTGACTCACACCTGTAATTCCAGCATTTTGGAAGGCTGAGAGGGGTGGATCACTTCAGCTCAGGAGTTCGAGACCAGCCTGAGCAACATGGTGAAACCCCATCTCTACAAAAAATACAAAAATTAGATGGATGTGGTGATGCACACCTGTAGACTCAGCTATTCAGGAGGCTGAGGTGGGAGGATCACCTGAGCCCAGGAGGTGGAGGCTGCAGTGAGCTGAGATTGCACCACTGTACTCCAGCAGGGGTGACAGAACCAGATCCTATCTCAGAAAAAAAATTGAAAATCAAGTTGTATGACAGGTGGATTTCTTTTTCCTAATAGAGCCTATGCTAAAGTATGTTTTCAAAAAAAAGATCCATTGAGATATATTTTATATACCATAAAACCCATCCATTTATAATGTATCATGTTTCATCGTATTCCCAGCCATGTGGTCATTACTATAACCTAATTTTAGAACATTTCATCACATCAACATTTCTGAAGAGAAACCCCCTATGTATTAACAGTGATTCCCCATGTTCATTCCTTCCTCCCTCCCTCAGCCCCAGGCAAGCCCTTATCTACTTTCTGTCTATGTGTTGATTCACATAAATGGAATCATATAATTTGTGATCATTTGTAACAGGCTTGTTTCAGTTAGCAAAATGTTTTTCAAGGTTCACTTATATTGTAGCATGTATCACTACTTCATTCTTTTTTTATTGCCAAATAATACTCTATATAAAAAAAACCCTCACATTTTTAATCTATTCATCAGCAGATAAGCATTTAGGTTTTTTCCACTTTTGGGGGTTATTATGAATAATCCTGCTGTTAACATTTGTGTGCAAGTTTTTGTGTGAACGTGTTTTCAGTTCCTTTGGATTCCTAGGAATGGAATTGCTAAGTCATATGGTAACTCTGTGTTTAGCAATTTTAGGGATTGCCAAACTATTTTCCAAAACAGCTGCACCATTTTACATGTTCAGCAGCAAATAATGAGGGTTCCAATTTTTCGATATATTCACAAACACTAGTTATTGTCTTTTTTTTTTTTTTTTTTTTTTTTTTTTTTAACAGAGTCTCACTTCTTTACCCAGGTTGGAGTGCAATGGCATGATCTTGGCTCACTGCAACCTCCACCTCTTGGGTTCAAGCAATTCTCTTGCCTCAGCCTCCCCAGTAGCTGGGATTACAGGCATGTGCCACCATGCCTGGCTAATTTTTGTATTTTTAGTAGAGACTGGGTTTCACCCTGTTGGCCAGGCTGGTCTTGAACTCCTGACCTCAAGTGATCCATCCACCTCGGCCTCCCAAAGTGCTGGGATTACATGTGTGAGCCACCGTGCCTGGCCTAGTTATTGTCTTTTTAATACTAGTCATCTTACAGGATGTGAAGTGGTATCTCATTGTGGTTTTGATTTGCATTTCTCTTATAACTAATGACTTTAAGAATCCCTTCATGTGTTTGTTGGCCATTTGTATATTTTTTGGGGAAGAAATATTTGTTTAAATCCTTTGCCCATTTAAATTGTTTTATTTGTCTTTTTATTGTCAGTTTCTAAGAATTATTTATATATTCTGGATAGAAATTCCTTGTCAAATATATGGTTTGAAAATATTTTCTCCCATTCTGTCCATTGTCTTTTCACTTTCTTGATAGTGTCACAAAAGTTTAAAATTTTGATGTAGTCCAATTTATCCATTTTATCTTTTATTGCTTGAGCTTTTGGTTTGTATCTAAGAAGTCATTGCCTAATCCAAGGTCACAAAGATGTATTTCTGTGCTTCCTTTGGAAGTTTTAGAGCTTCAGCTTTCACATTTAGTTCTGATTTATTTTTAATTAATTAGTGTGTGTGGTGTGAGACAGGGATTCAACTTCACTTTCTCGCATGTGAGTATTCAGTTGTCCCAGAGGCAACTGTTGGATAGACTATTCTTTCCATATTGAATTATCTCTTCTAATCTTGGTCAAAAATAAACTGACCATAAATGTAATGATTTATTTCTGGTTCAGTTCTATTCTATCGATCCATATGCCTATCCTTATCCCAGTACAACAATGTCTTTATTACTGTAGCTCTGTTGTAAGCTTTCAAATTAGGAAGTGTATGTCCTCCAACTTTGTTTTTCTTTTTCATCATTGTTTAGCTATTCTGGGTCTCTTGCATTTCCATGTGAATTTTAGGGTTATTTTGTCAATTTCTGCAAAAGATCCAGCTGGGATTTTGACAGGAATTGCATTGAATCTGTGGATCAATTTGGGGAGTACTGTCATCTTAACTGAAAAGTTTTGATCTATGAACATAGAATATTTTTTCATTATTTAGATGTATGGTTAAGTTTTGCACTTCTTTTGTTGAATGTCTTCTTGAGTATTTTTTTTTTTTATGCTGTTGTACATAGTCTTCTTGATTTATTTTTGGATTATTCCTTGCTATTGTATAAAAATACAATTGATTTTTGTATATTGATCTTGTATCCTGAGACATTGCTAAACTTATTAGTTCTAATAGTTTTGTAGAGGATCTTTTAAAATTTTCTATATATAAGATCATGTCCTCTGCAAATAGAGAGCATTTTACTTCTTGCTTTCCAATCTGGATGCCTTTTGTTTCTTTTTCTTGCCTAGATGCTCTGGCTAGAACCTCCAGTACAATGTTGAATAGAAACGGTGAGAGCAAAGATCTTTGTCTCATTTCTAGTCTTAGAGGGAAAGTTTTCAGTTTTTTTTTCCATTAAATGTGATGCTAGCTGTGGGATTTTCACAGATAGTCTTTATCAGGTTGAGAAAGTTTCCTTCTATTCGTAGTTTGTTGTCAAAGTACCATTTAGCTGCCTTTTGTAAAATCAAGAAGTAAACAGAGTTAGTTTCCATTTTCCCTTCTCCTCTCCCCATCTTCAATTTTCCATTCAGTTTTAATTTACTTAGAAAATGTTTATTGAGCTTATATTCAATAATAAAGTAATTTTGGCTGGGTGCGGTGGCTCACGCCTGTAATTCCAGCACTTTGGGAGGCCAAAGGCGGGCAGATCACTTGAGGTCAGGAGTTCAAGACCAGCCTGACCAACATGGTAAAACCCTGTCTCCACTAAAAAGACAAAACTTAGCTGGGTATGGTGGTGCACACCTGTAATCCCAGCTACTCAGGAGGCTGAGGCAGGAGAATCACTTGAACCCAGGAGGTGGAGGTTGCAGTGAGCCGAGATTGCGCCAGTGCACTCCAGTCTGGGTGACAGAGCAAGACTGCTCAAATAAACAAAAAACAAAAACAAAAACAAAAAACAACAACAAAAAAACAAAAAAACCCAAAAGCAATAATAGAGTAATTTTAAGAAATTACTCAAGAAATTAGTTGTCTATAGAGTATTCTCTTTCCCCACTGCAGGCACTGTATTTCTCTTTCCTCTCCCCTTCTTTCTCAGTAGTATATGATGAGTTACTAATAATTTATTCTTAGTGTAGAGCTAAATCAAGGTAGTAGCACTGACTGAGGGGAATTGCCTTTCAAACCTTTCTCTAATTGATGGATGAAAGACATTTTCCAGTTAAGGAACTTCAGGCATTAGTAATAATCACTTAGGCTGCCACCTACTCTGGTTAAAGAGAATAAATTGGTATTTGATATGAAGATGCCTTCTGCAAAGCAGTAACATGGAAGCTCTTTTAGCACTGTGTAGAGCAATGTAGCCACTTCAATCTAACGCTCAGTTTCCCATCTGTTTATGTCAGCTAGTTTTTGAAACCATCCTCTTGAACTTTGAGTATGGGTGATATTCAACCTGGCCACTAAATAACCAGTGGCATAAACAAGGTTGGCAAACCAGCTTCAATAACTCAGAGAGGTGCTTTATTTCTTTATGTCCAAATTTCTTTCAGAAAGAAGATAATGCCACTTGAGTGAAGTCATGAGGAGATTGCTGCTTTGGGAAAGTGAGGGCAGGAAAGACAAGTTGTGCCGGCTCTCTATGGCTGGATGAACCCCCCAGCGAGGGTCACTGGAAGATCCTGCCCCTTCTGGAAATACATGCCTCTATCCTTGCTGGCCAGGAAATGTGGAAGGGGATGAGGTCCCCTCTTCAGTTGGCCCAGATGAGAAGAAGTCGGTTTGAATCTCACTGGGAGCGTGGCAATGGTTGCTCTCTGGAGTTCCAGACACAGTGCCCACCCTAGAACCATGAGGAGGGAAGAGGGGAGGGGCAGCACAGCCATCCTCCAACATTGTGCTTCCTTTCTTACCCCAGGCATCTAGAGGTCTCTTAGGGCACAGATAAGGATAAGACTTCACAGTCACTGCCAGCTAGAGCCGATGAGTTTTAGGGGGTTTGGGGGAGAAAAGTTCTGAAATCACACTTTCTAGATGTGTGTTTGGGAAGCATCAAATCATTCTAGTTAAGTGAATAAGCTATGGAGTAAGACTGCTCAGTTCAAATCCTGAGTCTGCCATCTAAGCCTACTGCCTGGCATAGAGTAAGCGCTCAGAAAAGAACACCTGTTCTTAGACGTGTGGATAAGGCCATCTTGGCTCTTCAAACAAGTGAAGTGCAGTGTCTCACCACTCTTCAATCCCAATTCAAAAAGGGGAAAGAACCTTAAAAATGTTAAGAATATAGGCTTAACCTACACATATCAATAGTATTTAACAAATGCAATATGCATTGTTTATTGCAGTGATAAAATGTCTACAAATTTATATTTCATATATATTCCTTTTCAGATAACTTAGGTTTACCATAACAGAACATTATGGATGGGGGTCTGTTATCTATATTACATATGTAACGACTGTCTCATATTTTGTGATTTATTGACCATACCAGATTACTTCTACCGAGAAGATTAATTCATGATACCAATTGGTTTGCAACCGGAAATCTGAATTCCAGATGGCATAATGGATTCTACCTCTTAAACACGTTTTTATGACCTCTTTGATGTTGAAGGACTTTGAAATTAATCTGCATAACATTAGTTCCCCCGGTTTGTTGATGAATTTTTTCTTATACGTTTTACACCCTTGTGGGATAATTTATGTGTTTTCCGAATTTTTAATGAGACCCTCTTCTTGCTTCATGAGGCAGGCCACAGACGCACATTTGCTGCCTCGCCACTTCTGATATGGTTTACGTCTCATTTAAAGTTTCAACATTTGCTAACTATTATTCCACTTCAATAGTTGTAAAATCAAGTGCTGACTTCTCTTCTTATAAAAATATAAATGACCTGTGTCATACTAGAAAAAACTGGAGGCCATTTGAAGGGACCAGACCCTTGTCATGAAGTCAAAATTGCTGCCATTATTCTTTTTTTTTTTTCTTATCTAAGAATAGCTTCTTGCATACGCTGCAAAGACAAATTAAGAATGAGAAGCAATGGGACATCTTTCCTCTTTGGAAATTCCCAGCTCCTGATTCACTGCTTTGTTTCAGGCTTTTGAGGGGTCCCTTTTATCCAGTGAAGATGGCAGAAGAACATCTATTCTTCTTGAGAGCGTAAGAGGAGACTATGCCATCTATCCCCTGAAAATGAATTACATTTGTTTAATCACTGTTACCAAAGCTTCATTATTATGAAATTAGCTCAAATGTCTGCTTTATTGACATCTTCATGAGCCAGTGGGGGAGTTTTGCATTCTATTCTTTTAGAGTGTTTGTTTTCTCACTCTTCAATTCACACACTTTTTGCCTTGTCTCGTTAATGGGAGTATGAAACAAAAAGAGAATCTTCTGCTTTGTAGACAATATCACCAGAGCTATTTTTAATGTCAGTTTCTGCAAATAATCTGCCTTGCTTGTACGGGAGGGGGAGAAAAACTCAGGCTTTAGAAAATAAGGGTATGTTTTAGGGAGTTCACTTTTATGTGTATTTATAGGAGATTTTTAAAGGAGTCAAAAAACCAAGTTCTCATAGTATAAAATTTCCCACACCAGGCATACATGCAACAGCATATTGTTGACTGAGCATTAACTTTATAATATTTCACTTTTTAACATCTTCTTCTTTTTTGCTGTCTGCATCTGACTTGAATGAAAGTTGAGGGCGCTGTCACAAAAGAATTAACAGGGGCCATTTTTTTTTTTACCAGAAATTTGCTCAAAGTAGACCTATTAATGATCCAGGAACTGTTGCATAATGGAATTAATAGTTACAAGCCAAGTCGTAACCGTTGTGCTACAATTCTAGATGCTTAGATGTATTTTTTTTTTTTTTTTTTTGAGACGGAGTTTCACTCTTGTTGCCCAGGCTGGAGTGCAGTGGCGTGATCTTGGCTCACTGCAACCTCTGCCTCCTGGGTTCAAGTGATTCTCCTGCCTCAGTCTCCCAAGTAGCTGGGATTACAGGTGCTCGCTACCACGCCCGGCTAATTTTTTGTATTTTTAGTCGAGATGGGGTTTCATCATGTTGGCCAGGCTGGTCTTGAACTCCTGACCTCAGGTGATCCACCTGCCTCAGTCTCCCAAAGTGCTGGGATTATAGGTGTGAGCCACCGCACCCGGCCGCCTAGATGCATTTTTATTATGGGATTTGCTCTTCAGCTAAATGTTACTTTAAAAAAGACTCCTTGGCTGAATATAATTCATTTGTTAGTATAAGAAAAAATGTTTCAATATGTTAGCAAAAACATAACAATATCTTTAGTCATTTGGAAAAATGAACAAACAAACTTACCTTTAGATTTAAATTGGAAAATTTGCTTTGGATGTAAGATTTGAGAACAGGTGTATTTTTCCATCTTGGGTTCTGTGGAAGACTAAAACCAGAGACTCAAAATATGCAGCAGAATTCATTCTCTTCTGTCTTAGGACACAGAGGAGTAAAAACCCTTGCTAGGAAATTCATCCCAATTTTTACAGAATTGATTTTTTCATCTGACATTAGAGACTGGTTATTATTCAAGCAATACCTCCACTCCATGCCACTTAAAATCCATGCATATTGAATATTTTGATAATTATTAAAGTTGAAAAATAGTAGTACCATATGACCAGGATGGTAAACAGAAAAGTTAATTAAATATGCCATGATTATCAACTTACTGTAAAATAAAATAAGACAGATTTGTATTTGATGCTATAATTGCTTTTATTCTATGATTCAGGAGGTATGTTAGGCGTTTACAGGGTCACCAGTCATCATTGTGAATAAGAAGGCTATACATATTTGGAAGTGCTCTTTAATAGAGGAGTGGCATAAGGCACCACGACAACATGGCTTCCTGGCTCCAATTTTTTTTTTTTTTTTGAGACAAGGTCTTGCTCTGTCGCCCAGGCTGGAGTGCAGTGGCGTGATCACAGCTCCCTGCAGCCTCGACCTTCTGAGTTCAAGTGCTCCTCCCACCTAAACCTCCTGAGTAGCTGGTATTACAAGTGTGTGCCATCACACCTGGCTAATTTTTTATTTTTTATTTGTAGAGATGGGGTCTTGCTATGTTGCCCAGGCTGGTCTTGAACTCCTGGGTGCAAGTGATGCTCCTGCCTTGGCTTCCCAAAGTGCTGTGATTACAGGTGTGAGCCACTGCTTCTGACTGGCTCCAATTCTTGCTATCTTTGTGATTTCAAACATGTTAGTTGTATCAGTTGTCTATTGCCACTGTAAAGTTTTTGTTTTGTTTTGTTTTGTTTTTTTGTTTGAGATGGAGTTTTGCTCTTATTGCCTAGGCTGGAGTGCAATGGTGCAATCTTGGCTCACTGTAACCTCCACCTCCTGGGTTCAAGCGATTCTCCTGCCTCAGCCTCCCAAGTAGCTGTGATTACAGGCACCTGCCACCACGCCCAGCTAATTTTTTGCCTTTTTAGTAGAGACGGGGTTTCATCATGTTTGACCAGGCTGGTATCGATCTCCTGACCTCAGGTGATCCACCCACCTCGGCCTCCCAAAGTGCTGGGATTACAGGCATGGGCCACTGCGCCCGGCCTGCCACTGTAAAGTTATATAACAAATGACCCCCAAACTCAGTAGCAGCTAATAACATGCATTCATGGGTTGGCTTGTGTTGGTTGATCCAGGCTGGGCTCAGCTGGCCTGGCTTTAAGCTGTTGCTAGGTTCAGGCCTGCTCCACACGACATGTTTTTCTCTTAACCATGGCAGAAGAATCAAGGGGTAAGCACAACCAAAAAGACAATCACATTTCAAACTTCTCATGCCTGGTCCACTAACATTCCTTCCCCACATTTAGTCCCCTGGCCCTCACCCAACAAATATGGAATAGGGGAAGTATATTTCTCTCATGGAGATTAAGGATGGGGGTGAACATTGACTGAGCAGCCATCGAATTTACATATTATTATTTGGCCTTTCCAAGCCTCCATTTTTCTCATCAGTACAATTGGGACAATAGTAATTGCCTCACTGCATTGTGGTGAAAATGCCATGAGATATTGTAGTGTAAAATCTGTAAGGCAGTGGTCATACCAGTAAGAAATCCTGAGGTGGTGCTGTTACCATCATCAAAAGAAATATTGTAGACGCATAGAACAACATGACTGGAGGGGGTGCTAAGGGATCATTTAATAATTTCAAATGTTTGGAAGAATTGCCAAAATAGTACAAAGAACATTAGTATGCATTTTGCCCAGATTGACCAATTGTTAACATTTTGCCACATTCGCTTTTTCTGAACCATTTGAGAGATAGTTGCAGATATCATGTCCCTTTATAAATGCTCCAGAGTATACTCCTAAGAACAAGGAGGGTCTGTTATATAGCCACAGTACAAATATGGGATCCAGGAAATTTAACATTCATACAATGTAATTATCTACTGGAGTCTGTGTTTAGATCTCACCAATTGTTTCAATAATTTTGTGGCAACTCATGTCCTCCACCTCTTTTCCCCACCCCACCTCCTTTCCCCACAATCCTGAGCCAAATCGAAAGCTCAAATTGCCTTTAGTGATAATGATTTTTTACTTACCTTTAATCTGGAACAGTTTGTCAGCTTTTTTATTCTTCATGTTATCACTTTAAAAAAATTGTAGGCCAGTTATTTGCTAGCTGCCCTTCACTGTCCGTCAGTTTTTTTTGTTTGTTTGTTTGTTTTGTTTTGTTTTTTTGAGACGGAATCTCACTCTGTTGCCCAGGCTGGAGGGCAGTGGCATGATCTCAGCTCACTGCAATCTCCGCCTCCCAGGTTCAAGCGATTCTCCTGCCTCAGCCTCCCAAGTAGCTGGGATTACAGGTGTGTACCACCATGCCTGGCTAATTTTTGTATTTTTAGTAGAGACGGGGTTTCACCATGTTGGCCAGGCTGGTCTTGAACTCCTGACCTCAGGTAATCCACCCACCTCAGCCTCCCAAAGTGCTGGGATTACAGCACGGTCATACCAGTAGGAAATCCTGAGGTGGTGCTGTTACCATCGTCAAAAGAAATATTGTAGACCCATAGAACAACATGACTGGAGGGGTTGCTAAGGCCTCAGTTTGTTTTTTTCTGATGTTTCCTCATGATCTCATTCAGGTTATGCATTTTGGACAAAACACTGTATGAGTGACATTGTGCTCTTCCCATCATATCACATCTGAAGGCACGGTAGTCATGTCAGTCTGTCCTGTCAACTTTGATCTGTTGATTAGGGTGACATCTTGTCAGGTTTCTTCCCTAGAAATCATTATTTTCTCCTTTGTAATTTATAAGCAATCTGTCGGGAAATACTTTGAGAATATAGAAATATCCTATTGTTTGTCACACACTTACTCTACTTTTCACAGCCATTGATAATTCCTACTTGAATCAATTATTACCAGGATGGTTATAAAAGAGTGATTTTCTACTTCTGTTTTTTCTACATTTATTAGTTTGCATTTTACTATGAGAAAGCATGTTCTTTTTTTTCTCCCATTTATTTTTAAATCAGTATGGACTTTCCCATTCTTATTTGATTCAATGGATGCCAGGATAGGATGCATTTTTTTTTTTTTTTTTAAGATGGAGTCTTGCCGTCGCCCAGGCTGGAGTGCAGTGGCACAATCTCTGCTGACTGCAGCCTCTGCCCCGCAGGTTCCAGCGATTTTCCTGCCTCAGCCTCCCGAGTAGCTGGGACTACAGGCACTCGTCACCACGCCCAGCTAATTTTTGTATTTTTAGTAGAGATGGGGTTTCGCCATGTTGGCCAGATTGGTCTCAAACTCCTGACCTCAGGTGATCCACCCGCCTCGGCCTCCCAAAGTGCTGGGATTACAGGCATCAGCCACCACGCCTGGCCAGGATGCATTATTTTTGTTATATTTTGATGCTCAAAGTGTCCCCGATTTGGCCAGGTAGGAGCCCCTTTATACAGGATCGTATGTCCTTTTGATCATATCCTTACTTTCCTTACTTTTTGGCAAAACAGGTTGTTGCAGGCTCATGCTGTAGTTTCTTGCTCCAGTCCTGGAATTAGCCATTTCTCCTAGGAGCTCTGGTTTAATACATTCTTTTGCCTTCGGGCTGAATTGTATTAATTTAGATGAAAATGTAGCCCGTAAGCTCAATAACTCAGGTTTAATAATATTTTCATGTGCACTCTGAGGAACTGTGGACCCAAACATATATTACTGACTCTTACATGAGAATTCCAAGTTGATGATATTATAACGTATCATAATTTGGAAAATTGATACACAAAAATTGCATTGTTCATTAATTGACCACCTCAAGCCATTTAAGTGGTATTCATCATAACAGAAAAGATGTTACCTGCAGATTCCACCTTATACAAAACAGGCACATAATTATCATACACTAGACACTAATTCCTGGAAGCTTTTTTTTTTTCCAGGAAGAAAATTATAAATGAATGGTGAGACATAGAGACCATCAATTCCTGTATTTGCTGTTACCTTTGTACATTAAGAAGATTCCAAAGCCCCTGGCAATGGTCTCTTTAAAAAAATCATAATCAAATAAAATGAAGAATTTGGACATTCTCTTGACTGTTGCAGGAGATGAATGTCATCTGTCTGAATGCAACATGGAAACTTCAGTGAATGTGTTAGAACAGAACTCGTATGAGAGCATCAGCCAGAAACACAATGGGTATGCCTAATCTCTGTCTCTCTCTCTCTTTTTTTTTTGAGATGTAGTTTTGCTCTTGTTGCCCAGGCTGGAGTGCAATGGCGCGATCTCAGCTCACTGCAACCTCCGTCTCCCAGGTTCAAGCAATTCTCCTGCCTCAGCCTCTCAAGTAGCTAGGATTACAGGTGTCCACCACCATGCCTGGCTAATTTTTGTATTTTCAGTAGAGACAGGGTTTCACCATGTTGGCCAGGCTGGTCTCGAACTCCTGACCTTGTGATCTGCCCACCTCGGCCTCCCAAAGTACTGGGATTACAGGTGTGAGCCACCCCGCCTGGCTGGGTATGCCTAATCTCTTAAACCTCCTACTAACGCAGCAGTCTTTTCACTATGCAATCTGCGTAGGAAGTGGGTTAGTCATTTAGGAACTGATGTTTTCTAACTCCTACTTGCTCTTGCTTCTAGATTAGTGTTCTGTTTCATTCCCATGGATGTCATGCACAGCACCCCTCTTCATCTCACATTCCTGGGGATGCTGGCTTCTCTAACAAGAGGCTGAGTTTCCCTGGGTTTCTGTAAGGACCTGAACACCTCCAGTAGCAATCCGTGCCCTTTGCTTGTGACTCCAGAGCTCCCAGATAGAAGTGGTTGGATGGAGCCAGGAACAGCAGAGAACTCCGGCCGAGGGGTGACCCACCAGCATCGTTCCACCAGCCTCCAGCGATGGTGGGTGTGGACTTGAACTTCCAACTTCAGTCTAGGCCAAGGGGAGGGCAGTGAGAGGTTCGCATACCCATCATCCCTTCCATGCCCATAAAGGTTCCTAAAATATCATTCGTTAGCCCCAAACTGTATGAGACCCTCCCTCCTAGTGTTCCCCTGTGCAACTGTCACAACATGATTAATCTAATTTGCAGTATTATTTGTTTGCTTGTCTTATCTCCCTGCTCTCTACATTCTTATGTTATGTAAGTACCTTGAGGTCAGGGACATCTCTAGATGATCTTTGTACAAGTCATTACATGAAGAAAATGCTCAATAAATATTTGTGTTTTTTGTTTGTTTGTTTGTTTTGTCTTGTTTTTTGAGACAAGGTCTCACTCTGTTGCCAAGGCCAGAGTGCAGTGGCACAATCATGGCTCACTGCAGCCTCGAACTTCTGGGCTCAAGAGATCTTACCACCTCAGCTTCCTGAGCGCCTGGGACTACAGAACAAACCCACCACACTCGGCTAATTTTTTTTTTTCCAAACTTTCTGTAGAGATGGGGTCTCATATGTTGCCCAGGCTGGTCTCTAAGTCCTGGGCTCAAGCAATCCCACATCTTGGCTTCCCAAAGTGTTGGGATTGCAGGCGTGAGCCCCTGCACCCAGCCAATATTTGTGGACTTGAAATTGGATTGTCTCCTTTATCCCTAATATCCAGTTATGCAATCTGTTCTTTTGTAATTTTTTTCAAAAACATTCTTTCTAACTAGGCAACACTCCAACTTAGACCCTCATTACTCATGACTAATTACATTGCTTTAAGAATGGTGATTAGGCCCTGGTGGTCACCTCAACAAGCAAGTGTATTACACACTCAAGAGTGAGGGATGGTGGCAGGGATCCTTGTGGTGCAATTAGTAATTGTCTGTTCTTAAGAAGTGGGAAGTTTCCACAGGTTCACAGATAGCACCTTTCTGAATCCAACGTCTCATTTATGGTCCTAGAATATAGTATATTTACTTTATTTATTTATTTATTTATTTATTTTGAGACAGAGCCTTGCTCTGTCACCCAGGCTGGAGGGCAGTGGCACGATCTCAGCTCACTGCAAGCTCTGCCTCCCGGGTTCACGCCATTCTCCTGCCTCAGCCTCCCAAGTAGCTGGGACTACAGGCGCCCACCACCACGCCCGGCTAATTTTTTTTTGTATTTTTAGTAGAGATGGGGTTTCACCGTGTTAGCCAGGATGGTCTCGATCTCCTGACCTCGTGATCCGCCCGCCTCGGCCTCCCAAAGTGCTGGGATTACAGGCGTGAGCCACTGCGCCTGGCTGAATACAGCATACTTACTTATAAATGTTTGATTAGTTTTGTGAAGCCTTTAAGTCCCAAACCCTAAGTGCTTAATACATGCTTAGTCATTTAAATAAATGATTAAAATAGGAATTGGAGCTTTTCTTAAAAAGAAATAATGACTGAATATAAACCAGAAATCTGAAGGCTTTGTTCTCTTATCTCACCATCCTTTGACCCTGTCTTGGCTTTGGCAGCCAGGTTCCAGAGACCGACCATCCTGCTTGGAATCCAAGCTCTGCCACTTTCTGGCCGTGCTGTTTGTGCAAGTTCTCAACCTCTCTCATCCTCTATTTCCTCATCTTTAAAATGGGCATGCATTAGAACAGTTCATTTGACCCATAATGTTGCTGTGAGGTTTATATCAGTCAATATGTATTAAAAGCTCACCACAGAGCTTGGTGCGTGGCAGGCACCAAGGCACAGAGCTCTTGGTGAGGCTACGAGTTGTTTTGTGAGCATCTGTGCCAAGGCTTCCACCGGGAGGTGTCAGCTTTTGGAGACTATTTTGGTTCTTTTCCTAATACTAAAAAGAGCTGAAAGTCTACTGATTGTGGAGGTGGGAAGTGGGGCAAATTAGCCCTTTGGGGCTTGGAAATATTTCTGGGCCGAGGTTATAGGTTTATAAAGTGGAGTTCACTCCCCTTGGGTCTCTGAGTTCCTAGTGGCCATGGCAGATCCAGCTGCTGCCCCGTCAATGGGCGAGCTGGCTTCTGAGAGGGCATGGGAGTGAGGTGAGTCAGGCTGTGGGGATACTAGCATCAGGGGACCCATGAGGAAGGAAGCCACAGGGGAGGACAATGAGAAGGAAGGAGGACTGAGGTACCAAATGTCAGGCTTTTAGGAGAAGTGGAAGGATGCTGTTAATTGTGATTAGGAGCCTGAGCTTGTAAAGACTTAAGTGTACGTTAAGCAGATGCCAGGGTGTTACTCTACAAGGGCAGCAAGTCTCAGGGATGCTGTAAAAGCTCTTTTAAGGGGCCTCTCCCACCTATTAACATTCTGTAGCCTCCCTTTAGAGAGACTCGTGACATCTTCCCCTGTGATTTCCAAATGTGAGCTTACCCATTCATCTCTCAGCAGGTCCTGGGCAGCCAGGTGCAAACTTAAACCCAAGGACCATGAAAGATAACGGCACACAGTGGTCCGGGGCTTCCTTTTGGCTAGCAGCCACGCCCTTCTCGTTTCTCCCCTTGAGGCTGGGATGGTTTGCAATCTATGGCCTGCCTGAGGAAACCATTCCTGGGATATTGGAGCCCTAGATATTTGATGAAACCTGAAAGCAGGCTTTGAGGTTTATGAGAGAAGCAACGTCAGTTCTGCAATGAGTGAGTAGGATAGGTTATGTGTGGTCATTTATTGTATTTCCATTCCCATTTTTATGTGTGTTTACTTCTCTTTGACCTGTGACGCTTCAGCATATTTCATTTTAGCTACTTGGCTTCCTTGACCTGGAACCAACATCTCCAACGCTGTACCAGTAATTAAAATCAAATATTGTCTCTCTTCTGGAAGAAAAAAAGAATCCATGTATTTTTCACTGAGCAAATGGCCACCACATTTACCTTGATACTGCCTGCATTTCAGAACGACTGTTTCCTTCACTTCATGTAATAGGAAGAAAATGAACACTTTACATTCTACAGTGGATTTGAGGAAAGATTTCTGATTTTACAATGCTGAATTGTTAAAACGGCATGGCACATGAATGATCTCATGTCACTAGTACAAAATGAAAATCCCCGCAGGCAATTGCTTTTCCTAATTCTGTTTGATTTTCTGAGCACAGATACCATTATTCAAAGCACATATGAAATCATGCACCTGGGCATATAAATTTGGCATGGAGTCTCCTATAGGCCTGAGCTTGAAAAAGGTTTTGGCGAATTAGCATTTTCCCAGCAGTAGACTTAATAACCCTAGAGAAGGCTTTGCCAACCCTACTGTCCATCATGGAGCTCGGTTCTTTTAAAATGTCACATCAGGGAATTAGATTTTATTATAAAAATTCTACTCTACTGACAATGTATTTGAAAATTATAATAGACAAAAAACCCTAATCATGTGTTATGAGATGATTTGTAAGGTTTCTGTTAAGTTTCTCTTTTGGGTTTTTCTGTTTGTCTGGCATTGCAAATAAGCAGTACCAGAAACAAACAAACAAACAAACAAAAGTCTTAGACAGTGGCTTGCTGTAGAAAAATAAAATCCAATATGCATGAAATCTAGAGAGGAAAGTTCCTTCCACTGTCCTATGCTTGTTCTTATGCATCACTCATTCATTCATTCTTCATTTGGATTTTACTGTTGCTTCCATGAGAGGCACAGTTTCATGGCTTATGATGGTGCGTGTCAGAATTTGGAAGGACACATTGAACATCTTTCTCTGGTATTTCCTTTCCTTGTCATTCTAGTATCATATGTTCACATGCCCATGTGCTTGTGGGATCAGTGTCCTCATAGGGGAAATAGGACCTGCAGTGTGCCAGGGGCAGAGGGAGGCAATAGGGGGCTGCAATTGAGCCATGACACTCTGCCATCCAGCTGCGACCCCACACAGGCCAAGGCTGTGATTCCTTCAGGCACTTTGAACCAATACTCAGCTATTGAAGAGGATAGTCAACAGAGTGCTTGAATTTTCCAGAATGATTACCTGAATTACTTGCTTTGAATCACCACTGGAAATTCTAGCTATGTGCCTTTTATGTACTTTCGTACTTATCACCCATCCATCCTCTTGACAAGTGTTGGTTGAGTGTCCACTGTGTGCCAGGCATGTTCTAGGTGCTGGAGATGCAAGAGTGGAAAACAAATCATGGACACAGTCCCCATCCTTATGCTACAGAGATGCTGGGTTAGTGGGAAGAAAGGCAGTAAATAAAGAATAACAAAAATATAAGAATTACAAACTGCAGGAGGACTCTCTGAGAAGAAAAACTGTGTGTGCTTTCAATGACTGTGCCAGGGGAATCTGTTTTAGAATTGTGGGGATAAAAGGCAGTCTCTCTACAGGTGACACTTGTCCTGAGACCTAAAGAATGAGTGGGCATTGGCCGGGCAACGAGTTAGGCACAAGATGGTTCTAAGTAGACCAAATAGCATGTGGGAAGCAAGTCACAGTGAATAAGGGATAGGGGAGGTCTCCACAAGCAGCCCCTAGCCAGTGGCAGTGAGTGTGGGAGGATAAATGCCCCAGCTCCCTCTCCCCTTGAGTCACATAATCTTGTGGCCATCCTACTTCATCTCCCGCAGGACTGAGCTCCAGTTGCCTGCAGGGGTAAACCGCTCATGAACAAACACATCATGCATTGGTTTCCTTCTCTTCTTCATGCCACTCTCACAGTCCCCTCCCAGTACTTCCTGGGGTCACTTAGCAAATCAACTACTTGCTTTTGAATCCTTGTCCCCTGGTCTGCTTCTACGGGAGCCCAAGTTAAATCACTGAATGAGGATGGGGCCAACAGGCAGGCAGAAGTCAGAGCATGGAGGGCTGCAGTTCTCAAAGCATAGACCAGGGAACCCTAGTGTCTCCTGAGACTCTTTCAGGGAGCATGAGAAGTCAAATATGTTTTTCATAATACTACTAAGATGGTACTTGCTTTTTATATCACTTTGACATTTCACTGTCAAAATGCAAAACGGAAGTAAAAATGATGGGGCTTTAGCCCACACCAAGGCTGTACCAGGTGTCATTGTATTCTTTACCACCTGCATTTGCAGAAAAAAAAAATCCAGTTTCATTTAAGGATGTTGATGAAGTTGTAAAACAATTACTCATTTATTAAATCTCTTGTCTTGAGTATACTTTAAAAAATTTGGATGCATTGAGTGCTTGGCTGCATACCAAACTCCAGCAGTTTTCTCAGGGAAAAGCAGTTGAGTTGCGATTGAGTTGCAAGCCTCACTAGCCCTTTCTTCATGGAATACCAGCTTTCCTTGAAAGAGTGATGGCAGACAATTGAACTATGACTATTCAGACTTGGATACCTGCCAGGTATTTTCTCAAAAAATGAACAAAGGGAGCCTGTCTCTTCAAGAAATACAGTAGTCATTATTTGTAGCCAATAATACAATTTGAGTTTTCAAATGAAAACTAGAATTTTGGAAAACTTGTATCTGTCATGCTTAACTTGCATAGTTCTCTAATACTTGAAGACTTTTCTGATGAGATGGGGGTGATTTAATGAATGTGATTTTATCGTTTTGATAATGTTGGCTGGGCGCGGTGGCTCACGCCTGTAATCCCAGCACTTTGGGAGGCCAAGGCGGGCGATCACCTGAGGTCCGGAGTTCGAGACCAGCCTGACCAACATGGAGAAACCCCGTCTCTACTAAAAATACAAAATTAGCCGGGCGTGGTGGTGCATGCCTCTAATCCCAGCTACTCTGGAGGCTGAGACAGGAGAACGGCTTGAACCCGGGAGGCAGAGGTTGCTGTGAGCCAAGATTGTGCCATTGCACTCCAGCCTGGGCAACAAGAGTGAAACTCCGTCTTAAGAAAAAAAAAAAAAGAATGTAAAAGTGTACTGTGACAACATTTGGAAGATCTGCTTAACTCAGAGATCCAATATTTTCCAAATGACATGATGATAGAAAATCATGTATGCGTGACAGACCCATTCAAAGGACAATATAATTTCATGGATTTTAATATAATTGAGTCTGAAAACGTTACTGATATGGTTTCAGATTTCACATTGCAACTAACCTTTGATAAATGACTATGTGCTGAGATTTGGTGTCATATAAAAAAGGAATATTCACCATTATCTGAAATGCCTATTAAGTATTCTTCTCTTTTCTAACTGTGTATCTGTGAGAAGCCAGGTTTTCTCTAGATGTGCTGACATAATTTATCACAGCAGTTTAAGTGTAGACATGAGAATCCGGTTGTTTTCGGTTAAGTCAGACATGAAGAGATTTGCAAAAATGTAAAATAATGCCAGTTTTTTCACTAAAAATTGTGTGCTTTGAAACATAGAGTTAGGTTTCATAAATGGGTTATTTGCATCAATAATATCTATGTTAATTATATTTATGTTAATTATGTTAACAAAATAATATGTTTATATTATTTATGTTAATTATATTTGTTATATATTTTATATTTGTTATAGATGTTAATTATATTTATGTTAATTATATTAACAAAAGTTTTATTATTGTTTTTAAACAATAAACATTACTAAATTAAAAACTGTTTTATGGTCAGGTGCAGTGGCTTATGTCTGTAATCCCTGCATTTTGGGAGGCCAAGGTAGGCGGATTACTTGAGCCAGGGAGTTCAAGACCAGCCTGGGCAATGTGGTGAAACCCCGTTTCTACAAAAAAATACAAAAATTAGCCGGGTGTGGTGGTGTGCATCTGTAGTCCAAGCTACTTGAGGGTGTGGGGTGGGGATTAGGCGGGAGGATCCCTTGGGCTTGAATTTTGGAGGTCGAGGCTACAGTGAGCCATGATTGTGCCACTGCACTCTAGCCTGGGTGACAGAGCAAGATCCTGTCTCAAAAAATCACCCAAAAATTGTTTGATGTCCGGGCGTGGTGGCTCATGACTGTAATCACAGCACTTCAGGTGGTTGAGGCAGGAGGATCGCTTGAGCCCAGGAGGTCGAGGTTGCAGGGAACCATGGTGCACTCCAGCCTGGGTGACAGAGTGAGACCCTGTCAAAAAAAATTGTTTTATTATTGTTATTTAAAAATGAATTCATAATTAGAAAGAAAACGTTCTCAGTTTAAATTTCTAATATGGTAGATGTTGATAGATATAACTCACATACACAAAAACCCTTTGAGGTCTTAAATATCTTTGATGAGTCTAAACAAGTTCTGAGATTAGAATGTTTGAGAACTGCTGATGTAAAACTTTGAAGATTTCAGGATTTTGGATATTCTCAGGAACGAAATCAGGAGCCCCTGAGAAGTTTTAAGAAGGTGAGTTTTAAGTCGAAGGAGATCATAAAGATCATTAACCTTGCATATGTGTTTATGTGGGTGATTAAAATATGTTAATAACTTCTGCAGCTAGGGAAGTCTAGCAGATCCCAGTGGGGCATTTCCAATCTGTTCCAACAATCCCTGCTAGACAGAAAAACACCTATACAACCGCGCTTTCCAGCAGATCACACAGAGGTGGGGCTCCATGATACATGAGCTTGCCTTTGTTGGTCTTCAGTTAACTGTGTGCAAATCACTGAGGTGTACAGAAAGCATTCAGTTAGTCACAAGCCACGTAAAAAATACTCACAAGGTACATTGTGGTGCCTGAGCCAATGGACATCAAAGTCCTTACCCTTGAAAAGTCCAGGGTCTAAGAAGGGAGAGTAGAATTTGCTTTCTAGAGGGGAATGATTACCATCCTACTTTCCTTCTCATTTGCCTTTGACCTGATAATACTGTATTCTTTTAAAAAAAATTGTATAAATTGCCGGCACGGTGGCTCACGCCTGTAATTTCAGCACTTTGGGAGGCTGAGGTGGGCAGGTCACGAGGTCAGGAGATGGAGATCATCCTGGCTAACACGGTAAAATCCTGTCTCTACTAAAAATACAAAAAATTAGTCGGCGTGGTGGCGGGTGCCTGTAGTCCCAGCTACTAAAGGAGGCTGAGGCAGGAGAATGGTGTGAACCCAGGAGGTGAAAGTTGCAGTGAGCCGAGATCACGCCACTGCACTCCAGCCTGGGCGACAGAGCAAGACTCCATCTTAAAAAAAAATTGTATAAATGTAAGGGTACAAGTGCAGTTTTGTTACATGGATCTATTGACTAGTGGTGATGTCTGGGCTTTTAGTGAAACCATCACCCAAATAATGTACATTACACCAAGTAAGAAATTTCTCATCCCTCACCTGCCTGATGTCCTCCTGGGTCTCCAGTGTATATGATTCTACACTCTGTGTCCGTGAGTACACATTGTTTAGCTCCCACTTATATTATTTATTTATAAAGAAATAATATTTATTTAAATATTTAAATATTTTAAAATTTATGTTAAGTATTTAAATAGTTATTTATAATATTTAAATTTATTTAAATATTTTTATTTAAATATTATTTAAATAAATAAATAAAGAGTGGCACTTTCGCTCTTTTTCTCCAGGCTGGAGTGCGGTGGTGCAATCACTAGCTTTGCTTTCTTTACACCTTATAGGTGTTGCTCCCTCAAAATACCCTAATCAACTTTCTTTTTTTGTTGTTGAGATGGAGTCTCGCTCTGTCGCCCAGGCTGGAGTGCATTGGCGCAATCTCAGCTCACTGTGACCTCTGCCTCCCGGGTTCAAGTGATTCTCTTGCCTCAGCCTCCTGAGCAGTGGGGATTACAGGTGCCTACTACCACGCCAGGCTAATTTTTGTATTTTTAGTAGAGATGAGGTTTCACCATGTTGACCAGGCTGGTCTTGAACTCCTGACCTCAGGTAATCCCCCACCTTGGCCTCCCAAAGTGCTGGGATTACAGGCGTGAGCCACCTTGCCCACCAAATATTCTTTAAAATTGTTCCTGACCTTACACTTTGTTCTGGACAGTGGGATCCACTTGAGCCAAAGGAGAGTGAGAAGGAAGATTTAAATGGGAGAAGTGGGGAGGAAAAAGAGAAGAAAAAAGAGCAAGGCACTCTAGCTGAAACATCATTTAATTTTTTTAGAGACAGGGTCTCATTCTGTCACCCAGGCTGCAATCACAGCTCACTGCAGCCTTGATCTCCTGGGCTAAAGTGATCCTCCCACCTCAGCCTCCTGACCAGCTGGGACTACAGGCATGCACCACCACACTTAACTAATTTTTTTACAAGATTGTTATGTAGAGATGGAGTCTAACTATGTTGCCCAGGCTGGTCTTGAACTCTTGGCCTCAAGCAATCCTTCCACCTTGGCCTCCCAAAGTGTTGGGATTACAGGCGTGAGCCACCCAGCTTCTAAACAGCATTTCCAATGTACAAAGAGTACATTGTTCAAGTTCCCAAACTTGGCCGGCTGCTCTGACTGGGGGATGGCTTGCGAGTTTAGAACACGGTGTTTCATGAGATGAGTGGAGGATGTGAGCGCTTGTCTCCCTAAGTGGAGGTCAGCCTGCTGCAGTTCCTCCATGCAGCAGCAGGAAAAGAGAAGGAATGGTTGTCATATGGTCCGTGTCACACTGAAGCAAATGCTAACTTTCTGGGTTACAGCTCGACTGAGCGACAAAGAATGTGCATCCCAGCGTGAACCCACTACGTGCAGAGCTGAATTCCCTGCCACACAAACAGAGCCCTCAGGCCTCTGCGGCACAACCATGTCCTGCCTATTGCCTGGAAAGCTTTCTACCTGGAAGGGATCCTCAGCCTTGCCTCCCTTCAGGGGGCTAGGGGACTCCTCTTGAACAAATCGATCCCTTTCAGCCTTGTGTTTCAAAACTCCTTATAGGAATAAAGTACAGGTTGATTCCTTTTGAACACATAATAGAATGGGAAGCAAATACATGTACATGAAGCTTGTCCAGCCTGTGGCCTGCTGTCTGCATGATGCCCAGGATGGCTTTGAACGTGGCCCAACACAAATTTGTAAGCTTTTTTAAAACATTATGGGGCTTTCTTGCGATTTTTTTTTTTAAAGCTCATCAGCTATTGTTACTGTTAGTGTTTTTTTTGTTGTTGTTGTTTGTTTGTTTTTGTTTTTGTTTTTTTTGAGGCAAAGTCTCACTTTCTTGCCCAGGCTGAAGTGCAGGGCCTGATCTCGGCTTGCTGCAACCTCTGCCTCCCAGGTTCAAGCGATTTTCCTGCCTCAGCCTCCCAAGGAGCTGGGATTGCAGGCACATGTTGCCATGCCCGGCTAATTTTTGTGTTTTTCGTAGAGACGGGGTTTCACCATGTTGGCCTGGCTGGTCTCAAACTCCTGACCTCAGGTGATCCACCTGCCTGGGCCTCTCAAAGTGTTGGGACTACAGATGTGAGCCACCAGGCCCAGCCGTGTTAGTGTATTTTATGTGTGACCCAAGACAGTTCTTTTTCTTCCAATGTGGCCCAGGGAAGCCAAAAGATTCCTTCAATGCACATGTTCCCCAGGAAGGGACGTGGCCAGGGTGCATGAAAGGCAGGACACCCTCCTCCTGGAGAGCTGTTTGTCTTGCAGGGCATGGGCGTCCTGGGGGAAGTTATCCCTGAGAACACAGAACTCAAACGTGTCCGTGGGAAGCCGCCCCCTCTAGCTCACATCTGATGTGGACGTGGTCATCCCTGGTGCTTGTTCCTTTTACTCCCCTAGGAGTAGTGCTGAACTTTTGGCATCATCTTGCAGAAGTGGCATCAAAGTGGAAACATGAAACCTCCAGGGTATTTTTCCAAAACGTGTTCTTTTCTCTGTGATCCCCTTGCAAAAGAAGGAAAGTCCTCAAAGAGATTTCTGGTTTGACTTTGCCCCTTCATCTCCTCTCCAGGTTTCATTATGTGCAACTCTGCACTTACTTCAGTGGTGTCTACTATATAGATAATTTTAGCAAAATGATCTGGTTTTGGACGTTTGCGAAACTTTGCGAACTATTTGGAAGAGTTTCTCCAAAGCTGAATGCATTCCTTCAGCTCAAACTCTAATATTTTGATGTGAATGGATTGTTAAGACAGATAAATGATTCCTTCTCTTTTCTCTTTGTCTGGTTCTCTGAAAATTTCCTCAAAGTGATTTCACCCTCTCTCTTCTAACTAATCCAAAAGCGATTTCACCTGCTCTTTTCTCACTGATCCAAAAGTGATTTCGCCTGCTCTCTTTTCACTAATCCAAAAGCGATTTCACCCGCTCTCTTCTCACTAATCCAAAAGCGATTTCACCCGCTCTTTTCTCACTGATCCGAAAGTGATTTCACCTGCTCTCTTCTCACTAATCCAAAAGCGATTGCACCCACTCTCTTCTCACTAATCCAAAAGCGATTTCACCTGCTCTCTTCTCACTAATCCAGCCCTGTTGCAGGTCTTCATCACCCTCCCTCTGTGTCACTTCGATGGCGTCTTCACCCATCTGATCTCCTGGACTGCTCCTGTCTAACCCATCGGCCACAACCGAATGCTGCTCACTTTACCCGCTCCTCCCCTCTCCCTCCCCACACTTTTGGCATCCTGTTGCCTGAGGGACAAAGCTGAAGCCTCCTGAACATGGAAGTCACAGAGAACACTGTGGATACTCACTAGACTTCACATGCTCCTCTGCACTCCCCTTCTCTCGCATTAGACCGAGACCAACTGACCAAGTTCTGGCCAATAGGAGAGAGGCAAAAGTGGTGGAAGTCACTTCCACGCTTGGCCCTTAAAACATCCTGTGTTTTCCCTGAGCTCTTTCCTGTCCTGCTGTGGTGACCTTGTAGGCTATATGTGTGTGTCTCCTTAAAAGCTATGTTGAAATCCTAATTCCTCACACCTGTGAGTGTGGCCTTATTTGGAAATAGTCTTCGCAGATATCATCAAGTCAAAATGAGGACATTAGGGTGGGCTCTAAATCTACTGTGACTGATGTCGTTATATGAAGAGAAAAATCTGGACACAGATAGATACAGAGGAGAGAAGGTTGTGTGAAGACGGAGGCAGAGATTGGCATGATGCTGAAAGTCAAGGAACAGCTGGGGCCACCAGAAACCAGATGAGGCAAGAAAAGATCCTACCTAGAGGCTATGGAGGGAGGAGACAGCCTGCGGTCTTAGACTTTTTGTGAGTGAGAAATAAACCTTTACCGGGCTAAGTCACAGAACTCTAAGAACTTTGTTGTCATTGCAGCACACTCTAGCCCATCCTGATGGAAACAGTAGTAAGTACACTCAGATGTTGGCCCTGCCCACCTTTTCAGCATTTTTTTGCTACCCTGCTCTCAAGTGATATACTTTATGCCTCTGAGATTTGTTGTGGGTTTGTCTTTCTGTCTAGAATGTTCTCTCTTCTCTTAAATTTTTTTTTAAGGGATAAGATCTTGCTTTCTTATCCCAGTTGGAGTATAGTGGTGCAATCATAGTTCACTGTTACCTTGAACTCCTGGGCTCTAGTGATCCTCCTGCTTCAGTCTCCCAAGTAGCTGGGATTACAGGTATATGCCGCCATGCCTGGCTATTTTTTTTTTTTTTTTTAACTTTTTGTAGGGACGGGGTCTTGCTATGCTGCCTAGGCTGGTTTTGAACTTCTAGCATCAAGCAATCCTCCTGCCTTGGTCTCCCAAACTGCTAGGATTACATGCTCAAGCTACTGCACCTGGCCTCTTCCCTTCTTTTATCAGGAGAAATCACATCCCGTTAAAGCCCACCTCAAGAATCACTTTCTCCAAGAAGCCTTTCTCACTGTCCCTTGTTCTTGTAACATATTATCTACATTTCTACCTAAGTTAATAGTTACCAGTGACACATGTCAGGATCCGTACACACGTCTGTGTGTACATACCGTGCTAGAAAGTGGGGCCAAGGATAGTACCTTTTATTTTTATTGAACATATCTCAAGTTTCTAGCATAATGTTTAATTCATAGAATGAGATTAAACGCTTTCATGAAATTAATTCTAAGGGGAACTTTTGCTAGTCTGGCTCTAAGAATGTCCGGGGAGCCCTGTCCAGTGAGGTCTGAGATCTTCCCTTGTCCATTTGCCCTCTATGATGCCCAGGACATGCCTTGGCCTCCCCTGAGATGGGGATTCACAGCAGTGGTCAGTCCCTGCATTGTGAACACTTTATGAAGTTGGTTTCCTTTAGGAAGGCCTGGTGGAGCTCTGAGATCTTAAGTTCCATGTATACTTACCTGGGCTCAACAAGTGACTGAAAGATCCCTTGTGCCCTGCTTGTGCCCGTGTTGTGTGTGTGCATGTGTGTGTGTGTGTATGACCATTTTCGGGGGTCACTAAGGGATTCTGCAGGCCAGAGGTCTGTCATTACTTTTCTTAAGATACCAGTCAGACAACAGTCCAAGAATTCAGATTGGATTATTCTCTTATTTCTTAAAAACTGTTGAAGAATTAAAAATATGCAGAAAAGTACAGATTAGAAACTTAAATCAGTGTACACACGATACATCCAGAATTAACACATGCTGACATTGTTGATTTGGCTTTGTATTTTTTAAAAAATAAGAGACAGATCATTGTGGATAATGTTGAAGTTTCCATTTGTTCCCCTGCACAGTTCCCTGGGCCTGTCCCTGATCCAAAGTCACCACTTTCCTAAATTTGTGTTCTTCCACTTACATAAATATGTAGTTTTACCTTGTGTTTAAAATGATCTAATATGTTGTATACCTTCCTAAAACTTACTTTTTTAAAAAACCCAAAAAACTCAGCAATTTTATATTTGAGACATATCCACATCGATATGTATGAATTTAGTCCAACCTTGCAACTCCTGGAAAGCATGCATTGCATCCCTTGATGTGTCACAGTTTGTTTATCTGTTTTCCTAGTGATGAATATTTCAGGTTGTTTTCACTTTTACTGTCACTGCTACTCTGGGTATCCTAGTGCACGCTCCCTTGTATAGGTGCTGGAGAGTTTCTCTAAGGCATATTCCCGGATGCTGAATTGCCTGGTGATTAAACACATACATTTTCAACTTTATAAACAGAGCCCTCATTTCTCCAGCTGCTGAGCTCACAGATTTCGGCCAAAGGGAGCTGACTTACCCAAGGTTACACTTGTTGGGTACAGCCTGTAGGCCATGGTGGGGAGATGGAAAGGAATACAAAGGCTTGGCCTTATTGTTTCAATTTAGAACAATCTTGAAATGTCATTCCAGCTCCATAACTCCCCTGGACTGGCTGAAATCTCTGCTGGTAACTGCATTGCAGATCAACAATTCTGTCTGCTCTTGCTTTCTTTACACCTTATAGGTGTTGCTCCCCCAAAATATCCCAATCAAGTTTCTTTTTTTTTTTTGAGACAGACTCTTGCTCTGTCACCCAGGCTGGAGTGCAGTGACACAATCTCAATTCACTGCAACCTCCGCCTCCTGGGTTCAAGTGATTCTCTTGTCTCAGCCTTCTGAGTAGCTAGGATTACAGGTGCCTACCACCATGCCTGGCTAATTTTTGTATTTTTAGTAGAGACGGGGTTTCACCATCTTGGCCAGGCTGGTCTTGATCTCCTGACCTCAGGTGATCTGCCCGCCTTGGCCTCCCAAAGTGCTGGGATTACATGCGTGAGCCACCATGCCCAGCCTCCCCAGTCAACTTTCTACATGCCAAGGTCTGGCTCAGAGTCTGTTTCAGGAAACTCACCTATGGCACTAGATTGTGTTTTCTAAAGTGCATGTCCTAATTTACCTACACATCAGCAATTCCTCTTTACCCCTATCTTTGCCAACACTTTGTATTGTTAAACTTTTAGATTTTTCCTGTTTCATATCTAATGGATATGACATTGAATTATAGTGTGGTTTATACTTACATTTCCCTAATTACAGATCAGATTCTTAATAATGAAAACAAAACATGCTAGCAAGTGCAAGTTTATTTTGTGGTCCCATTCTCACCCTGATGAGGTTATTGATTGGGCTCCTTTTAGCCACCAGACCCTTTAGGGTGAAAATGGAGATAGAAGATGGGGAAGGATGCAACTTGTGATCAAAAGGCTTGCCGACTGTGAACCATCTGATTTTGCTTTGAGACAAGTCAGTTCTCTGATGCTGTTGCTTGGTGCTCCTGGGTCTCCAGGCTGGTTGGAGAAAAATCCAGTCCAGTGTGTTTGAGTGGGTGATGCTGCCCCCAACATCACTTCAGCTTTTTGCATTGGTATGCATAGTTTTGCTTCTCAAGTCACAGGTGACCAGGAGCAAATGACATGGTAAACAAAACAAAACAAGACAAAAACAAAACAAAAAAGACAGAACCACACATTTGCTGCCAGGTGATGATCTGGGAAGGGTGGTGCCTTTTACCAGGTCAACAGAATGTCTTTCACTGAACTCAACATGTGGAAATGGATTCAGGACAGGAGACATCTCTCAGCCTGGAACAGGTGGTTATGGCTGGGTCTTTAAGGAGGATAGGATTTTCCAGTAGGAAGTGAATGGTGCTCACTAATCAGCTCTGGACTGAGGTGGGAGATTCTCCTGTGAAGTGTCTTTGGGCACTGACATCCCCTGTTTTCAGACTAAAGCTCAGGTGTTCACCTAGATCAATTGATGAAAAAAAAAAAAAAAAGAAAACCACTATCACCTAAATGTTCCAATGGGAACAGCCGGCTATTGAACTTGATTTTGGATAAATGAGCTCTGAGTCTCTGGAGTTCTGCCAAGAGATATCCATGCATGAGTGTGTGGGGGGGGAGTTTTCCTAACAAATTGTTCTAACCCACAGGTCTGATCACATTGCTCCCCTGACTACATGCCTCAAAGGCGTCTCACTCACCAGGGGATAGAGGGAAACTCCCCAGTGTGGCATATAGGATCTTGCATTTCATGACCCCGCATTTGCTGGGCTCCGTGTGTGATTTTCTTTATCTTTTCTTTCTGTCTGGAAAATGTGTCCGTTCCCTTCTAAAATCAACCAAATTGTCACTTCCTGTGTAGAACTTTCTCAGACATCTTCAGGTGGGATTGGCATCGGCTTCTGTGAGTTCCCTGAGACCCCTGATGTCCATGAGCTAGTCATCATTGCCTGTAATCCTGAGCCGATCACCTGTCTCCATACTTCAGGTTTGGGGTAGTGGGTGGGGACTGTGTCTCCTCATCTTCACGTCCCCAGTGCTGTGCCTGACACAGTAGACAATCAATGAGTTGCTTAAACAAGTCAATGGACAGCTTCTCAGAGACACAGTCTGAAAAGCAAATAAAATTTGTAGTTTGTTTAATGTAGTGGGAAGACTTAAATTGCTTCCTCAGCTGAGAAACTTGGCCGTTAGAAAGAGACTATGTGGGCCACAGTAGTATTCCCTCTGGATGGCTCAGGAAAAAGTCATTTCCATGAAGGAATTCCTTCCCAGAATTTCTTGAAAAATTTGTATAATTTTTAAAAATTCCAAATCTTGATGATAAAATCAGACAAAAATTGAGAAAATGAGAAAAGTGATGATAATTCTCAAGTGAGAATGAAAGCTTAATCAACATGGAGACATTACTGTTTAAAAGAAATCCACTGACATCAAGTCAAAAGTCAGAGCAGGAAGAACTGACAAGTTGGCTTGAAGAGTAGGGTGGACTCTATGGTTTGAATGTATCTCCCAAAGTTGATGTGTTGGAAACTTGATCTCCAATTTGGAGGTGTTGGAGAGAAGGACCTTTTAGATGTGTTTAGATCATGAGGACTCTGCCCTCAAGAATGGATTAATGCCATTATTGTGGGAGTGGATTTGTTGTTTTTGGAGTGGGTTCCTTATAAAAGGACCAGTTCAGAACCTTTTACTCTCTGTTTTTCTTTCTTTGCCCTTCTGCCTTCTACTGTGTGATGATGCAGCATGAAGGCCCTCATCATATGTCAGTCCCTTGATCTTGGACTTCCCAACCTTCAGAACCACAAGCCAATCAACTTCTGTTCATTATAAATTACTGCATTGCTAGTATTTTGTTATAGCAGCACAAAATGAGCTAAAAGGGTTGACATTTCCAGAAACTAGGACAAAAGTCCTAGTTTAGGAGAGAAGTGGTCACAATTTAATCAGTCAGTGTTGCTTGTAGCTGTCATGTGTGTGTTCATGGTCCTGTCTCCTGAAAACAGCAAGTCATTTTTGCAACTAAAATAAATACTAATAAGTTCATATGCATAGTGTACTTTATATAAATGCTATGAGTGGGTTACAAGAAAAATTAACTTTGAAACAAAATTCACCCTTACACTGCAATTTTGACACCTGAGAGTGGTGTTGTAAACCTTGCTAGTAGATCTGAATGTAATATTATTCAAACACCTTCCAATAGTGTTTGCTGGTGTCTTTCAGTGATTGAATATTGCTGCAGGTTACAATTCTTTGTGAAACTGACCATGTATTTTCATCATTAAAAAAATAAATGAGCTGGCTGGGCATGGTGGCTCATGCCTGTAATCCCAGCACTTTGGGAGGCTGAGGCAGGTGGATCAGTTGAGATCAGGAGTTCAAGACCTTCCTGGCCAACATGGTGAAACCCCGTCTCTACTAAAAATACAAAAATTAGCCAGGCATGGTGGCACCGCCTGTGATCCCAGCTACTTGAGAGACTGAGGCATGAGAATCGCTTGGACCCGGGAGGTGGAGGTGGCAGTGAGCCGAGACTGCACCACTGCACTCCAGCTTGGGTAATAGAGCGAGACCCACTCTCAAAAAAAAAAAAAAAATTACGTTGAACTTTGCTTTTATTGTAGTCACTCATTGTGATTTTAAAACACACCAACAAAATGTTATGAAAATTATGTAATAGACTGGGTGTGGTGGCTCATGCCTATAATCCCAGTACCTTGGGAGGCTGAGGCAGGAGGATTGCTTGAGCTCAGGAGGTAGAGGCCACAGTGAGCCATAATTGTGCCAGTGTACTCCAACCTGAGTGACAGAGTGAGACTCTTTCTCAAACAATAAAAAAAGAAAAGTTATTTAATAGCTTATGCATTTAAGAATGCCTGAAGATTCCTAAGAATTCTTATTTTTCAATCTTGAATCCCAAAGATTAGTACGTGTTGGAAGTTTGGGAACACGGAAGGAGCACTGTCTATTAACATGGGAGACCCTCTATAAGTGGAAAGCCAACCAAGAGAGAAGCCAATGTGCTGGAGCAGAGCCAGGGCACGGGAAATGCGTCACTTACCGTGGAAGTGGGGCCAAGGCCATCATGATAGAAGGAGGTGATGATTTTCACGTGGATTAGTCTGGGAGGTCCTCCAAAGAAAACTGACTTTGTGCTGGCAAATTATGTTTGCTTTCAGCTACCTTAGGAGAAATCTGCCCCCAGCACTGCCGGGGAAGGCAGAGAGAGGAGAAAGGGCAGAGCTGAACCCAAACCCACTGTTTGAGCTCCCATTCTGGGTAACGCATGTGCCAGGGTCTGTGCCCTCTCTCTGCAGAGCCAGCAGAGTGAGAACTAATGAAGAAGACTCTGAGGGTTTGTAGGACACACGAAGGGGCTGGATCAAAGGGTTTTATTTTCGGACAGGCATAGAGTGTCTTGAGGGGGGATGCCGGGTTTGCAAGGGCATCAAAGAGAATGTGCTAACTTGTGTGGCAGGGATGATCTCACCCTCTCTGGAAGTCTAAACTGTGAGGCCACATATTGGCTTTGTGGGGTTCAAGGGAGTGAGCTGCACCAACAACCTGCCCCATTGTAGATTACATGGCAAATCCAAGCCCCGTCCAGTCTGAAAAATGAGATCCAACTATTTGATGGGGAGCAGTTCTGCTTTGGGGTTACATTTTCATTTACCATTTGTCTCAGATGCTAAGATAAAATTCTTGGAGGAAATGTGGCATCCCTTTTCAGAGGGAGACCTCTCACTCAAACCTCTATGCCCTTCTCAGGTTCTTAGAAAAGTGGGAAGATAGAAACGCTATGATGCCAAGGAAGCTATAACACTATTACCACCAAGGAATGGAGAGGAATTTCCCTTGGAGTGGGACGCTAGGCAGCCTGTCCTCACAGGCTAGATGGAGTTAGGTGACATCTGGCTTTGATCATAAACCCAAAACTCTCCTGAAGACCCAGTCATTTACTGTGCATTCCAGATTGCAACTGTTGTAAGAGAGCCCTGGCTCTTGATAAGACAGTATGATTGTTGGAGACTGTGGCTGCACATTCTTACACATTAAAGCAGTTGACGGGGATTGACCCAAGCCACTCACTCCTCATGTGTTCCCAGGACCTGCACGCTCTCTTCCTCTGTACCTCTCTTCTCTTTCTGTCTCTTTCCTTCTCTTTCCCATCCTCTCTTTTCTCCATTTCTCCCTCTATTTATTTTCACTTTTATTTTATTTATTTATTTTTTTGAGACGGAGTTTTGCTCTGTCACCCAGGCTGGAGTGCAGTGGCATGATCTAGGCTCACTGCAACCTCCGCCTCCTGGGTTCAAGCAATTCTTCTGTCTCAGCCTCATGAGTAGCTGGGATTACAGTCATGGGCTACCACGCCTGGCTAATTTTTGTATTTTCAGTAGAGTCAGGATTTCACCATGTTGGTCAGGCTGGTCTCGAACTCCTGACCTCGTGATCCGCCCGCCTCGGCCTCTCAAAGTACTGGGATTACAGGTGTGAGCCACTGTGCCTGGCCCAGGAGGAGCAATATTTGAAAGTGTTACTATCTGCTCTTTGGCAGCCCAATGTTAGTTTGTGGAAGGAAAGGGAAAGTCAGTAGTGGGACCACTCCTGGGAATGAATTATTGGATCTGGAGCAGCACCACCCAACAGAAACAGAATGCAGGCCACATGTGTAACTTCACATCTTCTAGTAGCCATATTTAAAGAAGTAAAATAATTTTAATAATAGATTTTTAATTTTAATTACATTTACATCTTAATAAATATATTAGGCACAGGAAATGCCTCTTGCCTGTAATCTCAACACTTTGGGAGGCTAAGGCAGGAGGATCCCTTGAGCCCAGAAGTTCAAGATCAGCCTGGGCAATATAGCGAGACTTTGTCTCTAAAAAAAAAAAAAAATTAAAAAATTAGCCAAGTGTGGTGGCACTTTCCAATAGTCCCAGCTACTTGGGAGGCTTAGGTGGGAAGATCATTTGAGCACGGGAGGTTGAGGCTGCAGTAAGCTGAGATTGCACCACTGCACTCCAGCCTGGGTGGCAGAGTGAGACCCTGTCTCAAAAATAAATAAGATGGGCACAGTGGCTCACGCCTGTAATCCCAGCACTTTGGGAGGCTGAGGCGGGTGGATCATTGAGGTCAGGAGCTTGAGATCAGCCTGGCCAACATGGCGAAACCCCGTCTCTACTAAAAACACAAAAATTAGCCAGGAGTGGTGGCACACAATTGTAATCTCAGCAACTTGGGATGCTGAGACCAGAGGATCGCTTGAACCCAGGAGGGAGAGGTTGCAGTGAGCTGAGATAGTGCCACTGCACTCCAGCCTGGGTGATAGCGCAAGGCTCCATCTCAATTTAAAAAAAAAGTAAATGTATAATATTTACTCAGACACACCAAAAATGTTATTTCAAAATAAATATTGTTATTATTATTATTTTGAGACAGGGTCATGCTCTGTTGCCAAGGCTGGAGTGCAGTGGCTCGATCACAGCTCACTACAGCCCTGACCTCCTGGGCTCAAATGATCCTCCTGTCTCAGCCTCCCAAGCAGCTGGGACCACAGGTGTGCACCACCATGCCCAGCTAATCAATACAAAAATTATTAACAAGCCATTTTATCTATTTTTTGTACTAAGTATTTAAAATCTGGAGTGCATTTTACACATTCAGCTCATCTCAATCAGGACTAGCTGTACATCAAGTGCTCAGTAGCTGCATGTGGTTATTGATGACCACATTGCCCAGTGCAGCTTTTGAGCACTCTGCACTGAATCACTCTCTCTAGTCTCTGATCATTCATGTGGAGCACCTAAAGCTGGAAGGTTCAGGGAAATCACCCTGATTCTTGATAACTTACAAATAAGGGGATTGTATAATTTATTAAGCAAACCAAGACACTGTTGAGGGTGAAAGAAAGGGAGCACTCTTAATAATTGTGTGGACAACAGGCATCCACCAGCACTGGACCAGCAGACAGGACAGATGTTATAAAAGGACTCCCATCAGAGGAGGCTCAGGCCATGACCTTGAATACCAAGGTTGTTGTGAGAGTCATCAGGTAGCCCTGGGTAGCCAGTGGGCATCTCAAGAGATGAAAGACACCTGAACAAAGGCATTGACGAGGCATCAAGGGGCACCTAGGCAGAGTACCTGCGATTTAATCCAGGATGAAGGAGACTTGGATCAACCGTGGAGGTACAAAAAAGTGGAGGCAAGCTAAAACTGCAAAATGTGAGACTGATGTCAGACCCAAGAAGAGCTCCCTGGCTCTGAGAAAGCATTTCTGAGCCTAGTGTGCTAGTGCCTTCTGGGGACTTTAAAAGCAGCATAAATTCAGTTCATCCAGGCAAAGAATTACCTGCTGCAAGGAAGGAAGGTAAAGTTGCAGATGTCTGAGCCCCTTCCAGCTCTAGTTCCCAAGATAAGACAAAACTATTGCTTGTAGGAAATGTTCCAACGATGAAACAATGTTTAGCTAGAGAAAATTTATTGCAAACATTTGTTAAAGGTTAAAGCACAAACCTTGAGGAAAATAAGGGGGGAAAATCACCCAACATAAATTTTGATGATTATTGGTACTGTAGAGAGAAATGATTCTTATATTTCATTTTCCTAGAGTTTACTATGAAAAACTATGAGAAAGAATCTTCCCAGCAGCTTTTTCTCGCATGTATTTTTTTTTTAAATAAACTACATCACTCCTTATATTTTAGTCTGACATATCATGAGGTTCAGATTCCCATAATAAGGTTCTACTCTTTTATAACACTCAGATCAGAGGCACGTGGTTAGCTAGCGAGGCATAGTAACGACAATGAGCTGTTTGAGTAGACAGACGGGAATAGAAATCACAGCACCTTCACTTAGTACCTGTGCAACAGATCCATTTACTTAACAGCTGTGAGCCTCAGTTTCCTGATCTGTAAATGAAGATAATAATATCTATCTCACAGAGTTGGGGTGATTTCATGACAGAAAACTGAAAGCGCTAATTGTAGTGTCTATCAGAAAAGCAGATGCTTAATAAATGGTAGTCACATAGGCTATACAGGAGGTAGTTTCAAGTTATTACAATAATAATGATAGTGTATCTGAGAAACCTTCAAGTCTCAGCAAATTCAGTAAACCCAGGTGAACACACACTTAACAAGCATGTACTCTATGCAAGCTATTGTATACCCAGACACCACATCCTTCATTTGTAATCGTGGTTCATGCCTACAAGTGCCTTTGAAATTCTTGTGGCTTCTTTCTTGCTGTTCAACTTGGATTCACAGCATTCCCTCATATCTGAATGTTGGGGAGGGGTGGGGGACAGGGGAAATAAATGATGAAAGCATCTTCAATTGTCAGGGGTGGAGAAGAGACAGGGAAAGGAAGGAGGTAACAATCAAGTCTAAGAGTCAGCTAGTGGGGCCAATCACAAAATATAGTGCAGCAATTCTATGAACAAGCAGAAAAAGGAGTGGGCCTGACTGTGTATGTGAGGGGATACGTGAGCATACATGAGATATGTTTTCATACCCAGAATAGATATCTTTGAGTGTTATTTACTTTTATTTTTAAATTTACTTTTATTTATTTTTCGAGACGGGGTCTCATTCTTTTTTTTTTTTTTCTTGAGACAGAGTTTCACTCTTGTTGCCCAGGATAGAGTGCAATGGCACGATCTCAGCTCTCCACGACCCCTGCCACCCAGGTTCAAGTGATTCTCCTGCCTCAGCCTCTTGAGTAGCTGGGATTACAGGCATGTGCCACCATGCCTGGCTAATTTTGTATTTTTAGTAGAGATGGGGTTTCTCCATGTTGGTTAGGTTGGTCTCGAACTCCTGACCTCAGGTGATCCACCCGCCTCAGGCTCCCAAAGTCCTGAGATTACAGGCTTAGGCCACCGCGTCCGGCCTGGGTCTCTCTGTTTTGCCAAGGCTGGAGTGCAGTGGTGCAATCATAGCTCACTGCAGCCTTGAACTCCTGGGCTCAAGTGATCCTCCCAGCTCAGCCTCCTGAGTAGCTGGGACTACAGGTGTGCACCACCATGCCTGGCTACCTTTTTATTTTTATTTTGATAGAGACGGCGTTCTCCCTATGTTGCCCAGGCTGGTCTCCAAGTTTTGGGCTGAAACTATCCTCCTGCCTCAGTCTCTCGAAATGCTGGCCTTTAAGTCAACTTTGTTGAGGTATCTACGTCTAACATCTAATAAAATGCATCCATTTTAGCAAAACACTTTGATGAGTTTTGACAAATGTATGCAAGAATGTAACTGGCACCACAATCAAACTTTAGAGAAATTCCATCATCCCAGAAAGTTCCCTAATATTCCTTTCCCCCAGCTCCAGGCAACCATTGTTCTTCGGTCAGTCACTAGATTAATTTAGCCCCATGGTTCTCAGACTCTGCCAGGGTACTCTGGGATGCTACAGCAAATTCATGGTGTATCATGGATGTTTTAAATTTTTGAGGGAAACACAGATCTGTTGGATGCCATAGGAACCACTATTTTGATGTTGTTTGGGCCTAATGAGTTAATAAATTGAACTTTTATGTATTTTGTTTGGTTTAGGGGCATCATGAAAAAAAGATTGAAACACTAGTAATAACATTTTCACAGCTCATCTATGTTATTGCATGTGCCAGTATATCATTTCTTTATATTTCTGGGGATATATTTTAGTACATGGATATAACACATTTTTTTCTAAAGAAAGCCGCTTGAGCATTTATATACAAATCTTTTGAGTACATATGTTTTCATTTTTCTTGCGTAGATGTATAGAAGCAGAATTTCTGGGTCATATGTTAAGTGTATGTTTCACTTTTAAAGAAAACGCCAAACTATTTTCCAAAGCACAATTTTACAACCCCAGTTGCTCCACTTTTTTGCCAACATGGTACTGCCTGTTTCTTTAATTTTAGCCATTCTAGTGGGTGTGCGATGCTAGATCATTGTGCTTTTAATTTGCATTTTCCTGATGACTAATTATGTTGAGAATCCCTTCATGTGCTTGTGGGCCATTTGTGTATCCTCTCTAGTGAAGCTGGTTGAAGTCTTTTGCAAATTGAAAAAAAATCAAGTGGTTTGTCTTATGATTGAGTTGTAAACATATCTATACGTTCTTAATATAAGTCCATTGTCAGATGTATATGTATCTACTATAGTTTACAACTCAACCATAAGAAGAAAAACCACTAGGTTTTTAAAATAATTTGTTCCTGGTGTATTGTTTGTCTTTTTATGGTCTTAACAGTATCTTTCAGAGAACAAGAGCTTTCAATTTGATGAAGTCCATTTCATTAATATTTTCTTTCATTGTCCATGCTTTTCTGTATCCTAATAATTTTTTGTTAATTTCTAAGGTCACAAAGAATTTCTTCTGTTTTTTCCTAGATGTTTTATAGTTTTAGCTCCTACATTGTGGCTTAAGATCCTTTGTGGAGTTAGCTTTTGTGTATGGTGTGAGCTAAATGTGGAGGTTCTCTTTTTTCTTTATGGATATCAGCTGGTTAAGCAGCATTTGTTGAAAAGACAATCACGTTGGCACCTTTGTTGAATATTAATTGATCATATATGTGTGCATCTATTTCTGGGTTTTCTTCTTTTCCATTCATCTTATGATTATCCTTTGCCAATACTACACTGTGTAGATTACTGTAGCTTTATAGTAAGTCTTGCAATCCAGGTAATATAAGTCCTCCAATTTTGTTCTTTTTTCCCCAAAATTGTTTTGGTTTAAATTAAGTCCTTTGCATTTTTATATAAACTGTAGAATCAACATGACATTTCTACAGAAAAGCCTGTTGGAATATGATAGACTCTTTCTTGAGCATGAATGAGGCCGTTAGGCCAATCCTCTGGAAGGCTGAGTCAATTTTGGTGGTGATTTAAAGGGTAGTGCCAAGAGAAACATTGCCCACTTCAGCTTTGTTCTGAAAACCACAATTCAGATGCATCTTCTCACGGGGCACATTGCCCTAGTCCAGTTGAGCAGAAAGGATAGAGTGCAAAACCTGTGATCTCAGCATGACTTATGGAGAGCAGTGGTGACTTTGTGTTTGACAGGGACAAATGGTGAAATTTCCAAGGTGTTTGTCAAATTGGGAGTAATAAAAATAGAATAAAAATAGAATTAAAAGTATTAATTATATTAACTAAAGACAGGCAGAGGTTAAAAGGACGATAATGAAGTTGGAAGACAGTGTTTATGAGATACGAAAAAACTGTGGCTATTGGAGCCAAAATATCGTGGATTCATGTCCTATTTTTTCCACATTCTTCTTATGTGACATTAGAGCAAGTGGATTTTAACGTAGATTTCATAGTTTGCTTTGAGGATTAAACGAGATCTCTCCAGCTGCCTCCTGGATATCATGGGCACTGCTCATTCAATGGGTCCAGAAATAAACCCCTATTTCCCTTCTCAAACCAGCTCCACCTTTGGTGTTTTCCTTCTAAGTGATGTCAGCTGTGATCTCAGCTAACTCTAACACCTAACCCTCACCCTAATTCCCTGCTATCTGCTATAGCAGGTATGTGCCCTTTGAAGCAGCCCAGAATCTTTTTTTTTGAGACAGAGTCTTCTTGCTCTGTCGGCCAGGCTGGAGTGCAGTGGCGCTATCTCGGCTCACTGCAACCTCTGCCTCCCGGGTTCAAGAGATTCTCAAGCCTCAGCCTCCTGAGTAGCTGGGATTACAGGCGTGCCCTGCCACGCCCAGCTAATTTTTGTATTTTTAGTAGAGGCAGGGTTTTGCCATGTTGGCCAGGCTGGTCTCCAACTCCTGGCCTCAAGTGATTGGCCCGCCTTGGCCTCCCAAAGTGCTGGGATTACATGCGTGAGGCACTGCACCCAGCCCTGAAGCAGCTCAGAATCTCTAGAACATCTTCTCCACATTTGATTTTTCCCCCAACATGCAAACCAAAACACAAAAGAAAAGTGGACTGCATTTCCCAGCCTCCCTTGCTGCTAGGATGCAGTCATGTGACCTAGAATCCACCAATCCAACCGATCAGATGCACCAGGGCCTTTGCTTCTCAGTGGAGCTGGAAAGGGTAGGACCGGGCATCTCCATCTTGTTGACACAGGTGTGAGCAGAGGCAGCCCTGTTCTGGAGTCTCCTTGCTGTTTTCACCAGGGAGTCGTTCCTGGAAACTCAGCCTAGACCTTGATCTACTCTTTCTAACAAAGATTCTCCATACCCCTTTATAACCCTCTTTTTTTCCAAACTAGCTACAGCAGATTCCATTGTTACAGTTCAAAACCCAGACCAATATGCCAGAAGCAATACATACTAAATACCCAAGCCAGAAACTTGGATGCCTAACCATGACCCCTTTCCCTCTCACCATCATAGCCAGTCAGGCGCCAAGTCTTACTGATTCTGCTCCATTCCCCTTCTGAATCTGTCTCTTCCCTCTCCCATCCTAGCCCTGGTCAAACCACCACTGTCTCTCATCTGGATTTTGGCGATCATTTCTAATGAGTCTCTCCTGCTTTTAGTTCCCATATCCCAAGCTTGTCTCCACGCTGTCCAGAGCCACCTTTGAAATAAGGCAAATCTAATATTAGCATGTTCTTGAATAAGACCCTTCAATGGCTCATTACTGGTCTTAGAGTAAGGTTCAAAATCTTCAACCTGGCCCACCCGACCTCACATCATCTACCTCCTGCCTCTCCCATAGGCCCATCTGTCTCCAGCTACACTGTTCCTAGAATGGGCCAGCCCTTTCCCATCTCAAGTCCTTCATTCACTGTTCCCTACACCTGGAATGTGTCCCATTTCCACTCCAACTCTTCCTGACCCTTTAAATCCTAAATCTTAGCCTCGGTTGTACAATTCAGTGAGGCGCCACATACTCTTCTGTTGCACAACACTTTTTACAGTTGTTATGAAATGACCGTGTATTTGTTTGGGTAGGCAGAATAGTATAGATTGTAAAGCATGAGTTTTATAGCCAGACTAAACTATAGATTTGTTTCATTTTCTACATGTGTGACTTGGAACAAGTGACTTTGTCTGCCTGTGCCTGTCTCTTCATGTGCAAAATGAGCATAATAAGAGTACTGTACCTATGTCTAAGGACAACTCCTGTTGTGCTTAGAGCAGAGGTTTAGTATGCTTTTCCTGTAAAGGACCAAATGGTAAATACTTTAAGTTTTGTGGGCCTTGTGGTCTCTGTCTCAGTTACTCAGCTCTGCTGCCATAGTGCAAAAGCAAACATGGACGATAATACATAAATGAGTGGATATGGCGGTACTCCAATATTATTTTATTTATAAAAACAGGAGGTGGGCCAGATTTGGCTCATGGCTCATAGTTTGCCAACACCTGACTTAGAATAGTCTTGGCACAAAGCATGTGCTCAGTATATGTTAGCTGTTACTATTAATTGTTTTATGGCTTTCTTTCCTGCTAGAATATAAGCTTCCTGAGGGCAGGGACTGTGTGAACCCTGAAAATCTGAGACAGGTCTCAGTTAATTTAGAATGTTTATTTTGCCAAGTTTGAGGACGTGCGCCCGTGGCACAGCCTCAGGAGGTCCTGACAACGTGTGCTCAACGTGATCAGAGTATGGTTTGGTTTTATACATCCTAGGGAGATATAAGACATTGATCGACATATGCAAGATGAACACTGGTTCAGTCTGGAAAGGCAGGACAACTTGAAGGAAAGGCAGGAAGACTTGAAGCAGGGGAGAGGACTTCCAGGAAGTAGGTAGCTAATAGACAAATGGTTGCATGGTTGCATTCTGTGGAGTTTCTGATGAGCCTCTTCAAAGGAGGCAATCAGATATGCATTTATCTCAGTGAGCAGAGGGGTGACTGAGTAGAATGGGAGGCAGTTTGGCCCTAAGAAGTTCCCAGCCTGACTTTTCTCTTTAACTTAGTGATTTGGGGGCTCCTAAATTTATTTTTCTTTCACAACTGTGTCTCTGTTGTTCACTGCTGTATCACCAGGGCCTAGTTCATTAAGTAGTAAGTAATACAGGCTCAATAAATGCATGTTTAATGTATGAATATGTCAAGAAGTTAACCCAGAACCCAGGGCACAGCTGGTGCTGAAGAATTGGTTTTCTTCATTTCCTTCTTGCTTAAGAATGGTACTACTGGCTTATCTATAATATGGCATATATTTTGAAGGATTTTTTTCCTTAGTAGAAATGGTAGACTTGATTTTCTTCACATAGGTTTTCAAGGGCGGAATTTTCCAGTTAAATAACAGGACTTTTCAGTCTCTTTATACTTTCTAAAACAGTATACATTATAATAACAATAGCTAGAACTTAGAGGGTGCCTATCAGGTGCCAGGTATTTTGACAAAGCTCTTTAATCTTTACCATAATACTATGAAGCAGAAGAAGAACCCCATTTACAGAAGAAGAAACTGAGGTTAGGGAAGGTTAATTGTTTTGCCAACTAGTAGTCGGCAGAGCTAGATATTGGACCCCAGGTATATTGGATTTGAGTTCCATCCTTTTTCTATGAAGCTACACTGTTCCTCACACTGCCAGATTGCTTTGCAAAGGGGCCAATGGCAATGTTTCCCTATAGCTCCAAGTTTTCCTATTTCTTCCTAATTCAGTTGGCAAAAATCCATAACAATTCAAATGTTGCAGCTGCTGTGGAAAATAGATTGTAGTTCCTCAATAAGTTAAATGGAGTCACCATATGCTTCAGCAATTCCAGTCCAGGTATACAAAAGAATCAAAATGAGGTGTTCAAACAAAAACTTGTACAAAATATTTATGGCAGCATTATTTACAATAGCCAAAAGGTGGAAATAACCCAAATGTTCATCAACAGCTGAATGGAAAAGAAAATGTGATATATCCATACAATGGAATATTATCTGGCCATAAAAAGGCTAAAGTTCTAATGCAGGTTACAACATGGAGGAACCTGGAAAACACGCTGAGTGAAAGAAGTCAGACTCACGCCACGTATTGTTTGATCACATTTATATGAAATATGCAGAAGAGGCGAATCTGTAGAGACGGAAAATAGATTAATGGTAGTTAGGGAACTAGGGAGTGGAGAGTGACTGCTAATGGGGCTTCTTTGCGGGGTGATGAACGTGTTCTGGAATTAGAGAGTGATGATGGTTGCACAAGACTTTGAATGCAATAATGCCATTGAGTTGCATGCTTTAAAATGGTAAATTTTATGTTATGTGTGTTTTACCATGACAAAAAAATCCAGAACAAATCTGTAAGATGATAGGCAAGAAATTTTCCAGAAATATCAACATCTAGGTACTCACACAGCCCTTTCTTACGGCTCATCCTACACTCTTTTTCTTTCTTCTTCTTAGGAGAAATATTTATTTCTCTCCCACTTTACACTTAGGCATCCAAAGGCCCACGGATAACCTCCGCCAGGTATGTCGCTTTCCACTTCTTCTGGAACTGAGGGTGTGTTTGCTGCTGATCAGGGCAATGTCTACTTTATCTTCTTGGCTGTCCTCATTAGACTTGCCAAGCACTGTCAGAGAGAAGCAGGCTTTCTGCTGAAACATGAGGCTTTCTCCCAAACACATGGGTTAGTTCTCAAACTCCTGTTCACCTCTTTGCTTAGTTTCCTCTTGTGGCTAAGGGAAAAGCACAGAAGTTCCGTGGGCTACTTTCTGAGTCCGCATCAACCTCCACGACAATCTTTTTCTCTAACCTGGAGTTTCTTTGGCCACCAAGTTAATAGTCCATCACTCACTGCCTTCCACTCTTCAACTTCTTATTAATGCTTGTTCAATTTTGAACAGTTTGTCTGACTTGAAAAGAAACTGCAGAAGCTGCACTTTTGTAGTCACTAATTTTTTTTAAAGCTTGGCTTTCTGCCAGGCTTTTTAAAGGGCCCGTACAGATTTCCCCTATGATTGCCTGAAAACGCAGTTAACAACAACCACGAATTGTACCTACTGTGTGTCAGGCAGTATTCTTGGTGTTTTACATATAATCATTCATTGAATCTTCATACCTTCACGAGGTAGGTATAATTATTATTCCTGTTTTACAGATGAGAACAGTGAGGCACAGGGAGGTCGAGTACCTTGCCCAAGGTCAACAGACAGTGTCAGTCTTAGACTGTACGTAGAGTAATTTTTTTCAAATCTGTGTGGAGTGCCTGCATTGTCATAGGATGCTCCTCAAGCGAGGAAGCCATCATCCACAGGGGTGGATTCATAGTGACGGAGTCCAGGTACTGTGGCAGGTTAGTGGGAGAGAGAGTTTTGGGAAGGGGATCTTTCAGGACAACTCTTTACATCCCACCATCTGGGCATTCAGAATACCACAAGTGCAACGTCCCTGTTTTTTTTTTTTGTTTTTTTTTTTTAAGACGGAGTCTCACTCTGTTGCCCAGGCTGGAGTGCAGTGGCGTGATCTCGGCTCACTGCAAGCTCCGCTTCCTGGGTTCACACCATTCTCCTGCCTCAGCTTCCCGAGTAGAGGGGACTACAGGCGCCCGCTACCACGCCCGACTAATTTTTTGTATTTTTAGTAGAGACGGGGTTTCACCGTGTTAGCCAGGATGGTCTCGATCTCCTGACCTCGTGATCCGCCCGCCTTGGCCTCCCAAAGTGCTGGGATTACAGGCGTATGTCCCTGTTTTGACTGACCTTGGCATATGACAGAGTGGTTTAAGAAGCACAGACTCTGGGCTCAGGCAGAGCTGGGAAAAAATCTTGCCTCCATGACTTAATCAGTGGGCAAATTACCTTGGAAATTATTTTTTTCCTTCAATTATTTTATATTCAGGGGTACATGTGCAGGTTTGTTACATGAGTATATTGTGTAATGCTAGGGTTTGGGCTTCTATTGACCCCATCAGCCAAATAGTGAACATCATCCCCAACAGGTAGGTTTTCAACCCTCCTCCCCCTTCTTTCCTCCCCACTTCTGTAGTCCAGTGTCTATTGTTTTCATCTTTATGTCCATATGCACCCACTCTTTAGTTCCCACTTATAAGTGAGAAGTGGTATTTTATTTTCTGTTTCTGTATTAATTCACTTATCATAATGGCCTCCAGCTGCACACGTGTTTTGGCAAAGGACATGGTTTCATTCTTTTTTATGGCTGCATAGTATTCCATATTACCTTGGAAATTCTGAAGCCGAGGCTGACTGAGCCAGGAGGGAGTTCTCTGAAGAACTGCATGCCTAGGTAGAATTTTGGATTTGACTGGGATCTCTCAACCTTGGCACTACTGACACTGGGGAACACAGAATTCTTTGTTCAGGGGGGCCGTCCTATGCATCGGGTGATGTTTAGCCGCATCCCTGGCCTCCACTCACTAGATACCAGCAGCACCTCTCAAGTTGTGACAATGAAAAATGTCTCCAGGTGGGGTCAAATGTTCCCTGGGGGGCAAAATCGCTCTCAGTTGAGAACCATTAAATTAGATGACCTGAGGCCTCTTCCTATTCCAATATTATTTTATAATTCTGTCAACATGAAGAGCTGTTTTATATAGCATGGCTTCATTTGCATGTAGAGCAATGAGAATTGAGAGTCACCACTCAGATATGCAGAAGGGTAACCAGATTTCTGGAATTTGTTATATGAGCCTTTTCCTTTCAGTGGAAAAAAATCTCCGTAACAGTCATTCTCTGTTTTCACTCGGAAAAGCAATCTTGCCACTCAAGGTAATTCTGTATTTTCTGTTTAAAGACGAAAGCCTCTTTTGAGTAAATTTCTCACTCATTTCAAAGTTTGAAGTTCTTATGAAAGTTTCTCACCTTCATGATTTCTCCTCTCATCAGAAGTCCCTGAGTAATCCTTCTCCACCCAGAGAAGTCCCTGGGGCAGGGAGAAGTTTCTGGAACATTGAGGCATTGTCCTCAGGCAGCTGGTCCTCTGAGCTGGCCTGGGAGGAGCTATGTGTCCTCATACTTGGTCTCTTCTTTGGGTGGAACCTCGTCTTACTTTCTCTGCATACTGGGTACTCCCAGGGAGCTTGCGCCCCTGCCCTGCTGCCTGGTCACCCAGCCACAACGTCCTTCTGGCTCCCATCCCTGAGCTGTCACCCCTGGCCAATGTGCTCCTCTGCTCCAGTACAGGTGACCCCCAGCAGGCACCCTGAGGGAATTCTCAGTTACTACTTGGCCCTTGCAGGGCTATGGGAAAGTCCCTGGATCTCCACGATGCTTGGTGGGGTGTGAGTGGCTCTCCTGGGCCCTTCTTACTCCACATCTGCACTATTGCTGAAGGCAGCCCATTTCCTTCCCACCTCCCACCCCAACCTTCTGAGGCTGCCTTCTGCCTGGGCTCCAGGAGGGAAGAGTGGCACTGTCTGCCGGGCCTTTGTAGCAGCAGTCTTACCTTTGCAAGTCTGGAGAAAAATGGAAACAGCTGTTTCAGTATTTATGTTGTGTAATGTTAATTGGAAAGTGTTTAGAATTGACTTTGTAACTCCCTATAATGCCCCCCTCCAGCAATCCTTCAAGCCCACGGGATCACAATCCACTGAGCTTACCCCCAGGAATTTACCCTGTCGCTCTTGGGTGTTCACATCCCTCCTTATCCTGCTGAAATTGCACCTTCAGTTGGTTGTAAACATCTCTGTCCCTTCTCTCTCACTTCATTGCACTTGCTTGATGCATTAGTCAGGGTCCTCAGTTTAAACAGAACCAATAGAATATATATACAGTGATGGGTTGCTTAATCATGGGGATACTATTATGGGAAATGTGTCGTTAGGCAATTTCATTGTTATGCGAACATCACGGAATGTACTTACACAAACCTAGATGGAATAACTTACTATACACCTAGGCTATGTGGTATAGCGTATTGCTCCTTAGGCTACAAACCTGTACAGCATGTTACTGTACTGAATACCATAGGCAATTGTAACACAATAGTAAGAATTTGTGTATCTAAACACATCTAAACACAGAAAAGGTACGGTAAAAATGCAGTATAAAAGATGAAAAATGGTTCACATATACAGAACATGAATGGAGCTTGCAGAACTGGAAGCTGTGCTGGCTGAGTCGGTGAGTGAGTGAGGAATGAATGTGAAGGCCTAGGACATTGCTGTACATGACTGTAGACTTTATAAACATTGTACACTTAGGCTACACCAAAGTTATAAAAGATTTTCTTTCTTCAATAATAAATTAACGTTAGCTTACTGTAACTTTTTAAATTTATGAACTTTTAGACTTATTTGTAATACCTACTTAGCTTTAAGCAGATTGTACAGCTGTCCAAAAATATTTTTTCTTTATATCCTTATTTTAGAAGAGTTTTTCTATTTTTACAATTTTTAACTTTTTAACTTTTTTTTTTTTGAGATGGAGTTTCGCCATTTTGCCCAGGCTGGAGTGCAGTGGCACAATCTCGGCTCACTGCCAACCTCTGGCTTCTGGTTTCAAGCGATTCTCCTGCATCAGCCTCCCGAGTAGCTGGGATTACAGGCACCCGCCACCACACCCGGCTAATTTTTGTATTTTTAGTAGAGACAGGGTTTCACCATGTTGGCCAGGCTGGTCTCAAACTCTTGACCTCAGGTGATCTGCCTGCCTCGGCCTCCCAAAGGACTGGGATTACAGGTGTGAGCCACCGTGCCTGGCCAAATTTTTTTACTTTTTAAACTTTTTTGTTAAAAACGAAGTCACAAATACACACATTAGCCTAGGCCCACACAGGGTCAGGATCACCAAGGTCACTGTTGATGATATTGTCCCACTGGAAGGTCTTCAGGGGTAGTAACATGCACAGAGCTGTCCTCTCCTGTGATAACAATGTCCTACTGCCTACTCACTGTCTCCATTTGGAAGTCAAATAGTTGTCTCAAATGTAACCTGTTCAAAACTGAGGTCCTAATCTTCCCTCTATATCTGCTCTTCTTGTAGTCTTCCTCATCTCAGTCTCCATCCTTCTCGTTCCTGCAACTCCATCCTTCTAGTTACTGAAATAAAAAAATCTTGGAGTATTTCTTTTTCTTTTCTTTTTTTTTTTTTTTTTTTTTGAGATGAGTCTTGCTCTTTCTTGCTCTGTTACCCAGGCTGGAGTGGAGTGGCATGATCTTGGCTCACTGCAACCTCCACCTCCTGAGTTCAAGTGATTCTCCTGCTTCAGCCTCCTTAGTAGGTGGGATTATAGGCGTGCACCACCATGCCCAGCTAATTTTTGTATTTTTAGTAGAAACGGGGTTTCGCCATGTTGACCAGGCTGATCTCGAACTCCTGACCTCAGGTGATCTGCCCACCTTGGCCTCCCAAAGTGCCAGGATTACAGGCACGAACCATCGCACCTTTCCAAGTCATTCTTGAGGTCACATTTTTCTCTCCTACCCAGCGTGTGACCCACCGGCAAATATCATCGGTTCTATCTTCATATATATTCAGAATCCAACCACTTCTCCCCACGCCCACTGCTCCCATCCTGACCCGAGGCACCAGCTTCTCCTAGATGACTGCATAGTCTTCTGACTGGGCTCGCCGCTTCCACCTGTCTTCTCCAGTTCAGTCCTAACACATCAGCCTGTGCTCTTGTTAATGGGCTGGTTGGGTCATGTCCCTCCTCTGCTCCAAACCCTTTAACAGCTCTCTAGCTCACCTCAGAGTAAATGTCAAATCTCTGTCATGACCCTCTAGCCCTCCTCTTCATATCTGACCTCGTCTTCCACAACTCTGCCTTGTTCACTGGCCTATAGTTACACAGACCCCTTTGCTGTCCTTGAACTCTCCAGGTGTACCCCCGCCTCAGGGCCTTTGCCCTTGCTGTTCCCTTGGCCTTGAATGCTCTTCCCTCTGTTATCTGCTTGGATCAACTTCTCATCTCCTGCAGGTCTTTCGTCAGGCGTCACTTCTCAGCACCCTGTATGAATTTGAGACTCCTCCCCTGCCTCCTCCTCCCTACTTCCTTGTTATTCTTCCCTGATTTGTTTTTCTCCTTAGTATTTAATATCATCTAATGCATTATGGAGAGCATTTTAATAATTATTACTTTCCTTCTTTCCCCATTGCTGTATTCCTAGCGCTTACAATGGAGACTGGCATATAATAGATACTCAACTAATATTTGTTGAATGAACGTGTTCATTTTTAGAAAGTTGGTAAAACTAATATTTAGTAAATTTCAAAAAAAAAAATTACAATCAGAGTACAAAATATCAAATAAAGATGTAATATTAGAAAATACAGTGGTTGGCCAGGTGTGGCTTATGCCTGTAATCCCAGCACTTTGGGAGGCTGAGGTGGGCAGATCACGAGGTCAGGAGTTTGAGACCAGCCTGGCCAACATGGTGAAACCTCGTCTCTACTAAAAATACAAAAAAATTAGCCGGGCATGGTGGTGGGTGCCTGTAATCCCAGTTACTCAGGAGGCTGAGGCAGGAGAATCACTTGAAACCAGAAGGCGGAGGTTGTAGTGAGCCGTGATCATGCCACAGCACTCCAGCCTCAGCAACAAGAGCGAAACTCCGTCTCAAAAAAAAAAAAAAAAAAGGGAAAATACAAGGGTTAAACACGGATGCTACTGTAATACAAACGAGAAGCTACAAGCTCTGTGGCTTCTTCCACATCAGCCAGTAGACAGCTGCTCCCTCTTCCAAGTGGAACTCTGGGAAGGACACTCTTGGGCAGCTCCTTCCCTCTGCTGCAGACTCAGATTCCAGCACTTAGAACTGTGCACTTTGGATGGAGAGCTCCACCCTTTTTTTGAGACACAGTCTCACTGTGTCACCCAGGCTGAAAGCAGTGGAGTGATCATGGCTCACTGCAGCCTCAACCTCCCGAGCTCAAGTGATCTTCCCACCTCAGCCTTCCAAGCAGCTGGGACTACAGGCATGAGACACCATGCCTGGCCTTCACTCTTTTGTTAAAAATAAAAATATAATCAACTTTATTGAGAAGTAATTTATATATAATAAAAATGCACAAGAAGTATCTAGTTTGATGAATTTTAACAAATGTATCCACTCTAGTAATCACCATTTTAATCAGATAATCAATCAATTTCATAACCCAGAACTGTCCCTTTTTGTCTATGCAGCTAATCATTCCTCCCTCTCACCCAACTAAACCACTGATCTCTATGTTAGTTTTTCCTGTTGTGGAAATTCATAAACGAAACCATACAGTATATATTCCTTGGAGTCTGGATCATTTTGTTTAATATAACGTTTCTGAGATCTGTACATGTGGTTGGGCATATTTGCTTATTTTTATTGTATTCTATTGCACAAATATACCACTATTTGTTTATCCATTCATCTTTTGAGGGACAGTTGTTTCCAGTTTTTGGTTATTATGAGTAAAGTTGCTATGAATGTTTATGTATAAGTCATTTTGTGGACATATGTTTTCCTTTTTCTTAAGTAAATACCTAGGAGTTTGATCGTACATAAGTATAATATGTTTAACTTCATAATAAACTGCTTTTCAAAGTGACCGTGACGTTTTACACTTCCACCAGCAATGTACAAGAGTTTCAGCTGCTCTGCACCCATGCTAGCACTTGGTATTATCAACCAGTCTTTTAATTTTAGTCATTCTCGTGTGTAGTAGCACTTCACTGTGGATTTAATTTACATTTTTCTGGTGACTAGTGATATTGAACATATTTTCATGTGCTTATTGACAATTTGTATATATTCATTGGTGATGTGTCTGTTTAAATCTTTTGCCTATTTTCTAGTTGCCTTGTTTTCTTAATATTTTTTAATAGTTGTAAGAGTTGTTTGCATTTTTTCAATGCAAAATATTTGTCAGCTGTATATGTTATGAATATTTTCACCCAGTGGTTTGACTTTTCATTTTTGTAGTGGCATTTTTCAAAAAGTGGAAGTTTTAAATTTTAATAAAGCACAGTTATCTTTTTTTTTTTTTTTTTTTTTGAGTTGGAGTCTCACTCGTTGCCCAGGCTGGAGTGCGGTGGTGCAATCTCGGCTCACTGCAAGCTCTGCCTCCCGGGTTCATGCCATTCTCCTGCCTCAGCCTCCCGAGTAGCTGGGACTATAGGTGCCCGCCACCACGCCTGGCTAACTTTTTGTATTTTTAGTAGAGACGGGGTTTCACCATAGTTAGTGCTTTCTATTACTTGCCTAACGAATCCTTGCCTGCACAAAAGTCATAATATTTTCTCCAAATATTATGGAAAACTAAAAGCCTTAGCTTTTAGTTTTAGATGTATGAATCAATTTTTGTAACTTTCCAGGTGTACCCCCACTTTAGATGTGGTACAAGATGGAGAGTGTACATTTTTTTCTCACTTGGATACTGTGTTTAGTTGTTCCTGTGGTGTTTGTTGAAAAGACTGTCCTTTCTTCATTGAATTACCTTGGAACCCTTGTCAAAAACCATTTGACCCTATAAGTGGTCTCTCTCCTATTTCATTTATTTTTCTGCTTTTATGTGAATACCACACTCTCTTTGATTAGTGTGGCTTTATAGTAAGTCATGAACTAGGTAGCCTAAGTCCTTCAACTTTGTTCTTCTTTATAAAAATTGTTTTGGCAGCCATGGAGATACCCTACTCAGACTCTCTCCTTCAAGGGAATCTGCCATGGAGAGCATGGCTGATTGACAGCCTCCAGAAGCTAACTGTACATCCACCAGGGCATTCATACCAGGCCACTCTTCTCCAGTCTGCTCCCAGCCAATGGCTGATTATGGTGGGGTTATTTTAAACGGGCCATCTTGCCCAAGGCAGGATACTTTTGTATCAGGCTCTTTCTAGTCAGTCCTTCCTTCACTTTCTCCTTTCACAGGTGTCAGACCTGTATCACGGTCTAAATTCTCTCCCTGGCTGCTCCTGCTGCCTCTCCTTTAATTAATTAATTTATTAAAAAAAATTTTTTTTTTTTGAGATGGAGTTTCACTCTTGTTGCCCAGTCTGGAGTGCAATGGTGTGATCTTGGCTTACTGCACCCTCTGCCTCCCAGGTTCAAGCAATTCTCCTGCCTCAACCTCCCAAGTAGCTGGGATTACAGGTGTGTACCACCATGCCTGGCTAATGTTTGTATTTTTAGTAGAGACGGGGTTTCACCATGTTGGCCAGGCTGGTCTTGAACTCCTGACTTCAGGTGATCCACCCGCCTTGGCCAACCAAAGTGTTGGGATTACAGGCATGAGTCACTGTGCCTGGCCTCCTTTTATCTTTCACAGGCAGTTCTTTCAATACATCTCTTGTGCATCAATCTGTTGACATCTGTTTTTGGAGGGTCTCGCACTAATACAGTTTCTTACCTGTTCTAAGTCATTTGGATTTCCATGTAAAACTTATAATAAGTTTTACATCAATCTCTAATTTCAAAAAAAGGCTTTTTAGATTTTCACTGGGATTGTGTTGAATCTGTAAATCAATTTGAGGTGAATGAACATCTTAACAATATTGAATCTTTCAATTCATGAACATGGTATACCTCTTAATCTATTTAGATATTCTTTAATGTATCTTAGCCATATTCTGTAGTTTTTGTCATGGAATTAATATCTGTTAAATTTTTGTAATTACTTTATGTTTTAGTAGACTACAACCTTTTTTAAGGAGTAGCCAATGAAAATGGGAAGTGATAGCAGTTTGCCTGAGCTTAGTGGTGAAGAAGAGTGGTGGGGTTCTTGTATGTAGGGTGCCTGGGTTGAGGTAGGAAGGTAAATAAAGGGCAGACATAAGAGAGAACTAAGAAATTGGAATAAAGCTGGTGATTCCAGCTGAGTCATCTGAAATAGCATAATTATACCTCAAAACAAAACTATTCCTGGGTATTTTGTCCTTTACACAAAGAATGATATGCTAGAAGACTTAAATACCAACAGTTCTTATTGCAAACACTGCCTCAGATCTATCTGTGGAATGGTGGTCATGGTGAATGTGTCTACCACCCATGCCTCTTATCTCCCAAGGTTTTAATTCCCTTTGTGGGCCTTTGGTTATAGTTCCCTTATTGTCTGCTTCCTCTCTCTGTCCAAGTGCCTTCCTCCCAGCCAGTAGGGTTTTTAATGTCTTCCTTAAGCTCTGTGGCTAATGTTTGTAAACATGTTTCCAAGGAAAGTTCTTTTGGAATTCAGAGCAAAATTACTTTTCTATAAGAAATCTGTTTCTTTCCAATTAAAAGTGTTTTATTCACAGAAAATTGTGTCTACTGTGTCTTGGGACATTTACATATTGTAACACTTTTACATTTTATTATTTTATGCGACATCCACTTTTTCTCCCCAAAGCAAAAGATGATACTGATCTGAGGAGGAAGAATGGTAGAGCAACAAGAATACTTTTAGAGAAAGAAAATACCACTTTTAACATTAATTGATTTCTTGGGTTTTGAGTTTCTGGGGCCACACAAATAGTGCAAAATTAGAACCTCAAGTCATGAGGATGAGACCGTAATTTAAAAATTTTAGGGAAATTATTAATACTCTTTTTCAAGTTCAGGCAAAAACAAGACATTTCCTTATCATCTCCACAGGCTAATGGGTATTTCTTTTTCCTGTACTACCCTAGGGACCTCAGTTCCAATTCCTCACCTGGGACACACCCAAAACCTTCTCTACTGTTCATGTGTGGCAATGAAAACATAAATTCCCTGGTTACAAAAACTTGCCACCTCTCCAATTCCCACAGACCAACCCCAGCATCAGGTCATATTTACCATGTTGGCTTTCTGTTCCCTTATTGGTTTTGGCCCTGGGGCTATCCCTTCCTTGCTTAGGAGGTTGGCTATGAATTAAAAAGATATTTGTCATATTTTATTCAACATTTCTAATGCTTGATAGTGAGAGGATATTTAGGTTATTTTCCTTGCCATGTTTTCAGAAACAGAGATCTGTCTCTTGTCTCTGCACTCAGGTTCTGATATCCACTTACAGTCCTCCTTGCTTTGGTGATGTATCTGGACCATTCTCCAACTTGAATTTTTGTCTCTCTCTCAGACGTGGATCAGTATTCATCTTTTCTCTCTCCTGCAACTAACAGCAAGAAATATTTTGTCACCTTGGCCGGGTGCGATGGCTCACGCCTGTAATCCCAGCACTTTGAGAGGCCGAGTGGGGTGGATCACGAGGTCAGGAGATCGAGACCATCCTGGCTAACACGGTGAAACTTCGTCTCTACTAAAAATACAAACAAAACAAAACAAAACAAAACAAAAAATTAGCCGGGCATGGTGGCGGGAGCCTGTAGTCCAGCTACTCGGGAGGCTGAGGCAGGAGAATGGTGTGAATCTGGGAGGTAGAGCTTACAGTGAGCTGAGATCACACCACTGCACTCCAGCCTGGGTGACAGAGCAAGACTCCATCTCAAAAAAAAAAAAAAAAGAACTCATATTTTGCATGTGAGGCTCTAGCCTGCCAATTACGGTGTAGCAGGCTGAATAAATCCCCTCCTCCCCCAAGACGTCCCTGGAACCTGTGAAATCCCTGGAACCTGTCACTGTGTTCCTTTTCATGGCAAAGGGACTTTGCGGATGTGATTAAGCTAAGAGTCTTGATATGGGGAGATTATCCTGGATTATTTGGTGAGATTGATGTCATCACAAGGGTCTTTGCAAGACAGATGGATGCAGGAGGAGTCAGAGTGGGAGACAGAAGGCCGTGCGATGATGGAAACAGAGGTGGAAGTGAGGTGCTTTGAAGACGGAGGACAGGGCCACAAGTCAAGGAATACAAGTGTCCTATAGGAGCCAGAAGGAAAAGGAAAGAGATTCTTGTCTAGAGCCTCCAGAAAGAACACAGAACTGCCAACACCTTAATTTTACTCCAGTGAAATTGATTTTGGACTGTAGGAGAATATATTTATGTTGTGCTAAGCCATGAAATCTGTGGTAACTGGATACAGCAGCCATAAGAAGCTAATGCACAGGGGACGCAGATCAACTAGATGAGGATCTAGCTCCTTGTTCCTTCATGTTAACACCTCCCACTGGTGTAAGGGAGGTGACTGGAAGCTGGAGACCAGCCTGTGGTGCAGGTGGCCCTGGGTTTGGGACGCCTGCAGGGATAGGACACCTGGGTGTGCTTTAGTGCCTTGCTAGAAATGGGTTTGTTGCCAGTTTATCAATCTGAGACTCTAGGAAGTGAAGCCAGGTGAATACTAAGCCAGGAGAGGGGTGAACTGATGTCTCTGTCTGGAGGGCGTCAGTGGGGGCAGTTGCTGGTGGTGATGGAGAGTGATGATCAGTTCAGGGTGGCCAGGGACAGAGAAGTAGGGCAGGTGGAGAGGGGAATTCAGTACTCCGAGGACAGATATTCTAGGGCCTGCCATTAGGAAAAATGTGGGGCCGGGCGCAGTGGCTCATGCCTGTAATCCTAGCACTTTGGGAGGCCGAGGTGGGCAGATCACGAGGTCAGAAGATGGAGACCATTGTGGCCAACATGGTGAAACCCTGTCTCTCCTAAAAATACAAAAAAATTAGCCAGGTGTGGTAGCATGCGCTTGTAATCCCAGCTACTCAGGAGGCTGAGGCAGGAGAATCGCTTGAACCCGGGAGGCAGAGGTGGCAGTGAGCCTAGATTGTGCCCCTGCACTCCAAGCGAGGCAACAGAGAGAGATTCTGCCTCAAAAAAAAAAAAGAAAAAGAAAAATATGGTAAGTTACACATAACATAAAATTGATCATTTTAGGTGCTGTAAAGTGAACAGTTCAGTGGCATGAAGTGTATTCACATTGCTGTGTAACCTTCACCTCCATTTATCTCCAGAACATTTTCCTCTTTTCAAACTGAAACTCTGTGCCCATTGAGCACGAATTCCCCATTTCCCCACTTTCCCTAGAAACCCCCATGCTACTTTTTATCTCTATGAATTTGACCTCTCTAGGGACCTCATAGAGTGATTCATACAGTATTTGTATTTTGTGAATGGCTTATTTCACTAAGCACAATGTCTTCAAGGTTATCCACGGGTAGCATGTGTCAGAATTTCATTACTTTTTAAGGCTGAATAATATTCAATTGTACATGTGTATACAACATTTTGTGTATATACATACATTCATGTGTTGATGACGTGGATTGTTTCCACCTTTTGGCTGTTGTGAATAATGCTGCTGTGAACATGGTGCACACATATCTGTTTGAGTTCCAGGGCCTTTTTCTTTCCTTTTTTCTTTTTTTGAGTTGGAGTTTGTTCTTGTTGCCCAAGCTGGAGTGCAATGGCCCGGTCTTGGCTCACTGCAACCTCTGCCTCCCAGGTTCAAGCTATTTTCCTACCACAGCCTCCTAAGAAGCTGGAATTACAGGTGCCTGTCACCATGCCCGGCTAATTTTTTTTTGTATTTTTAGTAGAGACGGGGGTTTTACCATGTTGGCCAGTATGGTCTCGAACTCCTGACTTCAGGTGATCCGCCAGCCTCGGCCTCCCAAAGTGCTGGGATTATGGGTGTGAGACACTGTGCCTGGCCCAGGGCGTGTCTTTAATGCTTTGCTTCACTAGTTGGGGAGTGAGCTCTGAAAGGGGTAGTGTGGGCCTGACATAGGACCACAGTCCCTTATCCAAAACTTGCCATTGGAAGTGTTCCAAAATTCAGAATCTTTCTTTCTTTCTTTCTTTCTTTCTTTCTTTCTTTCTTTCTTTCTTTCTTTCTTTCTTTCTTTCTTTCTTCCTTCCTTCCTTCCTTCCTTTTCCTTCCTTCCTTCCTTCCTTCCTTCCTTCCTTCTTTCTTTCTTTCTTTCTTTCTTTCTTTCCTTCCTTCCTTCCTTCCTTCCTTCCTTCCTTCCTTCCTTCCTTCTTTCTTTCTTTCTTTCTTTCTTTCTTTCTTTCTTTCTTTCTTTCTTTCTTTCTTTCTTTCTTTCATTCTTTCAACAGGGTTTCACTTTGTTGCCCGGGCTGGAGTGCAGTGGCATGACGATGGCTCACTGCAGCCTGCACATCCTGGGCTTAAGTCATCCTCCTGCCTCAACCCCTGGAATGGCTGGGACAACAGACACGTGCCACCATGCTTGGCTAATTTTTACATTTTTTTGTGGAGATGGAGTCTCACTATGTTGCTCAGGCTGGTATTGAACTTCTGGCCTCAAGTGATCCTCCTGCCTTGGCCTCCCAATGTGCTGGGATTACAGGTGTAAGCTAACATGCCCAGCCCAGAATTGTTTTTAATTTTAGAAAGATAACTCAGTATATACGAGGGATGTGATGTAATATGCACAGCATGATTATAAACGACTACAAATCTCCCCATATCAATTTTAGGTTTGGTTTTGTCACTAAATATATTTGCTGCAAGTTTATTTCCAAATTTTTAGGGCTTTATAAGTGACAGAATTGTGGATAAGGGATTGTGGACATATACCAAAGGTTATCAGTTTGGGGAGATAAGAAAAAAATTTATATTTGTAACCCAATATTTTCCCCTTGTGTATGGTTTATTTCTATCAGCCTTTTGATAAAAATTGGTCAATTCTTGGAAGAAAGGTAAATTGGAACAACAGATTGAATATTTATTAGTATGACCAAAGGACTTTATGCATACAGTTCTCAAGTCAACAGGAGCTGTTGTGGAAAGGATCAACTTTTGACAAAAGTGATAGGGAGAAAATAAAGCAAATCATGTCAACTATTTGGAAATTAAGATTCAAAGTTGAGGTCCGAGATGGATGCATAACATTCATTAAAGAAAGTTAAGCAGAATTTAAGTTATGGTATTTAGATTAGGTGGGCAAGAGGCAGAATTTAAGTTATGGTATTTAGATTAGATGGGTAAGAAAATACATTTGTTTAGATTTAACTACCTAATCAGGGTGATTATACCATTGTATTTATTTATTTATATTTTATTTATTTAATTTTTGAAACAGGGTCTTGCTCTGTCACCAAGGCTGGAGTGCAGTGGTGTAATCAAGGCTCATTGTAGCCCCAACCTCCCAGGCTCAAGCAATCCTCCCACCTCAGCCTCCCAAGTAGCTGGGACTACAGACATGTGCCACCACATCCGGCTAATTTTTAAATTTTTTGTAGAGATGGGGTTTCGCCATGTTGCCCAGGCTTGTCTCAAACTCCTGGGCTCAAGAGATCTGCTTGCCTTGGCCTCCCAAAGTGCTGGGATTATAGGCATGAGCCACTGCACCCAGCCGGTTATGCCAGTTTAAAGTCCTTATTCTGTGTGAAGCTTTGCGTTACTTTTGTGTTTAAGTACGTTCCCCTACCTAATCCTTATAAAACTCTGTCTAGGTTATGCAATTTGTGGGGCCCAGTGAAAAAAGGAAAATGTTGGACCCCTTGTTCAAATTATTAAGAATTTCAAGATGGCAACAGAAGAGCATTGAACCAAGCACATGGCACTTTGCAGCTTTGCAGTGTGGGCCCTGCAAGATGGCACGAGTCAGATGCCGTGAAGCTGGGTGTTATGTCCTCTTTTATCACAGGAGGAGACTGAGACACAGAGGAGCTATGTCTTACTCAAGGCCAGACAGCTTGGATGCTGAAGGTGAGCCTTATTGGTCGTTGTACCCTGAGTTCAGCTCAGGGTAGATGCTCAGTGAATTCTATAGGACAGCAAATCGGGACAATCCAGCACGTGTCAAGAAGTGTCTAGAACTTTTGTAGCTGTTGTTGCAGCACAAGAGAGAGCAAGGTAAAACCCGACAACATGCACAAATAGTTCATGCGAGTAAATCACTGCAAACATGCAGGAGATCCTTCTCCCGACTCCCCCGCCAGGCTTTGTGGGGCATGTTTGTTCATTCCTCTGGGTGGGTGTATTAGTCCGTTCTCACGCTGCTAATAAAGACATACCCAAGACTGGGTAATTTGTAAATAAAGAGGTTTAATTGACTCATAGTTCAGCATGGCTGGGGAGGCTTCAGGAAACTTACAATCGTGGTGGAAGATGAAGAGGAAGCAGGCACTTTCTTCACAGGGTGGCAGAAAGAAATGCAAGCAGGGGAAATGCCAGATGCTTATAAAACCATCAGATGGCATGAGACTCATTATCATGAGAACAGCACGGAGGAAACCACCTTCATGATCCAATTACCTCCACTGGGGTTCTGCCCTTGATACATGGGGACTATGGGGATTACAATTCAAAGTGAGATTTGGGTGGGGACACAGAGACAAACCGTATCAGAGGGTAACATGAGCCGTCTAACTTGTGAAGGTGGCTCATTAAACAATGATTTTGCCTAACTGTGGTAAATCAAACTTAATGCTAATTAGTGTCTTCCAAAGAGTAAAAATAGATCTTTAATCGCTCACATTCTTGCTGAGCACAGAGAGGACCGGGGAGCTGGGCTTTCAGAACCCATGTCTTACTCCACATTTTACATATTTCATGCGAAATCTCAGGTCAGTTGCATGGCAGTTGCTGACACGCTGCTGACATGCTTGGACGTGGCTTATTTTTAGAGGCTGTTGTCATGAGAAACTCCATCGCTAATGACTATAACTGTGCTTGTGCAACTATGACAAAGAACTTCCCCCACAATGCTGTGGCTGGAATGATGCTAGTGAAATTCAGGTGGCAGTTGAAGACAAGAAGATGGAAGGAGAACGGCCTGAGATGTGACAAATACTTGCATTCACCACATATGAAATTTGGGATCGGTCTTGGCATAGGATGGCACATGAGGACTTCGGTGTTCTCCCCTCCTCCTGCAGGATTCCAGCGAGATTGGAATGATCATGACAGCTGACACATCCAGCTGAGACTCCTGGCATTGCTCACTGGCCTAACATGAAAACGTTTCTTTTGCCTCCTACTGGCATGGAGGCTGTGGAACAAACACCACTGTGATCACTTAGGGTGCTCCAGGGAAGGTGCCCTAGATGATGGCATGGGGTCTGTCATCTCTCTCCCTGCTGTCCCAACAAGCACAGAGGAAGGAACCAGCAGGTGAGGGGAATCCAGCCTCTTAGGGATGTCACCAAGGCCTCCTAGCTCTTCCCATGCTTCCATTCCACCATCCCCAGCACATTGACTTTCATCCTCAGCTTCAGCCTCTCAAATCCACAAGACGTCGTTTTCTCATAAAATTGTGCCCAAATACAGGAAGAGTGTCTTATTTTGGGTTCCCCTAAAAGCAGAGCCTGATATATAATTTGGCAACTGGTCCAGAAGTGGGAGTGAGCAACTGGGGACCATGAGGCAGGAAGGGAGGAAAAGGCAGCGTAAGGGCTCACTGTGGAGGCAGGTGCCGTGGTCTCTGGGAATCACGCAGAACATGGTCAGAATTTGTTCACCTGAAGATGATGCTCCTGGAGACTTCTTCCAGTGCCCCTGTTCCCCAGCGGCTTGGAGGGTTTTGAATGCAGGTGTTTGGCATGGCAGTGGGGCAGTGCAGGAGAAAACTCAAAGGCAAAAAGTCAAGGTGCTCAATGTGGGCTTGGGGTGGTGCACTGCTGGCTCAAGGTGAGTCGGAGCTCGTGAAGATGCTCTCCATTATGGTGGTCTGAAGTGAAGGTTCAGTACTACGTGCTGCCTCAATACCTGACAGTAGGAGGGTAAGCTCCCCTCCACTCTGCTCCTACAGATAAGGTTCCCTAGCCAAACAATCCTCCTTATCACTGTGACCAGCCACAGTTCCTCCTTATTCTTATCCTGAGTATAGGATTCAGTTCCCTGCCAGACCAGGGAATTATTCAAATAAGCCAAGCGCATCCTCCCATGGGACTCAGGGGGCGCCTCATCCTCTTGATGCTACAAAAACGGCTTCCCACAGCCCCTGCTTATTCACTCTGTTCCCAAGTGCCCTCTGTTCCCTGGGCCCCGCTTAGTGTGGAGTGTGCTGTGTTCTCTTCCACAGGCTGTGAGTATGTGTGATTGATAAACTGCTGGCAGCGCATCTGTCCAGTGTTGGGTGTTGGGAGTTGAGTGCTTAGCTATCCCCATTACCCTGTGGTGGGACTCTCTCCCTCACCAGTGGGGTGTCACGGAAGGAATAAAAATCACTGTGACTCAGAATGTCCATCACCACTGCAGCTGAAATTAAGGTGGGCTAAGGGATTTGATGCCGGGAACTACAGGCATCTCCTGCAAGGGGGGATGTTGGGGGATTTTTTCTGTTCTTGTGTCTCTTTTTATCAGGGTTGGAGAATCTTTCCCAGAAGCCCCCAGCAGGTGCCTCTCATGTCCCATTGGACAGATCTGGGTCACCTGCCTACCTCGGAACCCATCGCTGGCAAATGACAAGGGCATTAGCGTGACTGAATGGAACTCATCACAGTTCCCCGTGTAGGGGTAGAGCCCCTTTCCGTGATCATATTTCTCCTCGAGGCCTGAATGAAACTGGGGTTCTGTTAGTACCAAATAAAGGAGGAACAGCTGTTGTGTGCACAACCAACAGTGTCTATTCTCCAGACAATGGAGAAACCCCTCAAGGCTTTAGAGGACAGAAATAGTGCCATCCCTGATGTGTTCGAACTCTGGTGACAGTAGGAAAAATAGAGAGGCAAGAAACTGGGCAGGCTCACCAATTAGCTACCTGAGCTGAAGACAGTGACCAGAGCAAGTAGCAAAGAATGTGGGATGTTCCCTGCAATTGTGGTCATCATTTAAATACTGCATTTTATTGGTTCTCAAACTTCAGTGTTCTCAGAATCCCTGGGATTCTGATTCAGAAGGTCTGGGCTGAGGCCCAAGAGGATGTATTTTTAACTCACATCCCCCAGGTGACTCTGAAGCAGTCACTTGGCCCATACCTTGGATATCACTCCTCCAGTGAGTTAAAAACCCAGGCTGGGACTGTGACAAACACAGCGGCAGCCCCAGCAGGAGTAGAAGGTAGGCTTAACCCTTCCTGAAGTTTACTTGTCCAGCCCCTACTTGGTGCAGAGTCCAACACCACTGCAGACCAGTTCCACCGTCTTGAGCAGTCATGCCAAGAACCTCCAACAGCTCAGGTGCTGCGGTTTCAATGTCAAACTTCTTACTCAAGTGGGACCACTTCTCCTCTTAACCTGGTGCCTCCTTGTGTATCTGGTGACCCTCATCCTTGGGTTCATCGGATAGCTGTCCCTGCCTTTCATGTGCTGGATTGGTTTTGTTGTACCTTCCTGTGATTGCTGACTTGGCTTGAGCCAAACATCATCCCACACACATGCTTCCTCATTTCTTCTTTTCATTTACTGCGAGCCTACGTGCCAGGCATTGTTCTAGGCTATGGGTTTCCGACATGGAAAAAAACGGGCAAAGTCTCTACTCTCATGACACATGACATGAGTCACACAGTAAGCAAATCGATACAGAGTGTAATAGGTTGAATGGTGTCTCCCCAAAATATGTCCAAGTTCTAACCCCTGGTTAGATAACCGTGAGTATATCTTATTTGGAGATAGGGTCTTTGCAGATGTATTAAGTTAAAGATCTCAAGATAAGAACATCCTGGTTTTAGGGTGGGCCCTATATCCAATGACTGATGTCCTTAAAAGAGAATAGAGAGGGAGGTTTGAGACAGAGACAGATGGGAGAAGGGGGAGGCAGAGATTGGGGTGATACTGCCTCAAGTCTAGGAACACTTGGATCACCAAAAGCCTGGAGGGGCCAGGAAGGTTTCTCCCCTGGGGCCCTTGGAGGGATCACAGCCCTGCTGACACCTTGATCTTGGATTTCCAGTCTGCAGAGCTGTGAGACAATACAGTTCTGTTGTCTCTGCTGCCCAGTTTGTCAGAATTTGTGATAAAAGCCCCAGGAAACTTACACACACAGTAAGTCAGCAGTAAAAGCTGGGAAGGAAAACGAGGTAGGTTAGAGGTCGGAGCGGGCTGGCGGGGAAGGAGATGCAGCGTAATTAGGAACACCTGGGTCCTCATCCTGCCTCTGACTCCCCTGACCCCTGCCTCATGGCCTCTTCATATTTGTTCCACCCCGGCTGTGTGCTTAGACCCTGAGTCATGCTCTCGCCTCCCACTCATCTGAAGATGGTAGCTCAGTGGGGACTCTGTTTACTCTCTGGGGAAAGTAAGCAGCTTCCTTGTGGGTAGGAGCAGGGGTCACAAGCTGAGATGAGGACGTGGGTGAGGGGCAACCCAGACAGCAAATGTCCCTTCCTCACAGGCAGCTGCTGCATCGCGGGGATTAGGTGGACATGGCCAGATCTTCTACTTTCTCAAGAGAAGCTAGAAATCTAATAGGAAAAATGTCTGACTCTTTTTTTGTTGTTTTTCATTTACTTAAAAAAATTGAGCTGAAATTAACATAGGATGAAATTAGTTAACTTTTTTTTTTTTTGAGATGGAGTCTCACTCTGTTGCCCAGGCTGGAATGCACTGGCTGGTCTCAGCTCACTGCAACCTCCGCCTCCTGGGTTCAAGGAATTCTCCTGCCTCGGCCTCCTGAGTATCTGGGATTACAGGTGTCTGCCACCACGCTCGGCTAATTTTTGTATATTTAGTAGAGATGGGGCTTCACTATGTTGGCCAGGCTGGTCTCGAACTCCTGACCTCAAGTGATCTGCCTGCCTCGGCCTCCCAAAGTGCTGGGATTACAGGCATGAGCCACCGAGCCCAGCCTAAAAGTAATCGTTTTAAAGTGAATGATTCACTGGCATCTGGTACACCAACAAGTTTGTACAACTGCCACCACTATCTAGTTCCAAACATTTTCTTCACTGCAAAAGGAAGCCCCATTCCCATTACATCGGCCACTTCCTATTCTCTCTAAACCCCAGGCATGGTAGCTGCCAATTTGCCTGTTTCTATGGATTTACCTGTTCTGGATATTTCATATAAATGGGATCAGGCCATTAAATATTAACAGCTAACAACAACAAAAGACACCATGTGGACTGAGTGAACTGGCCCCCGGACTTTCTGTTTCTGACCTCCTGCTTGGCCTCTCCTATCAGTGATGGGGTTCACAGGGCAGCTGTCTCTGGCTTGTTGGGATGCCGAGAATGCCAGGTTAGGGCCAGGCTGGGGCCAGGCTGGGAAAGTCTGCCCTGGGGAAGTGGTTTTGGTGGCTGTGCTGTGAATCTGATCTTCTCCCTAAGAGGAAATGGGGCTGTGCCCCCAGCCCTGGAAGGGCAGCCCCTTCCTTGTCTGTGAGAGGGCTCTGAGGGGTAAGAAATGATGCTCCCCTTCTTGATGGTCCCTCTAATGTGCTACTAGGTGAGGGAGAACGCTCTGGAAAGGCACCTAAACAAGAGGCAAGTGCAAGGGTGATAGCGCCAGCGCGGGGCCCAGATCTCATGGCTGCAGAAACCCGTGTGCTCAAGGATGCCCCTTTTCTGCCTGGAATTTTGCTCTGCAGAGCAACTTGTCTACAGGTCTGTTGTTTTTCCCCAGGAGAGGTGAGATCACACTCTTCCTTTCAGTTTAAAGCAAGGACAGCATTAGACGTTAGAACTGGAGGCTGTGCTCATTCCCTCTGAGAGAGTTATTCGTTCTTTTTGTAATGGTTCTCGAGCACCTGCTGGGTACCTGGTTGGATAAAAACACATGAACTGCCAGCCTGCAACTGTTAGTACAGCGTGACAAATTAAAAAAAAAATCAGTGTTTCCAAGTGTTAGCAATAAGGAACAACAGGGTCAAAAGTAGGGAAAAAAAGATTTTACCAGGAAAATGGGGAGGGGGAGTCATAAAAAGTTCCATGTCCTTCTTCTCACGCCACTGCACAAGGTCCTGGAATTTGTTCTCTGCACAAAAGCAGGGGTGGAGGTGGTTAGGGGAAGGGCTGGAGGGCAGGGCAGGGGGGTGAGTGGAGATCCAGCCCATTTGCTTACTCACCAGGCCCCCAAACATGGCTGTCAGCAGCTGCTGCCCCAAGTGGGTGCTTTTTCCTAATTCCTTCAACCTGGGGGGCCACCTTTTTCTAATTTGCACAGAAGCGGTGTGAGCTAGGCTCAAGGCTTTGCATATTTCTGCTCTTCAGTTTGTATTTTGGGGTTTAATTTTGCAGTGCCTTTGCTGTTGTTTTCGGAATATAGGTATATATAGAAATGGGATTTATTATCGTTGTAAATAATCCTTCTCCAAGCAGCTTTTTAAAAATATGATTACCTCCCTTCTGGCTGGAATGATCAAGGTGTGGTGCTGCCTAAAGACCAAGCGAAGGATACAGTGACTCACTTAGATTCTTTCCAATGTTTAATTCAATGAATTAGGTTTTCTTTAGAGCCTATGAGTCACTTTCCCTGCTCAGTGACTTGCATGACAGAGCGGTGAGATAACCGGGAAGTTAGGGAGCCAACTGGTAGGTTTAGTGAAGGATTCTAAAGGAATGTAGACCTTTAAAAGACCTGGGGAAAACCCAGGGTCCTGGACAAGAGTCATTTGCGAATGCAGTCCCCAAACAAGGAAAAACATCTTCCAGCAGTCACGTATTTTCACCTTCTCACATTTCACTTTTGTTTAAGAAAAGAGTCTGACATCACCAGCATGATTTGCCATGTCAGAAATACCGCGGGTGCCTTTGCAAACAGCTGCAGCGTTTGTGCTCTGCTAATTCTGCAGTTTGGGGAACTGTTTTGTCCACTGAGGTTAGAGTAATTGCCTCCCACTCCCTACTTAGCTAGTCTGCATTCCCGGCCTACCCTGTGAGAGGGATCTATAGCAAATGCCATTTTCATCTCAGAATCATCAGAAGGTGAACTTGAATAGCGTGATCCCTGTGAGCAAAGCACCTATATATCTGGGTGCTATGAAATGCATGGAAGGATGGTGAAGGAAACAGATGTTATCTTGTTTCCTCTTCAAATTTGGGTTGAACAGTGAAAAAGCTGTTGTGTGTCAAACATGAAAATGGTAAAATGATCAAAAGAATGTCCGTCCTGTCGGCTCAGTCTGCACGGAGAGGACATGTTTCCTTTTTATCAGTGTTTATAACCTGCAAAGGAAAAATGGTTTTATGGGCAACATTTCGAATCGGCCCATGGATAGGCTATTTGTAAGAAATGCAAAATCACTGTAATTGTTTTTGTGTGTGAATTGCCATGTGCAAGAGGGGAGAGTTTGTTTTCTTGTGACTGGTTGTTAGCCTGGCCATTGGCTATGATTTGTCTGGCACCATGAAGAGAAGGAAGCTACAAAATGAACTTGTGGTATATTCTGGTTATCTGTTGCCATGTGTCAAATTACCCCAAAACTGACCGGCTTAAAACAACAGCCATTTTTACTCTTTGTGCTTTTGTGGGTGAGGAGTTTGGGCAGGGCTCAGCTGCTCCATTGTTCTGTTCCATGTAGTGCTGGCTGAGGTGGTGGTGTTGTATTCGGCTGGCAGATGGACTGGTCTGGAGGGTCCAGGACAGCTTCCCTTGTAAGTCTAGCACCTCAGTGGGGATGGCTGCAAGGCAAGGCTCAGCTGGGATTGCTGACTGTGTGCCAACACTTGGTTCTACAGCACCACAAGCACAGGAGTCCCAGGGAGAGAGCTCCAAGACACCCGTGTCAGGCTTCCATAACCTACCCTTACTAGACCCTCAACATTGGGCTTCCATAATCTGCCATTAGCAGGCACTCAAAGCAGCTGTTTGAAACCTTTTCTACTACTTTCCCTCAAACCTTCAGCCCTAGCACCTCCTGGCTAGGACATGTCTTTATTCACACCTTCCTGATAAAACATGGGCCATTAGGCATAAACCAAGTGAAATAGAAGAAAACAAAAACCACATGGGTTCTTGAGCCAAAGGACCCATGTTCAAAAGTCATCATTTATCGTCCTTGAGACCTTGAGCAAATTACCCAACCGCTCTAAGCCTTAGTTGCTGATATGGTCTGGCTGTGTCCCCACCCAAATCTCATCTTGAATTCCCATATGTTGTGGGAGGGACCCGGTGGGAGGTACTTGAATCATGGGGGCAGGTCTCTCCTGTGCTGTTCTCATGATAGTGAATAAGTCTCACGAGACCTGATGGTTTTAAAAACGTAAATTTCCCTGCAATAGTTCTCTTCTCTTGTCTGCCGCCATGTGAGACGTACCTTTCACCTTCCACCATGATTGTGAGGCCTCCCCAGCCACGTGGAACTGTAAGTCCAATAAACTTCTTCCTTTGTAAATCGCCCAGTCTCGGGTATGTCTTTATCGGCAGTGTGAAAACGGGCTAATACAGTTGCCTTATCTGCAAAAATGGGTTAAAATACCCAAATCATTATTGATTGAATGAGATATGTATGACAAACACATTTTACAGGCATTAGTAAGTGTAATTTCAAATATAATTGACTTCATGTACTGTTTCTGCCCAACCTGTCTTAATATGGGCTCTTTACCTGCCATTGCCATTTATTAGAACAAATCTAGAACAAATCGCTAAAACTCTCTCTGAGAACCATAATTACTTTCAGAGCTGAAGAGATGACTAAATAAAATGGCGCCTGTGAAAGCCTATGTTGCTGTCAGGTGCATTATAATGATGAATAACAAATCAACAGCATCAGAATTACAATCGGCTCATAATTGCTTTGTATTCTACACGGTCAGAAGTGATCATCCATTTCTCTGCCTGTTGCTTATTTTCACAATGCTCTCAATGTTGGAGATGCTATGGAATGAGGAACAGAGAAAATAAACTTGTTCAAGGGTGAGAACAGACAACAGACATCAGCAATAATTGATGTAGTCTAAGCATATGTGCATACTTCACTATTATAACAAAATAAAACTCAACCATGTTGATCTGACACATTTAATGATATACATATTTAATGATATCCTTACTTTTACTGCATGGTCATTTGGCATAAAAAGTAAGATTTAATGTAATGTAAATAACTGTAATTAGTATCACTTGGGTGCCACCAAAGCAAATTTGTAATTCATTCTATCTTTTGTTATTTTTTCTAGGATCCATAATTAGTAATGACGTTAACAGTTTTCCCTGATAACACCTACTGTTTAGTTTTTTCGTTCATTAATTTACTTTTCATTCATTCATTCATTCATTCATTCCTTAATTCATCCATCAAATATGTATTGGGTGCCTACTGTATGCCAGGCATGGTTCTAGGTACTGTAGATACAGCTGGTCCTGGGGAGACAGAAAATAAAAGAGTTTATTTCAGTGCACTGTGAACTCTCCCGTGATAGGACACTTTGGGCACTATAAGGGCACAAAAAGGGGCACATAATCTAATTTTGAGGTTACAATGAAAACTCGCTAGAGGAGAAGATGAGCCTTAAAATATGACTAGAATTTAACCAGGACAAGAGGTTGGGTGAGGGGAGGAACAGCAAAAGAGAGCTTGTCACTGGGCATAGAGATCAAGTGGGGTGTGGCTGGGGAGGAGAGGGAGGAATGAGCTGAGGCCAGCTCAGGAAGGGCGTCACTGGCCACATTAAGTGGCATGAATCTAATAATAAAGATATTTAAGGGAGCCAGACTTGGTGACTCACTGCGTGTGGGGGCCTAAGGGAGCAGGGGAGCTAAGGAGGCCATCTACACTTTCGAGTTGTGAAACTTGGTAGAGAGGACTGCATTTTACATTTTATTTCATTTTAATTGATTTACATTTAAATAGCAACATGTAACTGGTAGCTACTATATTGGACAGCACAGATTCTGATCCATATACCAACCATCTAGGACGCATCCTCTTGGATGTCTGATACACCACTCACACTCAACGTGCTCACAACGAATATCTTACCCTCAACACGGCTCTTCCTCCTGTCTCAGAGGAATATGGAGGCTTGGAAGTTGAAGAAACTATTTCAGGATTATGAGTGTGGTCAAGGGAATTAAAACTGCAAGAGGTGGAGTAGAAAAGGGTGGAAAAGAACCCATGGGGTTTAGCAGCCAGAAGGCTGTTGGCAAAGACCTTTTCAGTAGAGTAAAAGGGCAGAAGTCAGATTGGGTTAGGAATTAATGACCGATATGGAAGAAGAGACAATAGTGGTGGCAATGCAAATAAAAACAAATTCAAGGGACACAGGCCAACTGCAGGGCTTGGTCCCAAGATGTGGCATTGAGAGAAAAGTTGAGAAGATTTGGGGGAGGTTTCTCGCTTGGGGGTCCAAAAATGTGTTGATGTGCTCTAGTTGAGTGCAAATAGACAAATGGGCTTCTATGGCACAAATCATCCCTGTGCTGCAGGTGTGGCCGTCTCCCTTTGGTGGGGGTATGAGGAGGGTATAATATAGCTGGTATAAGCTGTAAGCAGACACAGGAAGTAGGGGAGAATCAAGTGGAAAGTGGAGGGGGATGACATGAACTTCACTTTTGCACTTGTTGGATTTTAGGTGTCTGGGGAATATTGATTGGCACTGTCCATCAGGAAGCTGAATATGCTAGTCTGAGTCTTAGGGTAGAAGTAAGGAATGGACGGATGCATTGGGAGTCCTTTGTATTCAGTGGCAGTTCCAGTTTATCTATAAAGGAGGGCTTTGAGGGCAGCAATCTGGCTGGAAGTAGGGAAAAGGGGCTGCATTTACATAGCTCCTTACATGAGATGAAGAAAATGTCAATTGTCTGCACTGTGAATGGAGGGGGCACGGAAGTGGGCTGTCCCAGCTGCTTGGCTACCATCACTGCTGTCTAGAGGTGCTGCTGAAGCTGCAAAGGTGGAGGACCTCTCTCATAGAGAGAGTGGCTCTGTAATTTGTCATACAACATGAGACACTTTGGGGAGAGAAAGCGGGACAACAGGTGTAGACTAGGACTGTCCTGAGGACACTGGCCTGTAAGGTTACGAGACCCAAGGAGTGATGGTGGAGGGATGGGGGGTGGTGAGCAGGCACTGAGCAGAAGCTGCATTCTAGGGTTGAGGGAAATAATGAGGCTGATGAAGGAGACAATATGCGTAGGGTGATGAAGAACGAGAGGAGAGTAATGTTCCGGGGGTCAAGGTTAAAAGGAGTTGAAAGGAGGTGGTCATGAATGTGGCCAAGTCTGTGGTGGTCAGGTAGGAAAAGGAGCAAGACAAGTCCCATAGGTTTGTTCTTTAGGAGTCATATAAGGAATGTGTCCTTCACAGAGTTATGAGAGTGGTGCTGGGATTACAGGGGTAAGGAGAGAGCATGGGGGCAGGAGCAAGAGGCTCAGTGACAGCCTACTAGGTAGGAGTTTGGTGGAAGATCAGGCAAGGAAGAAGGCATTGATTTCAGGCAGGTGTATGGTAGAACACTGCTCTGGGGAAGTGTCAGTAGGTGCTCCTGGGTAACAGGTATTTGGCAGCAGTGATATGGCATTCCCCTTTTGAAGATTCACAACTCCTAATAACCATTATTTATATTAACACATGTTAGAAATGACTGCACATTAATTAATATACATAATGTGGCCAGGCGTGGTGGCTCACACCTGTAATCCCAGCACTTTGGGAGGCCAAGGTAGGTGGATCACGAGGTAAGTAGTTCAAGACCAGCCTGATCAATGTGGTGAAACCCCGTCTTTACTAAAAATACAAAAATTAGCTGGGCGTGGTGGTGGACACCTGTAATCTCAGCTACTTGGGAGGCTGAGAGAGAGCAACACTCTGTCTCAAAAATTAAAAAAAATACATAAACTATATATATATACACACACACACACATAATGTAATGCACATTAACAAATACACAGCATAATAATACTTGTGAACACTTACATAGGGCTTATATTGTGCCAGGCAATGTCTTAAATTCTTTACCCAGAAAAATTAATGAAATCCTTACAATTACCCAATGAGGTAGGTACTCTTATGACTCCCATTTTATCGATGGTGAAACTAAGAGGTTATCACTTGCCTAGGGCTCCCAAGCTGGTGGTGGCGGTGCCAGGATTTGAGTCTCCACCTTCGCGTAAACCTGTTTATTCTATAAGGGGTGGAGGGCTGATTCTTGGTGATGTTCAGGACCTTTAACTAAGAAAGACCAGAGGAGAAAGTGACCCAAATCAGAGCAGAAGGAAGGGATTTGGGGCTGAAGGAAGGGCTGCTGCTGGAGTGGCAGCCCACAGTGTCTCCTTCTCACTGAAGGTGACATCCATGGTGAGGAGAGAGCAGGGTAGGAGTGGAGGTGGGGAGCTGAGACAAGTGGGAAGGTTTGTAACAGCTGCAGAGAGGAATGGAAAGGAAATCATGGAGTGATTAGGAAAATGATTGTCAAGAAGCATTCAGAACCCAGCTGTGAGACGGAAAGCATGAATTTGTGGTGGAATCACTCAGCTCAGTTAAAATTTCTTGCCATCAGCATTTAGGCAGTTACGAAGCAGAATATGTTGTCTTGACCCCAACTTTTTGCTCTATCTATGCTTTGGGGGTGATAGGTATGATTGCCCCGTTAGTTCTTTGGGCCCACTAGACTCCTTCCCCTTCCTTCTGACTAATAAGACTGTGTTCAGCTCTCTGCTCCCATCCCAAAGACTTGAGACAAAAGAGAAATCTGAGCTGTCACGATGTGAATTTCCTACTTAGGACCTCATCTGCAGAGTCCAGGTCAAACCTGGTGATTCTGAAGAACCAGGGGTCCAAAGTGCCATCAGGGAGAAAAAGAGGATGGGGCAGAGGAGAACAAAGAGCCCCACACAGCACCCTAATTGTCCTCTCTATGCCAGGTACCAGAGGGCACGCCATACAATCACCATTCAGGGTCAAGCGCTGTGCCAGTGTTCTTTCCAGGGACATCTAAGGGAGCCCCCAGTCACTGATTTGGAGGCAAGTTGAGCTAAATCATTCTCCCTGCCCCAAATAGAGAAATATCACAGGCTCCAGCATGGGGGAGACAGAACAGACAGAAGGGCCCTCTGTGGCCAGCTGAGGTTCCAGTAGAAGGGTAGAGTAGGAGGTAGCGCCTACAGAGAAATGGAAGCCATTTTAGGGGCAGTAAGAAATTAATGTCAGATCCTTTTGGGGTCCATATTGTTTTAGGCATGCTGCTGATCAGGTCGCAGAGGATGAGTAAGGTTCGTGCAGAGGAAGAGAAATTTCTGCAAATAATAGGGGCTCTGCAACAAGAAAGGGACATCTGAGGACCGATCAGACTGAGACCAGAGCCCTGTGGGGTGCAGAGCAGCACCAGGCGGAACCAGGATGAATCAGGGCAAGGAAAAATCTGGCTGGACCAGAACAGAAACATGATCTTACCCCCACAGGGTTCCTCGTGGAGAAGGCAGAAATTACTAACTCTAAGTCCACTTCCTCCTCCTCTGTGTCATTATCGTTTCGGGTGTCTAATTATGTTTAATCAACCATATTGTAAACTACCTTTAGTTTTCATCCTGTGGTGTGAATTCAGTCATTCTGACCAAACCTATAAGTATTGTTAAGGATAATTTTCTGAATGGGGTGGCTCCCTCCTATCTATCAAATTCAAAGGTTTAATTCCCACAGTGGGAGAAACTGGGTCACCTGTTGCTGCTAGAAAAGGCTACTCATGTTAGATTTATGTCTGTTGGGGGATGTTATTTCCCAGATAGTTTACATTCAAGAACGTGTTTAACTTAACCTTAAGTCACATGGAATGTGTTTCCTCCTCTGTCTTTTACAACTTTACCGATACTTATATTTCAAATATGATACAATATACCCATGTAAAGTGCACAGTCCAAGGATTTTTGAGTATATTCATACAATTGTGCAGCTGTCACCACAATCTAATTTTTCGAAAAAAATTTTTTTTTGGAGACAGGGTTTCACTCCCATCGCCCAGGCGGAAGTGCAATGGCATGATTTCGGCTCACTGCAACTTCTGCCTCCTGGGCTCACGTGATTCTCCTGCCTCAGACTCCCAAGTAGCTGAGATGCGCCACCACATCTGGCTAATTTTCATATTTTTTGTAGAGACAGGGTTTTGCCATGCTGCCCAGGCTGGTCTCAAACTTATGGGCTCAAGTGATCCTCCTGCCTCAGCCTCCCAAAGTGCTGGGATTATAGGCATGAGCCACCGTGCCAGGCCAAATATTACAATATTTTTAGTACGCCAGAAAGGAACCTCTTTTCATTAGCAGTCACTCTCTATCTGCCCCCTCCCTTACCCTAGGAAACCATTAATGTACTTTCTGTTTCTGTGGATTTGTCTACCCTGGAGAATCCACATAAACTGAATCATACAATATGTGGTATTTTGTGACTGGCTTCTTTCACTCAGCATTGTATTTTTAAAGTTCATCCATGTTGTAGTATGTATCAGTACTTCATTCCTTTTTGTTGCCAAGTAATATTCCATCGCATGAACAAATCATTTTTTGTTTCTCCATTCATCAGTTGGGTTGATAACATGGTATTTCCATACAGTGGAATATTATTCAGCAATTTAGATTATATTTCCACATTTTGCCTTATGAATAATGCTGCTATAAACACTACATCCAAGTTTTTGTTTGAACATATTATTTTAATTTCTCTTGGGTCTATACTTAAAAGAGTAGAATAGCTAGGTCACATGATAACTCTATGTTTAGCATTTTGGGGAACTACTAGACTGCTTGCCAAAGTTGATGTACACATTTTACATTTCCACCGGCAATGAATGAGGGTTCTAATTTCTCTACATCCTTACCCACACTTGTTGTCTGTCTTTTATTTCAGCCGTCCTAGTGGGTGTAAAGTGTTGTCTCCTCGTGGTTCTGATTTGCATTTCACTAATGACTAATGATGTTGAGCATCTTTTCGTGCCTCCTCTCCTCTCTCTTTACCTTCCCTCCTCCTATACAGGTTTCTGGAGAAACTTCAATGTACATAGCATGGGGACAAAATCATGTCCTCCATGATTTTCCAATGTTGTCTCATTATTGGCAGCATAAAAACAGACTAATACATTCTCCTTCTAGTGACTTCAAGGTCTGGAAAAGGACAGGTCCTGCAGCGGGGCTCCACAGGCAGGGGGTGTAGCAGGCTAAATGTAAAAAGGAGGTGAGATGTCCAGAAAGGAGAGATGGTAACTGGGCAATCCAACAACAGCAAGGGTTGGCTATGGCTTTCCTAGTTGGCTAATGACCATAATACTTGACTTGAATGGGGAAGGGTCTTGGAAAGTACCCCTAGAATGAGTGGGGAGAGGCTAATGAACTTCCCACACTTTATACTCTTAAACTCTGCCAAAAGGAGGAAAGAATGTGGAGAGGATGAGTCTCTCACAAAACTGATTGATATATTGTTGAATGGTAATGTCATCTGCCATTAACTTCTTGCTGCAGAATGACCAAAGTGACAACATTGTGGGTGCTATTTGTTGTTTGTAATTGGGCTTAGCATTCATATATGATCTTCCATCTATCACAGTTCTTGCACTTGATCAACCATCTGTGCTTCCCAGAGTTTTAAATCACATCTTGTTAAAATATGCACACGCAAAGTAGCTCGAACATTAACCCTCTTCACGGCATCCCCTATTGTGGTACAGCTCTAAGCAAACTGAAATAATGCTACATTACACTGAGAACACAGTACCTTCTCGTACATCCTAGTACCTTCTGCCCGTGGAGTCTGGAAAACAGATATTGCCACGTATTAAGGGACACGTGTCATTTGACATTAACAAAGATATTAATAAAATTGTTATTGGTGGCTAGGCATGATGGCTCATGCCTGTAATCCCAGCACTTTGGGAGGCCAAGGTGGGCAGATAACTTGAGGTCAGGAGTTTGAGACCAGCCTGGCCAATGTAGTGAAACCCCATCTCTACTAAAAATACAAAAATTAGTGGGGCGTGGTGGCCGGTGCCTGTAATCCCAGCTACTCAGGAGGCTGAGGCAGGAGAATTGCTTGAAACTGAGAGGCAGAGGTTGCAGTGAGCCAAGATCACGCCACTCCACTCTAGCCTGGGCGACAGAGTGAAATTCTGTCTCAAAAAAAAAAAAAAAAAAAGTTACTGGTGTACACAGAATCAAGTTTCTTAGAACCAAAAACTCTTTAAAAATCCATTTAATGAAGACTAGTTTTGAAAAGAGTAATATCATCACTGTGTTTTCATAATGAATGTTCAAGTGGAGGATCCACTGTTTAACCTGAACCAAGTCAATGAATTTTCCAGGAGTTTGACTCTCATTTCTGGTTATTCATGTTGTAAAATGTACGTATCCACCCTTGCAATGATTTAGAGGAAAATCAATGAACATTTCTAAAAAGAGCACATCATGCTTGATTGCTGGCAATGAATTTTCCCAAACATTGGTGCCACTCGATAAATGATAGTTTGGAGAAAATTTAGACGGGGCTATCTTATGATATCAAAGAATAAAAATCAAATAGATAAGAATAAATAAAACAGAAAGGAAAATATTTCTTTAGTCACTCTTTTTCAAATACTACCAAGAAAAGATGCCATTAGGGTGAAACTGGGGTGGAGTTGAATGTGTTATGTTGAGTTTGCCAGGCCCGTTCCTCCTTCTAGCTGCTTAACCTGAAAATGCAATCTGCATGATTCAGCCTCCTGGCAGAACAGATAAGGTCTTCCTGCTTGAATTTCACCTTCTCAAAACTGTCCTAAAGGCAAGCTAGGGCTTACCTGGCCTGGTCAACTATGGGGGGGCATCCCACTTTCACTCCTGTCAAACTGCTAGGGAGAGGGCAGGGCAATTCAGATAAGGAAAACTGAAAGGGATTTTCAAATATTTACACACACACACATGCTGCATGCACACACACACACATATCTGCATCTCTTACTAATTCAGACAAATGAGTGAACTTCAGATTTTTTTTTAAGTACAGTGTTTATTACTTTTAAATATACGCAGCAATTAGGCCTAGGATAGCAAAGCATTGCCAGCAGGAGTCCTCAGGGAATCAGATTTGATGACTGCGTAAGAATGCTTTCCAATTAACTTATTAATGATTTATGAATACATGGTTCTCTGGAGTGCCTACAAATATTTAAAAAATGTAATTACTTATAGGAAGATTCAACAGGCTAAATTTTTTTCCTTCAAACAAATTTTGAATACACGATCCATTTACTTAGCAAACTCCTTCTTTACACATAGCAAAAAGACACATTGGAGACCAATTCTTATTTTTGTTATCAAAAACATCCAGTTTTGAGGAGTCTAAATTATGAGACTTTGTGCATCTAGAATCTTAAGGTAGTCTATTCACAAGTTTACCTAAAAACAGGGGATTTGTAGGGTCACCCCAGCAGGAAACGGTTTCCCAAAGATCTTGTTACACCATTTTTGCCCTGGTGAGAAAAACCTGAGAGAATGAACAATGATTATCGCACTAATAGTAATGGCAAGTGATATAAGTTGAGATTCATTTAAATTTTAAAAATCACATTAAATAAATATTAATTTTATTTAAGTCTTCATATATCTTAAATCTCATCTAACTTTGTAATTCAATTACTTAAAAAAATGTTTCTGGCTGGGCGCAGTGGCTCACCCTGTAATCCCAGCACTTTGGGAGGCTGAGGTTGGCAGATCACCTGAGATTAGGAGTTCGAGACCAGCCTGACCAACGTGGTGAAACCCCGTCTTTACTAAAACCACAAAAATTAGCCGGGCTTGGTGGTGGATGCCTGTAATCTCAGCTATTTGGGAGGCTGAGGCAGGAGAATCACTTGAACCTGGGAGGCAGAGGTTACAGTGAGCCAAAATCGTGTTACATTGTACTCTACCCTGGGCAACAGAGCGAGACTCTGTCTCAAAAAAACAAAAGTTTCTATCCAGACTGACCTTGATGATCTTAATCTAAGGGTAGTATGTATAAAAATATGTGGTGATGGCACTTTAATTGTTTGATGGATCCAATAAGGAACTGGTTTGAGAGAAATCTGAAGCTCTAGTATGTTTGACCATTAAAGAGAATGGTCATATTTATCGAACTAAAAGTTTCTTTACTTGTTTAAGGAATCTAGTGGGCTCTACAAATGTTCTTTGTTGAGAGTAAAAGGCTTTAAGGAGTATAGATTCCAAAGAGAAAGCATCCCTATTATAGCAACTCTGGAGAAAGGTTTCACAATTTGCCCAGGAAAAAATCTAATGATAACAAAAAAGTACTGAAGAGACTAAACAATTGTACAGTGGGAAGTAGGTCTTCTTCAGTGTTAGGGCCACTCAAAGATCCCCTTGGTCAGGAGTTCCTTGAGTTCCTGTCATATTCTCTTCTTCTGTGCACCCAGAAAACTTTGTACATACCTCCTCTAAATGCATATAGTGTTGTACTCTTTCTTTGGCATTTATAGATCTTACTCTCCCTTTGGCCAGGGAGATCCATAAGGGCAAGGAGGGTGTCTCATTCATCTTTTTTCCCTAATATAGTGTCTGGCATTGTTTGATTGATGAATGAATGAATAAAGAAAGTAATGAAAAATTATGGCATGAGATGGAGGCTGAAAGAGTGGGAAGAAAGGTTCGGCATTCTTGAAATTGTCCCTTTCAGCTTGTAGAAGACACTTGCTAGGAGATGAAATAGGTTCCCCCAAATTTCTCTGTTGAAGTCATACCCCCAACATGACTGTGTTTAAAGATAGGGCTTCTAGGAAGTAATTCAGGTGAAGTGAGGTCATAAGCATGGGGCCCTCATCTGATAGGACTGGCGGCATTTTAAGAAGAGGAAGAAACAGAGAGAGAGATCGATCCCTCTACATGCACATTTACTGAGGAAAGGCCAAGTGAAGATACGGTGAGGAGGTGGCCGTCTGCAAGGCAGGAAGTGAGCCCTCAACAGAAAGTTTTCATGCTGGCATCCTGATCTTGGACTTCCAGCCTGAAAAGCTATGAGAAAATAAATGTCTGTTGTTGAAGCCACCCAGTCTATGGTATTTTGTTATAGCAGCTTGAGCAGACCAAGACAGCACCTTATTCCATGCCCTTCCTTCTCTGATAGCTTCTTCCCTCTCACAGGGATGGATTCCTTGGTCCTGCTGGCTTCACTGGTCAGGGCTGATTGGACCAAGGTGAACAGCAGCCCTAAGATTCCCTCCAAGAATTGGGGTTAAGACACACTTGCCAGTCTGTCTCTTGTGGGTGTTTGAACTAAGGATTTTAAAACTTGGATGTCATGGGGTAGCAAGCTTCTGCTGTGTGCATGTCGAAGCCAAGGTCTGCAGGGAGAGTTATGCAGAGAGAAGCAGAGATTAGGAGGGGGTCATACTGGGGCCACTGACAGGTGCTGCTGGCTGGATGCTTCTGGCTGGCCATGCTATTCCTCCCACCCTTACTTGTGATTCTTCCTACATCTTCCCTGTACCTCATTCTCTTTCCTTCCGACAATTTGAATGAGTTTCTGTTACTTTTCATCAAAGCAGCTTGACAAAGATGAGGCGTTTTGAAATTCACTTTCCCTTTCTGGCTTGTGTTCTCAGAAAGGAGACTATAGATTAGGAAGCATGTAGAGGCATGTGACAAGGCCTCCTCTTCATTGGCAGGAAACATTTTTCAAGTGCCCAATTTTAGGAATTCTCTGGCATATTTTCTTTCTGATATTCCTCCCCCAGTGTAATCCTGTGATAGAGTGTAATTCTATGGTTATTTTTGTCAATTGGTGGTAGATCGTATATATAATGTTTTCCAAATTCAAAATGGCAACTGAGAAAGAAAACTGTCCCAAACAAGGTCTGCTATAGAAATTTTTTGCCACAATTTATAACTCCTTTTGGGAAGAAATTAGCGTTTCTGAGCAGTAGTCTGACACACTTGAAGAAGGTTAAATAATCCATTTGGAAAGTTATCTACCTACCCACCCAACTGACCATCTGCCTTTTGAGAAGTCTGATGTCACCAGGCATAGTTGATACCGTATCATAACAAAGTATCATTAAAAAATTTTAAAGCATGATTCTCATATAAATATACAACAGGATATGTCAATGCTTTTTCAACTCATTAACGAGAGATCCATCTGGCTTAAGAATTAGAGGACATTCTGAAGTATTTATTATCAGTGAAGAGTGTAAAGATAGCTATCAAACTGGTTAATGTCCCCCATGACAATAAAATAGTAACTCTTTTGATTATCATATATGCACACATACATACATACATATACATATATGTATATGTATATATGTATGTGTATATATGTATATATGTATGTATGTGTGTATATATGTATGTATGTATATGTGTATATATATATATAACGTGTATATATTTTGAGATGAGATCTCACCATATATATTGCCTAGGTGGGCCTTGAACTCCTGGGGTCAGATGATCTTCCCACCTCAGCCTCCTGAGTCAATACAGGCACAGAGTACCACATCCATGATTATCTTTGCGCCCAGACAGACATCATTTTCATGTTTACTGAACAGAAATCTATGAGTTACCCTATAACTTCACAGAGTCTGTGACCTAGTCAGTGATAAATACTCATTCAAAGGTACATTCCCCTAAAGAATTAAATCATCTTTGGATGGGATAATTAATAATGCTCCACTCTAAGACTCAAAAGTCACAAAAGCTTCCTTTTTCTTATTTCCAAGTTTGGAAAATGTTTCTTTAGTTGTTTCTTTTTTTTTCTCTTTTCTTTTTTTCTAAGACGTCTAACAAAAGGGACATCTTTGAATTGGTTGCTTCTTCTCTGTGGAGAATTCAGAATAAAACTTTGACACGTTTTTTTCAATTGGCTGAGAAATTGCTTTAACACTTCAATATTAAAAAGTATTAGTAAGGTCATCCAAGTGCCAGAAAGCAGCCATTTCTTGGACAGATTATTTTTCACCATTATTTGTTTCCAACCATTTAAAAATGAATTGGCTACATTCCGATATAGGTGGAAAATATTGTTTTGATAAAACAGCAAATCCACTTTATGAAGCTTTATTATTATTATTGTTTTTATGTATTTATTTTTAGGCAGGGTCTTGCTCTGTTGCCCAGGCTGGAGGGGAAGGATGTGATCATGGCTCACTGTAGCCTCGACCTCTTGGGCTCAAGTGATCCTCCCACCTCAGGCTCCCAGGTAGCTAAGACCACAGGCATGAAACACTACACCTGGCTAAAAACAGACACTTCTCAAAAGAAGACATTTATGCAGCCAAAACACACATGAAAAAATGCTCATCATCACTGGCCATCAGAGAAATGCAAATCAAAACCACAATGAGATACCATCTCACACCAGTTAGAATGGTGATCATTAAAAAGTCAGGAAACAACAGGTGCTGGAGAGGATGTGGAGAAATAGGAACACTTTTACACTGTTGGTGGGACTCTAAACTAGTTCAACCATTGTGGAAGTCAGTGTGGCGATTCCTCAGCGATCTAGAACTAGAAATACCATTTGACCCAGCCGTCCCATTACTGGGTATATACCCAAAGGATTACAAATCATGCTGCTATAAAGACACATGCACACATATGTTTATTGCGGCACTATTCACAATAGCAAAGACTTGGAACCAACCCAAATGTCCAACAATGATAGACTGGATTAAGAAAATGTGGCACATATACACCATGGAATACTATGCAGCCATAAAAAGTGATGAGTTCATGTCCTTTGTAGGCACATGGATGAAGCTGGAAACTATCATTCTCAGCAAACTATTGCAAGGACAAAAAACCAAACACCGCATGTTCTCACTCATAGGTGGGAATTGAACAATGAGAACACATGGACACAGGAAGGGGATCATCACACACCGGGGACTGTTGTGGGGTGGGGGGAGGGGGGAGGGATAGCATTAGGAGATATACCTAATGCTAAATGATGAGTTAATGGGTGCAGCACACCAACATGGCGCATGTATACATATGTAACTAACCTGCATGTTGTGCACATGTACCCTAAAACTTAAAGTATAATAATAAAAGAAATTTTTTTTTTGTAGAGACAAGGTCTTACTATGTTGCCCAGGCTGGTCTTGAACTCCTGGGCTCAGGCAATCTTCCCATTTTGGTTTCAAAAAGTGCTGGGATTACGGGTGTGAGCCACCCCACCCACCCAGCTTTATTATTTTTAGTAGAACACTGCACCTTGGCAGAAGTAAATGCAATTTTATTATATGTATTACATGGTTAGCATTTAGTGTAATTGTAAACCCAAAACTGCTTGTTGAATTTTACTATTAGATATTGAGGTCCAGACACTATTTTTGTTGGTAGTATTTTCTCCATTTTAGATAGAAATATTTTGTTAAGCCATGATTCTACAAATATAAGGTCCAGTGGAAAAGCCTTTGGGTTTTCTTTTTGGTAGGGTCCTTTTTAGCTTAATCCTTCTGTGGCAGTTTTATATTTTCTCAGATGGATAAAAAAAGGATTCATCTTCTGTGCTTAGCTTTCTATGTCATAAGATTTTATTTTTTTCTGGGGTCTAAGTTTTAATTATAGAAGCATTTTTATTAATAATATTTTGCAAATAACAGCACTTTAAAATATATCTCTGTTTGTTTTGTAGCAGAATGCTGTCAGCAAGTAGTCATTGTCTAAAGGCTTTAAGATAAAAACTGAATCTCTCTGAAGAAGCAGCAATATTGCCTGTGGGCTGCAGCTTCAGCTCCTGCACAAGTTTCCAGCCTGCTCTACAGATTTCCAACTTGCCAACCCACACAATTGTGTAAGCCAATTCCTTGAAATAGATCTCCTCACATATAAAATATATACAGTTTGCATATATGGGTGTGTGTGTGTGTGTGTGTGTGTATGTGTGTGTGTGTGTGTGTGTGTGCATGCCCACATACATGTATGCATACATATACATCTTACTGAATCTGTTTCTCTGGCCGAACCCTAAATAATAATACACCTTTGTGACTGGTAAACAAGGCTAGGAACTAGGAAACCACCTTCCTCCTTCCTACAAAGAGACTCCCTTTGAAGAGCTTAACTTTTAAAATTTGCTCCCCAGTTGTGAGAAGGTTATGTATACTATGCTACCTTACATCTCTCCTTCTCTATTTTCATAATTCATTTTGTTAATTAGCATTCCCAAACTTTTATAAAGTACATTACACAAATACTGCCAAACAGTCTTGTAGTATCAAATGTGTGGGTGTATCCATCAGGATTCTTCTTTTTTTAAAAATTAAATTTTATTTTATTTTCAGTTCCGGGATACAGGTGCAGAATGTGCAGGTTTGTTACATAGGTAAGCGTGTGCCATGGTGGTTTGCTGCACCCATCAACCCATCACATATAGCACATTAAGCCCCACATACGTTAGCCATTTATCCTGATGCTCTCCCTCCCTGCCCCCTAACAGGCTCGGGTGTGTGTTGTTCCCCTCCCTGTTTCCATGTGTTCTCATTGTTCAGCTCCCAGTTATGAGAGAACATCCAGTGTTTGATTCTCTGTTCCTGTGTTAGTTTGCTGAGAATGATGGTTTCCAGCTTCATCCATGTCCTTGCAAAGAACATGATCTCAAAAGTTCCTTAAGCTGAAGTTCCTTCAGCAAAGTCTCAGGATACAAAATCAATGTGCAAAAATCAGAAGCATTCCTACACACCAATAATAGACAAGCAGAGAGCCAAATCATGAATGAACTCCCATTCACGATTGCTACAAAGAAAATTAAAAATACCTAGGAATACAGCTAACAAGGGATGTGAAGGACCTCTTCAAGGAGAACTACAAACCACTGCTCAAGGAAATAAGAGAGGACAGAAATAAATGGAAAAACATTCCATCCTTTTAGATAGGAAGAATCAGTATAATGAAAATGGCCATACTGCCCGAAGTAATTTATGGATTCAATACTATTCCCATCAAACTACCATTGACATTCTTTACAGAATTAGAAAAAAACAAATTTAAAATTCATATGGAACCAAAAAAAAGAGCCTGTATAGCCAAGACAATCCTAAGCAAAAAGAACAGAGCTGGAGGCATCACACTACCTGACTTCAAACTATACTACAAGGCTACAGTAAGCAAAACAGCATGGTACTGGTACCAAAATAGACACATATACCAATGGAACAGAATAGAGATCTCAGAAATAAGACCACATATCTACAACCATCTGATCTTCTACAAACCTGACAAAAACAAGCAATAGGGAAAGAATTTCCTATTTAATGAGTGGTACTGGGAAAGCTGACTAGCCATATGCAGAAAACTGAAACTGGACCTCTTCCTGACACCTTATACAAATATTAACTCAAGATGGAGTAAAGACTTAAATGTAAAACCCCAAACCATAAAAACCCTAGAAGAAAATCTAAGTAATACCATTCAGTACATAGGCATGGACAAAGATTTTACAATGAAATTGCCAAAAGCAAATGCATCAGGATTCTTAATTGCAAACAATAGAGATTGACCATCACTGATTGAAGCAAAAAAAAAAAAAAAAAGAATTTATTAAAAGGATATCAGGCAGCTCAGAATAGTTGATAACGTTGAATGGCGAGGCTTGGAAAACGGCCAGGTGGATATGTCATTTGCACCCAAGAGCACAGTCAAACATCCTGCCATGAAACCAGTGTGCTGAGGACATTGCTACAAGCCATACTGGCTCCTGGACACGTGACTTAGAGGCTACTGCTGCCCAAGCTGCCCTTGCAAACTCAATGCCGCTGTTGCTACTGCCACCTCTGTTGGAATATACTCTCTACTGTCGCGTGTTTTGGGTTAACCAGCTCCTGATTCAAGTCCAAGGTGGGTGCATTTGATTAGTCACGTCTGGGTCACATGATGATGCCCTAGTTGTAAGTGTGCCTGTGAAAGCACTTGGTACTTTTAGTTTCTATGGGGGATAGAGGGCTCTGCTTGGGAGGAAATTCTCCAAGTACAGGAAGGCGATTTGGATGGCAGTCAGCTAAAGAGGACAAATATCCACTACTGTGCCTTTTGGTACCACTCGTCTGTGGAAGGCAGCATGGCAGTAGCAGCCTAGATGCCATGGCACACATCATGGAGTTCTTAGCTGTTATCAGCATGAAAGCAGGACTGGGAGAGACCGGGAGGAGCAGACTGAGCCGCCAAGTGGCTAAAGGGACCTGAAGATGCTACCCATGGGCTTGTGGACCACAATGACCAGCAGGAAAACGGTGCCTGCAAGGAGTGAGTGCTGTCCATCGTCAGCCACAGATCCTTAAAGGAGCATCTATGAATGAGGAGGGGAGCCTGCCTGCAGCCCTACTCATCACCATCAGGCAAAAGCATCCCAAGGGGGGCCAACGCCTGGGCATCTGCTCATACAGCACTGACACCTGCCTGTGCCTGGAGACTTTGGAAGCTCATCTGATTGACATGGGGTGGACATTCCTGATTCAACATCCAAGGACACTTGTAAGCCATCTTATCCCCTACCTCCAAAGCAGAGAGTGGGATGCTGGACACCCAGGTTGCTGGGGGCAGTCATGGAGGGGAACAGATGCCACTCACCAAGCATCTGTCCTTGGGTGGACCTGAGCCAAACCAATTTGAGATTTCATTCACTGATTGTTTAACTCATGCCACCCCTCCTCCAGTAAGGTTGGGATGGTGGTGAAATGAACCTCTGCTTATACAACTTAAAAGTCTTAGATTTGTAAAATAAAATCGACCCACAAAAATATCTGAGAATAGTTGATAGTTGCTGTATTGATTAGGAATGCTTTTAGTTTTGGGCAAGAGAAAACACAATTGACAATGCTTTAAATAGACAGGGGTTCAGTTTCCCCATGTAACAAGTGGGTTTGGGAGAGGCACCTGTTATTGTTGGTTCAGAGATTCAGAGATGTCAAGGCTATCATTTCTGTAATTTGAATGGTTATGCCCTCATGGTTATAATACGGCTGACTGCAACAGTTCCAGGCATCAGGGCCAAGTTCCAGCTGGAAGAAGGTGTGAAAGAGACAGCTGGGTCTGCCTCTTTCATCAGGAAAGCAAAAGGATTCCCAGGCGCCCTAGTAGACTGTCATTTAAGCCAGAATCATGTCATAGCACCACCCATAGCTATGAAGGTGGCCGGGAAATATTGACAGTTTCCTGTTGCTCTGCTAGAGGCAGGCAAAGACATTGAAACAGGGATGGATGAGCCAACAAACAGTGACTTCTGCCACTGCCAAGTTTATCACGTGAATTAATATTGATTTTTGAACTGATTAATTCCTTCATTGTATGTTGACACTTGCTAGCCCACAGTTTATGACAGGCAACAAAAGTTTTCCCCCAAAATTATGAAAGTAAAGCTGTCAATAAAATTTTATTTAGTAAACTCTGTCTCTCTTCTGCAAAATAGAAAGAGGTTACTATTATATGACTGTAATAATGGGCAAAAATGATGACTTGCATGGAGCGCTAGTGAGCTGAGAGAGCACTGTAAAGCTCTGTAATCCTGAAAATCAGACCTAGAGAATGAAAGGTATGATTTTTAAGCATTAAAGTGTATTAAAACACAACACAAAAAGAAAACTTGGTTTCTAGTCCTGTTTCAGTCAATAAATAGCTATGTGACCTCCAGTGAGTCAGTCCTTGTTTTCTTTTTAATAAAATGATCATCTCTTTTTCTTTTCTTTTTTTTTTTTTTTTTTTTTTTTTTGAGATGGAGTCCTGCTCTATCACTCAGGCTGGAGTGCAATGGCACGATCTCAGCTCACTGCAACCTCCACCTCCTGGGTTCAAGCAATTCTCCTGCCTCAGTCTCCTGAGTAGCTGGGATTACAGGCATGCGCCACCACACCTGACTAATTTTTGTGTTAGTAGAGACATGGTTTCCCCATGTTGGCCAGGCTGGTTTCGAACTTCTGACCTCGTGGTCCACCTGCCTCAGCCTCCCAAAGTGCTGGGATTACAGGCATGAGCCACTGCACCCGGCCGCATAAAGTTATAGTCTTTTCTATAAAATAAAACATAATCTCAATTGGTTATTCTTAGATCTGAAATTTTGTACTTCTCTGTGATTAGTCTTCATGTCTATGTGGGTGGACAAGAAAGAAATCATTATGTGTCCAATTATTTAGTCTTCTAAAATTCAAGAGTTGTTTCTGAGCACCTACTGTGTGCTAGGCAATGAAGGCACCAAGGATAAATCTCATGTTAAAAGACCAGTTGAGTGGAGGTTTTAGATTGAGGCTTACTTTAAAATTTTCTCAGGAGGCTGGGCATGGTGGCTCAGGCCTGTAATCCCAGCACTTTGGGAGGCCAAGGTGGGTAGATCACTTGAGGTGAGGAGTTCAAGACCAGCCTGGCCAACATGGTGAAACCCTGTCTCCACTAAAAATACAAAAATTAGCCAGGTATGGTGGCACATGCCTGTAGTCCCAGCTACTCGGGAGGCTGAGACAGGAGAATCGTTTGAACTCAGGAGGCAGAGGTTGCAGTGAACTGAGATTGCACCACTGTACTCCAGCCTGGGCGACACAGCAAGATTCCATTTAAAAAAAATTGTTTTTAGGAAAAGAAATAAATGGAATTATTTCCTGAGGCAGTTTAATCTAATTCCTTCAATGGTAGGATCATTTCCGGCCATGGTCTGGACAGGCAAGATCAAAGGAGCCTGCAAGCTCCTTCACCTCCAGCATCTTCCCCACCAGCCAGTCATCTCACTCAAGGTTCCCATCACTGAGCTGGTTCCATCTCCAGAAGGTCAAGTTTACGAGTATAGCTGTAGGAAGGGTGTGAGAGCCACCTGAGCCAGCTATCTTGTTCTGACCAACAATTTCTCACAGCAGAAATTAATCTATAATATTAGCAGGAAAGCCACAAGGGGTTCCTATGGGGGGTAGTGCCCGGGGGAGGGAGTTGTTCAGTATTAATGGTAGACCAGGATGGCTGGGGAAGCTCTGAAACCCAGGCCAGACCCAAGGAATTCCACTCTAGCTTGGGGATCCTAAACAGCATACATCTTTCTGGGAGCAAAGGACTTTCAGCAGGAAGGGAACATCAAAGATAAAAGTGTGTAGGTCACATTTTGCCTAAAAAGGCACAGATCAGGGAACTATAAGATTGTATTAGCCCAGCTTTACCCCCGGTCTCTTTCTGAAATCAGAAAGACTCGTGTCAGCACAGAAGTGCCCAACACAGAAGCTTCCCTGAAGATGCCCCTCCCTCGACGCCTGCCCCACCGCCCACCTTCCATACTGTCTGTCATCTCAATAGAGTCCAGAGGCACGAGGTGGAACCAGGGCTCCCAGCTCCTTCTACTCTTCTACTTATGTAGCCTCGGGGAGGCCACTTCATCTTTCTCTGTGTCTCATCTGTAATAGGTAGGGGCACTGATGATAATGGCCAAGTTTAGAGGATGTTTTAAGATAAAATGAGTTAATACATAAAATTACCTAGACAAGTATTAGCTTGCATGTCCCCTTCTTAGACCTGCCCTCTATGGACAGACTTTTCCCTTGAAGCTGCATATTTTGACCAAGCAGAGTTTTTACCTCTGTTAAAACAAACACTGTTTTCTTGAGGGCCTGGTTCTAAAACCTTCTAAGGCGATTATGAGGGTTACACTGAATTCTGATGATATTCTAGTGAGGGAGGCAGGACAATGACACTGTGCATTCCCTGACAGCAGCAAGGAGCCCAGCGACCTTGAGTCCCAGGCTGGCTTCCTCTTCAGGCTAACAAGAGAGGTACCACGGGGCAAAGATACCCTTTGCAGGCAAAGTTACACAAACTGTCTACAAAAGCAGACGACTGGAATGTCATTTCTACTTTTCTCAGTTTCTGAAAAGTGTTTTTGCCACTTAAGGATGTTTCTCCCTCTGGTGGGAATGGGAACACTTGTTCAAGAGTTAATTAGGGCCCAGCACAGTTGCTCACACCTGTAATCCCAGCACTTTGGGAGGCGGAGGGATCACCTGAGGTCAGGAGTTCAAGACCAGCCTGGCCAACACGGCAAAAACCCGTCTCTACTAAAAATACAAAAATTAGCCGGGTGCTGTGGCGTGCGCCTGTAATCCCAGCTACTTCGGAGACTGAAGCAGGAGAATCACTTGAATACGGGAGGTGAAGGTGGCAGTAAGCCAAGAGGGTGCCACTGCACTCCAGCCTGGGTGACAGAGCAAGACTCTGTCTCAATTTAAAAAAAAAAATAAAAGGCCAGGCACAGTGGCTCACGCCTGTAATCCCAGCACTTTGGGAGGTGGAGGAGGGCGGATCAACTGACGTCAGGAGTTCGAGACCAGCCTGGCCAACATGGTGAAAACCCATCTCTACTAAAAATACAAAAAAATTAGCTGGGTGTGGTGGCAGGTGCCTGTAATCTCAGCTACTTGGGAGGCTGAGGCAGGAGAATTGCTTGAACCTGGAGGCAGAGGTTGCAGTGAGCCAAGACTTGGCCATTGCACTCCAGCCCGGGCAACAAGAGCTAAACTCCGTCTAAAAAAAAAAAAAAGTTAATCAGGTTTTAGCAGGCCTGACAAGGAGACGAAATCCTCCCCGCCTCATGGAGATCTGGGGCTGGTCTTCCTAGAGTTCATAGTCTAGTGCAGGGGCTCCCAACCCAGGTCTGTGGTCTGTTAAGGAACCAGACCTCATCGTAGGAGGTGAGAGGCAGATAAGCCAATGAAGCTTCATCTGTATTTACAGGTGCTCCCCATCGCTCACATTACTGCCTGAGCTCCACCTCCTGTCAGATCAGCCAGGGCATAAGAGTCTTATAGGAACACCAATGCTATTGTGAACCGCCCATGGGAGAGATCTAGGTTGCACACTCCTAGGAGAATCTTAATGCCTGATGATTGGTCACTGTCTCCCATCACCCCCAGATGGGACCATCTAGTTGCAGGAAAACAAGATCAGGACTCCCACTGATTCTACATTACGGTGAGTTGTATAATTATTTCATTATATATTACAATACAATAATAATAGAAATAAAGTGCACAATAAATGTAATGTGCTTGAATCATCCGGAAACCACCCCCTGCCCCACCTGTGGAAAAACTGTCTTTCACGAAACCAATCCCTGGTGCCAAAAAGTTTGGAAAGCACTGGCCTAGCGGATCTGCTGTGACCAATATAGTAGCCACCAGTCACACTGGCCATTGAGCACTTGAAATGTGGCTAGTCCAAATTGAGATGTGCTGTACGTGTAAAATACACATCAGATTTCGAGGACTAGTACGATAAAAGAATGTAAACTGTCTCATGAATAATTTTTATATTGGTAGCATATTGAAATAATATTTTGGCTGAAACATAGTAATGACTTCATTAATGAATGAAGAAACTGAAACATACTATTAAAATTAATTTCACCTGCTTCTTTTACTTTTTAAAATGTGGCTCCTAAAAACATAAACTTTCACATGTGTCAGGCATTATATTTCTATTGGACAGTGCTGGCCCAGATGAGAAAGATTTTGCAGATACGAAATATTTCTATTCAAATTTTTTTGGAAAGTGCTTTAAGGCAAATTTACTTGGAATTCATACATGCCAATGAGGTATTATTCTGATGGGTGTACAGTGTTTAGAAAGTTATCTTTATTACCTATAGATTAAAACTCAAAGTTAAACGTTTCTATGGAGGTCTTAGCTGGAGAAATAGCTGTGAAGGTACCAGACACGGAAGCTATGAGAAGAATCTAAAACTTACAGTCTAAGACTAATAATCAAGACTGTGCGAATTAATGTTGAAATCTTCTAAATTTCATTTTGAATTATTTTTTCCTCCTAAAGCTAGAAACACTCAAAATTCCACATTCAAACAAATGCTAAACAATCAGGGGAGAGCTAAGAGAAACCTAATGGAAAATAGTCAAGAAACGGCATCTGGGGCCCAGTGGCAGGCCGGAAGCTCTGGGCTTCCCCAGAACCGGAGCCGGCCCCGAGCATGCAAGTAGCTCGGGAGCCGGAGCCCTGGAAGCGCCGAGCCGAGCCGCGCCGCGCCGCGCTGGGGGCGGTGGCCAGGCCCAGGCGGAGCATTGCCCGTCGCCATGGCAACGGCAGGAGCAGCAAACAGCCGGCTAGCCGGGCGGCCTGAGCGGACTCCGGAGAGCAGACGAGGGCAGGGCGCGGCGGCTGCGGCGGGGTCCTCCCTGCACCGGGGGAGCGCTACGAGTCCCAGCGGAGCGCCGCAGCACAGCGCCATGGACAAACTGGTACTGTGCGCGCTCGGGCCACGCGGCTCCCACGCCCAGCCAGGGCCGCCGCGGCGCATGCGCGGCCGAGCGGCCCGGGGTTCCCTGGCTCGCGGGGTTGGCGGCAGAGACCAGGGAGGGGCTCGGCTTGTGGTCCGGGGTTTTCAGAGTTTGGGGGCCAAAAGCACTTTCTTGACCTTTTAGGGCTGGGATTGCTGTTTCTGGAATTTCGCACGTTTTTTTCCTCAGGGGGTAGTTGTCAATCACGCCTACCAGGGCACCCCGAAATGCAAAACGCACTAAGTTCAGGGACTTCCTCCTCTTCCTCTTGCTGCTGAAAAGGCCATTGGTTGTCTGCGACGTGGACCCAATCCACCCATTGTCCCATAGCGAGCATCAGAGATATCCAGGTGTGGCGAAGGTCGCTTTTGTGTCTGTCGTTCGTTGGCTGTTACCAGCTCTCATTAGCCCTTGGGTTTGGACAGAAGCGAATGTTTAGTTCCCCTGGAGAGAGGGAGGGGTATGGTGTGCAGAGAAAGCCCCGCTGGGTGGGTTCTTTCTGTCTCTTACATTTGCCTCGGTGCGCATCGGAGCAGGTGCAGCTGGAAACACACGCTATACATTTACATCAACTTTCATTTCATTAGTCTGGCTCTTTTTTTTTTTTTAAGTGAATATTGTGGATTGAAGAATAATCCAAGTTCAGTACTTGTTTTTGCATTTATTTTCAAGGACGATTGCATTCATATATATTTTCATCAGGTACACTATAGTCATATAACTGTAGGGATCTATTATGCTAATCGATAAAATATGCACTTTGTCATGATTTTAAAGATATAAATTTATACTTGTTGAATTAAGAGCAATGTATCTAGATTATGCAAATAATACTTCAGCGTTTTCCTCCTCTCTGTAGATATTTACGTTGCTCAAAATTGGCTTTTATTTTTGTGTGTATCCTTTTATGGTAGACACATATTAATATTCTCATTTTCATATAATTTATGTCATAAATACTTGGAATTTTCACTATATTTTGTGTTTATTGAAGACATACTCGTTAGCTCTTTTTAGTATTTCAAGTGACTGTTCTCATTTTCTGTCAAAGAAAATGGGACCCTGAAATGACAGGTGACATTGTTACTTCTAATACCAATAAACCAATGACTTTTTTCTATGTCTTAATTTTAAATCCATATATAATACAATCTTACATAAATTTACCAAGTTTTCCCCTTTAAGGATATAAAGCATGGCTATTAGCTTTCATCTGGGTTGTTATATTTTATTAATTATGCTTGCTTTCAGGTTTCAGCGCTATGCTCTTTGCCTCTAATTTTCTCTTGGTCTGTTCGAGTTGAACTTAAAGAATTTGAAAATTATCAAATATCTCTTATTTAACTTCCATAGTAAACTAGGAAATTACATTGACATACCTCTTTTCATCTATGAAATTTGCAAAGACCTCTCCCCTCCCTCCAAGTGTTACTAGAAAACATTTAATAACATGGGAAAATGTTTACAATTAATGAGTGAAAAAAGTAAATCATTGAAGCAATAGGTTCCAATTTTATGAAAATAAAAACGGTATATAAATATCTATAGAAAGCAGAATAAAAGGACATACACCAAAATATTGATACTGATTATCTCTGGCTAGTGGAATTAAAGAGGATTTTAATTTTCTTTATTTTTAACATTTCTATAATGAATATACAGATTTTATACATACATAATTTATAGTTAGAAAAAATTATGAAGAATAGTGACCTCAAAAATGTTTGCACAACATTCTTCTCCTAAGACACACTGAGCATCCTTTGGTAAATATTTTCGGTTTTCTGTTCACTCAGGCACATCTTTGTAAACACTGTTTTACAACTCTTGCTCTCCCCAGCTGAGTAAGCAATCCCCATTTTACTTAAGCTGGAAGTATGGTGGAAGGTGGTAAATGAGCATATGCAGATCAAAGTGAAGACCAGCAATCGTGAAACAAACCTATGGCCCAGTCCTCCTCTGTTTCCTGTACTGCATGATTTTCTTAACCCTCATATTGGCAGGTTAGTGCCACTAGTCCAAGATTGATTTGGAAAGGATTTTGGTAGCCCTAATAATTGATTATGCATTCTGCAAATATGGATTTTTGTGGTTATATTATTTAGAAAAGATAGAAGCAAATAGACACTCAAGCAAATAGAAGGTGTAGAAATTGTTGCATCCCTGAAATGTCACTTTCACAGAATGTTCAATTCTCGCAGGAAGGCAGGGTCCCTTGTGTTTGTTTTCCCCAGGTGCCTGGTGATGGTGTGACCAAGGCTTGCCTCAGTATTGGGAAAAGGATACAGTGAGCATGGCTATTTGGAGGAATTGGTTCCTGCTGCATAAGAAATGCTAGGAGGAAGTTTACCTGTTACATTTTCTCCTTTAGTCACGCTAAGCTCTTTCCTGGCACTCACCAGAGCGGCTGTTTATTTATACCTCTGTTCTGTTTGCATTTGGCTTTGCTTCTTATGGCCTTTCTTTTAACAAACAGACAAAAAAAGAGTTGAGCAACTGCTCACTCATTACTTTGTTTATGAATAAAAACCGACGGCTTCAACTCAAGAGTGAGTTACCTACCAGGGATATTTGTATTTCCCAGAATGTTGAGTTACAGTCCTGCCAGGAAACCAGCTTCGAGACAGGACATGGATCAGTTTGTCCTGTCCTTGCAGGGGCAGGCCCGGCCCATGGCCAGGCCCGATGCATGGGGTGAAGGGCATAGAACTGGTGGAATGAACGCTTTCTTTTTCTGTTTACCTCTCTCTAGAGAAAATGCTTAGGAAGTGAGGCTGGAGTTGAGAAAATGGTATTACAGATACCTGGGCAGTTCAGTTCAATTCCATAAATACTTATTAAGTACCTACTATGTTTAAAGTACTGTGGAAAGGTTCTGGGGAATATGACCTTTCCTTTCTTCTTTTCTTCCTCCATTTTTCCTTCCCTCTCCACCTTTGCCCTCCCTCTTTTGTTTTTGTTTTTCTTTTTTTTTTGAGACAGAGTCTCGCTCTGTTGCCCAGGCTGGAGTGCAGTAGTGCAATCTGCAACCTCCATCTCCAAGGGTTCAAGCAATTCTCGATTCTTCTGTGATTCTCATACCACAGCTTCCTGAGTAGCTGGGATCACAGGCACCTGCTACCAAGCCCTGCTACTTTTTTGTATTTTTAGTAGAGATGGGGTTTCACCATGTTGCCCAGGCTGGTCTCAAACTCCTGGGCTCAAGTAACCCACCCGCCTCGGCCTCCCAAAGTGCTGGAATTACCAGGCATGAGCCACCGCACCTGGCCACCCTCCCTCTTTCTTTCTTCATTCCTGTCTTCTTCCCTCTCTCCCTCATTTCTTCCTCTTTCCCTCTCCCTCATCCTCTTTTTCCTTCTTTCCTTCCTTCTAAAATACATACTGCATGCTTTCTTTTCTTTTCTTTTTTCTTTCTTTCTTTCTTTTTTTTTTTTTCTAAGACGGATTCTCGCTCTATCGCCCAGGCTGGAATGCAATGGCGCGATCTCGGCTCACTGCAACCTCTGCCTCCTGGGTTCAAGTGATTTTCCTGTCTCAGCCTCCCAAGTAGTTGGGATTATAGGCATGTGCCATTACACCTGCTAATTTTTGTATTTTTAGTAGAGACGGGTTTTTGCCCTGTTGGCCAGGCTGGTCTCGAACTCCTCACCTCAGGTGATCCGCTCACCTCGGCCTCCCAAAGTGCTGGGATTACAGGCATGAGCCCCTGCACCTGGCCTACATACTGCATGCTTTCTGACAGACCTTTTTTTCAAATTCCCCTTTAGGACGCTGGAGCTCTCCTAACATTCATTACACAATTAATGATGCTTCCCCTCTTTTTTTGTGAGGACCAAATGAGATGAACAAATTGTGACCGCTGTCCACTGTTTTTGGGTAACTTACAGCAAGATCAGTGGCCTGCCTTCCAGGAGATGGAGTCAGTGTATTGAGAAAGGAGAGTGCACATGTGATAGTTGTCAGATTCTTATGAGGAATCTGTCCAAAGCTTATGCTATTTTAATGTCTATTTAATAGAGAAAGCCTGCCATTGTACCTATCCCAGATGGGGTAATAGAATTATGATCAGACTCCCATAGGTCATCATTTCTGCTCTGAGGAGGTAACATGAAGAGTCAGAATATGAGAATATCTTTCTTTTTTGAAGCCGCTTCCAGATTGGGCCACCAGGGCTTGGCTGTGAGGATGTGGCCTCAGCTCTGTATCCACCCCAGGGAGTGGGTGTGACTTTTCTGGACTGCTTGGACATTGGAAAAAAAAACAAAGTCATACTCTTGGAAGGCTGAAAGCTCTGTGGATCGTTTCTGAACACTGTTTAGCCTGTTGGCTACACAATGAAAGAGCTTGTGATGCAGTGATGTCCTGAGATGTCCATCTGATTGTTCATTACAAAGAACTGGGCAAGGCCTAGCTCAGAGAACGGTGTCATTGCTGACTCTAGCAATGTTCCCCAAAGGAAGATCAACTAAGTATCAGGAACTGTGTTGGGGCTGAGGATATGTCAGGGAAGAAACAGACAAGAGTCCTCGCCTGGGTGGAGCTGACAGCCTTGCAGGGCTATGGAGAGGGCGTGGAGGGCCTGGTCCACATCCAGAAAGAGACCAGGAGAGGCCAGAGGAGGAACAGAGCTGTCCAGCCAGAAGAAGTGACCTCTGAGAAGACCCAAGGCCACTGGAGGCTCAGAGTGGAGCTCATTGTGGAGGCAGCAGCAGGAGGCAGGAGGAGATGCTGCAGCCAGGGCCGAGGACCAGATAGGGCCTGGGTGATCATCAATAAGAAAGAATAAAAAAGACCAAGCCCTCCTGTCAGTCAGCCCACAGCACTTAGAATTTAGTAAAAGGACATCAGCATTGTAACTGACAAGGCAGGTTTTGATAAGTACCACAGCATAAGTGCTTACTATGTGTTATGGGCTAAATTATGCCCTCTCCAGGTTTGTACATTGAATTCCTAAATCCCCAGTACCTTGGAATGTATTTGGAGACAGGGCCATTAAAGAGGTAGTTAAGGTCAAATTAGGTCATATGTGTGGGCTCCAATCCGATATGATCGGTGTCCTTGTAAGAAGAGATTAGAACCCTGACACACAGAGACCGAGGGGTGACCATGTGAAGATCCAGTGAGAAGGCAGCCATCTGCAAGCCAAGGAGAGAGGCGTCAGAAGAAACCAAACCTTAATCTTGGACTTGTGGCTTCCAGAACTGTGAGAAAGCAAATTTCTGGTATTTAAGCACCAAGTCTGTGGGATTTGGTGACGGCATCCTGAGCTGACTGCCATGCTATGCTAAGCAGTTTGCCTAGTTCATCTCAGTTAGTCCCTGTTATAGCCTCGCGCTGGTATGTCAACTGGATTTTACAGGTGGGAAAATTGAGGCTCAAAGAGGTTAAAGCTCAAGGTTGCCTCAAGGGCACGCAGCAAGTATATGTCAGGGATGAACTGAAACTCAAGTCATTCAGAGCGAAGGTCTGGACTCTTGCTCACTTCATCTTTTTGAATAATGGGTGATGGGAACACAACGCCAGGGTTGGGTGTGGGGAGGTGTTGGGTGGGAGAAAGAAGCAAGACAAAAGGTGTGGGTCTGCAAGGGGGGTGGGTTTGGAACAGGGGGCTGCAGGAATCAGGACTTGAGGAATGGAATAAGCTCCCCTGGGAGTGATCCCCAAGAGGCTGAGTCCCTTGTCCCTGGTGGTTTTGCCTTCCGGCTGCCTCCTTCATTCTGCCAGCCCTGTCCAGCTCTCAGGTGTGGGATGCTCCCTCCTACCCTGTCTGTTTTCCCATTTCCCCTCCAGACTCATTCTCAGCCTTTTCCATGCTAGAAAATTATCTGTGTGCTTTTGTTCATGGAGTTTCCTCCTTTAAGAAACAAAGCTGATTCTGGATGTGAATTTTAAATGCAAACTCCAGAATATAAGGAAGAAAAATAAAACACCATATTTTTGGTCTTTCAAAAAGTCTTTTACCAAAACTTATCGATTGTGCAACGATGACTTAAAAGGAACACATTCAGGTGCTGCATTTTGAAGATTTTTCTCATCAGCTGATGCAAGTTAGGACGCCCAGAGTCTGTTAACCCCTCAAGGAGCTGAAGTGGTGTGAATTCCTGGCCACAGGCACAGCAGCAGTTAAGTGTGTTGTTGGCTCAGCATTCTGTGTCCCACAAACCTTTATTTTTGTGTTCCTGTGATGTTGAGGATAATGAGATGAAAGATGGACAAGTACCTGCCCTCAGGGAAGTTAAAACTGAGCTGGAAGAAACAGAGAGGCCATTTCAATGATTATGTTAAGTTCTAGGTTGGAAGCATTCGCTGGACTGTTTTTGTCATAGAAAGCTGGAGAACAGACTCCTGCCTGGGAGGGTCAAAGAGGGTTTTCTGGAAGGCGATGCTTGAGTTGAGGTTAGATGATGAAATGGAAGGTAACAATGTGGCAAAGGGGAGGAGGCTGGCAAAGGAATAGAGGGCTTGCCACTGGTGGGGGACTGAGTGGTTTGGTGCAGCTGGGGCAGGGGAGAGTGATAGAAGGATGTTGAGGCTGAGGCTGCAGAGGGACTTTCAAGTCCCACCATGAAGAGGCTCGTGTGCTGAGTTTTGGGACTTATCCTTGAAATATGAGCTGCCTTGCTGAGTACCAAGGTGGCTCTGGAAGCATGCGTGGGATGGTTTGGGACACGATGGGCCAAGAGAAGGAGAGACAAGTTAGGAGGTGATCGCAGAAATCTAAGGAAGAAAATAATAAAGGAGATTGAGAGGCTATTGAGATCAACCCATCATTTCACAGTTTAAACCAAAGCTCAGAGAGGTTAAGTCAGTTGCCTAAAGTCACACAGCTAATGAGCAGCATAACCAATACTAGAAAAGAAAGATGGAAAAGTAGTCATAATTTCTGAAGGCCTGCTCTGTGCTATGCATGCTACATACATGTGCAGTTTCCTTTCACCTCACAGAGTAAGTGTGGTGGTTTCATTTCAATGATGAAAATGCAGAGGCTCAAAGAAGTTAGGTGGCTTGCCCAAAGTCAAACAGCTTGTAAGTGCAGTGATGAAACCCAGATCTTTGCACCACAGTGTGCTGCTGCCATTGGGTATTGATAACTTTTGCAATGCAAGGTGCATTATTAATAGGAAAAAGGGAATAGAAAAGGACTCCTTGTTCTTTAACTCCTGGGCCTTTCTGACTCCACATTACTTGGATTTCAAAACAACTCTGTTGTTTGGTACTCAGGCCTTTTACCTTCTTTCCCCTCTCTGGTATAGGCAGCAAAAGCCTTTAATTAGCTAGCCCGCAGCTCATCAGAGAAAGGTGGCTGTAACTGATCTCTCCCTTTGCTCTCCATGTGGCCTGATATTTCACAGGGTTCTCCTCTCTTTTTCTCTTTCAGATAAGGAACAGCTGGGCCAGGGGGACTCTTGACCTAGATTTGGTGGCCCTGTTTCACAATAAAAGATACTTAAACAGACACGAAGCAGCAATATTCGAAGCATTTCTTTTCAAGTGAAAGAGGAAGTTCCAGAAAGTTGGAGCTTGTTCTTGATGTCATTGCTGCACAGCAGATTACTCCCAAAGTTAGTGACTTGAAATAGCAACAATCATTGTATTTTCTCTTCCGATTTCCATAGGTCAGGAAACTGGGGAAGGGATGAGTTGGGTGGTTCTGGCATGGGGGTCTCTCCTATGGGGCTTGGGAGGCTGGAATAGCTGGGGCTGATCCAGCACCTCTCTCTCTTTGTGTAATCTCAGACAGCTCCATGTGGTGTCTTCACATGGGTCACTTTGGGCCTGCTCCCAGCAGGGTGGCCTCAGGGCAGTGGGCTGCTTTCATGGTGGCTGAAAGCTTCAAAGAGAGAGTATTCCAGAGAGCAAGGCTTGGCCGCATCACTTTTATGACCCAGCCTTGGACGTCACTTCCACTGTAATCTATTTGTCAAAGCAGTGACAGTCTCTCCTCCACTCTGCATTGAGAAGTGGAGACCCCACCTCTCAATGGGAAGAATGTCAAGCTCACACTGAAGGATGAGCATGTGGGATGGGATGTTTTTGTGGCCATCTTTGGAACCACTGTCTGCCTCAGAAGTCATGAATGGAGTATGACAGAGAGGTGAGAGGGAGGAAGGACTAATTTGCCTTCTTTCTGACCAGGGCTAAAGGTAATCTCTTAAGTGGCTTTTAATTTGCCATTAGATCTTACCTACCAAAGAAGGCAAAGTACTGCTCACATTATAAGTGAATCTCTATTATTCAAATCAATATAGGATGAAAAATGCACATCCATTTTCTTCACTATCAAAAAACAAGAAATGAAATTCTCCCAGGCCCAAACTTTTTTGGTAAGGGAATATTTATTATCAAGTGGAAACATTTTTAAGAATTTTATATGTAACTCTGATGTTTTCTTCTTCAGATTTATAGTTAATAGCAAGAATATAATTTATAGAAATAGATCAGTTAGATTAATTTACTGCTATTAAGACAAAATGAAAAAGGACAATGAGAATGATGTATTTCTATTATTAGGTGACTATCAGAAATGCTATAAAAATGCTAGTCATTAAAAACAGAACCTTTTTGCTTCAAAGCATCCAGGGGCTGTATCAACTGGAACTTTAAGTTGTACATTCTTTTGTTTATCAAAAAAGACATCTATTGCTCAGTTTTCAATTACTATCGTAGTTGTGTTTTGTTCTTTAAAATGATTTTGTTCTTATAAGCACAACTTGTGGTTGTTCTTTGATTTCTGCCAAAGTGGCTTTTCTGAACAAACATAAATATATATATTTATTAATAAAAAGTAAGTACATTTGAAAGATTATATCAAGAAGTAGACCCTAAAATTAATTAAAGTAAGGAAAATCTTTTTAAAAAAGTAAACTCAAATTCTTCTGTTAGACACTGCAAATTTCTAGCATTAGTGGGAACTTTTGATCTGCTAAACAAAAATACTTGTAGTTTTTTTAAGCTACTGTGTGTGTATGTATCTGTGTATTTTGAAAATATGGATCTATGTTTATAATGGTAATATCTTGATGATTAAACATTGTTTACAGAATACTATTTAAACACATATTGTTTTGCCAGACAAACCAAATAAATAAACTTCATTTTTTTTTCTCGTTGAAGTTACTAAATTTAGTCAAGTTGATCCGGTTTTAGAATTATGTAAACTCAGCCTCAAAATTTTTCCAATTTTTTGATATTGTCAACTTTAAAAGTACATTTATGTGTTTAATTTTTAACCTTAGAAAAAAACATAAAAACATCAGATAGCCAGAAAAACTCCCCAAACATAATGATCTCTTCAGATGTGCACCCATGAAAAGATACACATATGCACTTCATTAGAACTATGCATCTGAATTGTTTTTTCTAACTGATTTTTTTCAGTATTATATGAATAGCCAAAGATATTAAAATTCATGGCCTGGCATGGTGGCTCAAACCTGTAATCCCAGCACTTTGGGAGGCCGATGCAGGCGGATCACGAGGTCAGGAGATTGAGACCATCCTGGCTAACATGGTGAAACCCCACCTCTACTAAAAATACAAAAATTAGCTGGGTATGGTGGTGCGCGCCTGTAGTCCCAGCTACTCAGGAGGCTGCGGCAGGATAATCACTTGAACTTGGGAGGTGGAGGTTGCAGTGAGCTGAGATTGTACCACTGCACTCCCACCTGGCGACAGAGCAAGACGCTGTCTAAAAAAAAAACAAATTAACACCAGCAAAGGGTTGGATCACCATTGGGCTTATTGCTTTATTCTGGGTTTGATGGTGCATGAGCTCTCTAATGGGCTGAGTGGTGGGCAACATCTGCCTTACACAATGTGCTTAGCTGTCTGTATAGGGTATGATTGGTGCCTCAGCTTCTCTTTTGCTTCAAATTTTACCAAACTAAAGTCATCCCTTTCAGTTATAAAGTATCCTTAAAAAAAAAAAAAGAAAAGAAAAAAACTAGGCTGGGCACAGTGGCTCATGCCTGTAATCCCAGCACTTTGGGAGGCTGAGGCGGGCAGATCATGAGGTCAGGAGATTGAGACCATTCTGGCTAACACAGTGAAACCCTGTCTCTACTAAAAATATAAAAAATTAGCTGGGTGTGGTGGCGGGCGCCTGTAGTCCCAGCTACTCAGGAGGCTGAGGCAGGAGAATGGCATGAACCCAGGAGGCGGAGTTGGCAGTGAGCCGAGATCACACCACTGCACTCCAGTCTGGACGACAGAGTGAGACTCTGACTCTGTCTCAACAACAACAACAAAAAAAACAAAAAATCACTAAGTATCTCAAGGGAAGAAAATTGCATTACTTTTCTTTTTTTCCAACTTTTATTTTAGAATTAGGGGATAGGTGCAGGTTTGTCACAGAGGTATATTGTGTGATACTGAGGCTTGGAGTGTGAATGAATCCTTCACCCAGGTACTGAGCATATTACCCAATAAATAGTTTTTCAGCACTTGTCCTCTCCTTCTCTCTCCCCTCGAGTAGTCCTCCATGTCTGTTGTTCCCATCTCTACGTTCATGTGTACCCAGTGTTTAACTCTTACTTATAAGTGAGAACATGCAATATTTGGTTTTCTGTTCTGTGTTAGTTTGCTTAGGATAATGGCCTCCAGCTGTATCCATGTTGCTGCAAAGGACGGATTTCATTCTTTTTAATGGCTATGTAGTATTCCATGGAGTGTATGCACCATATTTTCTTTATCCATTTCACCACTGATGGGCACCTGGGTTGATTCCATGTCTTTGCTATTGTGAATCCGTGCTGCAATGAACATACCAGTGCATGTGTCTTTTTGGTAGAATGATGTATTTTCCTTTGGGTATGTACTCAGTAACGGGATTGCTGGGTTGAACGATAGTTAACTTCTTAGTTCTTTGAGAAATCACGAGGCTACTTTCCACAGTGGCTGGCCTAATTTACATTCCCATTCTAATAAGCATTCCCTTTTCCCCGCAGCCTTGCCAGCATCCATTTTTTTTTTTTGGCTTTTTAACAAAAGCCATTCTGATGGGTATGAGATGGTATTTCACAAGTAACTCCATTAAAATGTGGGCAGAGGACATGAACAGGCACTTCTCAAAAGAAGGCATACAAGCAGCCAACAAACATTAAAAAAATGCTCATCATATAACTATCATGAGAGAAACATATTCATTTTCTAGGGCCGCAGCACTAAATTATCACAAACTGGGTGGCATAGAGCAACAGAAACTTACTCTCTCACAGTTTGGAGGCTGGGAGCTGAAATCCAGGTGTTGGCAAGGGCCGTGCTCACTCCGAAGGCTTTTTCCGGGCCTTGCTCCCAGCTCCTGGCGGCCCCAGGTGTTCCTTTGCTCCTAGCTGCATCACTCCAGTCACACGGCTGTGTCCTCCCCGTGTCCTCACATTGCCTTTCCTCTGTGCTTGTCTCTGTCCAACTTCCCTCTTTTCAGAAGGACGCCAGTCAGATTGGATAGAGCCCACCCTAGTGACCTCATCTTAACTTGGTTAAATCTGCAAAGACCCTATTTCCAAAGAAGGCTACACCTTGAAGTACTTTGGGGGTGGTTGGGGTTTCCAAATATATTGTGATGGGACACAGTTCAACCCGTAACAGTATTATGATGCATGAACCTATTATCAGTAATTTCTCTGTTAGTGTGAATTCTTTTTTCCTTTAAAACACATGATAAATTGTTTTTTAATGTAAAAGTCAAACCCTCAATGAGGTGTTACCGCACACCTGTCAAGATGGCTATCATAAAACAGCAGCAACAACAAAGGGCAAGTGTTGGAAAGATGGGGAAATCCTGGAGCCCTTGCATGCTGTTGGTAGAAATGCAGAATGCTGCAGTTGCTACCAAAGACAGTATGGAGGTTCTTAAAAAATTAACAAATACCACTACCAGATGATCCAGGCACCCCTCATTTCTGGATATTTATCCAAAAGAACTGAAATCAGGATCCCAAAGAGATAGCAGTGTTCTCGTGTTTATTGCAGCAGTATTTACAATAGCTGAGATGTGGAAACAGCCTAAATGTCCATCAACAGATGAATGGATAAAGGAAGTGTGCTGTATACATACAGTGGAATACTATTCAGTTTTAAAATGAAGGAAATTCTGTAATATGCAACAACCTTGAAGAGGTTATGTTAAGTAAAATAAGCCAGTCACAGACAACTAACGCATGATTCCACTTAGATGAGGTATCTAAAATACTCAAATTCATAGATGCAAAGAGTGGAATGGTGGTGGCCAGGAGGCTGGGGGAGCAGAAAGTGGGGAATTGTTAATTAAGAGGCATGCAGTTTCAGTTAAACAGGATGAGTAAGCCCTAGAGATCTGTTGTACAATGTTGTACCTATAGTTAGCAATAATGTATACTTGAAAATTTGTTGAAAGGGTAGATCTCATGTTAAATGTTCTTACTACAGTAAAATAAAATTTTAAAAAGTAATTAATGGCAGGCCGGTCATCGTGGCTCACGCCTGTAATCCCAGCACCTTGGGAGGCCAAGGCGGGCAGATCACTTAAGGTCAGGAGCTTGAGACCAGTCTGGCCAACATTACTAAACCCCGTCTCTACTAAAAGTACAAAAATTAGCTGGGCATGGTGGCGCATGCCTGTAGTCCCAGGTACTCGGGAGGCTGAGGCAGGAGAATTGCTTGAACCTGGGAGGCGGAGGTTGCAGTGAGCTGAGATTGAGCCACTGCACTCCAGCCTGGGTAACAGAGTGAGACCCCGTTTCAAGAAAAAAGAAGTAATCAATGGCCATGGGGAAAAAAGAAAAGAAATTCTCAAGCAATATGAATGTGTGTGCAATTCAAAACATGTATTTATCCCAGCCCTGCCCACTAGCTCCCTCACTAGAAACAATCATTTCAAGAGTTTTTTGGACTATTTTTTGTCATCCTCTCAGAAAGAATATGCTAGGCATTTTCATTTGTAAAATGGAACTGTTACTTTCCTCATAAGATAATGTTTAGAATAAATTGAGTCAGTAAATGTAAAATACAAGGTGAGATAAAGTACTTAATAAAAGTTATTCACTTTCCCAACTCAGAATAGGTAGCCTAGAGTTGGGTTTACACTGGAGCTATTGAAGCTTGGCTTTCAGAGCCCTTCACTTACGTGGGAAGGGCCAAGCAATGTGTTCAATGCGCATGTGTTTTTGTAAAATCTGCAAAAGTAAAGTTCTGTTGTTTGAATGTCTGTGTCCCTCCCAAATTCATGTTGAAACTTAATCCTCACTGCAATAGTATTAAGACGTGGGGCCTTTAAGAAGTTATTAGGTCGTGAAGGCTCTGCTCTTGTAAATGGGAGTAATGTCCTTATAAAGGGCTTAAGGAAGTCTGTTAGTCCCATCAGCCCTTCCACTATGTGAGGTGCAGCAACAAGGTGCCATGGATGGAACAGAGAGTGAGCCCTCGCCAGACACTGAACCTGCCAGCATCTTGATCTTGGACTTTACAGCCTCTAGAATTGTGAGAAATAGGCCAGGCATGGTGGCTCACGCCTGTAATCCCAGCACTTTGGGAGGCTGAGGCAGATGGATCACCTGAGGTCAGGAGTTCAAGACCAGCCTGGCCAACATGATGAAACCCCATCTCTACTAAAGATACAAAAATTAGCTGGGCGTGGTGGTACATGCCTGTAGTCCCAGCTACATGGGAGGCTGAGGCAGGAGAATTGCTTGAACCTGGGAGGTGGAGGTTGCAGTGAGCCGAGATCACGCCATGGCACTCCAACCTGGGTGACAGAATGAGACTCTGTCTCAAAAAAAAAAAAAATAGAATTGTGAGAAATATATTTTTATTATTTATAAATTATCCAATCTAAGGTATTTTGTTACAGCAGCCCAAATGAACTAAGACAGAAATTGGTACCAGAAGTGGGGTGCTGCTGTAACAAATACCTGAAAATGTGGAAGCAGCTTTAGAACAGGGAAATGGGCAGAGGCTGGAAGAGTTTGGAGGAGCAGGCTAGAAAAAGTCTGCATTGCCATGAATGGAAATAAAGGATAATTCTGGTGAGGGTGTAGAAGAGGAGAGCTGTAGAGAAAGCCTGTATCTTTTTAGAGATTGCTTAAGTGGTTGTGATCAGAATGTTGGTAGAGGGGGTATAGCTCAGGGGTAGAGATTTGACTGCAGAATGTTGGTAGACATATGAATAGTAAAGGTCATTTGATGAGGTCTCAGATGGAAATGAGGAATATGTTATTGGAAACTGGAGGAAAGGCCATCCTTATTATAAAGTGACAAAGAATTTGGCTGAATTGTTTTTGTGTCATAGTGTTTTGTGGAAGGCAGAATATTTAGTGGAAGAAACCTCTAAGCCAAATGTTGAGGATGTGTTGTGGCTTCTCTTGACTCTTATAATAAAATATGAAAAGAGAGAAATAAATTAAAAATGGAATTTATAATCAAAAGGGAAGCAGAACCTAAAAAGTTGGAAAATTCTTAGCCTGTAAAAAATGAGAAAACATGTTCAGGAGAGAACACCATGGATGTGGCTCTACTAGGGCCACCCCTCCAAAAGAAAAAGTGGTAAAGCTTGGTGGTATCCTCATGATGCTAACTCTGCAGGCACCCAGAGTGCATGAGCTGTGGGGGAATGGCTGTCTCCACCTAGATTTCAAAGGATGCCCTGGAGAGTGTTGGAGTCTGGGCAGAGAACTGCTGCAGGGGCAGGACCACCACAGAGAGTCCCCAGTAGGTAATGCCTGGCAGAACGGTGGGGTTGGGACCACCACAGGCAGCCTATACTAGGGCAATGCCTAGTGAAGTTGTGGGATTGGGGCTGCCCCTGAGATCCCAGAATTATAGAGCCATCAGTGTGCAACCCCAGCCTAAGAGGGCTGCAGGCACAAGACTCCAACCGTGAGAGCTGCCCCGTGGGCTGTGCCCAGCAAAGCCATGGGGCCAGGCTGTCCAGAACCTTGGGGGTCTAACGTCTGCCCCAGAGTGACCAGAAGGTGGGAGATGGAGTCAGCCTTAAGGTTTAATGTTGTTTGCCCTGTTGAACTTTGGACTTGGTCAGGTCCTGTCACTTCTTTCTTCTTTCCTATTACTCCTTTTTGGAGGGGGGATGTCTATCCTATGTCTGTCCCAAAATTATATTTTGGAAGCACATAACTTCCTTGATTTCATAGGTTCACATGAATCATACCTTGAATATCACCCACATCTGATTTAGATGCTATTGGTATGAGACTTGGGACTTAGACTTTAAAGTGGAAGCTGGAACCAGTTAAGAGTTTTTTGGGACTATTGGGATGGAATGAATGTATTCTGTATGTGAGAAAGACATGAATTCGGGGTCGGGGGTGGCGGGAGAATGCTGTGGTTTAAGTGTTGTGTCCCTCCAAAATTCTTGTTGAAATGTGATGCCCAGTGCAATAATAGTATTAGGAGGTGGGGCATGGAAGCGAAACTACCCTGTGGAGGAGAGAATAGTTTTGAACTGCATGAGCCAGAAAGCCAGAAAGCCAGAAAGCCATTGTATGGGAAACACCTTTAATCATCAGAGGTGCCCAGAGTGGCCAATTGGAATCTCGTCAACCAAAACTGGAAATTTTCTACCGTCAAGGCTATTTCTGATAATGCAGTGATACAGTTGTAAACACACCATACCTTTCTTCCTTTATGGTAGGAATTCTGTATAGTAGGCTTTATCAGAATTCCTGTGTTTGTAGGGTACAAATCTGTAAACTGTACTGCAAAGAGCCATGCATCTCTCTGTGAAGCTGTGTGTTTTTTGCATTCCATCTCTCCATTATAAAAGTCAAGTTCCAGTCAACTCTGCTGAAGGAAGGACTAAATTATTTTTGTATTCACTCTGGAAAATATTACCAAGTTGTTGAATAAAGAGAGGGTCAAAAAGTTTGTGGCCAAAAACACACCTATATATCTATATCATCTATATGTATTATCTGTCCATATCATCTGTATATTTGATATGGAAGTCTTTCAGGAAGTTAATTAAAACATTTTGCTACTTTTTTTTTAACCTGGATTTTGTGTTGTCAGTTTAAAAAAAGTTGTAATTTGTTATATTTTATTTTTTGTTTCTAAGTAAATATTCAGTTTAATACCTGGCTTTGTGTTCATAATTTTCTAATTCTCTTTCTTAATATGGACCCTTCAGTTTGCATAAGCCTCAGGCCCCACTAAATCGAGATGCAGTCCATGTAGGCCTAAGTCAGTTGCTACCCTGGTGACATGGAAGCTCGTGCAATGGAAGGAGGGAAGCAGGAGGGAGAAAGAGGATACAAGGATGGAAGAAAAGAGCTAAAGATTAACTTTGCTTTTGTCACAATTATCCTGAGGGCTGACTTTGGGGGTTTGGACATCAGGGCATTGTCTGTAATTGCCCGCTACTGTATATGTGGTGCACTGTATGTGGCAATGTGGGAGACTTAAGAAGAAACTGAAAATAGGGCATTAGTTCTCAGCCTCCTCATTGGAAAGACAAGCTTGCCAAGCACTGCTGAAAAACCTACACAGATGAAATGAGAAACGAAAACTGACTCAGCACAAAAACACATGTGATTATTATGGCATGAAATGCATGGGAAGGGTCAATGTGGTGTGTAGTCTCAAATTGGCCTCTACCAGCCACCCCAGGTCCTGTCTGTGACAAGCTTGCCACCCTGAACTCCTGGAACGGGTCTTCTGGCTTGCGTGGATTCTTGTTTGCTGAAACTCATGTGTGATGGATGAATGCTGCTGGAGACGGATTGTGGCAATGAACACAAGCAGCTGTTCCCAGTGAACCTAAGCAGGCGAACAGCTAGCCACGCAGGCAGAAGAAATTTTATAGGCAAATGCGGTAATGGCAGTAGACAAATTAGGTGAGCAGCAATCTGAGCATCTGTGCTCAGAGCCAAGGGGAAGAGGCGGGTGAAGAGCTCTCAAATTGAGGTCATTCATCTCCAACCAGCTTGTGGGTTCCCCTTCCGTTTAAGCTTATGAGCAGAAGAGACTATTTGACCTATGGTGTGACTCCTTTCTAGCAATACTACTGAAGAATGAGATAACCTTATTTTCTGTGTCAGGTCAGGCTTTGAGTGTAAGTAGTTGTGTCAGGGTTTAGGTATCTTTTCATATCAGAAATGCGTAATAAGTCATTTTATAACAGGATTCTACTCTTTGTTCTTCATGGTCAGGTTATTTTGCATGGTAAGACTGTAAGTTGCTTACAGTAGTAATTTTTAAGGTCTATGTTTCTTGAATTTATCTACCATTGGCCTTTACAGAATGATGATCGTACTCTTCTAGGTCAGTGTAAATAATTCATGATCTCAGCGGCAAAATTCCTTTTTGGGGAGGAAGTTGTCTTTGCTTGTTGGGGGCTCGGGGAACTCTGGTTAGGTCAGGAGAGTTAGGAGATAAGACCTGGGGTCAAAGGCAGAGTGAGCATGGAGAATGATTTATAGCAGTGCCACCATCTTAGGGCCAGCCGGTGGGTGGCTGAGAGGCAGAGAGGTGGAGGCGTGCGGGAGGAAGTGCAGTGGGAAGCCTGTAGGCGGAGGCTGGGATGCGTGCGGGGCAGGAGTCATGGGAAGATCCCCCGGGTCAGAGGTGAGCAGAGGACGGCCTGACAGCAGGCATGCCTGAGGCTCACCTGGAAATTGCCTTCCTCCTTCCGACCTCTGAGGAGGTCTGCTGTCTTCACAAGCCACTTTATCACTTCGTGGAATTTGAGCAATGGGTTGCATTATATACCTGGTTCCCTCAGAGGAAGGTCACAGCTGGAGGTGATCTTGCACCCTTAGCCGTCTGGGATCTGCTGAAGTCTTGGGGAGGGTGGGGACTGTGTGTTTGGGTCAGATTAATCTCAAGAAGCCAGCACATTACAACCAATTTCTGGCTTTATCATTGCGTGGGGCACGTCTGTACATTAGGCAAGCTGATTCCACAACCACCCACGAAGCCAGTCTCTTTTTATAGCTGTGCTCATGCATGTGAAGCTTTTTTGGAAGACGGGATATAAGATTCACGTTATTTATGCCCTTAAGCTCTTAAGGAAATACTTACGATTATGTCTAAGTCAATGCTGAGCATATAGGGCAATTACACTTACATATTAACCGTATGATCTTTTCATGACTAAATTCTATGTAATCTATATTTTGTGATATTTGTAATAGTACAGTGGGGTAGAATATATGAGTTTTTTTGTTAGCTGGTAAAATTAATCTCAGAATCTTTGGGTATTGGGTCCCCTTTTCTCAGGCTTGCTTAGACCTAGAACCTTAAAAATGAGAATCCCTCCCAGCCACTCCATTTATCTTTAAAATATGTTCCACCTGCTTAAAGAGAAAATTTAGAGACAGTGATAAAAACTCAGAGTATTTAACTCCTTTCTGAATGTGTTGAGCATCTGCATCATGATTACATTTGTTCATTAACTTCATAATGACTTTGGATCCTAATTTTATCTATGTTAGAATTCTGCATTCTCCATTGGAAAGCTAAGCATGCGTAGACGGGCATCGCTAAGGAAAAAAGTGGACACCCATTGCCTCTTCATTGAGGATGTTAATCATGCTCTGTGTCTATGACTTTCCATTGCCCTTTCATTGGCTTATGTCTAATAGCCGCAGAATATGCTTTAAGGGTGTTAATGAATAACAGAAATAGATTTCCACTTCTCAAAAAAGAGCTTTGGTGTTTCTGGGACTAATTAAGGCATCTGAAGAAGTAACTGGGTCACTGCCTAGCAGTCTCTGTAGTGATGATTGGTTTAAGAGGGGAGAGGCTGATTAAGCTTCACCTTGGGACTTTTAATTATGTCTTGGTAACTGTATGGAAATATACACCCAGTGAACTAATAACTTAAATCTTATTATAAAGATTTAAAAATGGCCAATAATGTATTTTTACCTTTTTGATCTCCTTTTAGTATTGGGAAATAATGACATTAGAGGAGAGTGGAATACCGATCACTCGATAGTTGTTCATTAAATATGTTATGTAAGTACAACTCCATTACAAGGGAATCCCCTGGATATGAAAATGTATTCTTGCAGTGGAGTTTCTGAAAACTAGACTTTTAAAGTCAGGTTTTTAGGCCACTGGCACCAAAGTGAAATAAAACAGGGCCTAGCACATCACTAGTAAATTAGGAAGTGCAAAGAAATCAGGTTAAAATTTGCATCCATTTTGGTCAAAGCAAAATTAGGTACAAATGACCTTTACAAGAAAGTGATACAAAAATTCTGAAAAGAGAGCTCATGGGCTTTCCTTCCTTCTCATTCTTATGTCTATCTGTTTCTGAATTTCTTAAATGTGATTTGTGGGATTTTGTGAGTGATCTGGGGCGATGGTGGTTTTTTTGTTGGGGTTTGAGGCCTTGGTGGGATTAGGATGCTTGTGGAGGAGATGGAAGAATCAGTCAATTGAGGCAGAAGAGTGAGATTTTGAAGAACAAGACTTGGCATTTGCAGTGACATGAATAATATTATTTTAAGACAATCTAATCCTTGACTATTTAAAATATACTTGTTCAATGGAAACTGTAAGCCAAATGGGCAAAAGGAACCTTGATTCATTCCCTGTGAGTTTGTGAAGCTACTTTGCAGCTCTTTGGGTGTTTGTCTTCATCTCTTGTCTAGTACCAGTTTTATTTATCTGAAGATTACTGTTTAAAAGTCCGTTCATTCTGCTTCGTGTACTGGAGGATTTGCTTCATGCTTGTTAGAGATGACACTCAAAGTTCTTTACAGAATTTAATCCTGACCCTGTTTTTAAGGGGTAGACACATTTATCTCTTTCGCAGATGGAGATTTTTGCCTAAAGTCTGTGCTGAGGGACAGAGAAAAAGAAATAGTTCTCTTCCCGTTTTTAGGCTACATGGGTTTTCAAGATATATTTGTATCCCCTTTCTCAACATGTAAACCTCAGTCATAAGAAAATGAAGGGCTCCCCCTCACACCTCTGTTCTGTCTTCACGCCTCCCTCGTTTCTCCATGACTCCTCTTTCCTCCTGACTCCTTCCTCATCCTTGTATACAATCTCCCTCTCCCCTTCCTCCTCCTCTTCCCCCTCCTCCTCCTCTTTCTCCTCTTCCTCCTCCTCCTCTTCCTCCTCCCCCTCCCCTCCCCTCCTCCCCTCCTCTTCCTCCTTCTCCTTCTGTTCCTCCTCCTCCTTCCACTTTTCCTTCCTTTCTTCCCCCTAATCCCTACCCTTGGCTCCTTGGGTCTGGGTCTGTCTGACAAGCAGGCATTTAGTCCAAAGGGAACGATTCAGCCCATATCTTCTTTCTCAACCCAGTACTAAGCAGGGCAGCCATCTTAGTCCACCTGAACTGTTTTCTTTTTTGCCGTAGACCTCAATGGACTTCATTTGTTCCCTTTCAGCTCTCTGGTCTTGAAGGAGACAAAGTTTTTAAATAGTGCAGACTAACATTTAAGGTTTGCTTTGCTCTTAGCTTAGGCATTTTCCCTTTCCCTCTTTTCACAATGTGGTTTTCTTTTACCTAGTTAAAAAGAAAAATTAGAGCTTTCATGCCAGTCAGGTTGGGGCATGCTCTAGAGAGACAAAGTCAAGACTTGCAACTGGCAAGAAGTCAATCCAGCCCCCGACACCTACTGTGCTCTGAGAGGGGAAGCAGCCCGCAGGAGGGATTTTAGAAAAAAACTCAAACTGCCTCTTATTTAAAAGGTGTTATTTGCATGTTTCTGGCTCTGTGCAGTTAATTTATTTAGGGTTAAATATTTCAATGTTATCTTTTTTCTGGTTACACTTTTTCTTTTCCTTCTTTTTTTGTGATGGAGTTTCACTCTTTTTGCCCAGGCTGGAGTGCAATGGTGCAATCTTGGCTCACTGCAATCTCTGCCTCCCAGGTTCAAGTGATTCTCTTGCCTCAGCCTCCCAAGTAGCTGGGATTACAGCCACGCGCCACCATGCCTGGCTAATTTTGTGTTTTTAGTAGAGATGGGGTTTCCCCATGTTGGCCAGGCTGGTCTCGAACTCTTGACCTCAAGCAATCCGCCCGCCTTGGCCTCCCAAAGTGTTGGGATTATAGGAATGAGCCACCACGCCTGGCCCCAATTTTTTTATTTTACTTCATTTTGTTTTTTGAGATGGAGTCTCGCTCTGTCGCCCAGGCTGGAGTGCAGTGGTGCGATCTCGGCTTGCTGCAAGCTCTGCCTCCCGGGTTCACGCCATTCTTCCGCCTCAGCCTCCCGAGTAGCTGGGACTATAGGCGCCCGCCACCACGCCCAGCTAATTTTTTCGTGTGTTTGGAAGAGACAGGGTTTCACCATGTTAGCCAGGATGGTCTCTATCTCCTGACCTCGTGAACCACCCGCCTCGGCCTCCCAAAGTGCTGGGATTACAGGCATGAGCCACCGTGCCTGGCCGCCGGGCCCCAATTTTTTAAAGTTTTTAGAACAACTGTGTGTTGTTCTCTTGTGAGTCTCTTCCCTATCCCCATCCCTGCCCCCTCTCTTCTTTCCTTCCATCCTTCCTTCCTTGCTTTTTCTTTATGCTTTTAATTTACTTTTTCTCATGTTTTATTATTTAAGTGCACAGAAGCTGGAGCTGGACTTCCTGGGTCTGAATCGGCTCCACCACTCATTAGCTGTGTGACCTTGAGTAGGTCACTTAACCTCTCTGTGCTTCAATGTTTTAATCTATAAAAATGGGGATGGTAATAGTACCTACTTCGCAGCCCTGTTGTGAACATTAAGTGAGTCAGTATTTATGAAGTGCTTAGAACAGGGCCTGGTATAGAGTAATGCTAGTGACTGAAAATAAGACAAGTAAACCAAGGAAAAAGAACATTAAAAAAATCTGGAAACCTACCTCTAAGTCTCAGAAATATTAATCACTATTAATAGTCTCCCTCGGCTGGGTGTGGTGGCTCATGACTGTAATCCGAGCACTTTGGGAGGCCGAGGTGGCTGGATTACGAGGTCAGGAGATCGAGATCATCCTGGCTAATACGGTGAAACCCCGTCTCTACTAAAAATATAAAAAATTAGCCGGGTGTGATGGCGGGCGCCTGTAGTCCCAGCTACTCCGGAGGCTGAGGCAGGAGAACGGCGTGAACCCGGGAGGCAGAGCTTGCAGTGAGCCGAGATCGCGCCACTGCACTCCAGCCTGGGCGACAGAGTGAGACTCCGTCTCAAAAAAAAAAAAAAAAAAAGTCTCCCTCTACATGTATGCACACGTTATTTATTTATTACAAAAATTTATTTTTTACAAAATTGGATCATACTTTTTTGGGACCGGATTTTTTTTTTCATTTTACAACATATCATAAATGTCTTTCGACTTAATTAAAATGCTTCTTCAAAACCATTTTTATGGCTGCATAGAATTTCATTGTATAGCACTCCAGTAAATGATTTTATGGATTTCTTATTGTGAAGCTGCACTTTTTCTTGTAGAATATTTCCTCACATGAATCATTAGAAAGAAATAGTTCCACCCACTGTTGTTATCACAATATCCCTACACTTCACTTCCATTCTGCAAGCAACCCATTCCCCACTACACGGCTCTTTCTGCTTTTCTTGGATCTCCAGTGACCCTGCTTACCACACACCCTCCATCTCTCCCCGGGCTGCATTTCAGAAATGCTGTTCTAAAAGACTTTTTGGGCCAGGTGCGGTGGCTTACACCTGTAATCCCAGCATTTTGGGAGGTCGAGGTGGGCGAATCACAAGGTCAGGAGTTTGAGACCAGGCCTGGCCAACATGGTGAAACCCCGTCTCTACTAAAAATACAAAAAATTAGCTGGGCATAGTGGCAGGCACCTGTAATCCCAGCTACTTGGGAGGCTGAGGCAGGAGAATCACTTGAACCCGGGAGGCAGAGGTTGCAGTGAGGTGAGATCGCACCACACCACTGCACTCCAACCCAGGTGACAGAGTAAGACTCTGTCTCAAAAAAAAAAAAGATTTGGGCTGGGTGCAGTGGCTCATGCCTGTAATCCCAGCACTTTGGGAGGCTGAGCGAGGCAGGTGGATCACTTGAGGTCAGGAGTTTGAGACCAGCCTGGCCAATATGGTGAAACCCCATCTGTACTAAAAATATAAAAATTAACCAAGCATGGTGGTGCACACCTGTAATCCCAGCTACTCTGGAGGCTGAGGCAGGAGAATCACTTGAACCCTGGAGGCAGAGGTTGCAGTGAGCTGAGATCATGCCACTGCACTCCAGCCTGGGTACCCGAGCCAGACTCTGTCTCAAAGAAAAAAAAAAAAAAATTGGTGTTTTGGTTTTCATAACACCTCCTGTAAACAGCAAGCACAATTCCTTCCAATTAAAGTACAACAGAGCCACAGCCCTCCTCAAACATCCTGTGATACAAATGCCTCCCTCTCCAGAATGGGAGACCAAAGGGACAGTGGCATCAAAGTTTGTATAGTGATGGGCAACTTAAACAACTCTCTACGATTTACATTCATTCCACTTTTATTTTATCTATGATACTACGATTTTCTACTGCTTGAATTTTCAGATTTCTTAAATTCTCAGATGATAGCATAGTAAATTTCAGTTTGTCAAAATAGCAAATCCTTATCAACCAAAATAAGAGCGGAGGCGACCCGGGAGTGAACCTTTAAACAGGCAAAGATGGTGAAAGCTCACCACCTAGCGGCTTCCCATGAAATGGCTTCTTTGAATTTGATCCTATTTTGGTTTGGGTTTCCATGTGACAGGTTTGTCTAGTTTTTGACTCTATGTTCATTTTTTTTCTACAGGCAAAAGTAGACATTTGAAGGGTCCTATTGAATAATCTTATTTAAGATTAAACAAGATTAAATTGTTTTTTTTTTTTTTGAGACTTGCCCAGGCTGGAGTGCAGTGGCGCCATCTTGGCTTGCTGCAATCTCCACCTCCTGGGTTCAAGTGACTCTCCTGTCTCAGCCTCCCAAGTAGCTGGGACTATAGGCGTGCGCCACCATGCCTGGCTAATTTTTTGTATTTTTAGTAGAGACGGGGTTTCACCATGTTGGCCAGGCTGGTCTTGAACTCCTGACGTCAGGTGATCTGCCTTCCTCAGCCTCCCAAAGTGCTGGGATTACAGGCGTGAGCCACTGTGCCTGGCAAGATTAGATTCTTATACAAGATTCAATTCTCTTGTATTTGAGAGGTGGTGAGGCCTTAAACTTGGTTTATTTGCTAATATCTTATTTTCATTCTCTGGTGTGAGCAGTTGATTAGTGTTATGTGGCTAAAGTAGCTGTCACCGTAATCTGCTTGGAGGGGTACCGGTTGTTTTACAGCTTCAGTTAATTTAGTATATATTACATTTTCAGTTATCAGAAAACTAGCCAAGACTTTTTCATCTCTACTATATTCAGTGTCTGAGTGTACCATAGACCTCATTTTAACCAAGAATGTCTTGGATTGAGTTCCCTAAAAAGCAGAGCCTGAGGCAAGGATTTGTGTTATGAAATTTATGAGGGGTCCAATCCCAGGAAGGCAAGAGTGAGGGAAAAGTGTGGAGAAGCAGGGGAGGAGGGAGAATCAATATGAGGGCAGGTTATTTAGCTGGTTGCATCCAGGTAGCAGTCTGGCGGGCTTCTGCCATGAGGCCACATGAAACCAGGGCAGTCGAGGAGGGGAAAGGAAGGAGAATTTTCCCTTGCTCCGGCTTCCCACTGACGGACGTTTCACTTAACTGTATTAATTCCTCTGCACTATTAGTTACGCATGATGCATGACAAGCAGATCCCAAGTGTCTTGTGGAACAGGGAATCCCTGGGACAGGTGGCGAGAGGCATGCAGACTGTTCATCCCAGATTCTGCTTGCAGGAATCTATAGAGGAACGAAGTAAATATCGATTATGGATCTTACTTTGTTTTCTAACAAATGCTTGCCACCCTTACAATAGTGATATCTGAGTTAGGATTCTTTTGCTTGCAAAAAATGTATACCTACTAAAGCAGTGAAAGGGGCCTGGGCCAGGGTTGTCTCGGGGAATTACAGCGTGGGTAGTGATGATGCCAGGTCTCAGGAAGGTGCAAGAAGCAGATGCAGGTAACCTAGGGCTCTCATCTCTGCACACATGATGTGTCTGCATCATTCTTGTTCCTGTCTTTCTGAAGACTGGCTTTGTTTGTGTCCATAGTCTTTTTGGAGAGAGAAGCCAATCACTAGTGTTTGAGCTTCACATTTACTGCCATCAAAGAGACAGGTTCTAGCTTAGCTCCAATTCCAAATTCAGGGATGGAAACTCTGATTGGTCCAGCTTGGCCCGGGGTTCTCCTCTGATCCAGTCAACCCTGTAGGGTGAAAGGGCTCAGCCATTTCTGGAATGACTTGAAGTGGTCTAGAGGCAGTAGAGGGGAGGTTACCAGGGAAGTGGAGGATGTTGTATTCTAGGCTGATGTAGTGATTGACACACTATTTTCCACCCCTGGGCTGCTGGGAAGCTCAGAATGCACACACACAGTCCTTCCAATATTCACTCCCCAGCGATTCCTCTTGGAGCCGCAATGCATTTCCCCTCATCCCCTCCGCCTCCGGCAGGAGACCCTAAGACTGTGTCCAGCTTTTGCACTTACTGGGGATGTCTCCAGGTCTCTTGCTGGTGGGCACTCCTTCGGTGTGGTCATGATCCAGGCCAAGGAGTACAGCAGGGGGCTAAGTGCTAAATTATTTAATCATCCTCATGACAACTGATGCAAAGTCACGGAGCGGGAGAAAGCAGGGCTGATGAAACCAAAATGCCCATCTGAAAAAATCCCGAATGGAGCAGACGCTTCACTGAATACTTTGGAGATTAGTCATTGGCACAGAGCCCGGGCCATTTGTGGACAGGGTTAGGGAGCTGAGTCGGGTCAGGGGTTCTCATGGGCATCCTGTTGTTAACTGGGCTGTGGTGTAAGTTCCTTGCTTGGCTTACTTGTTTATACCAAGTTCTACCCACAGGAAGGAATTCCCGACTCAAGGGTCTTCTGGTGAGTTCTCTGTTGGGGCAGTGTTCAGGTGCTGGTCAGTTTTGCCAGGGGTATATGCTTCCTTTGGCTGTTGTAACAAATCACAAGCTTAGTTGGCTTAAAACAACACACATTTGTTATCTAACAGTTCTGCTGGTTAGAATTCAGGCATGGATCTCTCTGGGCTGAAATCAAGTCAAATGCAGTCAGATGCAGTCATGGCTGCATCTTTCTGGAAGCTCTTGGGAGGATCTGCATCTTTGCTTTATATATATATATATATATATATATATATATATATATTTTATTATACTTTAAGTTCTAGGGTACATGTGCACAACGTGCAGGTTTTTTACATATGTATACACATGCCATGTTGGTGTGCTGCACCCATTAACTCGTCATTTACATTAGGTATATCTCCTAATGCTATCACTCCCCCCTCCCCCCACCCTACAACAGGCCCCGGTGTGTGATGTTCCCCTTCCTGTGTCCAAGTGTTCTCGTTGTTCAGTTCCCACCTATGAGTGAGAACATGCAATGTTTGGTTTTTTGTCCTTGCGATAGTTTGCTGAGAATGATGGTTTGCAGCTTCAACCATGTCCCTACAAAGGACACGAACTCATCATTTTTTATGGCTGCATAGTATTCCATGGTGTATTTGTGCCACATTTTCTTAATCCAGTCTATCATTGTTGGACATCTGGGTTGGTTCCAAGTCTTTGCTATTGTGAGTAGTGCCGCAATAAACATACATGTGCATGTGTCTTTATAGCAGCATGATTTATATTCCTTTGTGTATATACCCAGTAATGGGATGGCTGGGTCAAATGGTATTTCTAGTTCTAGATCCCTGAGGAATTGCCACACTGTCTTCCACAATGGTTGAACTAGTTTACAGTCCCACCAACAGTGTAAAATACAGAACCAAAGACAAAAACCACATGATTATCTCAATAGATGCAGAAAAGGCCTTCGACAAAATTCAACAGCCATTCATGCTAAAAACTCTCAATAAATTAGATATTGATGGAACATATCTAAAAATAATAAGAGCTATTTATGACAAACCCACAGCCAATATCATACTGAATGGGCAAAAACTGGAAGCATTCCCTTTGAAAACTGGCACAAGACAGGGATGCCCTCTCTCACCACTCCTATACAACATAGTGTTGGAAGTTCTGGCCAGGGCAATCAGGCAGGAGAAAGAAATAAAGGGTATTCAATTAAGAAAAGAGGAAGTCAAATTGTCCCTGTTTGCAGATGACATGATTATATATCTAGAAAACCCCATCGTCTCAGCCCCAAATCTGCTTAAGCTGATAAGCAACTTCAGCAAAGTCTCAGGATTCAAAATCAATGTGGATAAATCACAAGCGTTCTTATACACCAATAACAGACAGACAGAGAGCCAAATTATGAGTGAACTCCCATTCACAATTGCTTCAAAGAGAATAAAATACCTAGGAGTCCAACTTACAAGGGATGTGAAGGACCTCTTCAAGGAGAACTACAAATCTTTGCTTTTTTGAGCAGTTAGAGGCGGCTGCATACCTTGGCTCCAGGCTCCTTCAAAGCTGGCAACATTGCATGTCTCCGTCATGCTTCCTGTCATGTCTTTCTCTGCCCCCCTCTCCTGCTTGTCTCTTCCACATTTAAGAGCCCCTTATGATTACATCGAGCTCTCCTGGATAACCCAGGGTAATCTCTCCATTTGTAAATCAGCTGATTAGCAACTCTACTTCCACCTCCCACCTAACGTAACTGAAAATGCCACAGGTTCTGGGGATTAAGTCATGGAGGTCTTTGGGGGCCAGTAGTCTGCTGACTGTATCAGTTGTTTTCTGTGGTTCCAGCGCTTGCGTCTGAAAATTGTCTGAGTGATTGAGCCAAGAGGCAAGCTTGGAGTGGTTCTGGCGTTTTAGCTTCCACAAAACCTTCGCTGATTGCCTTGTAGATGCCATTTTTGAGGACTCTCTTTTCTTCCAGTTAAACAGGAAATGATGTCATCCAGAATTTGGTCATGCCTCCATCAGTGTCCTCCAGGAAGCCTGGGGGGCTCTGCTCATTCCCATAGCCTAGAGGTTTTTAAAGCATGGTCCAGGACCCCAGATCCTTTCAGACGGTCCTAGAGGTCAAAACTATGCACGTGCTTATCCTACCTTGCCTGTGCAGCTGTCTCCCAGGGGCTCTGTGATGTGGGCAGCATCGTCACACTGATGCTGATGGAATGTGTTTGTGTATTCTTGTGTTTTAAACATGTCTCAGTTTTAATTTTTGTACAGTAAATATCAATAGCTATAACCTCCCCACACAAAGGTTCTTTGGAGTCCTTGATTATTTTTAAGAGTGTAAGGGGTTCCTGAGAACTAAAAGTTCAAGAACCACTGCCCCAGCCATTTAACGACTTCAGGCTCCAGGTTTGGATGGGAACCAGCAGGGTGGGGTGTTGTCTGGAGGGTCACCCTCACCCACAAGCTCAGTGGAAGAGGAATGAACTCCATTTGGAAGGTGTTCTCAGCCCTCACCTTCATCCAGCATGGAGGCAGCTGGGCACTTGTGTCCACCCTGCTGCTGGGACTGGTCTTGGGATTGCATCAGCATCAACTAGGAGTCAGAAAAATCCAGATTCCTAGGGCTTTTGTGCGGTGGTTCTGATGCAGTGGGTTTGCAGCAGGCTTGACAATCAGTATTTTCCCAAGCATCCCAGGTAGTTCAAATGCCTGCCAGGTTTAAGAATGGCTGCCTAATCTACCAGATATGCCCCTTTTGGGAAATCAGGAGACCAAGGTTGTGGAGGGATTCTAAGTTCACCAAGAGATGGAAGGAAGAGAAAGCAGAAGGGGAGCAATAGAGGCTGTGAAGGCAGAGCTCACCACAAGGCCTTGCCATGGTCTTCCTGCTCCAAGGGTGAGGGACCTGCTGATTTCTCTCTGCCTCTTGCAAAAAGGCAGAAGGAAACCAAAATGATGATGAAAGCAATGCAGTAGTGCATATGTCTACTCACTCATGCAATAGTGCATATGTCTACTCACTCATGCAATAGTGCATATGTCTACTCACTCATGCAATAGTGCATATGTCTACTCATTCATGCAATAGTGCATATGTCTACTCACTCATGCAATAGTGCATATGTCTACTCATGCAATAGTGCATATGTCTACTCACTCATGCAATAATGCATATGTCTACTCACTCATGCAGTAATGCATATGTCTACTCACTCATGCAATAGTGCATATGTCTACTCACTCATGCAATAGTGCATATGTCTACTCACTCATGCAATAGTGCATATGTCTACTCACTCATGCAATAGTGCATATGTCTACTCACTCATGCAATAGTGCATATGTCTACTCACTCATGCAATAATGCGTATGTCTACGTGTGTATGCACATACTGAAAGGCTGAGCAATGGGGTAGGATGAGGCAAATAGAGAAAATAAAGACAACTAACTTGGGCATGAGGGTGTAACAAATAATTTCCTTTAACCAAAATACAATCAGATGAAATTAGGAAAAAATTGAAAGTTTATTGTCATACGATAAGAGAAAGTATAGATCTTCATCCGGGAGATTTCAAACCAGGTGGTAAGAAGCTCGCCTTGCAGTTTGGCAGCACAGTGTTTATGAAGCATAACGAGGGAAGTATTTTGACCTTTTTCTTGATTGGTTGTTATACATGAACATTCTTTTTAGGGCAAGTAGAACTGTTAGGGCTGATTTGTCTATAGCCTATTGGTTTAATTTCACCGAATCGTGCTGACAAGGATGTAAAGCTTACGCCTTGTGTTTCAGTTATGATTAGAGCCAGCACTTCTAGCATCTCAAGGAAATCAGGATGACTTCAGTGTTGGCCACATGGTTATGGGTGGATGGCCTTGGGTACATCTAAACTGTGACCTCCAGTTTTACTTTTCTGTAACTCTTCTTTCCCCTCCTTGACCGAGAAGGATTCAGAGATCAAGATGATGTCAGACTGATGGAGATCAAGATATTGATCTGTTATTACTGATAAAGCTGATTAGAAGTCTACAGCCATTCAGACATCCCCACCATCTGGATGGATGGACCCTCCCTCTTAGGGGCTGTCCTGGTAGCACCGATGAGAGCAGACAGACAGCAACTGCTTGGAAGATGGGGGAGAGAGCCAGCACATTCCACTTCTTTCATAGTGCCACATCAAAAAATCCACTTACCTTGCTTCTTCCCACAGGCAAGGGATGGGGAGAGAGGCCAGGAGTGTGAGTCTACCTGAAGTTCCTCCACAAGGAAGTATGAGGCATGAGGAATAACTGACATTCAGCTCCATCCACTCCTTAGTCTCTTTAATAATGTTCCACTCTAAGCCAGGCACGGTGCTGGGTGCTGGGGCACAAGTGTGAACAAGACACATATGTGACCTTAAAGAGCTCATGATCAAGTACATTTTCTTCAGAAATGTGTTTCCTAGATCACTGACATCTGAATCATCTGGATTTTCACTCAACACACGTTTTGAACACCTGCTATGAACCAGGGGCTATTCTGGGTGCTGGGAATACAGCCGCAGACACAACAGACCAAGACCCTTCCCTCCTTAGCTTCCATTCTAGTGGGGATAATATGTACTATGTCAAAGGCTGTGGGCAAAAATAAGTGAAGCAAGGGAGCTGGAGAAGGTTGCAGAGAGTGGGTGGGAGTCAGGGCTTGCTACTTTATATAGTGGGGATCAGAAGTTGGCTCACTGGTAAGGGAGCATTTGAGCAGGGACCTGAAGGACTTGAGAGAATCATGTGGCTATCTGGTACATGGAGTTCCAAGATGTGGGAAGATCACATGCAAAGGTCCTGTGGCCTAAGCTTGCTTGGCATCTTAATGTAACAGCTGAGGGAGGCCCAGTGCCTGGAGGGGAGTGAGCAAAGAGGAAAAGTGGTAGGAGTTGGAGTAGGAGAGGTATTGGGATGATTGTGGGGGCTAGCAGGAAAAACATGAACTGACCTCCATTCTCAAAGGACAATTCTGGTCTCTGTGTGGGAAAGTGGAAGGGGAAAGATAGAACCATTTGGGTGCTACTGCAGTAGTTTGGGTGAGAGATGATGGTGGTGTGGCCCAGAGTGGTAGTGGTGGATGAGCTAGGAGGTGGTCAGATTTGGGCTATATTTTGCAGCAGAGCTGGTGGGGTTTCAGGGTGGGTTAGAAGTGAAGGGGGATGAGAGAAAGCAGACCGCAAGGCTGGTTGCCTTAGCAATGGAAGGAGGGGGAAGACCGAGAGAGGAGTGGGTTTGGGACGGAAATGGCACATGATGTGGGAGATGCTGAGTTCGATGCCCGAATCTGAGATGTCCACACAGAGAACAGGGAGTTGGACATCCATGTCTGGAGTTGGAGGAACGTTCAGGGTTGGAGATAAGAAATTGGAGGTTCACTGGTGTCACCTGGGGGGTTAGAATGAATGGAGAAGGGCTGAAGCCTGGGCTCTGAGCCAACATAACCTTAAAGGTCTGAGGGGTGAGAGACTGAGAAGGAGAAGCCAGCAGGTCAGTGCAGGGTCAGGAGAAGGAATGTCCTGGTCGAGTGAGGAAGGCATTTCAAGAAGAAGGGATGGGCTGGGCACGGTGGGTCACGCCTGTAATCCTACCACTTTGGGAGGCTGAGGCAGGTAGATCACAAGGTCAAGAGATCAAGACCATTCTGGCCAACATGGTGAAACCCTATCTCTACTTTAAATACAAAAATTAGCCAGGTGTGGTGGTGGATGCCTGTAGTCCCAGCTGCTCGGGAGGCTGAGGCAGAAGAATCACTTGAACCAAGGAGGCGGAGGTTGCAGTGAGCCAAATTGCTCCACTGCACTCCAGCCTGGGCAACAGAGCAAGACTCCATCTCAAAAAAAAAAAAAAAACCCCAAAAAACTTTGCCAAATGCAGTTGATCAGTAAAACAAACTAAACAAAAAACCAAACAAACTTTGCCAAATGCAGTTGATCAAGTTTGCCAAATGCAGTTGATCAGTAAGATGAAGATCAATAGGCTTTAGCCACGTGAAGTTCTTAGTGCCTTGATGAGCTGTTTCCATGTAGCTGAGGGGACAAAAGCCAGGTTGGGGTGAATTCAAGAGAGAATGGAGAATGCAATGGAAGTCATAGAAACCATTGTTTAGAGGCATTTTGATGAGAAGGGAGCTGCTGGGGCTGGTGGTGGTAGTATTGTGGGACCAAGGAGGGGTTCATTGATTTCACACATAGTTGTTGAGCACCTACTGTGTTTCAGGCTTGGCTTTAGGAGTTTGGGCTACATTGTGAATGGAACTAAAAAATCCATGTGCTGGGGAAGCTTACATTCCAGTTGAGGGTGATGACAATAACATTAAACCAACACATTTTGTTTATATGTTGGAAGATGGTTCATGCTATAGGAAGAAAGAAAGGAGAAGGTAAGGAGCCTCAAGCGTGTATGGTGGGGGGAATTGAAATTTTGAATAAGGTGGGTGAGTAGGCCTCATGATGAAGGTGATGTTTGAGGAGGGACTTGCTGGACATGTAGGCTTTGGGTATATGTACATATAGGGGAGGCCATTGCTGCAAAGGGAACAGTGAGCCGGAAAGCCCTAGGTTGGAGTGTAGGTGGTGGGAGGGAGTCACGAGGAGAGACTAGGAGATGAGACCAGCAGGGGGAAGGAACTAGGGTGTCTGTGTAAATGGGGTGGGGTTCTCGAGGCCTTCGTGGAGATGTTGGCTTTTACTCAGAGTAGAACTGGGAGCCAATGGAGGGCAGAGGAGGCTGGCCAGGTGAGAGTAGAGTGGTGAGACCAGGTGGCAGACATTGTATTAGCCAGGGTTCTCTAGAGAAACAGAATCACTAGGATGTGTATTTATGTCTAAATTCACATACACAGTCATATTCACTTAATGATGGAGATACATTCTGATAAATGTGCCATTACACAATTTCATCATTATGTGAACATCATAGAGTGTACTTACAAACCTGGATGCTATAGCCTGCATATCCTTAGGCTATATGGCATAGCCTATTGCCCCTAGGCTACAAACCTGAACAGCAGCTTACTGTACTGAGTACTGTGGGCAGCTGTAACACGATGGTAAGTATTTGTGTATCTAAACATAGAAAAGGCATGGTAAACATATGGCATTATAATCTCATGGGACACTGTCATGTATGCAGTCCATCGTTGACTGAAATGTCGTTATGTGGTATGTGACTGTATATATACACACATATATACACATAGACACACAGAGCCTGGAGACTACGGAGAGCAGATGTTGCAGCCTGAGTCCAAAGACAGTCTAGAGGTGGAATTCTCTCTTCCATGGAGTCCTCTGTCTTCATTCTATTAAGGCCTTCAACTGACTGGAAGAAGTCCAACCACATTCTGGACGGTAATCTCCCGTACTGGAAGTCTACTGATCTAAATGTTAATCTCATCTAAAAATGTCTTCACAGCAGCATCTAGAGTAGTGCTTCACCAAATATCTGGGTACCATGCCTGGCTGAGTGGGCACATGAAATTAACCACTGCAGTGGTGGTGAAGGGTGCTGGGCTCTGGTGCGAGGTCTCTCTCTTGGCCGGAGGCAGGTGCTGTTACAAGCTTGAAGCCACAGTGTGTCTGTGCATGAAAGTGCTCCATATTCTCCCCTCCATAGGGACGATGCTTGGCCCCTTGGGCCTCAAAGCTGCACCTGCTCTTCCACTCAGCTCTCACAGAGTCCCCCATGGAGCTTATATACACAGCCTTTTCCCACAGGAGTCAGGCCTGAGTCAGGTTTAGGGCCTGGAATGTTTTCCGAGAGAGTCGCCTCTCTTTCTCTCCCTCTCATGATTCTCCCCTGTTTGAGACTCTTTCCCAGTGGCCAAAATAAGATAAAGGGAAGAAAATCCCTCAAAACCCTCCCATAATTCAACTCTTATGAACCCTCCCAGCCCCCACCAAGGACTTCCCCTGCTCATCTCTCATGTCCAGATGTGTCCAGGTACAGTTGGATCCCATTTGGGATTGGATCCCATCCTGGGCTGGGACCCAGGATGCTGATGTGTGAGATCTTGGAAAATTTCCTCCGCCTTCGACGGAGAAATTGGAGTTGCTAGTCTGGCAGTGAACCAGTGAGGCAAGAAAGGGGGAGGATTCAGTCAAAGCCAGGAAAGAGGGAGGAGGAGGGGAAAATTGAGGGGAGGGAGGAAAGTTAGGAAGGTCTGTGTGCAAGACTTGGAGCAGCTTGGGATGTGAGAATGAGGGAGCAGAGGATCTTGGACTTCCCAGCCTCCTGAGCGGTGAGAAATGAATTTCTGTTGTTTATAAGCCTTTCGGTCTATGGTAATGTGTTAGAGTGGCCTGAATGGGCTGAGAAAGGAGCTGGGGACAGAGACGGGAGAGACAGACATGTGCGTCCCACGTCCTTCACAGTGGCTTTTCCAGTGAGGTCCCGGAGAACCTGGGAGATGTCCTGGGCAAGCCTCCACCTGAGTGATCATTGCATGGACAAGCAGAGGCTGAGAAGTTACAGCTCTTAAAAGGATGCTGGAAATATTGATTACAGCTCCTCTCCCAGTGATTCCTAGAGTTGCAGTTAATAAGCCTTCCTACCAAGACTGCTAAAAGAAGTGACACTGTAATGAAACATTTCCAGAGCACCTCTGCGTCCCTCCTTAGCAACAGAATAGCTTGGGAGTAGCCCCACCTTGTGGAGAAGTCTAAAAATAGTTTAGTGACACACCGTTCAAGGTTAGGGAATTGAGACAAAATAAATTTGAATTTTAATATTTTTACTCTCCAGAAAATACCTGGAAGTTTTATATAACCAGACCAATATATTTTATGTGACACTTATAAATGTTATTTTTCATAGATGATGAAGTCACTTTCATCAGTTGGTATGAAGTCTTTGTAATTGCATGAATACAGTAATCCCTCCTTATCCTCCGGGAATGTATTCTGAGACCCTCAGTGGATGCCTGAAACCACAGCCTGGACCAAATCCTGTGTGTGTGTGTGTGTGTGTATGTGTGTGTGTGTATATATATATATATATATATACACACACACACATTGTTTTTTTCTATACATACATACCTATGATAAAGTTCAGTTTACAGATTAGATACAATAAGAGATTAACAATAACTTAGTATAAAATGGAACAATTACAACAATATACTGTAATAAAAGTTAAGTGTGGCCTCCCTCTTTCAAGACATCTTATTGTGTTATGCTTACCCTTCCTGAGATGGTTTAAGATGTTAACCCAGAAAGCTACTGAGTGATAGATGGGCAGGTAGTGTATACAGCATGGGTACTCTGGACAAAGGGATGATTCACCTCCTGGCTGGGACACAGCACGAGTGTGAGTGAGATTTCAGCACACTACTCAGTATAGTGTACAATTTAAAACTTACGGATTGTTTATTTCTGGAATTTTCCATTTAATATTTTTGGACAACTGTTGGCTGCAGGCAACTGAGGAAAATGAAACTGTAGATAAGGGGGAACTACTGTATCTAATAATAAAAAGCCCATATGGCTTACCCTTAATTTCTTGCACAAAGAATTATTTTCATAATTCTAATGCATTCCCTTATGTTAGTTTTAACTAAATCTAGGACAAAGTGTGCTTGTGATTATCTTGGACTTGGACTTCAATGTCTCACACTGTATCTCTCTCCTCAGAACTTAGTTCTTTTTTAAAAAAATTTTTTTAGATGCAGAGTCTTGTTTTATTTCTCAGGCTGGAGTGCAGTGGCATGATTAATGCAGACTTGAACTCCTAGGCTCAAGCAGTCTTCCCGCCTTGGCCTCCCAAAGTGCTGGGATTACAGGCATGAGCCACCATGCCTGGCAGAATTTAGTTCTGATTCAAAATCTTGTGCAAGTTTAGCTGACTGGAGGAGCAAAATTATATATGGAACCCTAAATGCAAGATAGCTGCACAGGAGTCTGGGAAATGTAGTTTTTAGCTACAGGTTATTATGATACAAAAGAGCACAAATACTAGAAATGTATTAGAATGGATGTTGAGTGAGCCAATCTTCAGTATCCACTAGACACTGAAGACTGCAAAACAGAATTTTATATAAGGCTGAAATTCATCAGATATGTACTGGTACAGCCATACTAATTGTTGGAAAGTTGAATACTTTCATTCCATATGGTAAGTAAACCCTGCCTCAGAACTCTTAAATGCCCCATTTTCGCCCTGTCCATTCTGTCTTCTCACTTGGAATCCTTTAAATTTCTCAATTATCCAGCAATGTAAGGACTAAATTAATCCTGGCACAGAGCTATGGGCTGGCATCTGTTGTTTGTTGGTGCCAGATATGGTTTGGCTCTGTGTCCCCAAGCAAATCTCATCTTGAATTGTACTTCCATAATTCCCACATGTTGTGGGAGGGACCCAGTGGGAGATAATTGAATCATGGGGATGGTTTCCCCCACACTGCTCTTGTGGTAGTGAATAAATCTCACATTAGGAAAAACCCGTTTTGCTTGGCTCTCATTCTCTTTCTTGCCGCCGCCATGTGAGACATTCCTTTCTCCTTCTGCCATAATTGTGAGGGCTCCCCAGCCACTGGAACTGTAAGTCCAATAAACCTCTTTCTTTTGTAAATTGCCCAGTCTCAGGTATGTCTTTATCAGCAGCATGAAAACAGACTAATGCAGTGCCCAAGTTCATCAACGCCCCTACAGTTCTGCCTCCTGGATGCCTGCCGCGGTATTTGCTCCCTCACCCTGTGGACTCCAGAGGGCCAGTCTGTGCCTCATCAATACTCCCCAGCTCTTGAGAAGCCCTGGAACATCATGCTATAGGGCTGCCCTGGCCTTACCAGCCTCCTGGCCACCGATACCAGCTTTCCATGGCTTCCGAGCCACCTTGTGTCTCCTCCTGGCAAGGTGGGCTCAGAGGCAGTGGGGGAGTAGCGGTGGTAGTAGTGGAACCTTAATGGGTAAAGATGCTCATTGAGGCCTGTGAAGCTGTGGCTGCCGACTCATGGAAATTGTAGTCTCTTTAGGACTTTGGATATAGAAAGCCAGGAAAAGAGGGTGGGTAGCAAAGGGTGTCATGCAGGCACCAGTTCAATGTTTCAGCCTCCCTGGGCATGAAGGACATAGAGAAGGATGGATGGGACTTATAGCGGGTGGTTTTGGGCCAGGAAATCTCTTTTCACCATCCCTATTGAACTTTACCTTGATTAGATGAGACAAGTTCATTAAAACCCATCAAATGCCATCCTATCACAGGTATTAATGAATATGTGTTGTCAATCCAAATAATAGAGAGGGATATTCTCTAAAAGAAAATGATGTTGCTGGGCATGATGGCTCATGCCTGTAATCCCAGCATTTTGGGAGGCCAAGGCAGGCAGATTGCTTGAGTCCAGGAGTTCAAGCCCAGCCTGGGCAACATAGTGAAACCCCATCTCTACAACAAATACAAAAAATTACAGGTGGTGGCACTCACCTGTAGTCCCAGCTACTTGTGATGGGAGGATTGCTTGAGCCTGGGAGGCAGAGGTTGCAGTAACCCAAGATCGCACCACTGCACTCCAACCTTGGTGACAGAGTGAGGCCCTGTCTAAAAAAAAAAAGAAAAGAAAAGAAAAAACTAATTAAAATAAAGAAAAGACAAAAGAAAATGATGTTTATTCAGGAATAGGGATCTCAGTGGGAATACCTGTGCATAGCAAACTAAGTGCATATTCAGGAAAGTAAAGGAAGGCAAAAGTTTGAAAAGGAAAAGTGAGGATGATCACATAATTGTTTTTAGATAATTATCCTTGGCCACATGTACCAATAAGAAGAGTGACGTCAGTCGGAAGTCAGACAGGCAGTTGATGGACAGATGTCCTTGCAGAAGTATTTTGAGGTTGCAATGGCTTTTATGCAAGGTTGTGGATTTTGCAGAGTCTTTCGTGGTTGTTCTTGCCATCGGGCATTCGCACACGAGAGCCTTCTGTTTATGACCTTCTTTGGTTCTATTTGCCAAGTTTTTTGTTTTTTTTTTTTTTTTAACATAAGTGACTCCATTTTGATTCTGACAACTTGCACAATGTATATCTCTCTATATGACTATATATATCCACATCTCACTGCTCTGTGCCAAGGGTTTTCTAAAAGAAGATTAACTCATTTGGGTCCTATAATTAACATCCTCCTCCTCTCCATTTTACAAATGAGGAAACTGAAGCACAGAGAAAGTACTTGAAGCCACAGCAGAAGAGGAGCAGCTCAGCTGGCAGGGCCATCCCCTGAACACACCCATCTCATGGGTTCGAGCTTATGAATTATGATGTGGCAACGAACACTCTCGAAGACTTAGTGGTTGTATTAATTTCATATTCTTACTGTAAGAAACTTGGTGACCTAAAGCAGCCCAAATTTATTCTCATACAGTGGTTAGAGGGCAGGAGTCCAAAGTCAGTTTTACCGGGCTAAAATCAAAATGCTGGCAGTCATTCCTTCTGGAGCTTCTAGGAGAGAATCGTTTTGGTCCCTTTTTCAGCTTCTAAAGGTCATCTGAATTCCTTGGCTCCTGGCCTCCCTCTGGCATTGCTGCAACAGCCCTTCTTTTATCACATCAACTTTTCTCTGAACTTGCCTCTCCTGTCTTCCACTTATGGAGATCCTTGTGATTACATTGGGCCCACCTGGATAATCCAGGCTCATCTCCCCCTCACTGAATCCTTAATCTATTCACATCTGCTAAGCCCCTGTTGTCACGTAAGGTAATATATTCACAGGCTTCCGAGATTAGAAATGGACATTTTGAAAAACATTTATTTATTTTTAGAGATGGGGTCTTGCTATGTTGCCCAGGAACACGGGCATTTTTTGGGGGGCAAAATAATAATGTTCAGAGTCTAAAGAAATAGCAGATAGGAGGCAGGATTAACTTGCAGCTCCCACTCGAATGGACAGAGCAGCATGTGGAGACTCACATCATGAACTTTTGCTCCAAGAACTACTGCAGGAACATCCCAGGAAAGCTGAGAGAATCCACACACCCTTTGAAGGAAGCGGCTTGCTGCTGCCGGCCCCATGAGACAGCTGAGAAACTCCGAGTGCCCAAAGTGTGAGAGGGGGAAAGTCTGCTCCCGAGCACTCATCCTCACTGCGGAACCTGAAGGTCCAGATCACAGGAGAAGGATTTGACCTTACCTAGAGCTGAGATGAACTGAGAGAGTCAAGTGAAATGCAGAGGTAGAGGAAGCAGCGGGAAGAGTCCTGTGGGCACTCTTGGTCTCCAGGGAAGCCATTCCTGACTTTGTTTCACAGGGGTCCTTGGAGAGAGCTGCCAGTGGAATTGGGGAAAGACCACAGGGAGAAGGAAACTTCCAATTGAACTTTGTAACAATTTTGACCAAACGTGAGGTTTCCTGGACAGAATCCCGGGGAAGGGGTGAACAGGGAGTGTAGCTATGAGCATAGAAACTGCGCCAGGTGGGGAGGCATGGAACCTGACAGCCCTGCTTGCTTTCTCAACAGGGAGGCTTGTAGCCTGAGGCAAGTTCTCAGCCTGCTCACCGGCTGCCTGGAAATAAACTTGCTGCTGTTGGGGGCCCACGGTAGGAGTGAGACTAGCTTTCGAGCTGCATGGGAGCTGGGTGAGGCCTGTCACTGCTGGCTTTTCCCCACTTCCTTGGCCACCTGTATGACACAGGAGAAGCAGCCATAATCCTCCTGGGAATGTAACTCCGTTGGCCTGGGAACCACACCCCCATCCTCCACAGCAGCCACAGCAAGCCCTGCCCAAGGAGAGTCTGAGCTCAGACACGCCTAACACTGCCCCCCACCTGATGGTCTTTTTCTACCCACCTTGGTAGCTGAAGACAAAAGACATAATCTCTTGGGAGCTCTATGGCCCTGCCCACCACCTGAGAAATCCTAATACATATCCAGGTGACCCTAGAGTAAGCTTGTATCCTCCCTATACTACCACAACTGATGCTGTCTTGAAAGCATCACCTCCCAGCTGGAGGCCAACCAACACAAAACCAGCACATTAAGCAAAACTACCATCAAGGACCCTCACAGAATCCACTTCACTCCTTTGCTACCTCCACTGGAGCAGGTGCTGGTATCCACAGCTGAGAGACCTGAAGATGGATCACATCACAGGGCTCTTTGCAGACACTCCCCAGTACCAGACCATAGCCTAGTAGGTCCACTGGGTGGCTAGACCCAGAAGAGAAATAACAATCACTGCAGTTTGGCTCTCAGGAAGCCCTATCCCTAGGGGAAGGGGGAGAACACCACATCCAGGGAGCACGCGGTGGGACAAAAGAATCTGAACAGCAGCCCTTGAGCCCCAGATCTTTTCTCTGATAATAGTCTACCCAAATGAGAAGGAACCAGAAAAACAATTCTGGTAATATGACAAAACAAGTTTCTTTAACACCCCTAAAGGATCACATTAGCTGATCAGCAATGGATTCAAACCAAGAAGAAATCACTGAATTACCAGAAAAAGAATTCAGAAGATCAATTATAAAGCTACTCAAGGAGGCACCAGAAAAAGGTGAATACCAACTTAAAGAAATAAAAAAATGATACAGGATAAAAATTTCCAGAGAAATAGCCTAAATAGGAAACAATCACAGCTTCTGGAAATGAAGGACACAGTTAGAGGAATGCAAAATACACTGGAAAGTCTCAGCAATAGAATAAAACAAGTAGAAGAAAGAACTTCAGAGCTTGAAAACAAGGCTTTTAAATTAACCCAGTCAGACAAAGACAAAGAAAAAAGAAAAAAAATGAACAAAGCCTCCGAGAAGTTTGGGATTATGTTAAACTGCCAAACCTAAGAATAATTGATGTTCCCAAGGAAGAAGAGAAATCTAAAAGTTTGGAAAACATATTTGGGGGAATAGTTGAGGTAAACTTCCCTGGTCTTGCTAGAGAGCTAGACATCCAAATAAAAGAAGCTCAAAGAACATCCAGGAAATTCATAGCAAAAAGGTCATCACCTAGGCACATAGTCGTCAGGTTATCTAAAGACAAGATGAAGGAAAGAATCTTAAGAGCTGTGAGGCAAAAGCATCAGGTAACCTATAAAGGAAAACCTATCAGAGTAGCAGCAGATTTCTCAGCAGAAACCTATAACCTAGAAGGGATTGGATCCTGTTGTTAGCCTCCTTAAACAAAACAATTATCAGCCAATAATTTTGTATTCAGCAAAACTAAGTTTCATAAATGAAAAAGATAGTCTTTTTCAGACAAACAAATGCTCATAATTCACCACTATCAAGCCAGCACTACAAGAACTGCTAAAAGGAGCTCTAAATCTTGAAACAAATCCTCAAAATACACCAAAATAGAACCTCCAGAAAACATAAATCTCACAGGACCTATGAAACAATAACACAATGAAAAAAACCAATGAGGTATTCAGGCAATAACTAGCAAGATGAATAGAATAGTAGTACCTCACTTCTCAATACTAATGTAAATGCCATAAATGCTCCACTTAAAAGATACAGCAAGGCAGAATGCATAAGAATCCACCAACCAAGTATCTCTTATCTTCAAGAGACTCACCAACACATAAGGACTCACATACATTTAAGGTAAAGGGGTGGAAAAAGATATTCCATGCAAATGAACACCAAAAGCGAGCAGGAATAGCTGTTCTTATATCAGACAAAACAGACTTGAAAGCAACAACCATTAAAAAAGACAGAGGGATATTATATAATGATAAAAGGACTAGTCCAACAGGAAAATATCACAATCTTAAATATATATGCATCTAACACTGGAGCTCCCAAATTTATAAAACAATTACTAGTAGACATTAGTAATGAGATAGCAACAAAATAATAGTGGAGGACTTTAATACTCCAGTTACAGGTCGTCAAGACAGAAAGTCAACAAAGAAACAATGGACTTAAACTATACCCTAGAACAAATAGATTTAACAGATATTTACAGAACATTCTACCCAACAACTACAGATTATACATTCTATTCATCAGCACATTGAACATTCTCCAAGATAGACCATGTGACAGGCCACAAAACAAGTCTTGATAAATTTAAGAAAATTGAAATTATATCAAGTACTCTCTCAGACCACAGTGGAATGAAATTGGAAATCAACTCTAAAAGGAATCTTCAAAACCATGCAAATACATGGAAATTAAATAACCTGCTCCTGAATGATCATTGGGTCAACAATAAAATCAAGATGGAAATTAAAAAATTCATTGAAGTGAAAGATAATCGTGACAAAACTTCTGGGATCCAGCAAAAGTGGTGCCAAAAGGAAAGTTCCTAGCATTGAATGCCCACAGCAGAAGGTCTGAGAGAGCACAAATAGATAATCTAAGATCACACCTCAAGGAACTAGATAAACAAGAACAAACCAAACCCAAACTCAACAGAAGAAAATAAATAACCAAGATCAGAGCAGAACTAAATGAAATTGAAACAAAAAAATTACAGAAGATAAATGAAACAAAAAGCTGGTTCTTTGAAAAGATAAACAAAATTGATAAACCATTAGTGAGATTAATTAAGAAGAGAAGAGAGAAGATCCAAATAAGCTAAGTTAGAAATGAAACAGGAGATGTTACAACTGATACCACAGAAATACAAAAGATCATTCAAGGCTACTATGAATACCTTTATGCACACAAACTAGAAAACCTAGAGGAGATGGATAAATTCCTAGGAATATACAACTATTTTAGATTAAACCAGGAAGAAATAGAAATTCTGAACAGACCAATAACAAGCAGTGAGATAGAAATGGTAATAAAAAAATTGCCAACAAAAAAATTCCAGGACCAGATGGATGCATTCACAGCTGAATTCTATCAGACATTCAAAGAAGAATTGATATCAATCCTATCGACACTATTTCAAAAGATGGAGAAAGAGGGAATCCTCCCTAAATCATTCTATAAAGCCACTATCAGCCTAATACCAAAACCAGGACACGACATAACAAAGAAAGAAAACTACAGGCCAATATCCCTAATTAACATAGATGCAAAAATCTGTAACAAAATACTACCTAACCTGATCCATCAGTATATCAAAAAGATAATTCACCATGATCAATTAGGTTTTATACCAGGGATTCAGGGATGGTTTAACATATGCAAGTCAATAAATGTGATATACCACATAAGCAGAATTAAAAAGAAAAATCACATGATCATCTCAATAGATGCAGAAAAAGCATTGGACAAAATTTAGCATCCCTTTATGATTAAAACCCTCAGCAAAAATGACATAGAAGGAACATACCTCAAGGTAATAAAAGCCATCTACGACAAACCCACAGCCAACATTATACTGAACAGGGAAAAGTTGAAAGCATTCCCCCCTGAGAACTAGAACAAGACAAGGATGCCCACTTTCACCACTTCTATTCAACATAGTACTGGAAATCCTAGCCAGAGCAGTCAGACAAGAGAAAGAAAGAAAGGGCATCCAAATCAGTAAAAAGGAAGTCAAACTGTCACTGTTCTCTGATGATATGATAGTATATTCAGAAAACTCTAAAGACTCATCCCAAAAGCTCCTAGCACTGATAAATGAGTTCAGCAGAACTTCAAAACACAAATCAGTAGTACTGCTATACACCAACAGTGACCAAGCTGAGAATCAAATCAAGAACTCAACCCCTTTTACAATAGCTGCAACAACAACAAAAAATGAAATAAAATACTTAGGAGTAAACCTAACCAAGGAGGTGAAGGACCTTTACAAGGAAAACTACAGAACACTACTGAAAGAAATCATAGACAACACAAACAAATGGAAACCCATCCCATGCTGATGGATGGGTAGAATCAGTATTGTGAAAATGACCGTGTGGCCAAAAGCAATCTACAAATTCAATGCAATTCCCATCAAAATACCACCATCATTCCTCACAGAATTGGAAAAAGCAATCGTAAAATTCATGTAGAATCATTATTGTGAAAATGACCGTGTGGCCAAAAGCAATCTACAAATTCAATGCAATTCCCATCAAAATACCACCATCATTCCTCACAGAATTGGAAAAAGCAATCGTAAAATTCATATAGAACCAAAAAAGAGCCCATACAGCCAGAGCAAGAGTCAGCAAAAAACAAACAAACAAACAAAAAAACAAATCTGGAGGCATCACATTATCCAACTTCAAACTATACTATAAGGCTATAGTCATCAAATCAGCATGGTACTGGTGTAAAAATAGGCACATAGACCAATGGAACAGAATAGAGAACCCAGAAATAAAGCCAAATACTTACAGCCAGCTGATCTTCTACAAAGCAAATAAATACATAAAGCAGGGAAGAGCACCCTATTCAACAAATGGTGCTGGGATAATTGGCAAGCCACATATATAAGAATGAAACTGGATCCTCAACTCTCACCTTACACAAAAATCAACTCAAGATGGATCAAAGACTTAAATCTAAGACTTGAAGCCATAAAAATTCTAGAAGATAACATTGGAAAAACCCTTCTTGACATTGGCTTAGGCAAAGACTTCATGATCCAGAATCCAAAAGCAAATGCAACAAAAACAAAGATAAATAAATGGGACTTAATTAAACCAAAAAGCTTCTAGGCCAGGTGCAGTGGCTCATGGTTGTAATTCCAGGACTTTGGGAGGCTGAGGCAGGTGAATCACTTGAGGTGAGGAGTTTGAGACCAGCCTAGCCAACATGGCAAAACCCTATCTCTACTAAAAATACAAAAATTATCCGGGTGTGGTGGTGCACATCTGTAATCCCATCAACTTGGGTGGCTGAGGCACGAGAATCACTTGAATCCAGGAGGTGCAGGTTGCAGTGAGCTGAGATCACACCACTGCACTCCAGCCTGGGCGACAGAGCAAGACTGTCTCAAAAAACAAAAAGCAAAAAGCAAAAAACAAAAAACAATGCTTTAGCATAGCAAAAGAAATAATCAGCAGAGTAAACAGACAGTGGGAGAATATCTTCACAAACTATGCATCCAACAAAGGACTAATATCCAGAATCTACAAGGAACTCGAACAAATCGGCAAGAAAAAATCAAACAATCCCATCAAAAAGTGGGCTAAAGACATGAATAGACAATTCTCAAAAGAAGATATACAAATGGCCAACAAACATGAAAAAATGCCCAACATCACTAATGATCAGGGAAATGCAAATCAAAGCCACAATGTGATACCACTTTACTTCCACAAGAATGGCCATAATCAAAAAACCAAAAAATAGATGTTGGTGGGGAGGTGGTGAAAGGGGAACACTTTTACACTGCTGGTGGGAATGTAAACTAGTACAACCACTATGGAAAACAGTGTGTGAAGATTCCGTAAGGAACTAAAAGTAGAACTACCATTTGATCCAGTAATTCCACTACTGGGTATCTACCCAGAGGAAAAGAAGTCATTATACGAGAAAGATACTTGCACACAGATGTTTATAACGGTACAATTCACAATTGCAAAAATATGGAACCAGCCCAAATGCCCATCAATTGACGAGTGGATAAAGAAAATGTGATATATATACACACATACACACATACACACACACACCATGGAATACTACTCAGCCATAAAAGGAAACAAAATAATGGCATTTGCAGCAACCTTGGATGGAATTAGAGACCATTATTCATGTAGAGTGAAGTAACTCAGGAATGGAAAACCAAACATCGTATGTTCTCACTTATAAACGGGAACTAAGCTATGAGGATGCAAAGGCATAAGAATGATACAATGGACATTAGGGATTGGGGGAAAGGATGGGAGGGGGGTGAGGGATAGTATTCAGGTGATGGGTGCACCAAAATCTCAGAAATCACCACTAAAGAACTTATCCATGTAGCCAGTGGTATCTATGGTTACACCTGTTGGTGTCCATGGAACCTTGGTATCCTTGATATCCATGGAACCACCTGTTCTCCAAATACCTATTGAAATAAAAAATAAAATAATAATAATATTCAGCTCACTACAGCTGTTAGTGAAGATTTTGAATATGTAAAAATCTAGTATTAGGAGGGCTAGGACATTTTCGAATATATTTGCTGTTAATTCAGGAGGAACTGGGTGAACATCCAGCCCCATGAACAATGTAACTGATATTAAAGAGAAATTCTCCAGGACTTTGCCACTGAATAACTGTCAGATTAATGGAGGAAATTGGTTGGAAGAGACTGATGCAGTTCTCTCTGCCAAATAATGCCTTAAACAAAGCGTGTCTTTTGGGATGATATGTGAAACAAGACTTTGTTAGTTGTTCTATATATAGTTTGAATGTTTTATGAGAAACTTACTGTTTTTTAAGGTATGAAAACATGATTTTCATTATTCCTTAGAGTCACATTGGTTTCCTGTGAAAAACTTGCATTATGACATGTAAATAAAAATATTATTTTACTTAGAAGAACTCAGTTTACATGCAATAATTCAGGTGCTTATCAATCATGTCCAGTTTATCCAGAGAATAAAAGGGAAGACATTAAAAAAACGGATTTGTCTGTTGACTTACATATCATTTTTTTTAACATACAGGTTTTAAAATATTATTAATGCCCTCTCAATAATAAACACTTGAGGGGCTCATTCTGGTAGAATGGGAGAGAGTTCTAGAAACACATGTTGACCCTCTAGGGTGCCGTGTGTAAGAATGAAAGGCTATGATGATGGAGGGGAGGGACTGGCATTAGGGAAAGCACCTTGAAGGAGTAATTACTAACCAAGTTGGAAACAAAGAACAGGAGCTTCCCCAGTGGACGAGGTGGAGGGATTTTTCACGGAACACAGTATTGGGAGACACATGGTATGTTTTGGACATTGAAGGTATTACTATCTGGTACAAAGGGGACAAAAGAGAGGAGATTTAGGGTGAGAAATGACAAAGGGTCCTGGGGCCCAAAGGCATTTATCTGTTTAATTCACAATATTGGCACTATTTTCTCTTCTCATTCCTGATCCTACTTCAGATACTGTATATATCTTTAAACACACGTTGGCATCACCCTCAGATCTTTGTATCCCCAACTTCTGCTCAGCCACCAGGTTCTGTCAGTTCTGTCTCATCTCCAACCCTATGGCCACTGCCATGGTTCAGGGCCTTTACTCGGGTCCACTGATCTGGGACTTGGAATCAGGAGGGAATGATCTAAGGTCAAGGCTACTTGCAGCCCAATTTTGGTGACCACTGAGGCAGGGCTGAGAGTCAAGTGCAGCTGGAGTCCACGTCCTCCAGTGTGACCTTGAGCGATCTCTCTGCCTCTAGCCCCTCTTGGTTCCCATCTAGTTTCTGAGCCTGATCCTCCTGTCTGTCCTGTGTGCCTTTTCAGTAACATTCCAATAACCTCCTTTCTTGCCATTTACCCAGTCACTGGGAGTTGATTCCAGGACCATCAACCAAGTGGGAGGTCTGAGACTCAGGAGAGACTCACCCAGTCACTTGCAACCGTGGAGGAGCCAGAGGGGCTCAAAAGGCCCGTTTTGGTACTAAGGTGCTCAGTCCTTGCAATGTTCTAGGTGACCCTGGGCTGTCTGCTCTGAGTCCTATCTGGGGTGCCATGATTGTCAACTAAAGGAAAAAAAAAGTCAAGTGTTTAAAGAATTAAAGTTAGCTTTATTTACAGTTTTACTGAGGACTGTAGGCCAAGGCCTATAGCTGAGGAACAGTCCTATCAGACTACTGTGGACAGTGTTTTAGCCTACTGCTTATGTAGAGGTGGCCAGGGATCGGTACATGTAAAATTACTGTAGACTTGTTTAGAAGGTATGTTGAAGCAGAATTGAAGTTTGCGGTTGTGTGCAGGGGTGGATGCCTGTGATCCCAGCACTTTGGGAGGCTGAGGTGGCAGGATTACTTGAGGATAGGAGGATAGAGATCACGTCTCTACAAAAAAACATAAAAATTAGCTGGGCGTGGTGGCACATGCCTGTCGTCCCATGTACTCAGGAGGCTGAGGCAGGAGGATCATTTGAGTCCAGGAGTTCCAGGCTGTAGTGAGCTATGATAGTGCCACTGTGGAGGAGGGGGGTAGTGGGGAGAGCAATTTTATTAATGTTCGGGTATAAGAGTATATCTGGTTATAGATTATGGAAGTATAATTACTAATCCTGTCAGACATTATCTTATGTGTAGGAAAAAACAAGACTAGGTTATTTATTTATTTATTTATTTATTTATTTTGAGATAGAGTCTCGCTTTGTTGCCCAGGCTGGGTGCAATGGTGTGATCTTGGCTCACTGCAACCTCTGCCTCCCGGGTTCAAGCGATTCTTCCTGCCTCAGCCTCCCGAGTAGCTGGGATTACAGGTGCACGCCACCACACCCAGCTAATTTTTGTATTTTTAGTAGAGATGGGGTTTTGCCACGTTGGCCAGGCTGGTCTCGAACTCCTGACTTCAGGTGGTCCACCCGCCTCGGCCTCCCAAAGTGCTGGGATTATAGGCGTGAGCCACCGCTTCCGACCAGGTCATTTATTTTTTAAGGAATGTAATGATTTAGGCAAGAGGCATGGAGGACCATATGCTCTGTTTTGTTTGTCTTTTTGTTTTTAGAGAGTTGTATGTCATCTCAGAGTCAGGGGCTTTGTGAAATTATTCTGGCAAGAAGAAATGAGCAAATATGGCTTTTTATGATTGTTACTTTGTCTCACATCAAGCAGGAGCTCTAGCGGATCCAAGCAGTGATAGGAACAGTATAAACACAGGGAGAGGGAGAAGGTGGCTGGTTCTCAAAATGGCGGAGCACTTGGGCAGGGAGATGCTCCCTGCTCTTGGGACGCGGCGACTGTGGTGGATGCACCGCTGCTGTGGGGTGTCATGGACGTGGCACTTACCTGTGAGGCTGGCCGAGCAGCTGCCGGGACAGTTTGTCTTTGCTTGTGTGTCTTAAACTCTCATTACCTGTGACAAGGACTCCCTTCCCTGACCAAATTTTGTCAGGGCCCTCTTTTTGACTAGCTGGGTTCTTGGCCCTGTCCTTGGCCTGCCAAGCCCAGTTTTAGTAGGAATCTTGCTAAGCCAGTTTAGGGAGAACCCGTTCCATCCCCTTTATATCTAATCAAGTTCTTCTTTCCCACCACACTTGATATCTCATCAAATTCCTCTTAGTAATTTTCCATCTACTGATGCCTGCCCATTGGCTAAAAATCTCCAGCTGCTTTTGCTGTATTTGGAGTTAAGCTCAGTACTGAAGTCTGTCTTCTCTAACTGCAGTAGCTTGAATAAAATGTCTTACAATTTTTAGGAAGTGTCTGGTTCAGTTTCTCTTTAACATCTGGGTTTTATGAGACTGTTTTTTTTGGTTCCTGGCAATCCAAAAGAACCTTTAGAAAACAAAGATGTGTACTATAATGCTAAAATTGCAGCATATTGAATGTTTTATGAGAAACTTATTGTTTTCTAAGGTATCAAAACATGATTTTCATGATTCCTTAGAGTCATATTGCTTTCCTGTGAAAAACTTGCGTTATGTCATATAAATAAAAATATTATTTGGTTAAAAAATTCAATTTACATACAATAAGTCAGGTGCTTATCAATCATGTTCAGGGTTCTTCCCACACACAAAAAACATAATAACAAAACCAAAAACCACAAAGCAGCATGAGGAAGCTTTTGAAGGTGAGGGATATATTTTTACCTTGATTGTGGTGATGGTTTCATGGGTATATGCATATATCCAAACTCATGAAATTGTATATGTTAAATATGTACAGTTTTTTGGTATATCAAGTATACTTCAATAAAGCTATTGATAATAAAGAAAACCTCAAAAAGTATATGTATGTACTGGCACCTGCTTTGCATTGAAAGCAAAGCACAAACAGACACAATTAAAATAATATAAACAAATAATAAAAGCGTTAGTGATTGAGTTCTATGTAGAGGAGTACCCAGATCAGGAGAGAGTATCAATCAAGGCAGGCTTCTCGAAGGAGGAAGCTTTGGGTCAGGTTGGGAGGGAGTTGAGCATCAAGGATTAGTAGGAGGAATGGGGGAGGCATCTCACCAAGGGGCTCATAATGCTGTGTAGTGAAGATGGGATCATTTTGTCCGTGGGCTTTGGACGAGTCACTTTACCATACCTTTCTTTCTTTCTTTTTCTTTTTCTTTTTTTCAGAAGGAGTCTTGCTCTGTCACCCGGGCTGGAGCGCAGTGATGTGATCTTGGCTCACTGCAACCTCTGCCTCCCGGGTTCAAGTGATTCTCCCGCCTCAGCTTCCTGAGTAGCTGGGATTACAGGTGCCCGCCACCACACCCAGCTGATTTTTGTATTTTTAATAGAGATGGGGTTTCACCATGTTGGCCAGGCTGGTCTTGAACTCCTAACCTCAGGCGATCTGCCCGCCTCAGCCTCCTAAAGTGCTGGGATTACAGGCGTGAGCCACCATGCCCGGCTCGCTTTACCTTTCCATCTCTGAGTTTCCTCATTTGGAAAATGGGAATAGGAACACTCACTTTTGTTAAAAATTACACATACTGGAAACGTACTTTGCCTTTCTCACTCTCAGTTTCCTCATCTGGAAAATGGGTATAGTAATACTCTCTTTTATTTTAAAAAGATGATTTTTATATTATTAAATATATACAGAAAAGAACTGGAAAGTGGTCAAGGGAGGGAGGTATAGAAAAACTTATTCAGCAAAGAAGCTTCTTCCTTACCTGCCTTTCCTGACTCAAAGAAATCTGCCCACAGCAGAACTGGGCCTGGGGAAACTCATTCCAATTTCTTTCCTCCCTTGGAGGTTGGGGAAAGAGTGGAGATTTCAGAGGCTTTCAGGATACTGAAGAAGGTAGGGGGAATGATAGGAAGCTATTGCAGCCTTTTCCAGTTCTTCTCTCTTCTTGTGGAACTAAGCCCAATCCCATCTCACAATACTCGATATCAAAAAGATGACCCCATGGAAGTGGGCACACGTGGGCACCTATGTGCTGAGCATGAGGCTGGTTGTGATGAGTAAGTGAGGCATGGTGCGTGTGGAGTAGCCACGGGGAGAGGGTGGGTGTGGGAGGAGGGATACTGAGGGACTCCCAGGGAGGTGAGCATGGAGCCGGGCTGTGCCTTGGCCAGGGGTTCCCCTATGCTGACGTAAGAAGAGAGGCACAGCCAAGTTGTGTGTGATGTTGGTTTAGACCAGAGGCCAGCGAATTTTTCTGTACAGGACCAGATAAATAAATATTACAGACTTTGCAGCTCTCAGTTGTAACTGCTCAAGTCTGCCATTGTAGCATGAACGCAGCCATGGGCAATACAGAAATGAATAAATACGTCTGTGTTCCAATCACATTTTGCTTACAAAAATAGACAATGGGCCAGTTTTTGCACATGAGCCATAGTTTGCCAACCCAGAGAGTTAGGAATTCTGAAAAAGGGATATTAGTTTCAATCATACCCCAGCAAGATGATGACGATGTGAGCCCATCAGTGCCTAGTGTTCACCCCTCCAGTGTTGGGGTTCACTCATCTGTGCACCTCCTCACATTCACTGTAACACAGTACGGTCCACCTCGTTTCTCCTCACCTTGCTTCTTGCATTTGCTCCACCAGAGTAACCTAACTCAACAATTTTTTTTAAATCTCCTGGGATTGAAAGAACTTTTGCAGCATGCTAAATCAAAAACTAAAGATTTGGATTTTTTTTTTTTTTTGAAGATAAAAGCGTTCCCCTCATGCCGTAGGGAAGCAGAACACTCCTTTTCTATTCTTGTCTTTGCATTTTGACTGTAGCTGGGAGTGAGTCCAGTTCTGGGGGTGTTTTTCCTGGACTCAGTCATGAGGAATCTTTTTTTTTGAGATGGAGTTTAGCTCTTGTTGCCCAGGCTGGAGTGCAATGGCGCAATCTCGGCTCACTGCAACCTCCACCCTCCCGGGTTCAAGAGAATCTCCTGCCTCAGCCTCCCGAGTGGCTGGGATCACAGGCATGTGTCACCACGCCTGGCTAATTTTGTATTTTTAGTAGAGACGGGGTTTCACCATGTTGGTCAGGCTGGTCTCAAATTCCTGACCTCAGGTGATCTGCCTGCCTCAGCCTTCCAAAGTGCTGGGATTACAGGTGTGAGCCACCACACCCAGCTGAGGAATCTTGATAGAACTCACACAGAATTCCAGGGAGAGGACTTGGGGTAAGGAATGAAGAGGGAGACCCACGGGGGTAAAACCACCTCCAGGTCCCACCTTTTCTCTGCCTTGGTGGCCCCAATCCTTTTCTCAAGGACCCCACTGTCCTGGGCGCTGGGCTGGTCCGAAAAGGGACCTGCACTCATGGCATGAAGATGTGAAGCCTGGTTCTGACTTGGGGCTGGTTTGGCCAAGTTGGCCTGATGAGGGGCACCTCTCCCCAACCTTCACCACCTGGCATTCTCGAAGACAGAGAGAATCCACACTTGTCTGCCTCTTCCCTCTCTATCAGTCTTCTTGAGTCTTCAGTGGGATTCATTATATTCAAAATGGCCTGTATCTGCAGTTTGGAGTTCTGCGAGGACTCAACTCTTTCTAAAATTAAAAGCCATTGAGAACCAGGCACAGAGGCTCATGCCTATAATCCCAGCATTTTGGGAGGCTGAGGCGGGCTGACCACTGGAGGTTAGGAGTTTGAGACCAGCCTGACCAACATGGTGAAACCCCGTCTCTAATAAAAATACAAACATTAGCTGGGCGTGGTGGCACATGCCTGTAATTCTAGCTGAGGCAGGAGAATTGCTTGAACCTGAGAGGCGGAGGTTGCAGTGAGCCAAGATCGCACCACTGCACTCCAGCCTGGGTGACAGATGGAGACTCCATCTCAACAACAACAACAACAACAAAAAGGCTGTTGAGAAACATAAAATTCCTTCATGATTAATTTCTGACATAACATTGTAGGAGCTTGTGATTTGTGTGACTTCTCTTTAAAATGCATTAAGGTTTTGTGTGTTCTAATGATTAATTTTGTTAACTATCTATGGCACTGTAAGATAATAATTTGGGGGAGATTTTAAGGTTTAGTATATTCCTGTTAAAACATTCTATTAGAACATCCTTTAACTATCGTTTTTGTTAATGTTACCTGTAGTTCTAACAGATTTTGCTTATTTTATTTTAGTACTGGTTTTTGGCACATAGCTACTATATATTCATAGTTAATTTTACTTTTTACGAAAATAAAATGGCTGTCTTGGTCCAAATCTTTAATGCCTTTGTCTTTAATTCTACTCTATGTAAGAGTAATATTGAGGCACCTATTCCTTTTTCTGGATGTGTGCTGTTATCTTTATCCAGTCTTAAAAATAAAATCAATGGAAAGAAAATTATCAGAAGAAAAATAGGAAGGGACATGAACAGGCAATTTACAAAAATAAAAACAAAACAAAACACAAATACCCAGTAAATAATTTTAACATGTTCAGCTTCACTTGTCAAAGATTTGCAAATTAAACTTGCAAGAAGATAACAGCAACTTACCATTTCTCATCTACCATATTTGTAAAGATGAACAAAATTACATTAAATTTCTCATGGAAATCAAAGAGTATAATTTTGGAGAGATGAATTTTATAATAATTTATTGAAATTAATAAATAGAGATTTATACCAAGGATTTGTATGCAGGGATATCCATTATACTGTTATTTATAATAGTGAAAAATTGGAACCAATCTAAAAGTAAAAAAAAAATTGGCTAAATAAATCAAGGCCTATGTAATTGATATGCTATGCAATCGTTAGATCATATTTTGAAGAATATTCAATAATATGAGAATGTGTACATGATACATTTTAAACTAAAAATAAAGGTATATATACATATATACATATACATGTGTGTATTTTATTTTTAAGAAAACGGGAGCTAGAATATTTATTGCTCATGGAGTAGAAGAATATATGTTAATAGTGTTCATATTATGGTGATTTTTTCTATTTTCCAATCAATTTTTATTATTTTCATAATAATAAAGTATATTTAAAAATACAGGTATTGGAATTACTTAAAAGCAGTTAATGATCTTAAAGAAAAGATGATGTTACATTTTAAATGAGAGGAAATGATCAAAATCAACTCAAAGAGTTCACTATGTAACTATCAATATTGGGATTACTATATGGATATATTTACATATTTTCCTCTTTAAAGATTGAGATAAAAGTTTTTGCCTCTTCAATGTACCATCTTCCACACAGTAAGATATATTTTATTATTTATAATTATTTTATTATTTAACTTGGGCCATATGATATAGATAGAGAAAATGTCTAAATTGGAAATTTTTGAAAGGGAAATCATCAGAACATAAAGACAAGTTTCTTGTGGGTTAGAATTGAAAAAGAGAAGACTGGCTTCTCTTTCATTAAAGCATTCAGTAACTTTCCCACTGTTCTGTCTTCTTTGTAAATATGAGACAATAAGTGTAAATAATTGATAACCTTTGATGTACTCATGAGACATGGGTCTGTTTTGTATTTCCTTAGCTCTTCAAGCTAATGGTTAATGGGTGAGTTATACTTTCAGCCACTGGATGGCAGCTAACCTCCACTAGTAGTCAGCTGTTTCCAGAGTCTCTCCTTCTGTAGTGTAGACTGTGCTTTGTTTAGCATATTGTGCTTGAAGGGAGAAAAGAATTCAACATGCAGTATCTCTGGATTAATCTCATTTTATTAACCTCTGAACATAAGGTTTTATAGGGCATGAGATTGAAATGCTGTAAATCTTGTAACCAGAATCTGAGGATTTCTTCTTAAAAAGAAAAAAGCTAGATAAACCTGTCTGTTGATTGAGGTACAGTGTTGTTTTCATGGACTGTAGATCCATTACTAATAGTAGAACTTTGCCAATTTGACATCCCTGCACTACAAATAAAATTGCAACAACAATTCTCTGTAAGGAAAATATTTGTGAACCTTAGCTGAGCCATGGTAAGTTGATGCTCAGTATACTGAAATTCACTTTTATGAATAATTCAGTTCATGAAATTTCAGTGTGCAATTCTATCCCATTTGATAATCACTCAATAAAATGATAATAAAAAAGAGCACCTGCTATGCAGGAAAAAATGTGGCAGTTGAATCATGCTGTAAACCTCACACTTCGGTCTCTGCTAATAGAGGAACGTAGAAGTGCAGGATAAGCAGTTTCTCTCTTCTGTCTAACTAGGGGCACGCATGGGCAGAGTGACACTCAAAGGAGGGGCTGGGATTTGCCTTTTACACTTACTTATGAGTTCTTTTACTGCATATCCTCAAATAACTCACTATCTATAGCAACAAGTTAACAAAGATAAAAGACAATAACAAAAATGAGAACAACAATGGCATGAAAAAGGACACCTTCAAGGGGATAAAAACAGAATAGAGGTATTACTTAATGAGAGAAAATAGTTTTGGTTGATGACTATACACAGTATAGATGATGTTTAAAAATTACCATTCAACATATATTTAATGAGCACCTGTTATATGGCAGATATTGTGCTAGTCACAGTATTCATAGTCTTTATTTTAAAAAATATCCCAGCATAAAGTTTATTTCTAAAATGTAATTATTATTTAGTATGAAAATGATTAGATTCAAGGAATGAGCTGTAGAATTTCAGAGAAGGGAATCATAAGATTCGGGAAGAATGCTATAGAGGAAGGGCCATGGGAACAGATTCTTGACACGTGAATGGGACAGTGACCAGCAGAGATGGAATGAAGTGTGTGTCAGACCCTATGAAAGTGCATTTAGGGAAGAGCATGTACCACCCCACTGGTGAGCGTGGACAGCGGTGGTGGTTTGCAGGGAAGGTAGGAGATTCTTGTTCTGTTTTTCTTCATTGTTGCACGCTCTTGGCAAGGACTTTCCCTCCCCTCATGTCTTGCTTTTCTCCTGTATATTAGAGTAAAATTTAATATTGAAATAAGAGTTTTGAACTGATTTTAAAAAGGTTTAATCTCTACCAGAGTTAAATAGAACTAATTAGGGAAATATAAACTCTAATTAGATTGTTTACTATTTTGAAAACCTTCCGTAGGACAAACTTTTGTGATTTAAAATGTTTTCCATTTTATTAATTTTCTTTTTTTTCTTAAAGAGAAAAAAGTAATTCCCAAATGAGGATAACAGTTTGGAGAAAAATTGCCTTCAGCCTTAGTTCTTTTAGTCATATTTGCCTCACATTTTCTCCTAGGAGACTGCTGTTTTCAACTTTGTGTATTTCCTGGATTAAAAAAGCAATAGATTTTCTCTTACTGCTCTACATCACTCAGTGAATTAACCCCTCCAATTTTTGTTTCTTTACATTTGTTATTATTATGTAATGAGCTGGACACACCCTGTTTTCTTCCATTCTTTGTTTGGCAGTGAAACCCACTGAGGATGCTGAGTTCTCTTGGTGTATTAGTCTGTTTTCACATTGCTATAAAGACATACCTGAGACTGGGTAATTCATGAAGAAAAGAGGTTTAATTGATTCATGTTTCCACAGGCTTAACAGGAAGCACGGTTGGGGAGGCCTCAGGAAACTTACAATCATGGCAGAAGGCAAAGAGGAAGCAAGCACATCTCACCGTGGTGGCAGGAGAGAGAGAGAGTGAGGGGGGAAGTGCCACACACTTTTAAACAACCAGTTCTTGTGAGACCTCAATCGCGAGACAGCAGTTGGGGGACGGTGCTAAACCATTAGAAATTATCCCATGAGCCAGTCACCTCCCACCAGCCTCCACCTTCAATACGTGGGGATTACAGTTCCACATGAGATTTGGGTGGGGACAGAGAGCCAAACCATATCAGTCTGCCTTTGACTTCGCGTTGATTGTGTGGTCCTAAGTTGTTTCAAAATGAAGCACAGAATGGCAAGAAAATTGGTGATGAGTGAGAGTGAACGTGTGAGAACTGGCTGAGATGATTTTCCTTTAGGCTTCAGGGTCAGAAAGAAGGGAGATAGAAAGCAGCCAGGGAGGTTAAAAGAGAAAGAGTCAGAGATGTCCCAATGTGGAAGGCAGAACAGGCCTCACTCAAAAAGTAGCAGCGAGATCAACGCTGGGGCAGTTTAATGGGCAACGGGGAAACACTGCCTTCCTTCTGGAATTTTCTGTTGGAACAGATTCGAGTGTTAACCCTCTACTTTGGGAAAGGGGGAGGAAGAAAGTGGAGAAGCAGAGAGAAATGACTTTCCCTGGCCTGCTCTCGCTCACTTTCGGAACACCTCTCTCAGGAACATGTTTTCCTTTATTTTCTTCTATTACAAAAGGAAGAGCTTGCAGACTTTATTTAAGCTTTTACATTTTTCCTTCTAATTTTTAGACATGCAATTGCTCCTCCTTCACTAAAGTGATTTAGACCAACTTCAAAACTGAGTTTTATGAAAAGTTCTTTCCTTATCCTGTAAACCTTATTGCATATAAAAGGGTATATTTTCCACGTGTCGACTCATGAGCTTGGTATAGCACCCTGGATTCCTGCAACCTTCATAAGGTCTTATAATTTAGTACTTTATTATTTCACTTAGTTAGTTTTATCTCCTTTAATGGATTATAAGCTCTTTCTGGGAAGGAAGTGTTTTATAGTTGAATAACATCGTGCAGGGTATATCAGGGAAGCTTAATAAATATGTTTTGATTGCCTTTGGTGAGATGAATGAGTACACTAAAGTATTTTCTTAAAATATGTAACATTTCCTCTTAAATCACACCTAAAATATGGACTTACTTTTCTTACCATGTAGAAAAAATATTTTACCACCAGGTTTGACCTTTAGGGTCTTTACTGTCTTTTGTTTCTATTAAAACAGGAACTGGCCGGGCGTGGCAGCTCATACCTGTAATCCCAGCACTTTGGGAGGCCGAGGTGGGTGGATCACATGAGGTCAGGAGTTCAAGACCAGCCTGACCAACATGGTGAAACCTCGTCTCTACCAAAAATACAAAAATTAGCTGGACGTGGTGGCAGGCGCCTGTAATCCTAGCTGCTTGGGAGGCTGAGGCAGGAGAATCACTTGAACCTGGGAGGCAGAGGTTGCATCAAGCCGAGATCGCGCCATTGCACTCTAGCCTGGGTGACAGAGCAAGACCCCATCTCAAAACAAAACCAAAAATAAAACAAAACAAGAAGCATCCCACATTTTGAATGATATAATATTTGAAAGTTAAAACAATCAAAAGAAAGTAATTGTTCAGATTAATTCCATTGCAAATGCTGAATCACCAAGTAAGGGCTATATTTTCAAAATTCTTGCCTTATCTTGTTCTTTATGTTTTCATAGCAAGGTCCTTTATGTCCCCAACTTGGAATTTACTTCAATCAATGACTGTTGATTTATGTAGTTAATTGTGCCATTTCATTTGAATGTTTGAACCCACCCAGGGGCTACATTTGAATATAAGGCCCAATGTTAACTGTTTCTAGTAGAAGAGTTCATGATAGATGGAAAATCAGGAAGCTGACAATTCTTTTGGAAGCAGGAACAAGGTATTACATTCTAAAGCTATTGTCAAATGTATTTATGATAGAAATGTATATATATATATACACATTCACTTTAATTGGGTGTCATTTCACCTCTGCTCCGTCAAGAAGTTGTGATGTTGGTTTTAGTGAGAAGTGTTGAAACCCATCCTCAAGAAAACTCTGAAGGGACATTTGATCCGTACAGAGTTTCTATAATTTAGTCTTCTTAGCAATAAGATGAACTTATTCTTTATGTGTATGAGAAATGAAGTTTATGTTTGGTCTCTAAAATAATATTTTATTAATAGCAATTTTGCTCTTGAAGGAAACAACAGTGTCAGAGATTTGTCTTGTGACAACGCATTAAGTAGCAATGACGTTTATCACAAGTTATGTTACAGTGTTTAAGAAAGGTCAAATACTGAACACACAGATAGTCTCAGCTACTTGGGAGACTGGGGTGGAAGGATCACTTGATCCCAGGAATTCCAGGCTGCAGTGAGCTATGATTGCACCACTGCACTCCAACCTGGGCAACAGAGTGAGACCCCGTCTCTTTAAAAAACCCTGAAGAAAACAGCAATGGGTAAATAAACGGGTTATTTTTGTCCTCCTTGGCAATGTAAATATTGTTTTCTTGATAGTGGAGTAACTCTAATACAATTTGTAATTGTTGGTAGTTTGACATTTAAAGACATAATTAGGTCCTGGATGGGATTATAAATGGGCTGGTTTTCGTTTAATGAGCAGTTGGAAAACCCAGAAATACAGTCATGGGTAAGACATATTGATCCCTGCCCTCTGAATTTGCGGTGATATTGGTGGAGGTTGGGAGTCATCAAAAACACAGCCCCTGAGCTTCCCCTTGAACTCTGATCTGCCACCAAGTGCTCTCTTTCTGGGGTGATCAAATCATTCTTTCTCTGGCTAGAAACATCTTCCTTTGATGTCTCCCTGAGCCTATTTTTAAGCTTTTCAGAGACAGAACTTTCTTTGCAGAAATTGCTGCGTGCTTTAAAAAAATGGATTTGCTCTCTCTGATCACATTCTTGTAATCAGGAGTTTTCTGCCTTTCAAATCAATGCATCTCATTTTAGTTCCAGACTCCTTAGTGTGGGCGTGAGTGCTAACCATCAGTGTTTATGGATATGTCTTGCTTATTTTCACGGATTTTTATTTGTGATAAACGTCAAGCTATCCCAAGTTGGGAGATCCCTCTAGTTAATTAATGTGCTTCTGATGGGGTGATGTTAGAGGCCCTGGGCTGGGGTGATTCTTCGTTGCTTTTAGAAGATGTCTCTTGAGTCAACAAACAATTCCTATTATCAGGATTTTATTTTACATTAAATGACATTTGATTCACTTTTCTCATTAAATCTTTCTATAGGAAGACAACATGATTTTGAAGTTACCATTTTCATGATATCTTAGCACAAGAGAAAAGCAAAGAGGACCTAAATGCAGGGTTAAAGGAGAATTTTTATGTTTGCTGGTAAACCTAACTCTACTTTTTACTTTCTCTTTTTAATGAAAACTAACACAGCTGTGATAACAGCAAAGATAGCCCCCAAAATGATCCCTCAGGGAAACTGGAGCCCTCCACTTTCCTTTCCACAGCTGTCTGGTTTCTGCAGGGTGGTGTGTGTCTGTTGATGGGACAGAGCAAGCACAGGAGGGTGCAGGCTGGTGAGTTTCTCCCCGTTGTTAACTGCTGCTTGATGTCTTCAAAACCAGGGACCAGATCTTGGCATGAGTAATGACTTATGAAATGAAATATATTTTCCTTTTCAATGAATACCTTATAAACTCAATCACAATGAAAAAAAGAGAGAATATGGGCCAGGCATGGTGGCTCACGCCTGTAATCACAGCACCTCGGGAGGCTGAGGCGGGAGGATTGCTCGAGTCCAGGAGTTCGAGACCAGTCTGGGCAACATAGGAAGACCCCATCTCTACAAAAAATAAGTAAGAAATTAGCTGAATCTGGTGGTGCACACCTGTGGTTCCAGCTATTTGGGGAGCTGAGGTGGGAGGATTGCTGGAGCCCAAGAAGTTGAGGCTGCAGTGAGCCATGACTGCATCACTGCACTTCAGCCTGGGCGACAGAGCAAGACCCTGCTTCAAAAAAAAAAAAAAAAAAAAAAAAAACGAAAAAAACAAAAAAAAAACAAAAGAGACAGAGTATATGAATATTGTTACTTTATATTCAGGAAAATAATCATGATTTGGTGCCCTAGAATGCCAGTGTGTGAAGTGGAAAAATATCAATTAAAAGGTAGCAAAATGTGAAGACCATCAGCTCCTAATGCTTTCATAAAGCAAGAAGCATCACATTAATAAGGGTTCTCTTCCTATCTCTCTAATTAATTGTGGTTGTATATTTGTATGGACTTTGAATTTCTGAAAGTACAAGTAATTAAGGCATGGGGTTATTCCCAAGCTGTTGGTTGTCCTTTAGATGATAACTACAAACAAGCTTCTAATAAAGAAGTTTTTTTTTTCTTGGTTCTATATGCCATAATGCTGAAATTTTGGTTCTAAGCAAGTAACAACTGCAATAACCAAGCTAGGCGATACTATCTGAAGAGACTCAACATGAAACATAACTGTGCTATGCAGCAGAACCAAAAGCAGGATGCCAGAAAGACTTACTATAATAATCTTGGTGATTTGCACCTAAAATTGAATTTACATGTCTTCATTCACAACCCATGAGCTTTGTGTGTGTAGGTTTGGGAGAAAAATTTCAGAAAGCACTACAGCTTTATATACAAAGAATACGGCTGGGTGTGGTGGCTCTTGCCTGTAATCCCAGCACTTTGGGAGGCTGAGGTGGGTGGATCACCTGAGGTCAGGAGTTCGAGACCAGCCTGACCAACATGGAGGAACCCCATCTCTACTAAAAATACAAAATTAGCCAGGCGTGGTGGCGCATGCCTGTAATCCCGGCTACTTGGGAGGCTGAGGCAGGAGAATTGCTTGAACCCAGGAGGCGAAGGTTGTAGTGAGCCAAGATCACGCCATTGCACTCCAGACAAGAGCAAAACTCCCATCTCAAAAAAAAAATACAAGTATCATGGTTTGGGGAGCAAAATTTGTTCAAAATATGGGCATCTGGAAAGGAAAAAAAACTCTTATGGAGAAAACACTATTACCATAGGCATAACAGTACTGCAGTGTTTAAGTGATAGGCCTCATCTCAGATGATCAAGTGGTCTCATAAGTTTTCTAATGTTTTGTGTACCATGTTATAAGATAGTACATGTAGAAATCATATTAAGATAACATTGCAGTTACTTTCAGCATGCAGTATGCTTGGGATCTGAGATCCTTCACTTAGGTTGTGCATTTTTCTTGGAGCCAGAAGTTACCTGCAAGATCACTGGGCCACCCATCTCATATAATTTAGGGGAAAATGGGGCCAGTGTAGCTGGCTCGTTGTTAATCAGAGGCCACCTAAGCAACCAGTATGTACAGGATTCAGGATCAGAAGCGTAACGTCCTAAAGCCAGGACAACATTATTTCTACAGGTATGTGGAAGTGTTACCAGGGAAGACAGAGATACTTCTTAGACAGTCTTTTCTTTAATGTATCCCTCCGTTAGTGCCCAATATTCCTAATTCTTACACTTTCTACATGAAAGGCACTATGCAAGATAACATCTGGAAAGTGCGTTTAGCCCCAAGCCGCTCTCTTCCTCCAAACGGCAGAACTTAGATGCTCTTAGTGTTTACTCTAAATGCATCAGCTTTCTGTGTCCTCCTCTGGAGTTTCTCCTCTCTTGCCCATCCTCTCTTTTGAATTTTGACAGATGAGTCTCCCAGGAAACTTGTGCATCTTTTCAAGATTACCCTGTATAATTTCAATCCATAAAAATGGTGACAAAATCAACCAACCATATCACTCCATTTGAAGCTCTTAGAATCACTATCTTCTTTTGTGAGTATAGCTCAAATGATTATGGCATCAATACTATATTATTGGTTCCTTTATTTCCTTTTTATTATGAGTTTTTTCTTTTTATTGTGAGTTTTAAAATTGCAATTGTATAAAGAAAAAGATACTGGATGTTTATTGTCTTGCATATAATCATACTGGCCTTCATGTTTTCAAGATGGAAAGACCAAAAGGAAAAGTAAAGAATTAGAGCTTTATTTACATTTCCTTAGTCATCTAGTCTCCAAAATGTACTTTTTCTAGATTCCTCTGCTTCTGCTTAAGTTATGATGATTCTTTACCCAAGCTGGGAAACATGGAATCCTCTCTGACAATGGTGTCCTTTTCTCTGTTACCGGTTGTCAAGTTCCATTGTTATTTGTGTGTGTTTTTTTTCTTTCTGGTGTGTTCTATCTGTTCTTTCTCATTCCTTCCTCAACCAGGATTTCTCTAGAGGAGTAGCTTAGGGGCAGCAATATATTGGACAGAGACAAGGAGACTTGCCCCTTTTATTCAGCTTGCGAGTTTATTCATTTTTAGGTTGTTTGGGTGACCACAGTTTCCACCTCCCTCTATTGAATTCTTTATTTCTTCATGCCCAGGAGACTGCCTTCAGTCTCTCTCTACTTCATCCTTACCGGCGTGCAGCTATAATACCAGCATAACCTTCCTAAACAAGACTTTCATTAATTCAGTGACTCCTTAATTGCCTGCAAGGCCCACTACCTTAGATTGACGCCCACCATTCAGCCTCAACATACCTTTCAGAGATTAATCAATCATTTTTACTTAAAATTGCAGCACAAGACGGGCTCTGTTGAATTCCAGTCTCCAAGATAATTTTTCACATATGTTACACTCTAGTTTTCCTATCTACTAATTTGAATCTTATTCTTCTATAGGGCTTGCCTTAAATTCTCCCTTCTCCAAAAGTTTCCTTTGATCATTAGAACTCACAAAACTGTATTCATCTGACCTAATCCATTATCAGATGAAACACATTACTGTGTCATTAACCACCAAGAAGGAAAAACACCTGTCCATTAAACTAGGCTTCATTGCTTTCTTAGAATTTCAATTTTATTTTAATTGAAGCTCTTTTAAACATCACCCCCATGCATCCATACAAAGATAAGTGCAATGAATTAGTTAAGAAACTTCTAAAACTTCTTCACATGTAGGGTCTGACTCTTCTGGGATTTTCTTCCAATCTACTAACATCCTTCCTGCAAGTTGCAGTGCTGGTGTTTTCTGGATCTTCCCAGAAGGTGACAGTGAAGATTTCTAGAAAACAACCGGGACACACATTTCTTCCTCACATGGAGCTTCTGTGGTTTGTTGGCTGTAACTTCCTGGTATTGTTGTGGCCTTGTGGTGCCACTTGGGTGACAGCTGGGTGTGCACAAGCTCTGGTAAGGACACTCATGTCATGATTTTTGTCTGGCCAACAGCAATTATAAGAGGGCATTGAATATAAGATGAAATATCATGTTGCATTTGGAATGACCACATTTCAATATGGTAAAGCGTGAAGACAAATGTGCAGCGCTTGATGGGTGAAATATGGAACTCTCTCATCCCACTGAACTCATTTGCCATTTTTATATGCTGTAGTTTGTATCATTGTTTACAAGGCTATTAAACTGATGAATGTGTTTGATCCTGTTGGGCCTCAGTAAGACATTCTTAAAGATGGAAATCCATGAAAAACGTGTAGCTAGTAACTGATAAAACTTGGATCCACTCTTTTGCTAGGACATACTCAGAAATTGAGAGCAAAATTTTCAACCAGCTCTCGACTGAAATGTGTGGGTTAGGTTAAGATTTAGGAATTCGTCCTCTCCATTGATATTGCCATAAATGGTAGTCATAACTCTTTTGCAGATAAAAAATGTGGTTATATATTTCATTTATTAGGTGCCTATGAGGATCTAGGAGATTTAAATATATTTAAATCATTACCAGTTTTAGGTAAGTGGTTTTATTTCTAACGTCTAATTTAGGAGACAAAATATCTGATGTCACATAGCTGGGATTTAAGTTCAGGTCTGTCTGACCCCAAAGTTGCACTTTTCTATTAAGCCATATGGAACGGGATGTACATACGAGGCTTCAAGATGCAGGGTAGATGACTCCATAATTTAGAGATGAGTTTAGAAAATTTTACACTTTGGAATGTAAGCGTAAAGGTAACAATTCAGAACATATGTCCACATAAAGCTTATACCTTATTTTCTTTTAAAATGACACTTATCAAAATTTGTAACATTTTACTTGTCATTATACATTTATTTATATATTTGCTTAATATCTACCCCCAGTAAAGGCAAGAATAACCATTTTTTATTGATTATGAAATGTACATTTTTCATATTTTAACATCTGTGAAATCAGAATGCACCTTAAAATGGATATGTTGAATAGGCAGCATTATTTTTTCATTCCGAGTGTTGCATAGGATAATTATGCATTCTACAATTAATATTTTTAAATGTCTGAGTAAACATCTGTTTTTATTAGCTGTTCTATTCATAGTGTATAGCGCAGCGTCTGGCTGCGTAAAAGGCACTCACGAGCTTTTGTTCAATGAATGAAAGTGGAACTTCAAACTTTGCCTGCAGGTACTTGGATTTCTGGATGAAGCCTTCCGCCCACATGAGGTCCATTGTCTACTCTTGTTTTCCCATTATGTCTGACAGGATTTGTGTATGACCAATATTTTCAGCCTGGAAGGGTGTACTATCCGCACAGACGGGGCTGCAGACCTCCCTCGTGTGAGTCCTATATATAGAGCCCTGCCAGCTGAAGCTCTTGCCTGGTGGAAACTATTTGTAGGCAAGCCTTTCTGAGTTTCCTACCGAACAATGTTTGATCATTTCCCTCCAAATGCCAGAAATTGACTTTCATTCTGGCAGGGGCTGGCGGGGGTAGGTGGCCTGTTGTAAATTCAGCCTTGGCTTGCTTTGTTTGTGTTGTTCAACAACTTCCAGTGAGCCTGAGCGCTCAAGAAGATACCTTAAGACGCCATCTACCTTGCCCGAGGGGTTGAAATTCAGCCACACAGACTGGAAGGCTTCCCGGTTTGCTGTGAAGCCTCAAGGGAGTCATGGTTATGCCTGCCAAACACAAAATGCATGCCATCAGCCATCTGTGGAAATCTTCCCAGGAAGTAACTCTCCCCAAGCGATGCGTTGTAAATGGGCTGCTGCTGCAATGAGGATGGTGCCTAAAATACCATTAGGGAAGCACCGATTCAAATGTAACTAATGAAAGATAATCGGCGATGTAATGAATTGTAACATGTTTGTCCTGAGGTCATGTGTTGACAGAGGATTCTTGGGATGGATAGGAGATGCCATGTGAGGAGGATCCGATCCTACTGCTATTTTCTGGTGTCTTCAGCACCACACAGAGAAGGGACTCAGAGTCTAGATACTGTCTTCAACACTTTTTATTAGAAACGGACAACAGCCGCTTACCAACAACCAGAGGTTGACTTCAACAAATATCCTGCAGGGCCTGGCCTGGTGGCTCATGCGTATAATCCCAGCACTTTGGGAGGCCGAGGTGGGCAATTGCTTGAGGCCAGGAGTTTGAGACCAGCCTGGGCAATGTGGCCAAACCTGTTTCTACAAAAAATACAAAAATTAGCCGCGTGTTGTGACACTTGCCTGTAGTCCCAGTTACTAGGAAGGCTGAGGTGGGAGGATCACCTGAGCCTGGGAGGTTGAGGCTGTGGTGAGTGGTGGTCACGCAACTGCACTCCAGCCTGTGTGACAGAGTGAGACCTGCAGGTCTCAAAAAAGAAAAAAAAAATCCTGCAAACAAACTTAAACTTCCTGTGTTCTAGTTATTTACTTACCAAATAATATTGAGGTCTAAATGTTGTCTGTTAACCTGACATATGGAGGCCGTCCGTGCCCTAGCATTGGATATGGACCAAGTGAATCTCCATGTTCTGAAACCATGTCAGCACCCTGCCTTCCAAGTCAGGCTCCACAGAGGTTGACTAGCAGGATGTTACCAGGATGAGTTCCCAATTTCCTGATTATCCTTGGATGACCTTTTAGGATTTGAGTTGCTGGACTGTGAATTCCAAGGACTAAATTCTAGATTCAACAAGACCAACCTTAAGTGTCCTGCCTTTTATTCAACTCGATGGGAGAAACCATACATGAGAGATCTCTCAAAGCATTTGGCAGTGTTTTCCCATTACATCTTCACAGTTAAGATGATCAAGATGTTTAGCCACATAGGATAAATTACCTTGGCTGAAGTGTATGTGCAACTGTGTGAGCACAAGTAATTTATGGACATGGTTTGCTATTTGCATATGAAACAGACTTCTTGTTCTTTGTGGTGGAGAAAATGGCTCCTATGGGTCACAATTAGCCTATCTGGCAATTAGTCACAATTAGTCACAATGCTGGCAGTGCATCGTGCTTGCAAAGTTGTTTACACAAAGTAAGACTGAGTTTCTCGACATGGACAATATATTCAGAGCTGTGGCTTCTTGGATTTCTAATCTGATATGGTTTAAAGTTTCTCATTGTTCAAAGAAACTATTTAGATATCACTGTTGACTCAATGCTTATTATTGGGCAGTGAATAGAATTAATTGAACAACAGAAGGAGTTGTGTTGCTACCGAGCAGTTAAAATGCTTTGATTGCTTGATAAACATGATTAAGAGGCATGGTTCAACTGTATAGTGTATAAACAATATTACCCTAACAACACCAGGCTTCGAGAGAGAGGAGAGGCCCAGGGCAGACACTCTAGGAGAAAAACTTGAGTGGTATAAGTGGAGTTTTAATTTTTATTCTGTGAATGTAGTGAATAATACATGCAAATTAGAAACGTGAAAGTAAAATGGAAGTAAAACTTTCCATTTGGAAGCCTGTTGGATGTTGAGCAGGTCTGCCAGGAGTTAGAAGACCATTCCGGAAGAGCTGACTCCAGCCTGTCCATGCACGGCTACAATGTTTAGGATTGGGAGGAGACAGCTCTGGAAGCATAGCGTCACTCGAGTTTTAACGGTAAGGTGCTGTTGTCTGTACCTTTGCATGTGTGTTTTGGATTATCATCTGTCACACCTGGGTGGAAAAAACAAACTTGAAAAAGGTTCAAAGTCACACACTGATGAATTTGCGAGAAACACATTTTTTAACTAATGTTCACCTGGTGCATAGGCTACATATTCATTTTTTAAATAAAAAAAATTTTGCATCTGTAGGCTTTTCTGCACGTTGCCGCTTAAACTACGCACCTAGAAATTCATGCTGCATCTTTTGGGAAGATGCTTTCCTGGGGTCAAAAACACATTCATAGTGGTTTGGGCACTTTGTATTCTTTCAAACCTGTAAACTTTAGTTGGTGATTAGAAATAGTTAAGGCAGATTCTAGGCTGCAAGGTTTAGGCTTTGAAATCACTCCCCTGTTCTATATGCCTGCAAATGAGGTCACAGACAGTGAGATGCAAGGCTGTGCCTTTGGAAATCACATTGAAGAATGAACTTCCCTAGCACAGGGCTCAGCTCAGCAGCTTTTTATTATGCAAATGCATAGAGAGGGATTTGGAAACCTCTTCCACTGCCAATTAACGTCAGAAGAAATTGGAGGTTTCTCTAGGACTCAGTTCTCAACCATTAACCCATGCTTCCTACTGGGCTTGATCACTGTGTCTTTTTGTGTATCCCCAGAAGCTCACATGATCCCCCCTAGCCTGTTGTTTTTACCACAAAAGAGCAGGCATCTACCTCTGAATTTTTTAAGTATGCCACCATCTGCCACCCCTCACTTGCCCAAGCCACAAGATTCTGATGCATCCTTCCCAAGGTGAACGTCTTGCAGCCAAGCCCCTGAACTTGCTTGCTAGAGTTAGAAGACCATTCTGGAAGAGCTGACTCCAGCCAGTCCATGCACTGCTTATTCTTCAAGACCAAGTGCTAGTGTTACCTCCTCTGAGAAGCGTCCCCTGACACTTTGAGGAGGAGGTGTGAGTTTCCTTCCTGTACCCTGTCAGCACTTTCCTTCGATGTCTTATAGAGTCCTTGTCACATCACTGTAGTGAAATGACATTTACCCACATGTCTCTTTCTCTTGCTAGATTGCGAGTTCTCTCCATTTTAAAATAATCTTCCTTTAACACAGAGCTTGGTCCATAGTATATGCTTGGTCCTTAATATATGCTTGTGGAATAAGTTGAATGAATTAAACATTTCACATGTCTGAACATTTTTCCTGTGCTTCAGTACCAAGTCTGAAACACCACAATTGATGATAAAATCTCAGGTATAATTAATGAATTATTCTTCCTTGACATGAACTATGTTTTGAGAGTAAGTCAAGTCTTTTGGAGGTTTCAATTATATATTTAGGATGCTGGTTTGGTTCACTCCACTGAAGTATAATATTAACAGAATTACCTTAATAGTATTGCAGTGTATTATGTAAATAATTACACAGTTTCTACTTAGTGCACTGTGTTAAAGAAAAAAAATTATTCAGTGACACTTGGTAAAGCATGGTAAAGTAAGACTTTATTCACGACCGTCGTGTTAGGTATAAGGACCTATCTGGGGAGTGATGGGAGAGATTGGGCTCAACTGTGAATATGGCATGGCCAAGTGAGGATTTGTAGCCAAGGAGCAGGGCAGGGGTCAGTGGATAGGAAAGTGCTTAGAGGAGACATCAATGGGGAGGGGGATTCTGGCTAAACTGACGACCTACCAGGATTCTTGCTGAAGAAAGGCCAGGGGGATGAGACAGCACGTGGGGGATGGTGGAGGATGAGGAACCCAATCAGCGACTGACGGTGATCAGATATTGAGTACCCTCTACAGGGGTTCTTGTTAACTGACTTAGCAGAGTTCTTTGCTAAAACTAGATTTTACAAGGAAGTGTACAGATGGGCCTAGGAGAAGATTCAGGAACCTGACTAAAGTTTGGCCAAGCAAGGAAAGTTTGTCAACTGATAAGATAGCTTATTATATTATAACTTCATGATCGAAAATGACCAATGGGAAACATTCCAGAGCTACCTAACTATAAGTATGTATGTATTTAACTACAAGTCCATATATATTTAACTAAGTTCCACGCTAAGGTCTGGAACTATTATTGCAATGATGCTATGTTATAATTAGGCTACTGTAATGTAATAATTGACTTTATCCATAAATATCATGCCAGTAACAACCAAATGTACCATAAACAAAGTCAAGCCATATATCTTTTCTCTTGTATAATAAACACACGTTATTTTCATTTAAAAACTTGAAATTATTCTGTATATATTCATTCGCTCATTTGCAAAAATTATGGTCCAGATCTGATGTCTGTCTTTTTTCTGCTTTTCTCAGAGATAAAGAATGCTTAGTACCAAGTTACAGGTGTAAGACGGACATGAATTCCAGACTTGAATTCTGTTTTTCTTTACTTCCCCAAAATGAAACTGAAGTCTATAACTTTGTTGGTTGACTTTGTTGACTTCCAGAAAAAAGAACAACTTGAAAGATAGATGGTAGTCCTCTAGACTGTCAAATTTACCTAATTGCAAAGCTGGTTTTAAAATGGAGAAAAGTCTTCTCCCCACTGCAGCGGAATGTGTGTTGTTCCTGTTTTGTGCTGTATGTGTTTCTGTTAGGGAATGCTGTTGCTCATGAACTTTCAGATTGCTGCAGGTTTTCTCTGAACAGTGAATCTCTTGTGGGTAGAAGCTGTGGGGGAAGAGAGCACACCTCCCTCTCCCGCCGAGAAGCTCTGCAGGAGGGCAGCCATTGTTTCCAGTGGGGTGCTTAGTAGAAGCCAAGACAGAAAGAACCTTTGCTCTCAGATTATCTTTTGAAATCTGAAAAGATGTCAGTTTTCTCATTCTCTGGCAAATTAACCAAACCATTTTCAGTGTGCTGTTAATCAGGCCCAGACCTGTTTGGCCAAGTCAACAAATTTCACATAGAGCAGATCAAAACCATTTCCTTAGAGCACTGGAAGGTGAATGGATCTAGGGTTTAGCTGGGAAGAGAGAGGTACTGTCTATTTAAAAATTTTTTTTCCATTTTTAGAGACAGTCTCACTCTGTTACCCTGGCTGGACTGCAGTGGCGCCATCGTAGCTCACTGCAGCCTAGAACTCCTGGGCTCAACCAATCCTTCCACCTCAGCCTCCTCAGTAGCTGGGACTATAGGCATGCATCCCCGCATCTGGCTAATTTTTTAATTGTAATTTTTGTAGAGATGGAGTCTTGCTATGCTGCACAGACTGATCTCAAACTCCTGGCCTCAAGCAATCCTCCCGCCTCAGCCTCCCAAAGTGCTGGGATAACAGACATGAGCCATTGTGCCAGTGCTGCTTGTAAAGGCCCACTGAGCACTCTCTAGCCTGAACTAGTTAAGGCCAAAAGATGCCCCATCATTATCATGCCATAGCTAGACCCTGGGGGAATGTAACTGTATGTGCAAAACTTATCCATTCCACAAATCTCTCTTGGATGCCTACTTTGTACTAAGTGCTGTGCTCTGTGATATGGCAGGGAAAAACCCTTCTAGACACCATGGAATTTAGAGCTGAACTTGTTCTTTCTATCATTCAATTTTTGCACAAGTCTAGTAAGGAGAAAAGGAGAAGTTAGAGTTAGAAGATCCCAAAATTTATGTCCTTGGGCTTTCTCTGTTAAGTTTCTACCTCAAGTGAGAACTCGGTCATACTAATCCATCAGGATCAATTTGTAAAATGACTTCCTTGAGAACAGTGATGTCAGGCTGGGCTGTACATTAGAATCACCAGGGGAGCTTTGGAGAAATGCCGGTGCCTGGGCCCCGCACCTGACCAGATAAATCAGGATTTCTCAGGGGTGGGAGGCCCAGGCATCAGTATTTTACAGCTCTCCAATGATTCCAATGAGTGGCCAGCTTTAAGCACAGTGGTTTGTTGTATGAATAAGGGAAGTTTTGGAATTCCACTCCTGTGCCATATATAACGTGAATGGTGACATATTATATATATATATTTTTAGCATATGGGTAAGGGCCATTTGAGTTATATGGTCCCTGCTGCCAGAGAGACCTCTTGAAATTCTACATGAGAGGCATTTCTGATTTTGGAGTGAAATCACTGTGGGGTTAGGGAAAGAGGATATATGGCCATGTGAAGGTCCACCAGATCTCACTTCAGGTCCAGAAATTTGGTGTGCAGAAAACAGACTCTAAGTTAGAATTTGGATGATGGAATGTCGGGGGAGGTGAGGCTGTGGACACCGGGATATGCCTACAGCAGATTTGGGGTTGGTCTGGGTGGAAAATTCACACATCGTAAATGCTAAAGAGAGAGTTCTTTATTTGCCTGGAAGGAATGATAGGTAAGGGAGTGAGTAAATAGGGAGAGCTAGAGGCCTTGGGAACTCCAGCAAAAATAGACAGGATGCCAAAGTTTATCCCTGGACAGAAGAAAATGGATGGTACCACACGCTTAAGTGCTATCTCTTTGCAATAGAGGGAAAGCGTGGCTCTTGTTAAATAGAGGAGGGCTTCACTAAAGCACCTGCTGTGAGTGGGATTAGCCAGCGTGTCATCTCTTTTCTTTCCCGAAACCACTTTACTGAAGTGCGCTTAATTCTGGAAGGAGGTGCCGTGCTTCCTCTGCAGCTGTGGCCCTTCACCGGGATAAATGAAACGAAAGGGGAGTCAGAAAAGGCAAGACTTGAAAAGTACAGTTAGGAGTGGAGAGTCTCTAAATTGTGGTTCTCCCAGCCAATTAGAGAGCAGGTTAGGCTGGGCTGGGAAGCATCACAGAGCAGCCTCTTCTCTCTGAGAGAGGCCGGGAAAGGAGACGGGGCCCTGTGGGTTGAAACAGAGAAGCTGGAAGACAAAGAGGGAGGCTTTTCTCTGTGGGAAGACAGGGAAACAGGGTTGATTGTAGAGGGCTCTAAGGGTAAATGAGTTAGAGAACTGCTTCCCTCAGTTTCTCTAATTCAACAAAATAAAACGGGAGGCAGGTAAAGCAAGGTTAGCTGTATTTGCTGTAAATTGAGGGGGAGCTACTATCCTACCCAGGGTAGAATTCTGTGTAGTCACTTATGTTCCAGGCACAACAGCATGGATCCTATTGACTTAATTTTGATTCTGCAATCGTGGACTCACGTTGGTCTAGGATAATTTGTTCCAGCCCTTAATTACGTGAGAGTGACTTGTAAAATAATTTTAAAATTATTTAGAGATATTAATTGAGGATCTTCAGTGTGCCAGGGCCTGTTGTTGACACTGCTGCTATCGAATAAATCAAAATGGAAAACATCCCTTCCCTGTAAAGCTGGTACTCCTGTAGGAATGATGAGATTCTCTTGTTATTTACTTTGTTTTACTGCTCAGGAGATAAGAAGGATCAGGTAATATATGTGGCAGATAGGAGAACTAAACCATTTGGGTGTCTTTAAAGAAAGAAAAGAAACACATATTTTACCAATAACCAGGTATTTCAGCCAGGCATACACGTTGAATAATTTTCTTTTTCTGCTCGTGAATTTGTCCTGATTCATCCACAGTTGGGGAAGATGAAATAAAGTGAAGTTAGCTGGCCTGAGATGATCAAATCCATGTCCTTGGTTTCGTTAGCACTGTGTTCTCATCAAGTGATCAATTATCTGTGGACTTGAGGTTGACATTGACAGCCAAAGGGAAATCAGTCATGGATGTATTTACTTTAGTTATTTAAGATAAGGAACTTTAACCATGTAGTAGTTCTGTCTTATCCAGGGGGAATATATTCCAAGACCCCCACTGAATGCCAGAAACCATGGGTAGGATTGAACCCTATATATACTATGTTTTTTTCATATATATGTATATATATGTACGTTTATATATTTACATTTTTTATATATACATATGTACATATATATACCTATGACAAACTTTAACTTATAAATTAGGTGCAGTAAAAGATTAACAACAACAATAATAATAAAATAGAACAATTATAACTATATACTGTAATAAAAATTGTGTGAATGTGGTCTTTCTCTCTCAAAATATCTTATTGTACTGTATCTACCCTTCATGTGTGGATGTGAGGTGACACGAAGCCTGCATAATGAGATGAAGTGAGGTGAATGCTGTAGGCATTGTGATATAGTGTTTGACTGCTACTGACCATCTGATGGTATAGCAGGGGGACCGTGTGCTTTGGGTGATCCTGGATCATTGAGCTATGATGATGTCAATGATTGGGTGCCGGGAGCAGATGATGTTGATGGTTAATGGTTGGGTAATGTCTACAGTGTGGAGATGCTGGATGAGGGGATGGTTCATATCCCAGGTGGTATGGATTTGGACGGCATGAGATTTTATCACATTACTCCAAAGGGCACAAAATTTAAAACTTATGAATTGTTTATTTCTGGAATTATCCATTTAACATTTTTGGAACAAGGTTGACCACAGGTAATGGAAACCATAGAAACGGAAACCTTGGATGGGGATAGGAGAATGGCTGTAATTCATAGAATACATTATTTACAATGATCTCAGATGGGGATTTTAACCTATATTATTCTCTATTATATTTGTTACATTACTGTATGAATACACATATATAAAGAACAAAATGCTCAAGTCAAACAAATAGAAATATATTCATTTCAACGTGTGCAACTGAACTTCCTTAAGTCAGATCTCTTTCTCTTTCTCAGATTCAGACGTGCAACAAAGCTAATCATGTCACCTAGAAAAACTTTTTTCTTTAACAACCAAATATTCTTTGGCTGCAGAACCCATTCCTTTCCCTACCCACTTCCCCGTGCAAAGGTATTGTATGAGGACCTGGTATATGCAGTATGATGTCGATAACAGTGATACTGTCAGATGGAAGCAGCAGTGAGTAGGGGGAATCTGGAGCATCACCTACTGACTACCCAAATGAGGAACTAACCTCCGAGACACTTTCAGGAGTAGAAGATGGGGTGAGGGTGTTATCATTTTCTGAGAGACACAGGAGTGCAGTGAGAACTGAATACATTAATCCCAGCTGGAAGCACCTGGGTACCAGTCCACACTGGCACTAAAATACCACTGATATAACTCAGGAAATCGGTGCTAGTTAACTGGTCTCCATCTACAACTCCTCGTATAACCCTTGTATGGGGTCTCCTGCTAGAGCACACTAGATAACTGTTAAGCGCATATTTTTTAAAAAGTGCTTATGGAATATCAGTTTGAAGTTATGCAAAATTCTTAGTTGCCCTTGGGCATCCTATGTCTTGGTCTGGTCCTGTGGACAGCAAGGGCTTGATTCCCAACCCTGCCACTTTCTTAGTTGTGTGCTTTTGGGAAAGCAGTTAATGGTCCATAGTCTTGATTTCCTGGTGTGGAGATAATAACGTCTTCTTCATAGGGATTTTGTGACAATTAAACCAAAACATAGTGAGCAAATGATGACTAACAGAACCAAGCTGGCAATGCAACCAGGGCAAACAATGCAAAATATACACTTCAGGAGGGTCTGGGAAAAGATGTCCTTGCTTAGGCACAAAAGAACTCTCAGACCCAATAGCCCCATCCTCCATCCACTTCTGCTGGCTGCCAATGGGGTCAGTGGAGTAGATCTGTGTCAGGAACAAACCTGTCAACAAGGCAGAGCTTCATAAGGGTGTAGGAAGCTTAAACATTTGTACAATTAAAAGAAATCATTATGAAAATGTTTTGTTTCACTTAAATTTTGATGTCCAGGATCAAATCCTTGGTCATGCCATTTTAATTCGAGTGCTGTTTGATTTAGTGTGATCACCAAACTGCATGCAATTTAACCCTCACAAACCTCTTTCAAGTTGGGACTTTTATCTCCATTTTACTTTTATCTTCATTTCTATAAGGTCTCCCATATAGTTGAGGATTATAAGCCTAGAGACAAAATGAAAGACTGATCATGTATGTAGTTTATACACAGTTTGTGTATATAAGCATGCAGACTTGGACTTTGGTTCTACAGAGTTAAAGGCAAATGTTAGTATTTTTTAAACATCAGATGGATAGATTACTTTTGAGACAGTCACTGAGCTTTTTGGGGTATTCATTAGGATTTGTATTTTAAAATTTTGAGTCTGTAGATTGTGTAAACGTTTGAAGTCATGAGAAGTAGTCCACATATTGAAGAAGGAATGAACCTTGGCTGTCACCTAGTCCAACACTTTCATTTTGTAGTTGAGGAAATTGTGGCCTGGAGAGGTTAAATGAAAGATGTGAGGTCTTGCAATTAGTGTCAGAGCTGGGACTAGAACCTTACCACCTCATTCTGACATCAGTGCTCCTTTGTCTGTGGAGGATTGGCCACCTGGGAAGCAGAGCTCCTTTCTTGTGAGGTAGTACATTAGCCACTCTCCCATTCTAAGGCAGTAATAACATATCACAAATTGCCGCAATGTTTTAATGCTGCTCTAGATTTCCTTGGACATTGAATAGATTTCTGGCCATGTTCCCCACCCCTATTCACTGGTGCTTTTTCATGCAATGCAAAACAATTTTAGTAGGACTCCAGAAAAGTCTTGACATAGTTTACCTCCTGCCTTCTTAATCCCTCTCTGCCTTCACTTTCCAAGTGTCCTAGGTGTTTCAAAGGCCAGCAGGACAAGCCAACCCCCAAAGAACTAGTCACCTGACTGCTTGTTGCTGCAGTTCCTTAGCAGCCAGAAAGCTGCAGGGTTAGGTCTGCGGATTGACAGTGCACTGTTCTAATTGCTAAATATTTGTTTGACATTATTGACTTTTTTATGGTAGTTAAAAAGCAATTTCAGTATTCCCAGGATACCTTAGTGTAATGCAATGAAAGTTGAGATTGATAAACATTGTGGCATTTCATCTATATGACACTAGGATTGACTTCATATTACTTGTCTTCAGGCAATAGAACAATCAGTTTACATAAGAAAATATATTCAAGTCTTAACGTGCTTTTAAATATATTAAATAACTTCTGAAAACATTTACTTAAAAATATGTCAATAATTAGCTTTATATAAATAAAGCTGCTTTGGAAGTTTCTTTCTCCTGTGATATTTAAGTAAAAATAGAATAATTAGTCTTCTATTTTAGGGAGTGATTTCCCTCTTTTTCATTAGGATGTTTTTTTCTCTGGAATCAGAAACAATTGGGTTATGAAGTAATGTGTTGCCATGGGAGAATCTTATTTAAATCTCTGTGTTCTTTGGAACGCCTCAGTTCCTTGCCATGGAAGAATCTTTTTTAAATCTCTGTGCTCTTTGGAAGCCCTCAGTTCCTTTACATCTTGAATCTTCTGGCTGTCTACTTCTTTTATTTTTAGTTTTGGCTACCAAGCATTTGCCATCTCTTTGTGTTGTTGCTGAATTCCTGGCTCCCTGGTTGACCTCTGAGTTCTCAAGCTGCTAAAGATATTTAGCACAAACTTAGAGTGATCACTTAGAGAAAAGTCTTTTATTTCTCCCTGCCAGGAAGGCAGAAAACAATTCAAAACAACAGGACATCTTCCTGGCTTTAGTGACATTTGAAAAAAGTTTTAAATGTACTTTTATTTGATGTCTATGGAATGAACTAACATGTTTGTTTTTAAAGAAATGGTGAGAAAACAGGTAGATTATCTATTTTTTAAACCTGAATCCTGCCTCTTGCCACCTCCCCAGCAAAGTTGTCTCTCAGATAGGTAGTCCTTCAAGTTCAGAGAAATGTATGTCAATTACATAGGTGTAGCAATAACCTTTCAATTGCTCTGAAATCTCCAACTTTTTCATCTTTACTTTTCTGTAAGTCTTTTGTACCTTAAAAAATTCTTTCTTGACTCTAAATTTTCCTCTCTATTACTACCATACCCTATTCCTTTATAGTCAAGTTTCTGGAAAAAGTAGTTTATATTCAGCATTTTTATATTTCTCTTTTCCCAATCATCCTTTTCTCAAGTCTATATTTATTTCTGTCCAACCAATGAAATTATTCTAACAAAATTACTCTATTATTTATTTTTGCGTTACAAACCATACCAAAACTTAAGGGCCTAAAGCAGAAACAATCATCTGTTATCTCTCTTTATTCTGTGAGTGACTGGGCTCTGCTGGGTGGTTCTTCTGCAGGTGCCATTGGCTGGCTTGCTGTCATCTGTAGGGGAAACTTAGGTTGGAACATCCAAGACAGCTTACTCAAATGGCTGAAAGTTGGTGCTGGGGTCAGCTAGAAGGTCAGATGGTACCGCTGACCAGAAGGTTTTGTTCTCCTCCATGTGGTCTCCCTACATGGCTGAGTTCTGAGGCAACATTCTAAGTGCAAAGGCAGAAGGTGAAGATCTCTTAAGAACTAGCTTAGGAAGTCCCATCTCATTTACCCTCAGATTTTTTTTTTGGTGAAAACTGGCCATAGGGCTAGCCAAATTCAAGGGGAGGGGAAATACAGTCTATTTCTTGACAGGTTAGTGGCACAGTCACACTGCAAAAGAGCTGTGAGAAGCTGCAACCATCCTGTAAACACAATCCCTAAAGATATCCTAATTAACCCAACCAATCCTGTGTAGCATTGTTGCTATTGGTCACTCTCCATGATTTATTGCTACTACGGTTTCTTGGTCTCCTTTCTATCTCTTTGCACATTCATCCTTAGTTTTTTTTTTTTTTTTTTTTGAGGTGGAGTCTCACTCTGTCATCCAGGCTGGAGTGCAATGGTGCAATCTCGGCTCACTGCAACCTCTGCTTTTTGGGTTCAAGTGATTCTCCTGCCTCATCCTCCCAAGTAGCTGGGATTACAGGCACATGCCACCATGCCTGGCTAATTTTTGTATTTTAGTAGAGACAGGGTTTTGGCACGTTGGCCAGGCTGGTCTTGAACTCCTGACCTCAGGTGATCCACCCGCCTTGGCCTCCAAAGTGCTGGGATTACAGGCATGAGCCACTGTGCCCAACCTCATCCTTAGCTTTCTTTATTTGCACTTCTTTTTCTCCTTGCTCCTGGGATACTGGTGGTCCCCAATTTTCTTCACTTTTTTAGTGTGTTTTCATTTCAATATGTTTGTTAGAAAATCATATCTGCACTCATGGTTTAAACTTTGATTTATTCATTCATTTGACAAATATTTATTGAATGCACATACCACCTGCTGGTTGAAAGAGCTGTTGATGTGTACTTTTGCAGGTTCTGTACTGCACAACTCCAACAGGTACCACATTGTTTTCACACTGATTTGACATTGTAGCTTTTATATTGACCGTCTTCTCTATGTCTATGTCTATATGTGCCTATGTCTATATCTATATATATGTCTGTATCATATCAGTGGTTCTGAACAGGAGAAGTTATTTTGTCCCACAGGGGCCATTTGGCAATGTCTGGAGACGTTTTTTATTCTCAGGAGTTGGTGGTGGAGGCTACTGGGACCTAGAAGTTAGAGACCAAAGGCGCTGCTAAAACCTCACATTGCACAGGACTGCTCCTCACAACAAGAATGGTCTGTCTCATAAAGTCATCGTGCTAAATTGAGAACCTGCATGTTATCTGTATCTGCAATGCAGTTTCCCCTTGAACATTTCCAGTGGCCTGTCTGCCTCGTCCACCTGTGTATTGAGTCACCTCAAAATCTTACACATCCAAAAGCTGAACTTATGATTGTGTTGCTTCAACTTGTTCCTCTTGATGAACCCAGTGTCTGGGAATGCCACCATCACCCACCTGACTGCCTCTGGGCATGCATCACACCAGCCTACTTTCCACACTGCTGCCAGAATGATGGATTTTTCAGTGCTGCACAGACAGCTAAACACCTATCTCTCTTGATATGAAACTCATCAGTGATTCTCCGTGGATTTTACATAACAGTTAAACTTTGTAATGTGGTTCAGAAAATATTTATTATCTGACTTTTTTCTCATTTCCTATTATGTTTTCCTAGTCCTTTTTAGTTCACACATCCTGGCTACCTTGTGGTTTTCAGAATGTGCTTTTGTGTGCCTCTCAGCCTTTGTGTATGCAGAAAGGCGACTGTCCTAGGAGTATGACCAACCCTCCTTCAATGCTAGGCTTCAGCCACCTCCTCCTGAAAGCTGTCCTGTCATCCCCACCCCTACCCCTTATCAACTCCAGGCTAGAGTGGGAGACCCTTCTTTTTGCTCCTTCTCTGTAGACCCATAAATGCCCCTGCATTTGGAGACCCATAAATCTGATGCCTCTGTGGCAACTGCCATGCCATCTGTCATATTTAAATTTTCAGCTCACATCCTGCCAGCCAGGCCATGAGCTTTTTTGAGGTTACCAGGTAGTGTTAGTCTCTTCAGTGCTGACACATATTAGGGGTTTAACAAATGTTTGTTGATTAAAAGAAGGGATCCAGAGGGGCCACTTTTCCTCTTCCCAGTGGGAGCTACTGGTTGGCATTAAAGGTAATGTATTATTCCAAGAATGAATTGGAAGCTGAACGTCTACCAGTGTCAAAATAGTTGAATAAAGTATGGTACATTCATACTGAATATTTTTGCAGCTATTACACAGGATGGAATAGTCTGTATTAAACTAGAAAGAAGTCCGTGATGCATTGTTAAGGGAGAAATGCATGAAAACATTTTATAGTATGATGTAAATATAGGTGTGTGCATATGTTTGAATAGGATTGTATGATCATACAGTATAAGGAAAGACATGCTTCAAACTGCCAACATTGGTTACATTAAGCATGCCTTATTCTCATAATTAACAATTGATAGTTAAAGAGCAAGCAATGGTATTCAGAAGTTAATTTCAAGACCAAATATGTAGCTGTAGATAAACAATAAAGATAGGAGATACTGTAGAAAAAATATTACTTTAATGGCTTAGGAAAATGTTTACAAAAATGGAGATCTCTTTTTTTGATATTCTGTTGAATGCTTATATATGCATAGAAATAAGTGTGTAAAGATTTAGAACAAAATGTTAACAATAATAATTTCTGGATGGCAGATTTTTCTCTCTTGGCTTCTCTGTATTCTGCAATTTCACAACAATGAGCATGCTTTATTTTCATAAGAGAAATAAATTATTTCTAAAAATAGAAGATAGTACATAAAAATTGGTACCATTAAGCTGTCTATTATCTGGATACCTAAGACTTGAAAAAACAACAATTGTATGAAATTATTACAAAATGAATCCACTTGAGAACAGCAGTTTCCATGTAACATTTTTATTCTTTTCTTTTAGCAAAGACTGAAGGGAGAGAAGGAAGCCAAGCGGGCTCTTTTGGATGCGAGGCATAACTACTTATTTGCAATTGTGGCTTCCTGTTTGGACCTGAACAAAACCGAAGTGGAGGATGCCATTCTTGAAGGGAATCAGGTGGGATGCGTTTCACTTCTCACTGACTTGATGATGGAGGGCACAGATGGTCTGTTGACACAGTCCTGTGGCAGGATCCCATGCTGTGCCCAGAGGGAGGTGCCTGTCTTAACGTGGACAGGGCTCCATTCTGACTCTGTACTGGTGCTTGCAGAATGAGCTTAAGGCTCTCCAGCTCTCCATGTTGAATAGGGGCACTTCTAATTGTCATTTGAGTTCCGTGATTCTGATGGCATTGTCTGCATCTCTCTACATCCAGTGAAGCTGGGCTCTCATGCCATTTTGGAAACTAAAGCCGGGGAACAGAATCTCGTTTCAAGTTGCCGATTCGTCTTTTGTGCATTTCCCCTGTTCTAGGCACTGGATTTGTGCCATGATTTTCTGGCTTTCACTTTGGTTTGGCAGCTGAACCTGCTTTCTTTTGTTCCTAACCTGCTTGCTTTTGTTCCCATCTTCTGCTACAATTTTTCTTTAAAACTGGGGGTGTGATTTGCTTTGTGTTTGACCTTGGTTAGGGAAGGCCAAAATATGGGAAGATATAATTTCCTGGGCAGTGAGAAAAGCACATAAGCAGCCCTATGATGATTCCTGAAGATTTTTTAAAGAAACTAATTAGACATTAGGAAAAAAAAGAAAGAAGACAAGCCCTTTTTGCTGACAGGGTGCCACACCGTTGGGAATTCTTTTCAGTGGTAGTCTTGTAAATTTTAACAACTGGATTTGGGCAAGGTTGGAGGAAGTAGGCAGGGAGGTACTAGTTTGAAAATCTGCTAATTTCTGTGGTGTAAATACTCCCACAATGGCTGGTTCCAAACTACTATCATCATGTTAACGAAATGTTGAGTTGTAAAGAGTTATGATCCATTGGATATCCTGGGCCAGTACGAGCCATCTGTGGCACACCACTGGCTTCATTCCTTCCTGCTGGGCTACTCTGGTGGGGTTAGTAGGAGTTGGGGAACAATTAAGAATGGATAACACGAAAATGGGTAAACTACAGGATGGATCAAGCAGGAGCTGAGGAAATGTGCTTCTCCTCTTTCTCCTTCTCCTCATAGCTGACACTTATTGAATGTTTACCATGTGTCGGTCCCTGTTCTCAGTCTCTTTCATCTATGACTTCATTTCCATCTTCATAATACCAGGAGGTAGATAATATTATTCCCAGAATATGGAGGCATAAAAGCAGAGAGGGCCACTTGGGGAGATTGTTCCAGAGGTGAAATGCTTAACTCCACCCTGCTTCCCAATTCAGACATCTGGATTTGGGAATATGCAAGGGGAAGAAGCAGGCAAAAGTTCAGCTCTGTAGGGATACCAGGTTAAACTCCTATGTCAAGGTCAGAACCCAGGGATGTCAGAACCTGGAGGTTTAAAGAAAGCATCTGGCTCAGGCTCTCAAGCACAGAGGGGAGGGATAGGAGCTTCAATACTGGCTGTGATGGAAGCATGCCCTTCACTGCATTCTTGGCCTGGAATTGAATCTTGGGGAGTCCTTCCTCCTCGTCCCTGTGGCATCTTCAATCATGGTGGAAATTGAAGGGGACTTATTTTTCACATTTAATTGTTCAGGCTAGATTTTATCCTTTAAAAACATTATTTTAAGATGTAGTAAATACACATAACATAAAATTCACCATCTTAACCATTTTAAGTGTACAGTTCATTAGTGTTAAGTACGTTCACATTACTGTGCAATAAATCTTCAGAATGCTTTTTATTACAAAAACAGAAACGCTGTACCCATTAAACTACCACTCCACAGTCCTCCTTCCCTCCAGCCCCTGGCAACCCCCGCATTCTACTTTTTGTCTCTAGGAATTGGACTATTCCATAGGTACCTCACACAAGTGGAGTCATGCAGTGTTCATCTTTTTGGGATCGTCTTATTTCACTTAGTGTAAGGTTTGCAAGGTTCATCCATGTTGTAGCATGTGCCAGGATTCCCCTCCTTGTTAAGGCTGGATTATATTCCCTTGTATATGTATACCACATTTTGTTTATCGCTTTATCTGTCACTTTCATCTTTTGTGGAAGCTATTGTGAGTAATGCTACTATGAACATGGGTATACAAATATCTCTTTGAGAGCCCGCTTTCAATTCTTTGGGATATATACCCAGAAGTGGAGTTCCCGGATCATGTGGCAATTCTATTTTTAGTTTTTTAAGGAGCCTTCATACTGTTTTCCACAACGGCTCCACCATTTACATTCCCACCAGTAGTGCTCAAGGGTTCCAGTTTCTCCACATCCTCGCCAGCACTTGCTGTTTTCTGTTTTTTGGTGGTAGCCATCCTAATGCCTAATGGGTGTGTGGATTTTATCTTTTTATTTTCATATGAATTCCAAACAGTGCTATTGACTATTTAAAAGAAGTGTTTCTGTTGGTAGCAGGCCATTTGTTAGACTTGTAGACTTACAGTGAGCCTCAGGGATGGGACTCTTAGTCCCAGCTTAGTGCCAGGTTGCTTACTGGAAGGTGTGTTCATAGTCAGATATGTTCTCATGGCAGTTTTGGTGATTATTGCAATTTAATATTAATTATCTCTAGAGTGTTAGACTAAGTTTTGAAAGGTTTGTTCTTGCTTATCTGCAGTTGACTGAAGCACTCATCTCTATTTAAATCTCCCTTCAACAGCTCAACACTTTAGGGAATTTGCAAATATAGATGGACAATGCTTTTCAAATGTGCATAAGTAGCAAATATTTCTATGATTCATGAAATTACTTTTTTGAACAGAGTCTTTACTATGGTGAGACATTTATTCTTTTGATGTAAATGCTCCCTTTTTTATAGGATACATTAGATGCAGTCCTGTTTGAATAAGAAAGATGACAGTAAATTTTCCTTTTTTATATTATTAATGCTGATTTAATTGCAGTTTCTAATTTGGATTGAAAATCATTATCTTGCCTTTTTCTTTTTCCCAGATTGAAAGAATTGATCAACTTTTTGCTGTTGGAGGTCTCCGACACCTCATGTTTTACTATCAAGATGTGGAGGAAGCAGAAACAGGTATCTGAATTTGATGTGACATAACCCAGAAATGTGTTATTAGATTTATCTGAGGGTAGCTTGAAGAAGAAAGCTACTGTGAGAACGGACCTGTTTCACCTTGCGGGCGGGAGGGAGATGCGTGTGTGGGTCCATGTGGGAAACCATTAGTGTGTAGGGTGTGGCCCTGTGGAAGAAGTTCTGTTTCACCTCAAGGATGGAGGACAGATTACAGTTGGTATTTAGCCTGGTTGTTCTAACTTTATTGGAGTTGTCTCATATTCCTTCTCAGGCTGTGCTGGCAATGAAGATAATAAAGTAGATTACGTTTGACTTCCTTTTCTTATATTCTAGTTCATTCTGTGTTTTATGTTCTAGAACTTATAATGGGCACCTGTTTCACATGTATATAGGCATTATTTCTTTTTAACATAGGAATTATTGCCAGCATGTGTAACACCCCTTTTTAGTTAGCTATCACATTGTGTTAATTTTCTACTGACTCTGCTTTAAATAAATAATATTGGATGACAGGTTTCATCATTCTCATTTATGAAAAATTTGCAAATCTTTTTTTTGTTGTTGTTATTTATTATTATTATTTTTTGAGACAGAGTCTCGCTCTGTCACCAGACTGGAGTGCAGTGGCACAATCTTGGCTCCCCGCAACCTCTACCTCCCGGGGTTCAAGCAATTCTCCTGCCTCAGCCTCCCAAAGTACAGTCCCAGCCTGTAGCTGGGACTACAGGTGCGCGCCACCACGCCCAACTAATTTTTGTATTTTCAGTAGAGACGGGGTTTCAGCATGTTGGCTAGGATGGTCTCGATCTCTCGACCTTGTGATCCACCCACCTCGGCCTCCCAAAGTGCTGGGATATAGGCGTGAGCCACCGTGCCTGGCCCAAATTTGCAAATCTTTCTATAGATTCAACTGGCATAGTCTATTCTACTTTTAAGTGGATTAATGTAATTTTAAAGGCCTAAGTAGGAAGATAAGTCAATATCTGATTAAATGTATTATTTAATATATTAAAATATTATATACATCCTTTTTATGACCCATTTGATAAAAGGGAAAATAGCTATTGCTCTTGGCATATAGTAAGACTATACTTCTTTGTTTAAAAACTGAAGAAATTATGCATGCAAATTCGAACTGGCATTTTCTCAAAGCTGTCAATTTGATATTTTGTGCTTAGAAAGCTTATTACATTTTAAGTGAAAAATCAAGAGATAGAAGGTTTGGTTTCTACACCAGATTGCAAAACATAAGCTCAAATGAAAGATCAAGTTTATCCATGAACGGAGCACTGGATGAAACTGGCCTTCTGCGTAAATTTTACTTGGACCAAGAAGTGTTCGTAGGATGTAAACATAAAACCAAGTTTAACCTTTAAATCTTCTCACTGGTGATAGTCCTTCTGAACTTGGATTAGAATGCAAGCAATCCTGTGACTTTCCTGGATGTTCTTAGATTACAAAAAATTCTATAGTCATTTCAAATTACAAACACAACCTTAACTCAAAAAGCAAAACTGTCCAGTTGATGGAAAGCGAAATATTCTTCCCTCCTCATCCTTGAACCTCCCATTTCTCTGAAGGTTGAACTTCTCAGTAGGAGAAGAGGGAGGACCATGTGCTTTTCTCCCTACCTTCGTCTTCTACCCCTTGTCCACATCAGCTTAACTAAAGTGGCTGACTGTGTGAGGCCAGAGGCAGGGCAGAGGTAAGAGGGAAGAGGGGCAGGAAAATTTTTACTGGACTAGCGCTGTCATGAGCTGCTGACCTTGCACTCTTACCTTGCTCTTGTGGGCACGGTGGTGGTTTCTCCCGAGGTGACAGGCTGTCCTGATGATGGCCTCTGAAATTTGGTAGTCTAAGCCACCAGTCTCGCTCACTCTGTCCCATCCTCCCTCAGGTGCTCCTTTTGAGTAGGATTTAAGGTGGCTCCAGTCTGGCTCTTTTCAGCAGGGGCCCCACCTGGGTTCCTAGGTCCCTGCCCTCCATGGTGGTGCTGTTAGCTCCCCGTGCAGTCCAGTTTCTCTCTATCTGCCTTATTGAGCACTGTGCTTAGATTTCTTGGTCAGGTGTCATATCCCAGTCATTTTGTTCCTAAACTCCAGGAGACATAAATCAAGCTCTTTAGGTGGTTGGGTTGAAGACCTTGTTTATTGACTGGAGTGACTGACTGTCCTGGTTGTAGCACTGAAAGTCCTGCATCCCAGCAAACCCCCCTGTCCTGGGCAAGCTGGGACAGTTGCAGTCTCATTCTTGACCTGAGGTAAAAGTAGGAACACTTTATAACCTCACCGTTTGCATAGCATGATATGGTTTGGCTCTGTGTCGCCACCCAAATCTCATCTTGAATTGTAACTCCCACAATTATCACGTGTCTTGGTAGGAACCTGGTGGGAGGTGATTGACTTATGGAGGCGGGTCTTTCCTGTGCTGTTCTGGTGATAGTGAATAGGTCTCATGAGATCTGATGGTTTGATAAGGGGAAATCTGTTTTCCTTGGGTCTTATCCTCTCTTTGCCTGCTGCCATTCATGTAAGACGTGACTTGCTCCTCCTTGCCTTCTGCTATGATTGTGAGGCTTCCCCAGCCACGTGGAACTGTAAGGCCAATCAAACCTCTTTCTTTTGTAAGTTGCCCAGTCTCAGGTATGTCTCCATCAGCAGCATGAAAATGGACTAATACTTAGCATAACTGTCCTCACAAAATCCTTCCTTAGTCTACACGCTCTTGACCCTTTTGCATTCTGATGGGGGCCAGGGAGAAGATGTCTAATCAGTTCTAGGACAACAGCTTTGAAATTTCTGCAGATTTTTTTTTCCTTTGAAATTCTGTTTTCTGATGTCTATCATGCGTTGGTGCCTTGGTTGAAACTTGTTGCCTAACATCTTATTACTCATGAGACCCAGGTGATATTAGCCAGGAGCGGGATGCAATTTTGAATGAGGGGGAGATTGATCTTCTAGTTACCTTTAATGAGGGTTCACTGTCCAAGCCACAGTCAAGGTCTCTAGCCTAGCACCATGGGAGGAAGATCCCTGAGGGAGGATTACTCCAAGAGGTTCCAATCCCAGGATTTTAGGATTCAACTTCTGGTCCACTCCCCATCCCAAAGTCCACCATTAGCGCCATCCTCCCACTGCAGTGATCCTGATTGAGCTACCGGTCCATTTGGAGATCTAAACATTTCTTGGGCAGGTAAGAACACAATGAAACAGCTCAGAGTGTATTCTATGTACTTAAATTATCTACTCAATGAGCCACATGCTTGGATAATCAAAGATGACTGTTCAAGTACTGATAATAATAATGCTTACAGAGGCTAGTATTCTTATGTGCTTTTCTAAGGACTTTACACAGTGTGTTGATTTTCACAACAATTTCAGATGCTAAGTTCTAGTATCATTCTTTTTTTTTTTTTTTTGAGACGGAGTTTTGCTCTTGTTGCTCAGCCTAGAGTGCAATGGTGTGATCTTGGCTGACCACAACCTCCATCTCCTGGGTTCAAGCGATTCTCCTGCCTCAGCCTCCTGAGTAGCTGGGATTACAGGCATGTGCCACCACGCCTGGCTAATTTTGTATTTTTGGTAGAGACGGGGTTTCTCCATGTTGATCAGGCTGGTCTCGAACTCCCGACCTTAGGTGATTCACCCGCCTCGGCCTCCCAAGGTGCTGGGATTACAAGCATGAGCCACCACGCCCGGCCATATTATTCTCATTTTTAAGATGTGAATATGAGAAAATGGAGGCACAGAAAGATAAAGTAACTTGCCAAGGTCACGTGGCTGGGAGTGCAGCCTGAGATTGAAGTTCTGAGAATCTGACTCTAGAGCCCACATTGTTAATCATTAAGTGGTCCTACCTCTACAAGACCCTGACTGCAGCAGTATTTGAAATATAACCAGGTATGCTGACTATGACAGAGTAGGGACAGCATGGGGAAGTGGGGGTTCCGAGTTTTGTAGTCAGAGCTGGTTTTCGACCTTGGCTCTGCCACCTATTGGCTGTTTGACTTGGAACATGTCACAGCTGCCTCAGAGTTGTTTTTGTTTTTCAGACTGAGTTTCGCTCTGTTGCCCAGGCTGAAGTGCAGTGGTGTGATCTCTGCCCACTGCAACCTCCGCCTCCTGGGTTCAAGTGATTCTCCTGCCTCAGCCTCCCAAGTAGCTGGGATTACAGGTGCCCACGACCACGCCCAGCTAATTTTTGTTTTTTTTTAGTAGAGACAGGGTTTCATCACGTTGACCAGGCTGGTCTCGAACTCCTGACCTCAGGTGATCTGCCCGCCTCGGCCTCTCAAAGTGCTGGGATTATAGGCGTGAGCCACCGCACCCAGCCGGGTTGTGAGTTTTAATAATGTACACAGGGTACCTAGCAGAGGGTCTGGAACACAGTACATGCCAGTAGATACATTGTCCTCCTTCCCTCTTTTCACTGCCCCTGAAACAACAGTTTTGAAGTGAACCTATGATCTGGAATCAAACAGATTTTTTAAGATCCCTGTACGGCTCATGCTAGAGATTGTTCAAGAGGTGGACCCATCTAAGGCACATGGACAAGTCAACAATGGCAATATTTTAACAAGGAAACTTCATTCCAAAGGGAACCACATGGACTGCAAAAAGCATTTGTGAAACTAAAATTATTTTGCTTTTGTAGGACAACTTGGCTCTCTAGGAGGGGTAAATCTTGTTTCTGGAAAGATTAAAAAACCTAAGGTGTTCGTGACCGAGGGAAACGATGTGGCTCTTACTGGGGTATGTGTGTTCTTCATCAGGACTGACCCTTCCAAAGCCATCACCCCTGACAACATCCACCAGGTAAGGGGCAAGAGCCATTGTTTACTCTGAATTACCAAAAAACACACAACTTGCACACAAATATTCCTCTGGTGGAGACAATCATTGTATTCACTACAGTATCTAAAACTACTTTCAGAGAAGTATTTTTTAAAAATTTAAAGCAAGAAATTAAGAGGACATTCCCTTTAAATCTTTTGAGTAAGAGGACTTAATATTCAATTTATTAACACAAATTGATATAACCTTCTGGGTGTGTGTATAACAGTGAGGGCTTTCTTTTTCTAATGAATTCCCCATGCATAATTTACTTAATGGCAAATTTTATACATTTAAGATAAGATTTCTGAAAGTGGATATATAACTTTTTTTTTTTTGTGCAAAGTAAAATGCATCTGTACAAGTTTTCCCCTTCCCTCTGACAGGTGCACTATCTTCTTGGAGCAAATAAACTGGTAAACATCTGGTATTCTATTTATTTCATGCTTTTATTTTGATGATTACAATTTAGAATAGTGTAAAGCTTATTTCTTAACCAGGTTGTCAAACTGATTTTTTTTTTTTTTTTTTTTTGAGACAGGGTCTTGCTCTGTCACCCAGGTTGGAGTGCAGTGGCGCCATCTTGGCTCACTGCAGCCTCTGCCTCCTGGATTCAAGCGATTTCTCCTGCCTCAGCCTCCTGAGTAGCTGGGATTACAGGTGCCTGCCACCACACCAGCCTAATTTTTGTATGTTTAGTAGAGATGGGGTTTCACCATGTTGCCCAGGCTGGTCTCGAACACCTGACCTCAAGTGATCCCCCCACCTCAGCCTCCCAAAGTGCTGGGATTACAGGTGTGAGCCACCACACCTGGCACAAACTAATAATTTACTGGGTATTTGGTAAAGTGACAACATTTAAGAAATGACTTAGTAGTTGTGTTGCATTTGAGGATGATTTTTACAATAAAAGATCTCCTGCCTGTTTTCCAGGAGGTGAGTTTTAACATGTTAGATGCGGCAGATGGAGGCCTGCTCAACAGTGTGAGACGTTTGCTGTCGGACATCTTCATTCCTGCTCTCAGAGCCACGAGCCATGGCTGGGGCGAGCTCGAGGGCCTTCAGGACGCAGCTAACATTCGCCAGGAGTTCTTGAGCTCCCTGGAAGGCTTTGTGAACGTCCTGTCGGGTGCACAGGAGAGTCTGAAGGAGAAGGTGAGGACGAATAAGCTGTTCCTTTAAAAATGATCAGGTGGTCAACAAGCACAGTACATAAGTGTGTAATGCTTCTCTTAGATGGTCTTAATTCCTCTATGTTTCAGTTCTTCAAAAATTTTTGTAGGCAATTTTATTGCTCCTTCAAGATGTGGTGGTGATTAGATTTAAATTTCTACAGTTTGTAATGATCAACACATTCAGGGGTTCCATAAAAACGTTGGCAGTGTTGTAGGGCTTTACTCAGTCAGTCAGATGAGTGACTCCAAAGGCAAGAGTCAGAAATGCTTGTGGCACTGCTGTGCATCCTAGAATGAAAGGAATTTGGAACTGAAGTGTGTGTGTGTGTGGGGGGGTGTGTGTGGGCGGCAGATGGAGGTGGGAAGAGATCCTGAAGAAGCAGAAGAAGGAAAGAGGAATTGATATGTTTGGAGAGAGCAAGTCTGATCCTGTGATTCAGCCAATGATCAAAAGGGCCTTTAAGAATAATTTTGGCAAAGGTGACATTTAGTTTCTGTATGATTTGTGCTGTTTATAATAAGTCTGTGTTTGTGATTACTTGGGGCAGAGGTTGATGGATGTACGCTTGTGTGTGTGTGTGTGTGTGTGTGTGTGTGTGTGTGTGTGTGTGAGAGAGAGATAGAGCAAGAGAGAGAGAGAGAGAGAGAGACAGAGAGAGAGGGAGAGAGAGAGAAGATAAGGTAATAAGAGAGATGACAGAGCCCAGATCAGGCATGTAGGGGCAGGTAGGGAAATGGATCCTATGGTAATGATGACAGTGTGACACTCTGCCCTCCTCTCCCAGGAATGCTGATCCTGCTGGGATTGGGGAAGGGGCATTACGCTTTCCAAAGGATGTGGAATGGGGGAGTTAAGCAAATTTTATCCAGACAGACACAGGATGACTCCAGCTAACACCCAAATTATATTTGTGATTGACTGTGATGGAGGGCAGACCAAATTGCAGGTTGGACCAAATAAAATTGTTGGCATTCTACATGTTGAAAATTTTTTTTAATTTTATTATTATTATACGTTAAGTTTTAGGGTACATGTGCACAACGTGCAGGTTTGTTACATATGTATACATGAATAAAGCAAACATTTTTACTACTAAAAAAATAAAATTGCTGGCATTCTATCTAAAAAAGCAGTGTTTTTTTCATATGGGTCCACTTCATATTGCAATAAAAGTATTACCAAAATGGGATGGGTCCCCAGGTGGGAGGAGGCATTCTTTCTGAGTGGGAGAGGGCAGTGGGCTTTGGGTTGAATTGTGAGGTTGTGTAGGATCACAGGGAAGTGTTGGAAGGTCCCATCAGTCTGGGGGCAGCGTGGACAAAGGCACGTGGGAGTGGAGAGGAGGTATGTGCTACCTGGTGGGCTTTCCAGAGCGCTGTCAGAGTGCAGCAAAGTGGAAAACACAGGGCCCACAGTCTGTGTGTTTTACAAAAGCATCATCTGATTATTTAATTTTCATTCTAATTAGGTGAACCTTCGAAAGTGTGACATACTTGAACTGAAAACCCTAAAGGAACCTACGGACTACTTGACTCTAGCAAATAACCCTGAGACTTTGGGAAAAATAGAGGATTGCATGAAAGTATGGATCAAACAGACAGAACAGGTAATTTTGAGAAACCAAACATCAATTTCAGGTGCCACATTACTGCGCTAGACAATGGAAGAAGGTGTATTGACATACGACATTCCATTTGTTAAGCGTTTTACTGTAAATCCTTGAGGAGGTGAGAGGTCCAATGTGGTTTTCCTTTACTGTCATGAATTAAGAAGAGGTAGTAAGAATTCTAAGAAATGAAAGAAAATGGCTGCATATACTTATATCACTCAAACGCTGCACTTTGCCAGTTTCTTTTCTCAATGTCTAATTTACTTTGGAGAGAACCCCTGTAGAAGCATGAGGAGTTTTCTAATTTAGTATGTCCTCCAAAAGGGAGCTTGAGACTTCACCTTAAACACAAATTCAGAAAAGTCCTCAATGAAGGCATGAAGGTGGACATTACATTACAAAGTAAGCACAATTAAAATCCACTAGCCTGAGCCATGCAATTTAACAAGGCCATGTTCCTCCAAGGTTATAGAGTAAATGAATAGCCAAGAAAAATTCCTGAGGTCATGGCCTTCAGAAGCTCATTACAGCTCATTAAATAGGTAGTTTTTGATTGCAGATTGGGTGACCGTAGTTAGCAACAGTATACTGTATATTTCAAACTGTTAGGTTGGTGCAAAAGTAATTGTGGTTTTTGCCATTACTTTCAATGGCTAATTACTTTTGCACCAATCTAATACCTAGAAGAGAGGACTTGAAATGTTACCCACACGTAGAAATGATAAGTACTCAAGGTGATGATACCCCAAATACTCTGACCTGGTCATGACACATTCTACATATATAACAAATACTCACATGTACCCCATAAATATGTAAAATAAGTATCAATAAAAGAAAAAAGTATGAATCAAAAATCTTTAAAAACCCCCCAAAATATAAACTATTTTCAAAAGAGGAAAGCATAAGTTGTTTTCAGTTAAAACAATTCAAAGAGATTTTCGTTGAAGTTTTAAAAATGGATGCATGCTAAGTGAGTAAAAGATTGTTATTGGAAGCATGGAATACGCATATATCATGATCCAGATAGGATAATTGATTTCCTTATTTGTTTTTTGCTTGTTTATAACTTTAGCGTCTCCAGCCCCGTGCAATGGCTCGTGTTTTTCCCCGCGCATTTGCAGGTTCTTGCTGAAAACAATCAGCTGCTGAAGGAAGCGGATGACGTTGGGCCACGAGCGGAGCTGGAGCACTGGAAAAAAAGACTCTCCAAGTTTAACTACCTTTTGGAACAATTGAAAAGCCCGGATGTGAAGGCTGTGCTGGCAGTGCTTGCGGCGGCCAAGTCGAAACTGCTGAAGGTCGTCAGCCATTTCATTTTGCCTTGTGAAATGGGAATAAGAGTTCTCTATGCATATTTTCAAGGCATAGAGTGATTAGGAACAAAAAAATGTTATTATACCTTGATGAAAAACATTTAAAATTACATAATACTTCCCTCACATCACTTTGGAGGCTGCGGAAATAGTCTTTGAATGAAAGGCAATTGTTAGCTGGTGTACGTGTATGTATATGTGTTATTGGCATTGTATGTAATTAAGACAGAACATGATAGCATGTTTATATATATATCTATGTTTTATGATTTCAGACCAGCTAGAAATAATAATAATGAAAACTCACCCTATCTGTATTTATTTTTTAGTCCTTGTATATTAGTTTTATATTGCAAAACAACCTCCAAACTTAGCAGCTTAAAACAGTCAATAGGCCAGGCGTGGTGGCTCACGCCTGTAATCCCAGCACTTTGGGATGCCGAGGCAGGTGGATCACAAGGTCAGGAGTTTGAGACCAGCCTGGCCAATATGGTGAAACCCCATCTCTTAAAAAGCACAAAAATTAGCTGGGCATAGTGTCGTGTGCCTGTAGTCCCAGCTACTTGGGAGGCTGAGGCAGAAGAATCGCTTGAACCCGGGAGGTGGAGGTTTGCAGTGAGCCGAGGTCGTGCCACTGCGCTCCAGCCTGGGTGACAGAGTGAGACTCTGCCAAAATAAAAAACAAAAAACAAAAACAGCCAATATTTCAATCTCACACTCTATGGGCCAGGAATCTGGGTGCAGCTTAGCTGGGTGCCTCTGACTCTGGGTATCTCATGAGGCTACAGCTGTGATGTGGGTTCATCTTAGGGCTCAACGCGGGGAAGATCTGCTTCTGAGTTTACTCATCTGGTTGTTGCTGGATTCAGTTTCTTGCTGGCTGTTGGCTAGAGGCTTCCTTCAGTTCCTTCCCACATGGGCCTCTCTGTAGAGCAGCTTAGAACATAGCAGCTGGCTTCCCTTAAAGGGAGCAAGTGAAGGAGGGCAAGAGAGTCCCCAACCTAGAAGCCACAGTCTTTATGTAAATTAATTCTGGAAGTGACATCCCATCACTTTAGCCATATTCTCCTTATTAGAAGCAAGTCACTAGATTCAGCCCATGATCAAGGAGAAGGGATGAATACAAGAGCTTGAATACAGGGAGTCTGTGGTCACTGGGGACCGTCATAGAGGCTGCCTAACTCACCTGGCACTGGTGCTGGAAAGACTGTTTGTTAACTATTTGCATGGGTGTTATTAGCTATTTGCATGTTTTGATACGTAATAATTTGTTGCAATAAACGTGCTATAGATTTACCTTCTATTATTCCTCAAAGAAATAGCAGAGGTGAGCCTTGCAATACAGTTCAGAAATACTATCAGTCAGACTTCCGTGAAGTCAATGGAATGTACTGACGTGCTAAATAATTTCCTTTTACTTCTCTCACTTTTAGATTATCTTTCCATTTCTAAGTTCCTAGCTCATAGCACAGTACTGGCATACAGTTGGCAGATAATAAACAATTACTACATTAATGGATAAATGTATAGGGATATAGGAAGGGAGTTCAGGTTAGAATAGAGGAAAGATAGAAAATATGGAAGTGTGGTATCAAATGGGTCTGCTAACCAGTGCAGGGGAGAACGTGTGAGTTTAAAGGGCGGTGCTGCCCTCCTGGTGCTCTGTGATAGTCATAGCATAGATTTTATATGAGAAGCCCTGGAAGATATGCTTTAAAACATTGAGTCAAAAATTTTAAATTGCTTTCCAGCATAGCAATATCTCTCGCCCCTCTGGATTCAGTTTTCTGTGAGATGGACAGAAGGTCTCGCCTAATGGACTTGTGGTGACTCTTAGCAGTGGTTGTGTTGGAAGTTCCTCTATTAATAATTACATTAAAATTGCTTTTCCCTATTGTGCTTAGACTTGGCGGGAGATGGATATTCGAATCACTGATGCAACTAATGAAGCAAAGGACAATGTGAAATACTTGTATACACTTGAAAAATGTTGTGACCCTTTGTACAGCAGTGATCCCGTGAGTTAAGGATTTCTACTCTTTCAGTCTATAGATAACCCTTTTTGCACTAGCTGAATTGAATATTGAATTTTGTTTCATCAATATTACAGTTCATTGGAAAGGTCTTAGAAACTTTATTTTCAAGAAAATTACATATATATAGGTATATACACGCAGACGCACAAATATCTGTATTTCTATATCTATTTCTCTAAGCAGTCTACCTCCTATCTATTGAAGATGTATATGAGATGTTATATTTTAAAACATTTATTGCATGTTACATTTTCCATTAAATATTGCAAAGGACATTCTGAACTATATACCCCAAAGAACTGTGGGAAAAGTCATTAGCTAGTGATGTTTTTTTTTAATCTTTTAGCTTTCGGAAGTGCCTGCTTTTACTTAGTACAACATTAACTGTTATTAACAGTTTATCCTTAATAATAGTTAACAGTTAACTTGCTGTTGCTTGTCATTAACAGTGGGTCAATGTTTCTTCCACTGAAATAAAATTTGATTAACCATATGTGACTAATAAAATTAATATTAAATATATTATTTTCATGTAAAGCATTAAATAGTATTTTTAAATCTTTAATAGAAAGCTCTTAAACTTTATTTTAATGCAGATGGAATGGTTAGTCTATTAGAATTTTGCTGAATTTGATGATTTTTTCTGAAAACTTTGGTGATATCTTTCAGCTATCCATGATGGATGCTATTCCTACACTTATAAATGCAATTAAAATGATCTATAGTATCTCTCATTACTATAATACCTCTGAGAAGATCACATCTCTGTTTGTAAAGGTAAGTGCATGATGTAGAGTCCATGTTCATTTGTATTTCTTTGCCAGTGATCAATTTTTTGATAATTAAAAATTACCACATTGGCTCAGTTCAATATGTATGTATCTTAAAATTTTAAAAAGGCTTAGGCTATCAATAGAGATAGAATTAAATTGATGTCAGAGGCTGATTCTAGCAAATCATAAAGCATTATTTCCCAAAGTAATTATTATAATAAATATTTTATTATTTATATAATACAAATGAAAAAAGATTGCTCTTGGAATTTCTTTCCTATGTGGTTTAGCACATCATGTATTCCTACTGGGTAAATTTTAATTAAGAAAAGCTATATTTAACTGGCTATCTCCTGTTTCATATTTCATATGCCACTGTTCCAAATTTATTTGATGCCACAGTTGTTTACTTGGTGTTATTAGAACAGTAATCATGGTAATAAAAGCCACTTGCAATGTTCTAGTAATCTATAAAGCAATTATAATGATTCTGCCAAAAAACATAACGATGCTTAAACCTTATGTCCTAACTCGTAAGTGTTTATGGTAAGCACTGTTGCTATTCTCATTTTGAACAGTCTCTAAGAAGTAAATGACTTTTTCATTATCAAAGCAAAAATCTTAAGTGTTATATTAAAATAGAAGAATTTTTGATGAATCAAGACTCGTGTTCTGAATACTAACGCAGTAGGAAGCACAATTCTTCCTGGGAATAAAGACATCCAGCCTTAAGAGCTCAATAGGAAACGTTTTCCTTCTGTCATGTAGGTAGTTCAGGTAGACAGGAGGGATGGCTGCAAGATTCCCTCCCAACTTCCTTATACGTTAAAATTATATGTTAGGGTTGCGAGAGTATTCCCTGGGTAAATGACACCCACAAGTAAATGTGTGTTATTAATTAAGATTTTATGCATATTATTTGCAAAACTTGATTTAGCATAAAATAATGAAACCACCATTTATCTAATTGTAAAAAACCTTTCATTATGGAAATGTTGAATTAGGTACAAAAGGAGAGAATCGTATACTGGAATGCCATGTACATATCACCTAGATTCAGCAGATATCCACGCATGGCTGATCTTGTTTCACCTATACCCCCACCCCTTGCACTGTAAATCCTGGGCATCATATCTTTCCATGGATACAGCATAGTCATTTAATTTTCCTTATGCTTTATCCAAAAAATTAATACATTTCTGAGGATTTTTGTGAAGTTTGGAGAGATGAATAAAATGTTAGTGGTTTTGTACATTAGTTTTCCTTCTCTCTGCGGCCTTCTCCTTTTGACATTTCCATTGCTGATCATGGTCACATGAAAAGATCAGGATCGGCAGTACTTTACATGGTGCTAGTAAACTGTGAGTTAGATATTAGAGCAGGCTACCTAAGGAGATTTGGGGAAACTCATCAGTTTTCAGGGAAGGAAATGAATCCTTCCTTGTTTTGTTAAGACATTCATCCTGCATAGACAAGGTGGCCTAAATTGTCGATTTTCCATGGTGCTTCCAACTCTGTGATTTCACAAATGATTTTGACAATATCAAAGGGTTATTGGTGGATTATAACTGTGATGGAAAAAAAATAAACCCAAGCTCAAGTTAGAAGATTGTGAACTCTGAGAAGTAGAAGAGTTAAGGACCTTCTAGTCCAGTTTACAATCCATGGCTGTTTTATGTGCTTAACATCATTTTATTGGAAAATCCCAGGTGACAAATCAGATTATATCTGCATGTAAAGCCTATATTACCAATAATGGAACCGCTTCCATCTGGAACCAGCCACAGGATGTTGTTGAAGAAAAAATACTATCTGCGATTAAACTGAAACAGGTAATGGTCAGTTTAGTATTTAGATGTTCTATTCTTTTTATCTTATTTTTGTTGAGACCATCTTAAATCATTTTGTAATTATTATATCATTGGTTGATAAAAAGAACAGTGATTCTTAACTATGAAGAAAATGGAATGTTAATATACCTTCCCAGGAAATTTATTCACCTTTTTGTACCCTCCTTGGGAGCCTACTATGTCCTGATATCACAGTAAGTACTAGAGATACAAAGACAGCTAATATGAGGTAGTTTTCCTTAAGCATCTTTAAGATGAATGGAGAGAGAGTCATAGAAGGATGCTATTACCAAAACCATGGGACCAAGATGGGAAAGCCACACCTTTGAGTTGCATCGTGAGTAACCCGATTAGAATCTAGAATTGCTAGATTAGAGGAGGTGAAAAGATGATTTTCCAGGCTGATGAGTGAGTACAAGCAAAGGCATGAAACTATGAAAAGGCTTACAATTCCATCCTAATTTTGCTGTCGCCTTCACTTAAGAAAATAAAGTTGATACCTTTCTTGTTCCCTTTGTTGTATATTTTTCTTTTGATTTTAAGGAATACCAGCTCTGCTTTCACAAGACAAAACAAAAGCTTAAACAAAATCCAAATGCAAAACAATTTGATTTTAGCGAGATGTATATTTTTGGAAAATTCGAAACTTTTCACCGACGCCTTGCCAAGATAATAGACATCTTTACAACCCTCAAGACGTATTCAGTCCTGCAAGATTCCACAATTGAAGGGCTGGAAGACATGGCCACTAAATACCAGGTATTGTACTTTAAAGCTATATTTTATAACATAATCCACAACTAAACTTCAATATTTTATGCAAATAACAGTGTTTAGAATGATTCAAATCATCAGTCTGTAAAGTAAAATATAAATAATCTCATGGCCTTTTAACAATAAAGAAATTAGATTTGTTTGAGAATTGTGTAATGGTGCTAATATGTTCTTTTCAGGTGTGTGGTTATAAGAATGACTTTCCAATAGTCTAAAATTAATCACCATTAAAAAAGCATTTTCATTAGTAGCACAAGAAAAATGTTTAATTGTAACTTATTGTTTTATTTATTCTTGCAAGAAATATTTAATGAAGAGTATACTGTATCAGGCACTAGTTGACACCAGGTACTTTGTGGCACTCAATTATCTCTGCATTTAAGCATTTTATTTGGACCCATATTAAAAAATATAAAGGACCTGATTTTATTCTAGATGTGATTTCCCTAATTATTTTGATTTTTAACTGCTTTATCTTGTCATGGTATCTGTGTGACTAATTTTAGTTTTGAAAGTGGGCATAGTGACCTAATAACATTTCGAAGATTTTAGAAAAACAATTTACAAACAATTTGCTTTAAATTCTTAATATGGACATAGTCAATTTTTTTCTTTTTTGGGGGACAGTGACACTAAATCTTAAATTTTTTTTGGTACTTGAATTTGAAAAGGATCATATAATTAACCACTACACACTAATTTTTGTACTCTAACAATTTAGCCCAATATAAGGAATCTTTTTCATTTCCTGAGTATACCAAGTTTTGGGAGAGATAAAGAAAATACCTTTATATAGCAGGAAACATTTTAAGTTTACTGGCACATAGTAGATGTGCAATAAATATCTGTCAAGAAAATAATTAAGTAGATTGAGTTTGAGTAGTTGATGTAAAGGTCACGATTAATCATTTCCTTTATTTAACTTAATAATCTTAAGTGACCATTAAATCCAGTCATAGAGCAGGATTTTCTCAAGTTCCCAAATCTTTAAAATTACTACATCAAAATGTAGTAGCTTTTCCATACTTGTTTTAGACAATTTATATAACACTATATATGTGTGTGTATATATGTATATAGTGTTACATAAAATGTCTAAAAGAAGTATGGAAAAGCTACATGTGTATGTATATATGTGTATATATACATACACACACATACTTTTGATTCTTTTGATTTTAAGGGATATCAGCACTGTAAATCCTAGACATTGTATCATTCCATGCATATATATAGTGTGTGTGTGTATATATTTTATATAACATTCCATGCATACACACACGTTATATAAAAAAGTATATATATATATACATACACACACAATTTCTAAATAGAACTAATTTTGTAGTTATGCAGCATGAAAAAGTAGGTTGTTTTATCTAGTAAACTTGATTCAAGAAGTTATGCTGTTTATACACTTTTGTCTATTGAGAGATTTGATGTTTAAATGGAAGTGACTTTGAAGAGGAGATTGTAGAAGAAGGAGGCCCAATATTCTTCATAAAAATTATATGCTTCTGTCAACAGTGTGGGCACCTGAGTTTGAGAATGGCTTAGTACCTGGTTAAGAAGAATCGCAGAGCATTATAGCTCATTATTGAAAGCAAACAAAGCTTCTGATAATAGTATTTTCAAGGAGATGAACTTCCTAGTTTGTACTTTCCTAGTCACAGGCTGCAGCTTTGCAGGGCAGTAGGAAACAATTAATTTTAGAAAGGTTTTAAGTGGTGGATTCTGGTCTGACATTTTTAAGATGTTTGAAGCTTGGAAGGTAGTAACTCATCTGTAGATATAACATCATTTATTTTCTTCCTATATTGTTTGTGTTCTGTGAAAGCCTTATTTATTTTCTGAGAAGATTTAAACTATTCAACACAGAATATTTTAGTAAATTCTACTCTGGGCTTTAAAAATTATTTCAGATATGATTAACAATAAAATTTTAGTGGAAAAAATCTTTCCCAATTTTCAGGTGTGGTTTTTATTTCATTTTTTCAAAAATACATAAAACATCATGAAAATACTTTCCAAGTGATTTCTTTGAATGCAGTAGGGCAACCTTATACTGCCTGTAAAATAATAAGCACAAAACAATGTGAGTAAAAAAATAAGGCTTCCTTTAAACTTATTTTTTTTCTGGCAATTATTGTATAGGCTCTACATTTAAGGGTCATATTTAGTTAGGTAATATAAGAATATTGAAATATTATCTAATTTATCTCATAATATTTCAGGGCATTGTGGCAACCATAAAGAAAAAGGAATACAATTTCCTAGACCAGCGGAAAATGGATTTTGACCAAGATTACGAAGAGTTTTGCAAGCAGACTAATGACCTTCATGTAGGTTGTATAATAAAATTCCTGTTGACAGTCGTGTGTTTATTTTTTCCTTTCTGTATAATGCCGTTAATCATTACCCAATCAGAAGGCAGAGGTATCTTCATCATGGAGGTGACCGATAGCAACCTCAGCCTGTGTTTCGTGATTTCAGATTAATAATTGAAGGCTGTTTTTCATGGATTAAAGGGTCATAAATATAGCTTTGGCTAATGATGTGTATCAGACTTCCACATGTCTTCCATTGACGTTCTTAGAAAGTTAACTTTCATCTTCTGTTGAACATTGCGGCACGATTGGAATGTAGACTCTTATTTCCGTTTGTCACTGTGTAGCAATGATTATGACCAGAGGTAGCTCAGGCAAATGGTCAGCAATGTCTGGCAGATTCCAAGGCAGGGCTGCCACTGGCCTTAGAAACGGTGGCGCCAGGACCGACTCAGCACCTGGACCCCGCTTGGACTTGCAACCCCTTTCTCTTCCTTCTTTCACCTGCTCACTGCAGACCAGCCATCTTGCCTTGCAGCTCACATGAGCAGTTTATGCCATTAGCAGCTTCTGAGACTGTTTCACAGGACCAGGCCAGCTCCAGATTCCCGAGGAAGGGGTTGGGCTAGCCAGTTCTGGTGAGGTGCCTAGTACTGGGCCTCTCAACTGTGAGATCCTGTGGTGGACACAGGCGGGATGGGATCCACTGGGTCACGGGGAATGTTTATTATCAGGAAAGGGGAGTCAGGGAGGGTAAGATGGGAAGACACCCAGCAGGTATCTACCATAATGAATATGGGGACATTTTCTCATCCCAGTGAGGTGCAAATGTCTATCTTTCTGACTATAAGAGGAAAATAGCCACTCTATTTCTTCTTTCCCAGGGTTTTTGATTTGCATTAAATTTGTGCACTTCAAAGTAAAAGGAGCTCTGAGACACCTTGGGAGGAGCGAGTTCAGTGTTAGAATGAGTCATAACAAAGCTAGCTCATTCTATGTGCCAGGCACTGTTCTAAGCACTTTGTATGTGCTAATTCATTTAATAATCGTAATAATCCTATAAAGTGGGTGCTCTTGTTACTCTCATTTTGCAGAGGAGGAAACTGGGAAACTTCACTGTGAGGGGAAGTGGCTTGCCTAAAGTCACAGGCATAACAAGGGGTGGAGTTGGGGTGAAAGCCAGGCAGTCTGGCTTTGGAATTCAACTTTTTTAACCATTGTGGCATGCAGCAGGCTTCATTTGATGGGAAGAGAGAGTACCTATAATAATTTAAGCAATGATTTCTTTTGGGGGCAGATTCAGACATAAGGACAGTGAATGTTGGTCTCTTTTTGTTGGAAATTGATGAGTAATGGCAGATTCTGATGTTCACCTGTGTTTCCTCAGCAGTGTCTGACCACATGGTACTTCTGTAGCTTATATGTGGAATATAGATGGTGAGCACCTCAAATGCAGGGATCATGTTTTATTCCCATATGTTAATAAGAAGATGTAGATTTATTGCAATGAAACAAACGTTTGCTATACAGCAATTATGTATTAGACTTCTATGCTGTAGGTTATGAATACAGAAATAAATCAAGTAGATATGCCCTCGCAGCTCATAGTCAGATAGGAGGCAGATGGTGAAATGATGAAAATATAAGCACATACATTAGAACAGAGTAATGAATTTAGCATTTAAAAAAGGGCAAATGGAGTTAAAATGGCTACTTAGGAAAGAATACTACTCTGATACTATATGAAAAAGTGAGGATTCAAAAATAAAGAGACATAGCTCAAGGCCTACAAAAATGTATAGGGAGATCAGGCCTGGAAAACATTACGTAGAATCTGATCATGTGAACCTAGGGAAAGATAATCTGATACTTCTGCTTGGCTGGGGTTAGGAAAGGCTTCAGAGAGGAGGCTGTGGTTGATGCTAGAAAGATGTTTGTGTGGTTATATTTTTCATGGTTTCAATTACCCAGGGTCAACTGTGGTCTGAAAATAGGTGAGTATAGTACAATAAAATATTTTGAGAGAGAGAGGGGCCACATTCACATAACTTTTATTACAGTATATTGTTAAAAATTGTACTATTTTATTATTATTGCTGCTCATCTCTTACTCTGCCTATTTTGTAAATTAAACATTATTATGTTTGTATGTATGTACAGGCAAAAACATAGTATATATAAGGTTTGGTTTCAGTCACCCACCGGGGATTTTGGAACATATTCCTGAGGATAAGAGGGGACTACTGTATTAGTTCCCATTCTACTCAGCCTTCTTAAAAGAAAGTCAACACTATTATCCATCTTGTCTTCCATGTCAGAAATTGTTCACTTCTGTCTTTGGTTTGCCAATGAGTTTTTCTTTGACTTACACTTCTTTATTCCTTTGTCCATTCTCTTTCTCTTAACTAATTGTTCTGCAGTCTGTCCTTTAAATACTCACCCACTCATGAATTCAGCCCTCATCTTTATAAAACTGGGGCAAAAATACCTTCCCACGACTCTGAATGGAGTAAGGGCGGTGATGCGTCCAGGAGTCTTGGAGAGACTCAGCAACAGTGGAATCTCAAGTGAAAGTCTTCATGAGTGATTTGGATCAGGGTGGTGTCAAAGGGATCAGAGCCTGGAATCCTCTCCAGATTTAGGGTTCGTGCTGGTACTAACAGGTCAAAGAGGGCAGCATGTTGGAACCAAGTGGGCTGTTGGAAGTCTAGAAGCATGCTGATCCCAGCAGATGGAGAAGGCACTACTTAGTAAAGGATGGGTGTTGAGGTGGCAAGCTGAGTTAAAGGAAAACTGAGTAGGAGCTGAGACCCCAAAACTAATGTGAAGACGAGTATGAAGATTCCACAACCCAGACCCCACAAACTGTAAGGATGGACCAAGGCTCAGAACAAGAAAAGTCTAGGTCTTACATGTTGACAGAGAGTTCAGCCCAGGCCTTTGCGAAGCCATAGGGTAGAAAGGCAAGGAAAACCAGGTAAAAGTGTTAGGGCTCAGTAGAGATTTGCTGGTGTCTGAAGGAGAGGGAGGCAGTGGAAGGGTTATAAATGCTCTAGTTTTGCATAATTTATACATAGAGATTTTTTATGTAGTGAAAAAATGTAGATGTTTATTTAGGTAGGCTAACTGTACTGTTTTTTAATGCAGGAACATTTTTTCATCCTAGGATGTGGACTTAGCAGGAGAAATAATGTCACTTAAAAAATACATATACTTCCAGTAGAAGTAGCTGAAACTATTGAGGGCAAGGAAGTATTGTAATAGGCTTCCAGCTCCTTCAGTTTTGGAGCTTTGCTGGATCAGGCAGGAGGTTTGCGGCTTACCCATCCCCCACCCTGCCAATAGCTCCATCTCCTCCACAGGTCGTATCTCCTGTGGTGGTCTGGATATTGCCAACTGGTTTTCTTACCATATTACTTCTGACCTAACATTATCTGAAATCAAACCCATTTAGGTACTAATTCTTATCGCATATCAAACTAGTCTCCTCAATTTAATACTACATCAATTAATGTCTCTTCAAGTTTGCAAAGACTTAATTAAAACTTCTGACTGGTAAGTTGAAAAAAAGTTGTTCACTTTGTCTTGAAGCATGAAATATAAAATAAGGAAATAATTTTTCTATGTTTTGTTTAACTGAATTTAGATTTTAATTATAGCTCTGCACTAAAGCTTAGGATGCACAAAGAATAAATTGTGCTTAGTTTTTTGGTGCAATTTTTTTGGGGGGAGGGTCATAGTTACATAATAGTATAAGATGTGTGACGTTCTCAGGAGAACCCATAAAGACCATTTTGGAAAACATATTTGAGGGGTTCATGAAAAGGATTTTTAAAATCTTTGATATTTAAGTCATTCTTTTTACAACACGTTTCACCTTTAATGCTTTTAGAACAATTTTTATTCTTTGATTAATATCATTACCATATTCCCCCTTCTCTCCCCCAGGTTCTTTTTTTGGGGGGTGGCGGGGGGACAGAGTTTCACTCTTGCCCAGGCTGGAGTGCAGTGGCACGATCTCGGCTCACTGCAACCTCTGCCTCCCGGGTTCAAGCGATTCTCCTGCCTCAGCCTCCTGAGTAGCTGGGATTACAGGCACGCTCCACCACACCCGGCTAATTTTTGTATTTTTAGTACAGATGGGGTTTCAGCATGTTGGCCAGACTGGTCTCGAACTCCTGACCTTAAGTGATCCACCTGCCTTGGCCTCCCAAAGTGCTGGGATTACAGTCGTGAGCCACCGTGCCTGGCCTCGTTCTGCTAGATTCTAATTTGACAGATGCTCTCGGTGTGAACTTGCGTTCACCCCACTGCCCTTGGTTAATTTTGCCAAAGGTTAGTCTGTATTATTATTTTTCCCAAAGAGCAGCTTTGGAGATGTTAATCTTGTCTCTTACTTCTTTGTTTTTAATTTTATTGCATTTTGTTTTAAAACATTTTTTTCTTCTTTCTTTGGAATTTATTCTGTTATTTTTACCTTTCTTCAACTGACAGCTTAGCTCATTAATTTCCATTTCTTTTCTTTTTCTCTTTAAAATAGGTGCATGAAAGTCTATATCTTTTCCACGAAGGGTCACTATTGCTGTTTCTTACAAATTTTAATATGTAGTACATATGTTGTTGTTGAGTTTAAAGTATCACGTAATGTTTGTTATGATTTGTTATTTTACTCATGGATTATTTGAAAGCATTTTTAGCTTTTTTATTGTACTCTATTGGCTCTCATTTTATTTTGGCTTAAATTATTATATTTTGATGTGAGAACATGGAATACTTTATGTCAGTATTTTGGTATTTACTGAGATGTCCTCCGTGGCCTAGTTCGTAGTTAAGATTTGTAGATGTTCCATGTGTACTTGAAAAGAGTAGTGTTTTCTGTCTGGATTTGGGGTCTTTTGATGTCACTATATCACACTTTTAATTGGGTTATTCAAATATTTTACACCTCATTAAATATTTTTTAAAAATGACTTTTTAAAGAGAAGTTGTAGATTCACAGCAAAATTGAGAGGAAGTACAGAGATTTACTATATTCCCCCTACTCTCCCCCAGAATGCATAGCCTCCCCCATTATGAACATCCCCTGATAGGGTGGTACATTTGTTACAATCGATGAGCCTAAATTGACACATCATTACCATCTAAAGTCCACAGTTTACATTAGGGCTCACTCTTGGTGTTATACATTCTATGGGTTTGGACAAAGATACAAGGATATGCATCGACCGTGGTAATATCAGGCAAAGTGTTTTCCTACCGAAAAGTCCCCTGTGCTCCACCTATTCATCCTTCCCTCTCCCGGTAACTACTATCTTTTTACTGTCTATGTAGTTTTGCCTTTTCCATCTAGTCGGAAGCATACAGAATATGCCCTTTTAGACTGGCTTCTTTTAGTTAGTGATATGCGTTTATATTTTCTTCATGCCTTTTCATGGCTTGATAGCTCATTTCTTTTTAGCACTGAATAACATTCCATTATTCAGTTGTGATGTACCACAATTTATCCAGTCACACATTGAAAGATATCTTGGTTACTTCCAAGTTTTGACAACTATGAATAAAGCTGCTATAAACATCGGTGTGTAGATTTTTCTGTGGATATAAGTTTTTAACTTCTTTGATTGAGTACCAAGAAGTATGATTGCTGGATCATATAGTATGAGTGTTTTTAGTTTTATAAGAATCCATCAAACTGTCTTCCAACATGGCCATACCATTTTGCATTCCCACTGGCAATGAATTAGAGTAGAGTTCTTGTTGCTCCACATCCTCACCAGCATTTGGTGTTTCCAGCATTCTAGATTTTGACCATTCTAATATTTGTAGTGGTATACTGAATGTTTTTTGATCTTCTTTGTCTGAGTTCTTTTTGTGTTGCTATAACATAACTGCAGACTGGCTGATTTATAAAAAAAAGAAATTTATTTCTTACAGTTCTGGAGACTGAGAAGTCCAAGGTTGAGGAGCCGGTATCTGATGAGGGCCTTCTTGCTGCATGGCAGAAGGCTGAAGAGCAAGAGAGCTTGAGAAAGCAAGAGAGGGCTGAGCTCGTTTTTTATAACAACCCACTCCTGCGATAACATTAATCCACCGATGGGAGCAGAACCCTCAGGGCCTAATAACCTCTTAGTGGTGCCACCTCTTAATATCATCACAATGGCAATTAAATTTCAACAGGAGTTTTGGAGAGGACATTTAAACCATAGCATGCTTGATCCATGGGTTTCTAAAAATCTGTGTATATATTTTGATTCAATTGGTTAAACACAGACTCGAAATTGGCATATCTGCCAAAGAAATTGTTCCCTTTAATGCTAAATTATGACCATATTTATCTTCAATGAGGCTCTTTGCCTTACAATCAATTTTGTGAATTATTTATATTGCTACTTCGACTTTCTTTTGGTTATTATTTACCTGAAATAAACATTTTTTTCTGTTCTTTTACTTCCTACTATTTCTTTCTTTCTTTCATTTTCTTTTCTTTTTTGAAACAGGGTCTTGCTCTGTCACCCAGGCTGGAGTGCAGTGGTGCGATCTTGGCTCACAGCAGCCTCGATCTGCTGGGCTCAAATGATCATCCCACCTCAGCCTCCCGAGTAGTTGAGACTACAGGTGCATGCCACCATGCCCAGCTAATTTTTGTATTTTTTGAAGAGTCAGGGTTTTGCCATGTTGCCCAGGCTGGTTTCAAACTTCTGGGGTCAAGGGATCTGCCAACCTTGGCCTCCCAATGTTCTGGGATTAAAGGTGTGAGCCACTGTACTTGGCCTACTATTTCTTAATTATTATATTTTAAACATATCTCTTTAAAAGAGCAATGGTTGGATTATATACGTATAATACAAACACACACACACACATAATCCACATACATAGAATCCATATATATAAAATCAATATATCTATAATTTATATATAATATCCTTATATATAATTCACATGCACATATATAATCCACATATATATAAAATCCATATATCTATAATATATATATCTATAATTTATATATAATATCCATGTACAATCTACATAAAAATATAATCCATATCTCTCTATATAACATATATGTATATATAAAAAACAGCTGAGACTCTCTTTCCTTTAATTGCAAGTTTAAGCCATTTACATTGATTGTTGTTTTTAGTATAGAGTTACTTCTACAATCTATTTTGAATTTTAAGTGAGGTGAACTTTTTTTCTTTGACTTTTTCCTTTTTATATTTTGTTGATTAAATTTTGTTATTCTCTTTATTCCTCTTCTATTTATATTTTTAATATTGTATTTATATTTTTAGTGGTTTTAGCATATATACCTGACTTTAAAGAGTTTAACTGTTTTATCAGCCTACCTCTCATTCATGCTATGGTTGTCTTGAATTTTAGTTTTACCTTTGCTGCTAAACTTTTCAAACTTGTTATTACTAATAGTTATTTAAATTTAGCAACATGTTTACAGTTTGCTTTGCTTATTCTTGCATCTTGTTAGTAATCGTATCTCTCCCTCTTTTTGGGTTCATTATCATTCTTAAAGAAGTATATCCTTTAGTTTTATTTTAACAAGAGTCTGTTAATGGTAAACTCATCCAGTCTTTACACCCAAATGCCTATAAAGTTGCCCTCAATCTTGAATATTATTCTCGTTTTATATGTGATTTTAGTTTGGGTGTTATTTTCCGTCAGCCCTTAGAAGATCTTTATTCACTGATTTTTGTCGGCTATTGTTCTCCACGAGGTATTTGCTATCAAATAGTTATTTCTTTATAGATAAATTTGATTTCTCCCTTTTGTGATTTTAATATTTCTATCTTTTAATATTAATATTACTATTATTTTTCTTTTAATATTGTTTTTCTCTTTACCTTTGGCATCTTTCTGTGAGTTTTGGGTGTGATTAAAACATATTTCTCTTGTTCAGAATTTGATGTGCTTCTTCCATTTGAGGACTAAGTCTTTTTTTAATTGTGGAAAATTCTCAGCCTTTCTCATTTTAAATATCTTAGGTTCTTCTTCCAAGATTTCCAATAGACATATGTTACACCTTATTTTTCTATCTTCCATGTTTGTTAACATCTTTTTTTGTATTTTTCCATTTCTTTATTTCTCTGCTATACTTTGGGTGATTTTATTTGAAAACTGTCTTGTAGTTCATCAGTTTTCTTTTCAGGTGTTTATAATTTGCATCTATTGTATTTTGAATTGTAATTATGTTCCCCTTTATACGTCTAAATTTTATTTTTAAAAATCTGAGTGTTCTTGTTTTATTCAGTTCTGTTCTTTTTATGATTTCTGTTTCTTCTTTACTCTTTAATCACTTTAAATATACTTATTTCATAGTCTCCTTTAGACTGCTCTATCATTTTTAGTACTTGGTTACTAATTCTGTTTGTGCATTCTGCTCCTTCTCTCTCAAAGATGATTTTCTCATGGGTTTTCAAAAACTTTTTGAGCTTCTTTAGAAGTTATGTATTTATTTTTTTTCCTATAGGAATCTTTTGGCCCTGGGCTTTGGAAGTGTTTCTGTAGAGTGGCTTTTCTTGAATTCTGTGGTCCTAGTGGTTTTACTTTCCCAGACTAGCTTTTATGTTAATGTCTTGGGTTATATCCCTTTCATTTCATGTGTAGTTTAAACCTGGACCCCTTATCTAGGTGTGGCACCGATGTGGGATTTCAGTTCCTCTAGGGCAGGGGTCAGCAAACTATGTCCAAGAGCCAGACAGTGCCCTGCCCATTTGTTTGTGTACTGTCTATGGGTGCTTTGGCATTGCAGTGGTAGAAGTGAGTAGCTGTGATGAGAAAGTATGGGAACCCTATTGTAGGGTGACTTTTTTTCCTATTCAAGGGTTTGGGCAGATGTCAAGCCTCTTTGCAGCTTTCCCAACTTGTGAATCAATTCCCTTTGCATGTACTGGGCAGCACTTCAAGGATCCCTGCTTTCCACAGGCTCTGTTGAGAATGTTAGGACCCCATAGCCCATCTCCCCATATTGCGATAAGGCCCCAGTGCCACCCCCCAGGCTCTGTGTCTGGCCCAGTACCCGTGGAACCTGACGTGGCGCCAACTCCCATGGCTGATCTGGCTTTCAAGTCTCTCTTTGTTTCTGGCTTCTGGGCATTTATTTTTCTTTTAAGCTCATTCAATTTTCGGTTACATTTTGTTCCATGTTATATGTGTTTGCACAGAATGGAAAGCTCTTTTATCTTGTTGCTAAACAGTAAATTCCCAATTCTATTGTTCATCATCAGATTTTATTCTGTTTTAGAACGAGTTGCGGAAGTTCATGGATGTTACATTTGCAAAGATTCAAAACACAAATCAAGCTCTAAGAATGTTGAAGAAATTTGAAAGGTAAAATTTTCAAGAAATTGTCTATTTTCTAAAATTGGGATAGTTTAGCTTTTATTGTTGTTATTCCTATTATTATTATTTCATATTCTGATGGAAAGGAAAACCTCTCTTGGCAATTTGGGTCACAAGGTCATAGTTTTTAAGTTTTTCAGAGGATTAATCCTTTTAAGGATTCAGGATTTATTTTATTTCTACAAATAGAGAATACTCTTAGCTTTGAAGTACCTTGTGACTGCCTATAATAATATTTCCTAATGTATAGATAATTTGAAAAATGTCTTCCCAAGTTAATAGTTTTGCCTACATTTTATGGATGAGTTTTATTTTTATTCTTTTAATATTCCATGTAAATATCTCATTCTTTTCCATTAGCATTTTAAAAAATAAATATTAATAAATGAGATTACTAGATATTTTTATTGTGTATTTTATTTATTTTATTCCATTAATTCAAGCTTTTAACTTTTTAAAAAAATCAGATTGAATATACCTAATCTTGGTATTGATGACAAATATCAACTTATCCTTGAGAACTATGGGGCTGACATTGATATGATTTCAAAGCTGTATACAAAGCAGAAATACGATCCTCCTCTGGCTCGAAACCAGCCTCCCATCGCTGGAAAGATTTTGTGGGCCCGCCAGCTCTTCCATAGGATTCAGCAGCCCATGCAGCTTTTCCAGCAGCACCCAGCTGTGCTAAGCACGGCAGAAGCCAAACCTATAATTCGCAGTTACAACAGGATGGCCAAGGTCCTCCTGGAGTTTGAGGTCCTCTTCCACAGGGCGTGGCTTCGGCAAGTGAGTCCCTAAATTTATACTCTTCCCATTGTTGGAATCATGGGAACCCCTCTTCTAGCATTTGACAGTGTTATTTCTTTAGAAAGCTGGATTTGTAGGTGTTTTGTAAGGCAGATGGGTTGAATCTAAGCGTTCAGAGTGTAATATGTCCACAAAGAAAAATAATTATTAGATTTGAAAAGAAACCACAAGCCAGGTAACAGAACCCCATTTTTATTTAATTTACGAACTCCAAAGTGAGAAGATCTTGTTTATTGGTTCCTATGCCCAATCTATTAGGATATCTTGCTTTTTAAAATTCAGTCAGATCCTAAATATGTCAGTAAACACTAGCACATCTGTTAAACAAAGTTTCAAATTTTCTTTTGTTGTACAACTGGTTAATCATAGCATATCCTACCAATACATGTATTTCTTTGTAGGCTGTCAGGATGCGATGTCTCCATAGCTGTGTTCATTGTTTTTCTAGATAAGTAAAAACTGAGTTTAGGAGGTCTTACGAAACTTTTATTAGGAAGAATAATAGAGTAGGCATGAAGGTATCAGGTAGCTAAATGGCTTTTGAGACGCCACCACTGTTGCAGTGTCCACTTATTTATCAGTGTTAGAGTCATTGAAAGGTTTTATTGAATTGACTGCCCAACATCAACACCAAGAACTTGAAGGCTATTGTATGAGACTGGATTTAGGAGAAGAGTGAGTGATCTTATTGCCCTTAATTTAGGAAGCTCAAATCCATGGAAGAACATTTAATGATCCTTATTCCTAGAGATAGCTGAGCTAGATACTCTGCATGAATTGAACTTTCTGATAGTAATGATGTTGGTTTCTTCCCACAGATTGAAGAAATTCATGTAGGTCTTGAGGCTTCATTATTGGTGAAGGCTCCAGGCACAGGGGAATTGTTTGTAAACTTTGACCCTCAGATATTAATCTTATTTAGAGAAACAGAGTGCATGGCCCAGATGGGTCTGGAAGTCTCTCCACTGGCAACTTCCCTCTTCCAGAAACGAGATAGATACAAAAGGAACTTCAGTAACATGAAGGTATACTACTTTTATTTTTTCCCCCCATTCTTGGCTAGCTCTGGAATGTATTATAAAAAAATATGGTGATGTGTCATATTCAAGGAGCAGAAAGTGGCCAGGATGAATGGAGTGACTGAGGGGACAGTGCCATGGGGTGCAGCTGCAGAGTTGGCTGGGGCCAGGCCGTTACAGGTCTTGCAGGCCAAGATGAGAAGCTTGGGTTTTATTTTGAGTGTACCAGGAAACCATTGGAGGATTTCGAGCCACTGAAAAAGGCACGATCTCTTTTTATAATAAAAGTTATTCTTACTGCTGGGTGGAAAATGGATGTTAAGAGGGACGAGGGGTATCAGCGGGAAGCCTGTTTGTGAAGTGTTGCACTGGCCCAGGATGAAGATGAGAGCTTGAACTGGGATGGCAGCAGAGTTGTTTGGAGAATTTAGAGTTATGTCAACAGTCAGGTTATAAGAGAACTCAGGAATAATACCTGTGGTTTTGGTGTGAGCAGTTCCATGAATTAAAGCAGGGGTGCCGTAGAATGCTGTGTAGGTTGCATTCTTCATAACTTGCACAATACCATGCAGGGGCCCTGACTGTAAGTTCAAGTTATGGAGATGGCGAAAACCGAAACTAGTGTATTTGGAGCAGCAGGAGGGAATCAGTAGTTCCCATTTAAGTACAAGATAGTTTTTAGACAGCCAAGTGGCAGTGTTGTCCATGCAGTTGGATACTTAAGTCTGGAGTTCAGTGGAGAAGCCAAAGTGGGAGGCATGCTTCTGAGAGTTATCAGAATATCATTGTTATTTAATGTCATTGTCCTGGATGAGATCTCTTAGGGGAGAGAATACAGACAGAGAAGAATGGAGGGCCACTGGGCCAAGCATTGGGTTGTTCCAGTATTAACAGATCTGAAAGAAGAAGACAGGTGTGCAAATAAAACAGAGGACTGACCTCTGAGCTGGGAAGAAACCAAGTGTCAAGGAGACCAAGGATGGCCGGGCACGGTGGCTCATGCCTGTAATCCCAGCACTTTGGGAGGCTGAGACTGGCAGATCACCTGAGGTCAGGAGTTCGAGACCAGCCTGGCCAACGTGGTGAAACCCCGTCTCTATTAAAAATACAAAAATTAGCTGAACATGTTGGCATGTGCCTGTAATCTCAGCTACTTGGGAGGCCGAGGCAGGAGAATCTCTTGAACCTAGAGATGGAGGTTGCAGTGAGCTGAGATTGCACCACTGCACTCCAGCCTGGGTGACAGAGCGAGATCCGTCTCAAAAAACAAACAAACAAAAAACAACAAAAAAAGGAAGCCAAGGGTATGAAAAGGCTACTGAGAGAGGGACTGGTCACCAGTGGCAAATGCTGCTACCCAGGGGATGAAGAAGGTGAGATCAGAGATGCGGCCATGGAATCTGACAACATGGAAACCATTGTTAAAATTTCATAGTGGTTAACATCACGTGACAATACTAAGTCCATGCACTTGCACTGTACTTTACATTTAAAGCCATTTTCATGCTCATTATTTCATCTGATCTTTTCTACCACTACGTTAGGTAAGTAGGACAGAATACTATTATTTTATTTCGTAGATGACAAAACTGTGGCTTAGAGAAGTTAAAAGATTTAGCAAAGGTCTCATAGCTACAAAGTGGCAGAAGTAAGACCAGAACCCAGACTTGTAGTCCATCGTCTTCCCACCACTTCATGTCATATTAAAAAGTTGTATTGGCAATGGACAGACATTCCTCAAATGTAGACTCATAAAATACCAGTCAGCATGTTGAGATTCCCTTTTAGACTCTTTCACATTAGGAAACTCACTTAGTCAATTTACATATTCATAAAGAAAATAATATTTTTACTAAGAAACTATAATTATAAGATTATGGAATTACTGATAATTTAATTGTATTTGCAGAGTTGTTGTTTCACTTGTCTGTTTCAGGCAACAAACACTTGTAAGCACGTTGTAGGGTTTACAATAACCGTATCATTATATCATGACTTTATGGGTAAAGAACTTGAGTGGGGCTTGCATAGGTGATTCTTCTGTTCCATGTATTGTTGACAAAGGTTGTTTATTGGTATTCAACTGGCAGATGTTCAATCTGTAAGGTCCAAGAAGGGTTCTTCTAGTTTCTGTTTCTTTCCTGAGGAAAGCTGGAAGGTACACTCCAGTGGGACTGTGAACAGGCACATCTATACATGGCCTTCCAGTATGGAGGCCTCTGGCTAGTAGAATTTCTTATATGGCAGCTCAGGGTTTCAAGAACAAGCGCTACAGTGAACAATAAAGAAGTCACATGGTCTTTATAATAGCCTCAGATGTCTCACAGCATCATCTCTGTTGTACTCTGTTGGACTGTAAACCTACCCAGATTCAAAAAAAGGGGATGTGGTTCCCCCCTCCCCCATGAAGGGAAGAGGATCAAAGAATGTTTTAAATGACAATTCAAGGGAGTAAATTATCATCTCATTAACATTTATTATCTTGGAGGTTGAGAGTTAAAAGTTTCTGCTCAACCTGAGTAGCTGGTCAAAGCAGATCTATTGGCAGGTTTAGGTGACCATCTGAAGTGTTGCAGAATTATTGTGCTGAATATTTGACAGAGCTTTCAGGCTTTTGCAGATATGCCAAAGTAGCTGAGAATTTGTTTCTTCATCTCTTCCTTGGAAGACAGTTTAACTAGAAAGAGAAGACCAAGTACAGGCTAATAGTTACAAATATAGGTTCTGAAGCCAATTTAATCTGGATTCAAATCATTATCTTTGGGTAAATGACTTCACCTTCTAAGCCTGGGTTTCTCTTTTGTCAAAGCAGTTGAGTAATCCCTTCTGGGATTAAAGGTGGGAAGTAGAATGCCTGCTAGAAGCAGATTCTAAGAACTGCTTCCAGATAGAATAACTGGTGGACATTGAAAAAAAACAAGCAGTGGATACAAGTTTCAGGAAATATGTAAGTAGCTGCGAATAGAACCAGAAAATTTAGACTTTTCTAAAGTGGCTTTTATGGACATTGAAAGAATCTTATAGAAATTGTGGAAAAACATTATATGAGGAAAGGATTATGAGGTCCATCTGGGAAATACTGTGTTTAACAAAATTTTCAAAGCCTTGCAAGGCTTCTTACTTCCTTAAGCAGGTTTCTAAGAATCATTAATATTAGCTGTGACCACCCAAGAGGGGAGATATTGTATGCAGCATTTTCAAAATTTATCTATCAAAGGGACATTTTTTCTTATAGAATCTCTTTGGACCTAGTACTCTAGGCAAAACAGTTTGGAAAACATTCATCTATTATCAAGGTAAAACCAACATGCACATATATGACCTTAATACCAACTGTATTTATGGGGCACATTAAAGTTAGTTTCTTATAATTAATGATTATTAATATTGACATGGTTACATATGAACAAAATATTGACAGTTTGACATTATGTAAATAATACTGACACAGTTTGACATTATGTACCTTTCAGTGAAAGATGAGAATGCCCATTTCAGATGAAAAATCCTTCTGATAACAACTAATTAGATAGATATTGATTTATTATCTCCTATGTGCCAGGCACTGGTTCAGGCTCACTGGACAAAGCAGACAAAATTCTTGTCCTTGTAGAACTTATAGTCTAATTGGGTAAAACAGAAAATGAACACTGTAAGTAAGTAAATTAATATAGTCTATTGTAATAAAGTGATAGTTATTATGGACAAAAAAGGGGGATAAAATGTGTGAGTGGTTTTGGTGGTGGTTTATAATCTTAAACAGGTAGTCAGGACAGGTATAATTGAGAAAGTATCATTTGAGTACTTATTTGAAGGAGGTGCAAAGGCCCTGAGGCTCAGGACCAGAAAGGAAGACAGTCAGGCAAGTGCAGGTAAGAGAGGGAAAGAGTGGTTGGAGATGAGATCAGAGAAGTAATGGGACAAAATCGGGTAGATCTTTCTAGAACAAGCATCTATCCAAGTCCTTTGTATAAAGGTTTGTAGCCCTGAATTAAATGGGAGGCTATGTAACCATGTGAGCAGAGGAGTAACATGATCTGAATTCTCATTTTGAAAGGATCATTTTTGCTGCTAAACTGTACCTAGACTTATTGGGAGGGTGAGTGGAAGCAGGATCTGACTTGCTTTCCACATTTACAGTTACTGCCATCATTGGCTCCTACCTAAATTATTGGGATGATCTACTGTTGTCTCCCTGCTTCCACTCACTCTCCCAATAAGTCTAGGTACAGTTTAGACAGCAAACAAGATATCCTAATGGATTACCTGTATGTGTGTGAGTGAAAGAGGAATCAAGGATGACTCTGGGTTTTGACCTGTGGACTGGAAGGATAAAGTCACTATCAGCTGAGTTGGAGGATGCACTGGGAAGAGGTTTTGGGAAAAGAACAGACTTTCAGTTTGGGACTTATTAAGTTTGAAATGTCTGCTATATATTGATGTGGAAACTTTGGGAGGCTGCTGCCATTTGTGAATCTAGACTTTCAGGAGTGAGATCTGGGCTGGAGACGTAAATGTGTTTGTTTCTGGCATCTGGATGAAATTCAAAGCCGTGACACTAGTTGAGATCAATACTGGTTCCCGGTGTGCTTTGGGTCTTGGCAACAAGATTTGGCCTATAATCCTAGCAAAGGGCTGAGGTAGACCTCTGGCGACCCACATGTTTTGGGTGATGGGTGTAGTCTACAAGAGGTCCCCAGAGGAGCAGCACGCATGTCGTATCAGTGTACAAAGAGGAACAAACAAGCCTGGTGATGAGCAGGTGAAGGTGCCATTCCCGTGTTTCTGCATGGTTTAGAAAAATTACTTGGCCTTAGATTTTCTCCCTTTTTAGGCTGTGTAGGAGGTGAGACACTGTTAGTCTTAAATTCTTGTTCATCTTCAGTTGTATTTTTTTGGATTAGGAATTTGTAATTATGGAGAGAGTCCTTGTCTTCTTTTTTTTTGAGACGGAGTCTCGCTCTGTCGCCCAGGCTGGAGTGCAGTGGCGGGATCTCGGCTCACTGCAAGCTCCGCCTCCCGGGTTCACGCCATTCTCCTGCCTCAGCCTCCCAAGTAGCTGGGACTACAGGCGCCCGCCACTACGCCCGGCTAATTTTTTTGTATTTTTAGTAGAGACGGGGTTTCACCGTTTTAGCCGGGATGGTCTCGATCTCCTGACCTCGTGATCCGCCCGCCTCGGCCTCCCAAAGTGCTGGGATTACAGGCGTGAGCCACCGCGCCCGGCCGTCTTCTTTTCTTTTTATTGTTTTGGCTACTCTACCTGCCAGGCTATTAGAGCCCTACAGTTTGACCCTAAATAAAAGTAGTCATTTTGTATAAGACATGAGATATTAACAGACATTAGAAGTGAGATATTAATTGATTACTTAACCCCAATTTCATTGCAGATGATGCTAGCTGAATATCAGAGAGTGAAGTCAAAAATACCTGCTGCCATTGAGCAATTGATTGTCCCTCACTTGGCCAAAGTGGATGAAGCTCTCCAACCTGGCTTGGCTGCACTGACCTGGACATCACTGAATATTGAGGCTTATTTAGAAAACACTTTTGCAAAGATCAGTAAGTCTGCCTGAATAATTAGTATTTCTGAATTCTAAAGGCTGAGTTCCTAACATCTGTTGAATAATTTCTTATCAATATGGAGATATAAATAATGAAATGGGGAGTGTTATTCTTAAGCTGTTTCATAAGGAAGTGTTCCAAAACATGCGAATTCAGTAATTTCCTGGAAACTATAAATATTCACTATTTAATTTTATCCCCAGAGATTAACCACATATTTTCATTTATTTGTATTTTTGGACATTAGGATTTAAAGTATCTTTAGAGTTATTCAGCTTTTTATATAAATAGGTTAGTGTATTTTGAGAGCTTGATTTGAAAGATGTGGAGATTTGGATAGAGTACAGTGCTGAACAACAGGATAAATGGGAAAAATTTAAACAAACACAATTTTCCTTAAAAAGAGATATAATAGTCTAAAATATATGTAAGGTAGTATATTCCATAAAATGCGCTTTTCTGGAATGTGTACGGGTATGTTGCAAAGAAGGGCTCAAATATGTCTGGGAAATCCAAGAGGAGCAGTTGGACAGGTTTCTTTGCTGGACGACTTTTCAGAGCCTGTAACATGCCAGTGTCCCAGTAGGTCTCCAAAAGTGGCCTTTTGCTTGTGGCATTTCCCAGAATTCCTTGGCTGCCTTCCAGGAGGACACATTAACACCTTACAGATCCTCTGTGGCAGACAGTGTAGCACAGTTTGGAACGTGGTAATGGTTTTTTTTTTTTTTTTCTCAGAAAGACTTAGACATTGCTATTGTCCTCTCCTAGCCAGTGTCTTACACCCTCTCCTCTGCATAGCCCAGTCCTCCCCACTCTTATAGCCCAGAGTGAGTCTTGCCCCTAGAAGGCTACTCTGATTACTCTACCTCCTGTGACCGCTTCCTCCTGTGACCTCCTGTTGGATTTATATTTGGGACCAGAGACTTGATATTTTGGTTGTCTTCTAATGGTTTAGTACAGTTTCATCTTTCTCCTCAAACAGACTACAAAGGACCTGAATATCAGGCTGTTTAATTTTTTTTCTTTTTTTATTGTAAATTGATAATTTATAATTGTATAGATTTATGGATTCTGTGAAGAAGGAGTTGCGTGGGGAAAAATTGATGGGATACAAAATGGTGTTACGATTTATGAATGCAATGTGAAATAATTAAATCCAGGCTGTTTACATTTATACTTCTTTTGTGTTATTCTCAGCTGGGTGTGTAGGAGACATCCATATACTTGCAGATTCATAATAGCAATAATTTTATATACTTAGTCTCTCTTCATTTCTTTATCACTGTAACCCTGTTCCTACCCCTCAAGCCCATTACCTTATTTCTGGATACCTCTTCCTGGGCTTCCCTTTTAGATAGCTCTCGTGATGCCTCCTTTTATTCTCTCTCTCTCTCCCCCAACTCCGCCCCTCAGGTCTCTCTCTTGTTCTGGAATTTATGGCTGTTAACATAGTACCTAGTCCATTTATAATGTAAATTGTCAAGAGCTTGTCTTATCAGTAGATTTTCACCGCACTTTCCAAAAAACTTAGGGTTCAGAAGGTCCAGCTATTTAAATAGCCAGGTACTTCATATTTAAGAATATTTGAGAAGTACTGGGTTGGAGGGGAGTAGAGTGAGAAATTATGATTCAGCCCATACCTCACCTTTGTTATGCATTATAGATTGGGAGCTGGACTCAAAGACAAATGATAATGGAGTTTTTGAATATGAATGAATATCAAGCCAGAGATGCTAAATGGCTTTTAATGTTACATAGATGTAAGAAATAATAATGAGTTTAGAACCCGATTTCCTTGCTCTAAATTAATATTTCTTCCAAAATACGCCTCCCCAGGAAATAAAACAAGAGGAAACTGGCTAAAATTTCCTAAGGAGGCACTTATGAAATGTATAAAAACATGATAATGAGTTATCATAATCAAATTAGAACAGGCGACCAAGATAGACTTTAGTAATATCCTTCCTTTAGAACACTAGTATTAAAGTATTAACAATTTGGATGTTTTATTAGATTGTTAGCTGGAGACAAGGAACTAGTTTCTAGAGAAACTTCTTGTTCTTGTTTTCTATTATGTTTTTCTTTTTGTAATTTAAGGAACTAAAATAGAACAAAGATGAAGTTTCTTTGAGAGAAAACTATGTAAAATCTCAAGTGCAGCTGGATTTTAATTGGATTAGTAAGCCAATCCTACTTACAGGTGGTCATTTGCATCATGCATTTAAGAGAGTATAGATAATCTGGGACACTCTGCACATTACATAATCCCTAACTTGATCACATCTGCAAAATCCCTTTTGCCATATAAGGTAACATTCACAGGAGATTAGGATGTGGACATCCTTGGGGACTATTTTTTTCAGCTTAACACAGATGTCCTTAAAGATGAAGAAGCAGTCCGTTAGAAAGCGTAGAGAATTTTATTGCTCACACATACTTAAGTGAAAGTGTTGGCTCTCTTTTAGTATTCAATCAATTTACCAGGCAGAACTATTTGGTATCTTGAGTAGCCTCTTTAATAATTAGCTTAGAAAAAATAGAAAACTTTTAGGCTTTTATTCTTTAGGAAATAAAGGTATTTATTTAAGGAGGTGTTTACATCTCCGATACAGCGTTGGTATGTAACGTTGACTTTCCTGTATTCAATTTCAGCTTTATTTCCCAGGAGAAAGGAGTATTAGAAAAAGAGAAATTTTACTGTATGGTATCTGTTGAAAAATGTATTACCCTTAGATGGATATCCATTAGTAATCATTCCTACTTTTGATGTGCAGTTGTTGTTAGTTTGCTTCAGAGTTGGCCTTTGCATCCATTGAACTTAGCATTCAATATTACTTCAGCACAACTAAAAAAATGTACCCTATGATATTTACAGTGAAAGAAAAAATAGGGAACTTTCACTTTAGTCAAATTTGTTGAATACTTCTTGTGGAATAGGCACCAGGTTAAATATTGAAGATGTAAGGATAAAAAATATGAATTCTAAAGAAGATAAGACACATGGGTAGACAATCCGCAGAGACGGAAGGATGCTCCATCTGTGGTTTTACAGGAGGAGGGACCACTCCAATGCACATGGATTCACCCAGGGCCTCTGTGGGGAAATGCACTTGAGCCGGATCTTTAAGTATGAGTGAGAGTTAGGCAGGCAGGAGCTCAGAAACTGGTTACAGAGAAGGAACGATGGCCCCAGGAAATAAAACAAAAGGAAATTGGCTAAAAGTCCCTAAGGAGGCATTTATAAAATGTATAAAAACTTTATAATAAGAATGATCATAATCAAATTAGAAGGGGCTACCAAGATAGATTTTCCATTCTCCCTACAGAGTATTAGTATTAGAAAGTTAACAACTTGGATATTTTATTAGCGACAACCAAGTGTGAATCAGTGGGGATCTGGGGAACATACGTAACTGAGAATCTTTAAAGCTGATTTTACTACTGTCATTTAATCAAGTGTTGATTTTTTTAAAAAACAAAATGCTTTACCTAATCTCTTTTATTTACTTTTATTTTTTCCCAAAGAGGACCTGGAGTTGCTGCTTGACAGGGTCAATGATTTGATTGAGTTCCGCATTGATGCCATTCTAGAAGAAATGAGCAGCACGCCTCTTTGTCAGCTTCCCCAGGAGGAGCCACTAACCTGTGAAGAGTTTCTCCAAATGACAAAGGTCATTAAAACCTTGATTTTTTTTGTTTAAGGTTTTTGGTGATTCATTTTCCTATAAAGGTCACTTTTTTGAAGTTATAAGTTAGATTTTTTTCTCTACTTGCAGTGCTCTGTGATAGAAGTGATTCAGACATGGAATCTTCTGACAATAATTTGCCAGTGAAGAGAAATGTATCTAAGTAAGCGGTCACTTAGCTATGGGGAACACATCATTTCAGATCAGTAGGAGAGAAATTGCCATAGAACACACTTGGAATTTTTCCATTTTTTAATGAAGGATAGAGCTATCTTGCAGAAGTGCTTCTCATAAGCTAGGGTTAATTAACGAAACAATTGTTTTGAACAGCTTCTAGACAAAATTTCTTCTTTAAACATTTTTGTTGAGGGGGGGTTTCCCAAACTGGTGTTCTATAGCACACAATTCTGGAGCCATTGCTGGGAATCCTGAGAGAGGCAGGGAGTGAGTGCAAACTGCTTAGGGTAAAGACTGTGCTTACAGATCCGCTACACTTTAACATGTTAAGATAAAGGCCCTCAGAAGATCTCCATTTAACCTTTTTTTTTTTTTTTGAGATGGAGTCTTGCTCTGTTGCCCAGGCTGGAGTGCAGTGATGCGATCTCAGCTCACTACAACCTCTGACTCCCCGGTTGAAGCAATTCTCCTGCCTCAGCTTCCCGAGTAGCTGGGACTACAGGCACACGCTGCCACGCCTGCCTAATTTTTTGTATTTTAGTAGAGATGGGGTTTCATCGTGTTGCCCAGGCTGGTCTCTAACTCCTGAGCTCAGGCAACCTGCCTGCCTCGGCCTCCCAAAGTACTGGGATTACAGGCGTGAGCCACTGCGCCCGGCCCTTCATTTAACTTTTCGTAGCTCATTATTTCTCCAACACATTTGCAAATGGGATACTTTCTTCCCTGTGCCAGGAGTAAGCTCCTGGGAGCAGTGCTCCATGAAGTGCCCCTTCAGGCATGTCACGTTAGCATCATTTACAATATTCCCAGTGGGCATCTTGAGGATAAGGACTCCTTGATCATGATTTTAATATGATGTGCCGGGGTCTCCAAGACCACCCCCACTAGGAGGACTCACGGAACTCAGCACGTAGTTGCACTGCCCTGACATAGTTAAGAGATGCAGCCGGATCATAAGGAACAAAGACAGGTGGTGTCTGGGGAGTCCCTGTCCAGGCTTTTTCATGCTGTCTCCCTCCTGTGAGGCTTGCCCGGAGCTCACCGTCCCCTCTGTGCAATGTTTCTGCCCAGGGAAACCTATTAGAGACTCAGGGCCCAAGGTTCTTACTGGGTCTGGTCACACACTCTGCTTAGCATGGACCAGAATTCCAGACTCCCAGAAGGAATCAGGTGTTCAGCATAAACTACATTGTTTGCACAAGCAGTTTAGGCACAGCAAACTATCTTTATCAGCAGGGCAACAGGGGGAACCCTCCTAAAATCCAAGCTTCCAGACGCCGGCCAAGGGACCACCTCCCAAGCAGGACTTTCTAAGGAGAGCAGTTTCAGGCCTGCTGTGTTCACCCCTTTCTGCATATATGGCAGGTTATATTAAGTCATTTTATACGCAAAACTTACTGTCTACATGTTAGAAATTTCTAGTCCCTCCTCCTCACATTCACTAACTGTGGGTACACCTAACCATCCCCTTGTTCTTCCTCATCATTTAAAAAACTATCTCTTCCTCTGAAAAATCACTTGCCTCCATGGTTTTAGTCTTACCCCTTTTCTGATGATTGTTTTATAAAAATACACTTGTTTTAAATTTAAATTTAAAAGAAAGTTTTAGAATATTTTAAAAATGGAAAGAAACTAGCCTTTTAATCAATTATACCATCATTATTATAATATTAATGCATTTTAAGCTTTTTAATAAAGTGGCGATCTCTACTCCATATATATCAGGTTTTGAATAGTACTTTTTTCTCCCAGTTAACATTTCGTCACAAAATATTCTTCATGTTGCTACATGGCTTTCATAGGCAGCCTTTTAATGGTGCCTTCAGAATATTCTGTTGAGTTGATATACTGTAATTTACTTACCAGTTTCTTATTGCTGAACCTTTAGATGGCTTCCAAAGTTTTGCTAATTTGTCAAGAGCTGCAGTGAATATATGCATGTATCATGTATTTTCTCCTTTAATGTTATTCCCTCCCCAAAATAAAATTATTGTGTCAGAGAGTATGGCCTTATTGGATGGCTGTTGATATTGGTAGCCAAATTGCTTTTCAAAAGGATATTATCAGCTTACAATGCCACCAGCAATGCAGTACTACCAATTTCACTTCCAACAAACACTGTTTTATTATAGTTTACTACTTTTACTTTAAGTAGCAAAATCGTGGAACCCAATTTGAGTTTGCATTTTTGATTACCAATATAGGTATTAGTAAATCATTTCTCTTGAGTTTGTTTATTTGAATTCATAATTCAATTATGGAGAAAAATGAAAAGGATGATGGAGAAAAGGAGTACCTGACAGAAAGTTGTGATTTTATGTTCATGGTCACTGATGACTTCTACGGTTAGATTTGAAGGGAGGGAGTGAGAGTGCAAGCTATGTGAACATTTTAGTGGAAGAACATGCCAGGCAGAGAGAATAGCATGTGCAAAGGCCCTGAGGTGGAAGCATGTTGTAGCTGGAGAAAGGTGTTGAGTTGAAGTACATTGGGTGTTCATATGCTCAGGTGGAAAATTAGTAGAGAGGAAGAAAGGGGTAGGCTTGGTTTCTGAGGAAGCCAGAGAAGCTGTGATTCAGAACTCAGGTTGTGGAGTTAACCTCGAATAAAAGGAGAATGATTGCATTCACCAAAACAAGAGGAAAAGGGGCTCATGATGGAGGCCGATTTGTCTTCTGCATGAGGGCAGTGGGAGTTGTTTGAGTCCCCGTGTCATGACCTCCATTTGCTTTGTGCTGTAGAAATCAAGGTCATTCTTTGAGTATGACGAGGAAGGATGGTGTAACGATTTGAGGACACAGGGATTTGAAGACACAGCTATTATGGAGCTTGGTAGAGGGAGGTGGCTATAGTCATGTAGAATGATTCCCGAGTAGCATTAGGGGCCAGTTTGAGTTTGGGGACCATGAATTCCCAGTGCCAAGCATCTGCCTCACCATGACCTATGTGTGCCGGTGGAGAGGGTAGGTCACCTGGTTCATTTGGGTTGGGCGTCTCCTGGGTGGGGCAGTGGAAGGTTGAGAGAGTGATGGAGTAAAGGATATTAGCAAAACAATGGTTGAAGTGTGAAATCGTGTTAGGAGAGGGCATGAACCAGGGAGTAAGGGTGAAGAGACCTTGAGAAGACATGGCGTCTAGTAGGTTCCTGGTTTGCCAAAGCTAAAGCATCATGGGAATGAGGAAATGGTGGAGCCCCATGCTGATTATTCAAGGAGGACACCACTCAGGATTGAAAGAAAGGCCCTTTTGGTGGGTTTCAGCTTTTGGGTGTCATCATGGAGGTTAGTTGTTGAAATGAAGCAGGATAAGTGGAGGCAGCATCTTTCATTTATTTTATTTGTCCTGGGGGATATTTTAATGAGTCTATTTATTACTTCTTTTTCCTCATTGCGTTTATATTCTGCTTTGTTAATTTCTATGCTATTTACATTTTTATGGTTATGCCTTCTCACAGAGAGAAAGAGTTAAGAGATGTAAACAACGTTGTTGGAACTATATTAGTCTTTGAGAGGTTATCAATCTCATCTTCTAGAACCCTCAATACAAAGGAATTTTATGATCTCAAACATGTGCTTGTGTTACTGAGAGGACTGAAAGAGCTGCAAGTTAATTGAGGATTCCCTGTGAGAGCTGGCCCTGAAAATGGAGACCACATGTGTGTTTCTCTCCAAGGTAGAGTCAGAGGACTTAAGATTCAGACTTTAAAAAATATTAGTGTTCTCTCAGAGAATTGAGGAGTTAGTTTACATGGAATGAGTTGACTAACCTTTGCAAATATTTAGGTCCTGTGGATGTTTGTGATTTTCCAACCAATAATAATAACAAGCACTTCTTGTGTGCTTACTTTATGCCAGGCACTGCTCTTAGTATTTTACTTGCATTTATTTTATGGAATACTTGCAAAAACTACAGTGAGTTCTACTATATCACCATTATACATATGAGGGAATTGAGACTGAAAAGAATTTTCAGGATCATGCAGAGCAAGGATTTGAATCCTAGTTTTCAAGCCGTATAAGTTTAAAGATGTATAATGCTGGAACTTGGAATGGAGCTGGACACTGTGCCTAACTGACAGTCTGTTGTTTCATGGGCTTACTTTCCAACCAGGTGGTAAATCACTGATTCTGTCTATATCATCCATCTATAACTATCTGTCTACCTAATCTCCTCCAGAATTGATCACCATGCCTCAAATCATGTTAGTTTATATTTATTAAATCCATTCTTGAGAAATGCACAATATAGTTAGAAGGGTGGGTAGTGTCTTTGAAATTAATGAGGGGATGACTATGGTTTGTTGGCAAAAACAAGGAGAGAAAGAAGGGTGGCTGGATCCGATTTATGTGATATGAAGGAAATGTGACGAGTAGAGAGGCTGCTGATGGCTTTTGAAGATATTTTCTCTACTGGTGGAGAAGTGCCTGTAATTTTGGTCCATCTACACTGATCCAGTGGGTTCTCTTGTCCTAAACACATTCCTTTAGAGGACACCTGGCCTGTGCTATTGTGAAGGATGTGGCCAAGCATCACTGGGGCTGAAATCTCACCTGGAGGCTGAGCCACAGCATTGCTACCACTGTTTCTGTGCTCTCAAAAGCTAGATAAACCATATACCACTGTGCTATCTTTTTTTTTTTTTTTTTTTGGTTAGGATCTTTGTGTAAATGGTGCACAAATACTACATTTTAAAAGCTCATTAGTGGAGGAGGCAGTCAATGAGCTTGTAAATATGTTGCTGGATGTGGAAGTTTTATCTGAAGAAGAAAGTGAAAAAATATCCAATGAGAATAGTGTTAATTACAAAAATGAAAGTTCAGGTAAGAGATGGGGTAATGAAAGGGTCTTGTTTTTCTATGACATTTACTAAAAACTAAAACTGCATTTTCTACATACCAATTAATTTCATACTTCTATAAACATCCTCTCGATTTTCTAATGATATGTATAAATCTGAAATTATGGCCCTGAGCATATTTTAGTGACTCTATGTTGTTAATTCCTACTATTTTTGGTTAAACTTTGCAAACATGCACTTTGCATTGGCCCTGGTTAGCTTTCTTTGCATTTATGTGTGGGTGGGTGTTTTATTTTACCTTATCAATAGAGTTGGATGGATTATTGACTGGAATTCCCCTTGGAGAGCCTCTAGACTGAGCGCACCTTTTGCAGGACAGAGGAGAACAGAGAGATGTGGATGTGAAGAAGGGAAATTATCCCCCCAAAGTTTTAGGGTTATTGGTGGGAGGTAGCACCAGAACCCAGGTCCTTGGGGGCCACTGTAGCTTTTCCAGCCATAGCTCCTGCCTCTCTTGTTGGCTGTTTTCTTGTATTGAGAAGGAGATGCTTCCATCAGTCCCTCTGGTTCCTGATTTCCTCCTACTTTTTGATGTCCTCACTTCCTAAGAAGTGTGATGTTTAAGTGATACTAAACTTGCATGTAATTTATCCTTTAATTGCAACAGATGATTCTATCTATCTGTCTATCTATCTGTCTATCTATCCATCCATCCATCTAACTTATCTCTATCTCTATCTCTTTCATCTTGTAACAGCAAAAAGAGAAGAAGGAAATTTTGACACCTTGACATCATCTATTAATGCCAGGGCCAATGCCCTGCTTTTGACGACAGTCACGAGGAAAAAGAAAGAAACTGAGATGTTAGGGGAAGAAGCCCGCGAGTTACTCTCTCATTTCAACCATCAGAACATGGATGCTCTTCTGAAAGTTACAAGGAATACACTAGAGGCCATTCGCAAACGTATTCATTCCTCTCACACAATTAACTTCCGGGGTAATAATCTTGTGTGGTTTGCTTAGTGGATGATCAGGCATAGTTGCTGGGGTATGTGTGTGTGTGTGTGTGTGCACGTGTGCACGTGCATGTACATTCCTGTTAAATTTAAATAATTAAAAATATTCATCTTTTTTTAAATTTTTATTTTTTGAGATGGAGTCTCGCCCTGTCGACCAGGTTGGAGGGTAGCGGCACGATCTCAGCTCACTGCAACCTTCATCTCCTGGGTTCAAGTGATTCTCCAGCTTAGCCTCCCAAGTAGCTGGGACTATAGGCGCACGCCGCCACGCCTGGCTAATTTTTTGTATTTTAGTAGAGACAGGGTTTCACTATGTTGGGCACGCTGGTGGCGAACTCCTGAGCTCAGGTGATCCGCCCGCCCCGGCCTCCCAAAGTGTTGGGATTACAGGCGTGAGCCACCGCACTTGGCCATATCCACCGTTTATTTAGTGCCTTCTCGTAATTTTAAACATTATGAACTTTGATCATCCCAACAATTCTATTAAGTAGATACTATTACTACTCTCATGTTAAATCAGAGAACTAGAGCACAGCACAGGGAGGTTAAATAGTTTGCTTAAGTTTTTGTTAATAACATGAAAATTGGTAGTACGTTTAATCTTTTTGTAATAAGATGAAAAAATATAAAATTATTTTAATTGGTGAAAGAAAAAAATACATACTTTAAAGGAAGTTATATGGAAACGATTCTTTCATTGTTAAATCATTAGGTTTGTTAGCCAGTCTTACAAAGTGGAAACATCTTACTAGTGTCACACTCTTCAAAGGATATATATGTATTTTACTATTTTTATGCTAATTTAGTACTTTCCAGGTGGTTTCCTCATTTTCAATAGCATCATCTTTTCCTCGGCACAGTTCAGAAATAGGTGTTGTATTTCTCAGGTGGGCCACAAAAATCTGTCAAATCTAGAGGCATCCTGAAATTAAATTTTAAGTTAAAAATGGTAAAAAGAAAACAAATAATAGTAATTAATGAAAACTGAAATAATAGGATAATAAAATTTTTAAATATATTTTGAATATTGACATTTAAAGGAAAGCATCTTCAATATTTAATTAAAAGTGGGTAAATAAAAGTGGAAACTCTGAAAGATTTTTTTTTTGTTTGGTGCCATGGCTTATTATGTTTTACTTCATTCAGGATGGAGAATAGTTCTTTTCTTTGGCACAGCGTTATTATTAGAACTTAATAAATGTTGGCTGATAGGCTAAATATTCAATCACAATTATTTCCCAGCTTTTCTATTACAGATATTTGCAACTACGTAAAGTTATGCATGATACACAGACACATATACATACATGTCTGTATCTACATACCTATACCTATGTTCAACCTTAAAAGCTCCTTCAGTATGAATGGCGAATTACACTTTATTTCTTTTCCATTTTTTTAACTGCTCCACATTTGGATTTTACACACCATGGTAGGAAAGGCCTATGATTTATCTGAAATTCCAAAGTGGTTATTTGTTCTAACTTTGGCTTATGCCGATAGTCTTGTTCTTCATTCCTGGCTTACTTAGCTACATTTAGCTAATTTGTTGGCATCTTGTTATTTGGAAGAATCATCTTTAATATTTTACAGAAGTGTTTATAATTTAGCCTGATCCCACACAGTGGGTTTCATTGTGGAGAGTATTCCAAGAAGCTGTAAACAGCAAAAAATGCCTTGGGTTCCCCTGAACTGCTTTGTTATATTGAGCAATACTAGATCCTCCATTAGTTTTAATTGACTCATTCATTCAACAAATATTTATTAGATTTTATACCTATTATGTATTGTTTTAATTTTTATGGTTACAAAGGAAGCAAATCTTATTTTGTATTAAAAATGTGAATTCTTCCTTGTTTTGGGTTAACTCAGACAGTAACAGTGCCTCTAACATGAAGCAGAACAGTTTGCCCATTTTCCGGGCAAGCGTCACTCTGGCCATTCCCAACATCGTCATGGCCCCTGCCCTGGAAGATGTACAGCAGACCCTGAACAAAGCCGTGGAGTGCATCATCAGTGTCCCTAAGGGGGTCAGACAGTGGAGCAGTGAACTGTTGTCCAAGGTGGGTATGGGGTGCAGAAATGGTTTCATATGGAAACCACTTCTTTTACAGATAGGACAGAACTGAAAAATATCCTTTTACATTGTAGAAAAAGATACAAGAAAGAAAAATGGCTGCTTTGCAGAGTAATGAAGACAGTGATTCTGATGTTGAAATGGGAGAAAATGAACTTCAAGGTAAATGTTCTTTTAGTCTTTTAAAAGAGGCATTGTAAATCAACATTCATTGAGCTTAAATGTTTTTTAACCCCTCCATGTAATTCTCAATTTATTTTACATCAGAATATTAATCTATGAGCCAATTTGAAGTTGACAAAATATCAAGGTCCACGTATTTTAATATCACCATTTTAGTTGACTTCTGTTATGGTGGATCACATTTATTGATTTGCATATATTGAACCAATCTTGCATCCAGGGGATAAATTTCACTTAATCATGATGAATGATCTTTTAATGCACTGTTGAATATAATTTGCTAGGATTTTGTTGAGAATTTTTGCATTTATGTCCACCAGTGATATTGGCCTGTAGTTTTTTTTTTTTTTTAAATTGTAGTGTATGTGTCTAGCTTTGGTATCGGGGTAATGCTGGCCTTGTAAAATGAGTTTGGAAGTATTCCCTTCTCTTTAATTTTTTGAAGTGCTAGAGAAATATTGGTATTAGTTCTTTAAATGTTTGGTAGAATTTAGCTATGCAACCATCTGGTGGTAGGCTTTTTTTGATTGTAGACTTTAAATTACTGATTTGATCTTCTTTCTTACTATAGGTCTGTTCAGATTTTCAATTTCTTCTTGATTCCATCTTGGTAGGTTAATTATATGTTTCTAGGAATTTATTCATTTCTTCTAGGTTGGCACAAAATTGTTCTTAGCATTCTCATGATAATTTGTATTTTTGGGTTATCAGTAGTAATATCTCCTTTCATTTGTGATTTTATTTACTTGAGTCCTCTTTTTTACTTAGTCTAGCTAAGGATTTGTCAACTTTGTGTAGCTTTTCAGAAAACCAACTTTTTGTTTTGTTGATCTTTTCTATTGTTTTTCTAGTTTCTATTTCATTTGTTTATGCTCTGATCTTTATTTCCTCCCTTCTGCTAACTTTGGGCTTGTCTGTTCTCCTTTTTCTAGTTCTTTGAGTTGTAATTTTAGGTTATGTATTTGAGATCTCTCTCCTTTTTTGACTTAGCTGTTTATTTTGCTATACCGTTTCCTCTTAGAACTGCTTTTGCTGCATCCAATAAATTTTGATATGTCATGTTTCCATTCTCATTTGTCTCAGGATATTTTGAAATTTGTCATCTAATTACTTCTTTGACCTGATTTGAGAAGTTTTTTTCAGAAGCATATTGTTTTATTTTCACATATTTAAAACATTTGCATGGTTTTTCCTGTTTGATTTTTTTCCTGATTTCTAGTTTCATACGCTTGGTTTGGAAGATTTGTTATAATTTGTTATAAGATCAAATTTGTTGTAATTTGATCTTAAGTTTGTTAAGACTCATTTTGTGTCTAACATATGATCTACCATAGAGAGAATGTTCTGTGTGCACTCGAGAAGAATGTATATGCTGTTCTGTTAGATGGAATATTCTGTCTGTTAGGTATATTTGGTCTAAAGTGTAGTTCAAGTCTAATATTTCTTTATTGATTTTCTGTTTAGATGATCTGTTCAGTGATGAAAGTAGGGTACTAAAATCCCCTACTATTATTGTGTTCTAGTCTGTGTCTCTCTTCAGATCTCTTAATATTTACTTTATATAGTTATATGCTCCAATGTTGGGTGTATATGTATTTACGATTATAATATAATTTTGAAGAATTTATTCCCTTTTTATTATATGATGATCTTTGTCTCTTTTTACACTTTTTGATGTTAAGTCTATTTTGTTTTTTCATTTATATGAACTTTATTTTTTCATCCCTTCACTTTCAATCTGTGAGTGAACTTTAAGGTGGAATGAGTCTCTTGTAAGCAGCATGCAGTTGGGTCTTTTTTTGTGGTCTTTTAGTTCATTTGGCCACTCTATGCCTTTTGATTGGAGTATTTAATACATTTACATTTAAAGTAATTGTTGATAGGTACAGACTTACTCTTGCCTTTTTGTTAATTGTTTTCTGGTTGTTTTGTAGACCCTTTGTTTATTTCTTCCTTTGTGGTTTGATAGCTTTCTCTAGTGATATATTTTGGATCTTTTTTTTTCTTTTATGTATCTCTTATGGCCTTTTGCTTTATGTTTACCCTGAGGCTTACATAAAACATCTTATACTAATTATAGGCTATTTTAAGTTGGTAACAACATAGTTTTGATTGCATATACAAATTCTATACTTTTACTCCCCACCTCATACATTTTAAGTTTTTGGTGTCACATTTTACATCTTTTTATAATTTGTATCCCTTAATAAATTTGTGTAGCTCTAGTTGTTTTTAGTAGTTTTGCCTCTTAACTTTTTTACTGGAAATATTAATGATTTACCCACCACCATTACAGTATTAGAGTGTTTTGGATTTGCCAATATACTTACTTTTATGAGTGAGGTATTATATTTTCATATGTTTTCATGTTACTAATAAGCATCTTCTTCCTTCAGCTTAATCTCCATTTAGCATTTCCTGCAAGATGGGTCTTGTGGTGATAAACTCTCTCAGCTTTTGTTTGTATGAGAAAGTTTATACCATCCCTTTGTTTTTGAAAGCTAGAATTGCTTGATATAGTATTCTTAGCAGTTATTTTCTTTCAGTATTTTGAATATATCACTTCACTCCTTTCTAACCTGCAAGGCTTCTGCTAAGAAATCTACTGATAGTCTTATGAGTGTTCCCTTACATACAATGAAACACTTTTCCCTTGCTACTTTCAACACTCTTTATCTTTAGCTATTGACAATTTGATTATAATGTGTCTTGGTGTGAGTGTTTTTGAATTAATCTTATTTAATGTCCTTTGGGCTTCCTGGAGCTGGCTTTCTATTTCCTCCCCCAGGCTTGGAAGTTTTTGCCATTATTTCTCTGAGTATGTTTCCTCTGTCTTTCTTTTCTCTTTCTGGCAAGCCAATAATGCATAAGTTGTTCCTCTTGATGGTGTCCCATAAGTCTGTTAAGATATCTTCATTCTTTTTCATTCTTTTTATTTTTTGCTCCTCAGATTGGATGATTTTCAGTGACCTCTCTTTGAATCCACTGTTTTTTTTTCTACTTCTGCTTGATCTAGTCTTCTGTGGAAACTATTAAATTTTTGTGTTCAGTTACATCATTCTTCAGTTTTATGTTTGCTGTTTGGTGCTTTTTTATACTTTCTGTCTTTGTTGAAGTTCTCAGTTTGTTTTTGCATTTCTCTCTTGATATTGGTGAGGATCTTTATGAATATTACAGATGGTCCCTGACTTACAATGGTTTGGCTTCACATTTTTTTTGACTTTATAATGGGGTTATCAGGAAGTAACTTTATAGTAAGTCAAAGAGCATCTGTACTTAGAATAGTTTGACTTACAGATTTTTAACTTTACAATAGGCTTACTAGGGTATTAAGTGCATTATTGACTTAGGATATTTTTGACTTATGATGGATTTATTGGGATGTAACTTCATCATAGGTCAAGGAGCATCTGTATTTTGAATTCCCTGTCAGATAAATCATATATGTCCACTTCACTCAGAACAGTTTCTGGAGATTTATTTGGTTATTTTATTTGAACTGTATTTCCCTGTTTTTGTTCATTTTCTTTGACCCTCTGTGTTGGTTTCTGTGTATTATAAAAGACAGCTACCTCTTTCAGTCTTGTCAGACTGACCTCATGTGGGAGGATCTCACTATTTCGACTAACCAGAGATTTCAAGATGCCTCTCTAATCTTAGTGTTTGTCCAGACTGCTGTCTCTATTTTTTGTCCCCCCTACCCTGGAGATTCAGATATGATATGTCCTGTCAGTACCCCTAAGACTGGTAAGGTAGGAGCTAGATTCTCTAGATGTAGCTGGAAATGTTGGAGTGTTGAATGCATGCTCCAATTTTTTCTGTCTTCACAGTGAAGCTGAGCACAGGCATTTATCTTCAGTTCTCTGCATTAAGCCAGAGAGAGGATCTGTGGCAAATGCCTGCCATCATGTTCAGGCTGCATCCTCTGATTCTGGCGAGATAACTGATGGAAGTTGGCCCATTGTACATCCACCTCGTTGTTTTCCATGGTCTCTGGCTACTCAAAAGTGCAAAGACCCACTGACTCCCAGAGCTAGCTAGATCATTAAAGAGACAGTCCTTTGGGTAGGAGCTATAGAAGTTATGGCACTTGGTGCGTGTCGTAGCTCCTTCCAGAAAGAATGGCTAGGCCTAGGCTTATCACTAGGGGAGCCAGAGGGAACACTCATGAAGTGCTCAGCTGTGGCTCCAGCTGCTGGAGGGCTCCTGTTTGTTTGCCTCATTAGCTCTCTGATGTACAGTTTTTAGAAGCCAGGCCATCAAGTAGACACTAGGCGGGGGGGTGCCAGAAGCCCCTTCCCAGAAAGAAAATGGAAGCTGCACATTCTTGATCCTTTTCTGCATTGTTCTGAGGGGGTGTAGCCCCTGGTAGTGTTTCCATGTCCATTGAAACTTCCTTTCTGTTTTGTGATCTGGGGAAATTCACATATGCCTAATGCCCTTTCTTCACGTAGCTAAGAGGTTTAGGATTGAGTCCTTTGGGAGGTGGCTGCAGAAGTTGGGGCACTCAGTGCATAGCATTAACCCCTTCTGGACAGAAACAGAAGACTGTGTTTTTTAAGCCCCTTCTCTGCACTGCTCCTGGGGGATAAAGCCTGTTGAAGTGCTTGTGTGCTCATATTAAATGGCCGCTTCTTCCTGTGGTCTAGAGAGACACACAAATGCCAGTCCCGTCTGCTCCCAGAGATAGGAGTTTTAGAATGTAGTCCCTTGGGTGGCAGCTGTAAATGTTGGGGCACTTGATGTGAGAGAGAAACAAGGGGCCATGGTTTTAAAGCCCCGTCTCTGCACAACTTCCACAGAATGAAGCCTCTGTAAGTGCTTCATGCCTGTGTAAAGCCATCACTTTTTTCTTGTGGTCCAGAGAGACTCTTGTGTGTCTAATCCACTCCACTCTCAGAATTGGTGAATTAAGAGCCAAGCCATGGGGAACCTTAAGAGTTATGGTGATACATGTGAGGTCCAAAGCCTCATTTCCACAGAGAGAAACTGTGTGTTGCAGATTCCTTTCCCAATTCTCTGGTTCAGTGCCTGGAGCAGGATCCATGTCCAAGTGTGTCTCCACTTTTCCTGCCCTTTGATGCGGATATGTTTTTGGTTATAACATAAGCAGGAGTCTCTCCACTGGTCTCTGACTTTCTCTCAGATGGAATTGATCTGAGAATAGATGTGTATTGGGTGTGTCCATGGGTGGAGGGAGAGCCAGGATATTCTTATTCAGCCATGTTGCTGACTTCATTCTTCTCCTTTCCCAGAGTTTTAACTTTTTTGGCCAACCTCTTATTTGCCCCCAACTAATATCATTGCCTCAGGTAGCTGTGAAGTTAAGCAATTGTTGCTGATAGTCTTTTGACAAATGCCATGAGGATAGGACTTTTTTTCTCAGAGAGCTCTGAGTCAGGTCAAATAAAAATAAACTGTTTGAACAGGGCTTTTCCAGGGAGCTCCCAGACAGCTCAAAGAGTGAGAATTCTATGGAGCTCCCTAAGGAGCTCCAAGCCCAGGCTGGCCCTTCCAGGGACTGCTAGGCTACTGGTAGGTTTTTTTCCTCCAGTTATAATGGTTGTAAGGCTGCTGTTTTTCAAGGCTACCCTATAGCCAGAGAGCGGCAGTGGGACTAGAGCAAGTCAAAACACCACAAAACTTGCTGTTGTTACCAAGATTTAGCATTGTTCTTGAATAAACACTTTTTGGATTATTGCAAGCTTTGATTAATTTACAGAGTCCTGAAAAGTTGACATTGACAACTCTTTCCATTATTTTCATTGTTTTTATAAAGGAGAAGATTTTCAGAAGTCCTTGCTTTACTATCACAGAAATATCCTCATCTCCTGAAAGTACATTCTTGTGTGAGTAGTGTAAAGTTTTCTCTTCTTTTTTTCTTTTTAGATACCTTGGAGATAGCATCTGTAAATTTACCCATTCCCGTGCAAACCAAGAACTATTATAAGAATGTTTCTGAAAACAAAGAGATTGTAAAATTAGTTTCTGTGCTTAGCACAATTATCAACTCCACCAAAAAGGTATGTCAAGAGGGTCTGGCAGCCGGACCTTTTGCTTTGCAACATGCACTTGTGTGAAAGTGAACATCACAAAGTTGTCCTTTATGTAGCCTGGGTCTCACACACTGTGCTTTCAGGGAGCATCTTGTATGTGCTCAGCAAATGTTTGTCTAACTGAAGATCTTTCATTCTAGATTGCAAGGTGAAAAAAAATTATTCCTACTCTCATATTGTGTTTTGTTTAATGCTTTTAATATATTCTTTTAATACAAATGAATCTAACTTAAAAAATCTAATATGTTCCAAACTACAAGTCAGACTGTTGTTATAATTCACCTTCAAAGAACCAGTGATACTAACATATTTGAAATAGAATAAGGTTTGTAGTCATTTTTTCATATTTGAGTAGTCGGGCAAATGTTATAAAATATCAGATAAAAATTTATTTATATTGCCACATAGAAATTAGATGAAACTGAGAATAAAGAAGATATTAGTACTATCAATACAAACTTGAACTGGACATGAATGTACATTCAAGGCAATTTTTTCTTTCAGCATACTCCCCTCTCAACTTCCCCTTTTTTGTTCATGCAAATCTATTTTACAGACAAAAAGATTTAAAACCCTGAAATCATCTTTTATTTTTTAAAAAAACTCTTCTAATTCACATGGCCAGTAAGACTTGTTGACTTGTTAATAATGTTTCCCAGTGTTTAAGGAATAGTTGTTGCTCAGTAAGTGCATTTTTTCTATTACTCAGTTTTGATACAATGAGTTACGTTCATTTGAAAGCACTCTGAAAAGCTACCATTGCTGTAACAATGTGAGGAAATATTATTAAGTTTAGTTTTAATGTGTTCCCAAGGGAACTGGAAATCTTTTGCATTTATGGACTTTTAATTTTCCTTTCTTAATATATTGAAGGTCCTGTATTTAATTTTCCCCTAGAGACAGTATTCAGGTAACTCAATAAATATTTATCTAGTACTTAGATTATTAAGCTCTATACTGAATGATAAGCAAAGTATTTCATGATAACAATAAACATTCAGAAATATTTTCAAGTGTCTCAGTATTCCTAGAAAATAAAAGAAAATAAATCAGCAATAAGATCCACTAGTTTCTCTAGTATGATCAACCACTATTATGAAAATCTAAGAGGAAGAAATCATAGTTAACATACAGTGCTGGCCACAAAATACTTATCTCTGTGTCTTTTTTTTTTTTTTTTTTTTTGAAGGAGTTTCACTCTTGCTGCCTAGGCTGGAGTGCAATGGTGCAATCTTGGCTCACTGCAACCTCTGCATCCCAGGTTCAAGCGATTCTCCTGTCTCAGCCTCCTGAGTAGCTGGGATTAGAGGCATGCACCACCACACTGGGCTAATTTTGTATTTTTAGTAGAGACAGGGTTTTACCATGTTGGTCAAGCTGGTCTCAAACTCCTGACCTCAGGTGATCCACCTGCCTTGGCCTCCCAAAGTGCTGGGATTACAGTCGTGAGCCACCGTGCCCGGCCTCTGTGTCACTTTTATTGCATTTGCTTTTACTTTATATGAAGGAAATGCTCAGATATTAGTTTTCCTTAAAATAGTAGAAAAGGTTGGCATTTATAACAACTTGAAGAACTTATTCCAGATTTATAGGATAGCCAAATTGTTTCTGGGAGAATATATGTACACTTAGTCATAGTATTAGATATAGCCAGCCCTCCACAGCCATAGACCTTTCTGAATGATTCTGCCTCAACCACAGAAAGTCCTATGATCCCTGCCCCTTTCCTGTTGCTATAGCTGATTGGATTAGAATGTAAACCTGACCTGCCTTTAGCATGCCCATAGGTTGGTCATCAACTTCTAACACAACCTGGCTTAAAAGGATGAGCTGAGGCTGGATGTAGTGGCCCATGTCTGTAATGTCAGCACTTTGAGAGGCCAAGGTGGGGGATCACTTGAGGCTGGGAGTTTGAGACCAGCCTAGCCAATATGGTAAAACTATGTTTCCACTAAAAACACAAAAATTAGCTAGGCATGGTGGCAGATGTCTATAATCCCAGCTACTCATTAGGCTGAGGCATAAGATTTGCCTGAATCTAGAAGGCAGAGGTTGCAGTGAGCTGAGATGGTGCCACTGCACTCTAGCCTGGGTGACAGAGCGGGACTTTGTCTCGAAAAAAAAAATATAGAAACGTTGAGCTGGACCAAACAATCAAAATAACCTTGGTTACATAATCAGAACAACTCTACATATGTAGTTCATCTAATTTTCCTACTGAGGTCATTTTCCTTTCAAGGTCTAGGTTACCTTCATGTGAAAAAGTTCCAATTTAATAAAGACAGACACTTTAAAAGAATACCCTCCAACATATTTAGTTAGGGTATATTCTTAATATTATAAGCTTGGGTGGTGAGAGAGCTCTGGATTCTGGAACTTCTATCCATTTCTGGGAATCTTCAATAATCTGTAATTAATTCTTCAAACCATCATACATATGTGAATATGTCTACATGCTATTGCAATGCATTCTTGGTCTGCATGTCAACACTTCAGGTCATGCAAACGAATCATTTGTGGTTGGGATAGGCAGTGATAGGTTTAGCTTTCTGCATTTTAATGGATGGGAAGTATCAACATCCATTGAACCTGAGGCTCGGAGGGACATTTTAGCTGTATGTGGGGAGCTGGAGTGGAACTGCTTCTTGGTTTGGTGCAGCTTGGTGCAATTTACTTAAAATAATCAGACCATTTAGAATCCTGTAATGCTCAGTTATTTCAGATAATTGCACTGTTTATTCTTTATCAGCTAAATTTGTTTTTCATGCAGATGTAACTCTGAAATCATAATATAAGGCAGTGGAAAAACTTGATTCACAAAGGAATTAGAAATGAAGAGACAAATTTTTTGGCTAGGCGCCGTGGCTCATGTTTGTAATCTCAGCACTTTAGGAGGCCGAGATGAGAGGATCACTTGAAGCCAGGAGTTTGAGACCAGCTTGGGTAACACAGTGAGATCTCGTCTCTACAAAAATAAATAAATAAATAAATAGTAATTAAATAAAAAAAGACAAAATTTTAATTATTTGTAGATGATACAATTGTCTGCCAAGTAAATCCAAGAGGCTAATCTAAAAAAGAAATTGTGGCCCAACAAGAGTTAAGTTAGTCACCAATGGAAAGATAATTATATGAATTTTTCATAGAATACAATAAACATGTTCCTGAAAATCGTCCTGTTTTGAGAAGTTGCATATTTAATATTAAATAATAGGGATGATGAGAAAAACAAGATTGAGGCAGACACAAAATCTAGGCAATTTGTAACCAGGGTAATAAATAAAACAATAATAATCATAGTAAAATAGTAACAGTAACAATCTTAGTGAAATATTCACATATTTAATAACACTATAGTAATTACAGAACTTTACTATAAAAGATGAAAGAAGCTTGGTAGAAGTGGGAAAAGGAAGAGATTGTGGAGGCATAGAAGCAAAGATAAACTCTACAAAAATCAGGCCAAACTCTACAAAGAACATTCTTTCTTTGTTGTTCTTTCTGCTTTGATTGGTATTTATTTATTTATCTATTTTTATTTGTACAAATTTATAGGATACATGTGCAATTGTGCTGTATGTATAGATTGCATAGTGGCCAAGTCAGGGATTTTAGGGTATCCATCACCCAAATAATGTACATTGTATCTGTTAGTGAATTTCTCATAGCCCTCCCTTCTGAAGTTGATGAGAAATCTGACTCTTCTGAGTCTCTATTATCTATCATTCTGCTCTGTATGTCCATGCAAACACTTTTTTTTTTAGCACTAACTTATGAGTGAGAACCATATGCAAAGATATTCTTAAGACAGGTGGTAGCCAAATCAATCCAAAAGGAAGAAGTGATGGAGGGGGAGTGGCACACAGGACTGTACTCCTCTGTGACTTGCTGCTTTAGCTGGTACAAAGCAGTAGCATTTGTTTTGCTGGGAAAAATAGCATTTGAAAACATGACCTCTGCATTATGTCAGCACTGTCCCCTATTTACCAATTGCCAGAGAGTCATTTCATCTTTACAGATGCATACTTGGTTAGCAAACTAGACTGTTGATTTACAAATAAATTTAAAAAAATGTATATGCCATTCATAGCCAGTTATAATAATAGTGGAAAATATCTTGTTTACAATGACAACAGCATTGAAAAATACCTAGAAACATGTATAATAAGAAGTATCTGGGGTCTCTATGAAGATTATGCTAAAACTTAAGGAATTTTTGAAAAAGATGACAAGATATGGAAACATGCACTATGTTCCTGGTTGGTTAGATGTAGTATTGTTCAGATGTCAATTCTAGTTATATGAATTATACATTTTATGTGATTCCAGGCAATCTCTCATTGAAGTGATGCTCGCTATTTTCTGTTTGTCCTTCATGCCCCTAAGATCTAATCTCCATTCCCTCCACCTATCTGACCTTAGGCAACATGTCAGTAGATTCCCATTGAGGCTTCCAGTGGGTTCAGTCAATGAAGAATCTTGGAGGAGATCTGAGGGGAGGGGGGAAAGAGGAGAATGACCTCAGAGTATGTTTTTCATAGCACCTTCCCTGTAGTGTGAGCTTGAGCTGTGGTTTTTGATCTAAGGCCCAGCTCCAACCAAGAGGGCCCTGTCCACAGGATCTTCAAGAACTGTCATCTAGTTTCTAGAAACTGCTCCTCTCCCATTTAGCTAGGGATGATAACAGTGAAACTGTTACTAGCCCTGGGCTACTGTCCACACTATTGTATATAGTCCCAGTTCTTTGGCATTTCCAGATAATCACACAGTTCACTAAACATTTTAATAAATCCATAGGAACCACCAGCAGTTGGTAAATATTCACTTATATCATTGTGCCTTTCAGATTCTTCCTTCTTAACATAAATCTGTTATTTGCATTCAGGAAGTTATTACATCCATGGATTGCTTCAAACGCTACAATCACATTTGGCAAAAGGGAAAAGAAGAAGCCATTAAGACATTTATTACACAGAGCCCCTTGCTTTCTGAATTTGAGTCCCAGATTCTCTATTTCCAAAACCTAGAGCAGGAAATTAATGCTGAGCCTGAATATGTCTGTGTGGGTTCCATTGCTCTGTACACAGGTTGGTTCATTTTCTTTCATATAGTTATATAAATTAGCCATTATTGTTCTGCCTCTTTACCTAGATTTGTATTCCAGAGAGTTCTACCTGTCTTAAAGATTGACTTTATGGGCCTCAAGCTTTAAAACCAATTTGTGGATTTTTAAAAAATTTTCTTCTGCATAATTATTGATTCTGGACTATTTTGCACACTTTGCTGCTAAACCTTGAAAAAAAGACTAAGTCAGAGAAAGGAGATGTCTGTTATATTTTGAATTAAAATTTACCCTTTGTTTAATAAATAACAATAACAAACCTTTGAGGCTTATCCCAGAGAGTTCTGATATGTGCTTTTTTAAAAAAACATTTTGAAATGTGTGTTGAGTTGTTGTAAAAACAAACTTTAAAAAATGAATGAATATATAATGAGTAGGAAAAATTATGATTTTTTCCAGTTCAATTTTTTGTGGGTTAGAGGGCAATAAGCTATAAAATATTTACTACTGGAGAACAGCGACAGTTTGACTTTTCGTACTGATTCGAGTTTTTAAAACTGAACTGTAGACATTTGGGTTTTTACAGCTGACTTGAAGTTCGCCCTGACTGCTGAGACAAAGGCCTGGATGGTTGTCATTGGACGCCACTGTAACAAAAAATACCGGAGTGAGATGGAAAACATTTTTATGCTTATTGAAGAATTCAATAAGAAACTAAATCGTCCAATTAAGGACCTAGATGATATTCGGATTGCAATGGCAGCGCTGAAAGAAATAAGGGAGGAGCAAATCTCCATTGACTTTCAAGTAGGACCTATTGAGGTAACTAATGATCATTTGTTCATTATAGAAATATTTCTACATGTTGGATGCTATTAGCTGAAATATTGACTGGGTCTGGAGTGAAGTTACTAAATGGTTACTAAACCAAGACAATAATTTCAATATTGTTGATGATACCGAACCCCTATAGCATTGCCTTCCATGGGCCAGTTTTCACCTTCACATGTCGCCTAAGGTCCTTCAAAGCAGAGCCTGAGATAAAGATTTCTGTGCAAATGATTTATTGGTGAGTGCTCACCAAAGAAGAGGGGCGAGGGAATCAGGAAAGGAAGTCAATCAGCTATGGACTAACTTCAGCCTGATCCCATGGGCACTCTACAACATCAATTGAGTTGGGCCCTCCTTCATGCAAAGGAGACTACCCTTTCTACTCCTAAGTCAGTAGGAAATGGGCTATAACCTCCCCATGAGAAGGCTCACATTCAGCTGAGAAAAATCTTCCAGGGAAGGGACAGCTGCAGTCCTTATAGCCAGCACTCTCAGTAGTCGGGGATGGGAATACCAGCTGGTAATCGGGACCTGGATGGGGCGTTAACAGTGTCCATATATGCAGTAACTCATTTCATCCTTACTATGGCTCCTACTCCTCACATAAGGAAACTGAGGGTCGAAGAAATTATGTAATTTGATCAGTGTTGCACATCACTTTTATTTGTATACCATATCATACTATCTTTTCCAGATGAAAATGTCTTTTTTTTGCAGTGAAGTCTGCTTTTATTTACTTATTAGTTATAATATTATCAACATACATAGTGTAATTTAAGCAATGGCAAAAAAGACAGTTGATTTCATTACAAGCAGACACCCTTGAATAGATTCACTTGAGTAAACATCATCTCTTTCTAAGGAGTCTCCTTAGAAATCTCATGTTAGGCCACCAGCAAAATCAGTCTTAGCAACAGCCTTTTTTTTAAAACAAACAAACAAACAAACAAACTCTTTTTTCCCTAATTAAAAAGTAGCATTGTAGAAAAATTAGAAAACACAAAACGATTGTATAAAACAAAACTTCAGAATTACCATAATATTGTCAATCAAGTACATACCAAGAGGTTGGTATATTTCTTTCCAGCTCCTTTTAATGTCTGTGTATGTGTGTGTAATTTTGAATTCCATTTTTATTCATCTTGTAATATTTATATCATCATTAGAAATGAGTAAGAGTGTGAATTATTAATATCATTAATAACTTTCCATAATCATAATTGTTGGTGCATGTCTTTAAATCTTATTTGCCACTTGTGATTGTTGACAAAGACCCAAGAGTGGAGACGTTAAGGAAAAGCACTTCTCAGCCATGGAGGCACCGTGGGGTCAGGGGGTGCTGTTAACCTCCAGATGAAAATGTCTTATCAGAAGTGGGTCACTATATTTGTTATTTTTAAATGAGACTAGTTTAATTGTAGCATTAAAAAAAACTCCAGTTGTAAAATCATCATCTTTTCATCACACTATAACTGGAATGTCTGGGCTTATACTCTGATGGTCGAGATCAGACTCTATTCTCCCATTTTCTGCATCCCTGTTTGAATTTTGAAAATTTTCACATTACCATGAGAATGGTACAGACTACTACACATTTTCACTTCTGCTGTGTTGGGCCAGGGGGATCACATGGTCCAACCTGCTCTCCTTGGGTTGAAACATCAAGGCAAAGAGACATTTCTTTGTGCAGGATCAGGGGATACCCTCAAGTATGAAGAGGAGGTACAGTAACTGACAATCCTATTTTCTCCCACCTAGGAATTAAGAACAAAAGTAGAATCAAGTAGACAAGATCAAAACATCACCTTTATGCCTGATGGAAGTTATTCGGAAGACATAACTTAGTGTATTACTCCAGTTATTCCCCTCCCTTTCATACCCCCAGACACACACACACACATTATGAGCTAGTGAACACTAAATCCCAGGATTATTATACTTCCTCATCCATCAGAGGCAGTGTTGGAAAGCTGTAGGTCTTGGTATTACCCTGATCCAGTTTATGGCACTGAGGTGCTGACCACAGGCATGCCTCCACGGAGAGGGAGGGAAGAGAGAGAAAGGCACTGGGCTATCCTTGCTCAGATCAACAATGTTTTCCCCCAAATTAATAATCAGGCACTCATTCCACCTCTATGGGGAGGAGTAATGGTGGGAGAAGAGACTAGAGATATTTAGAGAAAATTCTTTCTTATGAAAACCAACCTTAGCCTCATTTTAACCTTTTAGAGAAGAAAGCCATCCAGGATTTTACATGCTGAAGGGAATGACTTGGCCCAGGCTCTGATTCAAGAATCCTCCCTTGTGTCTTACTATTGGAACCTCTTATCGATCACGTGAAATAAGACAGAGTTAAAACCCTGATTGATTTTGTTATTCTAATATTAGAAGTTAAATTATTTTGTTTTTTATTTACTTGATAGAATTTTGTAGTGATCAAATACAATTTGGGGGCCTAAGTAAAAATATCTTTTATTTGTCTAATGGTTTATGGTTTTCAAAATGCATTTAAAATGACATTTTTCAATAGTCTCAAAGATCCTGTGAAGTAGCCAGAAGATTTTCCCATTTTATAGATGAGGAAACTATAGCTGAACAGCTCAGTTGCACAGTTAACCTCTTGCGGTTTGAAGTAGAATAACTAGAACTCTCAGGGTAGTTTCACTATTATTCTGGTATTTTCCATTCTTATCATTTAATAAATGGCTGTGTGTAGATTTATGCATCTGACTGGCCAAAATTAAGTTTTTCCTATTTTTTTTTAGGAATCTTATGCCCTGCTTAACAGATATGGACTTCTGATAGCAAGGGAAGAGATAGACAAAGTTGATACACTGCACTATGCTTGGGAGAAGCTGCTGGCACGTGCTGGCGAAGTCCAGAATAAATTAGTCTCACTGCAGCCCAGTTTCAAGAAAGAGCTTATTAGTGCTGTGGAGGTATTCCTCCAAGATTGTCACCAGTTTTATCTGGACTATGATTTGGTATGTCTCTGGCTTTCTCTGTGTGCGTTTTCGGGGATGAGTGAATACAACATGCAAAATGTAGTTGTCTAAAAATTATGGGTAAATTTCTGTGAAACTTCCTAGGAATTCCCAGGGAATGGGAATTTTATTTTCATGAGAGAAAAACATTTTTTTTCACAATTCTTTCCCCTTAGAGTTTCTATTAGTCTGTTTTCACACTGCTATAAAGAACTGCTCGAGACTGGGTAATTTAGAAAGGAGAGAGGTTTAATTGACTCACAGTTCAGCATGGCTTGGGAGGCCTCACGAAACTTACAATCATGGTGGAAGGCAAAGGGGAAGCAAGGCACCTTCTTCACAAGGCAACAGGAAGGAGAATGCTGAGCGAAGAGGGAAGAGCTCCTTTTAAAACCATCGGATCTCATGAGAACTCACTACTGAGAGAACAGCATGGGGAAAACCGCTCCCATGATTCAGTTACCTCCACCTAGTCTCTCCCTTGAGACGTGGGGATTATGGAGATTATGGGGATTACAATTCAAGATGAGATTTGGGTGGGGATGGAAAGCCTAACCAAATCGGATTTCATACATAATAATTTCAACAGAAAATGATAAATTTAAAAGGGCTAACAGTGTATAATTTGGTCTGTTACTGAAGTTGTTTGGTAGCATTCTAAATTTGTGTAGAAAAGTACTATTCGCATGCAGTTATAATTGTCCTCCTTTCCACAGCGTTCCTTGGTTACACAAATAACACAGAGCTCAGCAATTGCCGGGCGCTGTCCTTGGTGCTGACTACACAGTAGTGGATAAGACAGATCAAGCCTTGCCCCCACGGAGTCCATATTTTAATTATCCATATAGGTTTAAGTACTGAATCTTCTAATGTAAATATGTTGTGTAATGAGACCCATCTCCAGGCAATTATAATATGCTGGAGAAGGGAAATATATAGAGTTTAGGGTAAAATTTGTACCCATTAACTAGTAGCACAATAAACCACAAAATTAATCAAGTTAGAAGATTGGACCCATGTACCAACGCCATGGATGAAGAAGCACAGAAATCCACATATTTAAGATTTTCTAATGTTGGAAAATCTGATTGGAATGTTAAGATTATAGGCCACTTTACAAGTGGGTATTAGAATGATAAAAATCTATGAGTTATATGATATTAGCATTTAGCTGAAAAGCAGACTTTATATGTGCTTCTTATAGAACAGGCATTGACTCCTCTTTCCCTGTGTTACCTAAGAAATGAATAATACATATTTTTAATCTTAAAAGTTTCTTGACTAAGGGAAGTTCTGGCATTAATTTGGCTTTTTTAGACTAGAAACATATGTCTAAATGAATCACTTTGTGAGGCCCTTTTTTTCTAACAAATAAAAATGAAGTTTCCTATCATGCATGAAACCTAACTTTAATATTTAAATATGGATTGAGTTCATGAAATTTATATGCAAACACTTCCTTCTATTTTTCTTTTTTTACTTTTTGTTCAGAATGGTCCAATGGCTAGCGGCTTGAAGCCCCAGGAAGCCAGTGACAGGCTTATCATGTTTCAGGTAATCTTTTTAGTTTCTATGACTTTCTAAACAATGAAACTTTGTTGTGTTTTAAACACACATATGTTTTCTTCTTTGTAAGATAGAGGGCCCTATTGTGGAATATGGTATGTACTTGCATTAAAAATACGATATTGTAGGATTACAATTAGAAGTAGTTTCTATGAATTAATTATGCCAACTTAGTATTCCTATTTACATGTGCCCAGAGATCATACATCTCTGGCTTGCTTGTTTGCAAATCTTATATTTTCATTTGTATGTTGATCATGTATAAATCATTTTGATGCGTTTTCACTTGTGTTTTTATTAGAATCAATTTGATAATATCTATCGGAAATACATCACATATACTGGAGGAGAGGAGCTTTTTGGCCTGCCAGCTACACAGTATCCTCAGCTTCTTGAAATAAAGAAGCAACTAAATCTTCTACAGAAAATATATACTCTGTACAACAGTGTCATAGAAACTGTAAATAGCTATTATGATATTCTTTGGTCAGAGGTGAATATTGAAAAAATTAACAATGAACTCTTAGAATTCCAGAACAGGTAAGAAATTAAATGTTTAGCATGCCCAGCAATTGAACTTCAAATGCTTTCCTCTTTGATAGGCAGCCAAGTTCTCTTTTCACCCCAGCTATTTCAAAAGCACATCTTGCTGCATTGTTCTTGTCCATTGACATCACTCTTGTCAAATGCTATTTATTAATTACTCCTGTGTGTACACAATGAGACAAGCACATTCTGTCTATCAGGATGAGTCATGTTAGGGGCTTTTCTGCAGCTTGGTGGGAGCTGATTTTTATTTATATTACACTTATGAAACATTTGAAGTTAATGTCAGATTATCATCTGGAACAAAAGCAGGGGCCCATGATTTTTCTGTATTGTTGTAGCTCTTGAATTTAAAGAAAATGGAGAGCTGGCTGGGTGCAGTAGCTCATGCCTGTAATCCCAGCACTTTGGGAGGCTGAGGTGGGCAGATCACGAGGTCAGGAGATTGAGACTATCCTGGCCAACATGGTGAAACCCCATCTCTATTAAAAATACAAAAATTAGCTGGGCATGGCGGCACGTACCTGTAATCCCAGCTACTCGGGAGGCTGAGGCAGGAGAATCGCTTGAACCCAGGAGGTGGAGGTTGCAGTGGGCGGAGATTGCACCACTGCACAGAGCTATACTCCGTCTCAAAAAAAAAAAAAAAAAAAAAGAGCTATTTGTTGCATATTTCACTTCACAGCCTGATACACTTTGCTATGCTTTGTGCTTAGTAAGTTCTCAGTACATGTTTGTAGAATTGAATTAGCTTGAGCAGCACCTCTACGCTCTAAAATAATGCCTCTAACTAGGTAATAGTTGTGAAGGGTTGGAAAAAATCTTTTCTAATGGAGAGGACAATTTTCTGTAATATAAAAGTCATCTGTATATTATATGAACAGACAGCCTGCAAGTCATGGGATTTAAAATAGGATAAGTATTCAAAGAGACTGTTTTTAATAGAAATACTAGCAGACCGTCTTGGTCCAGTGATGTCTACCATCATATTTCAATGGCCTTTCATGTTGGTGTCCCTTCACAGATGTCGAAAGCTTCCCCGGGCCTTGAAGGACTGGCAGGCTTTTTTGGACCTGAAGAAGATCATTGATGATTTCAGCGAGTGTTGCCCGCTGCTGGAATACATGGCCAGTAAAGCCATGATGGAGCGGCACTGGGAAAGGATAACCACCCTCACCGGGCACAGTCTGGATGTGGGGAATGAAAGCTTTAAGTTAAGAAATATCATGGAGGCACCTCTTCTGAAATATAAAGAGGAAATAGAGGTAGAGTATGATGTGATGGAAGATTGCAAGGTCTCATGGGATTTATTTGATAACATTTCTATATTATGGAATATTGGATCAGTAAACTACACTCAGACAATTGAAACTCTTCTCCTGGCATTCAGCCACTAGTTCCTTCAACAAATGCTTATTTGGCCTAAGATGGGACAGATTCTGCATCAGGATATAACAATGCAGTCCTGCATTTACAGATTATTAAATAATTTTACAAATAAAGGCACAGTTATAAGCTGTGGCAAATACCATTGAATAAAATGTATGTTGTTCTGTGAAAGCCTATGGTAGATGAGTTTGGTTCACCTGGGGGTGATAAAGCTAGGGAGGACTAGGATGCATGCGTAGGACTGGCTGGGTGAAGGGAGTGTGGTTGTGTGGTTGGGGTGAGGGGCTTGGAAAGTGCAAAGAAGGCCATTCCAGGCAGATGGTGCATTATGCATGGAGCATCTGAAGTGTGTTTGAGGAACCAGAAGAAGGCCCATGTGGCTGAGGCGTGGAGGCAGGGCAGAGAGGAGACAGCAGAGGCCAGGGAGGTGGAGTGGGCCTACATGATGTTATCGAGCAATGGGCACCAGCTGGGAGGTGTGTTTTCAGCAGGGGCTGACATGGTTAGGTTGACCGTTTGTAAGGATCACTCTGGTAGTGATCTTTGGAGAAATAATTGAAGGAGGACAAGGGAAGAATGATGGAAAAACCAACTGAGAGTTTCTAAGAGTAGCTCAGGCAAGAAATGATGGCTTGTTAGATGAGAGGGGAAGTAGTAAAGCTGGAGAGGAGAGAAAGGATCAGGGATATTTGAGGAGAATTCGGTGATGAAGGGAACATGGTAGGAGAAGGAAGGGGAGGGCTAAAGATGAACTCTAGATTTCTTGCTGAGAGACCTAAGTGGATGAAGGTGCTGACCACAGAGATGGGGAACATGGGAAGGTGATCAGATTGGGTGACAAGGTGCAAAGATCATGGTCTTGATTAGGGACATGAGTCTGATATTTCACAGACTGTGTTTGGGGTTTCCTTGAAACATCTCAGCAGGGAAGTTCAGTAGGCAAATGGATGTGGGTCTTGCCTGGAGATATGAAAGTGATTGAAGTCATGGGTGTAAATGAGCTCACCCAGAGGGGGAACATAGGTGGGAAGAAATGAGGGTAAAGGAAGGGCTTGACTAATGGTCTAGGAGAAGGTTGAGGCCATGAGGAGACTGGGAAAGTCAACAGAGCCATGGGAGAATCAGGTTTCTGCTACCTGTGTTCATTCACATGCTGCATTCACTTGACTTTAGAGGTAGATCAGAAATACATTGAATTTTGAATCAGTGATTAAAGTTTCAAAATTTAAAAGTGATTTGCATATATTTTCTGTCATCTTTCCTTTTGGGCAAGTTTGCTGGGAAATTTTATAAATTAAAGTTCTATTTTTCAGTCATATCTTTATCTCCATCTCTCTTCATGCATCAGTATCTGCGTATACACCTTCTGTTTATTATATTGCATTTTAGGTCTGGAAATATAAAAGTTTATATATATATTTATATATATATGAAGCAAATAGTGAAGATGGGGTATTGCACGTAGACTATTAAGGAAGGACGTGTGACTTTCATGCAATAACATGAGAGCTTGCCATTTTGATAGGACATCTGTATCAGTGCGGTGAAAGAGAGAGACATTGAGCAAAAGCTGAAGCAAGTGATTAATGAATGGGACAATAAAACATTCACCTTCGGCAGCTTTAAAACCCGTGGAGAGCTCCTCTTGAGAGGAGACAGTACCTCGGAAATCATCGCCAACATGGAGGACAGCTTGATGTTGCTGGGATCCCTACTGAGCAACAGGTGGGAAAACCATCTATCTTTTCCCTTAGATTTGAGAACCGTAATAGCAAACATTTAAAATTAATGAAAAATCCATTACAATAATAGCCTTCATATAGTTTACTCAATGTTGAAAATACTTGTTTTAATTACATTGATTAATTAATTTTTATATCCAAAACATATTTTTACTCAGGTACCCACTTATATATACATCATCAAGAGATTATATTTCAATTATTCTTGTTTTCATTTTGGCCTCAGGCACATGTTAGAGCATGTGTAACTCTGGTTTTATTTCATTATCCTCTATTTGTGGGGTATGTCTGAGACCATCCACTGGACAAAATAATGCAACGTATAATTAGCCACTCGGCTCTTGGGAACATTTCAGCTTGCTGCTGACAAGCCTGACTGCACAGCTCATAGCTCTACAGGCTGTAGAATCCAGGAGGAACATTATTTTGAATTTCAGAATAATCATTTTACTCGAAAAACCTTTTTTACCAATATCTGTGGACTAGAAACTCTTAGTTGTTTACATACTCTATTTTTTATATTTGTACAAATTTATGGGGTACATTTGAACTTGTTTTTTTTTTTTTTTTTTTTTTTTGAGATGGAATCTTGCTTTGTCACCCAGGCTGGAGTGCAATGGCGTGATCTCAGCTCACTGAAACCTCAGCCTCCCTGGCTCAAGTGATTCTGCCGCAGCTTCCTGAGTACTGGGATTACAGGCAACAGCCACCACGCCTGGCTAATTTTTGTATTTTTAGTAGAGACAGGGTTTCACCATGTTGGCCAGGCTGGTCTCAAACTCCTGGTCTCAGGTGATCTGCCCGCCTTGGCCTCCCAAAATGCTGGCATTACAGGCATGAGCCACTGTGCCTGTCCACATGTGAACTTTCATTACATGTATATAATGCATAGTGGCCACCCCTCACATTTTGGACATACAAACCACACAGTCATGAATTTACATTTCCTTGTTTCATTGCTTCCATTTGCTCTTTCTGAAATAATGTTTTTGTTCCCCAGAATCTTCTCAAATATATGGTAATTGTGCAGAAAGTGGATACCATTGAGATATGAATTTGTTGTTCTATTCTAGCTTTAAAATATCACCCAATTCTCCATATATATGTGTATCAATACTTTTAATGTTGGAAATACTGTGTACTTCATACTATTTCAAAAAAATTTCTCTTATTTCAGTTTACTTGTTACACTAAAGTAATATTGGGATATAAAGTTAGACCATTAGTAATCTTGAGTTTGGACTTCTCAGGATTTAGTGAGTTTTAATGAACTTGGTTACTATTCATACCAAACCAGAATAAAGGATAGACAGGCAATAATATACCCTAGGGAGATAGAAAAGACACTCATGTAAATTAAGTAAAAATTATCTGGTTGGGGTGGGGAAACTTTTCTTTTCAATGGCATCTAATCTACAGATAGAGTTATTGGGAGGAGTATTTTTTCAATATATATTTATTGAACCTTTACTATGTGTGTGATGTACTCTTCTAGGCGCTGTGGGTAGAACAACAAATAAGGGAAAGATCTCTGTTTCTATGGACCTATATTTCTAGTGAAGAGCATACAAATATTCAGAAAGATGCATGGAATATTAAAACAATTTGGTTAACAATTAAGAATATGGAAATTAAACTTTTATGCAATAATACGACTTCAAGTCCATATTATGTAGGGCTAGAGAGAACCATGAAGGGATAAGAAAGAGAAGAAGAGACACAAAGGTAGGCTGTATAATCATTTAGGATTAAGTTTGTCTGTAAATAACAGAAACACCACATACAAAATGGCTAATATAACACTGATGTTTATATTGCTCACGCATAAAAGAATTCCTAATGTAGGTGGTTCAGGTTGGAATGGGGGCTTTACCACATCATCAGGGACCCAAGCTTGGTCTGGCTCACTCATCTGTCTTTCCCAGGTGTGACCTTATTCCCCATACTACCCATTACATCCAATGCCACTACTCACATTTCATGTAGAAGAGTTGTTCTCAATCTTTGCAACGTACCAGATACACTGAAGGAACTTAAAAAAATCCCAATGCCAGGGCCACTTCCCAGACCCATTGAATCAGAGTCTCTGTACGTAGGACCCAGGCAGGCATCAGTAATTTTTAATGCTGGCGAGATGATTCCAGTGTTCAGCTATGAGATCATTCCAGTGTTCCGCTAAATTAAGCACTGTTGATGTGGAACTTAGTCTTCTGACTGCACATTACTGCAAAGGGAAGCTGGGAAATTCAGTAATTTAGCTGGGTAATTATGAGCCCACATGGAAAAGCAGAAGGAAAAAAGGACATTGGGAGGCCACCCACAGGCAGTCTGTCTCAAAGAGGAAAAGGGGAAGACAGATTAACTATGGAAGAGGCAGTAATCTTGCACACATGTACATCAAACATGAGTGGGTTGGACACAGGTGCGTGGGAAGTTAGAAAGAGACTCAGAAAAGGGGAGGCTAAGGAGAGAGTCCAGGTGTTATCATATTTGAAGATTGAATTAGTTGTCTGGTCCCCACTGATGGTTCTATAAAAGCTCCATATTATATGAAAAACCAGAGACTCCATGAAATAGGCACAGAAGCTCAGTAGGGCAAATATTATTCTCGTAGCCATAGCAGCACTGAGGGTAATTATATTACCCTGGAAGCTTGGTGGAATCAAGTCTAATGCCTGATCTACTCCTTAGATTATAAATCTCCCACCCTTCTCTATGCTCTGGATCAAAAGGGAAAAAGCTAGACTAACAATGAACAGTAAGTGGGGATGAATTAATCACTTGGTTGCATCACTTTAAAAGCCAGCAACATAATTAAGGTTGTAAAGAAAGCGGTTAAAAATTAAGATTTTTAAAAACCTTTTTAATTTGAAACAACAGCACAACAAAAACAAAACCAAACCCTAAACCTATTTCTTATTTTAGGTACAATATGCCATTCAAAGCCCAGATTCAAAAATGGGTGCAGTACCTTTCCAACTCAACAGACATCATCGAGAGCTGGATGACGGTGCAAAACCTGTGGATTTATTTAGAAGCTGTCTTTGTGGGAGGAGACATTGCCAAGCAGCTGCCCAAGGTTTTGTAATCTTCTTTATGATTTCATCAGATTTTTCAGAGAAAGCTCTCAGAGCGATTACCCCCTTAAATAATGCAATAATATTCCACTTCTATTGAACCCCCTTCCTTCAATCTTTTTGTTGTCACTGTTAATGCTGTTATTCTTCAAAGGGAGTGAGGAATTGTGGAAAGGAAAGGGGTGACAATCAGAGTAAGAATGCTGTAAAACTGTGGAGGTTTGATAGGAGATAGAGGGTTAAAAAAACAAAAAATAAGTGGTCGCATAATTGATATGCTTCTTTAGATAATTTCAAGGTAGAATTTGGAACAGTGTAGAATTATGGTGCAGTTATCTTGACAATGGTAGGCTAAGTTTTTCTACTACAGACATTTTAAAGTAATGCATACTATACAATGTACCCAATTATATCTGTACAGTAAAATTGAGGGGTGGAAATGTGCAGAAAAAATCTCCAAAACAAAAAGACCTTCTTTTCAAGATGTCAAGTATATATTTATCATCAAATCGTAATCATCTTACTGGGTATATATGGAGTATATTTTGAGATTTTTAAATGAACATTTTAACCAATTCTCAAGGATTCTTATTCAATTACCTTAAGTCGTATGCAAGATTATAACATTTTAACAATATATTTCAGTTTTAGAAGCATGATTATTTTAAATGTTTTCATCACATAGGTTTCTGAACTTCTTTTTTGGTTAGTTTTCAGTTTAATTACAGATGACAGATAAAATCAGACTGCAGACCATTTATTTTGGAGGCAATAGTGAAATGTATTCACTCACTAAAATTTTACTTTATTTTTGATTTGTATTTGTGCATGTTTTTCATCTTCTTTTCTTAAAGGTTTTAAGTAGGAGGTTTGGATTTTTTTTTTAAATTATATTTAAGTTCTGGGATACATGTGCAGAATGTGCAGGTTTGTTACATAGGAATACAGGTGCCATGGTGGTTTGCTGGACCCAGCAACCTGTCATCTACATTAGGTATTTCTCCTAATGCTATCCCTCCCCTTGCCCCACACCCCCTGACAGGCCCCAGTGTGTGATGTTCCCCTCCCTGTGCCCATATGTTCTCATTGTTCAACTCCCACTTATGAGTGAGAACATGCAGTGTTTGGTTTTCCATTCCTGTGCTAGTTTTCTGAGAATGATGGTTTCTAGCTTCATCCATGTCCCTGCAAAGGACATGGATTCCTCCTTTTTTGTGGCTGCATAGTATTCCATGGTGTATATGTGCTACATTTTCTTTATCCAGTATAACATTGATGGGCATTTGGGTTGGTTCCAAGTCTTTCCTTTTGTGAACAGTGTTGCAATAAACATACGTGTGCATATGTCTTTATAGTAGATTGATTTATAGTCCTTTGGGTATATACACAGTAATGGGATTGCTGGGTCAAGTGGCATTTCTAGTTCTAGCTCCTTGAGGAATCACCACACTGTTTTGGCTTTTGTTGCAATTGCTTTTGGTGTTTTAGTCATTAAGTCTTTGCCCATGCCTATGTCCTGAATGTTATTGCCTAGGTTATCTTCTAGGGTTTTATGGTTTTACGTCTTATGTTTAGATCTTTAATCCACCATGAGTTAATTTTTGTATAAGGTGTAAGGAAGGGGTCCAGTTTCAGTTTTCTGCATATGGCTAGCCAGTTTTCCCAACATCATTTAATAAATAGGGAATCCTTTCCCTATTGCTTGTTTTGTCAGGTTTGTCGAATATCAGATGTTTGTAGATGTGTGGTGTTATTTCTGAAGCTTCTGTTCTGTTCCCTTGGTCTATATATCTGTTTTGGTACCAGTACCATGCTGTTTTGGTTACGGTAGCCTTGAAGTATAGTTTGAAATCAGGTAGCGTGATACCTCCAGCTCTGTTCTTTTTGCTTAGGATTGTCTTGGCTATATGGACTCTTTTTTGTTTCCATATGAAATTTAAAGTAGTTTTTTCTAATTCTTTGAAGAAAGTCAATGGTAGCTTGATGGGAATAGCATTGAATCTATAAATTACTTTGTGCAGTATAGCCATTTTTATGATATTGATTCTTCCTATCCATGAGCATGGAATGTTCTTCCATTTGTTTGTGTCCTCTGTTATTTCCTTGAGCAGTGGTTTGTAGTTCTCCTTGAAGAGGTCCTTCACATCCCTTGTAAATTGGATTCCTAGGTATTTTATTATCTTTGTAGCAATTGTGAATGGGAGTTCACTAACGATTTGGCTCTCTGTTTGTCTATTATTGGTGTGTAGGAATGCTTGTGATTTTTGCACATTGATTTTGTATCCTGAGACTTTGCTGAAGTTGCTTATCAGCTTAAGGAGTTTTGGGGCTGAGACAATGGGGTTTTCTAGATATACAATCATGTCATCTGCAAACAGAGATAATTTGACTTCCTCTTTTCCTATTTGAATACCCTTTATTTCTTTCTCTTGCCTGATTGCCCTGGCCAGAACTACCAATACTATGTTGGATAGGAGTGGTGAGAGAGGGCATCCTTGTCTTGTGTCGGTTTTCAAAAGGAATGCTTCCAGCTTTTGCCTATTCAGTATGATATTGGCTGTGGATTTGTCATAAATCGCTCTTATTATTTTGAGTTGTGTTTCATCAATACTTAGTTTATTGAGAGTTTTTAGCATGAAAGGATGTTCAATTTTATCAAAGGCCTTTTCTGCATCTATTGAGATAATCATGTGGTTTTTTCATTGGTTCTGTTTATGTGAGGTATTATGTTTATTTGCATATGTTGAACCAGCGTTACATCCCAGGGATGAAGCTGACTTGATTGTGGTGGATAACCTTTTTAATGTGCTGTTTGATTCGGTTTGCTTGTATTTTATTGAAGATTTTTGCATTGATGTTCATAAGAGATATTGGCCTAAATTTTCTTTTTTTGTTGTGTCTCTGCCAGGTTTTGGTATGAGGATGATGCTGGCCTCATAAAATGAGTTAGGGAGGAGTCCCTCTTTTTCTATTGTTCGGAATAGTTTTAAGAGGAATGGTACCAGCTGCTCTTTGAACCTCTGGTAGAATTTCTAGAAGAAATTTATCCATTTCTTCTAGATTTTCTAGTTTATTTGTATAGAGGTGTTTATAGTATTCTCTGATGGCAGTTTGTATTTCTGTGGGATCAGTGGCGATATCCCCTTTATCATTTTTTATTGTATCTATTTGATTCTTCTCTCTTTTCTTCTTTAGTAGTCTGGCTAGCAGTCTATCTGTTTTGTTGATCTTTTCAAAAAACCAGCTCCTGGATTCATTGATTTTTTTGAAGGGTTTTTCATGTCTCTATCTCCTTCGGTTCTGCTCTGATCTTAGTTATGTCTTGTCTTCTGCTAGCTTTTGAATTTGTTTGCTCTTGATTCTCTAGTTCTTTTAATTGTGATGTTAGAGTGTTGATTTTAGATCTTTTCCACTTTCTCCTGTGGGCAGTTAGTGCTATAAATTTCCCTCTAAACAGTGCTTTAGCTGTGTCCCAGAAATTCTGGTATACTGTGTCTTTGTTCTCATTGGTTTCAAAGAACTTATTTATTTCTGCCTTAATTTCATTATTTACCCAGTAGGCATTCAGGAGCTGGTTGTTCAGTTTCCATGTAGTTGTGCAATTTTGAGTGAGTTTCTTAATCTTGAGTTCTAATTTGATTGCACTGTGGTCTGAGAGACTGTTTTTTATGATTTGCATTCTTTTGCATTTGCTGAGGAGTGTTTTACTTCCAATTATGTGGTCGATATTAGAATAAGTATGATGTGGTGCTGAGAAGATTGTATATTCTGTTGATTTGGGGTGGAGAGTTCTGTAGATGTCTGTTAGGTCCGCTTGGTCCAGAGCTGAGTTCAAGTCCTGAATATCCTTGTTAATTTTCTGTCACATTGATCTGACTAATATTGAGAGTGGGGTGTTAAAGTCTCCCACTATTGAAGAGTATGGGCATTAAAATGTAAGATTTATGGCCGGGCGCGGTGGCTCACGCCTGTAATCCCAGCACTTTGGGAGGCCGAGGCGGGCGGATCACGAGGTCAGGAGATCGAGACCATCCCGGCTAAAACGGTGAAACCCCGTCTCTACTAAAAATACAAAAAATTAGCCGGGCGTAGTGGCGGGCGCCTGTAGTCCCAGCTACTTGGGAGGCTGAGGCAGGAGAATGGCGTGAACCCGGGAGGCGGAGCTTGCAGTGAGCCGAGATCCCGCCACTGCACTCCAGCCTGGGCGACAGAGCGAGACTCCGTCTCAAAAAAAAAAAAAAAAAAAAAATGTAAGATTTATGATGAAAATCTATGTGGAGTGGTTCTTGTTAGTTTACTTTTCATATTGAGTGATGCATGAGGTAGGTGTTCAGAGTAATATTCTGCATCATAGTGAGAGAGAAGCATTTTTTATTTTACTTAAAATTAAGTTAAATGTAATTAAATTACTAGTGAATCATTTTACTGATTGTACTTTTATGCTATAAAATGCAGTACATTTGAAAATTTTTAGGTTATGTGTAAGCTTAATTTTGTAATTAAACATTTCTTTAACATGTTAAAAAAAGTCTCCCACTATTATTGTGTGGGATTCTAAGTCTCTTTGTAGGTCTCTAAGAACTTGCTTTATGAACCTGGGTGCTCCTGTTTCGGGTGCATATACATTTAGGATAGTTAGCTCTTCTCATTGCGTTGATCCCTTTACCATTATGTAATACCCTTCTTTGTCTTTTTTGATCTTTGTTGGTTTAAAGTCTGTCTTATCAGAGAGTAGGATTGCAACCCCTGCTTTTTCTTTGCTTTCCATTTGCTTGGTAAATATTCCTCTATCCCTTTATTTTGAGCCTATGTGTGTCTTTGCACGTGAGATGGGTCTCCTGAATACAGCACACTGATGGATCTTGACTCTATTAAATTTGCCAGTCTGTGTCTTTTAATTGGGGCATTTACCCCGTTTACATTTAAGGTTAATATTGTTATGTATGAATTTGATCCTGTCATTATGATGCTAGCTGGTTATTTTGTCCATTAGTTGATGCAGTTTCTTCATAATATCAATGGTCTTTACATTTTGGTTTGTTTTTGCAGTGGCTGGTTCTGGTTTTTCCTTTCTGTATTTAGTGCTTCCTTCAGGAGCTCTTGTAAGGCAGGCCTGGTGCTGACAAAGTCCCTCATCACTTGCTTGTCTTTAAAGGATTTTATTTCTCCTTCATTTATGAAGCTTAGTTTGGCTGGATATGAAATTCTGGGCTGAAAATTCTTTTAAGAATGTTGAATATTGGCCCCCACTCTCTTATGGCTTGTAGGGTTTCTGCAGAGAGATCCACTGTTAGTCTAATGGGCTTCCCTTTGTGGGTAACCCGACATTTCTCTCTGGCTGCCTTTAATATTTTTTCCTTCATTTCAACCTTGGTGAATCTGATGATTATGTGTTTTGGGGTTGCTCTTCTTGAGGAGAATCTTCATGGTGTTCTCTGTATTTCCTGAATTTGAATGTTGGCCTGTCTTGCTTGGTTGGGGAAGTTCTCCTGGATAATATCCTGAAGAGTGTTTTCTAACTTGGATCCATTCTCCCCATCACTTTTAGGTACATCGATCAAATGTAGGTTTGGTCTTTTCACATAGTCTCATATTTCTTGGAGGCTTTGTTCATTCCTTTTCATTATTTTTTCTCTAATCTTGTCTTCACGCTTTATTTCATTACATTGATCTTCAATCTCTGATATCCTTTCTTCTGCTTGATCAATTTGGGTATTGATACTTCTGTATGCTTCACGAAATTCTTGTGCTGTGTTTTTCAGTTCCATCAGGTCATTTATGTTCTTCTCTAAATTGGTTATTCTAGTTAGCAATTTCTCTAACCTTTTATCAAGGTTCTCAGCTTCCTTATATTGGGTTAGAACATGCTCCTTTAGCTTGGAGGAGTTTGTTATTACCCACCTTCTGAAGCCTACTTCTGTCAATTCGTCAAACTCATTCTCTGTCCAGTTTTGTTCCCTTGCTGGCGAGGAGTTGTTATCCTTTGGAGGAGAAGAGGCATTCTGGTTTTTGGAATTTTCAGTCTTTTTGTGCTGGTTTTTCCTCATCTTCGTGTATTTATCTACCATTGGTCTTTGCTGTTGGTGACCTTCGGATGGAGTTTTTGTGTGGTCGTCCTTTTAGTTGATGGTGATGCTATTGCTTCCTGTTTGTTAGTGTTCCTCTAACAGACAGGCCCGTCTTCTGCAGGTCTTCTGGAGTTTGCTGGGGTTCCAATCCAGACCCTGTTTGCCTGGGTATCACCAGCGGAGGCTGCAGAACAGCAAAGATTGCTGCCTGCTCCTTCCTCTGGAAGCTTTGTCTGAGAGGGGCACCTGCCAGATGTCAGCTGAAGCTCTCCTGTATGAGGTGTCTGTTGGCCCCTGCTGGGAAGTGTCTCCCTGTCAGGAAGCACGGGGTCAGGGACCCACTTGAGGAGGCAGTCTGTCCCTTAGCAGAGCTCGAGCCCTGTGCTGGGAGATCTGCTGCTCTCTTCAGAGCTGGCAGGCAGGAATGTTTAAGTCTTCTGACGCTGTACCCCACAGCTGCCCCTTCCCCCAGGCGCTCTGTCCCAGGGAGATGAGAGTTTTATCTATAAGCCTTGACTGAGGCTGCTGCCTTTTTTTCAGAGATGCCCTGCACAGAGAGGAGGAATCTAGAGAGGCAGTCTGGCTACAGCAGCTTTGTGGTGCTGCAGTGGGCTCTGCCCAGTCTGAACTTCTTTGCGGCTTTGTTAACACTGTGAGGGAAAAACCGCCTACTCAAGCCTCAGTAATGGTGGACCCCCCTCCCCCCACCAAGCTGGAGCATTCCCGGTCGACTTCAGACTGCTGTGCTGCCAGTGAGAATTTCAAGCCAGTGGATCTTAGCTTGCTGGGTTCTGTGGGGATGGGATCCACTGAGCAAGACCACCTGGCTACCTGGCTTCAGCCCCCTTTCCAGGGGAGTGAATGGTTCTGCCTCAGTGGCATCCCAGGTGCCACTAGGGTACGAAAAAAAAAATAAACTGGCTGGGCGTGGTGGCTCACGCCTGTAATCCCAGCAATTTGGGAGGCTGAGGTGGGCAGATTACCTGAGGTCGGGAGTTCGAGACCAGCCTGACCAACATGGAGAAACCCCATCTCTACTAAAAATACAAAATTAGCCAGGCATGGTGGCACATGCCTGTAATCCCAGCTTCTCAGGAGGCTGAGGCAGGAGAATCGCTTGAACCTGGGAGGCGGAGGTTGCAGTGAGCTGAGATCACACCGTTGCACTCCAGCCTGGGCAAAAAGAGCGAAACTCCATCACAGAAACAAAAAACAAAAAAAACTGCAGCTAGCTCAGTGTCTACCCAAACGGCCACCGAATTTTGTGCTTGAAACCCAGGCCCTTGTGGGGTAGGCACCTGAGGGAATCTCCTGGTCTGCAGATGGGGAAAGCATAGTATCTGGGCCAGATAGCAGTGTCCCTCACAGCATGGTACCTCATGGCTTCCCTTGGCTCGGGGGAGAGTTCCCCAAACCTTTTCACTTCTCAGGTGAGGCAACGCCCCACCCCGCTTCTACTTGCCCTCCGTGGGCTGCACCCACTGTCTGACCAGTCCCAATGAGATGAGCCAGGTACCTCAGCTGGAAATGCAGAAATAATCTGCCTTCTGTGTTGATCTTGCTGGGAGCTGCAGGGTGGAACTATTCCTATTCGGCCATCTTGCCCAGGATTCCCATGTTTTTCTTTTTAATGGATGAAGAAGAATCTAAAATTGGACTTAGAAATTTTCATGTAGAATATTTAAGGTGCTAGGTGTTGTTTCTTCCTTTCATATTTGATGGTATATACTCATTGGTGACATACAGAAAGCTTTAAAGAAGAAAATGAAAATTTGGGGCCGGGTGCAGTGGCTCATGCTTGTAATCCCAGCACTTTGGGAGGCTGAGGTGGGAAGACTGCTTGAGCCCAGGAGTTCAAGACCAGCCTGGGCAACATGATGAAACCCAGTTTCTACAAAAAATAAAAAAAATTTAGCTAGGCATGGTGGCACATGCCTGTAGTCCCAGATGCTGGAGAGGCTGAGGTAGGAGAATCACTTGAGCCCAGGAAATCAAGGCTGCAGTGAGCTGTGACCGAGCACCTGCACTCTGGCCTGGACAACAGAGTGAGACCTGTCTTAAAAAAGGAAGAAAATTTATATGATTCCTGCCCTCTCAAGATAATCTGTGCATTTTCCATTAAATTTTTTTACAATATTCCAGTTATACTGGAATTAATTTTGTATCTTTATTTTTAAATATTTTTTCTACATAAACAATCCAGTGCTCAATAGAGAAAATATAAAAATAGGAAATGTACTTCATTTAGAGATAACCTGTGAAAAGAAATGTGTGTACTTTCTTTTCATATTTCCTTGAATTGTATTATTACTTTTGTATTCATTTCTTGTTGTAACTTAACATAATGGGAGTACCAAGGTTGAGCTAAGGATGCTTACTTAATACAGGGGATGATATGGCACAGAAAGCCCAATAAGAACTTCAATAAAATGTGTGTGACATTAGGCATATATTGCTTGGATATCTGGACTGGTTAAAGCTCTAGCCTCAGCTGGAGGAATGTGAGATACTGTCTTTGGGATCACAGATGTGTCCAAATCTAAGTGTGCTTTGTTACCTTGTTCTCATAGGAAGCCAAGCGGTTTTCTAACATAGATAAATCTTGGGTGAAGATCATGACTCGGGCACATGAAGTGCCCAGTGTAGTCCAGTGCTGTGTTGGAGATGAGACCCTGGGGCAGCTGTTACCACACTTGCTGGACCAGTTGGAAATATGCCAGAAATCCCTTACTGGGTAAGTTCACTGGCTCTTTGAAAGCTCTCGGTATCCTTGAGACAAAAGGATACAGGGAGACTAGATAGCATTAGCCAAATTTGTTTTCTTTTGCTAAGGCTGAATTTATATATAAAGCTGTTGCACAGATGAAACTGATATTTTGAAGCCTTATATTCTCATCAAAGACTTGCTAGATTTGTCCTGATGTTGGACTCATAGGACTTAAGGTTGCTTCCATCACTGGGATAAGACTGTATAAACATCCTCATACAGTCCCTGCTTTAAAAAATTAATACACCTATTTTCTGACATTCTTCTTGAATAAACATTTATAGAACCAACATATTTTATTATACTCATTATATGAAACAGTGTTTAGTATATACATGCAGTCAGGATTATATTAAAAAGTGTCTAATATCTATCTACACACACATTTATGTGTACAGAAGCGTTGTGAATTCCAAGAGTCATAAAGTTTTTTTGTTTGTTTTTTTTTCCTTTGGTTAATCACAATAAAATAATGTAAGTAGAAATATGTTACATAGTAATATGCTAAGTGTACATTGACACTTAAGGAAGTTAAACTCAAGCACCTGAGCATTTAACTTAAATAATGATGTCTCCTTGGCCCACTCTGGGAGACAGTTGATCTTTCCCCATGAATACATCCTGATGGCCTCATGACCTGTAATAGTGTCCTGTGAATAACCAGCTTGTCCTGTGCACTGCGGGACTCAGGTCATCTAAGCCAGGCTGCCCTCATAGATGCAGTTGATGGCTTAAATACTGGGCTTCAAATGGTGCTTTGGCAGGATCTCGATGAAATAAAGAGAGGAGTTTATTAAAATTGAACAAAAAAAGTGACTATGCTAAAAATGGAAAAAAGACCTGTAAGAGGGTACTTGTAAGCAATGTGGATTACTTATTTATTCTCGGCTAACCAAAAAAAAATTTGAGACGGCTGCTGGAAAATAACAATGCATGAGAAAGTTAAGGTCAAAGGACAAAAAGGGCTAATAAGCTCAGAGGGTAAAATTGGTGCAGAGAAAAACTACAAATGGACCTTAGATTTATAGAGCAAAGATCCTTCCTAGGTTCCAAGGTAAAGGGTGGCATATGATAGGTTCATAGGATTCATAGAATAAAAGTTACCTGGGGAGACATTACGTTTTGTTGTCCTCAAATTGGTAATTTGGAGGAATTTCTATTGTGTATCCTATTAAAAGGAACCCAGAGCGGAGTCTCCATCTGCTTTCTTATCACAGCATGAGTCAAACATGAGCCTCTCTAATGGAATGGCTTCATTCAGGGAACTAAGGGAATGGAATCACCGCATACATTTCAATGAATCCTCCATGAATATTACTTTCATATCCACGTTGGTGGAAGGTATTGGGCAGCATAAAACGTGAGAGATGTAAACCCTGACAAGAATGCAGAGGACAGGGAGTCTGCACTGCTGGTTAAGGACAAATTCACAGGCTTCAGCATACAGCTGGGGAGATGTGGAAGTTTGTGGACTTTTAGGAAAGTTGAAGAGTCTAAACGTATGTAACTAACCTGCACGTTGTGCACATGTACCCTAAAACTTAAAGTATATAAAAAAAAGTCTAAACAAAACCATGCGTACATGGTTGTCCACCCCACTACCTTGAAGCTAGAGGTAGGGCCAAGATTTTCTGTAGCAAATATTTGCAAGTTTACTCTAATTTAGGTGATGGGTGTTTCAAAGGCCTATGCTATAGAGCAGGGGTCCCCAAACCTCGGCACCAGTCTGTGGCCTGTTAGGAACAGGGCTGCACAGCAGAAGGTGAGTAGCAGGTGAGTGAGCGAAGGTTCATTTGTATTTACAGCCGCTCCTCATCACTCGCAATATCACCTGAGCTCTGCCTCCTGTGAGATCAGCAGCAACATTAGGGTCTCATAGTAGTGCAAGCCCTATTGTGAACTGCGCATACACCCTATTCTGAACTGCACATGCGAGGGATCTAGGTTGCGTACTCCTTGTGAGAATCTAATGCCTGATGATTGGTCACTGTTTCCCATCATCTCCAGATGGGACCATTTAGTTGCAGGAAAACAAGCTGAGGGCTCTCACTGATTCTACGTTATGGTGAGTTGTAGAATTATTTCATTATGTAATAATAATAGAAATATAAGTGCACAATAATAATAGAAGTGAAGTACACAGTAAATATAATGCGCTTGAATCATCCTGAAACTACTCCCACCCCTGGTCTATGGAAAAATTGAAAACTGGTCTTCCATGAAATTGGTCCCTGGTGGCAAAAAGTTGAGGACTGCTGCCATAGAGTATCACCATAAACCTAAGGAGGCTTTTTAAACACCATGGCCATAGCCAACGCCAACGTCAGTAAAGCACCCTTTGTTTACTTTAAAGCAAAACCATTTGCAAGTAATTCTTCTAACATAAAGATTTAGAAAAATGGAGTCTTAGGGATTAATGAGTTGATCTCCCTTATAAAATTATTAGATCAAGTCAAGTAACTGTTGAAGGACAAAAAGATTGTTGTCTAATGATTGATGCTGCGCCATTCCATTTAGCCTAATAATTATTTAGCATGACCAAATGCAGTTCAGGCACCACTAAACAGTTCTTGGATATAGACCCAGCAGGAATGCTCTGTGCCTAACACCAGGATCAGGTCAGAGAGAACGAGAAAAGGGTTTCTGAAAGTTTCCCTGCTCTGGAGGTTCTTCAACATGGAAGGACTGAGGGGCAGGGACCACTAAGACATCATGCAGGTTCAGTTACCACTAAAACACTTGCCGAGGAACTGTCTACTGGACTACCTACAGCTGAGTTTATTGCTTTTCTCTCCCTTCCTCATCTTCCACCCACCACCACAGACAGACAGACAGACACACACACACACATGCGAAATCCCCCCTTTATTTTTTTTTTCTCCTTTTTTTTTTTTTGAGATGAGGTCTCACTCTTTTGCCCAGGCTGGAGTGCAGTGGTGCAATCTCAGCCCACTGCAGCCTCCGCCTCCCAGGTTCAAGTGATTCTCCCACCTTAGCCTCTTGAGTAGCTGGGAATACAGGGGCATGCCACCATGCCCAGCTATTTTTTGGCATTTTTTTTAGTAGAGACGAGGTTTCACCATGGTGGCCAGGCTGGTCTCAAACTCCTGATGTCAGGTCATCCACCCTCCTCGGCCTCTCAAAGTGCTTACAGGTGTGAGTCACTGTGCCTGGCCTATTTTTCTTTTTTTTTATTCTTTCTTTTTTCTATGAACATATTCTATTCTGTCACCCAACATTTTGGCATTATTTTATAACCCCTGCAGAGAAAATGTCTACTCTAAAATTGTTCACACTTTTTTTTTTAACTGAGCTTTCCCTGTCTTTTGATTTTGTTACCCAGAAGAGGTTATAAGCAATATATGTAAGCCTTGTATAGACATTTGAGAAATCATATTTATACAAAAACAACACCCTCCCAAGCTGTCGAGGATCAGCATGGACAGGAAGGGTCTTCACACAGATCAGATCGTAATCGGAGTTGCGGTAATCAGACTGTGTCCGTGAAGATAAGGTATCTTCTCTATACCGTCTCAGGAGTTTGGCTGTCACACACCACAGCCTCCTTCCATACTGGTCTAACGGGACAGAAAACATGACCCAATTCCTCACCAGAATCAGACCGGGCTACTGTAAGGAGGATAACAAACACATCACAGTTATTCAAATAAGGATTGGGATATTTGAAATAACAGAATTAGTAGTTTTAAACTGAGAAAAGTTTAGTTTTTTAGCTAAAACAAAAGTAAACATTATAAACATTTAAGTAAGACTTTAAGAAAGTGAGGGGGAATAGAAGAAAATAGACTCTCCAGGCTGTCTCATGTCCAAAGTGAACAAATCCCATCGCTGCAAGAGCTTGTTTTACTGAGGATCCTGTGAGAGCTGGATAGAATGATTTCAACCCACATGCCCAGGCTTATCCATGATCATCCCTGTACACATGTCCATTTCTTTCCCAAATTCCTTACTTAGCATGACCCTCTCTTTGTATCTCCTTCTTTTCTTTGCCTTTTTCTCAATGAGTGCCCTCCTTTGTCTTGAGGAATGTAGCTCAGATTTGTCCTCAGCCTGGACACCCCACTCAGCAAAACGAGTCCAGCAGTTGACGAATCGTGAACTGTCCAGCACTCCGCACGCATGCCCTGGGAGGTTGCCATCAGGCTCCGGTTTCTGATCCAAGTAATCCTCTAGTAAAGACTTGATTTTTCCTAGAAAGTGAATTCTGCTGTTATGAAACAGAAATGTTTCCTTATAATTTTACACAGGAAATAATACAATGTTCACAAAGAAGTGAACAACAAACACTGGGGTCTACTTGAGGGTGGAGGTGGCAGGAGGGTGAGGATTGGAAAACTACCTATCAGGTACTATGCTTATTACCTGGGTGTGGAATAATCTGTACACCAACCTCCCAACATGCAGTTTACCTGTATAACAAACCTGCACATGAACCCCTGAACCTAAAATAAAAAGTTGGGGCCAGGTGTGGTGGCTCATGCCTGTAATCTCAGCACTTTGGGAGGTTGAGGCAGATGGATCATTTGAGGTCACGAGTTAGAGACTAGCCTGGCTAACATGGTGAAATCCCATCTCTACTAAAAAAAAAAAAAAAAAAATATTAGCTGGGCGTGGTGGCACAGGCCTGTAGTTCCAGCCACTTCGGAGGCTGAAGCAGGAGAAACACTTGAACCCGGGAAGTGGAGGTCGCAGTGAGCCAAGGTCATGCCACTGCACTCCAGCCCTGGTGATAGACTGAGACTCTGTCTAAAAAAAAAAAAAAAAAGGTCAAAAAAGGCTAAAATGAATACTAATACAAATGATAAGGGAAGAGCAAAAATTAAAAAAAATAAAAATTAAAAAGCTGGTAAAGTTTAAAAAAGAAGTACAATTAAAAGCATCATAATTATAACAAAATATGCTAGAAAATGAAGATAGAGAGCTATAGTTAAGAAAACAACAGAATACACATATCCATAACATCAGGAATGACCATAACAGAAAGCAAATATAGAAATGAAAGCTCGGCTGAAAGCAAGTCAGTGATCGGGAACATTCAGTGGATTTTGGAAACTCCTGGAAGCAGAGACGAGTGCCACAGCTTTTCCATGGAGCTCGTCACAGCTGGGTTTTGCTTCTGCTTGGATGACGAATTCATTGGATTCTCTTTTAAGTCACAATTTCAAGTATTGTAGGGAGCTTTTAGATGGCACAGTGCTGGGCTTGGAAACCCAAACCCAAAACCAAAACCTGCCTGGGTGTGTTTTTATCTTACTCTCTACATAGTGTTTTTATCTTACTCTCTACATAGTGTTTTTATCTGACTCTCTACCTAGTATATACAAGATTTTCCAGACTGTGCAAAATGTGTACATTATAGTTGTGAAAAATGAGGGAATTCTGCCACCAATTTTGGGAAAAAATTATTTCTCCATCAGAATGTGGAATGTTATTTGAAAACATTCTTAAAAAATTGAAAAATTAAAAACAGTGAGAAGTCACGTAGGAAAATCAGATTGTCACAAGTCACACAATCTTCTCCCCTTTTCCCATCCAGGTTAATTTATTCCTTGAACGACCAGCTTTGTGTGGTTATAAAGGTTTATGTTTTTCCTCTCCTTGTAGGTACTTGGAGAAAAAACGACTGTGCTTTCCTCGGTTTTTCTTCGTCTCAGATCCTGCCCTTCTAGAGATTCTGGGGCAGGCGTCGGACTCCCACACTATACAGGCCCATTTGCTGAATGTGTTTGACAACATTAAATCTGTCAAGTTCCACGAAAAGGTTCGCCTAATTCTAATGGCAGGCCAACAATCACCGTACCTTCGAACCTCAACTGTCTTTAAGTAGCTCTTCGAAAACGGGTTTATAACAAGGGTTGCTTCCCTGTTCATTAGCTCTTGGCCAGTGACTAAAAACAAATCTCGGGGCCCAATTTACCTTCAGAACTGTGTAATTTCTTACTATCCAAAGTGTAGATTCAAATTAAAAAAAATGCTAGTTTAGGATTAAGAAGGCATTTATGTAGCATTCATGATTTTACACACCAAGTTAACTAGTAAGAAATCCAACAAGATGAAAAACCAGCTGTTCATAAAATAGCGTCTTAACTAAACGGAATTGCCCTCATGATGTAATTGTTTTAATCTGGTTTTGGCATACTTTATTCAAACTTTTTTTGTTTTTTTAACACTTCCATGTGTACAGAATCATGAAGCTGCATGAGACTCACGATAGGTCATTTAACTTGACGGAGACTACACTTGCACAGCTGCGGAAATCTATTGTCTAATCCATCCCTCCACCCAAATTCCCTAGGAAAGTGACTCTTCTTGTTAGATATTGTATTCAGTTTCCCTCTGGTGCTTCATACAAACCCCTAGTAACATCCATTTCTTCATCCTAGCATGTGGTGTTACATTTATTGAGCAACTACCATGTTCCAGATGTCATGCTTAACACTGGGAATACGCTAACCTTCCATGAACTTGTGCTGTGGTGGAGGAGACAGGGAAGTAAACAAGTAGCCTTCAGAGCCCAGTTAGGGAGTGTTAGAGCTATTCCATTCGAAGCAATTAAAAGCCACTTGTTAAGGTCAAGCTCCTTGCTGTCTGAGAGTCATGATGCTGGCCTGGGGTTCCCAGGAAGGGTGTATCATGATCAACGCTGAAGTCAGTTTTATGTACTACACTCAAGAGAAATTGGACAATTAAATTGCTGATAATTTTGGACTTGAATTGTTATTATTGTGCTTCATTAAGCACAAAGAACGTGAGAATGCCCATCAGGGAACCTGGTTGTATGGGGGTGTCCGGGAGGGCTTTCTGCAGAATATAAATTTGCACTGATGTTTTGAAGGTAAGTAGAATATAACCTTGCAGGTGAAGAAGGGAAGTATGGTCAGGTCAGAAGAAGAGCATGTGCAAGGGAGGTGTGGGCGCTCGGAAGTGTGGGAAGCCCAGGATGTCAGCAGCGTGGATGTGTGAGGGAGTGTATTAGTTTCCTAGGGCTGCTGTGGCTTAAAACAACAGAAATGTATTCTCTCAAAGTTCTGGAGGCTAGAGGTGACCACATCTTAAATTGATCACATCTGCAAAGATGCTATTCCCAAATAATGTCACATTCACAGGTATCAGGGCTTAGGACTTCAGTATATCTTTTTGAGAGACACAATTCAACCCACAACAGGGAGCCATGAGCAAAGAGAGAAGGGGGATGGGCAGGATTCCAAAGGCCAGGTGCATTACATTACGGAATTCAGCTTCATCCTGAACATGATAAAAAGCCATGGGAGGTGTTTAAGCAGGGCAGTGACCTGATTTGTGTTTCAGAAACATTCTCTGGTACAGTGTAGGAGGCGGAATGAAAGGGGGCAAGGAAATCAATGTAAGAAGCCATTGCAAAATCAGGATAAAAAAGGCTGAACAGCTGTAACAAGGCTTTGTTAGAGGGGACAGAGAGGAAGGAAAACAGGATGGATTTTAATGGTTCAAAAATCAATGTTTCTTGTTGTTTTATGGGATGTGTGGGTTGAAAGAAGGGACTAAATTCATCAGAAAATTCTTTCTGATGTTTCGCTTAAATCCTCTGCCATGGCACTAGGACATCATGGCCCAGGAGCAAAGCTTCTCACTGTCTCAAGTTGTATGGAAGATAATTTAAGTGTCTTTCAGTATCTTATTTACTGTGTAGCTCCCTTTTGTGAATTAAATGCCCACAGACTTTTAGCCTTTGTTCTTAGCAGCTGTTTCTTAAGATCGCGTTGCTTTTGTTTTTTGTTGCTCCTGCCATAAGGTTTCTACAATCGGGGGCAGATTTTGGTTGTGTGGGTGCTAAATCTTGTAAAATTATAAATACAAATTCATATTCAGGACCTTGGAAAGGGTCTGTGTAAGTGAGGGGCCCTGAAACTGAAGCCTCATTAGCTTTTTGGTAGATCACGTCTGTCTACAGCTAAGGAGGACTTAGTACAGCACTTTAGGTTTTAGAAGCCTCATTTCATCTGAGAAACTTTAGAGATTTTAAAAATCATCATATTTGTATTAAATATTTCTTTTAAAAATAAGTTTCCCCCCTTACAGTATGGTTTATTTGGAATTGATTTCTTTCTTTTTCTTTCTTTCTTTCTTTTCTTTCTCTTTCTTTCTTTCTTTCTTTCTTTCTTTCTTTCTTTCTTTCTTTCTTTCTTTCTTTCTTTTCTTTTCTTTTCTTTCTCGCTCTGTTTCTTTCTTTCTTTTTTTGAGACGGAGTCTCGCTCTTGTTGCCCAGCCTGGAGTGCAATGGCATGATCTCGGCTCACTGCAACCTCCGCCTCCTGTGTTCAAGTGATTCTCGTGCCTCAGCCTCTCAATTAGCTGGGATTATAGGCGCCCACCACCATGCCCAGCTAATTTTTGTATTTTTAGTAGAGACAGGGTTTCACCATATTGCCCGGGCTGGTCTTGAACTCCAGACCTCAGGTGATCCACCTAGAGCGGCCTCCCAAAGTGCTGGGATTACAGGTGTGAGCCACTGTGCCTGGCCTGGAATTGATTTTGTATTGCCTTTTAGATTTCATGGCTTTTTTTTTTATTGTTTTGAAGTAGTTTATATTTGGCTTTTACAGTATTTTATAATCTGTAGCTTTACTTTCTTTGGGAAGGACAAGTCAATAATTAGTTTTTACTTTTTATATGACTATAGCTTTTTTTTTTTTTTTTTTTGGTTTCTAACATAGATCTATGATCGAATTCTGTCAATTTCCTCTCAAGAGGGTGAGACGATTGAATTGGATAAACCTGTCATGGCAGAGGGCAATGTGGAAGTTTGGCTTAATTCTCTTTTGGAAGAATCTCAGTCCTCATTGCATCTTGTGATTCGCCAGGCAGCCGCAAATATTCAAGAAACAGGTTTCCAACTAACTGAATTTCTTTCATCCTTCCCTGCTCAGGTCAGTGTATTGAAATTTGAAAGTATGTTTTGTAAAATAGTCATTTTAAGTCTCAGACATTACCTATTGTAAGCTTCAAAAATGGCTATAATTTAACTCTAGACCAGTATTAAGATTTTCATAAGGACCCATTAAATATACTTAACCTTTCAGATTTTAACTACAGATTATATGGTCATATATCTATAGACTTAAATGTGTATTTGGGTTATAGATATATTTGATGTATTGTCTTTAATTTAAAACGGTTTTTTCCCTAATCAATCTTTTGATGTAACAATGTACAAAAATCATGAAAATGTACTGATTGAACACTTTACTAAAAAAAGAAAAATAGATTCAGCATTAAAATACAGGAAACAATGAGAAACGTGACTTCAACATAAATGACTCAAAATGATAAGAAATAGAATTTCCATAGGTTATGAAAAAAGGTATCAAAGTTGATGTAATCATGGCTTTACACTTGTGTAACAATCACAGCTGTTGATCACATTGTATTTCTATTTAAATACATAAATATGCCATACAAATTCATGAAGCCTTTTTTATTTCCATAAGGTTGGATTATTAGGAATTCAGATGATATGGACACGGGATTCAGAAGAAGCCCTTAGAAATGCCAAGTTTGATAAAAAAATCATGCAGAAAACTAATCAGGCTTTCCTGGAGCTACTCAATACATTGATAGACGTCACCACGAGGGATCTGAGTTCCACGGAACGAGTGAAATACGAGACTCTGATTACTATTCATGTGCACCAAAGGGATATCTTTGATGACCTGGTAAATTCTTTATAAATGCTGTGGCATGTAGAGAAAAACAAATTCTAGACACTATCTGCATTTACCCAGTAGAACTAGTTTGATTGAATTCAAGGAAAAAATTAAATTCTGGCAAAGAATCATGTTTGTAATCAGAGCTTATCAGCTTTCTTTTCAGTCTTAACTGAACGTAAGTCATATTCTGATGATCTATGCTAAGATGTTATTGAGGCAATTAGACTTTATTCAAAAATGTTTTAACGTGATGATTTTTAATGTTAAAATTGTCATGTAGCATCTGAAAAGCCTTCATACATCTTTTTCGCTTTTTACCTATTAATTGAAGATCACCAGTTTCTTGCTATGAAAATTATTAGTAATATTGCTTAGTAGAGCTGTTTAGGACTTCCCTTAAGCCTTTTGAAAAATCACATTCTTAACAAGTTTTGCTACATTTTATGTCATTGATTGCAAATGGCCTTTCCTAATAGAGCTTCTGACATTCAGGTGTTACACATTTTTGCTTTTAAATAGAGAACAAGGTGGGAAAAGAGAGTTGTGTAGCTATAGAAAATGGGAAATAAAAAGTGAAATTTGTCCTCTACTATAAAATAAATTAGAGGCAAAAAGCTCTTATTCTCATAATAATTTTCTGGATTTGTCTCATCCCATTATGTAAAAAAGATTATGAAAGATTGGTCCTGATATAATGGAAGTAAAGGCAGCACATCAAAGCTATTGTGTGCTAATCTCCTGTCTTAATAGTTAAGCACACTACTTACCTTTCCGAGGAATAAAGGGCTCAGGCTAATTTTAGATTTCTTCTTTGTCAAAGAAAATGATGAAAGTGGCTTAAAATTTTGGTTAAAAAATCTGGACAAAAGCATTTCCAGGCAATGGCCTGTCATTTAGATGTTAGAAATTTTGGCCCGATGTAATTCTTGGGAAAAATAATTACTGGATTAAAAAACCCCAACAGCGTACTTTGTTATAGTCTTAAGAGATGTCTTTTTCCTAATGAGATTGTTTATTGCTGTCTTTGTGTGTCAAAACATGCTTTTCATAGATTATATTTCATGGTGAGGACTATGGCATTAGGCATGTCAGGGTGAAATTTAAGAAATTAATATCTTATTATTAAAATACGTAAAGGCACTTAAATTGGAGAGGCATAATTAGGGGTTTCACTTGAGTTTTCTTATTCCTATATCTTCTAGTTTCTTTTTTACTGATCAATAAATGAATAGCTTGGCTGGTGATACAGTTGACACCTGTGAAATAGTTCGGTTGTCTGTGAGTTTCATTTATTTCACTTTATGATCTACATGAATGCTAATAACGTGTATATTTAATGAGTGATTCTCATCAGAGCTCTAACATATACCTTTTGAATTTCAGTGTCATATGCATATCAAGAGTCCCATGGACTTTGAGTGGCTGAAACAGTGCAGATTTTACTTTAACGAAGATTCTGACAAGATGATGATTCACATCACAGATGTGGCGTTCATATACCAGAATGAATTTTTAGGCTGCACTGACAGGCTTGTAATAACTCCACTTACAGACAGGTGATGGAACCCTTCTCCCCAACCCCCACCATTTTTATTCTCTCGAGTTGCTCAGGGGATTTTTGCTTAAAGTCTCTTAGGGTTTATAGGCTCTTTATACTAAAACCTTTGAAATTTAGTATTTTTAGCTTTATTATCAGCTTTCTTTTCACATGGGATTTAGGTTTGTGACTGACACAGACCTTGCTTCCTTTGCCTTCAGTCTTATAGAGGCAGAGTTTAAATGTGTAAACACTGTGTGGACAGAGAATGGGCAAGAAAGGGAATTAATTTTTGTGTGTTGTCAGGTGCAAATCACAGTGGGCCTTGCGGGGGCTGCTTGAGTATCTGTTCTTACTGGGAGACAATTAAGATTTTCTTTTTTTTTTTTTTAAGCAGGAAAGAAATTGAGTATCAATGCAGGTAAAAGTTGGGAGAGGGCACTGGAAAGGCCTCCAGAGTGTTAACTCTTCCCTTGGCCTGCTATTTACAAGTTGTGTTAGTGACACCTGCCACTGCAACCTCCCTAGATTCAGTCCCCTCATTTGTAAGATGAGCTAAGCCAGTGGTCCCCAGCCTTTCTGGCACCAGGGATTGGTCTCGTGGAAGACAATTTTTCTACAGACCAGGGGGTGGGTGATGGTTTCGGGTTGATTCAAGCTCATTCCATTTATTGTGCACTTTATTTCTATTATTACATTGTAATGGATAATGAGATAATTATACAATTCACTATAATTTAGAATCAGTGAGAGCCCCGAGTGTGTTTTTCTGCAACTAGACAGTCCCATCTGGGGGTGATGGGAGACAGTGACAGATCATCAGGCATTAGATTCTTGTAAGGAGTGGGCAACCTAGATCCCTCACATGCACAGCTCACGATAGGGTTCACGTGCAGTTCATAATAAAGGTTGTGCTCCTATGAGAATACTGCCGCTGATATGACAGGAGGCAGAGCTCAGGCGGTTATGTGAGCCATGGGAGTGGCTATAAATAGAGATGAAGCTTCTCTCACTTGCCCGCCGCCCACCTCCTGCTGTGTGGCCCGGTTCCTAACAGACCATGGACCAATACTCTGTCCTCATTCAGCTCCAATACTGGTCTGTGGCCTGGGGGCTGGGGACCCTGAGCTATGTTGTCTCTAAGGGTGCTTGCAGGGCTAATATTCTGTGATTTGCTTAGTCTAATTTGAACTTTGTAATATCAACTACATTGTATATTTTCGCTTCAGGTATGCACTGAATGCTCATTATTGTCAAATGGCTTGCGTTAATCATTCCATATTGTATTCATATAACATAACATCACATTGTGCCCCACAATAATATACAATGACGATTTGCCCATTAGAAATAATGTTCATTAAAAAAATGGACTGGGCATGGTGGCTCGCTCACGCTTGTAATCCCAGCGCTTTGGGAGGCCGAAGTGGGTGGAACACAAGGTCAGGAGATGGGGACCATCCAGGCTAACACGGTGAAACCTTGTGTCTACTAAAAATACAAAAAATTAGCCAGGCATGGTGGCACGTGGCCATAGTCCCGGCTACTCGGGAGGCTGAGGCAGGAGAATCACTTGAACCCGAGGCGGAGGTTGCAGTGAGACAAGATCATGCCACCGCACTCCAGCCTGGGTGACAGAGCAAAACTCCGTCTCAAAAAAAAAAAAAAAAAAAAAAAAAAAAGTGGAGTTCCCAAATAGGAATTTCTCATAAAATGCTTATGTGGTTATTTTATGTCTTCTGCCTTTCAAGTCTCCAGCACTTCCTTGTCTTCCTCTGTCTCCACCGAAGGCCTTATTTCATGTTTTTTTTTTTGAGAAGATAGACGCATTCATCTCCACCACCATGTGCGTTAACCTGGGTGCCTGTTCTCATGCAGCTGCTTTCTCTCCAGGTTCGCTGTCCAAAGCCAACACCCCCACTGACTCCAGGATTTCCTCTCTGGAAGCAACATCCATTTTCACTTTCTACTGAATCCTTTTCATCAACACACAAATATGCTGAGATTGCTTCTACCCAGCGAACCCTACCGTGATTGTCCTGGTTTCCTTCCCACTCCATGCTCCCTTCAAAACCCCTCAAAAGCACAGTTTCTCTCCACCTTGTTTTTCTTCAACTCACTTCATTCAGGCTCTCTGCTAACTTTGTATTGCTGCCATAACAAATTGCCATAAATTTAGAAGCTTGAACCACACAAATGTGTTCTTTTTGTAGTTCTGTCCATCAGAAGTCTGACGTGGGTCTCACGGGATTGTAATCAGGTGTCTGCAGGGCTGTGTTTCTTCCCAGAGACTGAGTTCTGTTTCCCGCTCTTCCAAGTTGTTGGCAGAATTCCTTTCCTCCTGGTTGAAGGACCCAGGTCCCCATTGTCTTAGGTCAGCTCAGGGCTGTTCCAGCCTCTGAAGGCTACCACGTTCCTTGATCCTGACTCCTTCCCTCATCTTCAAAGCCAGCAGTGGTGGGTCAGGTGCCTTTCGTGCTTTGAATCTCCCCTCCTTCTTCTGTCTTGTGTCTCTGACCCACTCTTCTACCTATCTCTTCTGCTTTTAAGGACTCATGAGATTAGGTTGAGTCCACTTTATTATCCAACATAATTCCCTCTTCTCAAGGTCCTTAACATTAATGACATCTGCAAAGTCCCATTAGCTGTGGAAGGTAAGATGTTTACAGATTGCAGGTTGCAGAGATTAGAACGTATTTTGGGGGGACCATTATTTTGTCATACTTTCCGCATCACTCTGATAAAACAGCTCTCCTGAAAGTCACCCAGACCTCTTGCTAAATCCAGTGTTTTTTCCTGGATCTCGTCTTTCTTGAGCAATCAGCTGCATGGGAGCAGTTGATCATTCTCTCCTTTTTGATACACTTTCATCACATGGCTTCCAGGACACCACACTCACCTGGTTCCTCCCAGTGGTCTGGATGTCCCTTTGTACCTGCTCCTACTCGTTCCTCTTCATGTTTCTGACCTTTAAACATAGAACTGCCAGGCTCTTCTCTTCTCCACCTCTACTCATTCTTTAGGTGATCCCACATGGCTTCAAAAACCCCAAACTCTGCCTCAAACCAGGGCTTCTCTCCCAAACTCCAGACACACATACCTATTTGCCTATGTGACATGTCTGTTGGTTGCTTACAGTATATTTAACCTTAGCGTGTTTGATCAGCCTCACAAAAGTGCCCTCCTGCTGTTGTCTTCATTTTAGCAAGTTGGCCATTCCATTTTATCAGAATGCTGGGGGGAAGTGTGATAGTAAGTATAATGGCCCCCAAAAGATGTCCATGTCCGAACCCCTGAAGCCTGTGAATACATCACCTCCAAATGGGCAATCCAACACTCCCTGGAGTAACCCTGAAGCCCTTCCTTCTCTCTCACCTCATTTTCCAATAATCTACCTTCAATTTGGTCAGCAGTGCTTTCAGGTTCCTTCTAGAATGTGACCATTTTCACCCCTTTGCCTTACTGGTATGGCTCCGATGACTGGAGGAACAGCAGGGTCCTTTGCCTTGTGCCGATTAGATAAACGCTACGGACACACATGGAGTCGTTTCATGGGGTGGAAAGTTAAATAGGCAAGAAAGAAGGAAAAAGCTCCCCAGTACAGAGACAGAGGGAGGGGTGCTCCGAGCAGAGAGAGAAAAACCACGTAAACAGGGGAAAACAGTAGGTTATATTAGGAGGCTGGAGGAGGCGGTGTCTGATTTGCATAGGGCTTAGGGTTTTGGTTTGACCAGGTGTGTCATTCATGTAGCCCTCGAAAAAACTGGCCCTCCAACCCCAGCCTTTTAATATGTAAATGCAGATCGCAATGATGTCCTGCACACATGGAGTTATCTGGAGGCAGCCATGATGCTTGGCGCACGTGGTGACAAGGAGAAGAGGGTGGGAATTGCCCTGTTGGATGGACCCAGTTTCTAATCACCAGCATTTGCATATCAAAGCTTGCCGGCCTGGCTCTTTAAGCTGCTTTTCTGTTAGAAAAGAAATGTTTCGGGAGCTACTTTTATTAAAAGAAACAAACCTTACCGAGGACTCCTTTTACCCTCTCTATCTGCCTACAGTTATTTCTATATCATTACTACTATTTTTTTTTTTTGAGAAGAAGTCTCACTCTGTCGCCCAGGCTGGATCACAGTGGTGCGATCTCCGCTCACCGCAACCTCCCAGGTTCAAGTGATTCTCCTGCCTCAGCCTCCTGAGTAGCTGGGACTACAGGTGCGTGCCATCATGCCTGGATAATTTTTGTATTTTTAGTAGATGCGGGGTTTCACCGTGTTGGCCAGGGTGTTCTTGAACTCTTGACCTCAGGTGATCTGCCCTCCTCAGCCTCCCAAAGTGCTGGGATTATAGGAATCATTACTACTCTTATCCTGACCTGCATCCTTCTGACAATGTTTTAACTGGCTTCCCTGCCTCTGTCGTTGTCCTCGTACAGTCTGTTCTCAGTTCAGACACCAGAATGTAAGTCAGATCCTTTGCCCCAAAACTTCTCCCATGGTTCCTTCTCATGCAAAGTAAAAGCCAACGTCCTCACGTGGGCCTGTGAGGCCTGGTACAATCTGGCCTCTGCTACTTCTCTGTTTCTCTATCCTCATTCAGCTCAGGCCACCTGCTCCTTGCACAGCTGTGGCGCAGCCCTGCCACAGGGCCCTTGCCCTCATTATACACTTGGCCTGGCACCCTCTTCCTTCAATAGTGGCATAGCTTGCTTCCTTCTTCCTTTAGTCCCCTGCTAGAGAGTCACCTCAGAGGGTCTCCCGACCTCCCGCAATCTCCAAATCTCATAACCCTCTTATCCTTGGTGCGTGGGCTTCATGTGATTTGTTTGCTAGAATTGTTCTGTCACATAACAGATGCTAAATAAATAGTTCTTGAATAAATGAAAGAAGTGATTATTTCCAAAATTGCATCTTAATGGTGAAAAATTTACATGGTACAGAAGAACATGAAGTAGCATGTGTGGGAGGGAAAACTTTTCTATTTTTAAAAATGATCAACAGTTTATTTTCTATCCCTCTGAAAACTGTGGATGCTTAGACATTAAAATCCTTTTTCAGTTTCACATATAGGTATCATAGTTTACAGTCTTTTCTGCAATTTGATTCTTCCACTGTGTTCATTGTCTTGTATTTTTTTTATATTAAAAAACTGAGAACTTTAAAAGCAAAATAAGTATTTTCAAGTATGTAAGTAAAGGGATTCTGAAGTTTGTCTGTTTACCCTAAATGCCCATTTGTTTATTTTTCTTTAACCAACTTGATTATGTGGGAAGTGAGTTATTAATTTTCGATAGTAACTGAGATTCCACTGCAAGATTTGCTTCCCTTTTGCAAGAGAAAACTCCTCATTGAAATTAGTACTTTTAAAAAGTCAAATGCTGGAGGCACTGACATGTTGTCAGCCCTTCACTGACTGACCTGTGAATTTAACAGCTGGGGCAGCTCCCTGGATTCTGGGAAGCTCAATGCCATGTGGACAGAGTTGCAGACATTTCAGATGATAAAATAGCTATTATAATATGATAACATACAGCACTTTTCTCCAAAACTCGTAGTGTTTTTAATGAAGACTAGAATTGTCCTGACTACTGCTGTCACTTAAGCAGAAGGCAGAAGAAATTGAGGGCTGATGGAGGCATCTTATCTGCTTGATAAGAAATGTAGACAGGACTTGTACCTTTCTCTGACATTCCCACAGCTTCTGTGAGTGTTGCCTGAGTGCTGACTGCTCAGCTCTGCCCCTAGCAGCTGTGTAGTGTTGGACAAGACACCTAACCTCCCTCATTCCCTTGTTTGGGAATCATTGTGTGGACTAGAGGCAACGTAAGTACCCAGCACAGGGCGTGACACAGCAAATGTTTGTTATTATTATTATTATTCTTGCTATCACTGTTGCTTGTCAAAATTGCTGATAACACTTTTTTTTTTTTTTTGGGAAGGAGTCTCACTCACTCTGTTGCCCAGGCTGGAGTGCAGTGGCGTGATCTCGGCTCACTGCAACCTCTGCCTCCCAGGTTCAAGTGGTTCTCCTGCCTCAGCCTCCTGAGTAGCTTGGATTACAGGCGTGTGCCGCCACATCCAGCTAATTTTTGTATTTTTAGTAGAGATGGAATTTTGCCATATTGGCCAGGCTGGTCTTGAACTCCTGACCTCGTGATCCATCCGCCTCGGCCTCCCAAAGTGCTGAGATTACAGGCATGAGCCACTGTGCTTGGCCTATGTTAACACATTCTTTTTTTTTTTTGGATAACACATTCTTTAGCAACCTTGTCTTTGGTTTCTCCTTAAACATGCCCTATAATCAAAGAGTCTGTAACTAAACCAAGTTCTCAAGGAAGAAATGTACTCTGCTGATGCACGTACCATTGTTTCTTAGGAAACTTTTCAGCAGTTTAGAACCAATAGGAGTTGAAACCATTTCTGGTTTACCTGTGACAAAATGCACTGACAGTGCTATGAATAGTTACGATGAATGCTGGTGATAGATTTGGTTAGTTCGAGTGCTAATGAGCCCTGGGGTCATGGGGTTGGTTGCTTTTCATTTGGCATCAGGGTCACATTCTGCATCTCTAATTCCTGTAGCTGTTGGGACAGGAGGGACCAGATAAGAATGAATGACTGGATCAGCGCAAGCCATTTATTCAACCAATGTTCATATAGTACAAGGTGCCAGGGGTTAGGCAAGTAGTTGAGGGTACAAGTGTGAACCAAACCTAGCTCCTGACCGCAGAGAGTTTATAGCAGTTTAACTGAAGGTTAGAAAACTAAAATGGAGTTGACCACAGGCAACTAAAACACATAAAGTTCAAACCCTGTTCATGAATGGAAACGGTTTTGAAAATAGCCAATAGATAGACTAGAAAGGAAAGCAGAGAAGGGAGGCAAGAAGGGAGATACACTCACATGTAGAATTCTCTAGACACACAGGGAGATGCTGTGACAGATCCATGCTTGTCACCGAAAGGCAGTTTGGGCACCAGTGTAGCAGTGGGTCTGAAGCCCCACCTAGCTGAGCCAGGGAGAAGTCTCCAGGCATGCCCACCTGCTTTTCATGTAAATAGGATTGATCTGTTTGAAGCAACTTGCTACTTGTTCAGTTTAAATATAAACCCAGTGATCTCAGTTGTAACGAGGGTCTGCATAACACAGCAGCCGAGTGATCAGAGTTGATGGAGATGTATTCCCTTTTTTGTGTTTGGTATTTTATTTAATCTTTTTTTTTCAGTTTTTAATTTTTAAGTTCAGGGGTACATGTGCGGGTTTGTTACATAGGTAAACTTGTGTCATAGAGGTTTGTTATATAGATTATTTCATTGCCCAGGTATCAAGCCTAGTGCCCATTAGTTATTTTTCTTTCCCGGATAGAGTGGGCTTGTCCCAGAGCTGGAAAGTGAGAAGACTTGGCTTGTCTCAGCTGTCCTGCCGCAGTCCTGAGAAAAGTCACTCAATCTCTGTGGCCTTTTTCCTTATCTCTGTACAGTGGGGGAAAGGAACAGTAGCTTCCTTCCAGGGTTCTCTGGGGATGAAACGAGATGATGCATGTGGAGCACACTGTGGTGTCTGTTGTTGTTACAGACTCTGCTTTGGAAGGGATGGCAAAAATGCAACAGGAGAAATAATACCTTGGGTTAAAAGGCAGAGTCAAAGTGAGAGCAGGCATTCTCCTGATTTCATGACCAGATCTTTTCCTCTGTATCCAGACTCTGCATACATTAAGGGCTGAGTCATTTACTTGCCTTTATAGCACTCGTTTCCAGTAACATTGAGAACCTGGAACCACCCCCAGCTGGTGCACTCAGTGTTCATTTCCACTGCTCAGGCTGGATAGTCACTTCATTTCCTTGGAAGTCTTTTTCAAGTCCGGATGAATGCTTTATAGTTTGGCCATAAGAAAACCCTACACGGCACCACTTTATAATTTGTCTCCTTTGGTAACACCAGGTGGTGCTGGCAAACAAGTAATTGATCTGCAAGTTATCAGGTGAAAAATTTTCCTTTGCAGGCATTCTTGTATTCTCTCACCAAATCTTTTATTTGTTAATCTCATATAGTAAGATGCAATTGAAAGCATGTGCAAGGTTAGTAGATACTCACAGAAATAGATTCAAGGTGTGATTATTTAGCAGTGTGTGTTTTAAATCCCAACTACATCAAATGGCCAACTCTTAGATTCAAAAGGGGATTAATCTATTTGAAAGGATCCCGATCTGTTTCACAGAATATATACATTTTAGATGGGGGTAGATTTCTGCGAAAATGTTGCCAAATACATTTTGGAAATGCAATGTATTATTTTTATACCTGGAGATTCTCTCTGCATATTATGATAAGAAAGCCTGAAAAATTCAGCAGTAAAGAAACCTGTTTAACCTTTTAAGGAGTTTTTAAACTTAGTTGATCATAGACTACCCCCTCCTTTTCCTCAACATATGTTAACATTGATAAGGATAAGTGTGTTTTAGGATGTTGTATTCGAAATGTTAGGTAGGGACAATGGCCTTTTGTTTTTTAATCTTGTGTGCGTTTCATGCCACTGTGATGTCTCAGAAGTATTTCCAGGTGACTGAGGGCTGGTTCTAGTGATGTTTCTACCCATGCAGATGTTACATCACGCTGGCTCAAGCTCTGGGAATGAGCATGGGGGGAGCCCCTGCTGGACCTGCAGGCACAGGCAAAACAGAAACCACTAAAGACATGGGACGATGCCTCGGGAAATACGTCGTGGTTTTCAATTGTTCAGACCAGATGGATTTCCGAGGACTTGGACGGATTTTTAAGGGTATGGGTTATATTTTTTAATCTGGTGAGAAATTGCAGCCAAGGTGGAATATTTTGCTAAAATTTGTTTTCAACAATTGGCCACATTTTAGAATCATTTTCAACTTTGTAAAATTTTTTGGAAAATCTTCAATCTTGCCAGGTTGTGTGGACCAAATGTTACTTCCTCCTGACTTTTTTTTGATATTCCTTTATCTTGGGTGTTTACAGGTGAAGTGCCAAATTGTAAGCTGTTTTGGGTCACTTGATGCATAGATCTATTTGTTGCACTTTACTTTTGAATGAACTTACATCTGGCTCATTTTAGCAGCTACATAATATCCTTTTTCTTGGTTTTCTAAAATTATATACTAATTGGATTTTTCATTTAATTTCCTTTCGAAGGACTGGCACAGTCTGGATCCTGGGGTTGTTTTGATGAATTTAACCGTATTGATCTACCAGTTCTCTCGGTTGCAGCCCAGCAAATTTCCATTATTCTGACATGTAAAAAGGAGCACAAAAAGTCTTTTATCTTTACTGATGGAGATAATGTGACTATGAACCCTGAATTTGGGCTTTTCTTAACCATGGTAAGGAGCTGCTAGAAAAGCTACTGAATTTCAGCCTTCTTATCACAATTTTCATGCATCTCCCTGGTCATATGTCATCTGTTTTCCTGAATGGAAATTGGGATTGTAACTTTACCTCCTTTTGAAAACCTTTTGGTGTTAAGCAAAGATCATATGAATAGCTCATGACTTAGCCTGTCCAGGTAAAACGAGATTGAGATACGTAAATGAGTTCCCTGGTTGTCATTCCAGATTTGTTGTGTGTACATAATGAATCTTTTAATATGATGCTGATGTGTGCTTGATTGCATCATTCATCCTTGGGCTTTATTTTCTGTTTAGAATCCTGGCTATGCCGGACGGCAGGAACTCCCTGAAAACTTGAAGATTAATTTCCGCTCAGTGGCCATGATGGTGCCTGACCGTCAGATTATCATAAGGGTGAAGTTGGCTAGTTGTGGCTTCATTGACAACGTTGTTTTGGCCAGGAAGTTTTTCACGCTCTACAAACTGTGTGAGGAGCAGCTTTCTAAGCAGGTGTGTCATCCTGGAGGTCTTATGCACTTAGGCATGTTTCATTTTTCTATTCAGCAGAATGTTCTCATTTTGAGAAATTCTAGACTGGGCTTGTTGACAAAGGATTTTATTGACACTGAGTAGAAAGGTGTATTACTACAAAAATAATTTTATATGCATAGTTTTTTAAGAAGTACATTTAAATAAATTAATATTTACAGCATAGAAATGAAGTGAATATTATCTGCACTGGTTTAAGAGCCAAAGACTTATGGATATTAACATTGGCTGTTTATACCACTTATAGATTCATTGTTATATGTGTTATGTATTTTCATGATTTGTAGGAACCTCCCAATGATTTATTCTTCTTCATTCTAAGCTCACTTGAGTATTTGACCAAGGTTTACTAACTGTCTTGTTTATATGTTGCAGCCTTCTTGCTAGTTTCCTCGATTGTTTAGGGTACCAGGTTCAGGCATCATGAGGTTTCATAGTTAAAAGTCATGGAATTAAACATATAGTTCTGCATTAGTTATCTATTGCTGCATAATAGTCATCTAACAATCATACCACAAACTTTGTGTCTTGTAACAACGTACATTTATTACTACATGGTGTCTGTGGGTCAGGAGTTAGCTGAAATGAGTCCTGTGGTTTGTGTCTAACAAGGCTACAATCAAAGTATTGGCTGGGGCTGTGGTTTCATCTGATGCTCGAATGGGGACAATCTACTTCTGAGCTCACTCAGGTTGTTAGCAGAATTCTGTTAGTTGAGGGTGTAAGACTGAGGGCTTCGATTTCTTGCTGGCTATTTTCTGGAGGCCACCTTTAGTTCCTACAGGCTGTGCATAGTTCCTTGCTATATGGGTTTCCCCAACATGACCACTTACTTTCTCAAAGTCAGCAAGGAAAGTGGTTTCAGCAAAACGAGTGCTACAGTCTAATCTAATGTGACCACATAATCACACACACATAATCACATACAACCTGTTGTCTCTGCTGTATTCTATTAGTTAGAAGAAGCAAATCACAGGTCCTGCCTACTCTCAAGGTGATATCATATAAGGACATGACCACCAGGAGGTGGGCATCATGCCACAATTTTTTAGTACATATCAGTAAAAATTACTAGAAATATATGCTAAATAATGACACAGTGCAATAAACATGAGACTATAACATGAATAACACTTCCTAACATATATAATCTTTGTTCCATCTTATCACTTAGGCTTTAATTTCAAACTTCTTTGAATCTTTATTACTTTTTATACCCACAGGTTCAACCTAATTACATTCCTACTAAAAAGTTCTTTTCCTATGAGTGTTCAGACACACACAGACTCTTCTGGCTCTGGCCATTGAGCCTTTCTGGTTAGTCTGACCCTAACATTTTGTCTCCCAACATTCTTGGTTTCTTCTGCTTATTGGAGCCCTTACTCACTCATTCTTATTGTATTAGTCTGTTCTCATGCTGCTAATAAAGACATACCTGAGACTGGTTAATTTATAAAGGAAAGAGGTTTAATTGAATCACACTTCAGCATGGCTGGGAAGGCCTCAGGAAACTTACAATCATGGTGGAAGGGGAAGCAAACACGTCCTTTTCACATGGTGGCAGGAAGGAGAAGTGTTGAGTGAAGAGGGGGAAAAGCCCCTTATAAAACCGTCAGATCTCATGAGAACTCACTATCATGAGAGCAACATGAGGGTAACTGCCCCTATGATTAAATTACCTTCCACTGGGATCCTCCAGTGACATGTGGGGATTATGGAACTACACTTCGGGATGAGATTTGGGTGGGAACACAGCTGAATCATATCATTTTGCCCCTGGCCCCTTCAAGATCTCATGTCCTCACAATTCATAATACAGTCGTGCCCTTCCAACAGTCCCTCAAAGTCTTAACTCATTCCAGCATTAACTCAAAAGTCTAAGTCCAAAGTCTCATCTGAGACAAGGCAAGTCCCCTCTACCTATGAGCCTGTAAAATCAAAAGCAAGTTAGTTACTCCCTAGATACAATGGGGGTACAGGCATTGTTAGCCTCAGCTGGAGCGGCTGGGATGCAGGGCACCAAGTCCCATGCCTACACACAGCAGGGGGACCCTGGACCTGGCCCAGGAAACCATTTTTCCTCTTAGGCCTCTGGGCCTGTGATGGGGAGGGGCTGCCATGAAAGTCTCTAACATGCTCTGGAGACATTTTCTCCATTGTCTTGGTGATTAACATTCAAATCCTCATTACTTACGCAAATTTATGCAGCTGGCTTAATTTCTCCTCAGAAAATGGTGTTTTCCTTTCCATTGCATCATTGGGCACAAAGTTTCAAAACTTTTATGCTCTGCTTCCTCTTGAAAGCTTTGCCGCTTAGAAATTTCTTCCACCAGATACCCTAAATTATTTCTCTCAAGTTCAAAGTTTCACAGATGTCTGGGACAGGGGCAAAATGCTGCCAGTCTCTTTGTATAGCAACAGTGACCTTCACTCCAGTTCCCAACAAGTTCCCCATCTTTATCTGAGACCACCTCAGCCGGAAATCACTGTCCATATAACTCTCAGTGTTTTGCTCAAAGCCATTCAACAAGTCTCTAGGAAGTTGCAAACGTTTTCATGTCTTCTTGTCTTCTGAGCCCTCTAAGTCTCTAGGAAGTTCCAAACTTTCCCACATTTCTTCAGTCTTCTTCTGAGCCATCCAAACTGTTCCAACCTCTGCCTGTTACCCAGTTCCAAAGTTGCTTCCACATTTTCAGGTATCTTTATAGTAGCACCCCACTCTATGTGGCACCAATTTACTAGTCTGTTCTCCTGTTGCTAATAAAGACATACCTGAGACTGGGTAATTTACAAAGGAAAGAGGTTTAATTGAATCACACTTCAGCATGGCTGAGAAGGCCTCAGGAAGCTTACAATTGTGGCAGAAGGGGAAGCAACACATTCTTCTTCATGTGGTGTCAGGAAGGAGAAGTGCTGAGTGAAGAGGGGGAAAAGCCCCTTATAAAACCATCAGATCTTATGAGAACTCACTTACTATTATGAGAACAGCATGAGGTAGCCACCCCCATGATTCATTACCTCCACCTGGTCCCTCCCACGACACATGGGGATTATGGGGACTACAGTTCAGGATGAGATTTGGGTGGGGACACAGCCAAACCATATCACTTATCTTTCAAATAAATATTTTTTCCATGCTGTTTCTTGAATGGAGAAAACTTCCCACATCACTGGCTCCTGCTCTTATCTTCACTACCACTTCACTACTTCCCTCACTCCTACCACCCATGTTCACAAGATCATAGTGAAATGTAATACATCAATGTGTGCAAAATAGTTGGACTCATACTGATGTCTTGGTGAACATTCTGTGACTTTCCCTTCATGCCCACAGATTTAACTGCATCCAACACTGATAGGAAGTTTCCCATGATTAAGTTTACTCACCAACACTTTTAAGTCATTGTTACTTTTATACAAGTTTATTCACATTTCTATTTTATTATCTTTATTAGAATTTAAATTCCCTGAAGGTGGAAACTCAATTTGAATATTTTTTATGTGCTCCATCTTCCAAATGACTAGTCTTAAGTGAGGCATACTGCTCCCAATTACCTTAGCAGAAGACTGTAGTTTTTTCCTATACATTTTTTTTGTTGTGGTAAAAGCATATAAAATTAAATTTACTATCTTAACCATTTTTAGTGTACAATTCAATAATGTTGAGTATATTCACAATGTTGTGAAATAGATCTCTGTAACTTTTTCATCTTGAAAAACTGAAACTCTGTGCCCACTAAACAACAACTTCTCTTTTTCTCTTCCCTTAGCTCCTGGTAACCATCATTCTACTTTCTGTTTCTATGAATTTGACTATTGCCAATAGTTCATATAAATGAAATCATATAATATTTGATTTTTTGTGACTGCCATATTTTACTTAGTGTAATGTCCTCAAGGTTCATTCATGTTTTAGCATGTGACAGGATGTCCTTTCTTTTTATGGCTAAATAATATTGTTATATGTATATACCACATTTTGTTTATCCATTCGTCTGTCAATGGACATTTGGGTTGCTTCCACCTCTTGGCTATCATGAATGGTGCTGCTATGAACATGGATATGCTGCTATCTCTTTGAGACCATGCTTTTATTATTTATTTATTTATTTATTTATTTATTTTTTGCAAGACAGAGTCTTGCTCTGTTGCCCAGGCTGGAGTGCAAGTGCTATCTCGGCTCACTGCAACCTCTGCTTCCTGGGTTTAAGTGATTCTCATGCCTCAGCCTCCTGAGTAGCTGGGATCACAGGTGCACACCACCACACTTGGTTAATTTTTGTAATTTTTTGGTAGAGATGGGGTTTCATCATGTTGGCCAGGCTGGTCTCGAACTCCTGGCCTTAAGTGATCTGCCCCACTTGGTCTTCCAAAATGCTGGGATTATGGGTGTAAGCCATTGTGCCTGGCACATTCTTTCAATTCTTTTGGCTATATACCCAGAATTGGGAGTGCTGGATCATATCGTTCCGTTTTTAATTTTTTGAGGAACCACCTTACTGTTTTTCACAATAATTGGATAAATAAATTTTGATTATTCACTTTATATATGCTGAAATTTGACATAATTGAGCTTTTGTAAATATTTAGTAAGGGAATGACAAAGCTGGGGGCTTAGCTTTCTAATTTGTCCTTATCCTTCCTCCTTCAGGTAATCCTGAAGCGCAGGTGCTTTTTTTCTCCCTGATTCTCCTGTCTTCTTACTTATCACGAAAAAGGCACATATATCTCTATGTATATGACAGTCATGAGTGCAGTCCCAGTTTAATTCTGGTTCTGAATTTTAACTGTAGAGATATGAGCAAATTTCCTTATGTATGATTGATTAAGAATAAGCTCAAAGGGATGTCTGTATTCCAAGAAGAAATTTATTCCTTTTTCCCTGCCAAGCTGTAGCAGCTAGTTCTGATCTAAGGGCTTAAGCTAATGATGGCACATGGGAGGACTCTTTGGGATATTCCCTATTTGCTCAAAACGTATATCTATATAGAAATATTTTACCCCATTGTGTGTATGCATTTTCTGAAGGAAAATCAGCATTTATTCATTATTGTGAATATAATTTCTGTCAGATTCATATGGCTTCTGCAAGTATTTTAATGTTGAAAATAAGCCCAATGTATCTCACATTCTCTAGGTTCATTATGACTTTGGCCTGCGTAACATTCTGTCAGTTCTTCGGACCTTGGGAGCAGCAAAAAGAGCCAATCCAATGGATACGGAGTCCACGATTGTCATGCGTGTACTACGGGACATGAATCTTTCTAAACTGGTAAGACTCACAGATGGAAGTGTTCCACCTACTTGGATATCAGTTAAACTAACTGCCCATACATGAGACTTCAAAATATTTATTTAAAATGCTCATTTAAAATGCCTAATTGTCAGATAAAGTGCTGGAGAGCATCACTTTAAATTATACTTTTTCAGACATTTTTTTGGGTAATGATTCCTATCCACTCCAAAATGTGCCTATTCCAATAGAATTGCAGTGGATTTTAAAAAATACACATGTTAAGATGCCAAATACCTTGAATCATTTTTGTGTTTTAGAACTCAAATCTCACCTTTGGAGTCTGGTAGAGCCTGGTAGGAAATAATGTGTAAACTCTACAAGTGTGTGATAGTTTCACACTATTATTTCACGATAGAGACTGATAATCAATGCCCACTATCCGTGGATCTATGTAAAGGGTCACAAAATGATAGATTTTTATTTTAAATTAAAAGTATACACCAAATTCCAATTCACAAACCTGCTATTAATTTCTAATTTAAAAATTCTTTTAAGTTTAAATTAAAAATTGTAGACTATATGGTATCCCCCAAAACTGACTATTTTATGGAAAGATTGTCACATAGACAGTATTGTCTTCCTTCCATTTCTTTCCTTTCTCCCTGTTCTTTTCCTCTTTATTTTATTTTTTTTAATTTATGGGAAAGATGAGGAAAATGTTTCTTAACTTCAATAAAGGTGATATGTTATTTGTTAGTGGTTACATTGCAATAACCCGGACTGTGTTGGGCATTTCCAGTTTATCTGCATATTGATATGTTTATACCAGAATAATTGGTCTGATTTCCCATTTTCTTTTTTTAGATTGATGAGGATGAACCCTTGTTTTTGAGTTTGATTGAAGATCTCTTTCCAAATATTCTTCTGGACAAGGCAGGTTACCCTGAACTGGAAGCAGCAATTAGTAGACAGGTAATATGCTTCACAGGGCAACGAGGGCTGGTGTCTGTTTCATCTGAATTTAATGGGAATAAAGTGGGGCTGCTGTGGCTCCAACCTATGCACTCTGAGCAGCAAAAATAACAACAGTGAGGCTAACACTGCTGTCTTAAGGGAGGCCAATGCACACCACGAGTCAAACTCCCCTTGCCCTGGGTCTCCTACCATTGCACAGCCACATGTCCAGCTAGTCATGTGCGAGTAGCCCTATTATTGGTGGAAACCATTCCATAGCAGATGCAGAAATGAAATGTGATTGGTCAGCAGGGGTTGGATGGGGCTCATCTGGCTGCCTCTCTGGAGCTTGGCTTAGCTTGTTTCTGCCCTGGTGTTTGCTGTGTCGCCTGCCTCTGCGTGTTATTTGCAGTGATCTCATGTGGCTTCTCTTTCCTCAGTACTTGTGGCTTCTTGCTCAGACTCTGGGGGTGGGATACGGTGGGTAGGGTGGGGGAACCCACCACACTATGTATATCATGATGTCTCTGGACTTCCCATGGTACTTGGTGCAGCTTTAACTTTTTATAGTCTTCCTAGGAATGAAAATTAATTACGTAAACCTTATGCCTCAATTTCTTTTTCTATGAAGAAGAGTTTGGAAAAAAATGTTTTATAGAAGTGGTGATTAGCTCATATTTATAAATTGCACTTCAATTCCTTGAAAATATTTATAATAAAAATCAAATGTGGCCAGGTGTGGTGGCTCATGCCTGTAATCCCTGCACTCTGGGAGGCCAAGTGAGTGGATCGCTTGAGCCCAGGAGTTTGAGACCAGCCTAGGCAACATGGTGAAACCCTGTCTCTACCAAAAATCCAAAAAATTAGTTGGGCATGGTGCCATGTGCCTATAGTCCCATCTACTCTGGATGCTGAGGTGGGAGGGTCACTTAAGCCTGGGAGGCTGAGGCTGCAGTGAGCAGTGATTACACCACTGCACTCCAGCCTGAGTGACAGAGGGACACTCTGTCTCAAAAACAAACAAACAAATGAAAAAAAAAAAAGGAAATCAAAATGTAGCAGTACTTAGTTTATATTTTGCTTTAAAAATTTAGTATATAAATGTCTGAATTTTCTGATGAGGTAAGAGTGATAATTTGTCTGCAAGTGGTTTCTTCATCTTTTGGCTAATTTTAACACTACCTAAAAGCTAAGTATTGGGCCAGGGGTGGTGACTCATGCCAATAGTCCCAGTGCTTTGATAGGCCAACGTTGGGGGATTACTTGAGGCTAGCCTGAGCAACATAGCGAGAACTCGTCTCTACAAATAAATTAAAAAATTAGCCTGGTGCAGTGGTGCATGTCTATAGTCCCAACTACTCATGCAGCTGAGGCAGGAGGATCACCTGAGCCTGGGACTTTGAGGCTGCAGTGAGCTGTGATCACGCCACTGCACTCCAACATGGGGTGACAGAAATGAGACTCTATCTCTAAAAAATATATAAAAATATAAAAAAGCTAAGCATTAAGTAGTTGATATGATGACTTACGTTAGTAATTTGTAGCATATAAAAATCTGAAGGGCAAATCATAGCATAAAGTGATACATGATTATTATAAAAATTATTTAAGTAAAATTGAAATCATTACGTACTGTGAGTTCAAGCATAGCATGATGATTAAGTGCATAGACCATGGATTTGAACTTCTTGGTCTTAAATCTGCATTCCATAGTTTCACAAGCTGATCATCTTGGGCAAATTGCTTAGTCACTCTGCTTCAAGTTCCTTATCTGTAAAAGGAAGATGTTAATAGCATCCCTTCCATCATGTTATTATAAAGATTTCCATCATGTTATTATAAAGATTGATCTTAGAATAATATTTGGCACAGAGTAACTTCCATACATGCCTTGATAGATAGAAACTCTGCAGTGGACATATAAAGACAGTTTGAAATTTATATGGAATTTCAATCAACATAGTATGCTATCCATTTTTCTAGTTGTAAGTATTACCTTTTAAATTAAACATTTAAAATACATTTTGCTGTTTGAGTCTTTATTTTTAAGTTGCTCCTCAGAGGTTCATTCAATCGAATATTTATATAAATGTTTTCAGTTCCCAAAGATAAATGCAGATATTTCTTATTAGTTTAGGATAACATCTTCATTACATTCAGCCAGATTTTTGTCTATGTAAATATGTATTTTTCATGCAATATATTTTTTATTATGGTAAAAATACAACATAAAATTTACATTTTAATCATTTTTAAGAAGAATTAAGCACACTTACATTGTTGAGCAACTGTTATCACCACCATCCATCTTCAGAACCTTTTTTATCATCCCAAATTGAAACTCTGTACTCATTAAACAGTAAATCCTCCTCCTTCCTCCCTATGTCTGTGTATTTTTTTGTGGCACAATGGTAAATTGAGATTGTCATTGATGTGTTTTTTTTTTTTTTTTTTTTGAGACGGAGTATTGCTCTGTTGCCCAGGCTGGAGTGCAGTGGTGCAATCTCGGCTTACTGCAACCTCTGCCTCCCAGGTTCAAGCAATTCTCCTGCCTCAGCCTCCCAAGTAGCTGGGACTACAGGTGCCCACCACTATGCCTGGCTAATTTTTGTATTTTTTTAGTAGAGACGGGGTTTCACCATGTTGGCCTGGCTGGTCTTGAACTCCTGACCTTGTGATCTGCCCGCCTCGGCCTCCCAAATTGTTGGGATTACAGGCGTGAGCCACCGTGTCCGGCCATCATTGTTGTGTTTCAATGTGGGGATTCTCTTATGTTTTCAGGTTGAAGAAGCTGGTTTAATCAACCATCCTCCTTGGAAACTGAAGGTCATCCAGCTATTCGAAACGCAGAGAGTGCGACATGGGATGATGACTCTGGGGCCCAGTGGGGCTGGGAAGACCACCTGCATCCACACCTTGATGAGAGCCATGACAGGTACAGGGCAGCCAAGGTCAATGCCTGGGGTGGCCCATTTAAGTAGTGGTGACCCATTTGAATGCCCAAGAGGGATACACAGGCAGATACAATAATATATTTTTATAGGAGGAAATACTGCTTTATTAATTATTGGGAACATTTTAGAGATAACATATTACATTAATGAACCAGAGAGAAAAAAAAACATTTTTAGGTGACTTTATGCACTGCACTGTATGTTTTACATATGTTATGTAATTTGATTTTCACAATGATCTTGAGAGGTGGTTATTATTATCCCCATTTTGTATAAAAATCAAGGCTCAAATTCAAAAACGCCCACGGTCACAAAGATGGTAAGTGATGGGACTCAGAGTTAAGGTCAGGGCGCGCTTAAAAAAAGCCCAGTTTTCCCAACATACCATGCCATTTCCCAGTAAAAACAAAATACAACACACTGTCTCTCAATAAATAGAAAATAATTCCAAACCCAACTCTTATGTTCTATATGCCGAAGTCATCCCAATCCCAATCATAAATTACCTTCCCATTTGGAATCAGATTTATTTTAGTGAAGTTAAATAAATGCATTTCATTTCCAGATGTCCCTAAGCCTTACATCTAAAGTCATCTAAGGATAATGGACATTACCACATTCATGATTATTCTTGTATTCTCTGGTTCTGATCAGACATGGATGACTCTCTTTCTAAAAATATTGGCATCCTGTAGACATTCCAAAATGTCACAGAACCTTGACGGTTGGAATGCAAAATATATAGCAGTGCATTGAGGTTCTAGGAGCTGACTGAAAGCCCATCCAGCAAAGAGGTACCTGGGTGGGCTTTCAGGCAGTTCCCGGAACCTCAGTGCACTGCTACTGATGCAACACTGGTACATTGTTGGTGGTTGCTGAGGATTGCCAGTATTTACTGTGGGACCCTGCAGGTGTTGGATTTGGTCTTTGTTTCCTCAGTTATTGGAGGAAGTGAATTCTGTCTATCAGGACTCTACCAGGCAGTCCTCAGACTGAGATAAAGTGTGTTCTCAGCTAACATCTACCTCTACCAAAATGGACCACTCCAACCTGCAGGACTTATCACGTGGTTTTTCATGTATGCTGTTAAGATTCTGTTTTGGGATTTTTATGTTTCTTAAATAATTGTGTTCTTCCTCTCAAATTTTTCTCAATAATATTTTTGTTGCAGTGACGAAGCTGCCTTCTGTTAACAATAAACTTTAAATGCACACGGTACAATGACTCGAACAAAATGAGTACTAAATATTAAACAATATAGATACATTATGTATGGTATATCTAAATTATGTAATCTGTATGGCATCACTGATTCTGGAGAAGTTCCTTGCAAAGAAGAATTAATCATTAGACTATTTGCTGTTTATGAACTTGGTTTTGGTTTTAGTAGTAGAGGAAACATTAATCTTACTTAAAGAACCATTGTTTCTCACTGAAAATGTTAATAATCCAAAAGGTTGAGAAGATAATTTAACTTCTGCTGACGACGTGGAGGGCTGATGCATATTATTTGTCCCCTGATTCAGCATATATCTCATCAAGTGTCTTTAATATTGCATACTTTGAAGATCTGTCAGGTTCTGTATTAGAAGCAGGACATAGACATAGACAGAGATAATTAAAACTCAACAGGGAATTGCTATAAGGAAGGTTTGGACAAGTATCCCATGAGTAGAGGCCAAGGTGATGAGAAAATCCTCTAAGGAATTATAGAAAGGCATACAGACCAGGTGCTACTTCATCCGAGGCTTGAGGGTTGAGTACCAGATTGATAAAAAATGTTTTTAGCAGAAAAAAAGAGTCTGTGTCAGTAGGAGGGATTGGAGAGAACATGATATACGCAAGGAAGTGCTTTGGCACTTCCGCCATGCCTGGCTAATTTTTGTATTTTCAGCAGAGACGGGGTTTCACCGTGTTGGCCAGGCTGATCTCGAACTCCTGACCTCATGATCTGCCCGCCTTGGCCCCCCAAAGTGCTGGGATTACAGGCGTGAGCCACCATGCCCTGCCCATTTTTATAATTTTATACTTTAAACCTTATTGTTCACTCTTCTGCTCATTAACCACAGTCCCTTATGCACAGAATCCCAGCCCACTGAAGAGTCGGCTTAGGGTGTGAAAGATTTGAATACATTTCTTGAATACATTTCTTGGTCACAAAAGAAAGTCCTTGATTCATGCAAAATTCATTTAGCTTATCGTTTTCAAGGTGAGCAAGAAAACATAACACAAATCAAAGCTGATAATGCAGTGAATGAGGCATCTTCTAGGTGATATTTCAGGCAGAAGATTTAATCTAGTGTAGCTTAAACCAAAGATTTTTTTTGAGCCATGAAATTTAGAGAGCTTCCAGATTATATTAGTACCTTCATAAATTCCAGCATGGTATCTTTTTTCACCCCTAAACAATATGCAATTTTCTCTAAAGAAGATAAAAAAGTGCTTTAGTCAATAAAGTATAATGAAGCTAATTATGGTAACTTAGAATGCAGTAAGACATATTTTCAATGTAGTTCTGCAGTTTTCATATTTTGAGCACCTGCTGACAGTACACCACAAATTAGTGCAATGTTGCTTAATGATGGTTCACTTCCCATCTGAGATGTCTAAAATTTGGATTTACTTGGTATAGATTGTGGAAAACCACATCGGGAAATGAGGATGAATCCCAAAGCGATTACTGCCCCACAGATGTTTGGTCGGCTGGACGTTGCCACAAATGACTGGACTGATGGGATATTTTCTACGCTTTGGAGGAAAACATTAAGAGCAAAGAAAGGTAGAAGATAAATTACAAGGATTATTTTTGATTATACTTCTAGATAGAATCCTTGGAGGCTATACAGAATTAGTAGAACAACTGTATTTGCTGTATAATATCTTAGCCAAGACTAAGAAGTCATAAATCAGTGTGATATTTGTGAAAGTTGAAATAATGGAATTATTGATTACAGTATTTAAAATGCTCCCTTTTAGGAAATAATATTTTCTAAAAAAATATGTCTGTATCCCTGTGATATTTTAGAATAAAATAGATGGAAAAAGCTGTTAAGGAAAATTGATAATATTGAATAAAGTGATTTTACCATAACTATTTTCACTGAATATTTTACCAGTGTTGCTCTCATTTAAGTACAGCCTATTTTTAAAGAATTGATTTCTCTATAAAGTCACAGAGAAAATGGGTTGTTTGGGAGAGAAAATTGTATATAGCAAAAATGAAGTCTACATTGAACTAATAAATTATTCTGTGTAGATGGACATTGGTGTTCAGTTGTTTAAACAAACTCATTAAGGGCTAGCGGTTCAGTCTGAATAGTCCCTCACTTATGGACTTTGTAAATTGAACCCAATGTTCTCAGAATATAAATTCGGTGGGAAGAGGTGACATCAGCTTTCTTCTCATTTGATTTCCTCACTCCTGAGTGAGCAGGCAAAGGCAGAGTGAATACAATTGCAGAGAGAAAGAAGCAGGAGAAGGAGGAGATATTTGGGCTTCCTGGGTTTACCCTTTGGGCAACAGTGTCCTTCTGAAAAATGTTTAAAGTAGTACCATTGACGCTCGCATTTAATAACGCTAATATAAATTGTCGAAAGAGAAATGAAAATGCTTCATTTAAAAAAGTGCTCATATTAGAAATTGTTTTTGTTCTACTGGAAATAAATCGAATTTTATTCCTGATTTGTTCCACTAACCCACTGTAAACACAGACCCAGTGACAAAATGTGACTTAAAAGAACAAGAGCGCAGAGGTTTTTTTGTTTTTTTTTTCCCCTTTCCACATTAAAAAAAGGCAACATATGCTTTTTCTTTCAAAGTGACTCTGGTGATTAGATCACCATTTTACTTGAATTGCTAGTTGAATGAACTTGATTAGGATTTTCAAAGCATTTTATTTTAAATAGACTATCCCACGGTTGTTGCATAGCAAAGAAAATTTAGAACCACAAGACAGGTCATGGTGTTGGTGAGTAAGAGAAGGTAGTAGTTGAGAAATTAAGAGGAATGCTATTATTAAATCAAATACCTAAATTTACAATGACATTCTTGTTGAGCAATCTGCTGATGTTTGTCATTTTCTCTACCTCCAAGTATCTCCTCGTATGACTGCTGTCAAGTTTTTTGCCCAGTGTTCCTCTGAAATTGCTGTATCAAGGACACCCCTGACCTCCAGCTTGTCAAATACAAATTGCCAGTTCTCAGTCTGGTACTGCCCTGAGGAGCATTCGGCACAGTTGATCGCCTGCCTTCTTGAAACCCTTCCTTCTCTGGGCTGCAGGGATTCCTCATCCTGCTAGCTCTTTTTCCACTTCTGCTTCCTTGAGAAGTCTGGAAGAAAGGGGAGCAAACACAGGAGACCATGCCAGAAGCCTAAGGGTTACAGAGCCTCTGTCTTCAGCCCTCTTCTCTCTCCACACTTATCTAGAAGAAACTTACCCAGTCCCACAGCTTTAAATCCCATCTCTGAACTGGTGACTTTCACATTTTAATCTCCAGCCCTGACCTCTCTCCTGAATTCCCAACTCAGCAACTCTACGAGGATCTCTGTTGGATGCCTTAGACTTAGGTGCAAACCAGAATGGGTTCCATAGCTCTGTCTTTCCCACTGCCCTCATATACCTCTCCCCTTCCTCCTCTTTTTGCCCTTCAGGTTCAACTTCTTACTGTTCCTGGAACGTGATCACCTTAGTTTGGGATGCTAGAGACTGGGTGGCTTATAAACAATAGACATTCACTTCTCATAGTTCCAGAGGCTGGAAGTCTGAGATCAGGGAGCCAGCATGGTCGGGTTCTGGGGAGGGCTTTCTTCATGGTTGCAGTCTGCTGATTTCTTGCTGTACCCCATGTTGCAGAAGGGCAAGAGAGTTCTCTGAGGTCTCTTTATAGGGGCACTAATCTTGTTCATGAGGATATTTTAGGGGAACACAAACATTCAGTCCATTGTATTACACTAAGCCTGTATCTGCTTCAGGGGCTTAGCACTTTCTGTTCTTGCTGTCTGGAATATTCTACCTCTAGATCTTTACATCACTTCATTCTCTTCCTGGAATATCTTATCGACCACCTTATCTAAAACATGCCCCATGCCCTCATTCTACTTAGTTTTTTTGTATGTTAAACTTTTATTTGTTTGCTTGTCATCTCTACTCCTTAGAATGTAAGCTCTGCAAAAGCAGGACATTGTCTCATTTACCACAATATCCTCAGCCCCTAGAACAGTGACATATGCAAGGTGCTCAATGAATATTTGTCCAATAAACAAACTACTTTTTGATTTAATTATGGGCCTTGACTACTATATAAAGATCTTTGAAGATCCTTTGTAATAAAACAAGGTAATCATTTGGAGCAAAACTATATTTAAAAATTAATGAAAATTACATCTAATATAATAGTTCTTCAAGCTATTTTAAACTTATGTGTACATGCACTGCATGAGTGTATGTATTTTTTTTTTCCCTTTGGTGGGGTATTCTAGGGGAACATATCTGGATAATTCTTGATGGTCCAGTAGATGCCATCTGGATTGAAAATCTGAATTCTGTTTTGGATGATAACAAAACTCTAACCCTTGCCAATGGTGATCGGATTCCCATGGCTCCAAACTGCAAGATCATTTTCGAGCCTCATAACATTGACAATGCTTCTCCTGCCACCGTCTCAAGAAATGGAATGGTTTTCATGAGCTCTTCTATCCTTGATTGGAGTCCTATTCTTGAGGTATAATTGAATCCTTCTTTTGTATAATTAAAAAGGAAAACAGATCCTTTAGCATTCTTTTAGTGTGTGTGCCAATTTTTCTGCAGATGGCAGTGTAACTGCATTTTTATGCTAATGTTTGTGGAAGATACTTGAATGCACTGGGACATTCAAACCCTGATTGCTCCTAACATATTTCTTCATTACTCTTCCAATCACTTTTGAACTGGGATTTCCAACCTCTGGGTTGTAGAGTAATTGCCAGGCCTGTATGAACCAACAGTGTTGCCAAACTGTGTCTGAGGACTGAATAAGTAAAATTTAATTTGATCAATCTGGGGATTCATGATATTTTTGAAAGGTACACATTCACATAAAGTTTAGGAGGACCATCTTAGAACATTAACTTGGAGTCAGTTTATTAAAATTGCATATAAGGAATTTTTATGAGATTCATTAGTTATAACGTTAGTTCCAAATTTGAACTTGGCAATAATATTTCAGATAACATCTCATCAATTCATAATCAGGTATATTATTTTATTACCAGCAATATATCCTAGAATATATTGATCAAAATTATATTATAAATAAATGCCTTGCATACTTAGATATTTTGCTATATAAATATTATAATGTAAGGCAGAATGTTTATTAGATAAGCCACATGAAAAATCTTGTTTTACATAGTTGGTTATATTGAATATTTTCATCACCTAAGTTTTTCGAAGATGATTTTGATTGAAAACATTTAAATTCCTAATTTAAATAAAGTAGATGTTTATTTACATTATATCATTACATTTTCAAACTTTTATTTCTATATGGTTATATCCTAACTTTTTACTAATGTCTTTCCAGAATTTACTCAACTCTGTTGCAAAAGGCTTTAGATTTGGTATGAAGATGGGAAGAAGGAGGGAATCATATAGCAAAATGATGTTGACATAGAGTTGAATGTGTCACTAAAAATAGTTGTAAAGTTTTCAGATTTCACAATTAGATTATCCACCCATTAAGGAGAATAAAAGCAGAGGGTTGCAACCCTGTTTTTGCAAAAGTAATCACTAATGACAATTCTTTAAAATACAGATGATTGGGTTACACTTCAATCTTACCAAATTAGAATCTCTGGGAGGCAACTCAGGATTGTTTTTTTTTTTTTTTTCTTTTAAGTGCCACAACATTTTTTTTTCACATAGCCAGGCTTGGAAACCACAGGTACAGCAAACTACCAGTGAAAATGTATATATATGATTTTTCCAAAATACTTCAATTTCAAAAAGGTTTTTGAAAAATACTTTTATACAACTAGCTAAGGAGTACTAGCTAATGCATGAGTTTGCTATTTATAAAATAAGCTTTTGCTATAGTCTGTCCATACTGAGACTGAATAAGACCTTTACTTTAATGCTATACCCACCTCATAATATCCTATATGTTTTAAATAATGCATTTTCTTTTTTGGAAATTGTTAGGAAAAGCAAGACTCATGAGAAGAATCAGATTGGAAATGTTTAGAACAGGAAGGCCAGCTCTGAGAGTTATTAGAGGGCAGAGTAATTGAAAAGTTGTGTTGCTGACAATCTGTCAGCTTCAGGGAGCCAACCTGGTTACCTGCCCTAGTGAATGTCGTCTTTCGGTTCCATCAACTCAAAAGTGCTATGTTATGTTTTTGTCGAGGTAGAATCATGGTAAATTCATGAACTAATGAATAATTCAGAATCAACATTTTATTGCTTCTGTTCAGAGTCTCTAATTGTTTCTTGGAATACTGAGGTGAAGAATGAGCTGATCTCTTGACCTTAAGAGAACTTGCCTCATCTTAAGGAAACGCTGTGTGTTAAGTGGTATTTATGAGATGCAGTTTCTTAATACTAGGTTTCTCAAATGACTAAATTCTCCATTTTCATGAATATCCTTGATATTTTTCTACATTGTTTATTAATTAAATTAGAAGAAATAAAAAGAAACAACTAATTGTAGTAAATCTTTGTTTTCTGTTAAAAAAAAATCTGGGGGCCAGGCACAGTGGCTCATGCCTGTAATCCCAGCGCTTTGGGAGGCCGAGGCAGGCAGATTGCTTGAGGCAAGGAGTTTGAGACTAGCCTGGGCAATATGGCAAAACCCTGTCTCGACAAAAATTACAAAAATTAGCTGGGTGTAGTGGCATGCACTTGTGGTCCCAGCTGCTTGAGGGGCTGAGGCCAGAGGATCACCTGAGCCTGGGAGGTGGAGGTTGTAGTGAACTGAGATCATGCCACTGTATTCCAGCCTGAGTGACAGAGTAAGATCCTGTCTCAAAAAAAGAAAAAAAAACCTGGGTATGGATTTCCTTTGTTCATCTTTTATTCTTTACTTTTCCCCCCTGAGTTATTTCCATATATGTGCCTTCTCATTTTCTCCCAGCATATTTTAATCAAGAGTTGAAGACTATTTCTCCATCTGTGAGCATATGGATAGTGTAGTAGCTGAACATGTAGGCCCAGGCTTTCTGGGTCTGAATTCTGCCCTTGCCACCTGCTTGCAGTGGGCTCCTGAGCAGGCTACCTACACTTCCTGGGCCTCTGTTTCCTCATGTGTAAAAGGAGGATAATAACAGTTCTTACCTTGTAGGGTTGTTTTGAAGATTAAGTGAATTAATACGTGGAAGAGTTTGTAACAAAGCCTGGAACATAGTGTGTGGTATAATCATTAGATATTATCATTATTAACAGATACTTTTAAAATTTTTGTCCCCAAATGACCATTTTCCTAGTGTGCTAATAAGTTTCATGAATACACTTGTCTGTGAACTGACAGGGTTTTCTTAAGAAACGCTCACCTCAAGAAGCAGAAATTCTTCGTCAGCTGTACACCGAGTCTTTCCCAGACTTGTATCGCTTCTGTATCCAGAACTTAGAATACAAGATGGAGGTGCTGGAGGCCTTTGTCATCACACAGAGCATTAACATGCTTCAAGGCCTGATTCCTCTGAAGGTAAATTGCTCAACTTTCTAGAGAAATTCTCTCTTATCAACTTAGCCATGCTGCACAGAGAGTACTATATTTTCTCTCTTATTAATGTAGCCATGCTATACAGAGAGTACTATATTTGAAATTAGATTTGGTTAGAGCTGTTGGGGAGGGGGAATATTTCAAACATGGATCCCACATATATACTTATTTTTTCATATCCCTTTAACAAAAAATACAGCTAACCATGGATTTGGAATTTAGTTGCAGGTTAACAAAGTCATGCAACGGGTATCCCAAAATTATTACTGTGTGTGTGTTTTAATTTTTAATTTTTGTGGGTACATAGTAGGTATACATACTTATGGGGTACATGAGATATTTTGATACTGGTATGCTATGTGTAATAACCACATCAAGGTGAATGGGGTATCTATCACCTCATTCTTCATTTCTTTGTGTTATGAACATTACAATTGGACTCCCTCAGTTACTCTAAAATGCACAACAAATTATTGCTGACTGCAATCACTGTGTATTTTTGCACCCATTCATCATCCCCATTTCCTCACCCCTCCCCACTCCCCTTCCTAGCCTCTGGTAACCATCCTTCTACTCTATCTCCATGACTTCAATTGTTTTAATTTTTAGCTCCCACAGATGCATGAGAATATACCAAGTTTGTCTTTCTGCGTCTGGCTTATTTCACTTAACATAATAACCTCCAGTTCCATTCATGTTGTTCAAATGACAGGCTCTCATTCTTTTTTATGGCTGAATAGTACTCCCTTGTGTGTATGTAGCACTTTTCTTTATCCATTCATCTGTTGATGGACACTTAGGTTGTCTCCAAGTCTTGACTGTGGTGAACAGTGCTGCGATAAACCCTGTTTTTTTGTTTGTTTGTTTTGTTTTTTGACATGGAGTCTCGCACTGTCGCCCAGGCTGGAGTGCAGTAGCGCCATCTTGGCTCACTGCAAGCTCCGCCTCCCAAGTTCACGCCATTCTCCTGCCTCAGCCTCCCGGGTAGCTGGGACTACAGGCGCCCGCCACCACCCTCGGCTAATTTTTTTTTTTTTTTTTTTTGTATTTTTAGTAGAGACGGGGTTTCACCATGTTAGCCAGGATGGTCTCGAGCTCCTGACCTCATGATCCGCCCGCCTCGGCCTCCCAAAGTGGTGGGAGTACAGGCATGAGCCACCGTGCCCGGCCAACCCTATTATGTTTAAAGGCAGCTTGCTATTCTCAGAGATCAGTTCTTCATTTGTTCTCCAGTTGTATTCATCCTTTCCCTTGTTCTTGGAGGGCAACTAGTGTCTTGTTTCTATGTTTACTGTTCCCATTGAAACCCTAGAGCAACGTTTGGGTTTCAGAATCAAGTTATTAAAAAAAAGTGTCTTTCCTTCTCAGGAGCAAGGCGGGGAGGTGAGCCAGGCTCACCTGGGGCGGCTGTTCGTGTTCGCGCTGCTGTGGAGCGCGGGGGCGGCGCTGGAGCTGGACGGACGGCGCCGCCTGGAGCTCTGGCTGCGCTCTCGGCCCACAGGGACGCTGGAGCTGCCGCCGCCAGCGGGGCCCGGGGACACCGCCTTCGACTACTATGTGGCGCCCGATGGTGAGGACACCTGCCCGTCCAGACGGAACCCATGGGGGCCGTTCTTTCCTACATGGCCAATATTTACACCATATATATTTTTTCTAAATGAGATTTATAATTATTGGCTGTAAGATATGAAAACGTTCGTGTGTGAAGAAAGTGAACAGTGGTTTCTTTTTAAAAAATCTACTTTGTATTTCAAATGCACATTTTCCTCTTGTTAAATATCTTGTGCACTAAACTTTCAATGAATTAAGAAACATTTAAAAAACCAAATCAGATCCATTTCTGTCACTCATTCAATATAATCAGCAATTTGTATAAAAGTCACAAAGTTTAAAGTATATTTTTGCCAAATACGTGTGTATCTATAGCTGTATATCTTTATCTCTGTATGTATATATACTTTAAGGTTATTGGTGTATGTATAAATATATAAAGTACATTTATACAGAAAATGAAGTACATATATGTGGGTGTATAATAATGTATTAACTATTTAATATACATATGCATCAGCCTAGGATCTTTTGCCTAATGAAAAGTGTGAGATTAGACATTCGAAAGTGACTAATGATTTTAGATACACACTACTCTCACTCTGTTCTGTATTTTTATACATATTTCATGCTATTGAAAACTAATATATATTTTTAAAAAATTCCAAAATACTTCCTAGTATTTCCTAGGTTTACCACCTTGAAATTGTTCCTTGGGACGTTTTGACTCAGCTAACACATACTTGTGTACTTAGATCTCTAATTTTAATGATCTTCATTTTATGGGGAGAATTTGGAAGGTGACCTCATAAGATTTCAAGGATGTCTGCTCATTACAGTTCGGAGTTGAATTATTAATATGGAGATGGAAATGTCCTCTGCTCACCTTAGGTACATGGACGCACTGGAACACGCGTACCCAGGAATACCTGTATCCGTCTGATACCACCCCAGAGTATGGTTCTATTCTGGTGCCAAATGTTGACAATGTGAGGACTGACTTTCTAATTCAAACCATTGCTAAACAGGGCAAGGTATGACTTTTAATTTTTATTAACTGTAGCATATTTTAAGGGGAGACATGAAGCATCCTGCATTTATTTATTTAGTTATTTACTGAGACGGAGTCTCACTCTGTCGCCCAGGCTGGAGTGCAGTGGCGCGATCTCGGCTCACTGCAGGCTCCACCTCCCGGGTTCACGCCATTCTCCTGCCTCAGCCTCCTGAGTAGCTGGGACTACAGGTGCCCACCACCATGCCTGGCTAATTTTTTGTATTTATTAGTAGAGACAGGGTTTCACCATGTTAGCCAGCATGGTCTCGATCTCCTGACCTCGTGATCCGCCCGCCTCGGCCTCCCAAAGTGCTGGGATTACAGGCGTGAGCCACCGTGCCCAGCCAACATGAAGCATCCTGCATTTATTATAAAATGTTTTATGTTGCAGTTTAGAATACACGAAAATGTCACCTAACCTACTATTCCTTTATTATTCCCCACTAAAATATGAGTTGAATAGTTCTAATTCATAAGTCAGTAATTATTTCTTATGTATGAGTTGACAGAAAGTAAATTTTGACTTGCTTTTCCCCAAAGGATTCCTTCTGCTTTGATCGCTGAGCTAGTTTGCTAGGGCTGCTGTAACCAAATACCGCAGCCTAGGTGGCCTAAACAACAGCAGTTTCTTTTCTCTCTGTTCTGGAGGCTGAAAGTCCAGGATGAAGGTGTTGGCAGGCTGGGGTTCTTCAGAGGCGCCTCTCCTTGGCTGGTAGATGGCTGCCTTCTCACTGTGTTCTTCCCATGGTGTTTCTTTGTGTATACAAATTTCCTCTTTTTTTTTTTTTTTTTTTTTTTGAGATGGAGTCTCTGTCACCCAGGTTAGAGTGCAATAGTGTAATCTGGGCTCACTGCTACGTCTGCCTCTCGGGTTCAAGCAATTCTCCTGCCTCAGCCTCCCAAGTAGCTGGGATTACAGGTGCACACCACCACACCTGGCTAATTTTTGTATTTTTAGTACAGATGGGGTTTCACCATGTTGGCCAGGCTGGTCTCGAACTCCTGACCTCAGGTGATCTGCCTACCTCAGCCTCCCAAAGTGCTGGGATTACAGGTGTGAGCTACCACACCTGGCCACAAATTTCTTCTTCTTATAAGGACACGAGTTAGGGTGGAATAAGCCTCATCCAACAGCTTTATTTTACCTTAGTCACCTCTTTAAAGACCTTATCTCCAAATAGAATCACATTTTAAGGTACTAGGGGTTGAAGATTCAGCATATGAATTTTGGGGGGACAAATTCAGCCCATCACACTCATTTATTTCATTTCTTTTTTTTTCAATTCCCTCTATTTTAGGCTGTGCTATTAATTGGTGAACAAGGAACAGCCAAAACAGTAATAATTAAAGGATTTATGTCAAAATATGATCCTGAATGTCACATGATCAAGAGTCTGAATTTTTCTTCTGCAACCACCCCACTGATGTTCCAGGTACTGGCTCTTTGGTATGGCTCAGTAAGCCCAATTTTGTGATAAACTTTGGAGGCTCAAATCTCTACTATTCTGCTTCAATTGAATCTCATCTGAATTTTCATAGCCATGATAAATCACCCACGTACGTCTTCCATTCTTTCAATTATTCAACTGCAATAGTTTCCCTAGTTAGAATATAACATCTTAAATTATGGAAACATTAAAAGCTTATATAAGGTGCTATAGGCCTCAATGCGGTTTAAAATATCTATGTAGAAAATACTGTGAACACGCAAAATCCAAAACTGAAAGAAAATCATTTATTCCCCACCTAAACCTACTTCCTTTCCCTAGAGTCTGCTTGCCTGAAGGTGTTCCTAATACTCTTTTAGGCTAGGCACTTTGTAATAATCTTTAATGCGTCCCTGTTGCTCAGGTCTCAAAGGCTGTTACAGTACCAAAAGAAATGCATTTCACATCTATTTCTTTATCTTCATGCTCCTGGTTTACCTCTAGGTAATCCACTTCTGCATGATTGCGTACCAGGTTATTGGCATGGAAGAATCCCCAGCTATGATTGGTTCAAGTTGAATTCTCTTTCAGTCTAGCTTTTATACCTTCCACTCCTTACTTCCTAGAATGCCACTTTAATCTTGTTCCCCGACTTAACATTCCACCCTAGCTCCCATGCTCAATTGCAACAAGGTATAAAATCTTAGACCCTTAGATATGAAATATTTTGCTCTATGTATCACAGAAGTGTGAGAGAAAAAAAACCCCTCAAGTTTGCGTTGTTTATTTTTTTTTCCCAATGAAACCACCAGGAATGACCTAGATTTGCAGTGGCTTAAATAGTTCTTTTTCTCCTGGTCCTAAATTGTACAAGACCTTATTGAAACTGAGGAGGAAATCCTAAATGTCAGTACATGCTTCAGTGATTTGCAAATTATCTCTCATATTTTTATTAGAACATTAATATATCACCAGAAGATACATGTCATAAATTGCAAATAGAAGGGAAATTTTTAGGGGAACACAAATCCAAAGAACTTTGCTTTTAATGAACTTTGTTGTTCTTTAGCTGTTGGAATGAAAATATCAGAGCAATGAAACTTGTTGAAGGCATGGTTAAATCACCACTTTTTATCACTTAATTTAATTGGTGACAGCGGAGTGCCAATACACTAAGATCATTGATTAAACTTCTAAATAAGACTGTCAGCTTCATTATACTCTTCTGGAGGAGACAGGATTTCCAGTATGGGCTATCTTTCTATCAAATAAATACCATTCATATAGTGTCTGGGTGGGCAGATCTGGATGGATGGTCAACCCCAAATTGCAGTGACTTAGCAGTGGCATTTTCGTGTTTGGGAAAGGACACATTAAATTACCCTAGGCTGGCAAGATGCTAACGTTATATGTGTTCCTTTAATACCGCTTTACAATTAAAGAGCTTTTGTTAGTTTTACCTTAGGAGGACATTCTCTTTAAAGGTTATAATTATAACATTATTTGAGGATAAAGGTTTTAAAAAAATCAGATCAGAGTGTGATTATTTTTTCATTATGTGGGGTGATTTTCTAATGATCCACACTTCATGAGACTGTATGAACTCTTTAGGCCTACAGTGTAGTTCTGATTGTAACTATGGCAGAGCTAATGCAGACTTCAGAAGTTAAGGGCCGAGTCCCCACAAGACTGCCCTCACTCAGACACCAGCCACAAGCTCAGGGGTTCTCAAGAGACCCATACCTCTGACCAAGTGGCTACAAATTAGGCCATTCCCTCAGCCCTCTCAGTTTCCATAATTCACTAGAATGACTTACAGAACTCGGAGAAATGCTATGCTTATCATTACAGCTTTCTTGCAAAGATACAAGTAAGTGTCAGTCAAAAGAAAAGATAAAGAGGGCGAGGTTTGGGAGGGTCTCAAATGCAAACCTTCCCTGTCCTCAGGATGTGCTACCTTCCAGGCATATCATGTATATCACCAACCTGGACACTCACCTGAGCCTTGGTGTCCTGGGTTTTTATTGGGGTTTTATTACATAGGCATACTTGATTACATCATTGGCCATAGGACGAGACTCAGATCTTTTTATTTTTTTTGAAACGGAGCCTCGCTCTGTCACCAGGCTGGAGTGCAGTCGTGTGATCTTGGCTCACTGCAACCTCCACCTCCTGGGTTCAAGCAATTCTCCTGCCCCAGCCTTCTGAGTAGCTGGGATTATAGGCATGGGCTACCACACCCCGCTAATTTTTGTATTTTTAGTAGAGATGGGGTTTCACCATGATGTCCAGGATGGTCTTGATCTCTTGACCTCATGATCTGCCCTCCTGGGCCTCTCAAAGTGCTGGGATTACAGGCGTGAGTCACTGTGCCCAGCCAAGATCTTTAAGACTGAACTCAAATCTCCATCAGCTCCCCTCCCAGGTCAACTGATATCATGTGACTTAAAACTTCAACCTTCTCATCACATGGCTGGTGATGAGTGGTTGGCATGAGTGGTATGAGGGGCCCATGTGAGTCCTTTCTATCACTCAGGAAATTTCCAGGGTTTAAAGACTCCATCCCAGGAGCCAGGAACAAAGGCCAGTCCAATCTTTTATTATGCAATGAGGCCTTGTCATTGCGTTTTTGTTACCAACTCTGTGACATTTATCTCTGCCAGGTATTAAAGATCTGTGGTTTCTGTCTCTTTAACATGAAATATGTACTCGTTTCCTGGAAAAAGCCATATGTTATCTAGAAAACCTGTTGTTTGATATACAAATTCATAAACCATATAATAAATTTCTAGAAGTGGTACCATATTCAAATATAATAAATAGAAGAAGAGTGAAGTATTCCTTAGGCTCCCATTATCTGATACACATGGCTTTAGCCAGATTCCCCACTGTTCTTCAGTGTTAAGGTGGAGTTAACACATCACTATTTCTTTTTTCTGTTCAGAAGCATCACAGGATCATCCACTCTGTTTCGTGCCAGAGACTGTTTTGACTGTGGAGCATCAGGGATTTCTATTAAGCAAGACTCATTAGTTTTAGAAAGCTTTCAATTAGCCAAACTGTTGTAATTAACTTTCTCACTGTAATTTTCAGTCATTCATGCTAAACAGGGCTGATGGAGCAGAGCATTTGTCTCTGCATCTCCCACGTATCTGGATCCCAACCAAACTGAAATTGTAGATGAGAAAATAGATACTGTCCATTTCTCAGCTGTTACCAAGATGGCACACTGTCCAACGAAGGGCGCGTATCTGTTACTTCACAGGTTGTTTTCATCTTGATGTAACTTTCACATCTTTCATCAGTAGAGGGGACTGTCACTTTTTGCCTCGGACAATCCAGGTTACTTTCATTGTCTCAGATTAATAATTAATAGCATCCTTTGCCACTATCAAAAGTTTGGACAAAAATTATACAGTCACTCCATTTTTTGGCTAAGGGAATTTAGTCCATTTTTTAAGAAAGATTCCTCATTTTTCCCCCCGAACTAATATTAATTTTTTTATTTTTGAAAGTAATTCATACATAGAAGTAGAAATTTAAGCAATACAAGAAGGTGAAAAGAAGAAAGCAAAAATTAAGATAATTTCTGAAAAGATTTCTAAAAATAATTATAAAGTTTTTTGAATATAGCTACCATCTTACAAATGGTTGCATAGCAATAGGTTTTATTTTTTAAAAAATAAGACTCCTAGACCTGGAAGGAAATTCCACAGTGTTTTTTGGACCCAGAACCACTTTTCCAAGTGACATCTTGTGCAGTAGATTAATCTATAAAATAAGTAACCATGGATTTGCTTTGGTGGAATTGGAGCTGGGGTCCTGCAGCCCATTCCAGCCTCATCTTTTCTTCCTGCAAGGGATCCCTGTGTTTGCAGAAAATCCTTTTGGCTCCTCAGAGCACAGTTTGAAGACTAGTTTCCTAAGAGATAATATGTGAAAGTATATTTGTATCATAAAGCTCTCTTAAAATGTCAGGTTTTACGGTTAAGACTGATGTACTTGGGTGGAAGGAGATTCAAGCATTGTCTGAATTCACTTAGTTGGTGGCAGAACCTAAGCTGGAAACAGCTGGAAACCAGGGTCCATGTGCTCTGCTGTGCTGTGCACCCACATGCTTCCTTCCAATGGCCTTTCTTTATCTATATTAATATCTAAAGGGCTGGTTTATCACTTAGTGCACTTGTTTTATTTTTAGCTTCAGTTATGCATTATTGTATTTTCATGTGATTTTTGACATATTTTACTTTTTACAATGTACTATTGAGCATTTTAAACTTTCCTAATGTAAGACTATTTTTGTTTGAATTACAATAAAATGGGAAGATGTTATTAGGCAGTAGATTTCTTAATAAAGAGCATAACTCTCCATTTTTATGTTTTAGCTAATAGCACACATATGAAAACCTAAAATTAATTATATTTTATATTTCTGTTTAATTGTATGTAACATGCATGAAAAATGATTTAGGTGCTAGTGTATAGAGCTACACATAGAAATAATAAAATAGCTTTACATTTTATACTACATTAAGCTCATGAATTGCTTTCATATATATTATATATCATTAATGCATAATACTCTGTAGCAAGCTCATGAATTGCTTTCATATATATTATATCATTAATGCATAATGCATATATGCATATTCATATGCATATTTATGTACGTACATATGATTTACGTATCTATACACACTCTCATTTCTGGGTTGTATTATACCCAGAAATATTAAGTGGCTTACCTGAAATCATAGAGTTGATAAATGTGAGAAGCAGTAGTTTAGTTCGTTTTTCCTGACTTTCAGCCTAGTCAGAGCTGTTATGTAAGACCTTGCAGGTCGTGCAGATTTTGCACTGTGTCTCATTCACAAAGATGATTGCGTGAATGTTGTACCTAAGAACTAGGCAATGCACCGTCGCCTCAGCTGCACATGATCCTTCCAATACCCCTTCCAATGTTGCTTTCCTCCCTTTGTCTTGTTGGGGAAACAGACATGTGCATAACCAAGTGTAGTTGACAAGATAAGTGCTACTTATGGCAGAATCTCAATGCTGTACTGTGGAGTCCGGAGGAGGAGCCGATTAGTTTCCATAGGGGATTACAGAAATCAGCATAATGAAAGAGTTGATCATTCCTTGGGGGAGTTTATTATTTATATTAATTTCTAGGAATTATAAAAGCTGAGTTGTCTATTGAGAAATTAATTCAGTAATTGAATTGTCCCTAGGTTTAGGGCTTCTAGCTCAGAAAAGAGCCAGAAGGGAGCTCCATTCCTCAGCCTACCTGGTTTTCTGACCATCTGGTTTTCATGTCTTAAAATGCTGCTGTCACAGCTTGGGTTAATGATATCCTATGTGTGTAGACAGACAATGAGATTGGAATCTTGTTTAGGTTTCATAAATTGCATAAGATGCTGTCATGCTGACTACGATTCCCCAATTTCAGAGTAAAGTGATTGTCTATTCTCAAAGAACAGTATATGTCCTTAGTGCAAGTCCTTGCTAGAGACTTAATTTTTTTTTTTTAAAAATCAGTAACTGGATTGACAGAAGTGACATTTTTAGAAGATCACTCATCTAAATCAATATTTCACAATGTGAATTTGGCTAATGATAATCCTGAGAGATTTTTTTTTGGCTTAGAAATGGCTACTCTAGAAATATATAAATAAGGATCCCATAAGGAATACTGTAAGCCAGCCTATAAGGTGAACATCACTTCACAGTCTATGTGTTTTTTTTTAACTGTATGTAAATGAACTAAGACCCTGAGGGTCCAGAACAAAGACAGTGAGAAGGACTGTCTGGAAGTGAGACTGGAGGAGTAAGTAGTGGGTACCATAGAGTTCCCTGTAAGTCACTGACGAGGAACCCCCTGGAGTCCTGAGGAGGATTGCATTGCCCTTTAGAAAGCTCATTCTGGCTGTAGAGTGGAGAACAAGATGCAAGAGACATGGCTGCACTCAGAGAGACCTGAGAGGAGACAGTCGCAGTCATTTCTCAGGAGGGAGGTTGGGCTGGACCAAGATGGTAAAATGAGAAAGGAAACAGAACAAGGATGCATTCAACCTTGGTTAGGAAGTGGAACTACCAGAACTTGTGATTGGTTGAGTAGGGGTTTATGTTAGTCTGTTCTTGCACTACTATAAAGAATGACCTGAGACTGGGTAATTTATAAAGAAAAGAGGTTTAATTGGCTCATGATTCCACAGACTATACGGGAAACGTGGCTGGGGAGGCCTCAGGAAACTTTCAGTTATGTTGGAAGGGGAAGTAGACACTTCTCACGTGGCCGGAGCAGGAGTGAGAGAGCAAAGGTGGAGGTGCTACACACCTTTAAGCAACCAGATCTCGTGAGAACTCACTCATGAGACAGCACTGGGGGGATAGTGCTAAACCGTTAGAAACCACCTCCATGATCCAGTCACCTCCCACCAGGCCTCACCTCCAACATTGGGGATGACAATTCCACATGAGATTTGGGTGGGGACACAGAGCCAAACCATATCAAGGTTGTTGGAGGAGAGGCATAGGAGACAGTGAGAAAAGTCAAAGATGACTCCAGGTTTCTTGTATTTATTTATGTAAAAAATATTTAACAACAAACACATAGTACCAGACACCCTTCTAGACACTGAGGATGAAATAATGAGTAAAGTAAGGAAAACAAGGTGCCTTCCCTCCTTACCTTCTAGTGGAGGAGACAGGCAATAATCTAATAAGCGAACATATCTACTTGGTTTTATTAACTGGACCGCAGTTCATAACAGCAAAACAGTGGATGAGGTGGGAACACCAATCAAAGAGATTGGAAGGAATGTGGGTGGCAGAATACTACACAGATGATCCGTGATTCTTTAGACGGATTTCTTTGGGGGAGACAAAAAAATTCTAGGTAAAATTACAAATCATGCAATATAGCCATTGTGTATGAGTCATAAGGAAGTTTCCAGGATTGACTGCAGTCAGGGAAGGCAATTTAAGGGGTCATGACATTAATCCCTGTGAGAAAGAAAGACATAATGGAATGGGGGCCTACTGTTGTTTAGGTAGGAAGAGATACTTTAGAAAGGGTGTTGAAATTATAATAGAAAAACTCAGTGTTGTTAGATGTGGAAATTTTTGGATGGGGCAATAGGTAGTTGGTGCCACTTTCTGAATTGAGCACCCCAAAGGGGTGCAGACTTTGTGCTGAGTAAGGAAGTGGAGTTTATGTTTGAATATGCTTATTTTTGTGATGTTATGGAACCTCCAGCTTGGACAGATCAGATGTCCAAGTATACAGTTTTTTCGAACAGCCCCAAATGGATAGCTATCCAAAGGAGTAGAGCATGCAATACAGGAGGAACATGCCTAATCTGAAAATCTGAAATTCAAGTTGCTCCAAAATCCAAAACTTTTTGAGCATTGGCAAGCTCAAAATATTTCACACCTCACCTCAAGTGACAGGTTGTAGTCAAAATGCAGGTGCACAACACACAGTTTATTCAGCATCCCCAAGGGAAGAAAGACCCTCCCAGCACCCTCCTGCTTTCATATCTTTTCAGCACACTACCAGATTCCCCCATGCAAGCATGTCCAACATATATTGTTCAATATACACGAATGTTGTTTCATGCACAAAATTGTATAAATATGAAATATTTAATTTTAAATATTTTAAAATAAAATGTAAGTAAACATATAAATACACATTTTAATAAATACACACATACATACATAGCATATATAACTACTTCCTGGTTATATATATAAAGTGTATATAGGAAACACAAATGGCTTTTATGTTTAGATTTGGGTTCCATCCCCAAGATATCTCATTATGTATATGCAAATATTCCCAAATCTGAAAACATTCAATATACAAAACACTTCTGGTTCCAAGCATTTCAGAGAAGGCATAACCAACCTGTGTTGTGTTTCAGGCCTTCAGGAGGTCTTACCAAACTTCAACACTCAGGTAACTATTGAATCTGCAACAATTCTAAAAATGGAAAGAAATCTCAACTTCTAGGTTCTCAGGTTGCTTAATTTTTCTCCCTATTTTGTTGTGCTTTTGTCAATTTAACTCTTTTATGACATGTATAGCTTAGTGGTGATAGGGATGATTTCCTATCATTTCAAAAAAATTAGGGTTACAGTGGAGGGGAAGAAAATATAGGTGTGTGGCTATTACTCTGTATTACTCTGACTATCCCACCTAGTACATTTAGCTCTTGAGAAAGCTTCCCAATACATAAAATCTTCATGTGCCAAAAAGTGTTCTCATTAATAGACATGGGAATGTCTGGAAGTCCTAGTTGGCCATAAGGAGGTGCATTTCAATTCATTGAAAAGAAGAGCAAATTTAGCAAATGCAAACAATTTTGCATTTTTGTGGGGGGGGGTATGAAATTCTTTTTGCTATTGTACAATGTCATGGGAGATTTGTTTTGTAATTGAATGAGTTGTAATATATTTATATCTCATTCTATTTAAAAATAGTGAAAAATTTTCACATTGCTTGCTATTATTCATTAAAATGATGAGGCCAGGCACAGTGGCTCATGCCTGTAATCCCAGCACATTGGGAAGCTGAGGCAGGTGGATCACCTGAGGTCAGGAGTTTGAGACTAGCTTGGCCAACATAGTGAAATCCCATCTCTACTAAAAATACAAAAATTAGCAGGGTGTGGTGGTGTGCACCTGTAATCCCAACTACTGGGAGGCTGAGGCAGGAGAATCGCTTGAACCCGGGAGGCAAAGGCTGCAGTTAGCCAACATTGCACTCCAGCCTGGGTAACAGAGCAAGACACTGTCTCAAAATAAATAAATAAATAAATAAATAAATAAATAAATAAATAAATAAATAAAATAAATAAAATCATGATGAAAATGTACACTGTGCAATTACTGTGAAGATTCTCAAGGACAGTTGTATAGAGTTTTGCTTTTTTTTGTCTTATATTTTGTCTCATTTTGTGGTTATATCTTGTTCATAAAATTCACTTTTAACTGGTTTGTTCTTTGTCATGAAATAAAACATCTTTTGGATAAGAGAAGGAGAATTTATTTTATCTTTACATACCTCCACTTTCTTCTGTATTTATACAACATCTTTAACATGATTTAAAATCATGCATTAGTGGATTCCTACAGTTATATAAATGAAATGAGCTTTTGAGTTTTGAAGCTTCTGGAGTTTGAGAACTTCAAAGCCCTTTCTGTTTGCTTTGCAGTGCCAGACTCTGGTTACTCATGCATACATTTTGAAAGACAATTGATTCCCAAGCCACATTGCACTACCATGGACGTGAGAACACCAGTCAAGAGCCTGGAGTCCTCTCCTCAGATCCTCTTCCTACCCCTTCCAGTGTCCCTTCTTTCAGTTATTTATTTATTTATTTTATTATACTTTAAGTTGTTCTAGGATACATGTGCACAGTGTGCAGGTTTGATACATAGGTATACATGTGCCATGTTGGTTTGCTGCACCCATCAACTCATCATTTACATTAGGTATTTCTCCTAATGCTATCCCTCCCCCAGCCCCCCACCCCCAGACAGGCCCCAGTGTGTGATGTTCCTCGCCCTGTGTGCAAGTGATCTCATTGTTCAATTCCCACCTATGAGTGAGAACATGCAGTGTTTGGTTTTCTGTCCTTGTGATAGTTTGCTGAGAATGGTGGTTTCCAGCTTCATCCATGTCCCTGCAAAGAACATTAACTCATCCTTTTTTATGGCTACATAGTATTCCATGGTGTATATGTGCCACATTTTCTTAATCCAGTCTATCATTGATGGACATTTGGGTTGGTTCCAAGTCTTTGCTATTGTGAATAGTGCTGCAGTAAACATACGTGTGCATGTGTCTTTATAGTAGCATGATTTATAATCCTTTTGGTATATGCCCAGTAATGGGATTGCTGGGTCAAATGGTAATTCTAGTTCTAGGTCCTTGAGGAATCACCACACTGTCTTCCACAATGGTTGAACTAATTTACACTCCCACCAACAGTGTAAAAACGTTCCTATTTCTCCACATCCTTTCCAGCATCTGTTGTTTCCTGACTTTTTAATGATTGCCATTCTGATTGGCATGAGATGGTATCTCATTGTGGTTTTGATTTGCATTTCTCTGATGACCAGTGATGATGAGCATTTTTTCATGTACCTGTTGGCTGCATAGATGTCTTCTTTTGAGAAGTGTCTATCCATATCCTTTGCCCACTATTGATGGGGTTGTTTGTTTGTTTTTTCTTGTAAATTTGTTTGAGTTCTCTGTAGATTCTGGATATTAGCCCTTTTTCAGATGGGTAGATTGCAAAAATTTTCTCCCATTCTGTAGGTTGCCTGTTCACTCTGATAGTAGTTTCTTTTGCTGTGCAGAAGCTTGTTAGTTTAATTAGATCCCGTTTGTCTATTTTGGCTTTTGTTGCCATTGCTTTTGGTGTTTTAGTCATGAAGTCCTTGCCCATGCCTGTATCCTGAATGGTATTGCCTAAGTTTTCCTCTAGGGTTTTTATAGTTTCAGGTCTAACATTTAAGTCTTTAATCCATCTTGAATTAATTTTTGTATAAGGTGTAAGGAAGGGATCCAGTTTCAGCTTTCTATGTATGGCTAGCCAGTTTTCCCAGCACCATTTATTAAATAGGGAATCCTTTCCTCATTTCTTGTTTTTCTCAGGTTTGTCAAAGATCAGATGGTTGTAGATGTGTGGTGTTATTTCTGAGGCCTCTGTTCTGTTCCATTGGTCTATCTCTCTGTTTTGGTACCAGTACCATGCTGTTTTGGTTACTGTAGCCTTGTAGTATAGTTTGAAGTCAGGTAGTGTGATGCCTCCAGCTTTGTTCTTTTGGCTTAGGATTTTCTTGGCAATGTGGGCTCTTTTTTGGTTCCATATGAAATTTAAAGTAGTTTTTTCCAATTCTGTGAAGAAAGTCATTGGTAGCTTGATGGGGATGGCATTGAATCTATAAATTACTTTGGGCAGTATGGCCATTTTCATGCTATTGATTCCTTCTATCCATGAGCATGGAATATTCTTCCATTTTTTCGTGTCCTCTTTTATTTCGTGGCGCAGTGGTTTGTAGTTCTCCTTGAAGAGGTCCATCACATCCCTTGTAAGTTGGATTCCTAGGTATTTTATTCTCTTTGTAGCCATTGTGAATGGGAGTTCACTCATGATTTGGCTCTCTGTTTGTCTGTTAATGGTGTATAGGAATGCTTGTGATTTTCGCACATTGCTTTTGTATCCTGAGACTTTGCTGAAGTTGCTTATCAGCTTAAGGAGATTTTGGGCTGAGACAATGGTGTTTTCTAAATATACAACCATGTCATCTGCAAACAGGGACAATTTGACTTCCTCATTTCCTAATCGAATACCCTTTATTTCTTTCTCTTTCCTGATTGCCCTGGCCAGAACTTCCAACACTATGTTGAATATGAGTGGTGAGAGAGGGCATCCCTGTCTTGTGCCAGTTTTCAAAGGGAATGCTTCCAGTTTTTGCCCATTCAGTATGATATTGGCTGTGGGTTTGTCATACATAGCTCTTATTATTTTGAGATACGTTCCATCAATACCTAGTTTATTGAGAGTTTTTAGCATAAAGAGCTGTTGAATTTTGTCGAAGGCCTTTTCTGCATCTATTGAGATAATCATGTGGTTTTTGTTGTTGGTTCTGTTTATATGCTGGATTACATTTATTGATTGCATATGTTGAACCAGCCTTGCATCCCAGGGATGAAGCCAACTTGATCATGGTGGATAAGTTTTTTGATGTGCTGCTGGATTCAGTTTGCCAGTATTTTATTGAGGATTTTCGCATCAATGTTCATCAGGGATATTGGTCTAAAACTCTCTTTTTTTGTTGTGACTCTGCCAGGCTTTGGTATCAGGATGACGCTGGCCTCATAAAATGACTTAGGGAGGATTCCCTCTTTTTCTATTGATTGGAATAGTTTCAGAAAGAATGGTAACAGCTCCTCTTCGTACCTCTGGTAGAATTTGGCTGTGAATCCGTCTGGTCCTGGACTTTTTTTGGTTGGTAGGCTATTAATTATTGCCTCAATTGCAGAGCCTGTTATTGGTCTATTCAGAGATTCAGCTTCTTCCTGGTTTAGTCTTGGGAGGGTGTATGTGTCCAGGAATTTATCCATTTCTTCTAGATTTTCTAGTTTATTTGTGTAGAGGTGTTTATAGTATTCTCTGATGGTAGTTTTTATTTCTGTGGGATCGGTGGTGATATCCCCTTTATCATTTTTTATTGCATCTATTTGATTTTTCTCTCTTTTCTTCTTTATTAATCTTGCTAGCCGTCTATCAATTTTGTTGATCTTTTCAAAAAACCAGCTCCTAGATTCATTGATTTCTGAAGGGTTTTTTGTGTGTCTGTCTCTTTCAGTTGTGCTCTGATCTTAGTTATTTCTTGCCTTCTGCTAGCTTTTGAATTTGTTTGCTCTTGCTTTTCTAGTTCTTTTAGTTGTGATGTTAGGGTGTCAATTTTGGATCTTTCCTGCTTTCTCTTGTGGGTGTTTAGTGCTATAAATTTCCCTCTACACGCTGCTTTAAATGTGTCCCAGTTCTTTCAGTTTTAATATCTTTTTGTGTACTGCAATGAAGGTTTATTTATTTATTTATTTATTTTGAGACGGAGTCTCGCTCTGTCGCCCAGGCTGGAGTGCAGTGGCGTTATCTTGGCTCACTGCAAGCTCTGCCTCCCGGGTTCACACCATTGTCCTGCCTCAGCCTCCCGAATAGCTGGGACTACAGGCATCTGCCACCACACCCGGCTAATTTTTTTTGTATTTTTAGTAGAGACAGGGTTTCACCGTGTTAGCCAGGATGGTCTCGATCTCCTGACCTCGTGATCTGCCCGCCTCTGCCTCCCAAAGTGCTGGGATTACAGGCATCAGCCACCGTGCCCGGCCTCAAGGAAGGTTTTTTACAGAGTGCAGCGTGGTCTTCTCTTGCACTGCCTAAGCTCAGAATGTAAAAATGAGAGAGAAGACATAAGTGAGCTTTGTTCACTCTGTGTCAGGGAATGAGAATTGAATCCGTGTAACTGCATCTGCCCAAAAGAGTGGGTATGAGCTGTGCCAGGTGACAGCAGTCAGTTTCAGCCTTCAGACCATGATGGGCTGTGCAGCTCGGAGTGCAGACCTCAGAAGCTTCTCACACAGTAGCCTTGTTTAACTTTGTTGCTGGTTATAGGGAAACTATTAGCAAGACTTTGAATAATGGGGAACATAGTGTCACCAACAGAAGAAGACAAAAGTAAATTTTTAGAAATGGACAGACGAGTCTCATCCCATTCAAATTCACATTGGTTAGAATTTCATTTCCTTCTAAATTAAACTGGATTTTCAAATTTTGTGAATGTTATACAAGATAATTTAGGTACTTTAGAATTTGTTAGAATTAAGGGGGAAATTTGGCTTTTTAGAAATAATTCATATCAGTTCAAAGGTTACCAGTTTTTGTTGTTTTTTAAAATAATTGACCAGGTTTTAGGGGATATTTTCACAGATGTTTCAGTTGATTTTTTTTTCACAGAGGACGATAGAGAGCTATGTGGATAAACGAATGGGTACAACATATGGCCCTCCTGCGGGAAAGAAGATGACTGTTTTTATTGATGATGTGAATATGCCAATAATCAATGAGTGGGGAGATCAGGTATCATCATTCTATTGTGCATTTTATTTCTTTAATTTGGTATTGATTTATTCTTAGAAGAGTTTTTAAAAATTTTTTTTAAGTTTTTACTTTTTCAAGATATAATTTCTGAATTCCAGTAAAGTTCTTTCTTTGGAAACACTCAAGGAGTTAGGCTCCGGGGATAGAAAGGAATGATGCTTTAATTCTGAAAGTTGTCTTTTGTAGGTTACGAATGAGATAGTGCGACAGCTGATGGAACAAAATGGATTCTATAATCTAGAGAAGCCTGGGGAGTTCACCAGCATCGTGGACATCCAGTTTTTGGCAGCCATGATCCATCCTGGTGGTGGACGCAATGACATACCCCAAAGACTCAAGAGGCAGTTCTCTATATTTAATTGCACGTTGCCCTCTGAAGCTTCTGTGGACAAGATCTTTGGTAAAGATCAAGAGGATGTGGGGTGGGAGGGTGAGGAAGAACACCTGCTTGGGTTCCTTTTTGAAAATCTTCACCCAAGACCCACACAGAAAGAGCACTGGGTGGCTCCTTGGTCTACAGCCTCCATCACTCTCAAGCAGTGTATTTCATTTCCTATAGGGATTGATTCTAGGTGTTTCCTGATTTGGATGACTTGGTAGAGCTTTTCCATTTATGGTTTTCTTTAACTGTTTCTAACTTCTTAAGCAAGGAGGTTTAACATTAAATGAACATGGAAATGAAATTGTTTCCCCATACATGAGGTTGTTTCCTCATGGGCACATAGTTTTGAGGTCTGGATTGCTATGTTCCATGTCGAAAGTTTATGTAGCTTATACTTTAACCAACCCATAGAATGATTTTGGCCAAAGAAATAATGGCACCCAGAGCGCAGATTGGACACGGTCTGAAATTCAGAGTAATTTACTGGATTCTAATAAGTTATTGATTAAATATGTAGTATTTCATAGATAATTTAGTCGAACAATCACTAGCCAAATAAGTAAGCATATATGCCTACCCGAGTAATGATTATGCACTTGTGACTTATTTGTGCAGAAAAGAGCATAAAGGTTTGAACACATTTATGTTAAGTATTTAGTTTACAATTTCTGACGCTGCTATTGAGAAAAAGCTCATCAGGATTACCCTAATTAATTTCTGGCAAACGAAAATGTCATCTGGGTGCCCCAGGCTAGTGAAGTATGGCAGTAATCTCCCTTCAGTCACAGCAGTGAGCAAGGTCTGGAAACCAACAGACATTGGAATTATCTAAGCTTGGGAAAAGAAACATGGACCAGAAAAAAATGACTGTTATCATTTTTAATTATTCCTTATTGCCTGGAAAATTTTACATAAAAAGTAAATGAAAGTATTTTATAATGCGTGGAAAGGCAATGACAGAAACTAGAAACCTTAGAGGACTTATAAAAACTTTTTTCTTATCTTATTATAAGGTAACTTCATGCATTTATCATTGTTACCCATTTAATAATATTGAAGTGGTGCAACCAGAGTCTTCGGCAGTATTTCTTAATCAGTTTTTCAGTGTTTTGAACTTATTTTCTTAAACTTGTATCTATTTTTTGTTATACTGTATTTGAAAAAACAAGAGAACATTAACATACTTTTCTTTTATATGTGATTATCTATTAAAATGTATAATGACATTTTTGCAAACCCTATGCTATAATGCTTTTCATTTTCATTTAATTTCTTTGAATGGCTAATCAAAATGCTGTAATTTCCCCCTTTTCAGGTGTGATTGGGGTAGGCCACTACTGTACTCAGAGGGGTTTCTCAGAAGAAGTGAGAGATTCTGTGACAAAATTGGTGCCTCTGACACGCCGACTATGGCAGATGACCAAGATTAAAATGCTTCCTACCCCTGCAAAATTCCATTATGTGTTTAACCTACGAGATCTTTCTCGGGTCTGGCAGGGAATGCTGAACACTACTTCAGAGGTCATCAAGGAACCAAATGTAAGTGACACTGAAGAAAGAAAAACAAATAACATTGCTATTAATGATATATTCTAAATATTTTTATTGATTTATTTTTTACTTGAACTGTGAACATATTTTGGAATGTTTCAGCATGGGTATTCTTTACTGCTTTTAAACTAACATAATGAAATAAATTATGTCAGAAAATGTCAGTCAATGATAAATTCCAATTAAATTAGGTTTGTGTTTTAAGAACATCATATACACAATTATTTTTTAATGAAAAGAATAAAAGAAACAATTGATTTATTTTCCCAGTTCTAGTATGAGAAGAAGATATGTTTCTTATACTAAATAATGGAAACAATCGCTATGGATTTTACTATATAATAGTCTTCATATTTTAAGCTTGACACTTTAACTTAAAAAGTAATTATCTTTATAATAAATATTCAAAATTAAAAAACCCATTTTGTTGATAATCATCTATGATTTTTCTTTTCCATGTAACTGGATGCACTAAAAGATTTACGTACATTGGTAAAGTTGAGGAGAGGCAGCAGCTTACGAAGTTCATTTAATAGAAAAATGATCATTTGTACACACACTTGAATATGACATTTCCCAGTGTTATAAGAATTTCCCTCAAACTAAGAATGCTATGTGAAAATCCAGTATGCTTTTGTTCCAAAGCGTAGCCTATGTGCCCAGGCTAAGACAGGGTTGGCCTCTGTTTAAGCCTTTCTAGAGCTAAAGAAGTAATTAAGCAAATGGGTTTTAGGGGACTTCTCCATATAAACACACAGAGACAGTTAAATTATCAACAAAACTGTTCATTAAGCACAAGTGTTGATTACTAAAAAAACTCACCTCTGTCCAGATGCTTGCAATATAGGTAACCAAACTTGCCGATTCTTTTTTTTTTAAAAAATTATTTGTTGATTTATTTTTAACTTTTATTTTAGGTTTGGGGGTACACGTGAAGGTTTGTTCCATAGGTAAACATGTTTCATGGGGGCTTATTGTACAGATTATTTCATCACCCAGGTATTAATCCCAGTACCCAATAGTTATCTTTTCTGCTCCTCTCTCTCCTCTCACCTTCCACCCTCAGGTAGACCCCAGTGTCTGCCATTTCTGTCTTTGTGTTCATGAGTTCTCATCATTTAGCTCCCACTTATAAGTGAGAACATGTGGTGTATTAGTCCGTTTTCATACTGGTATAAAAACTGCTGGAGACTGGGTAATTTATTAAGAAAAGAGGTTTAATTGACTCACAGTTCAGCATGTCTGGGGAGGCCTCAGGAAACTTAACAATCATGGTGGAAAACGAAGAGGAAGCAAGGCACCTTCTTCACAAGATAGCAAGAAGGAGAAGTGTGGAGCAAAAGGGGAAGAGCCTCTTATAAAACCATAAGATCTTGTGAGAACTCACTCACTATCAGGAGAACACCATGGGGGAAACAGCCCCTATGATTCAATTACCTCCTTGTGGTCTCTCCCTTGACATGTGGGGATTATGAGGATTACAATTCCAGATGAGATTTGGGTGGGGACATATCATGCAGTATTTGGTTTTCTATTCCTGCATTAGTTTGCTAAGGATAATGGCCTCCAGCTCCATCCATGTTCCCATGAAAGACATGATCTCATTCTTTTTTATGGCTGCATAGTATTCCATGGTGTATAGGTCACACATTTTCTTTATCCAATCTGCCACTGATGAGCATTTAGGTTGATTCTGTGTCTTTGCTATTGTGAATAGTGCTGCAATGAACATTCACGTGCATGTGCATAGTAGAATGATTTATATTCCTCTGGGTATATATACCCTGTAATGGGATTTCTGGGTCAAATGGTAGTTCTGCTTTTAGCTCTTTGAGGAATCACCATAGTGCATTCCACAATGCTTGAACTAATTTACACTCCCACCAATAGCATATATGTGTTCTCTTTTCTCTGCAACCTTGCCAGCATCTGTTATTTTTGACTTTTTAATAATAGCCTTTCTGACTGATGTGATATTGTATCTCATTGCAGTTTTGATTTGCATTTCTCTAATGATGAGTGATGTTGAGCTTCTTTTCATATGTTTCTTGGCCACATGTATGTCTTCTTTTGAGAAGTGTCTGTTAATGATATTTTGGGGAAAACTCACTTTCCTTCCTGCAGAGAAGTGAGAGTCAGTTTAGCGGCGTGAATATTTTAACTTGATTTTTTTCCCTCAAAGTTATTTACAAGTCAATGGAATTGTTGAAGTCAGTTTTCAAAGATTACTATTGAAATAGCCATTTTTGATGCTTATTTTAAATCAGCACAAACAATTCCAGCAATTGATGTTATCATAAACTTTTGTCTTAACTGAATCATTGAATATACTTCATTCAACTCCTTTTATATTCAGGCAACCAGATAGCATTCTATCATTAGTAATGCAATGGCTTAAAAATCTGTAACCTGAAAAATGTTACGAAGCTAAGAAATTTCCACCAGTCTTTCATATCAAATAATAAGCTTACACATACATTTGTTATTCTTGCTTACATACATTTGTTATTCTTGCTATATAAACAGGAGTATTGAGCAATTAATTTCCTCAACTTTCAGTTAACCTTGGACCTTGGATTATCTGGATTAGGTGCTTGCTTTTTTTTGTTCAGATAATCCAGTTTTTGCCACAAATTTTATTCACTTTGTGTTAAGTGAATACACCTTTGTAATTTTTCAGTTGTATACATGAGAGTTGTTCATATTCTGTATCTTATGTTATACTCTGGCCACATGAATATAGATGTCTTATTAAAAAGACTAATTTATTACAAACTGAAGACTTTTACGTAGAATATTAGTTTGTTGATTGGTCAGAGCAATTTTCAATATTATTGTTGGAGGATTTTTTCTTCTTACTTCAGAGACTGCAAATAAATAGACTACTTTCTATTTAATATACTTGAATGAGGACAATTTGAAGTGAAGTTGAGCATATTTGAACCCTAACTTTTTAAAATGTTGAATCTTAAATCAGGAAGGATAATACTCTACAGTACTGTCAACCTGAATTCCCAATTACGGCATAACAGGAATTACTAACACATTTTAATTATACTTTCAACAGGATCTGTTAAAGCTGTGGAAGCATGAGTGTAAACGTGTTATAGCTGACCGTTTCACAGTGTCCAGTGATGTGACCTGGTTTGATAAGGCTTTAGTAAGTTTGGTAGAGGAGGAGTTTGGTGAAGAGAAAAAACTCTTGGTGGATTGTGGAATTGACACATATTTTGTGGATTTCTTGAGAGATGCACCTGAAGCTGCAGGTAAACTATTGAAGTGGAATTTGGAATTCCCCAAAAGGTGTTCCCTAAAGGGAAATCTGAAGACAGAAGATTCAGTTTATGGATGTTGAGTTTCTTTCTAGTAAACTTTATTGATACAAGCCTGAGACACAGTAGATGCTCAATAAAACTAGGATGAGTGAATTAATGCATTATCATGGAGTTTAAAGACGAACTAGTTTATGCATATCACGCTTGGATATTAAAGTAGAGTTGGGGGGCAGGATTCGGTAGGAGAGAGTGCACAGGACTTGCAGTCTGGCAGACAGAGGTGAGTTTGAGGAAGGAATCCACCACACATTAGTTAGCTGGGCATCTCGGCACTCTCTTGAACCTCATTCATAAAAATGAAAGTATTACTATGTGCATCACATGCACCGTGGGGAGTCCATGAAATGTTATCTGTAGAATGGCTTGGGCAGTCTATGGCCTGTAGTCACTGCTAAATGAAAGGCAGCAAATATAATGATACTTATTATTATTCAGGTCATCCTGAATGTTGAAAATAAAAAGGAAAACTTCCAATTGTATGAGAGGGTCATTAAATGTAATTGGAATGAGATGGCTGATGTGGGGCAAGCTTTTGTGATTATGGTTCCAGGGGAAATTGAGATATATGACTTTTCTTATGAAAAGAGGCAGTGCTCCACTTTTTTTCCCCTCAGAAGTAACTAGGCTTAGTTAAAAATATTTTTCTTTCATTTAACCTCTTCTAATACTGAGGATGGATTTTAAGTTAATTTGCAGATTTTTAAAAGCATGTTTAAAAACATGCTAAGTATATCTTGAAAATGATTGGAAATGACTAGGCAGTGCTTCTCTAGATTTGATAACTGTAAATGTGAACTATCAAAAGTTTCTGAGTGACAATTGCAAAATAATGTTTATTTCTGGAGATGCAATTGGAATGATCCTTCTGCAGAAAGAAGCTGACACATTTTATTTTAATCAGGTCAAACACATACAAAAATCCTGTAAGAGTAAGGGCATCTTACAAGGTAATTAAAATGTATGTAATTTATTCCCTGTAATTCAGAAGGATAAATAATCAGATTATGATTTTCAAGGACCAAAGCACAACTGCTGCATTTTGGGGGCCGGGGGAGGGTCTAGAGACAAATGCATAACCTTTTGTGTCATTGAAACACTATTTCTCAAAGCTTGATTTGGGCATTTATGAGAATTGTGACTACTGGAATTTGATTAGTGAGAGCTTTGCAGATAGGTCAATCTTCATGATTGTGTTAAACCAATCTCATTTGTTATAAAAAGATTAACATACTATTATGTTAGGACACAGTCAATTGAAAATAATTATGTACTATAAGGTTAGAAAGACCCACTCATTCTTCTCGTACCCAGTGAAATTCTAAGTCGTTATTGGTATATTCAACTAATGTGTCCCTTTTTTCCCTATTACTAATGTTAATTGATTGTGAATTTATAGGTGCCCAATTTAGCTTTTTCTTGGGCATTATCCTTTTTTTTTTTTTTGAAACAGAGTCTCGCTCTGTTTCCCAGGCTGGATGCAGGCTTGGCTTATGGCAACCTCGGCCTCCTGACGATTCTCCTGCCTCAGCCTCCCGAGTAGCTGGGACTACAGGCATACACCACCAGGCCTAGCTAATTTCTGTAATTTTAGTAGAGATGGGGTTTCACCATGTTGGTCAGGCTGGTCTTGAACTCCTGACCTCAAGTGATCTGCCCACCTTGGCCTCTGCTTTGTAGTTAACACTGGAAAAGTGTTAAGCTGGTATATTATATGTTTCTAATTTTTTAAAAAAGTATATTGATTTTAATACATCTTGCCCTAGTGAAATAATCGAATATGCTTATTCATTTTGGAAATTATTTTTCTATTTCTCTCAACCCTCCACCCCATATTCTAATTCACTTCTATTTTTACCACTGACCTGAGATTCATGAATTATAAAAATTTCCTGAGTAAATGCAATAACCTTTTTCTTTTTATTCTTATCAAACAGTTTTGTAATTCTTGACCTCCCTTGCTGATTCTGACATTCAGCACTTGACCATTAAGCTAATATATCTGGGAGGACCTTTGAAATGCCAATAATCAGTTGTGGGTTCAAATTCAATTCAATGACGATAATATTATTTGAAATTGACTCTTGCTGGATAGGAAACAACAAAGACTGCATATGATCACAAAAATCCTAACGCTTCTATTGTTGTCTTCTGTTTTTGCAAAATACACACTATGGCATTTAGCTTAAAATGAATGTTATTCAGTGTTAGGTTGTAGAGCTTTGAGTGTATTAATTTAGATTGAAGTAAAATGCAGGTATTTGCAGAAACTTAACTGATTCTTATTTCCCACCAAAGGTGAAACATCTGAAGAGGCTGATGCTGAAACACCTAAAATTTATGAGCCAATTGAATCTTTTAGTCACCTAAAAGAGCGTCTGAATATGTTCCTGCAGCTCTATAATGAGAGCATCCGTGGCGCCGGCATGGACATGGTGTTCTTTGCAGATGCCATGGTTCACTTAGTCAAGGTACAGTAGCCACTCTGAGTAGTGCCTTGTGGAGGTGACAGACATTTGGCTTCACACCATGGTCCTCTCCCTCTCTTATTTTCATTTCCTAGGAGAATCTTCAGTTTAAAATTAGACTCCATGCTATATTCCAATTTAATTTCTAAGCTGAATGCAACATGTCGCACCTTATAGACTTGAAATAAGAGCCTGTGTACTTTAAATGTGTGATGTGATAATTTTATTCAGTGTTTCTATATGGCTTCCAGCTCAGTGCTTTCACCACGGAGGATGAATATGGTTGACATCTGAGTTCAGAGCACAGGCAAAGTCTACATCTTTTTGTATCATGCAAAGAATATCCTATAAAAAAATAGTACATAAGCCTTGAGGACATTATGTTATGTGGAGTAAGCCAGACTCAGAAGGGTAAATACTGTATAATTCTACTCATATAAATCCCCAGTGTAGCCAAAATCAGAGACAAAAAGTAGAATGGAGAATTCCAGGGTTGGGTGGAGAGACGATTGGGGAGTTAGTGTTAAATGGGTACAGAGTTTTAGTTTTGCAAGATGAAAAGCATTGTGGAGATCAGTGGTGCTGATAGTTGCACAACAATGTAAATGTACTTAATGATATTGAACAATATACTTAGTGGTTACAGTGGTAAATTTTAGATTATGTGTATTTTACCATGATTAGAAACAATAATTTAAAAATAGTGTATAAACAGTTGACTTTGAGATGAAAATTCTGTTAGAATGAAATCCACCATGAAAGTATAATTTCTATTCTAGTTTGTCATATGAGAAGGGGTTCCCAGCCCCGGGGCCGCAGACCAGTATGTGTCTGTGGCCTGTTAGGAGCAGGGCTGCACAGCAGGAGGTGAGCAGCAGGTGAACATGCAAAGCCAAGTTCTGCCTCCAGTGGCATTAGATTTTCATAGGAGCCCGAACCCTGTTGTGAATGCTCATGTGAAGGATCTAGTTGCACGCTCCTTATGAGAATGGAATGCCTGATGATCTGTCACTGTCTCCCATCACCCTCAGATGGGACCATCTAGTTGTAGGAAGACAAGCTCAGGGCACCCACTGATTCTACATTATGGCGAGCTATATAATTATTTCATAGTATATTACAATGTAATAATAATAGAAATCAAGTGCACAATAAATGTAATGCGCTTGAATCATTCCAAAACCATCACTCAGCCCCGTCCCATCCGTGGAAAAATTGTCTTCCACAATACTGGTCCCTGGTGCCAAAAAGGTTAGGGACTGCTGATATGAGTCATTACCGTATCCATTTTTAGGACAGTTGATCCTCAAAGGTTGGAAGTAGAATATATTATTTTATTTGAAAACTTATGTGACTTAATTTATCTACAGTGCAAGAAAATGCCATGTAAAAATCCATTGTTGATATTCTCACTTAGTTGATATCAACTACTTTTCCGGACTACATCCTTTTAGTTAGAAAGAAAATGATTCGACACTGTCTTCCATGATTTAGGTTCCACCGTGAGGAACCACTGCACAATTACAAATTGTCACCTCTAAAAATTACTGAATCTACAAACGGAGGGGGTTTTAGAGGTTATCTAGTCAACCATTCCTCTGAAAATAGGGATTACCTGCTCCTTTTCCCTGCAAGAAAGAAAAGCATTTCTGCAAGGCTGGAGTAAGTCAGAGAGAGGGAGGAAGACAGAGAGGCTGCTCAGGAGTTGGGTCTCCCCAGCACGAGGGCACTTGGCTTGGCAACTCTGTGGATTCTCAGAATCTGAGGCATCTGTACCGAATTATGAGCTCAAATATTCTTCCAAAGCCAACTATAAATAACATTTTGAAATTCGCTCTTAATTTATAGTTGATTAAGAGTTGTTTCAGGAAGAATAAACATTCTGTCATTTTTAATAATTAAAAGGAAGAAAAAGGAAAGGAAAATATATTTTCCAAATGAGTATTACCAAAGGCAATTTCATGACAAATAGCCTGCCTGCTGGAGACAGAATCTGAATGACCTGGGATTTCATAGCTCAAGTTGAAGATGCAGTTATTTATGTTAAGTGTCGTGCTTGAGCAAGTTCACTAGAACTGCCGTTTTCTCCATGATTCGCAGCCCAGATGATGAGTGAGGAGGCTTTCTTGAAACACTTTGGGTGTGATGTTGGAGGTGTGAATGCCTCGGTGCTGGGGCCTCGCTGGTGTTTTCTCTCACTCTCTGCCTCTTGTCTGTCTGCTCTGGAATTGGCTGAAGAATCCGTGACTAGAGTTTTTGAGCTAAAATGTTGCATTCCTCTCCACTTCCCGGCTGGCCCTGTCTTCTCTCATTTTCTGTGCACAGCGCTTCCACGCTCTGTGTCATGCTGCTGTGAGCCTTGAAATACGTGGCCTAGTTACAAGGCACGATAGAAGCCAAGAGTAAGAACTGCAGACAAAAACTGCAGCAAAACAGGATATGATATGAGACCAAGCCTATTTCTTAGTTCCTTTCTTAGTTAGAAACTCAATTTTCTTTCAGTACAGTGTATCTGTGTGATACCTCTTTTGTCTCTTTGGTGAAAGTTCAAACCATGGTGTATATGGTTTTGCATGATCTAGTTCCTGCTTACCAGCCAGCCTCCCGAGTCATGCTCTGCCTGGTGTGTGATCCAGAACAACGGGCTGCTTATGGGTAAACAAATCATGATCCTGGAGCGCCTCCCCCATGTGTATTCCCCACCCATATACTACCTTGTGGAAAGTTTATCTGTGTGTTTGTCTCCCTATCAGAAGACTAGGCTCTAGGAGGGTGGGTTCCCGTCTTAGTGACCTCAGTCTTGACAGGATGGACCACTGCTGAGAACCACACAGAGAATCTGGATACATTGTCTGGAATTTAATCAAGTCCCCCAAATAAGCCCTAAACAATCCTTTGCTGCCTTATATCCTGATATTTCCATACCTCATACTGAAGTTCTCACCCCAGGGGGCACTTCAGGCCTTTTGCTAATTCTGAGATACTGTGTGTCTCACTCCTTCTTTAAAGGTAGCTCAGCTCATGCCTGGCATACCACCTTCTTTGTGTGATGTACTTCTAGTCATCCAAGTCTAAGTCCAGCTCTGCACCTAAGACATACCTCACCCAGGCGGGGATGTTTCCCCAGCATTCTTTTCTCTGGTTGCCATCACTCCTGTCTCTGTGCCAGTGCTCACCATGGCTCATGACCCCAGCCTCTGTCCCCTGTTCCAGCGTGAGCTCCTGAGGGGCAGGGTGGACATTATTCATTTTTGAGTACTTGCTGATGAAATTAAAAACGCATACCTCCACCTCACAATCTGTATATAACAGGACAAAATAGCCCTATTTGAGGGTCTCACTGGATTTAACTAGATTATGAGGTTTTGAGTCTGCTTTGCAAGCCTTCTCTGTTCATGTATCTGTTCCTTTGTCAGATATGTTTTGAGGGTTTACCATGTGTTTTAATGTAAGACCTTGGCCCAGTTCCAAGTAAAGGTTTTGGGATGAGGATTCCTTAATACCTAATTAACAACATCTTGATATATCCACCTACATCAAAGGAAATGATGATGGTTGAAAAGTGGCAACCAAGGAAAGACACAGAATGTTCTAGTGTGGCTTCCAGTAGCTTCTTACCCACCGTCTGTGCCTCTTGAAGCTGTGTCAGGGGAAGATCTGAAGAGGCATGTGTGACCACCTCCACCCACAATGACTTTGGCGAGAACCACATAGAGGGGACAAGCAGGAGGCTGGAAAAACAGGGCATATGCACCTACCAGTCCTGCAGGTTCTCAGGTCCACATAGAGATGGAAAATATGTTCTCCTTTTCCCCAGGTTCACACTAAACTGGGGAAAGTAATTCAAAACCAGGCATATTTTCAACAGGAATAGAATGCACTGCAGCTAGTGAGGGAATTCTGAGAAAGGATGTTTAACAAAAACTTGGCAGAATGCAGAGCCCCAGTGACTTCAGGAAGCTTCCCTGGCTGTGGAGAAGTGACCCCTTCCAGTCCCTGCCCAGCCTCTATCATTCTTCTAAGAAAGATGGACATCGCAGTGATACCCCTAGGCTCAAAATGCAGTTAGGAGGGAAAGAGAAACAGTTCTTGCATAAGGTATAAAGAACATCAAGGGGAATTTTATTCCCATCTCTCCTAGGTAGGTTTGGAAGACTGATGGTGTAACTAGTCCATTCAACACCAATAAAGCCAAATAAACATGGACTTCTGCCACAAGGGGGCTGTGGAATAGTCTTGGGCTATTGAACAGTGTGAAGTGGCCCCCCTGACCCATCTATAATCACTTATTGGTAGATACCTTAGGTATCACTGTCTTTGCCAAGTAATAGGAGGGTGTTTATGCTCATTTTCTTTCTTTTTAAAATTCCAACATCTATACCATATGTATTAGTTCGTTTTCATGCTGCTGATAAAGACATACCCAAGACTGGGAAGGAAAAGGTTTAATTGGACTTATAGTTCCACATGGCTGAAGAGGCCTCAGAATCACGGTGGGAGGCGAAAGGCACTTCTTACATGGCGGCGGCAAGACAAAAAATGAGGAAGATGCAAAAGCGAAAACCCCTGATAAAACCATCAGATCTCATGAGACTTAGTCACTACCACAGGAACACTGTGGGGAAGCCGCCACCTTGATTCAATTATCTCCCACCAGGTCCCCACCACAACATGTGGGAATTATGGGAGTACAATTCAAGATCAGATTTGAGTTGAGACACAGCCAAACCATATCACCTCATTTTGGGGGTTTTTCTTCCCTTCAATTTAAATTTGAACACTTTTCAAATGTGGAGGATATTCTCATCAACGACGATGCCCTGTATGCCAAGGGTAGACATTGTTCTGACATTTCTGTTCTCCTTCCTGTCATACACTATTAGGTCAGACCAACTAACAGGAATCCTCAAAGTCCCCTTTAGATAGATATCTCCTTTAAAAGCCAGAGCAAGCACGGTCTCGGCTGTGTGTTGACTTTTCTGCCCTGGTGTCCTCCTACTTCCTAAAGGCACACCCCACGGTTCCCACCCCGTCTGATGCAGCCCAACACTGTTCTATTTCAGAAATGCCCTCATTCCTTCAACCAGTGTGTCTCCAGTCTGATCTTGAGACACCTATATCTTCCAAAATAATAATTAGGCCTTATTCATATATTGAATAAATAGGAAAAATAGAACATTTACATGTTGAAAGATACATACTTTTTCTGTTCCATATTACAGATCTCTCGTGTCATTCGTACTCCTCAGGGAAATGCCCTCCTGGTCGGGGTGGGCGGATCAGGAAAGCAGAGCCTGACGAGGTTGGCTTCATTCATTGCTGGCTACGTTTCCTTCCAGATCACTCTGACGAGGTGACAACCTTTTACTTTAACAAACCTAACATGGATTTTGATAAAAGGTGCTCAGAGGCCACCTGAAGTTCAAATGCATTTCTCTTACATATAAAGAGTCACAGTCATTTTCCTTCTTGAATGTTGACTTATCATCTTCCCCTGTCAACCTTTGTCATAGATCATAAACATTTCACAGTCATAATTTGCTTTTGAAATATTTCAAACTCTCACTTAGTAGCCACCTCCCTACTTTTATGTTATATATGATAGTGTATTACATGCACTACTTTTGGTGAATTTCAGAAGACAATTGTCCCTGTTGAGTGTTAATTCAGATTTCAAGGATGTTAATACAATGGAAAAATAGATGAAGATTTTATATTGGTTTACTCATTCCAACATTTCAGAATAGTTATTGAACACTGCCTATGTGTCAAGCTGTGGCTAGGTGAGCAAGGTGAATCTAGCCGTATCATCAGGGATTTTGTAGCAACTCAAAGGGACAGACAACTAAGCAACCCAACTCACCCAGTAAGGTGTGATTCATAGGCACCACCTATGATAAGGAAATACATGCAGACCAAATCCTATTGAAGCTTGAGGGAGGAGCTCCTAACCTAGTCTAAGGGATGATTAGAAAAGACTTCCTGGAGAAAGTGATTAAACTGAAACCTCAATATGAGGAAGACTGAGAGCAGAAGAGCAGTTAAGTGTGTTCAAGGCAGAAGAATCAGCACAGGTAAAGTCAGTCCTGGAAGAAGTTAAATACTGCAGAGTGTACAGTGTAGGGTGACAAGTGGGAATGGAAGAGAAATGGAGGCCTTTAAAGTGATGATAAAAAGTCAGACTTCATCCCAGAGCAATAGGAAACCATTGATGAGTTGCTCCTAGGGAGGACATGTCAGGTACATTTTATGTACAGAAAATAGAAGGAACTAAAATAGAATAGTTATAAGGCTGTCTCAGGGGTCTGGGCAAGCCATGATGCTGTCATGAGTGGCAGCAGTGAGAATGGAGAATAGAGAGTGGAAATGGAAAAGATCATCAGGAAGTTGGAGCTTCAGGGCTTGGTGCATCCTGGTTTCTGGCTTGGGAAACTATCTAGATGGTGCTGCTTCTTATCAAGACAAGGAACCCCAGGGGAGTTGACCACAGATGTGGGTGTAGTGCAGGGAGAAAGCATAATTAGCACATGAAAAGTGAACATGAAGAAATAAACAGAGGTGATTTGGAGAGGTGAAACAGAATTTCAGGATTAACCAAGATAAGGTTAGAACCAGGAGACCAGTTTGGGAAGTTAGGTTGGGCTGAAAATCATTTGACGTTAATTTCTAGGTGTAGGAGCAAGAAGTCAGGCACTGATAAGCAGAACATGCTGCTGACCTGTCTCATTGAGGGAGGCCCATAGATACCTGCTAGGATGAAGGCTGAAAGTTACTAAGCATTGGGTTTGGAGATTCAAATATTTAAGCTGTTGTTACACTTTGTGTTTTGTCTGACCTATAGGGTTCTTCTTGGAGAATAAATCCAAAGATTACTGTTTTATTCAAGTACTGGGACAGAGAGAAATAATTCTAGTTACCTTGCATATGATTCTTCTAGTTTTTGGTTAGAAATCAAGCTACATAAAAGGCAACCTGCACAGGAAAGGGATTGGACTCAAATTTTTGTTCCTAACATTTGTATAAAACCTTGTAGTTTTCAAAGCACTTTTACATGCATGAGCTAATTTGATCTTCAAAAAAACCTCGTGAGTTAGTAGGACAGATAGCAGTAGCCCATCTTGCAGCTGAAGCTCAGAGAGGCTATGGCTTGCCCAACATCTCTGATCTATCTGGGAATTGATTGTAGGATTTCTGGTTTCTAGTCTTGTGTGACTTTTACTGCACCACAGTGCCACATCCAGTATACCCAACCACCACTCTCACTGTGGCAGACTAGTTCCTCTGCATGTCATACTGGGAATGATCCATTACTGATGAGACGAAGGGCCAGGGTCTTTCTTTCCTTTTCATAGCTTTCAAGATGTTATCAAACTTCTAAAGGCTTTGTATAGCCATGTGGCTAAGGCTGAGATGCAAGAGACTCTCATTTGGGAACCACAACTATTTGTTGGTGTCTTAGGCCATATTATTTGAGGCAATGGGCCCTTGAGATCCAAGAGATCGGGTTGAAAATTTCCCCCATATCACAAGAAGCTGGGTGAGATGTTTTCCTCTTTTCTTTCTTTCTTTTTCTTTCTCTCTCTCTTTCTTTCTTTCTTTCTTTCTTTCTTTCTTTCTTTCTTTCTTTCTTTCTTTCTTTCTTCTCTCTCTCTCTCACTTTCTCTCCCCTCCCTCCCTCCCTCCCTTCCTTCCTTCCTTCCTTCTTTCCTTCCTTCTCTCTTTCGTTCTTTCTAGAGGCTGCATCTTCTAATTGTTTTCTGATCTCTCGGATCTCACTTCTCTAGGTGTCTTCTAGAAGTATTTGTTTTCTGATCTCTCGGATCTCACTTCTTTAGGTGTCTTCTAGAAGTATTTGTTTTCTGATCTCTCAGATCTCACTTCTCTAGGTGTCTTTTAGAAGTATTTGTTTTCTGATCTCTTGGATCTCACTTCTTTAGGTGTCTTCTAGAAGTATTGATGCATAGTTGTGATATTTCCAATTCTAGGGTGTAGGTTACAGAAGTTAGAAAAAGGTAGAGTTAAATATTCACTAGTTTTTAAAAAATCAGATGGCTCTTTTCTCTTGCACCCTGAATTCTGAGTTTATTTCATGACTAAAGTACAAATAATAATTTAGTAAGTCTGAGTCTCCAGAATTGGGATAATTTTATTTATACTTTTGGCATAATGTAGCACTCCACAGTGGGAACTCTCTAATATTTCCTGATTGTAGGTTCACTTCCACCTAAAGATTGCTTTGGGTAATTAGAGAACCTTCAGACTGGGATATTTCACAACGTTTCCAGGTAGTCTAGTACAGTGTACTGATTGCTCAGAAAACAAGTTTATTTATGTATAATACAAACATGCAATGATGATAACGGTGTTGGGGGATGAGGCAGGCACTGTTTATAACAGGGCATCTCACTCACCCTGTATAACCAAAGTTTGCATTTATTTATTTTAGTTTAATTTATGAGTTGTCATCTCAAATACCAATTGCCAATCAAATATCAATAATTGAATTTGACTTTTATCATTGTCAAAAAATTTTGAGAAAGATACATTTTGAAATGTAATGACATTTGGTTGTGATAAAAATTCTATTTTTGTTCCAGGTTGACTTTTCAGTATAGTTTTTTATGTAGAAACATTAATTAATTATAATGTTTTATGAAATGTGGATTTTTAAAAATTAACCAGTAACATTCATATAGAATACATACGTATACGATAGAACAAAATCAGCATTTTTTTGTTAGCTAAATGGCATAATGCGTTGTTACAAGGTTCTTTCCCTCTCATGAAAATATTTTAGCTAATGACAAAATGAAAATATTTCTTTAGATCCTACAACACATCAAATCTGATGGAAGATCTGAAGGTTTTGTATCGAACAGCTGGTCAGCAAGGCAAAGGAATCACTTTTATTTTCACAGACAATGAGATTAAAGATGAGTCATTTTTGGAATATATGAACAATGTTTTATCATCAGGTGAGGTAGGAGCTCATTTATTCTTTATGTGTTTTATCCCTTCAGATTTCCTCCAGCTTAGAGCTCTACATGTTTTCTTCCATTAGTGGTGTGAATAAGTGCTATTGGGGATGGGTATTAAGTGATCAGTATGAAGGATGGGTTTTTCTATTGGGTTTTTGAAGAATAAAACTCTCCATCAAAATTTGGAGCTAAGCATTGAAAACATCAGTGAATGTTCCAATAACAAATGAAAAAAACAGAAGAGCGAAGTTAGAAAGAAAGCTAATTAGATTTTTGGCATGTCCATTTACTCCTTTCCGGGGCTACAACTTTGCAGTTAATAGTAGAATCATTTATTTATTTTAAAACGTAGTGTATTTCATCTTGAAAACTTTCAATTTTCTGTAGGTGAGTTCAAGAACACAAATGGAGAAAAGACATTCTGTGTATTAAGCTCTACATTTTGATCTATTTTCCTATGTGTGTACTGAATTTGCATGCCTGTACTTCTTTTTAAGGTCTCTAACCTATTTGCTCGAGATGAAATTGATGAAATTAATAGCGACCTGGCATCAGTCATGAAAAAAGAATTCCCCAGGTGCCTTCCTACCAATGAGAACCTGCACGACTACTTCATGAGTCGGGTCCGACAGAACCTTCATATTGTGCTCTGCTTCTCGCCAGTGGGGGAGAAATTTCGAAACAGAGCTTTGAAGTTCCCTGCCCTAATTTCAGGATGCACAATTGACTGGTTCAGCCGATGGCCCAAAGATGCTTTAGTTGCTGGTTAGTATGGAAATGTTTATGCCAGGGCATAACATGTGTTCAAGGATTCTAGTTCTTTCAGGGATGCTTGAAGGCTCTGCCTCAGCTGGATCTCCAGGCAGGCTCCAGGATGTCATGGGAAGGCACAGAGGTTTAATCTCATGGACAGCATTTGTGTTCTTTTTAAGTAGGTTTGTCAGCCCAAGAGTGGTTAAAGCCAAGTATCTCTTGGACATTTCCTTCTCAAGGCTGCAATGCTGAGAATCAAAGAGGAAAACATCATCCAGCAATTCTCTGCTGGTTTCTGTCCTTGACAAAAGATGTTAACCAGCATGGTCTCTGACTGGACCCTTTGCTGCTTCTGCTTCTTTCTGATCTTCCATGCCATGGACCATTAGTGCTTCCTTACTTTGCAAATGAAATTGGAACATAAAAGTAGTAGAGGAGAGGTTAGAGAGCGTACATTTAGCTTTTTTTTTTTTTTTTTGAAAGCTTTTGGTGAGAAATTGTCTGTTGATATTTTAAAAGAAACAGATACCCAGGTCTCATCCCTATTACATCAGAACATGAGGAGAACCCTGATTCAGGACAGTAGTTTTCAAATTTTTAAAAATGTTTTATGCAGAAGAGCCTTATTTTCCAGTAATACCTTACAAGTAGTCCTAGTAGATAAAACAGTGAAAAGTAGATGGGGGTTGCCGGAGGAAGCATTCTGGAGTCTCATCCTCTTACTCCCCACTTCTACTGCCCTCACCATTGCCTCTACAGCTCTGTGGTACCCCATCTGAGAATGACTGATTAACCCATCTCTTGCTCTTTAGAGAAGGAGAAACTGAGGAGCATGAAGTTGAGGGTTGCCATAGGTGGAAAAAGTTAGTGGGATCAGTACTGAGACTGAAACCTAGGTTGTCTGTCTGTCTGTCTGTCTGTCTATCTATCTATCTGTATTTCTCTCTCTATTATCTATCTAAATATCTATTAATTATCTATCCATCGATCCATTATCTATCCATCTATCTTTATCTGTCTATTATCTATCCATCCATCTATCCATCATCTATTTATTGATTATCTATCAATTACCTATTCTTAAAACAAATTCTTACCTACTGGGGAAGTTTTATTCTCAGCGCTTCACTATTGACAGTAGTGGTTTTCCAATCTGTGGCTTTTAAACACAGAATATTTTAACATGTTTGTGATATAAATTTACAGCACAGTTCTGCCTTTTGTCTTAGAAGTTTGAGAAAAGGCCAGTGATTTAAAATTTAAAGTCCCATAAAAATGTAAATATAACTGGAGGTAAGATTTGAAAAAAAAAAAAAACAAAAAGGAGTGTAGCTCTTAATACAAAAAGTCACTGATGAAAGGAAGGAAATTAATAAAAAGAACAAAAGACCTTAAAAAAAAGATTTTAAAACTCAAGTAGGATATACATGCAGAGCACAGATCAAGAGTATTTCAGAGCTATGTTAAAGTTTATTATGAAATACAGTTATCAATATGCAAGTACTTCATAAAATGCTCTGTAAGGTATTAACAATGGAAATAACAATTTCAGGTGACAGATACTATAATATGCCAAATTAAGATGATTTACATATGAAGCTCTTTTTGTTAAGTTCCTATTTCAGTCATCTCTTCTTTTGTAGACAAAGGTCTTATTGATCCCTCCTTTGTTAATTTCTCATTGTCCCATTCTTTTAAATCTTATCACACCAACACAAACCAAGATTACATGGAGGGCAGAGAAACTTTCCTTTCTTTATCCTCAGTTGCTAGCAAATATCCCAACCTTCATGCATTAATCTATTTGTTCATTTATTCGGAACGTACATATTGAGCTTCATGATGTTATTGGACAGACTCAAGACAAGACAGACTTGTCAACAGACACAAGACAGACTGAATTCTGTACTCCAGAGTCTCTCCCCAGGAAAGCTCGTCCACAGCCTCCTTTATAATACGTGCCATCAATTTTTTCTCCGGTCTAGTCTGTCTCCTGGCTTGAAATCTGTGTACTCAACTGCCTGCCTGGTCCATTCTTATGGATGCTTCACAAGTTTCTTAAACTGAAAATGTCTGAAACTCAAATTGTCTCCCCCTTTCAGGAAGGGCCATTATCGCTCATCAAACTAGGCAACCTGAGACCCCTTTGTCATCAACACCTCCCCTTTTCTCCAACTCTCAAGTCTTATCCATCACCAAGTCATCTCCCTTTCACTGACATCCTAGGCCAAGCTATCATTGCTGCTCACCTGGAAAACCCAAATAGCTTTCTAATGATCTCTTCAACTCTTTCACCTGTCCCCCATCCATCTCACATTGCAGACAGAAAAACGGTAAAAACACAAATACAGTTGCATTTATTTCTGCTTAAAACCTCCATGTCTTCCTATTGTTCTTAGGAAAAATCACAACCTTTAGCAGGCCTTCGTGCTGGGAAGAGCTGATCCTACCTACCTCCCCAGGCTCTCCTGAGGTCCCTTTTCTTTCCTGCTCTGTTTTCCTGGATCCTTGAATATGCTCTTTTTTTTTTCCCCCAGTTGTGTTCCATGCAATGCTCTCCTCCTCCTATTTCTCCCCACCCACTCCTCCTTTGTCTGGATAATGCTGGCTCAGCTAAATGTCATCTCTTCAGGAAAATCTTCCTTTGCTTCCCTCCGTTTCCCCCCAAGCCAGGTCCTCTGTTATCCATTCCATAGCACTCTGTGCTTTTTCTTCTTGGGATTAACCACAGTGTGTAATTTATGTACCTCATTGTGTTAATTATTTGATGAATGCTTACTAGACTAAAAACTAAATTAATGTCTTACTAGACTAAAAACTCCCATGAGGTCAAGAACTACACATCCTTTGTTCAAATTTCAGCAGCTACTGGTGTTTGATACTTATGACGTTGAATGAATGGATCAGACTGTGTAGAAATTCATCATCTTTCCATAATATGGCCTTGATCACTTGCAGTCTTTCTCTAGTTCAACTTTGGATATACCTCTTTTCCCTCTGAACATGCTTTAATCATCCTTATCCTTTCACACTAGTCCCTCTACCAAGAATATTCTTCTCCATCTTTTTTATTTATTCAATCTCCAAGGCTTAATCAAGATACATCACATCCTTCAATCCTCCTTTGTTCTCTTTGGAATATTTGAAATTTTCCCATTTTCTTGGACCTCCTATATCTATAACACTTATGCTTTACATAATTTACCTGCACATTTAAATCGTTTTAAATCTTTTGATAACCAGTAATTTTTGTGGTTATAGCTCCAATTTAGTCTATTTACAGCCTGCATACTACATAAATGTTTAATACTATGCTAGTCATAGTAATGGATAAAAGAACTAAAAGACATAAGACATGGTTTCTTTCTTCAATAAATAGAAAATCTTGTTGGGAAAATCAATGTCTCCACACCCAATACTAACCTGCCTAGTGTTATCCTGAAAGAATACCATCTGTGAGTATTAGAAGTACTTAGACACTTAGGGATTTCAGTGTTATTTATTCTTTTTAGAAAATTAGCAACAAGGTTTCTAGAAAAACTGTTATTTTAGTTGCCTTAAGGATATTGATTCTGAATTAAATTATTACCTCCAGCTGCATCTAGAAAGAAATATATCATTCGTTTGTGTTAGCATTTCATTTAGATCATAAGAAATATTTCCAATAAAATAAAATATTACATTATTATGTGTTTTTCTAATTTAAAGAAGCCCCTAGGGCTGATACTGGATTTTGTAGTAATTTTAATAACTTCTAAATACCTTTGGAAAAAAAGTGAGTTTTTTATATGTATGAATTTAAATGGACTGAATCTGTTGATGAATCATTTAAAGAAAAATATGCTTTATGTTGTAAAATCCCTGGAGGTAGCCCCAAAACTGGCATTACTGCCTTGGTGATGGGATATTGAAGATGACAGAAGGGTTTTCTGGCCTCTTGACTGAATCTCAGCAGGCACGGGTCACTCTAAGAGGGAGTGTTCTGCTTCTTTCTGTAACCTTTCCTGCACCAGAGATCCTGGGTCTGTGGAAAAATATACTTAGAATCCATCCTGATTTTATTCTCTTTGACTTTTTGGAGAGACAAAAGGACAATTTGCTACGTAAAGAATAAGGTCACCATTATTGATACTGTTTGTTCAGATAAGAAGAAAGAAAATCATTACATGATAAATACAAGGAAGATTTCAGAAAGCGGGCACTTCCCCGAGAATATCCCATAATGCCAAGTAAAGCATTGATCATCATGCCTGGCACATGGTAGACATCGCAGCCATTGTGGTTAACACCTACACAAAATGTATCATAAGTATGAATTGTTCTATGGTTCCAGTACCTAGACTTGAACTTCTTAGAGTTTAAACCGTTCTTTGTACTGGTTGGCTAACTTATATGAGAAAATGTGACTTAATTATTGCCTTTTGGTATATGGTAAACTGTTTTTGTAATGAAGCCGATGAATTGTCTCTATTATTTACATAAATGTAAATACAGCCCCACAATAACAGCCTTAAGAACTTAATTTAGTGATTGGGTACTGATGGTGATAAGTACTATTTGTATGTCTTTGCCTTTTTAAGCCTTGCTTACTTGATTCATTTCTCTCCCATTTTATTGACCATATTTCTCTTTACAATACTTATATACATAGGTTGTTTCTTCTGAGATACATAGAAATGGTTGTGATAATTTTAACCGTATTTTGTGTGATGCTTGTAAATTCCTTGGGGTTGAGACCAAGTTTCACGTTCCTCTTTCATTCCATGGCACCCGTCGCAGTGGTGGCTCCGCAACAGGCATTCAGTGTACATGGTGATTGATGAGCCTATTCCCATAGCAGGGAAGGCTGTCTTAGAATTGGTCCCCCATTTGGCAATGTGGGGAAGGTAAAGGTCTCCAACAGGAGACTTTTTACCCAAACATTCTAAAAGAATACTGTAAATAAGAACTGACCACAAATGACCAGCTGCCACATTTAAGAACAAGATGACTCCAGCATAAAAAAATTTAGTGATGAGCGTTTCCACATGCCAAATGCAGTCAGAGCCAGGGTGGACTAAGGGTGTGATAGGTTCTGAGTGACAAAATAAATGGCATTGTTAAATATGAGTACCAGGTGGGCACTGATTTCTGAGTTATTTGTACCATTTGTCCTGATGTAAACCATAAAACAGGTTGGCTGCTGACCAGAACCTGCAGCTGTGTAGAAGAGATGTCTCTGCACAAGCACCAGGCAACAAAGAGTGTTGATAGGCTTAAAGTGTTTTTATAGTTTTATATATACAACAGAAAATAAAATTGTTGATGTTATAGGCCTGGGGCCAAAAATGCTGACACAGATCTACCTAGCTGGGGCTACAAAAATGGTTTGCATTCCTAAGAAATGTCTAAGTTTTAGAAATAAACAGTTAACTTTTAAAAGGGTAACTTACATACATATTTCACACACTGTCATCTTTATTCTCTCTAGTGTCTGAACACTTCCTCACTTCCTATGATATTGACTGCAGTTTGGAAATCAAGAAGGAGGTGGTCCAATGCATGGGCTCCTTCCAGGATGGGGTGGCTGAGAAGTGTGTTGATTATTTTCAGAGATTCCGACGTTCTACCCACGTGACGCCCAAATCATACCTCTCCTTTATTCAGGGCTATAAGTTCATATATGGAGAAAAGCATGTGGAGGTGCGGACCCTGGCCAACAGGTAAGTGTGATGTTCTTATACAAAGCTATATTAAAGCCGTGGCTCTCAACCAGGGACAGATTTGCCCTGGTGGCTATTTTGCAATGACCGGAGACATTTTGTGTATCATAGCTGTGGCGGCAGGGCAGGGAAGGGGTACTGCTGGCATGTAGTGGGTAGAGGCTTAGGGATGTTGCTAAACTTCCTGAAGTTCTTTTCCTCCACAACAAAGAATTATCCAGCCCCAAATGTCCGTGGTGCTGAGGTTGGGAAACCCTCCTCTAGAGCCTATTGACTGTTCCTTGCCCAGTAGGATAAATTATTGCCAGGTTTTTATGTGGCCTACTGCGTTCTATAATATTGATTGACATCAGGATAGAAATAATAGACCTGGACGGGAGTTGCGAATGCAGACATCCCCTCTTCCCTCTTCTTGCCCTTCTCTTCCCATCCCTTCTGAGTGACTGAGAGGGAAAAGCCAGGTTGATGCATATG